>NC_000003.12:188705574-189955574 GCF_000001405.40 Homo sapiens
CTATCAATATACTATGCTATATATATATATAATTTTTTTTAATTTTTTCTTTTTTTGTGTGGGGGGAAAATAGAATCTCCCTCTGTCACCAAGGTTGGAATGCAGTGGCACGATCTTGGCTCAAACTGTACCACCGGGTTCAAGCGATTTTCATGCCCCAGCCTCCTGAGTAGCTGGGATTACAGGCGTGCATTATCACACCTGGCTAATTTTTGTGTTTTTAGTAGATACGGGGTTTCACAGTTTTGGCTAGGCTGGTCTCGAACTTCTGGCCTCAAGTGATCTGCCAGCCTTGATTTCCCAAGATGCTGGGATTACTGATGTAAGCCACTGTGCCCGACCTGTGCTTTTTATAATTAATCATTTGTGCATGTTTCTTACCCCCACTAGACTGCAAAACTCTCAAAAACAAAGGTTGTGTGTAATATATCTTCATGTCCCTCCTGGGTTCTTACAGAAGGTACACAAAATAAACCCTGTAAGAATGAGTGGATAAAACAATAAACAAAAGAATAACTGAATAATTCAGTAGCTTCTCTAATCCTCATATGACAGGTAATGTTTACAGTTCAGAGGAGGTCCTAAGTTTAACCTTTAATGTTTGCTAATAAATAAGTCAGTCAAGGATGAGCTCTTGTCCTGACTTTATCAAAACTAGCCCTCCCTGATTTTTGGGGGGCTCTCAGTTTCCCTGTCTCACAAAGAGGAGATTAGCATAATGGTTCTTCAGATCCTGGCAAGCAACTCAATTTTTTTTGTCTGTAACCTGAGCATATGCCATAGTTTACTCATCACTGTCTCATCTCTAATCCAAATTGTTCAACAATGCAATAAAGTCTCAGGCTAAGGTTAGTGACCAGCATAAAATATTTTTGGCCTTTTCAGCCTTCTGCGTGTCTGTACTTCAAATGTCTGTATATTTTGGGAAACCAAAAAAAATGGAAATTATTTTAGAGAAAAGGCCAAATAGGTACCAATCAACCTTCTTGACTATGTTTAGAAGACATTTAACGCTTTAGACATCACACAAATGATTAATACCCATCTTGGAGTTGTAGTAAATGTTGGGAATGATAGCATGTGTTCAGAGATTTGTACTTTACAGGATTTTCACGTCCAAGAGCTCACTTGGTGTAGTGAAGATAATAGGAGAATGAATATGTAGCTTTCAGTTTTGTTGAACTTACTCTTGTAAACATTCTGAAAAGAGAACCTTTTGGCCAACTATTTTAACAATGCATAAATATCAAGGCAAGAGCATTCCCAACCCACATCTCTGCCCATTACTCATGGCAGACATCATCATCAGTTCTAAATTTAAATAATAGCATTTCTGTTTTTATCACACTTTTATTAAGAATGTTGGGGTGAGATATTAGAAATGGTCAAATTTATAGGCAATGGAAAATGTGATAAATTCCCTTTTAATCACATAGCACAAAGCTACTTTAAATCTAGTATATGGCCTTTATTCCTTTTTTACATACTTTTTATTCTTCATTGATGATCTCAAGTACTCTCTCAATTGATATTTGATTCTCTTGCATTGCTATAATTCTGGCTCGCCCGCCTATTTATTTTTTAATTTTTTTTTTACTGCAGTATGTTTTGGGGTACATGTGAGTTTTGGTTACATGGATGGGTTCTATAGTGGTGAATTCTGAGATTTTAGTGCACCCATCACCCAAGCAGTGTACACTGTACCCATAAGGGTGGAATGAAGGGGGAATAGACAAAGGCCCCAGTGGCCCTGCATGTCCCATATGGGTACAGGGGATGAGGGATAAAAGACTATACATTTTATATGGAGTCTTTGATCCCTGCCCCCCTGCCCAACCTGGCCGCGCCAAAGCCCCAAAGTCCATCATTTTGCTCTGTATGTCTTCACATCCTCGTAGCTTTGCTCTCACCCACCCATTTCAACACCAACCCAGTGTCAATGCTACTGACTTATCATCACTATTTGAAATCTGGCTGTTTGCAGTGCTGGAAAAATGAAATTACTCAACTTCCTTAACTGGAACAAAAGAACTAGAACCAAAATGTTCGCTTTCTGGACTCCTGTACTCGATAAGATTTATCTCATTTCCTATCTCAAAGTTTATATGTGGTCCCGAAGTACACAACTTCCACAAGCTCTTTATGCTGCTTGACTTTTTTCACCTGAGTGTGAGAAACTTCTACCTGTATGTTTTCTCCCTTTTAGCTGAATAAGGCCTAGCCTGCTCTGCTCCCTCTCTTCAGGAAGTCCGTCGCGGGCTATGCGAGAGGTCCCACCTTATACCCTTATTTTGCTCTTCCTGCAGCTGTTTTTCTTTAATTATTAATGTGCCTGTATCTCTCACTTCACTGTAAGGTTCATAAGAAAGAAAGACTCAATTTATTTTTCTCATAAATGTATAACAGCAAATAGTGATTACTTAGCAATTGTTGAACAAAATAGATTCTTCCTATTGTAAACATGGATTTCTAAAGCCTGATAGATGACTCATCTAGATAAGGCAAATGAGTAAAGAGATGTGTCCAAGGTTAGCCACTGAATAAGTGATAAAACTAATTCTAAAACCCAGGTCTCCTGACAGCCACGTCCAGTGCTTTTTCCTCTCCAGTGCAATCGCTGCTTGTTTAGGCTGACTGCCTTGGTTGATGGTCTAGGTGGCAATTAAAGGACTGTGTGCTTTCTGCCTTTCAGGGTGGCCATTCAGGGCAACTGGGGCCTTCGTCAGTTGCCCCTTCATTCCGCCCAGAGGATGAGCTTGAGCACCTGACCAAAAAGATGCTGTATGACATGGAAAATCCACCTGCTGACGAATACTTTGGTGAGTGGGGCCTAGAGCTGACTTCTGAAGTAACTATCTTGCTCTGATTTCCTTCCTTAGTAATTGGAACTATTATCAGCTCCACTGGTAAAGTATTTGAGTCCAGATGCATGAGAGTTGATATACATCCCCGCACAACTAAGTAATTGTAGGATTTGCATTTGCAAGACTGCCATAGATGTGATGTCTACTTAGCTTATACTAAAATTTCAGTGGTCCTTAGAGTTTCCTTAGATACAAATTTTATTGTTGAGACTTATTTTTTACCAGTCTAGGCAACATGGGGAGACCCTGTCTCCATTAAAAATACAAAAATTAGCTGAGTGTGGTGGCATGTGCCTGCAGTCCCAGCTACTCAGAAGGCTGAGGCTGGAGAATCACCTGAGCCTGGGAGGTCGAGGCTGCAGTGAGCTGTGGCTCAGTGAGCTGTGGTTGTGCCACTGCACTCCAGCCTGGACAACAGAGTGAGACCCTGTTTTTTTGTTTTTTGTTTTTGTTTTTGTTTTTTGTTTTAAAAAAGAAGACATTTTTTGACAACTTATTAGCTTCCCATTAGGCAGAAATAGGATTTCTGTGTATGTTCCCATTTCTCACTGGTCTAAAGATTCAAGTAAAAAATGTGGAATTGGATATTGTCTGATATCCAATTTCCAGATTGTACTCTTAATTTTTTTTTCTATCTCAGTTGAAGAAATGATGTTTTCTTTGTAGTTTTAATTTTCCCCTCTTCAAACTTGTTAATAACTAGGAATGGTTAATCCTTCCAATCCATGAATATAATGCAAATTTATGAATTATATGCCGATTGTGAGGTTCTGTGGACGCATAACCTGTCCTCAGTGAGGTTAAAATTGTTCAGAAAGAGGTAAGACAAGCATACAAATAATTACTAGTCTAGGTAGAAAGTGATAAAAGACATGAGAAGGCTTAGGTCAATTGTTGCAAATTTTATTTTTATTTTATTTTATTTTATTTATTTTTGAGACAGAGCCTTGCTCTGTCACCCAGGCTAGAGTATACTGGCGTGATCTTGGCTCACTGCAACCTCCACCTCCGGATTTTGAGCAATTCTCCTGCCTCAGCCTCCCGAGTAGCTGGGATTACAGGTGCCCACCGCCACACCTGGCTAGTTTTTGTATTTTTAGTAGAGACGAGGTTTCGCCATGTTGGCCAGGCTGGTCTTGAACTCCTGACCTCAGGTGATCCACCCGCCTCAGCCTCCCAAAGTGCTGGGATTACAGGTGTGAGCCACTGCGCCCGGCCAGAAGTTTTAAAAGCTCCATTTATTAGGAGCATCCGGAATACTTTGGTAAAGAATTGGTGGCACTTGAATCTGAGCCCTTTAAACCAGTGCCTTTCACATTTTCTGTGGTAGAAGACCATTTTCCTCCCAATCTGTTGGAGACCAGTATTTTTGTTGAGTCAGTTAAAATTAATTACTAGGGAAATAAAAGACACAAAATAAAATGGAAGATGAAATTTTATCATTATTAGAGTTAACTGTTAACGAATTACTCTTTTAAATTTTTATACTAGTTTCTAAATATTAATCCTTTGTTCCTGTATTTATCTCATCCAGGGTGATAAGCATTTCTTAGACACCCATCCATGGACCACTTTTTGAGTGGCACTGCTTTAAGGACAAATAGAGAAACGACATTTGGGGAACAGTATTAGTAAAGGCACAAAGATGGGGAAATTGCACAGGATTTTTGCTTCTTCAAATATTTTCTATTTTCATGTCTTTTTTGCTCCTATATGGGAATATGTAATGACAGGTCAACTGACCACACCAGTCCAAAAACACACAGTAGATGAAGTAGGAGGTATTAGGATATGAAAACCCTGGCTTTTATTTGTGTTGGGGTGGCAGTTTAGCTTAGCTAAAAGAGCAAAAAGAGTGGGAATGAAACATCTGGTTGTGGTCTCTTCTCTGTCCCTCGCTGGCCAAGCAATACTGGCATGTCACCCATCTGCCTGAGCCCCATTTCCCACCTCACTATATCAACGGTTGGGGCAAATGTTCTCTAGCATTTCTTTCAACAGTAATAAGTTCAATGTACAAACATCCTTAATCTAAAGTATAACAATAAAGCTAAACATAAATTGATGGAGATTAACAACAATGCATGGAGAACAGTAAAACAAAACATAGAAAATCCACGAAGGTTTCTAGTTACATCAAAATACACAAAAAGTTTATTAATGCTCTTGTCATTGCCATGTGAGGAGGGTTTATAATGGGGTCTAAAATACATTTTTTAAAAGTGAAAAATAAGGTCTCTGTATTTAGGTCCTATTAAAAAGGAAAAGCTGACTTACCAAGTATATATGCTTCAAATATCATAGCAACAAAATATATTGCCACAAAAAAAAAACTGAACATAGATGCTAATTGCATGAATGAATATATATTGAACACTCTGGGAAACAGATATAAATTATTACCTTTCCCTTCAAGAACTGTCCAAGCTCTACTACTTAGTAGCTTAGAAAACTTGAACAAGTATTATTCCCTCTAAACCTTCATTTTTGTTTTGTTTTATCTGTAATATGGGAATAATAACTAGCTTATACTGTTGTTTTAAGAAATGGATGAAATATTTATACAAAGCACTTAGCCAAGTTCTTGGCATGTAGAATATGCTCAATACAATACTCAAGGTTCTCCCATGCTCTTGGGGCTTATAGTTTATTTAAGACATAAGATATGCTCGTTAAAAATCCATTAATAATGCTCAATTTAAGTTTAAGTTCCTAGCAACAATAGAACGTATGTCACTGGTAAGTAATCATTGCCAAATGGGGATGAATAACCATTTGAGAATTTGGAAAAATGGCTAACTTTTATTGAGTGCTTATGATATGGCAGCACTATATTTTATTTACATTATAGGAATTAACTCATTTCACTCTTATAGGAAAACATAACCCTGTGAAATAGATACTATTATCATTTTCAGATTTTGAAATTAAGGCACAGAAATATTAATTTGCCTAATGTCAACAGCTAATACATTGCAGAACTGAATTAGAATGCAGATCTGTACATTTACACACCACACTGTAAAAGATGGGGAAAGCTAGCCAGGCTACATATTTAGAAGAGTGTTTATGGTGGAGATTAGCTTTGGACAGATGGGAAATAAGAGATGAGCATTCTCTTCTAGGTACACAGAATTAACAAAATATAAGTTGAGGCCAGGATTATTTAAAGAAAATTTACGTTATGTAGAAAACAAAAAAAAAAGTGCCTATGGTAATATTCAGGCTGCTCTGCTAGGTGGTGGTGGGGGTAGATGTGGGTCTTACCTTTGAAGTTCTTATAGTCTAATAGGATATGTGTACAGAGTTATGGTGTTATAAGCACAAGGCAGAAAGTGACAAGTGACTTAATCAATGTTCACCAAGTGTTCTTTGAGAATTCAGAAAAAGGAAAGAGAAAATCAAGAGAGAGAAATGGAAAAGTATTTATGGAATACTTAGCCTTTGAGTAAGTCTTTAAAATTGTGCTAATTGAGATTTGGAAGTAGGAAGATAGTAGAGAAGTGAAGTCATTTCTCATGAGGGGAGTTTTTGACATAACAGGGAATAAAACCACTGGAGTGAAGTGTCCACGTGAGAAGTAGCAAATATTGGGAAATAAGGTTCAAGTAGTAGGTTAGGACCAATCTAGGGAAGGCTGTCAATGTCCGGCTAAAGGCTAAGAACGTTATTGTCTATAATGAGCCCTTGCACATTGAGATCACATGCCATGAGAACTGCTCTGTGGATAGTGGTTAAAAACATGCACTCCAGAGCCAGGATGCACTTCTTACCAGCAAGATGAAATCAAGAGGCAAAGGACTAGTGAAAAGAACTGTCCTTTATTGTTCCGTGCTTTAAACATTTCTCAAGCACCTTCTCTGTGCCTGCTACTGTGCTGGGTGTTCAGGACACCCAAATGCAGAGGCTCTGCCCTCATGGGGCTCACGGGTTCCTAGGAAGGACAAGAGAGTCACAGATGTCAAGGATTTTAGTGCAGATATTAGCACTGTGTTGGGTGTGACTGAGCTGCTATGTGAGAGTCCATAAGTCTGCCTGAGGATGAGCGGAAAGAATACATAGCAGTGTGTTTGCATCAGCAGGGCCTGACCCAAGAGCGATAAAGTCTTCTCTTCCTTTCTGTCAGAGTTTTACCTTTGGCCTATTCTGGACTGCAAATAGCATTGCCAAGCACTTCCCTTAAATAACTTCTCTTTTTTGCAGGACTATCCTCTCAGCCCTGCCAAAACCCCATCACCTACTCTTTCTTTACTACTTTGCCTATTTAATGCTGGAATTTTTATTTAAACTGTAGCTGATTTACTGAAGGTAATTAAGTGCTTTCATGCTGTAGATCTCCTGCTAGACTACAGGCTGTACTTGGGAGTGAGAGTGAACAAAATGTAAATAAATGATGTCAACAGAGTAGGTTCCTTTGTGGTCATGTTGCTTTGCTTCCAAGACACTCTTTTTTTTTTCATAAGTAGAATGATTCATGAATATGTTATTATAGTTCTTGTTTCTTTGCGGAGCCCCTCATCACTCTTAACAGTTTTATTTATATTGAATTATAATTATCGTATGCTTAAAAGTACTGGGAGAGGTACCAGAAGATCACCTCACAGATGACTTAAGTACAAAGGAGAAAAGGAACTTTTATAATGGAGAGGTCTCCTGGAAGCCGTCTTAAACCAAGTAATGAAATTTAACATCCTCAATAATGGGACAGACTGGCATGTGCCAACTGAATGTAGGAAGTCTGCAGCATCGTCTAGGCAGTGGTCTTGCTAAAATATTTCAGCTCTATCCAACCATGAGGAAGTAAAAAATGCAGATGATGGGACATGCTTCAAGACACCTGTCCTGAATTCTGCAACACTGTCAATGTTATAAAACACTATTCTAGATTAAAGGAAATTGAAGAGACATGCCATTCAAATGCAAGGCATGTGTCTTGATTGAATTCTGGATGAAAAAAAAAAAAGCTGTAAAGGATTGGTAACAAACTTAGAGAAATTTGAATATCAATGATATATTAGATAATACATCAATGTTAATTTCATGATGATATTAATGGTGTTGTGATTATGTAGGAAAATCTTATTTTTATGAGCTATTTGTTGCAGTATAAGGTGAGGTATGATTGTGTCTACAGTTTTATTTTGAAATATTGATAGAGTGACAGAAATAGAGAGAGAGAGACAGAAAGAGAGAGAGGGATGATTGACAGATATACGTAGACAAACAGAGATAGAGATAAATGTGGGGAGGCAGAATCACCTCAGGTTAAAACAGCTAGAGATGCTATAACTGCAACAACTATAAGGACTCCCCTCCTCTCTAAAAGTGTACTGAAGCCTGTCACAAATGAATTACCTTAAGAATCCCTTCTTGGGTGGGTAGAGAGATTGACATTTCTGCACCTTCTCAACTTTCCTGTTTTAATGACTACAGTGGGTCTTTGAAATTTCCCGTTATCGTTTTCTTTTTTTCTTATTTTTTACCAGACATACACATCTTCTATTGCTGGTGAGATGAGGACAATTGTGGTAGTGATGACAAAAGCTGATATTTACCTAGAGCTCCATATGTTTAAAAAACCAAGTCGCAGCCACAACATGACTGGCAGACCTGGCGATGATGTCTTCATTTCATTTTTTGGATGGGGAAATAGAGATTCAGAGAGGCTCAGTGAGTTGTTCAAGCTCACATAGCTAATAATTTTGGAATTTGGCCTCACTCTTCTGATCTCATGTCTATCATAATACATTACCATTACAGAAAGGTATATAAATGCTGTTCCTGCTGAATGTTAGTAACTGGCTGTTTCTCTCCCATGTCATAACTTTTCCTTATGAAGTTATGATCTTCAAGTGAGAGATGGAGGGACTGCTTCTGCCCAAGATTACATGTTTGTAATCTGGACTTCGATGTCACTGATATGTTTCAACTATCTTAAACATCCTGAATTAACTGCTGTGACATGGCTGAGGTACATACATTAGGAAGACCGTCTACCGAATACCTACCTATCAGCCATTTTGCAGTCTGTAGTTCTTCTCTTGACCATGGGAGAAGGCAAATCACTAATAGCCACCGTTCTTATTTTTTCAAGTCAGGTTTTTTTATAAAATATAACAAACAGGGACCCTTAACTGTCTCAGCTGGGTTTTTTTTTAATGATTTCTTCTGGAAAGGTGATAGTTTTAGTGTTTCCATGCCTTCTTTTGTCCATGTTCATTATAACTTGTGACTGTCGCATTACAGTATTAGGTAAATGCCACAGATGTTGAACCATGATAAAGCAGTTGGATGAGTCTATATCTCTAAAGGGAAGATACAGTCTCTATACTGTGGGCATTTGCCATCTACTTGGACTTAAGTTTTGGCTATAACAGATTTCCTTACCATGGACCTGTGTCTTTCCATTAATACTGGTGTCATTGAGAGGGCCTCTAAACACTACCCTGTAGAGGAAAGGGAGGAAACATAGTAGAAAGTTGGGGGTAGGAGAAAATTCTTACCCAGTTCAATAAACCAGACAGTGAGTGTTTAGCCCAGCTCATCTACAGGAAGCCTTGGTTCAAGTGCTTGCATTTTAGAGCAAATTTTTTCCTAGACAACTAGAAAAATATGTTGATACTAAAGGAGGCTCTCAGTTCTAGTGATAGATACTTAAAAAGAACAAGGGGTGGCTCATGCCTGTAATCCCAGCACTTTGGGAGGCTGAGGTGGGCAGATCACGAGGTCAAGAGATCAAGACCATCCTGGCCAACATGGTGAAACCCCATCTCTACTAAAAATACAAAAATCAGCTGGGCATGGTGGCACGCACCTGTAGTCCCAGTTACTCAGGAGGCTGAGGCAGGAGAATCACTTGAACCCAGGAGGCGGAGGTTACAGTGAGCCAAGATCGTGCCACTGCACTCCAGCCTGGTGACAGAGGGAGACTCCGTCTCAAAAAAAAAAAAAAAAAAAAAAAAAAAAAAGGAACATGGGGCGATGAAGTAGCTGTAAATTATTATAATTTAGAGTCAATTCAGAGCTTATAATAGAAAATGGAAAACTTTTAAATTGAGTATTAAAATGAATAGGAGAGAAAGGTATTATTCTCAGAAAATTGGGACATCTACAGGGCTAGTTGCCAGTTTTAAAGTTTGTTTTTTCAAACAGTTTTAGGCAGCTAAAGGAAAGCAAAGTTGAGTTTTTCTCCAGATAACCTTGAGATATCTCTTTGAAATTGTCCAAGACTTTTCTGTGTTGGTTGATACAGCCACAGCCTTAAGTAATACACCCAGAGCCTCTAAGTTTTATGCTTTCATTCATTTTGTAAGAGAAAGCGTGTTTGTATATGAAGCTTTTCATACATGCATGTCTGTGACTATGGCATAATTTTTTCCAAATAATAATATTCTGGCTGAGGAGCCCTCAAGGCTGAAGGCAACACTGTTGGAAGACAGTATCTCTGGAAATGGATGTTGTAATACATCTAAGGATGGACTGGAAATATCTGACAGTAGATTTTTAAGCATAGAGCTGTAATTATCTTGACATTGTTTATATGATATTGTCTTATTCCTTCTTTAAAAAAAAGCAGAAGTATGTGAGCCTTAAAATTATTGAGTGAGCTATTTGAAGAATCCTTCAGAGCAGTGCCAGGTAAATTATCTTCTCAGAACTTAGCATTTATCTAAGGAAACTTTTTGTTCATCTCTGAGTATTGTTAGTAGGAGTTTTTGAGAATTTTTGCAGAAAACCAGGAGTTTGTTCCAGTGGAACTAGGCCTTCATTTTTCAAAGGACAGCTAGACAAAAGTGAAGGCATGAGGCAGCAGGGACCTAGCACATGCTAAGCCTTGAGAGAAGAAAGGCGTTAACATGAACAAAGTGCTATGATCGGTCACTTTATTGGTTATGCCAGCTCATTGTATTTGGTGCCTTGGTATCAACTCAATTAAGATGAAAATGGAGGGCCAGTGAATGTTCATGAATAGAAACAGAACAAAAAAAACAATGAGGAGGATGGTCCATTTTCTTTCTGCACTAGTGGGACCAGTTGATAAGTGAGCTTGTCCAGAGGACTTGACTAAGATGCTTAGGAAATTAGAAACCATGATTTGAGGTGCAGTTGAAGGTATGGAGAGAGGAAAACCTAGAGCCCTCATTGCTGTTGAAAGACTATCATGTGGAAAAGGAATTTGACTTAATATTTGTGATTCAAAAATTAGCAACAAAGGCAAGTGAGGGGAGTCTGGCCAGTTCCCATTCAGCGTAATGAAATCACTTTCTTAAGAGACAGAAGAAAGTCTTTGTAAAATTCTAGGTCAGAATCTAATAATCCCTTGTTGGTGAAAATGGTGATAGGTACTCAAGCAACTGATGGATGATTAGATTATACTTCATAAGTGCTGTCCAATTCTAACATTTTGTGACTTAGGCACAAACAAGACGCTAAACTTGTTTGGAAGTTAGCGTCTTGCATCCAACTTCTAGGTCTACCCCTAGATTATCATTATTATTATTACATGATTTCAACTAACATTTATATAATGCTTTTTAAAGCACTTTTCTACATGTTATATCACTTGAGCAAGACAGCAGTCCTACAAAATAGACAGTGTGTTTATTTCCATTTGGGATATGAAGAAATGAAAGATTTCAGTGATTAAGGGACTCCCCACTCCCCAGGGCTCTCCACTACCCTCACAAGTCATAAAGCAGGTAAGTAGCAGAATTGCCCTGGGGCACAGGCCTACAGACTTTAAATTCTTTTCACTTTTCACCCCATTGTGCTGTTAACACCATGTTGCTGAATTGGTCATGGGCCATAAGATAGATGAGTTAACATACTTCATGTTTTAGCTTTTTAATCTGTATAAGGAACGATGTGATTACTTTGTAAAGTGCTTAGAGGATCTCAACTGAGAGGTGTAAAGTAATTTGTATTTCATAGTTTGTGTTATTATGTGACAAGAAAATGGTTTCCAAAGTGCTTCTATCAATTACAAACTGGGAAATGACTCCAGGTAGGCAGCTACCTTTAGTGGATCTTGTTTTCACAGATAAATGACCTAATTAATGAAAAACCCCAAAACCACAATGGAAGAAAAATTAGACAATAAGTGGCTTAGAGAGAAGGTTGTATTGATTTGGGGGGAAAAATGGGTTTTTTGGTTTTGTTTCTCTCTAACTTTTTGTTTAGGGTATCTTTGAGTTGTGGGAATAGAATGTTCTCTAGTTAATGAGGCATATTAGATATATTTTCTTTTGTGGTAGTGACTTCTGGTAATGTTTGTTCAGAGTAGTATATGTTTACAGCACTAAATAAATAATAATTCTGAGCATTTTATGTGTTCTATCTTAGCATACATTAATTTTTTATTAATTTGGCTAGTGTGTTTGTTTGTTTGTCTGTTTTGTGTCAGAGTTTCACTCTTATTGACCAGGCTGGAGTGCAATGGTGCGATCTCGGTGCACCACAAACTCCACCTCCAAGGTTCAAGCGATTCTCCTGCCTCAGCCTCCCAGGTAGCTGGGATTACAGGCATATGCCAGCATGCCAGGCTAATTATTTTTGTATTTTTAGTAGAGACGAGGTTTCTCCATGTTGGTCAGGCTGATCTCGAACTCCCGACCTCAGGTGATCCTCCTGCCTCGGCCTCCCAAAAGTGCTGGGATTACAGGCGTGAGCCACTGCACCCGGCCTGGCTAATGTGTTTTTAAGCATTGATTTGGAATCCCAGACTTAGAGTAAAGAAGAATGTGATCTTAGAAATTATCTAGGAAAATCCTTCATTTTCTAGAAAACTGTATCCCAAATGACTTATCCAAAGCCATGCAACTAGGTGTGTTTTGAATTCTATGGTCAAAATTTTCTTTCTGAGTAATGGACAGTCTCCGATGGCATGAAGAGGAATGGCAGGGCTGTTTACAAAGGTGCAGACATAGGTCGGGCCTGCTACTTTTGTGATCTCAGACCGTAGATCCACCTTATTCAAACATAAGAACACATTGTCCTTAAAAAGAATAAAATAAATAACTTTTAAGGAATTTTGTGTATGTATTTTTCAAATACAAAAGAACCAAAGTTTTCTTATTCAAAAGAAACAAAAGAGATTCCCAGTATCTTTTATCTCAGTGTCTTTATCCAATTTACTTGTAATATTTCCTATCTGTTTTCTTCACTAAATGTAAGTCTGCGTGAGGGCAACAATTTATGTTTAGTTCAGTATTGTGTTCCTATCATTCCTGGAATAATGCCTGGCACATCGGAGATATTTAATAGGTGTTAATGAATTAATGAACTAATAAATGAAAACTGTGAGCAGACTTTCACACTTCTGTGACAGGACATGGTATATAGTAAACTATAGGGAGGAAATACTTCATTCATTTAAGATATATTTATTTAGCACCTTATAAAATCATAAAACGTTAGAGCTGGAGGGAATCTTAAGAGACTAGGAAAACCTCTTCATTTTTAGAGATCATGAAAATGAGTGAGATTTTTAGGGTCCCAAATTTGTTAGTGACAGAGCCACAGAGTATAACTCAGATTTTCTCATTCCTTTTTTTAATTCACTTAAGGGCACAGGAAAACATATAAACTAGAGTAAGACATGGCTGCTACATTTATTGAACTTAAATTTAAATTGTTTTAACACCTTTGGACTTGATCTCTTTTGCATGTATCTTCTGTGAAATTTAAAGGTTCAACTGGTCAATGAAGAGAGTACTTGGTTAAGATTTTATTTTTTAAGTACTGGGTCACATTTCCTCCACCTGTAGGTTTCATCTATAGTCTTTGGTTCCCAGGACCATTTCGTACCACCACAATTTTCTTCTGTTCTAATCTAATTGGATTGGATGGATAGGGCATCACATTGAAAGAAACATTCTTTTCTTACGTTTACTTGAGTTGTCCATAGCAACCTGTCCTGAAAGATTGTCCGTTTAAAGTAAGCCTCTTCAAGACTGTGAACCACCACCCAAGATTGGTGTTTCATACCGTCTTGATACAAACAGCAGACATCCAGTCATTCAGCTGCGTTAGGATCACTATCTCTTTATCAGAAGAAAGAAGAGAAAAGTAGAAGAGAGATTTCTACTTCATAATTGAATGTTCTTTGCTTATTAACTGTGGAAGCAAACTTGAAATTCTGGGAGAGAAAGCACTGATGGGGCACACATTGTCTGTGGTGCAAAGAAAGTCTCAGTTTGGTACTGGTACCTGAACCTGCAAGTGCTAATTATGCATCTTCTGGTATTAACACACAAACACAATTAACTGTGAACTCAGCTCCTTTTCCCTTTCAAACCACCATCATTCCCCCAACCTGCACTTTCCCCACCACTTTCTCTAAAACACACAGATAAGCATCTCCTTACAGACTTTGAAGTGACATTAGGATTGTCAGAAGGCATAATTAATTGACTGTCAGCAAAGCTATTGTTTGAACATCTCTGGAGTTGTACTTGGTAGGCATCTTGTTTTTTTGTTGTTTTGTTTTGTCTGAGACGTAGTCTTGCTCCGTCGCCCAGGTTGGAATGCAGTGGCGTGATCTTGGCTCACTGCAACCTCCACCTCCCAGGTTCAAGCTGTGCTCCTGCCTCAGCCTCCCAAGTAGATGGGACTACAGGCACGTGCCACCACGCCCAGCTAATTTTTGTATTTTTAGTAGCTATGGGGTTTTACCATATTGATCAGGCTGATCTTGAACTCCTAACCTTGTGATCTGCCAGCCTTGGCCTCCCAAAGTGTTGAGATTACAGGCGTGAGCCACTGCACCTGGCCCTGTTGTATTTTTAATTGACCGATTCTTTCCTCTACAAATATTTATTGAGTGCCTACTACTCACCAATTATTGTAGTGTATACTATGGGAGATAATGGAAATGATATAATGGCCAAGGAGAGAAAGCATTTGTCAAATCCTCTAGGGCCAAGGGCTTTGATAGAGAACAGATTTCACAACTGGCAGTGGAAAATGTATTCTTTTCCATCCCGGTTCAGAGGATTTTGCCACTGTACTTGTGCCATATAAAATGCTGAAATAGTTCATGAGAAGAGGTACAGGCATACATCTTCCTGGTGTGTGAAGATGAGTGGCAATGCACTGTCTCTGGTTAGAGTTCCCACCAAAAATTGTAAAATACTTAAAAAGAAAAAGCAAAAAATATCCGAGGCAATTAAAAAAAAAAAAAAAAAGGGAAATCACAGAAGCAGGTCCAAGTTAATGACCTTATCCCAATTCTGTTCCTAAGTCTGACTCTGATGTTAGTCATGTTGTATTTAATTCTTCCAGATTTCCTATAGTACTGTACAGCTCTGATCTCAGTCCTCACTTGGTTCTAAGGTTTGACCATCAAACTTTGAGCTTGCATGAGCCTTGAACTTGGCTCTACTCCTATCTGGCAGTGAGCATCATTTGTTAAAATTCAACAAGAGCAAACAGAAACAGTGTACACTAGTGACTTGCTGAAAGAGCCTAAGAAGATACAGTAGGCAGGAGTAATGGAAATGAGTTTTTAACCTCCACTGACTCACCCTTTCTTTCCTAGTCACCCTTAGGGTCATGGCAAAGTTACAGAGGCATTTAGAAATCATCTTGCTTGAAAGCTTCCCTTTCTTCAGTCATTAGTGAGCATCTTCATAATTTTTTTTACCATATATGTAAACTATCCATAGTATTATTTGCCTAATATTTTTATTTAAATCAATTAACTTTTTATCCGACTTTGTCTTCCTTCATGTCAATAACATCTATAATTTGATTCTGTGGGTTGAAGTACTAAGTTGCTTCTTTCCTGTAAAAGATATTAAACTGAATACTATATTTAAATTTTAAAAATACGGCTGGAATTACAGATCACATCTGTAATCCCAACACTTTGGGAGGCCGAGGCTGGAGAATTGCTTGAGTCCAAAAGTTTGAGACCAACCCAGGCAACAGAGTGAGACCCCCATCTCTACAAAAAATGAAAAAAATATTACTAGGTATAGTGATGCACATCTGTGGTTCCAGCTACTCATGAGGCTGAGATAGGAGGATCACTTAAGCACTGGAGGTCAACGGTGCAGTGAGCCGTGATTGCACCACCGCACTCCAGCCTGAGTGACAGAGTAACAGTCTGTCTCAACAAAACAAAACAAAACAAAAAACAAAGTTCATTTCATGCACCAGCTAATGTTTGAAATATTGAGAAATGTGGATATCATTCAACAAGAAGAAAAATTGATAGGATACCATGGTGAAAGAAATGGTGTCCTCAAGCTTACCCATTAAGTGTATAAAGCATAATTTTTTCTTTTTTCTTTTGCATGCGGAGTCATCATGTTCTTGTGAAGGATCGTGTTGTGTTGTTAGATATTGTTCCAGGCATCCAGCACTGAGAGGCATTGCCGGCCTGATACTGTCCCACTGACTCACTGTGACATCTTAGGCCGGTTTCTCTTCCATAGGTCTCATCTCTCATATCACGAGATTAGAACACATGAACTATTGTGATCCTTTTGACCTTAATTCCTTTGCCTCAAACACTTTTCATATATTGTCCTCTCTACACTGTTAAAATGTAGGTGAGTAAGAAAAGCAGCTGCCCCATATAAAATTTCAGTGCTGCTTGCCTCAGAGTTCTGGAGAATTGTAAACAAACCCAAGAATTATATTTCCTAGATCACTTTATGCTCTGCTTGTTACTGTTACCCATTTCCTGAGGTTTATGAGAGGGTCACTGCCTTGAAAGTAGCTTTCAATGCCAGGTAATAAAAGTGGAATAGGATGTTGAATATGATGAAGAATACCATGCACTAAGTGTTGGGTACACTAGCAGCGTCACTGTGTTTCAGCATTTTCAGTAATGGTGTTCAGTCATGGTAATTGGCATACCGGCTCAGTAATGGTGTTTACTAATGGTAACTGGCATATGTGAGTGATATTAGTGTGGGTAACCATCAACGGAGCAATAGTCTAATGTAGATGATACAGCAGTAATAAAAATGAATAATTCATCTTTTGTCAGATAGCTTAGTAAAGTGAGCACTAGATTTGGAGTCAGGAAATCCAAGTGTAAGTCATCTTTTCTGTGTGACGTTAGTGACATGTGACATTTGTGCTCTCCTTAGAGTATTTTGTTATACAGTCTTGAGAACTCTTCTTTTAGCAGCTTTAAAATGAGTGTTATTTTGCCAGAAGAACTAACATATCCATGGACAAGTCAGAAGTTAAAACCAAATTATTTCAGTTTTCTTGTTTAGATTAGCTCTTCTATAGAACCTCAGAGTCTTCCTGAATTTCAGGTATTTCACTTATTAAAAAGATAATTATCCCTATCTATTTTATGTGCATATTGTGGGAATCAAATTAAATAAGTCGGTATGAAAAAGTTTTCTAAACCGTAGCAGAAGACCAAAAATTTAAGAGGTGTTAGTATCTCCACCTAGTGCAGCATCTGGTTTGATTTGTGTCATTTATGATTAGTGTGTAATAATCATTCCTCTAAATTGTTAACGTCAGTGTTTATCTCTATTTGAATTAACACTTTGTATTTTCTTATGATGTTCTGTTGTAATTGGAATATCGCTGGAGAATACAAAAAGTGTTTTTTAGTCATTGTGTGTGAGAAAGCAACACACCAAGATATACCACAATGTTCTCGTTTGCTGAGCAAACTACTCTTGCTTTTTAATGTGGAATGTAGAAGAACTAATTGAAAAGAGACAAAATGAATTTTGACTCAAATTGAACAGGATGAATCATAACCCACTTTCTCATCTGAGATGTGAGGAAGAAAATGTAAAGGAAACCAACCACCACACAGCTTTACTGTCAGTGTCAGCATAATCAATATAGAGTGTTTTTCAACAGAATAAAGAATACATTTCTGCAAGGCTGAGAGTTGCAGGTAGTCGGAAACCTAGTTATTTTTGCTTTGTCTATAGTCTGCTAAAATTGTCTCGTTCTGCCTTGGTTAAAGCATTCTAATCAAGAGAGTTTGGGGCCCCTCAGTAATTGCTTCTCAAACCATTCAGAAATGTACCTGTGATCTCTATTGAACAGAGGCCAATCAGAGACTGGACCCTCTATTGAACGTCTGGTCCCAGTGTCATTTTGTCAGATGGTCAAGAGCAGGGAGACGGCAGACATACAGAAACCTGGACAGGACTGAATTGCTGCTTCCCTGAAAATAACTTACTTGGGTTTATTGATGTGAATGATTAAACAAAAACACTTTGTCCTATTGGATTCTAGAATTTCGATGCATAATCCACTTAGCTTGTGAATGTAGCTTAAAAAAAAAAAGATTTTACACAAATAAAGAGGCACTATAGCATATCCCAGGAAAAAAACTCTAATTCCTAAGTCAAAATTTATTTCTAATTTTTGTTACTATTGTATTTGATTCATAACTCTTATGATCTTTATTTTCCTCATGTGTGTTTATATATTTTCTATTTTACTGTAAAATTACTAAGATGGGAGAGCACATCTTTCTTATCTTACTCTTCCTCTCTTCCCCAAAAAGAAAAATGAGAAGAGGAGATAGAGCTGGATGATTTTTTTAAATATCTTTGTGCCACTCCACCAAGAGTTTTGCTTGCAATAGAGGTTCTCTAGTCTGATTTGATCCTAAACCATTCTCACTAATGATTCTGCTTAAAATAAGACTAGTACATATTGAGCACTGACTATTTAGTATGAGTTCTACATGCATTACTTATATCTGGACTATAACTCTAGGCAGTAGATACTGTTTTTTACAATGAGAAAGCTGAAGCCAAGATGAGTTAAATAATTTTCCCGGAATCTAGTAATTAGAGTTGCAATTTGAACACAGAACCCAGCTCTTAACCCCTGCATATACCATGCCTGTGACTATAGATTTCAGAAAATGAGCTAGCCAAAGCCTGGAAAAAGATTAGACTCACAGGATCTGTGCTCATTCCATGACTTTTCTGGTAAATCCTATTCTGTTTTTTCCTCTACTTTCCTTGGGGGATGTTTTTAGTATGATTTGATTTTCTCTGATTGAAAGCTCTCACTACTAATAAGGGAGCAATTAGAAATACAGGTACACCATCTCTTTGTTTGCTCTGTACCAGATGTCTGCTGAGACAGTGTCTTTGCCCTCCTACATGGGTAGTAGTGCCCAGTTGGGCTGCTTAGTCCAGATAACAAAAGGCGATTTCTGACCGTAATTTTTTTTGTTGTTAATAACACTTGAAATATGCATCTTTATTCCTCCATTCCTTCTTGGACTTGAAACTTGGTTATTATGATTGTAGCAATATTTATGTCCAGAAACTCTCTTCTCCCCACAATTTGCCTCAATCCAGTACTGCTTTCTTTCACACACGTAAATAGTTTTAACTTTTAACGATCCATGCCTATGGCATCTTCTAGTCTAGTGATGTGTAGAAAAGCCAGGCCCAGTCTCATTGCCCAGGTGGAAATAAGAGAGAGCAAGGAAAAGGGGACTGATTTTGAAAATAAAGTCACCCTGTTGACATGTCATCAGTCAAAAGAGTTCAGTGCAATAGCTAGCAATTGGCTCACTCAGTCGGAAGTTGATGCTATTTTAGGCCGTCAGCGGCAGTGTCAATGTATCTGTGAATTTTGCCATTTTATTTCATTAAGATGGTTCAGGAAGTCAGACACTGATTAACTGATTCTTCGACTTAGTTCCCACTCCTAATTTTGGATGTGTGGTGTCTTTAGGAAGCTGCTGTGTCACCTTGATTCTAAAGAAAAGTTTCGTTGTGCCTCTAGAGCAATCCGGAACAGTTTACCCTTGTGTCTGGTTATGCTGGAACCTGCTGTGTTCTACCTCTCTGGTCACAGGTGGTATGGGGATACTTTTGCTTCTGGTTCTCCTCTGGCAGATCAAGCAAATACAATCCAAGTGCGTGCAGCCCGTTCCCATTCAAAATGTATCCGTCATAATAACAGCATTCTCGCTGACGCATTAGACTCAAGGTGGACTTAATTTGGAGATCACCTATGAAGACATCTGTGGAAGGAATGGCCTCAGCATTGCAGTCACTTTCGAAGTCAAGAGGTATTCTAGACAGACCACACAGCATGTATAGGTAAGACTAGGAAAATTCTAAGTTTTGTGTTGTTGCTAGGGGCTTGTAATCTTATTTTATTTGTAAACATGCTCTAAATAAGAAGGATAAGGATCTCTAGATAGGAAATATATGTTGTTCTTTGTTTCTCCATTTATTCAATAATTATTGAAGGCCTATGATATGCCAGACAATTGTTCCAAGCATTTCCATTAAACATTAGTCCACAAAATATAGACAGAAGTGCTTACAAATAGCTCAATTCCAATATGATACATTGCTGGAGTTTGGTGATATGGGAGGAAAGAAGTTAGAATGGCTTACTATGAATGGAAAAGTGGAGAAAGATTTTCTGACATAGATCATGTTAAGACTGAATATTAATGGAATTTTTCAGGTAAGCCATGAATTCAAGGGCATTTCAGACAAACAATTCAATAGGGACAAAGGTATAGAGACCAACACCAAAAAAAGTGCAATATGACTGCCAAAGAATATTGGAAGGAGAAATGAGACTAAATGAATGATTAGTGGCCAGATCAAGAGGGCCTCTTATTTCTTACTAAAGAATCTAGAGTCTGTCCTGAAAGTGTGGAAACTCCATGAAGGGTTTCAACAAGGGAACCACAAGATATTGATTAAAGATCACTCTGGGTACTATTGTGGGGAGAGGTGTTCAATGGGACAAGATTTGGGGGATGAAGATCAGTCTGGGTGTCATTTGTACTTGTCTAAGGGGAATAAGGGCTGGAACCAAGATAGTCATCTTGTGACAATTTAGAGAAGGGTTTCAAAGGGGCGTAAGAGGGATGGGCTGAGACTTATTCCTGGGCCTCTATCTTGGGTGGGTAATGACATCACTAAGTGATGTGAGAAAAAGAGAAGGAGTTCAGTAATGGTGATGCCATCAGTCCACAGAGATCCTCTCTTTATCAATACTTATTGAGCACTTGCTGTGTGTACACACTGTTCTAAGCATTGGTGCTACAGCAGATGAAAAGCTTCTTTTATGGGGCTTACATTCCAGTGAGAAGAAAATGATGACACATAAATAAAATACATAGCAGGTCAGATAGCAGTATATCCTATTGAGAAAATTATGCAGGAGAAAGGGATAGTGAGTGATACAGTGGTATTGGAGTGGAAGTATTATGGTGAATAGTGTGACCGCTATAATTGTGAGGTCTCTATTATGGGTGAAATCTGGTCTGCCTAATTTTGTTTCTTTTCCATTTTTTGTTTGTTTGATGAATTATTATTTCTCGTAAACAAGGCAAATAAACAGCAATAGCAACATAAACATTTACAAGCACATAGATGTAGGCATAATAGTTTGTGTTGCCAACATAACACATGCCAGGAAAAACAAAAGAAAACAGCAGCTAAAAAAAGTAAATATCAAAAAAGGGAGCTTTCTCAGACACAAATTCTTATCATTCAAAATGCTGTGTAGTTTGAATTAGAAAGTCACAGAATGGGACCTTAGATTTAATCCAAATCTCTTAGTTTAGGCAGAAAAACCTTCAGCCGAGCAAGGAAGTCAGTTATTCAAGGACACACAGGTAGGTCTACAATTTAGGTGCTCTAACTTCATGTCTAAGGATCTTACCCTTATCACCATCCCAGAAAAGCCCAAAGTAGCTTGGGTCTGAATTTCCACTTTGCCACAGTAACCTTGAGCAAGTTTTGCTTCTCTTTGCAACAGTTTGCTCATTTGCAAGGTAGGGATGATTATAAAAGTGTCTGTGATAGGGGGTTTTGGAGGATTAAATAAGTTAATAATACATGCAAATTACTTACAGATGTGGGCTGACACACAGTTAATGTTCAGCAGTACTGAGAGTATTGAAACGTTATGATACAGGCTACTTAGGTTTTGTGTATTTGAACATAAACTTCAGACCAATTTCTGGTGATGACCACGGGTAAGATATTCTGTGTTTTAGTTAAGATGATTTCCAGTTAAGATGTTGAAATATTAAATACTTTTCTTGGGTCACTGAATAATTATAAAATATATTAAAATAACTTTGATATTTATTTCATTCATAGAAGTTCTAGACAATCCAGTCTAGAGAAGAGTTATGTAAAATTCTACACCAGAAATAGAACCCTAACCTTGAAAGACAGGGACACTTATTCATATATGTATGTCTAACACAAATGGGCCTCATAATTGTTGACAGCCACTTATTGAGCATTGACCATGTGCCAAGCAGCATGCTGAACACTTCACATAGCTGGTCTTACTTAATGCTCACAACAGGTAAGCATTCATATCCGGATTTTTCAGATGAGAAAATTGAGTCTTAGGCAGTTCAGTACCTTGTCCAAGGTTATACGGATATCAAGAGCCTAGATCTTCATAAGCCAAGTCTCTGTTCTTTTTGCTCAGCAAATACCTATTTTTAATGAGGATGCTTTTCTCAACTAGCTACTATATTCTGCAACCAGTCTGCATTTTACACTGCTATCCTTTCTGTGTCATTCCTAATACTCATTCATAGAATTATAAGATCATAGATTGTTAAGGCTGGAGGAAACCTGAGGAGTTTCTTGGTTCTCAGCATAAAGACTCAGAATCACCTGGGGGAGCTTTATCACATTCAAAACTACACACCCACACACATCTACCTTGTATTTACAATGAAACTCTGATCTACTGACATAACCCTAGATCCACTGAGAAAATATTATTACTCGGAGAAAATTTAGCTGATGGAGTGTGCCATACCCCACGTGTGATGAGATAACAAAAAAAGTTGACAATTACTGATCTAGTCCAATCTTACATCACAAACATGAAAACAGAATGAAGAGTGACAATCACTTTCTAAAGATTTTTAAAATGTCACTTATAACTATCTGCAAAAGAACCTGCGTCTTTTGACTTATAATGTTAAGTGATTTTCTTGTTTATTCCTTAAAACTGCCTTTGTAGAATGCACTATGTTATTTGATGGTTCTGGAGTAATACAAAAGAAGAGAGTGATTAATTTGCCTGGGATCCTACAACAAACCAGTTGACCAAGAGATAATAAGCTTATTATATTATGCAGATCTATACCTATTCACTTCGTTTAGTTAAGAAACAGCTCATCAATATGGAATACACATTTTCATAGTAGATTTGTGGGTTGCATAGCTTTTTTGTGTCTGTTTTCAATTTCTGTTCCTTTGATAACTGAACAAATAACAGAGATGGTGAAACCCAGCAAGCAAATTATCTTCCAGATTTTATGTGATCTCCCTTCTCTAGTGAGTTGGTATGTCTACTAATGACACAGTAGATTATAAGGTTATTTGGTTTAAGTAAATATTTATGCAGAGCCTATGATATGTCCATCTCTGTCTTAGGTGGGGTGAATTAGAATTACTATAAGTGCTTTCTGAAAAAAAAAAAAATGTACCATGAACAAATTTAGAGGTCTCTGCCCCCAAGAAGTCCATAGACCATTATAGGTTAGAGAATAAAAAATATATGATAATCCCTTTTCCCATGTGATAAATGTTATAAAGGAGCTCTGTACCTATGATTATGAGAGGGAATGTTTGAGAGCTCTAGGAAAAACCTCCCTAGGGAGATTAAGAGGTGATATCTGATGTCTTCATGAAGGAATAAAATGTTTCCAAGTAGAGAAAGAGAAGAAAGATGTTAGATACAGAAGAAACAGCATGTACAAAGGTATAGAGGTAGGAAAACATGGTATTCTGGGAACAGGAAGATGTTACTTCCTAACAGAACTTCTCTGTGGCTGAAGCCACATTGAGTTGAGGGACAAGTAGTGGGACAAGGAAGGATAGAGAGTCTGGAGTTCAGTGATAAAAGATCTTGTGTGATAGTCATAGGAAGGATGTTTTGGATGTTTACCTGTGCAAAATGGGAAATTGTTGACTATTGTCAAACAATGGGTAACATCAGATTAGTGATTTATGTAAAACTGAAGGGATAACCATTTCTACTGCTGTATACCACTTGGATAACCTTATAAAGCCACTTAATAGGGAATAATGGGGCTGGAAATTTAATGGGAATAGATTTAAAGTGCTTGTGGGATAAGAAACATGATATTGCTCTCTTTTGTTCTCTTTCAGTTCAAAACAGGAAGTGCCTAGGTATGCAGAAATGCAAATCAAGCCAGCTATATTTTTGGTGTGTTTTGTGTGTGTTTAGATTTTCACACATCAGCAATACTGTAAGAACACTATGTGGCCAGGCACAGTGGCTCACGCTTATAATCCCAGCCCTTTGGGAGGCCAAGGTGGGAGGATTGCTTGAGCCCTGGGAGTTCAAGACCAGCCTGGGCAACATAGTAAGACCCTGTCTGTACAAAAAGTGAAAAAAAAAAAAAATGGATGGGCATGATGGCATATGCTGTGGTTCCAGCTAATCTGGACGTGGAGGTGGGAGGAGGATCACTTAAGTTCAGGAATTTTTGGTGGCTGCAGTGAGCTGTGACCATGCCACTGCACTCCAGCTTGGGCAACAGAGCCAGACCCTGTCTCCAAAAAAAGAATACTATTATGTGAATAATCCACCAGATTCAACTAAAAAATGGCCATGATGTTTTAAAAGTACATATATACACACATATAGATTTAAAGATTACTTTCAACTTTCTAAGAAATTAGTAGATCTTTAGAAAATCATTGTGCGTATGTGCATATGTGCATTGTTTGTGCTGGTCCCACCTTCAAGGAGAAAATATTTCAAGATCCTGATGCTTACTTAAGAGGTTGTATGTGTTTACCATGGAAAGGACCTTGGAAATCATCTCCTAATTCTGACTTCATTATTTATTTATTTTGATGAAGCAAATGGTGCCCAGATTGAAACAGGAGTGTAAGCCACAGCCACCAAGTGCCAGTGCCCAGGCTAACACTTTTCTCCATTAACTCTGGAAACCTTATTTCCTTTTTGTACCACGTATTTACAGTGTTTGGTAGTTATGAATTGAGTGAATTATCCCAAGGTTGGAGATATCTTGGTACTCACTTGTAAGTGGAGAAACACTAATAGGAAAATATTCTGGGAATCTGGTAAGGAAGTATGAGTGAATTTATCATATTTAACCTTTGTTCAAATACATTAAGCCCTTTCTTCCCTTTGTCATTCTCAAACTGGATCGACATGATAGGAGGAGAAATTTTATCAACTAAAAGGGGTTGTGTCAATAAGTGTTTATGATACCTCTAAACTTAGGCCTTAAAACAACACAATCTGTGATCTGACAGTTCTGTAGGTTAGATGTTCAACATGAGTCTCATCTGGCTAAAACCATCATGTTAGCAAAGCTGCATTTGTCTCTGAAGGTTCTTTCTAGGGGAGAATCCCCCTTGCTTTTTCTGACTTCTAAAAACTGACCACATTCCTTGACTTGTGGCCCTCTTTTTCCATCCTCAAAGCCTGTAACATAGCACCTCTGACCATTTTTTTCATAGTCATTCTGTGTCTGGCCCCAGCTGGGAAAAGTTCTCCAATTGGTAAGGACCTACTTGATTAGATATGACCCACCTGAATAACCTCACATACTCTTCCTATCTCAAAACTCTTAACTTAATCCTATCTGCAAAGTCCGTTTTGTCATATACAGTAGCATGTTCATAGGTTTCAAGCATTTGGACATGGTCCTCTTTGGGAGGCATTACGCTGCCTGTGACAGTGCTCTTCTGATACATTTTCAGTGATCTTCTAGACATAACAATCCTGGTCCTGGGAACATGCATGGCGGGGACCTAAATAAGTCTATTTTTTAAGAGGCCCTACCCTTTGCATAGATTCTAATCTTGGGGTAAAGGAAAGTTTGAGATTTCACTCCACCTTTTTTTTTGGTGCTGGTATTTCCACTGTGGGAAAGATCATTCGGATTTAACAACCACATGAAGCTCCTGGATTATCTGGGGCATGTTTGCTGATTCCCAAGGAAGCTTGATCTTTTTGATGGAGCACTTGAGCTGGTAAGTTATTAGAAGCTGAGCTATAATTTTCCTTGGCATTGGTCATTTTTGTCTAATCTTTTATTTTTTTGTTTTTTTTGTTTTGTTTT
The DNA here is from genome assembly GCF_000001405.40 of Homo sapiens. Taxonomy (NCBI): domain Eukaryota; kingdom Metazoa; phylum Chordata; class Mammalia; order Primates; family Hominidae; genus Homo; species Homo sapiens. The sequence continues at coordinate 188,731,531 of NC_000003.12, forward strand.
GTTTTGTTTTGAGATGGAGTCTCACTGTGTCCCCCAGGCTGGAGTGCAGTGGTGCGATCTCGGCTCACTGCAACCTCCGCCTCCTGGGTTCAAGCAATTCTCCTCCCTAAGCCTTCAGAGTAGCTGGGACTACAGGCGTGCACCACCATGCCCGGGTAACTTTTTGTATTTTCAGTAGAGACAGGGTTTCACCATGCTGGCCAGGCTGATCTCGAACTCCTGACCTTGTGATCCACCCACCTCAGCCTCCAAAAGTGCTAGGATTACAGGCATGAGCCACCGCGCCTGGCCTGTCTAATCTTTTATTTAATGCATCTAGGCTCCTCCTTTCTTCCTTCATGGTTTCCTTTTTCCTACTTCCCTATCTCGTTTTCTTTCCTTCTTTTCATTTACAGAGAAATGGTGTTAGAAATGAATGAGAGGAGTGAGCAAAGAAAGATGAGGGAAAAATAGATGTGTTAAGGAGTATACGCATAAAGAAAAGAGGCCAGGAGGAAAAGCTGTTCACCCCGACTCCCATCCTAATCTTGCGTAGTCTTTCGTTTCCTGAGAATAGTTAGGTCAGAAGTTACAGTAGAAACTTTCATGGAATACACAAAAGGGAATTAAGTAAGGAAACTTGTGACCGATGCTATGGGAAAGGACATGTTTGTCAAAGCAATAGGTTCTTCCTGAGTTAGAGAACAATTATGGTTCCCCCATGGAAATGTTTATCTGACGCAATGAGAACCAGGTCAGACACAATTCAGAAATGAAATGAATAAAATTATTCTAAGATCTAGATGGGAGGAGACATAAGGGATTGTGTTTTGATAGTCTTAAGGGTGCACTTACATTTACATCCCCAAATTCCCTCTTCCATGAACCACTGTGCACTGTACATTGCCACATTAATGCTAACTGTGCCAATTAGATTAACTAATATTGGTCAAAAAAGAATATCCTGGCCGGGCGCAGTGGCTCACGCCTGTAATCCCAGCGCTTTGGGAGGCCGAGGCGGGTCACGGTGAAACCCCGTCTCTACTAAAAATACAACAATTAGCTGGGCGTGGTGGTGGGCACCTGTAATCCCAGCTACTTGGGAGGCTGAGACAGGAGAATCGCTTGAACCCGTGAGGCGGAGGTTGCAGTGAGCCAAGATCACACCACTGTGTTCCAGCCCTAGCGACAGAGTGAGACTCTTATCAAAAAAAAAAAAAAAAAAAAGAATATCCTAATGAAGAGAAAAATGACAGAAATTTCTAAGATAACTGTTTCATATTTCTTCATTAAATTAAAATGAAAATACATCTTCTTAGAGTATTGGGGTATAAATTAAACTGAATAATACCAGTGAAAATGCTCTTTCAACTATAAAGTATTAGAGTTGAGAAAGTTCTTTTTGTTTGACTATTCATTCTGTCATCTCACCTTAGTGGTAATTTCTTCTGCTTGGACAATAGAGCAAAGTTGGGCCAGTACCACTTTGGCAATGGGCATCAAAGTCGAAGAATCCCATGTGCAGGTCGAACTCAGTGAAAAAGGGCTGGAACTGGCTGCTCCTGCCCGCTTCCTGCCATAGTCAGGCCCACATTTGAACTTTATTATTTCGGGGGTAATTACCTTGTGTAGTCGTAAATTTTAATCCAAGTCTCATATGTGACTGTGGATGGGTACAGTCTAAAGGGAACATTTCTTTATTTCTCTGCTGCAGAGTGACTACGTCTACAGTCAAAAGTTCTCAACCTATCTTAGGAATCTTACTTTACTTCACCAAAAACGTGTGTGTGTGTGTGTGTGTGTGTGTGTACATTTATATACCATACATGTACACGCTAGTATGCTTTAGTTAAAATACAAAGCCTCTGTAGAAAACAGAAGAATTCTGCAATACCCCTGAAAAATAATTTATTTTCTACATGCTATCTCATAAATCTGTACTAAAATCAATTTTGAAAAATTAAGCCCCCCTTCTCTAACATGGTACTCTCTCTCTTTATTTGAATTGTTTCATGCACTTCAACAATTATTTCTAGTTTCATTTCTTTTCATGAGGACTTTATTCCAAGATAATTCAATTTTTGTTGCTACTGTGCAATCTTTTTGCTTGTTGTTGTTGATGTGTGGTTATTGCTAGTTTAAAGGAAACTCTTGACTTTGCTTGCTCATATCCAAACACTTTACCAAATTCAGTTGTTAACAAACTTATATTAACAACGTTTTCAGGTTCTTCAGTGATTATTAGGCTACTGAAGTGTTTTTGTGGTTGTTTTGTTTTGTTTTACTTCTATTGGAATTCATGTGGCTGTTTATATTTTGCTAGAAAATTATGCATTTTGTCAAGATTGTCTACTGTTGTTACTATGATATAGGCGTATTTCTCACTTATACTTTTTAAAATATCTGTCTTGTCCATATTCATAGCTTCCTTTTGCTTTGACTGTTTTTCCTTTTTCCTCCTTAGTGGAACTTTCCTAAGAAGTGTGTATATGTGTGTGTGTGGAGTTTGTTTTCTAACTCATTACTTTTAACGTTTGCCTTATTATTTTATATATCCTTCTTTAAGTTTATTTAGTTATTCATTGTTGTAGTATCTTACTCTGAATGTTCATTTATATTTCTCTGTCTCTTCTGTTTACTAATAAAAAGCATTTAAATTGATGAAATGCCTCTCCTTGACTTTATCTGCATCCCATTTGGATATCTTTTAAAATTTATCATAAAGGTGTTATAATTCAGTCATTCTTCCACATAAGAATTATTCAGAAACTTATTTCTAAATTATTTTTATCAAAAAATGTTATTCTATTTTTTAATTTGAAAGAATTTAAGTCTTGAAATTTATTAGTGACATGTAAATTCCTGACTGAGCATTATGAAACTTGTTTAGTTCATTGCTGAATTTGGTATTTTGTCAGCTGGGAACACTAAATACCCCCACTTAACTTGCTATTTGTGAAGCTCAGAGTAGCATTGGGGTTCCTGTACACTTTGGCAATTGCCCCATGGCTAATTTGGCCAACTTCCAATTCCTCAGGGAGCAACAAAGAGTTGTCTCATTGCCACCTGCTATTAACTAAATGCTTAGGATTCAGTGTCCTAGGGGTGACTGGGAGACATGGGAATGGATTATTGTAACAGCCTGTGGAACCTCCTTCCCTGGGGAATTTTGAGAACAGCAAAGAACCATCTGTCTGGGCTGGTTTTAGGAGCAGCCCTGCCTGAAGGCAGGTGCACGGATTAGATGACCTGTGAAGATTGTCATCCATCCCAATGACTTCAATGGAAAGGATGCATTTGCTGAATTTGAAAAGAGTCCAGGAGGAACACTGATAGGTTTGGGGAGCATATGGTCAAGAGCCTGAGGGTATTGAGCCCTTCTTGAAATTGGAGACACTCGGTGTCACCCCATGCCCTGAATTCCAGAATGCCATAATCTACACGTGAACCCAGCAGTCATTCACCCTTGAAAATTATGTGCAGATGTGGTTCACATTGGAGTATTCACGTCGTTGTTGATCATAAGCAGAATTCCTTTTTAACACATAGCTCAACTGATCTATACCCAGAACATACTGTTGACCCTGATTCTTCTGGTTAAGCCGGATCTGCCTGTATAATACATCATTTACTGACCCACTGACATTGAGTTTTCTTAGCTTGTTTCTCAGTGGTTGTTCTGTGTTTGTTTCAGGCAATTAAATATGTTGATGCATGTTTCAGAAGAGCTCTCCTAATTATATCAACAATAGCTTTATTATAGTTAGAAAAGACAAAATGCTAAATGAATTAGCCGGGTTAAGTCACATTTATTGTGATTTAATTCTTACTGTATGTAGTGTAATATAAATAAAATAAAAATTTTATTTTATTATTATTATTATTTTTTGAGACGAAGTCTTGCTCTCATCCCCCAGGCTGGAGTGCAATGGTGCGATCTCAGCTCACTGCAACCTCTGCCTCCTGGGTTCAAGCAATTCTCCTGCCTCAGCCTCCCGAGTAGCTGGGATTACAGGAGCCTGCCACCGTGCCCGGCTAATTTTTTTGTATTTTTATTAGAGATGGGGTTTCACCATGTTGGCTAGGCTGGTCTTGAACTCCTGACCTCAGGTGATCCACCCACCTCAGCCTCCCAAAGTGCTGGGATTACAGGCATGAGCCACTGTGCCTGGCCTGTAATAACATATTTTAAAGTTACAGAGAAAGGGCAATGTCCCCAAAATATTTTCATGATGATATGTCAGACATATGGAGTTTCAAACTAACACTGTGGTAATTGTTGTGTGTCTAAACAAGTGACAACGGGGCTGGGCAGCAAAACTAGACATGGGAGAAGCCAACTGATCCATTGAGCTGTCCCAGCAAGAGTTAGTGGGATTATGATTTATGAAAGACCTGTGTGGACAAGGTAGTTTGGAGGAACTGAATGGAGGGAGTGAATTAATTAGAAGAATGAGACAGGACTAGCCACAAACTTCTCCTAGAAGTTTAAACTATTTTAAAAATAAGAGTTGTGGCTCATCAAAAAAGTAGTGTTTTCAAAAAACACAGCCCCTTCACTTAAATGATACGCACAGTCCAGATAGACTGCAAAACTTAATGTTTAGAAGCTAACAACTTTTTAAAAACTTTATTGATCTGATCTGTACTGAGAACAGATTTTCTCTGTGCTTTATAATAAAACATAAAGATCAATCACAAAATAATTTATCAATAAATTTTAAAACAAAAATTTTAAAGTGTATGTAAATATCATATAAAATTAAGAAAAAATATGTAAGAATAATATTTGCAATGACTATGATAAGCAAAGGGTTAACAACTGTATGAAAATTTTCATGCAAATACAAATATCCCAACAGAGAAAGACAAGGAATGTAAATAATTCTTAAGTAGATAAATACAAATGGATATTTAACTTAAAAAAAATTTTATTCACATTAGTATGAAAAGAAAATTTAAATAATTGAAATCTAGTTTTTCACTTATGAAATTAGCAAAGATTTAGGAAAAGAAACTACTGTCATTTGCTGCTGGTAAGACCGTAAATTGGCCCAAAACTTTTAGAAAGTTATTTTACAATATTTCTCAAGAACTTTAAATGTCTCATATCTGTCAATCCAGACAGATAGATGGATGGATGGATGGATGGATAAATATCAGATGGATGGATGGATGGATGGATGGATTTATCAGTAATAGATACATAGATGGATAGATAGATAGATACATAGACATCTATAGAGATATATGTTTCTATATAAATATATATCTATATTATCCTAAAGAAATATATATTTGAACAAAATCTATTTATGAAAATGTTCACTAATGCAAAACTTATAATGGCAAATAGAAAGGGAATCTGCTGAACAAAATATTATCAATCCCAAATAATGAGATATTGCCAAAACACTATATTTAAAGAACTTAAGTGATTTGGGAAAATATTATCTTGTGAGGGCAAATACATTAAATTTGTATATTCAGTATTGCCAAATTTATATAAAAAAATGGGTAGAATTTCTTTTTAAAAAACACCTTAAAATATAAACGGAGTACTTCCCAATAATCAGATTACATGTGATTTTATTTTCCCCCCTAATTTTCCTTAATTTTCAAGTTCCGTACAATGAACATGTGTTATTTTCATAAGTATAAAAGACTTTTTTATAAAAAGAAATATATAGAACTAATTAGCCAAATAGGAAAGTTTCTAAGAACAAGGGAAGAAATTTGTGAATGGAGTGGTGAAGAGATCCTTGGACTGAGAGCTGGGCAATGTGGATACTAACACTGGCTCTGTCACAAAGAAACAAGGAGACTTATTGAGGTTCTCTCTTCTGGCTCAAAGATTTTATGAGCCAGTAATTTATCAAAGAGCCCATCCTAGTGTACCCATGGGCCTGTCAACCCTGGTAGACAGGTTAGTAGCCCAGATGAAATTTCCCGTGGATGAATTTTAGAACTCCGCTCCATTGATCACCCTTTTTTGTTGTTGTTGTTCTTTTACTCTTCTGGAAGAGAGCTAAGAAACTTCTGATACCATCCCCCTTTCCCACTCGCCCTCAGTTGTGAGATGGAGGCAGCAAATATTCAGTGTGTTCTTTTTGGTCTTAAGTAGTTCTAGACTCAGATACCACCTCAGCACCAGGCTGAGTTTGGGCTGGCTTTGGCTACGGTTTGCTGCTGAATGTATCAGTGATGGACTTTTGAATGTTTAATAGCCTTAGGGAATGTGGCAGTGTCCCCTACATAGAGAACTGTAGATTCTTTAGTCCACCATTTCCAACCCTGTGATTTAGATTGTCATTATAAGCATCACAGGATGCCCTGAGTTGAGAAAAATCTGTGCTGTTTAAATGGTCTTTAAGCAGCCTTTCCTTTCTCCTCTTTCTCAGCTCTATTCTGCTTAGGATATGGCTTATGCCACTTAATCAACATGCTATCATATGCTTTCTGCATTCCAGACATATATTGAAATATCTTGGTTGTTATAGCCATCTTCTCCCACATACATCCCCTTTCTCTCTTCCCCTCTACATTTTTTTCTGTTACTTGTTATTTTTGGTACTGATGTGCTTTTATTTGAGTAGGATATTGGAATGCAATTGTCTTCTTAGTCCACCATCCCCTGACCTGTCATTATTGAAAAACAAAATTCTGTAGCAAATGAGTCCCCGAAAGTGTTTTTTTTCAAATGATGATGATCGGTCACGTTGTGAATCTGTAGACTCCTTTGCGAAAACAACAATAAACACAGTATTATTTATGGTGGATATGCTAGGTACATCCAAAGCTCTTCATATGTGTTGCCTTGTATAATTTCCTCAGCAACTCTAATTTAATAGAAACTATTGTCCATGTATAGATGAGGTAGTTTATACCCAGATAGGTTATACAAACCTGTAAGTAACAGAGCCAAATTTTAAAGGCAGACAATGTAACTGCAGAAACCTTGTTCCTAATTGTTTAATGGAATATGGTTTAGAATTCTGTGTGGAGAATCTTACTCTACCCTAGTGGTAAACTTAAAGCTCTTTAATTTACTGTGGTTATATTATATATGTGCAATGGATCCCTATTTTCAAACATAGTCGTTTGATAAAGTGTGGGCTGCTTTTCATCACGAATGTAAAAAGTCTCTTAGTTGCTACACCCAGCAACTAAGTGTCCTTTAATTCTTAACTTTGAATACTTAATTGGATCCCTGGTGCTATGTGTATTTGATTTTTGTTGTGAAAGTTGCATTCACTGTGTCCCTTTATTTGACATCAGCAAGATGTAATTTCTATAAACCAATTAATGATGCACCTTTCAACTCTTACTATGAGAATATTAGCTGGTGTAAATATCGGACTCCTTGTGAAGGATGACTCGCTATCTGATTGGTCTTTAAAAAAATACTTTAGGAAATAATGGCTTGCCCCTGCATATACCAATTTGAAGTCTTTCTAATATCAGCCATTAGCTGGGATCCACATGGAGTACATAGACAAATGACCATAGTTTCTACTGTAAAAATGCCTCAAGATCTTGTAGGTGAGATTAGGCAATTAGATAAATGCCTATAGCACAAAATGAATTAACATGATTGCTTGAAAAGAATTAATTTCTGTAATAATTTGAAGAAGGAAGAAGTTATGTATGCTTTGGGGGGTATACAGAAAGGCTTTATAAACAACCCTATGAAAAAATGGACCACAGTTTTAAACGGGCAATCCACAGAAGGGAAACACTGCAATATTCATTGGAAAAAGAAAAGGAAGGAAGGGAGTGACCAAGAGAAGAAACAAGAAGGAAAGGACTGAAATCTTGTTTGCCTTTTTGGAGAAGATAGCATTTGAAATGGGCCTTGGATAATAAGGTGTGATTGTCGTTGGTGGAAATGAATTGCATCCAGAATGCAGAAATAACTCAAGCAAAGGCATAGAGATTGGAAAACATGGGGCAGGTAGAAAACAAGTCCAGAGTCTTTGCTGCTTCTTAGAAGATGTATAAGGGTTTTATTTTATAGTTTTATAATGAAGGGCTTTTAATTTCAAGTGATGGGTCAGTGTATAATTCCTTAGGAGATAAAATTCCAGGGAAAAGGAGGAGGGGTTATAAGATAAATCTAGAAATCTAACTCATAAAAATTAGTTCCCTTCCAGGGAGTTAGTTACTCCAAAAATATCCTTGATAAGCTAACTCTGCATGGATATAACTGTGTTATCTGTGAGCTGGCTACAGACAAGAATTTACAATTGTCTGTAGTTGCAGTCTTTGAGCTGCAGTCATTCAATCTCTGTCTACTGCTAAAAGCCAGAGTTTGGAAAGAGCCCTTATGCATGCTTGATAATGACACAATTTGACTGAGAATACTGCCATTTTATAATAATCTCTGAAAGTTACTTCCTTGGTCTACTGAATCTCATATTTTGTGAAGTTAAATGACCAATGACTGTCATTCATTGGCCATGATTGTCTTGAGTTTGTTGATACTAAGGTGTTATTTATAATGTGCCTTTTGTTTCTCAAGAATATGTTCGCAGAAATCACCAGTAGTGTTATCCATGTGTATGGAAGGCCAGACTGTATCCCCTTATGTACTAACAGACTGTATGGCAAGAAGGGAGCCAGGTTGTCAATGTGAGAGCTAATGTTGATATCAACACAGGCATCAGAAAGTCAATTACTCTGTTTCCCTAGTTTACTAAATGGTGCTTTTGCAATAGGGACCATGTTGCCTAATGGGCTGTGAACTTTAATTTGTTCATAACAGTGCCAATGAGTAAATGGATCTACCTGTGGACTTTAGAGTGTACTTCTAACATTTTAGGACTGCAAGAAAGTAGTGTGTTTTATCCTCTGATACATTCATATTCTCTATTGGAGCATACCTATCCAAGCCCAATATCCTACATCAGTTTTAATAAAGAGAAATTACATTTAATTGTGTCTCTATCCTTTCATATTAATCCATTATGAATATTTTATTCCACAATGTTAGAAAAATTACATTAACTTATTAGTGAAGAACATTCTTTTATAAGAAGTGCTTTATACTTCAGAACCTCATAACTTACTTTAAATATTTCAGGCACAATAACTGGTAAGAGATGAAAAATAAGCCTGAACTCATAGGGTAAGGACCATTTAGAAGTCTTTTGTCTTCAGCTTGTGATTGTTCAGTTAAACTTATTTGATGTGTGCTCAGCAGGTTGTAAAATTCCTATCTTTCTGGAGTGATCCATAAGAGATTACTTCATAGTGAAACACTTAAGTTTGATTCTTATGAGTTGCAAAATGATTTTCCACCAGGAAAAATAAAGAATATGGGTTCCATCAAAAGTCAGGCATGAATTCTCATCTCCTGATAAAATGTGAAATATCTTTGCTGATCCTGTGCCTATTCTCAGTTTCCATGACCATGCACAATTATTATTTTTAGCAAATAAGCAAATTTGAGGCAAAAACATTAATTTGATAAGATATCTGCAAATGCCTTTCTGGAGGAGAAAATAAATTTAAAAAGCATCAGTGTGTTTCACTGATATGCACAATCCCCCACTTCTTATAAGAAATTAAAACACTAGTTTTTAATATCTTCAGAGAGAAAATGAGTAAAGGAAGCACAGTATTTTCCGAAACGTGTTATTTAAACTAAAACCATGAAATTTATGAAAAAAAAAAAAAGTAGACCCTTCCTTGATACACTTGGTCCCACCGAGGTTCAAAGTTTCCTTTGAATTGGGGGGGGAAGGGAGATTCTGTAATTTAAGTTTTAAACTTCTGTCTTTGTATCTATCCTTGTGCTGGTACTCCGCTATCTTGGTTGCTATGGTTTTAGAGCAAATCTTCATATCAGGTGGTCTAAGTTCTCCAACTTTGTTCCTCTTTTCCAAAATTAGTTGAACTATTGTGCATCCTTTATATTTCCATATATATTTTAGATGTGGCTTGTCAATTTATACCAATAAAGGATTCTGTTGTACATGTAAACCAAATTAGGGAGAACTGACACTTTAACAATATTGTCTTTCAATGCATGAACATGGTATATCTCTCCCTTTACTTCATTTTTTTTTTTTTGGTTCTCTCAGCAGTGTTTTTAATTATTATTGTAAAGGCCTTGCACATATTATGGAACAAACACATATTATGGAACAAATAAATGTAAAAGCTAAATCTATAAAACTTTTCCAAGAAAAGAAAAGAATTCTTACAACCTTAGATAGGCAAATATTTCTTAAGGAGTATACAAAAAACCCCACAAACCATAAAGTTAAAAATGATAAATTTGATTTTATAAAAACTCTAAAACTTGTTTTTTAAAAGACACCATAACAAATGAAATAGCAAGTCCCATACAGGGAGAAAATATGTGTACAGTATGTGTATATGACAAAGATTTTATGCCAGAATATAGAAATAATTATTAAAACTCAAGAAGAAGACAAAGAATGCAATTTAAAAACAGGCAACAGATTTGAAAATAGGCAATAGATTTGAACAGGTACTTCTCTAAGAAAATACACAAATAACCAATAAGCAAATGAAAAATGCTCAATATATGTAGTCATTAAAGAAACAAAATAAAACTCTGTAAGGTACCTCCATACATTGATGAGAGTGGCTAAGACTAACAATACCAAGCATTAGCTAAAAGACAGAGCAATTGAAATTCTCATACACTGCAGTTGAGGATGTAACATGGTACTGCCACTTTGGAAAACAGTTTGGTAGTGTCTTAAAAATAAAACGTGTTCAACATATGACCCAGCAATTCTCCTCCTTGACATTGACCCAAGTGAAATGAAACCTTTTTTTTACACAAAGGCTTGTACACAAATGTTCATAGCAACTATATTTATAATGGCCAAAAACTGGAAACAACCCAAATGTTCATTAACAGGTGAAAGGACAAATTATGCTATATTTATACAATGAAAGATGACTCATCGGTAATAAATAAATGATCTGCTAATATGCACAAATACATGAAAAAAATCTTAAAAATATGATGCTGAATAAAAGGAACCAGAGCTACCTCCACCCCTAAAAAAGACTGCCTACCTTAGAATTATATATTTACAAAATCCTGGAAAAGACAAAACTAATCTATACTGACACAAAGCAATCAGTGGTTTGCTGAGGCTGGGAGTGGGGAAAGGATTGATTATAATGGGGACTGACAAATAGGGAACTTTTTGGGGTGATGGAAATGTTCCAGATCCTGGTAATGGAGGCAGTTACAAAGTCTTATAAATGTATTGAAATTCATCAAAGTGTACAGTTAAAATGGTTTTATTTATTGCATTTAGATTATACCTCAACAAAGGTGGTTTTAATAAATAAACAAGAAAAAGTGTTTTTCACCAATTGGTTTGAAATTCGGCCAAGGCATATTTGAGCGAGGGCTGTCAGCCTTGTATTTGTTGCAAGTCACAGTGAGTATGTCCTAATGGATCCTCTACAAGGTCCAGGTTAGGTTTCTTTAAAGGATGGCAAGAACCTGAAACAGTGTGAGTGCAGAGAACAGTGAAACAGTGTGTGTACATAGTGCTTTGATTTTTGTGCATTTTTTGGTCCTAATATTTTAAAGTTTGCTGAACCATACCTCATAGAACATTTACCTGCTTTTTCTGAGGGAAATATCTTTATAGAACTTTTCCAAAGCATTCTGCATAGATTTTATTTTAAGAAATTAAAACATTTTATTTGTATTAATTTACATAATAATTGGTTAACTCACATAATTACAATGACAAGATCATACAGTAGGAGCAGACTTGGGATCAAATGCAGCTGACTCTAATAGCAGGTGTAGCAGGAGGCACACAGCTGAGGGGACATTTGAGACGAAATTGAGGCCAGGTTCCACTTCACATTGTACTAGGGTTAAGCGTGTCCACCCAGAGGAAGAGAATCCTTAGGCCTAAAAGAGCAAAAGTGTACAGACATACTCAAGAGTAAGAGAGTAGCCAGGAACACCAGCCAAGCCATAAACTCCAGTCTGTGTGTGTTAACAGATAAAATTAAGAGGGTAATCTAGGGAGTCTATTGCTAAATGAAGGGCACATTAAGTCTCAACAGTATTCCTATGATCAATCAAGCAACCAATGAAGTGTACAAGCAGAAGTGATTTGTCATGGAATTTCAGAGCCAGAAAGATCCTTAAAAAGGCAGTGTACTCCAACTTCCTCTGAAGCTTGTGTCCTACCTACAGAATTCCCAACCACTCTGCTTGAATGTCTCCAAAGAGGAAAAAATTTAGAAGAGAAGACAAGGAAAATTAATCACAAGATAGGCAATGAATAGGCAAGTGGTAAGAGGCCAGTTTTCCCATCCTCATTTACTCTAAATTTGATTCATAGATTATTGAGCCTCAGATATCTGTTTGCCATCTGGTCTGGTCAGTCTGGTTTGGCATGCGTCTTCTTTCTCTTTAGAGTTTGATGACGTTTTAGGCTGTGAGGGGCATTTGCATTGTAGTAGAAATTGGATGATGTCAGACTTGCTTTATCACACTTTCTCAATAATCTCTTTTGGTGAGTTTGATATTCTACTTACAGCTGCTAAAGCTCCTTATAACCATACGCACAAACATACACTTCCATATAGTCATACATACTCACAAACATATATACACAGCCATTTACTTACACACGTGTACACAAAGGTGTATATCCACACACTTACATGCACAATGAGAGATGCATAGTAAGAATTTTTCCACTACCCCTAGTTTAACTGGAAGCTGTAGAAAATCTGAACTTTATTATATTGATCTCTGGGATCATCCACAAAATTGCCCAAAATGGGAATGCGGAAGCTGTTTCTTACCTTTCATTTTCTCCACATCCAATGTGTCCTCTTCAACTGTGTATTTTGAAACAACCTTTGAATCTGTCCCCTTCCCGCAACTGCACTGCCAACTGCTGATATCATTTTTTGCAAACAAGTGTAATGAAAAGAGCATATTCTTTAACATCAAGCAAACTAAGGTGCAAATTTTAGCTCTGCATGTATTCATTGTGCTATCTTGGACAAGTTATTTAACTATCCTGAGCCTCCTTGTCTTAATGTGCAGATAGAAGAAGATAATGCCTACCTGATAGGTGGCATAGGAAAAGGTCAAAAACATTATTTTCTACTCCCATTGCTCCCCTTGCCTGAAACATTATAATGGCCAAACAACTGGCCTCCCAACCTCCTTTCCCCTCTTCAGTTTTTCCTCTACATTATAGCTAGAGATTTTGCTAAAATGTATATATGGTCATCCCATTTTTTACTTGAAACTGGTATCTTCCTGCCTATAAAACACATTTTGTTTCTTAGTCTCACATAGGAAATCCTTTTTAGTCTGTCTTGGGCCCAGGACTCCAGTCCGATTTTCCTCCCATTCCTACCTGCCCTCTTGGTTTTGAATGTTCCACACAACTTCATTCCTTTCTCTGTTAATTGGCTTTTCCTTTACTTAGAATGCTTTCCCCCTTCCTGCTTTTTAGGGAGAACAGGGTAAACTGTTCTCCCTATCCTTCATTGAGTCTCCTTTCTTTTTTCTAAAGTTTTTTCTTATCAGCATCCCTCCCCCAATTTGAGCTCATTTTCTAGAAAGAATTAATAGCTTTCTTATATGACTCTCAAGATATTTCTGTGTGGTTCTCTAACAGCCTTCATTTATTTTATATGGTAATTATAGATGTCCATTTGTTCTAGGGAAGGCAGGTGTCAGGTCTTACTCATCTTTATATTCCTGGTTTGACATACAGTGCCTGATGTCTAGTAAGCACTTGATATCTGTTTATTTTAATGTTTATGCCCTACATTATCTATCACAAGTATTAAAGATTGATAGGTGCTCTGTAAATGTTAAATTGAGTTAATTATTTTCAATCTTACAGGAAGTTACATAAGTCATTCCTGTATTCATTTGTGAATTTTCGACATCCTATATTAAGAGTTGCACTTAGAATGTGAGTTCCATGAGGGCAACAGCACTTCTGTCTTACTGCTCTGTCTGCTATGTTGGCCCATAATTAACCACTCAGTAAGCCTTTTGTGAAAACAACCTCAATGAGTCTTCTACCTCAAGTCTTTTGAATAGGAATGGATTTAAAGCTGACCCCTAATACATCTTTCAAACTTTAAGTCAGTAAATTTTTTACAAACTTTTTTAAGTTGATAAATCCCTCAGAAATTATTCTGAGGAAGCTGATGGGATAGAAATGAAACAGACTAAGGGGCTCCAGGCAATCACCACTCCCCTTCGTTCTCCTTCCTCTGTTGGTGGGGATCAATAGAGCAGGATCCTCAAAACTGTGGAGTTCTTTGGAGCATACTTTGAAAGCCTCTAATTCTATTCCACGCTCTAATTTCCAAAAGAGGGAACTGAGGCCCGTGGTGGTTAAATGCCCTTTCCGAGGTTACACAGCTATACATGGTAGAGCCGACCCATGTCTTCTGACTCTCATCCCGTTGCACTTACAACTAGCCTGCATGTTCCCCTTTTCCCATATCGCATGGATAGCATCTTACGCATCTAAGTTTTTTTCTTTAATAATGATCTTCTCTTTTCTTTAAGAGACACCATCACTCCGAGTTGTACCACTTGCACCAGGCTAAATTATTCCTCAGTGTTTACCCCTTTCAGATATTTATAGACCATCATTATGGCACTCCCTAGTCACCTGTCAGCTTCCTAATATGTACATATATGGTTTCTTTAATCTTTCTGTACAGTCGGCTTCTCTAGTCCCTTAATCATTTGTACCATTCTCTCTCTAATGCCTATAAGGGAACTGTTTAAATATAGTCCATATGGGAAAAGTAACCTCAACATGTTGTAACAGGGGGCAGAAAAACACGCTGAATAGATGAAAGGAACAATCTACAGGTTAATTAGTAGTATGGCCACAAATATGTGCACAGTTTTGTTTCAGAAATAAAGCAAGCTGTATTTGTTGTAACTATCTCTTCTTTGAACTTAACAGAATGCTGATAATGCCAAGCTGTGTTTACAGTCCAAATTTTTGCTGAAGACCTTCAACTTTGCACTCTCCCTGTGTGGTATCTCTTGCCCAAGACAGAACTTCAAATAAAATCACATAGCTGATGCAAGAAACCGTTACTGAGCGTATCCATTTTTATGCAGTTTCTGTGGACTTACATGGTTTCTGGGAGCTCCCTATAAGCCTTAGTAAGGGAAAGCTCTTGACTTATCTCACTAGTTATTAGGGATTTGGATATATGTTTACTAAATGTGATAATCTAAGTATGGAAACTACATTAGTACAAGAGGAATCACCCAGAAATACTCTACTGGCATAAATAAAACATTACCTATTGCCCAGTTTTCTCATTTGTTTCATTTTGTAACTTTTATAATGTGTCAATAAGTTTGAAGTCTTGAAGGGCTGCCCAGAAACCACCACAGAGTGGATTTTCCTTACCCTCAATCTGCCTTCATCAAAATTTAGTTTGTGTGTTTATCCTATAAAATTTATCTCATAATAAAAACTGAAGACTAGGACGGTCCTTAGAAAAACACTTGATTCGGTGTATTTATTTTATAAAAGGGAGTCACAGAGAGAAAATGTGGCCAGCTCAGGTACATGGCTTCCTAGGCAATGTTCCATTTCGCAAAACTTTCATTGGTCCAGAAAGTGTACCTTCATTCCCAACCAAATCCTTCCTATAATGCTTTCCATGCCTTTCTTCTGTGGCTCTCTCTGATGATCTCACAGGTCTATAAGCTCTTACAGGTAGAAATATGATTTCTTGCTGTGTTCTTATTATAAAGCATTGCCATGCAACTGAGAAGTAATGAGAGCCAGTGGATTTTATTAGAATGGAATTTTAACTTTTCTACTTTAAAACCCAGTGATTCTGCTAGTCTGGAGGTAGCAAAGAAGGATGACTATTTTCTCTCTCACACAAAGTAAGATTCTGAAGGGGCTTATTCTCTGAATGAAAAACGAGAGGAGAAAAGTAAGAACCTTCTAATGTTTTATTCAAATGTTAACAAAGAAATTTGAGAAGCATGTTTCCTTAAAATTGACACCATTTTTATCCCAAACATTCTGGTAAGTGATAGCAGATGACTGTGCAAGCTTCTATGGAGAGAGAGAGAGGAATTTTTCCAGGAGCATAGTCCCAGTGGGAAGTATTACCTAAAAGTAATACACTAATCACTTTCAATCTTGCATATTTCCACATACTGTGTGCACACATATGTGTATTAATAACTGTTCCCTAGACGTCACTTCAGCGCTCAGACAGCTTAGTGTTGCTATGCGAATGCTGGAGATGGAATCAGATGCAGACTACAGTTTAGCAATGAGAATTCTTCAGAGATACAAGAATGGAAATGGCCTTAGGTCCTGCCTCATGGGTCTCCCTCTGAGCTCCAGTGTAACATCGGGTGTCAAGTATTTGTGGCCCCATCTGCCCACTCCACTGAGAATCTAAATGGCATTGCCAGTATTTGTGAGGTACTCATATCTTAAAAGTCAGTGTACTCAAATCAGTCTTGCATTCTACCTTGTGGATTTTGCATGGAAATTTTTTAGAATGTCATTGCTGATGGAAGCCCCAGATATATAAGTACATCTGCTCCATCGTACTGGTGATTTTTATAGATATTCATAAGAAAATTTATTTTACAGCAGTTTATTTTAGAGGAATTCTTTGCATTTTATTTGTATGTGTGTATACTTATTTTACTGGCAGGATACACACACATGTATATACACACACACACATACATATATACACATACATACATATATATATGAATGTATGTTTGTATCCTGTCAGTAATACTTTGAGGTACCTAGGGCTGAGATTACTATTTCTCTTCCACCTATGGCTCAAATGGGTAAAATAGCTTACTCAAAGTCACAGTTCATACATGTGGTGCAGCTTGAATCAAAACTCAATTCTTCTATCCACAGATTTACCACTACTTGAGTAGTCTGTGGTGTTTAAAAAAAATAATAAACAACAGGCCGGGCACAGCGGCTCACACCTGTAATCCCAGCACTTTGGGAGGCTGAGGCAGGTGGATCACAAGGTCAGGAGTTTGAGATCAGCCTGGCTAACATAGTGAAACCCCGTTTCTACTAAAAATACAAAAAATTAGCTGGGCATGGTGACGTGCGCCTGTAATCCCAGCTACTCGGGAGGCTGAGGCAGGAGAATCACTTGAACCCGGGAGGCAGAGGTTGCTGTGAGCCAAGATTGTGCCGTTGCACTCCAGCTTGGGCAACAAGAGCAAAACTCTGTCTCAAAGTAATAATAATAATAAGACGAAGAAGTAACAAAGCCAAACTGGAAAGTTTCTGTTAAATGAATGTTCTAGATAATACCAACGTATAAAGCAATCATTTTATACCAGCTATGGTCAAACAGGGACCAGAGCCTTGACTTTTTTTTGCCTCAACACAGCTCTGCAGAACCCACTCAGTACCCCATGTCCTACTGCCATTCCTTTGGTTTCCAGAACATTGAGATGTACAAATCCAAAACACCACAGTGTTTCAGAGAGAAATGGCATGACTCTACTGGTTGCAATTGTAATGGAGTTCACCTTGTTCTGGAGTCATACAGAAGCCATGTTGTAGACTTAGTGTCCCACGCAATACTCCTAATTACAATGAAAATCTACTGTTAGGTAGAAGGAGAAATTCCTCACAATCAGGCAACAGCGCCTACTAGTGGGAAGAAACTGATACTTGAGGTAGGGCACCTGGGAGATAGCTCTGTGCATCTTGAGAGAGTGCTACACTGAGAGCCCAAAGGCTCTCAGGTCTCATCTCTCCTGACAGCTTGCTATGACATCTTAATCAATGAATTGCCTCTCTCTTACCCTTTGTTATAGAGTCTGTAAATGAAGAGTTTGGAATGGCTACTTTCTAAATTTTCTACACGTCCTATGACCCTTGAAATCCTCTTAACAATGTATTATGGATACTTTGCTACTAAACGGTAAAACAGAATCCCGAGTAAGATGAATTGGCTTCCTAAGGAAGTAGTGTCAGGGGAGAATAGCACCATCTTTGGGGCCAGTTCCATTTATGCAGGTAATATGGTATGGTCCAGCTCAAAGATCACTGGACTGGGCTGAGTTGCAACTCTGCTACCTACTTCTCAAGTCATGTACAAGGTCATTCCTATGTTAACTCATGTGTTGGGAAGATGATAATTGTCTCATTTAGCTTTTAGTTATTATAAGATTCATATGAGAATATAGAAATTATGAAGTTTTATGTGAATCTGCAAATTTATTTTCAGTCTTTATATATCACAATTTTAATTTAGGCTAATTATAATTTTTATTTTCCCCTTTTTGTTCTATATTCTAAATTCGTATCTCCCATGGAGGCAGGTACTGTATGGACAAAATCTTTTATTAGTCACATATTGTTTTCATCCATTTTGTGCTGCTATAGCAGAATAACTGAGACTGGGTAATTTATAAAGAATGAAAATTTATTTTATCACGGTTCTAGAGGCTGGTAAGTCCAAGATCAAGGCACCAGCAGGCTTGGTTTTCTGGTGAGGGCTACTCTCTGTTTCCAGGATGGTGCTTTGTGCTACCTCCTCACATGGCAGACAGTGGAAGAGCAAGCCAGCAGAATGCCGCATGAAGCCTCTTTCACAAAGGGCTTTATCCCATTCATGACAGAGAAGCCCGTATGGCCTGATCAACACTTTTTAATAAAATCACAATATCTACTGCTGAATTTTGGAGGGAACCAATTCAAATCATAGCACACATCTTTTCTAAAATGGAAAGGGTAATATGATCATTGGAGAAATACTCATTCCTTTGCATATTGGTTTACTATCCAAGCCAGGTGTGGTGGTTCACACTTGTAATTCCAGCACTTTGGGAGGCCGAGATGGGTGGATCACCTGATGTCAGGAGTTTGAGACTAGCCTGGCCAACATGGTGAAACCCCATCTCTACTACAAATATCAAAAAATTAGCCAGCCATGGTGGCACACACCTGTAATCCCAGCTACTCAGGAGGCTGGGGCCAGAGAATTGCTTGAACCTGGGAGGCAGAGGTTGCAGTGAGCCAAGATCGCACCACTGCACTCCAACCTGGGCAACCGAGTGAGACTCCATCTCAAAAAATAAAAAAAAAAGTTTACTATCCAGAGAATCTTGTCCAGGTTAACACTCTTTTTTGTCTGCTTTCTTCTTTTGTGAAACAAGAAGGTAAGAGGGACACTGGAGAAAACCTAATGTTCTTTACAAAATGAGTCATAGTTCTCCATCTGCAAACTGTGGCTCCCATTTATGTCTTGGTGTCAATATGACTATTACATGTTATGTACATGGATTCCACCTCATTTGCAACATAGTCTTCTGCCTGAGCTCTGTTTGTTGGATCTGATCTAACTTTACATGGTCTTAAGTCACACATTGAACTCTTAAGTTCTGTAGGCCTCTAAGCCTTTTTAAGTTTTAGTATTTTCATCGTTAAAATGAGAGTGATTATAACCCTTGCTTTGCTGCCTCCAAATATTATTGAGGGATCAAATGCATTGATAAATAAGATAAAGCACTAGACAAATATAAGGGATGCTTGATGACTTCACAGAGGGAAGATTATTCTGTTGCTGGCTGCTGAAATACAGTAGCTTTAGAAAAACCCCTTTGGGTTCCCTTATTATCAGGTTTGGTCTCAAATAACCAGAATAAATTTGGAGATTTCCTACCACAAAAGCTAAAAGTACCTGGGCAGATTTACCCTTTGAGTGGACCTAAGGGAAATGCAGATTCCCACGGGAGAGATCACGGAGCAGATTCAAACCATAAGGCAAAAATAATTGTTGCAATAGCGGTTCTAACTGTACTAGTAAATATTGATTTTTCTGTTAGCAGATCAATCATGAAATGAATTCTAAATATAGAAGACTGGTTAAAAAATTAAGACGGAGAATGTGAAAATGTCCATGTGTAAAAATTAACTTAAAGAGAAATCTTGCTTTGGCCAAAAGAAATACTACTGTTTCTGTCAGGAATGTTCTGTGATTTAATCAAGTTTCCTGCCTGGCCAGATAATTTTAGGAATTGTGGACTTTTAAAGTAGTAAGTCAGTTTAGAAAACTGGTTAAGTGGACAGATGTAAAGTCAGACTGCCTAAGCCCCAATTCCAGCTTCAATATTTAACTCTGTGGTTGTGGGCAAGGCACATAATCTCTTTATGCTGCCTTTTCATCAACTGTTATGGAGATAATGATAGAACCTACATCATAGAGTTGTTGGGGTGACTACATGAGATAATACAATTAAATACTTAACACCTGGTCCATAAAAAGCGCTGAATAAATATTGACTATTATCATCACCCCGGGGTCTACAAATTTTTGTAGGATTAGGATTAGGATTGAAATTTCTACCGAAAAATTCCATCAGTAAAATATTGATAAATATAAATCTTAACCAACTGCCTCAGAGACATAGGGACCTCTATTTTCCACTCATTGACTGTCATCTTTAGAGAACAGTCCAAAGCATGTGCCTTTCTGTTCTAGTTGTTATGAGCTCTTTATTTTGAAGTTGAACTATATACTTCCTATAGTTTAAAGGAGAAAGAAGTAGGTCTCATGCTGGACACCTTCTAGATGTTACCTCCTCCGAATTTCATAGCCAAGTATTTAAGGCAGTTATGATCATCTCCCTCTTAGAGAAGCCTAGAAAAGGTTACTGCAGTGCTTGACAGCAAATAGAAACTCACCAAGTGCATTTGTTGAGGGATTGACAGAATGGCTGGATAAGTGACTCAACTAAGACCACTTATCTAGTGAGTGCGTCTACTCAGCTGCTTGTTTTGAAGACAAGGAAATTCGGGCTCAGAAAATTTAGGAAACTTGTCTAGGCTGCCAATAGCTAGTAACAAAGGCAAGAATTGCATATCTGATTTTCTTTACACCATGTTACATCTAACTGTTCAAAAGATAACCATGTATTATACTCGAAAATGCAAAACAGGGTTGTTTTTTGTTTTGTTTGTTGTGGTGGTGGTGATGGTATTTTTGTTTTGTTTTTGCTACTTTTCCTGAGAGTGGAAGTTGTTATCAAAAAGTTACTGTCATGACTACTATGTGTATAGATGCTATTAGTTTCATCAAGGTTGGGAATAGGGTATATGTTGCCCAACTTTCTGCCCCTCTCCGCCTCATATTAAAGTTCCAGTTTCCTAGAATATATCTCCTGGGAGATTTGGCACTAGCCATCACTGCATTCCAATACCCCGGGACAAACTACTCTTGGTGGAACACAGAAGCATACAGTCCTTGTTACAGCAGTGGTTCTCAAACTCACATTCCTGATGGAAAGCTAGAGTTGAAGGGTCAACACCCAAGAGCTGCAGTGGAGGACCATCACCTGTCCTGATTCGCCACCTGTGGTAGATCATGACTTTCACTAAGATCCCCTGAGGCTTGTGGGGATGGAGAAGTGATGCTGGACTGGCCCTTCCTCTTTCCCTGCAGGTGTTAATGGGTTCTGCTCCTAAACAATACTGATATAGGTCAGAGTTATGATTGAATTGTATACATAGAAACATGTGCTGATTGAGAAAATGGGCTTTACAAGTCAGACCTGGTTCCAGTCTCAGCCACACTACATTCTGCCTTTGAGACTTTGGCCAGGTGATGGAACATCAGGTTTCTTATCTAAAAAGGAGAATAATTGGTTGGTAGGACTAAATGAAAAAATGTATGTGAAATGCTTAGGACAGTGCTGAGCACAGATAAAAATGCACAATAATTTTCTATTTTTTGTTAGTTTCCTTCACAATACATATATTTACATCAGCGAAACATGCTTGCTTTTGCAACCTTCTGTGGGACTCCCCCTCCTAATTTACCACCTCACCTGAAGGTCTAAGCTAAGCAAATCTCTGTCTATAAATGAATCACATCGTGGTTAGACTTTATAACAACTTCCCCTTGCCAGGAGATCACTCAGCCTTCACTTCATCTCATCTGGTTTGCTGCCCAGGCCTTTATCCACTCATTCCTGAACTCCTCTCCCTGACAACCTTGGGGTTTTGGCTTGTTGTGTGCGTGTGTGTGTGTGTGTGTGTGTGTGTGTGTGTGTGTTTTGTTTTTTGTTTTTTTTTACTTTACCTTAATTTCTCTTTTTGGACTAAGATGTTAAAATGTTTCTTAATGTGACTGTCTCCGAAACTGTTTTGTGTCTACCACTCATCCTAGTGGCAGTCATTGATCCTTTTCTTGTTGCGAGTGTTTGAGTGTGGGTGTGTGTGAGTGTGTATATGTATTTGTAGAGGGAAAAACAAGAGAGAGGGAAACAGACATTGGAGCCACCTTTCCCCCACTAGCCACGTACCTGTTGAACCTTCAAGCCTCTCTATAGAATCAGATATACACAAGCACAGTGACAGAACTACATGTGTCCTACAGTCCAGCTTTTAAGATATGATAAAAACTCTTGTATTCACAGAGCTAAATGGCAATAACCATAGGAGATTGCATATTGCTACATTATGTAAAGACAGAGTCCCAAGAAAATAGTGAGAACTCAGTTTGATGTATGATGTGATATGTGATATCTTACTTTACATGGCTAACAGTTGACATTCTTTGTGGATTCTATATTGTCTAAGGCTACAGAAGAGCCATATGATAAATTCATCGGCAACCCAAAAGAAGCCTGTTCTATCGCAGTGCTTCCAATTAATATAAGTAAACCACTTTCTCTGGCTCAATGCTACCAAAATATTTTATGAGAAAATTTAGCTGATTCTGCTCATGTATATTTTCAATGGATGGAAAGCCATTGCAAACTTTTCAAACTAAAATATAAAGATAGCATTAGGGAGAATACTCTCTCTGGTGAAAAACAACATGTATTATGATGCGTTAGGAATTTCTTTTTTTCAGCCAACTCGTGGTTGAGCAGTCTGTCCCCAAACTGTTTTGCATGCGGACGAAACCTGTTTGGGCGATACTTGTCAGCTTTTCTTCTGACAAGCAGGACAGAAATAGGCACCCCCAGAACACTGAGTTTGACTTGACTCAACATAGAATCACCTGGAGAGTTTTAAAAGTTTCTCTCCTGTAATATCCCACCTCCAGACCAATGAAATCAGAATCTTTGGAGTTGGGAACCAGGGATCAATATTTTTTTTTTTAAGTTTCCCAGATGATTGCAATATACAGGCAAGATTGAGAGTCACTGTCCTAGAGTATAAGCAGTTTAAGAAACAAGTTGTCTATTATTACATGCATCAATACTACAGAGTCCATGAAATAAAAGCTTTGGTGATAAGAAAATGCCACCATCCTAGAGCCTTCAGTTAACATCATATGGGCCTGTCATATAAAGAATGCAAACTCATTCTGTTATCTTTTTGGGCCTTCAGTGGAAGATAATTTTTAAATCAGCTTAATGGAAACTGTGCTTCAGGAAAATAACTTCAGTAGCCATATGTAGGATAAACTGGAGCAGGTTTTGTTTCTAGGAATATGTTGCCATCATTTCACTACCCTTATATAATCTTATTGATTCAACTTTTAGAACCAAGACTTTTTGCAGAATATATCGAAGAATGTGCTTAATGGGAATGCTGATATATCATACAATTGGCATATAGAGCTTCAGTTCATTATCATATTTAAAGGTACAATATTAATTTTGCTTGTGCTTAAAATGTCTATTATAATTCAAGTAGCAAGGAAGACATAAAGAAAAATGTGACCTGGCTTTACATCTGCACATATTTAATACTTTACATTTGATGGTGAATAATGGGAAAGTTTGGGAGTATGTCATGCTCAGTCACCATGCATCAACTCCCAAAATGGCTGTGGACAGCTTTGGTCCTGCCTCAAAACAAGCACTGCTTGCAAAAGAGGGTCTGTGGCTTATTTTTATCAGTTGTGTGGTGATCACAGGAAAAACATTTTAAATAAAAAGTTTATTTTGCCATCATGAAAGAAACAAATTCATATTACCAAAAGAGAAAATAAATATGACAACCCAGCCTGGTGCAGTGGTTCATGACTATAATCCCGGCACCTCAGGAGGCCAAGGTTGGAGGGTTGCATGATCCCAGGAGCTTGAGACCAGCCTGGGAAGCACAGCAAGACCCTATCTGTACAGGAAAATATTAAAAATTAGCTGGGCTTGGTGGCGTGTGCCTATAGTCCCAGCTACTGGTGGCAAGGGCTGAGGGAGGAGGATCACTTGAGCCCAGGAGTTCAAGGGTGTAGTGAACCATGATCGCACTACTGCCCTCCAGCCTGGGCAACAGAGTGAGATCCTGTCACAAAAAAAAAAAAAAAAAAAAAAAAAAAAAAAAAAAAAAAAAAAAAAAAAAAAAAAACAAAGAAAAGAAAACCCATATCACGCTATGCCACTTCTCTTGTTCAACCTGTAGATTTCCCTGGAATGCCACTATTCACCCATGCCATCCCCAAAAATGACTTGTTAAAATTCTAACTCTTCAGATTAGCTCCATTATTAAGACTTCTGTAAAGTCTTTCTGTTGGTAAGAGGAGGTAAATCAGAGATATCAGAACAATCAGGAAGCCATTGCAATAGCCTTTGAAAGGAAGGGTGATTAGGTAGTAGGCATGTGGTGGAAAGCAGGCATTTCTGACACATTGCTGAGGTTGCTATAGATGGGAGAGCAGAGGTGAAGGATAAGAAGAATTGTTGGCTGAATCTAGAGTCAGTACAAAGCAATATATAAAATAAGTAATAATATATAAACACCATTTTTGGTTTTGTTTGGAAATCTTAATTCACTGACAAAGTTCCCCATCGGCTGCCGGCCCTCTGTCATCGGATCTTTTGATTGACTGACTGCTCAGCATTGGCAGCAAGCTCTTCACACCAGCCCTGGGTCTGAGCTAATCAGCTGTGTTTCCTTCATGCTCTGATGCCTTGAAGTTTGGTACTATTCTCCTGGTTTCTCTTGTTTAAAAGTGCTGAGATACTTGTCTAAAAGATGGGCCTTAAGATTGTGGTGTGCTTTTAATAATGTGTGGGGTAAGTGCCTCTAGAGGCAAGCATACACTATGCTTGAGTAACTTTCTCTCCATTCTGAATCTCTCCCTAAAGGACACAGTTTGTAAATGTTTGTTCATGTGAAAAGGGAAGATTCAGGTACCTTTTCTGTCCTACTGATGTGTGGGGCTATTTTTATGTTTTGTTCTTCACTTTTTTCTGTACTTGTGATTTAAAGGTGCCAGACTGGTTACCCTCAAGGCTAGTGTCCCCACTGTATCCCAAGAATAGAAAAAATAATGAGAGGCAGCAAAACTGGCCTGTGTCTGAGTCCAGCATATTAGGCTGACCCACTCTAGAGGAATATTCTCCAAAGCATAAAGTAGAAGATCATTCCTTAGGAATACAATACAGTCCATCTGTTTTCATAGCTGAGAAGGCAATTCCGTGTCATGCCATCATGGAGCCACTGCAGTGTTTTGGTATCCAAGCCATAGTCACTCATTCTCTCCGTGAGGGAAAACTAGAATGTCTTTTCCTCTTCCACCTTTACCTTTCAAAATTCCATCCTTGAAGGTTCGGCTCAAATGCTTC
The DNA here is from genome assembly GCF_000001405.40 of Homo sapiens. NCBI lineage: Eukaryota > Metazoa > Chordata > Mammalia > Primates > Hominidae > Homo > Homo sapiens. Next base: position 188,757,086 of record NC_000003.12, read on the forward strand.
TTTCTCCACACAACCTTTCCTGAGCCCCTGTGAGTGTGGTTTTCCTTCCACATTCCATAGCACTTTCTTCTAAGACGTGTTACATGCTTTGCCATGTGACTATTGCATGTAGGTTGTCTTGACTGTGAGAGGCACTGACATCGTGACATCGTCGAATTCATTTTTGTATATCACACAGAAGGAGAACATAGTCGTGGGCAAGAGTAGATATTTGAGGTTGAATAGATGGACCATTTCAAAGCTTATCTTTTCAGCCTGACCTTTAAGGCTTTGCTCTGGCCGTTCCCTCTAAATCAGTGATTGAAGTTTGCTCCCAGATCCTCATGAGTAGCTATCAAACTCTCCATAAGCCATGTAGGCTCAGGTTCTTGGATTCCAGGTATTACACTTCGGGCATCATAGTCTGAATCAAAATTGCTACTTTTAGCTGCTTAGTAGACTGCCATTACCAATAGTTTAATGAGAACTACTTTTTTAGGGGACGGGGGGAAGTGTGGTCCACAGATCCCTGATAGCCCTTCGTGTACTATGTAGTGAATCTGCTTGACATCTAGAAAAGGGAAGAGTAATATAGAAAAAGAATTTTGTTGACCTGCCTGCATTTAACAAATGTAAAATGTAAAATTACAGCTTTCACAGGAATCTAATATGCTTTTAATAATCATATGGATTGGTAATCCATTTACTCCTAATCCCTAATTCGTTTTCTGCAATGAAATGTTGTCAAAGGGTGGCATGAAGCTGTTAGAATTTAAGCATGATTTTCAAACATAGCACATTTTTTTTGTGGTTTTGTTTTTTTGGTTTTTTTTTTTTTTTTTTTTCAGAATAATTTCAAAAATAGTGCCATATGAAATAGTTTTGTTACTGTTGGCAGGAAAGTCCAAAATGTTATCTCATAATAAAAACAGGTACAAGTTCAGTCTTGGATAAAAACTTTTGAAGTCTGCCACAAACAAATACTATACAAAATTTTTTCATCAAATGTCAAGACTGTGGTATCAAGACTTTATAATGATATCAACTGTAGTGGTGACAGCTTAGTTTCCAATACTTTAACTCTTTTTCCAGCACTTCATATTTCTTTTTGGTTTGAGATGAAGTCTCGCTCTGTCACCCAGCTGGAGTGCAGTGGCGCCATCTCAGCTCACTGCAACCTCTGCCTCCCGGGTTCAAGCGATTCTCCTGCCTCAGCCTCCTGAGTAGCTGTGGTTACAGGCACACACCACCACGCCCAGCTATTTTTTGTATTTTTCATAGAGATGGGGTTTCACCATGTTGACCAGGCTGGTCTTGAACTCCTGACCTCAGGTGATCCACCCACCTCGGCCTCCCAAAGTGCTGGGATTGAAGACATGAGCCACTGCACCCAGCCTTCATATTTCTTATTCCTTAGGAAAAAAACTAAGATGTATACTTTGGGTTATATTTAAAGTCACATTCAAATCCCACAACAGGATATAAAGAAATACTTTTCAGGGCCAAATACAACTGGAGAGGATTAGAAATAAATTTACCTTTTTTTCTCTCACGTTGAAACATCTAGCCCTCCCATGTTTGAGTGTGAAATGGCTGTCAATCCAATGTGATGGAGTGCTGAAAGCCGTCTTCAGTGAGAAGTCTCTCCATAATGCTCCCTAACATCAGATCCATGTTAATCCTGATGCACAGAACTGGGAATAGGTAATATAGCATAGTGTTTAAGAGCACAGATGCTGAAGTTAGACTGCTTAGGCTGGAATTTAGTTAACCATTTGTGTGACTCAGTTTCCTCATCTGTGAAATAGGCATAATAACAGTACCTGCATATAGACTGTTGTGAATATGAAATGAGTTAATATATCTAAAGCCCCTAGAAAAAGTCTGACATATGTGAAGCACTACATTTGCTATACCTTATCTATCAAAGCCTACAGCTTCTGGCTAACATTCCCAGTGTTCTATAATTATTAGATAGAATTTTTTTTAACTTAGTAGAAACAAAGACTAAGAAGGGAAACTAGATGTGGACGTGACGTCTAGCTCAAGATTCCCATGATGGAGCCACATAGAGATATGGATGGCAACCAGCATAATGCCTCTCACTGACATAACTATTTGTCTGAATTTATATTTTATTGTTATTATTTAAAGCTTACTGCAAATTTTAAAAACTGAAACCTGATGTCCATATGTAGGCCAGATGCCACATTAATCAATTTAAGAATGCTGGAGCTTCGCAGAATACTGCATGAACAACGAGAACCGTGGCCCTGAAAGACTCAAAACCCTACAGTATATGAAACTATTGCAGGATGTGTGGATGTTCAAAGGAATAACAGACTTGGAAGCAATGCTTACTGAATTTTGATGTATTAAAGGATGTCAAGTCCAAGAGAGAGATAAGGTCTCAGAAGACAGAACTAGAACCATGGGGTAAGCAGTTAGAATGAGGAAGCACTATGGCTCAGTAGGAGAAAGAACCTTTTAGCCATCAAAGCGATCTAGAAATTAAAGGACTGCCTTGGGATCTGCCTGTCACTGAGAGCTGGCTGCAGAGGTTTTACAATCAGGGCTTTTGTAAAAGGAACTAAAATTTGAGTTTGGACCCAATTATCTTACATTCTAACTGGATGTGTAGAATCTCCAAGAAGAAAGACTCTTCTGTACTGTTTTATAGATTTTGCCTTCCACTCCAAACATCCTGAGTCATGTTCCTTTTATACTTGCATGTGAGATGAGAGTCAGAGCACTGACCTCAAAGCCAGCGACCGGGTTCTACTGTTCCTTTCTGCAAGAACTTAGACTATGAGACTCAATCCCCTCAACCGATTAATGTAAAATCCCCTCCATGCCAATCTTGCAGAGGATAGGGGTGGCTGTACTGGTGATCTTGCTGGGGTAATGGGGTAATAGTACTGGGGTAATGACGGCAGGAGTGGTGGTTCTATTGCTGCTGACGTTATGAACCTGCTTTCTCCTCCACTTTGGCTTTAGCAGGACTGAAGTACTCCTTGGTGTGTTCTTATCAAACCCTTTTTTTTCCAGGCCGCTGTGCTCGCTGTGGAGAAAACGTAGTTGGGGAAGGTACAGGATGCACTGCCATGGATCAGGTCTTCCACGTGGATTGTTTTACCTGCATCATCTGCAACAACAAGCTCCGAGGGCAGCCATTCTATGCTGTGGAAAAGAAAGCATACTGCGAGCCCTGCTACATTGTAAGTTCCAGATTTGTTCCTCAAGCACTTTGCAAAGATGTCTTCTGTGGCTGAATGCCAGTCACTCTAGATAGAATATAGCCATCAGATCTTTGCTTCTTCCTAGACTTCAAAATGTGTGTGTGGGGTGTGTGTGTGTGTGTGTGTGTGTGTGCGTGCGCGCATGTAAATTAGCATATTGTAATTTTTTTCTACACATCCCCCATTCATAAGCAGTCAGAAAGGTGTATTAGCATGGGACTGCCATTCAGTTAGTGGTCTGCTGGGAAGATCATCAGCCTGTGGCTTTCTAGCATGTATGTACAAGCTAAAATTTTCTTTCTTAAAGCATCAGAAAGCTTTCCAAGTAGCTGAGTCACACCTCTTATAAGATCTCACCCTACATTTGAAGTGCCCAGTAGTTTCAAGGAAACTTTACAGAATCTCTGGACTTGTCAGTCCTCTTCCAGAATACTGGGCCCTTTGAGTCCATTTTTATCTACCAAAATGTTTCTTCCCCCTCTTATCCAACAGGTTTTTAATGATGCAAACAGGGGAACTGTTTATTATAAAGCACCTTAAAGAGAAATGAACAGTAATGCTGACTGAGCTAATCATTGTTTTCTTTTATTACAGAACACAAAAACTATATTTTAATAATATACCTGGGTAACTAAAAAATTCTCAGTCATGTTACCTTAGCGTTTTACAATGCTACTTACTTAATCTACCTGTTAAACTATTCTCTGGTAGAGTAATTTGATGAATGAACACAGACTTTTTTCATCTATTGTAAATTTCTTTGCTATCCTTCAGCATGATTTTAATCTTTGTTTAACACATGTTGATGGGAAAAGTAGTGTTTTTTGTTTGTTTGTTATGTAAACCCACAAAACAGTCATGGTTTGTCCCTCAGTGCCCAGAGATTTCAACATAAAAGACACCTTGGTTTCTTTACCAAGGTATTGGGAGTCATACTTGGCTTTACAAGGTTCACATTTATTGAAGACGTTTTTGGCCTGGTTGGTATTTTCCTATAACTTGGCAGCTCTAACCCATTGTAACCTTGGGGTCTGTAGCACAGATCTGAAAGTTCATCAAGATTAAGGCTTCGTAGGATTAAATATGGCTTTGCATCTGTCTTAGGTTCAATTTTATTTCGTTTTCTTTCCAAAGGTAACTTAATACATGTAACATCATTTCTTTCCAAAGGTAGCTTAAACACATGTAGAGCCATACAGTGGTAGAGTTGGAAAAAAAATCTTAAAATCATTTGCGTAATTACTCTCTTTAGCAATGAGAATGCCAAGACATACAGAAGAGGAAAGCGACTTCGTATGACCTATCATTAGTGTCAGAACCAAGGCTGCATTCCGTTATTCACGCTCCACAGTCTTAGATTCTTTGCAGATGCTACATGGTTTTCATTTTCCTAAACATAAAGATAAACAAAGTAATGTACTGTTGATCTGGAAGGAGCAATTATGCATAAGCGAAAGTCTAGTAAACAAAAGCTTACCTCTTTAGAATATAAGAATATTTCAAATATCTTTGAAATCTTTATTGAAAAAAGAAAGGCATTACATAATTCCTTGCCTTTTTAAACAGACTAAACCGGGTGTCATTCACAATGGCTTGGCACCACGTTTATGAAATTATTTATTGCCACGAGCCCTAAGGTAGTGATGTTGGCAGAGTGTGTAGAGGCACCCAGGGTTGTCCTTACACCAAGTAAACACATACTGCTGTGTTTTTTTATAGCTCCTGTCTATTTTTTATCCCTTTTTGACTCCATAGTTGATTTTTGCTACTTTAATGATGCTACTGTGGCAGCAGCCTTCTTCAGTTGTTTTGTTTCAACCCTTGTTAGCTTGAAATCATATAGACAGTATTGGGAAACAGTGTAACAGGGTGGGAAGAACATGAATTTGAATTTCGTTACGTCACTTAGTGCCTCCCCTCCTTGGGAAAATTATTTACTCTTTCTAAGTATCAGTTGCCTCATCTATATAATGGGGACGATGGCAGTTATTTTCCATGAAGAAGAAATGAGACAATCCTAGTAAAGCACACTGGGCCTCTTCAGGAAAAGTAGTGGAATAAATGTTATTCTGGGATTAACTTTAATGATGTTTCTGAAACTGTTTAATATTTCTGAATGTGGGAACCTTACATGTGCAGTGAAATTCACTGGGCTTTAGGAAATTATTATAACCTTTCAGACATACTCCTCGCATTTTTACATGTTTGCTTGCTTTTCTGAGTGCGTAACAAAACTGGAGAAGGTCTAATCTGATTAAATAATAGGTTTCTACAGTGTGTGGGCTCAAGTTTCTATCTCCATTCCAGGCATAGTATGGGTCTCTGTGATTCTGTAGGATGCCAGCCCCTTCTTCTTTGGTTTGTTGTTACTATACTATGCTTATGAGAAGGAAAACTATCCGGGAGATATTTAATCGCGTACTTGGAAGAACTGGGTGAATTCAAATAATGGAAATTCTAACCATTTTTTTTTTTTTACTTCTTTCCCTCATAAGAACATTTAATCAAGGTTTTTCTTTAATGAGATCTATTCGTGGTGACTCTAAAATGTAATTTAATTCTTATCAGAATTCAGTTAAGCTTTACCAAAGACCCTTGTTCAATATTGATTCGAGTTCAGCACAGTCCTCAAGCCCTCAGATGGATGTATCAGAACTTTAATTTCTTCTGAACTTTTATATGTCCAATAAGCTGCATACTAGAAGTGTAAGGAGGTTGAGGAAATTGGGCAAATGAAATAAAACAAGTTGGCTTTGAAGATAGTTTGCATTAAGGAGAATCCTAGAACTATGCGTCTCTCTTGGAACCAAAAGCCTTAGAACAGGAAGCATATTCTGTGTGATCCAGCAAAATTGCCTTTGGTTACACTGTTGAAAACTGATGTCTAAAAGGTATTCCATACAAACCAGAGCAAACCTAGCCCTTGGCCATCAGTCAGTGTGCCTGTCTTTTTTTTTTTTTTAATTGATGGAATGAGAATATTCAAGATAGTGGCTTAATTATTTTTGTATAAGGACCAGCATGTTTGATACTCTGAGTTCAGGAATGAGACCAGTCTAATGTAAATTAAATTTACTTCTGCCTAAATTGGTTGTTGATCAACTTAAGATCCTATTAAAATTAAAAATTTACATGATTTTGAGGGAAAATGCACCAGTAATGTCTGCAGCTTTGGTTCAATGATTTTTAATATTTTCCTGTGGTTTATTGAGTTTGTTCTTAATCTTTGTGCTTAAGTAGTTATGATTAAACAGTTTGATTCAGTATAGCATTGTAATTCTCTTTAATCATTTTACATATTTTGTTTTCTATTTTTTATTTATTAACATAATACAAATGTTCATATAGTTTTGCATTGTTAGTATTCATTTTTAGATTTTTATCTGTTTAGTTTTACATTTAGATTACACACTTCATTTTAAAACCATTTGCCAGTCAAAATGTATTGTGTGTTTTGCAATCTTTTAGAATTGTAAATAACATGCCTATAGATAGTTAATAAAAATTTTATTTTTTATTTTGAATTACATCCTTAGCATAAATTCTTTGATTTATATTACCAAATCAAATTTAATCTGGAGGACTTTTGCATTACCTTGCTAGATTTCTTTAGAAATATTTTTCTAATTTACAGAACCATCAACAATAATGAAACTATATGTTAAAATGCAAACTATCCCCTATGGCAGAAGTTTATTTATATTTTCTGAACTAATTTAATAAGCACATTATGTCTTAGTTATTTTAAGTTTGTGTAATTATTAGCAAAATCAATGAGATGCTTTTCTTCTTTGGTGATATGTCTCTTGAAAGCCTAGTTTTGGTTATTCTTATAGATTTGAATATGTAAACAGATTAAAGTAAAGATCACTAAAACTTTGTTAGGAAGTGATATAAATAGAATGTATTTATCCTAATTCTAGCTCTCCTGGTGTGACCTTGGGTAAATCATTTAGCTTCTGAGTATCAGTGTCCTCATTTACTAAAGGGAGATATTAATTTCTCCCATGTCTTCACAGATAAGGAATAAGCAGTTGTGATATTTTGTATACATGAAATTATTTACTAATATAAGTGCTTAATCTGATTAACAGAATTTTTATCATTGCTTTTTTTTTCCCCTTTAGTATAATGTGATACACTATAGAAACCCTCTAAATCTGGGGCAATTTCTTGGCTGTAGTTGCTATGGAAATACTGAAATAAATAAATGTCATGGAAGGAATATAAGGACACATATTAAAAGCGGAGGTTCATGCTTTGCTTAAGAAGATTTTTATGTTGGTATGAATATGAAGGGCAGCAACAGTGCCTCCTGCTTATGTACCCTTCTGCACATAAAGAGACAGCCTTACTCATAAGTATAGTTTTAGAAAAAGAATTGCTGTTTTATTCCTAGCATTACCAAGGAGTCTGGGCCTAGGGACAGAGTGCATCAGAAATTCTCAGCAAAAGTCTATTTATGAAGTGGCAGCCAAGGATCCTCCCCCAAACCAGTGCTTTTATTCCCAGTGGATGGACTCCAGGTCCTAACTCTCTGACAGCAGAAGGTGGTACAGACATTTTTACTAGAGTTGAAATCCAAATGACTAAAGGGCCTCTGGAAATAGGAGGCCAACTCCACAGGAGGCTAAACACTTTAAGGTACCTGAAACTTGGCGCATTAGTGACCAACACACTAGCAGCCTTTTGCTCCCTTATGTCATCAAATGGCTACAGTTAAAACATTCTAACTTGTCAGCCTACATTAAGAGGTAGTTTTGTACCTCTGCAGGAAAGCTGTTCTTTTATATACTCAATTCTTCTTAATAAAATGTTTTAAAAGCACTTATGGCCAGTGCTTTATGTGGATGTTGGAAAAGGAAGCAAGAGTTTGGACTAAACCTGAAAAATCCACATGAACTTTCTTCCTTTTTTTCTAATTGCCTACGTCTGCTCTCTCACCTCCAAGGAGTGTTTGTCTGTGCCTCTTGTCTCTCTTTCTGTCTCACACAACACACACACACACACACACACACACACACACACACACACACTTTCTTCTTGCTGTTACATCATCATTTCACCAGAACTCTCCTAGGAAGGAGAAAAATGGTTCAAGAAAGAGAAAAATTTGTCAAGCACTCTCTTGGGAAGTTAAGCATGTTACCCACTGGGAATAGTTATCTCTTCCATTCATACAGCCCCTTACATTTTATAATGCTACCGAGCATCTGTTGTTGCATGCTGTCATACCTAGTAGAGCCTTGTGAAATAGATCATGGGGAGATTATTAGTCTCATTTTACAAATGTGGCTCGGATGTTTTCAAAGTAAATGACAAAACAAAGACTATGAATAACTTTTATAATTTACACTTTATTGCTTGGCCCATACTAACATCCGTGCTAACATTCAGCAACTAATTTTTTTTTTCTTTTTTGAGATGTGGTCTTGCTGTTGTTGCCCAGGCTGAACTCAAACTCCTGGGATAAAATGATCTTCCTGCCTCAGCCTCGCAAGTAGCTAGGACTACAGGCTTGCACCACCACGTGCAACGTGCAACTTAATGTTCAACTCTTTTTTTTTTTTTTTTTTTTTTTTTTGGAGACAGGGTCTCTCTCTGTCGCCCAGGCTGGAGTGCAGTGGTATGATCTTGGCTCACTGCAATCTCCACCTCCCGGATTCAAGCAATTCTCCTGCCTTAGCCTCCTGAGTAGCTGGGATTACAGGCGCCCACCACCACGCCCGGCTAATTTTTTTATTTTTTCATAGAGACGGGGTTTAACCATGTTGGCCAGGCTGGTCTCAAACTCCTGACCTCAGGTTATCCACTGCCTTGGCCTCCCAAAGTGCTTGGATTACAGGCATGAGCCATCACACCCAGCCCATGTTAAATTTTCTACGTGAAGATCCTAAAAGCCCCCAACTACTCAGATTTAAAATCAGGTATAATTATAGCCTTTTCCCAGAAAATTTTAATTGATAACCACCTGACTCATGCTTTCCAGTATCACAGAACCTGAAATGCTAAACTTCTACTGATGAAAAACCATAAGCCCTTGTATTTTCTTGAGCATTTGAGGCCTTAAAAAGCAAAAAAAAAAGGTTAAAAATATTTATAACAACTGACATTGACATTAACATTTGCTCAGTGCTTTAACTTTTATGAAGCACTTTTCTTTTATCATATTACCCTCTAATTAATGATCCTAGAAAATAGTTACAGTTATTTTTGCCTTCATTTCCAGTGGCAAGAAACTGAATCTTAGAAAGTGTCAGCTTGCTTAGTTCCATAGAGTATGAGTGTCAGAGCTAATACTTGACCCTGGGCCTCTGATTCCCAAGGCCGGCTATCTCTACATCTAACAGAAAACACTGGAAATCCCATTTGCTGTTGCTAGGTTACCTTTTTCCCATGATGGTAATTCTTTTTTAAAATCCTAAGTTTTTCATTAATGTACGCCCATTAGAGAAAAATTAGCAAATAGAAGAAGAAAGGTATGTAATTCTCTCATCTCAGTATAATAGTTCACATTTTGTCATGCACTTCTTTTCTGTTATGTTTACCTGTGGGTATGGAAGGATGTATACAAATGTAACCACACATCTGTATACATGTGGTTACATACACACACACACAATGAGATCATACCTTAACTATTGGTTAGTACCTTGCTTTTGTTACATAACAGTATATCAAACTTTGCCTTCTATACAGTCCGTTTTAAATATTCTTGAACCACTGAAAAAGAATATATGTCACCTACATATGCTTTCTGAAGGTTGATTCAAGGATATTTTCCAAAAGGCAAATAAAGTAATCAAAATAATATGCACAAGAGATGCATAGCAAATAAAATGGTGAAAAGCAATGAAGTAATAAAACTACTGGTAAAAAAATAAAGGGGCAAAGATGTAGTAGTAAACTCAGACCAAAATAAGATAATATTAATTACCTACTAACTACAATATTCATAGAAGAAAAGTACCATTCAGTACAAAGGTATCAAGCAGTCTGAAGAACATTACTTTTTGATAAATGTCACAGTTCCCCATGAAGAATAGCCCTGAGCTTTCCTTCATTAAATATCATTATATTGAAATGTATAATTTAAAAATACTGAAGTAAGAGATAAGAAGGGTGAAAACATATTCTTTATAAAACCTTAACACATTGCTTTTAGTCTTTGATAAATCATAAAAAGGAGTTAAATAATATGATTGATAACGTTAATTTAATCCACATACACTGATCTATGCAAACAAAGAGTTTCTATCTTCTGTCTAAATCTGCATGGGAGATTTAGAAAAACATTTATCATATCAAAGTCTAATAGGAAATTGTAGACAGTTCCTACTGTGGCTGGCAGAATTACATGTAGCCATATAGTAGAACAAGAAATGAATAAATACATAAGCGCACTCTTGGGTTAAGGAATCTTAGAAAGTAGTGATGATGCTAACACTGCATAGCAATGAGAACGGGATGGAGCCGACATAGTATGCCAAGTAATACTAGTCTCATTAATTGCAACAGGAAACAGTGCATATGTATTAACTTAAAAAACTAGAACAGACAAGAAAATCAACCTTAAAGAAATCCATTAAAATAAAACATTGTTGATAAGTTGAAAAATACTGCAATGTTTAGATCTGGGGATGATTTTTTGAAAAGAGCAGTGAAATAAACATTTGGTTAAGATAACCAAGAAAGAAACAAAAACTACAGAAAATTAGGAATGAAAAAGACACTCAGCATAGATACAGATGACATTTTAAAATTATTGCACTTAAAATTTTATATGAGAGACTATGTTCTATGCAAATCTAAAGTACAGGTGAAAGAAACTTGAATAAACTCGTAAAGACAGATGGAATGTGAAGCTACTACTTGCAAAAGAGCCAGAAAATTTCACTAATCAAAGTTTTCAGATCTCCAAAGAACAAATGATTTCTGTGCTATTTCAACTTTAAGAGCCTAGCAAAAAACGAGATGCTTACCAAATCATTTTATAAAGCTAGCGTGCTCCCAATAATAATACCTAACCTAGGTTACCCCCAGAAGACAATTCTGTGATAATCTAACTTTCATAAATGCAGAAATCCTAAGTGAAATATTAGCAAATTGAATACCACATAATAAAACATTCCAGTTATTCCATATTCAGTGCTAGAACAATTAGGAATCTTTTAGCATAATTTGCTATATTGATATATCAAAATTTTAGAAAAACTAGTAATCTCCATAGATGCTTTTCATTAAAAGGGCATTTAATAAAATTTTTCATGCATTCATATTTAAAAACAAAAACAATGGCAATGCAAAATAAGCTCTAAGTAGTATTTACATATTTCGATTTATTATGCAACATTTCTAACATATATAAAGATATGAAGCATAATGACAAAGGTCCATGTACCTGTTATCCAATTTAAGAAATAAAACATTAAAAATTCAGTAGAAATCCCTTGGGTTCTATTCCATGATCATGTTCCCCCAGAGAGAGCCACTATTCTAAATTTGTTTTTTATCATTTTATGCATTTCTTTAAACAATATGTAGTGTTGTTAGCACATAGTGTTTCTTAATTTTAAATAAATGGCATTCTATTATTTGTATTAGTGGGAGACTTTTCCACTCAACATCTTAAGACTGTATGTACATATAGTCATTTACAAATGATTGATTATTCTTCTAGAGAACCTGAAAAATTTTAAATATTGGAATAATGAAAGTTTAGTAAGCTGACAATATAAAAATGACAATTTTAGGTTTAGAATATATAACAGAAAAGTGTCCTCATACAGAAGCAATAAAAAATATAAAATATCTAGGTAAAACTTTAAAACGTATAAATGATCTAAGTGAGGAATGCTAAAAAAGTTTTGCATGAATAATTAACTCATGAGCAAAAAGGGTATTTTGGGGATTGAATGTGCTTTGGAAAGCCTCTCTCACTTTAATAGACATTCGTATTATCACCCTTTATTATACAACAATGTTTTCAGTGGGGGAATGAATAGTTACTACACTCTCCTTTGCTAGTGGTATTTATTTAGCCCTTTCAACCAAATATCCCCCAGCCCTCTGCTCATCTTAGTTACTGCTCACCACATCCTTGCACGTTCCAAGGCAGCCCTTACTTGGTAAGGAAAGAGAGGCACAGACCTGTAAGTGGATTGCCCAGAACAACAAAGAGGCCTAGCTGAACATAACCCTTTCTTCCCAGTTCCTGTTGCAAACCGTATTAACTGCTGTTGTCATAGAATTAGAATGCTTTTTAAAGTCCAGCAGGAACCTTAGAAATTCAATAATGCCATTTTATAGCTGAGAAAGCTAAATCCCAAGAAAGCTGAGTGTTTTGCCTGAGGTTATACGATTTATTAACGGCAGAGGTGGGACTAGAAACCATGAGTCTTCATGAGGCCTTCAAAGAACTACTTTCTTTGGGACCGACATGAAGGGTTTAAACATTTGTGGCTACAGGTCCAGAGAGACATCCCTAGAAAATGCTGAGATTAGTAAGATTTTGGTTGGAGAGTGTAGAAATAGGACAGCGTTTGCTTTCACCCTAACCAGAATGAAGGGTCTCAGATTTCCAGGTTAAATGCCTCTGAAACTTTATTCTAGAACCTTCCCACTGCCCTAGTTTGTTTAAGTCAAGCATGAACTCACCACTCAATGTTTGCCAGAGTTTGGATGAATGTCAGCATCAGGCTACTGTAATAATGGTTTAAGATTATTTAATCCCATTAGTTATACACTTCATTAGGCTGAGTGAATTGTTGGCAGTGGTTCAGTAAACTTCCTCCTTTAGAGATAAAAGGACAGAAAGAAAATAGGAAAGGAGCCTATTCCTCATTTTCTTTCATAGTTATAATTCTTTTTTTTTTTTTTTTTTTTTTTTTTCCGAGACGGGGTCTTGCTCTGTCACCCAGGCTGGAGTGCAGTGGTGCAATCTCGGCTCACCGCAAGCTCCACCTGCCGGGTTCACGCCATTCTCCTGCCTCAGCCTCCCGAGTAGTTGGGACTACAAGCACCCGCCACCACGCCCAGCTATTTTTTTTTTTTTTTTTTTTTGTATTTTTAGTAGAGATGGGTTTCACCGTGTTAGCCAGGATGGTCTTGATCTCCTGACCTCATGATCCGCCTGCCTTGGCCTCCCAAAGTGCTGGGATTACAGGGGTGAGCCACTGCACTGGCCATAATTCTTAATGGATAAAGGAATGATAATTACCCAGCTGTAGCGTGGACTCCATATTAGTACGGTCTCCTAAACTACTCTTCATTCTCAGGAGAAATAAATGTTTGTAACCTAATATTCTCTATTAGAAGAAAATGGACAGTGGCAGAGAAGAGAGTGTGTGTCCGTGTGATCAGGCCATAAAGTTAATCTTAAAAGTAAACCTGAAAATAAATTCAAAGATTCTAGATATGAGAGTCTTTTACGTAGTGGGGTTGGTATGAGGCAGTAAATGATTTTAAGGAAAGAATATAGAATTTAAAGTGAGACCTGGTTCACACTCAGCCAGCTGCTATTCTGCATTCTTCCCTTTACTTTTAGCTTCAGTTTCCTCACACTTAGAATGAAAACAAACAATAAGAGCAAACCAGTTTGTTATATGTTCTCACATCTGACTTTGTAAAACAGTTTGAAAACATTAGCGTGCTCAGCTCCAGGATTGTCCCATGCAGGCAATGACTGTTACATCTTTCCCTTCTTTGTAGTTTATTTTTGCCCAGATGGATCTGCATTCATTTGTACTATCTATTATAATATTGTTAGAATTCACTATTATACTGTAGAATTCATTAATTCTATTATATTGTAGAATTCACTAATTCTATAATATTGTACAATTCACATTATATATTATAACATTGTAGAATTCACCAATAATATTGTAAAAGTCACTAATAATTCATAAAAGGAATGAATTCATTTGTGATCTTATCAAAAAAAATTTAAAAAGAAAAAAGAGGCCGGGCACAGTAGCTCACGCCTGTAATCCCAGCACGTTGGGAGGCCGAGGTGCACAGATCACTTGAGGTCAGGAGTTCGAGACCAGACTGGCTAACATAGTGAAACTCCATCTCTACTAAAAATACAAAAATTAGCTGAATGTGGTGGCACAAGCCTGTAATCCCAGCTACTCGGGAGGCTGAGGCAGGAGAATCACTTGAACCCAGGAGGCAGAGGTTGCAGTGAGCTGGGATTTGTGCCACTGCACTCCAGCCTGGGCGACAGAGTGAGACTCCATCTCAAAAAAAAAAAAAAAAAGAAAGAAAGAAAGAAAGGGAGAAAGAAAGAAAGAAAGAGGCACTTGAATGAAAGTACTGTTTCTTAGCTCACATGGTTATAGGGTGAAATGAGGATTCGGAGAGGACAGGACTGAACAAAAATCAGTGTGGGGGCTTTGAGTCGTAAATAACTGTACCAGGGCTTAGCCCCAGTTAGACACATAACAAATCTGCAAGAGAGAATTTTGCCTAACTTGAATCACCAAAGGACAACTGTAAGTCAGCATTTCAGGCTCTGGAATATTACTTGCATACCCACTTGGTTTGAGAACTTGTGGAGTCTGAGAGATGGCAAGTCATGAGACTAGGAGCTCGGTTTTCTCAAAATGTGTCAGCGGTCACCTGCTTTGTAATCACTGTGAACTCCTCATTAAAAAGTAAAGTTCTGGACTCCTCCCCAGAATTTCTGCACAAGGAGACAGGAACTTTGCATCTTTTGCAAGGCTCCTGGGACAGCAGGGAGTTGGGAGGTAAATTTTTATGCACAGTCAAGTTTGAAATCCACTAGTCTGTACTTCCAGTCAAGCTCATGCAAAAATTGGTCCCAAAATATGTTTGCATTCTTATCTCCCATCAGCTCTCCTACACATTCTTTTTACAACACTTGCCCAAGGTGAGGACTCTTCTCCTGGACATTGATATGGAGGTTTCTCTGTCTATTCCCATGCCATTGGTTGCCTACCTTCTGCCTTTTCCGATCTCCAGCCTTAAAATGCTTTCCTGGAACTTAACCAACTAGATGTAACCATTTCTGAACATGCAAGGTTTTCATTTCCACATCTCTCATAGGATTGATCCTCACCACAACTGGTATTATCAAGTCACTGGCATCCTTGACACACTCCAGTACTGACAGGAACCCCTTGAAGACTGTGCGGGGTGCGGGGAGGTCACCCTTTTTTCTTTTCTTTTCTTTTCTTTTTTTTGAGACAGAGTCTCACTCTGTAGCCCAGGCTGGAGTGCAGTGGCGCCATCTTGGCTCACTGCAACCTCTGCCTCCTGGGTTCGCGCCATTCTCCTGCCTCGGCCTCCCGAGTAGCTGGGACTACAGGTGCCCGCCACCAAGCCCAGCTAATTTTTGTATTTTTAGTAGAGACGGGGTTTCACCGTGTTAGCCAGGATGATCTCGATCTCCTGACTGCAGGGAGGTCACCTTTAATTCGTCTTTGTCTTTTCTGTAGTGCTTATCATAATAGGTGAACCTATTGCTGCTCTGATAGTGAGGGGGATTTGGGGGGAGCCTGTGTCACTCTAGCACTATGTCTCCCCACAGTCATTGACTCACATACCCTTTGCTTGCCCCTTCGTGCACCTAGGACCTGAGACTATGTATGTATAAGAAGGAAGGAGGAGAACTTGGCTCTGAGAGACTATGAACAGAGTCATTGCTGAAATGTAAATATCAAAGATTGAAGGGAAAGATGTGAGAGTGAAGCCAGCTGTCTAGCTTCCAGCCGTAGAATGATCATAAGAGCTACTACACTCAAGGTCAAACACACTGACTCACCCATGAAAATTGCCAAGGAGTTTGAGTGGAAGTTCTCTGATATTCCAATGACTTTGAATGGGACACGGTAATTCCTTCCCACAGCCAGGGCTTACTTAAAATAAGTAAATGAATAAATAAAGTCTACTCCCTGGATCTTTTTTTTGCTCTTGTCCCTGCAGAGTAAGGGGATGCCAGCCAAGGCTGACATCATCATTATAGCAAGACAGGTGCTTTTTTTGAATACTTCACAAGGACAAGGGCCTGGTATTATGTAGGTCTTCAAAGAATATATATATATATAAATTTTTTTAATTCAGTCTCCTACATTTATAGTATGGGGAAATAAGACAAGAGCGAGGAATGCCTTGCTTGGGATATTGCAATTGGATGGCTGCACTGAGGACTATTTAAGCAACCTTAAAATCACAAACACACATCTGTGATGACTTTTTAATTATATCTGTCATTTTGGAAAAGATATTAAACATCTTCCTCAGAAGTTATTTTTACTTTACACACTCTTTAATAATGTTAAAAGATATTTGATGCAATTTATATTAATAAAGCTCATGGGACGTGTTAGTAAAAATAAAATTGAATCTTCTAAAATATATTCCTTTAAAAATGAATGTCTATAATTTTATGCTAGTTTAAGCAAATAATCTGAATAAATCCTGTTTGTTTAGCATAACACATGTACACGTAGTTTCTCCACAAAATGGAACGCGCTAAATGTGTTGGGGCCTCAGGAAAGAACTAGTGGAAGGGGGCATAGGAGGATTTGGGGGCAAAAGGAGGAATCCAAAAAGAAGGTCTTCATGGAGGAAGAGACCTGTCCCAATGTGTCATTCGGTAGATCTCACTTTCTCCTAGTACCTCATAGTCATTCATTTTTCACCCCCAACAGACAAGTGGAGACTGATATTATTCCCTTTTACAATGTAACAAAATCAAAGCTTAGAAAACCAGGGGGTTTGGAAAATAAGGAATTTGTGTAGGATTAAAATAGAACTTTGAGCTCCTGGACTCTGAATCTTAGCTTCTACCTTGCACTTAAATAAATTTATGCTAACAGATGTCCTGTCATCAGATAGGACTTTTTTTTTTCTTTTTAATGTCGGCAAGTCTCATTGTTACAGCTCTCTGGTCTGCCCAGTTTGGTTACACCTGTTTTGAGATTCCTTGCCTATACCCTTCCAACTGAAGACAAGCACTTCCTACTGTACTTACAGAACTTTCATCTATGTCTTGGTTTAATCTTTTGCCTTTGTTTTAACCGTTTACCACTTCTGCTTTATATTGGTAGGTAATCTTACCCCCAAATACATAGACTATGAGCTCCTTAGGAGCAAACTCATTTTTTTTTTCCTGTTGTTCTTTGTGTCTTTTTTTCCCTATCCACCTCCAAATCTTACTCCACATTTCTGAAAATAGCACCCAAAGCAATACCTCTCACTTTGGGGAGTATTTAGTACATTTTTTAAAAAATGAATGTATTATACAGTCTGGATCACCATAACAAAAATACAAGGACTGAGTGCCTTAAATAACAGAGATTTATTTTCTTATAGATTGAGAATGGAAGTCCGAGATCAGGGTGTTAGCACTGTAGGATTCTGCTGAGGACTGTCTTCCTGACTTGTAGATAGCCACCCTCTCACTGTGTCCTTACATGGTGTGTGTGGGGAGGGAGCAAGCCCACTAAGTGTCTTTTCTTATAAGGTCACTAGTACCATCATGAGGGCTCCATCCTTATGACCTCATCTAGGCTTAATCACTTCTCAAAGGCCCCATATACACATACTATCACTTTGGGGTTAAGGCTTCAACATATAAATTTATAAAGGGACTCAATTTAGTCCATAGCAATAAATTAGGCCTTTTGACTATAGATCTGTAAGTGCATAATTGGCACTGATTGATGGATTGCAGATCAGAATATCCTATGCTTCTAGTTATATAGAAACTACATGCTTAGTGTTTTTTTTTTTTTTTTAGACAGAGTCTCACTCTGTTGCCCAGGCTGAAGTGTAGTGGCACAATCTTGGCTCACTGCAGCCTCCACCTCCCAGATTCAAGCGATTCTCCTGCCTCAGCCTTCTCAGTAGCTGGGACTGCAGGCATGTGCCACCACGCCCAGCTAATTTTTGTATTTTTAGTACAGACGGGGTTTCACCATGTTGGCCCGGATGGTCTGGATCTCCTGACCTCGTGATCCACCTGCTTCAGCCTCCCAAGGTGCTGGGATTACAGGTGTGAGCCACCACACCCGGCCCATGCTTAGTTATTTAACAGAGGTTTATTGAGCACTGTGTTGGCTTTAAACAATTTTGCTAGACATTCAGTAGGGCCTGATGAGTGTTTAAGACCTCGTACAGTTCAGGTGCATTTTCCTTTAAGGATACATTTAACCTGCTAGATGTCATCTCATTTTGAAGACAAGAGAAAAAGAGAGGAAGACTTGTTTTTTCAGAGGGTTATTATACATTCCTATTAGATCATTAGGAAATTGGCACAAGTGGCAGGAAGCCAAACTGACCTGAGTCTGGCTGGGCAGTGTCTGCAGGTTACTCCAGCAAAGCTGCTGGAATAACGATGTGTTCTTCCATAAAGTGCTTTTTGTCAAAGTCTCTTCTGGAATTAACTCCTCATGCACAGATCGATAAACCCCACCAACTTGCCAATGTAATTAAGAAGTGACAGGTTAAGCATAACCATTAATTAAGTTCAAAGTAAAAGAAAATGAAGAAGATTGTTTTTGTGAAATTGTGCTGTCAGATTTTTCTCAAGGGTATTTCTGAGTTCCTATAAAGGGGAATTTAGGAAAGGGAGGAGAAGATTGTCTCCACTTCCTTGGGAAAAGTGAGTGTTTAAACACATGTCCATTGAATATTTTTAACTGAAAAGTGAACTATTTGCCAGTTTTAAGAGACATTGAGTGAGCACCTTCTGTGTGCAAAAGACTGTGCTCCGTGCTATGCGGAATACAGCGCAGTGTGAGACTTGTTCACGCTCTCGTGGAGCCCTGAGGTGAATGAGAAGTATCAGACATGTGAACAAATATAACACAAGGCAAAGTAATCCAACTTATCTGTGAGAGATTCGGGCAGTTGTGAGAGCTCAGAGGAAAGGCCATGCCCCATCCTACAGTGGGGAGAGGAGGGGACTGGCATCGAGAAAGACCTCCCAGAGGATGCAGCATTTGAGCAAAGCCTTGAAAGTAGAGTAGGAATGGATAAGGGGGAAAGAATGAATGAGAACAGTTCCAATATCTCAACATTTTTTTATGTTGAATTCCATTATAGCTTCTAGGATCAAAGGAAAAGAAATCAGCCTCTTGTTCAGTAAAGATTTGTTGAGCATTCATTATATGTGCATTATTCTGCAGAAAATTTGGGGCTGGGAGAGGTAAAAAAATACCTTCAGGATAACAGGCTTTTTCACAAAAGTATCAAATAGTCTTAGACTCATTGTCTTCCTCTGATGGCATCTTAATGGAATTCAATACAAAGGCCAAAATTCCTTTGTTTTGAAGCCACAAGAAAACACAGCCAATGGAAAAGCCGTGTTAGTGCTGCCTGTCCTATTCTGATAAGGTGAATACTTAAAAGCTATGAAAGAAGCACTGAGTACTGCTGGACAGTTTGAGTTCATTTGGCTGGTAGAATTGAGTGGAAGTCAATTCTCATGCCATTTAAACTGGAAGAAACTGAAGATTCTCCAACCCAAGCTCCTCTTTTTGCAGATAGTCAACTGAAGCCCTGTAAGACTGTAGTTTTATAGATAAAAAAGAGCCATGTGAATTTCCTAAATCACATAACAGTCAGTTTATTATTTGACATTTATGGTACATTCACATGGAAGAGAATGATTAGACATTTCCAGGAGAGAATAACGACTCCCAATTCCCTGAGTTACCATTAGATGGTATTAAGCAACTTCACTTAATTATGTACCTGTTTTCCAGTTATGTTAATTATACATCCTTTAGCATTTACCACCTGTACCAATCATTTAGCATAATAATACCTTATACTTAAATGCAAGTACCCAGAATACTTTTATAGTTGTTTTCATTTGATATTCACAACAATCCTACAAGGCAAGTGTTATTTCTAGATTAGATATGAGAGAACTGAGGCATAGAGAAGGTAACCCATATAGCCAAGAAACTAAAACAGGGTTCTGACATCCATTTTCTAACTATGCATCTAGGTTTTTTTTTTTTTTTACCTCTGCGTCTAAGTTGCCTGCCTAAATCGCCTTCAGTCCATTGAAATCCATCCAATCAATATTTACTGAACATCATCTGTATTTCAAATATTGTAGTGGGCATTGGGGGTATGAAATTGCAAAAGAGAGAATCATCAGTATTTGGGAAACTCACTGTTTGAATGAGATAGAAAGCCAAACAGATAAATGGGAATTATTTTAAGTGCCATAATGGGTCTATGCACTGTCTTTGGAGATTGGATGGACAGGGTAGCAAAAGATTGAGGAGCTAATTTTGCTGCTGTTTATCTAAGCATGTCAGGGTCCTGTCTTTTCACGTAGATTATGAGTGTCTTGGCATGTCTTTTGTCTCTCTGCATCCCCCGAGGCTCCTTGCACAGTCCTCACACTCCACTGGCGTTCTGTTAATATTTGTTGATGATGATACTGGTGATTTTTTCTCTCTGACATCCAGAACACTGGAGAGATTTTCTGTTGGCCCTTGGGTATAACAGATTTTTATTTATACATTTGAATTAGCCTTTTAGAAATCATTCTTAAGTAAAATAGATATCTTTTTAGTGAGAGAGTTTCTAAATACGAACTTATTCAAAACAGTAATGATATTCTATTTTAGCCAGCTAATACTCAACTACGATTTGCAATTTAGAGAGTTGTGCTTGTATAGATTGTCCCTTTCTGAAGTGAGTGAATTGTAACTTTAAATAAGGGCTGTTAACACATCAAAATAGTTTTTAATCAGCCTCAAAAATTCCCCTTATTTCCAAGTATCTTATTTTTACTATTTCATTGATGTTTCAAGTGGAATCAAATATTCCAACTGTTTTCCACTGGAAGAAGATGAATTTCAGGTACAATTCAGTAGCAAAGAACACCCATGTTTTCAAAATAATGGAGAAATTTTTTTCTCATATGAAGTTATGATTAAATTTGTGAATTGCACAAGCTTGGAATTCTGCTGCAGGATGCCTACATTCTGTATTGCTTTATTTTGGTCATATATTACAAATGGAATATTTCCCAGCTCATTTATATACAGTTCCTGGTTGCTGAAATTTTACTGGCAAGCTTTGTGAACTAATTTTACTTCTCAAAGATACTAGGAATAAAGTGAAAATAGGGTCTTTTCTCTCATAGGTCTAAAAGATACTTCTTTCCTTTAACCATTACATTCTGGAGGTGTAATTAATCCAACCCTGCTGTAGATAGGATCTCATTATAAAGATTCTAGGTAAACAGTCTTTCTAGCAGAAATGATCTTTTTGGTTCAGTCTTGCAGCATTTCCTAAAATTGCTAGTGTACGTAGTAAATAGGGAGGTAAGTGGGGAAATTTCCTAAAAATGCCAGTGTACAGAGTGAATTGTTAGGTAAATGAGAAAATCAGGCTTGATTTACCAACCACCCCATGTGCACATACAAACAAACACACACTCACACCAAAGCCAGGAACCCTGCAACAAAGTTCTATTTACCCTGAGGAGATATAAAACTTTGTGACTGCCACTAAATTATTTTTTTGAAAAATAATACAGAAATTTGTAAGCAGACACAACAGCTCTAGTTTATCCACCAAATAACAATATAAATGGGACAAGCAAAGAGAAACTGTAATTTGAAGATTTTTGAGTGTGATACTTATAAAAGTGTGTGTGTTTGTGTGTAGAAATGTATTGAATTTGAGAGTAATTTATGGAAAGTGCTGTCAGCATGGTATTTCAAATGCTTCACAATTTGAATTTAAACTAGTCAATGGGATCATTAAGATTATTATGCATGTTTTCCAAAGAGTTTGAATTCAAATGACAACTTAAAAGAAAAAAAAAAAGATGTCCTTGAAAAACTAAGGAATGTTAGTGCACTTATAGAAATTCTTGCAGTTTGGAGTAATTTGCCACCTCCCCTTCTGAAAAAGTACCTGATGATAGTGTGCTTGAGAGATAGGGGTATTGCAGACATATTCCTTAGGTGAGTAAAACTGAATTGTAAAGTGGATGCTATGGACCATGGATTATTTCATTTAGTACGATTGACAGTAGAAAATCAGGAAGGGACGTGCATCAGTGCGAGGCTGACACACAGATCTGAGGATGGCAGAAGCTCACTGAATAGCACACGCAAGGACCCTTCAAACTCATCACATGTGCCGTTTGGTTCCCTTTCAATGGGTCGGTCTTGGAATATGGAGGTCTGCTTTCATTTTGTGCCAAGTAACCACGTGAGCAGTTTACAAAAGATACAAACAGAAGGCTGCTCATTCATTTTTCAAAAAGACTTTTTTTTTTTTGCAATGGAGTTTGCAAAGTGATTTTGCAATGGATTTTGCAAAAAAAATGGATGCCATTTTTTTTAAATAAGTGTAATTCCAATGATGGGAAATTTACTAGCTCTCAAGGCAGCTTTTCCTTGTGTTGAAATCTCTAAAGGTTAAAAAGTTACTTTTTGGAAAGAAGTCTATTTCCTTACAACATGTTTTCATTGGTCCATAGAGAAGACAGCTAATACATCTTCCACTTGGCAGCCTTTTAAGTATTTGAAGAAAATTCTCAAGTCCATCTGAATCTTCTGTTTTGGCTAACTTCTAGTTCCTTCATCCATTTCCAACCTAAATTTGAGCCTAACGAACAGATTTCTTCTTTCTTATTTAAATATATATATATATGAGGAAATAAAGGCACAGAGGGCTTAAGGGAGTTGCCCAAGAACATAGAGCTGGTTGGATGACTGGAATGTAAGGCTGTGTGGCTCTAAACCTTGTCATTTAGACTAGAACACCTATACGTCAGTTAGCTTCCTGCCACTTCTTGTTTTCTGCCTGGATAGGACTTTATAAAGAGTTTGGAAGAAGGGAGAGTTCCGACGAGGTACAGAAATCAGA
Source organism: Homo sapiens (assembly GCF_000001405.40). Taxonomy (NCBI): domain Eukaryota; kingdom Metazoa; phylum Chordata; class Mammalia; order Primates; family Hominidae; genus Homo; species Homo sapiens. Next base: position 188,780,185 of record NC_000003.12, read on the forward strand.
ACTTCCCCTTCTTCCAAACTATATACAAATAATCAGTTAATCAGATTAAAGGACTCTTAGTAACATTGAAATCAAACCTTTGTGTTTCCAGGAGCTCTGAGAACAACAATTTTTTTGGAGCATTGCAATCTCTTGAGTATCCAAAATGATTCTGTAATGATGTCTGTGAGGTCAGAATTGGAGCAGCAAATGGAATTCCTTTAAGGGCTTCCCATCAATGGACAGCTGATTCCAGAAATGGAGGAGGCACAGTTTGTATCCAAATTCATAAGCACAAGTGGGAGAAATTAGGCTTTGGTAAAGAGGGTGACATTCCCAAAGGAATCATCTGTGAAGTTGGGGAAGGAATTCAAGCTCAGGGCTGCTGTTCTCTACCAGGTTCTTCAGCCAGCTGGACATGCTCCCCAGGTTTCTACTCAGTCTGGAATGTTAGTAAAAGTCCACTTCCTCTCCTTGTTTCTCCCTTCTAGTGAAAACGTTCCTCTTCTCTACCTTCCTGACCTCAAGACCATTGTTCCACACATCCCCCCTCAGGATCCCACCCCGCCATTCTCATTCTCATTACATTGTTTCTGGATCCATGTCTTTATCAGATGCAGCCCACTGTCCCTTTCAGAAGATGCCAGAAAATTTACATATGTGATCAAATGTTCCCATCACAACAGTTCTTTCCAGTAATCCCAGTGCTGGGCAGCTGATTCCAGTAATGGAGGAGACACTTTCAGCTATTAGGCAATGGATCACACTTTCAAAGGAGATTGAGCAATCTCCTCATCAAGTTGTACTTAGAGCACAAATCTGGTGCCAAAAGGCACTACCGGATTCAGACTGACAGCACTGAGAGTTTTGAGTGAAAGGGAAGTTAGACTGGTGTTATGTGTATTCACTGGGAGGAACTCACCGGGAGAAATAAAGAGGGTTTCCAGTTTATTCATTGTGTAAAGCGGCTATAATAGTATTTATAGGGGTTTTGTGAATGTCAAATAAAATTATATTTGGAACAGTGGCTAGTGCCATAAGTAGGACTTAACCTTTAGCAATATGTACTACATTAAAAGGAAGGTGGACACATGAGTGATCTCTAGCATTTTGTGACTGGAAGGAAAGAGACTGGATGACCACTCTTCAGAGATGCTATGGACAGTACTTTTGTCAAGGACTGGGAGTGGAGAAAATGACTTATAGTGGTCTTTCCAACATGAAGTTTGTATTAATCCGTTTTCACACTGTGAGGAAGAAATACCTGATACTGGGCAATTATAAAGAAAAGAGGTTTAATTGGCTCACAGTTCCACACGGCTGGGGAGGCGTCAGGAAACTTACAATCATGGTGGAAGGCACCTCTTCACAGGGTGGCAGGAGAGAGAATGAGAGACAAGCAAAAAAGGAAAAGCCCTTTATAAAACTATCACCCCCTGCCTCGGTGCGGTCGCTCACACCTGTAATCCCAGCACTTTGGGAGGCCGAGGTGGGTGGATCACGAGGTCAGGAGATCGAGATCATCCTGGCTAACACGGTGAAACCCCATCTCTACTAAAAAAAAAAAAATACAAAAAAATTAGCCGGACATGGTGGCGGGTGCCTGTAGTCCCAGCTACTCAGGAGGCTGAGGCAGGAGAATCACTTGAACCCGGGAGGCGGACGTTGCAGTGAGCTGAGATCATGCCACTGCACTCCAGCCTGGGCGACAGAGCAAGACTCCGTCTCAAAAAAAAAAAAAAAAAATCTATCACCCCCCTTGATTCACTTACCTCCCACTGTGTCCCTTCTACTTCACGTGGGGATTATGGGAACTACAATTCAAGATGAGATTTGGGTGGGGACACAGCCAAACCATATCACACATGAAACACAGAAAAAGGACATCTTTTTACATGGATCTTCTGATATGCTTGTACCAAAGCCCACAGTATATCCTGTCTTCTTGAAAGAGTATCATAGTTATTCATTTGCCTTGGATGGAAATAATGTTGTAATACCAGTTAATACTTTTTTCAACTAAAGGGAATTTGGCTTCATCTCCAGTTGCAAATTCACATCAGGAAATATCAAATCCAAAGATCAAAACTCAGTATCTCATCACTTTCAGGACCATCCTTGCCACTTGTCTCAGGCATCATGTACCTGGAAGCTGAAAAGCAATGTACAGAACCTTTGAATTGGAGAGATATCAATTTGAACCCAGATCCTGCTACTTCCTACATTGTGAAAGGGATCAAGTTTCTTTAGTTCTCTAAAGCAAAGGTTTTTCATCTATAAAAGGAGGTTAATAAAAGGGAATACTTATCATGTTGAATTAATGGGAATATTAAATGAGTTTATGTGGTTTAATTGCCTAGCACAGTATCTGCCTCCTAAGATATGTTTAATAAATGCTAACTGTGACTATAGAGATTTACCCTGAAGATACCTGTCATGTCATGCCTTCTCTGTCAAATAGATCATGAATGCAGTTCCTAGCCTCTCTCTCCTGTTATACCCTCCTAGCAATATTCTGATGCAGATGAACCCAGCCACTTGTCTTTTGCTTGCCAGAACAGCTGAATGTTGCTGGGAAAAAAAAAAACAAAACACAGCCGGGCATAATCATATCATTATAAGTTGTGACCAGCCTTGACCTGCGCCTTGACCCCACCCACAGCCTACATTCTTACACCCTGCTCTCAACTGTTTCAGACATTCTCTACTGTGACTTCTATCTCCCTTCCCCACTCCTTCCTTCTCAAGGGATGCCCTGGCCTCATTCTTCATAGTGAAAATGAAAGCTGCCAGAAGAAACTCTTTCAGCTTCTGCTCTCAAATCTGTGCCCATCCTTTCTGTCCCTTAGTGCCTATCAGATTATCAGTTGCCAATTGGTCTCCATGTATCTCTGGTCCCTTTTTCCCCTGTCTTCTGAGTGCCCTGGCTCCATGGATCATCCATTCTTTATCCTACCCAATGGGATTCTTCTCGTCAACATCCATTTGTGCCCCAGCTTGGCCCATATTTTCCCTCCATTGACTCCACAGCTCTCTGTAGCTATTGCTTTATCCCTTCCTTCACAGCCAAACTCTGGAAAGTTGGATATTAGAAATGCTGTCTCCACACTATTCACAATAGCAAAGACATGGAATCAACTTAAATGCCCATCAGCGACAGACTGGATAAAGAAAATGTGGTACATATACCCCACAGAATACTAAGCAGCCATAAAAAAGAATGAGATCATGTATTTTGCAGGAACATGGATGGAGCTAGAGGCCATTATCCTTAGCAAAGTAATGCAGGAATAGAAAAACTAATGCTGCTTGTTCTCATTTATAAGTGAGAGCTGAATGATGAGAACACGTGGACACAAATAAGGAAACAACAAGCACTGGGATCTACTTGAGGGTGGAGGGGGAGAGGAGGGAGAGGAATGAAGATAGCTGTTGGGTACTGGGCTTCATACCTGAGTGGTGAAATAATCTGTACAACAAACCCCCATGACATGAGTTTGCCTATGTGACTAAACCTTCACATATACCCCTGAACCTAAAATAAAAGTTTTTTTTAAAAAAAGAAAAAAAAATCCTGCCTCCATTTTTCTATCAAGTATTCTGCCTGCTACCAGGCCCCTATCCCTTCATAGACTAGCTGAGGACATCAGGGACTTCCATGTTGCCAAAACCGTGAGTCTAATCAGTGTTTACCTAACTTGATATCTCATTCTTACAAAACTGTCCCTCCCAACTTCCTTGGCACCCCAGCCTCCCGATTTTGTTTTTAATTTTTCAATAGGTTATTGGGGGCACAGGTGGTGTTTGGTTACATGAGTAAGTTCTTAGTGGTGATTTGTGAGATTTTCGTGCACCCATCACCCAAGCAGTATATACTGCACCATATTTGTAATCTTTTATCCCTCGTCCCCCTTCCACGCTTCCCCCCAAATCCCCAAAGTCCGTCGTATCATTCTTATGCTTTTGCGTCCTCGTGGCTTAGCTCCCACATATCAGTGAGAAAATATGATATTTGGTTTTCCATTCCTGAGTTACTTCACTTAGAATAATAATTTCCAATTTCATCCAGGTCACTGTGAATGCCATTATTTCATTCATTTTTATGGCTGAATAGTATTCCATCATATATATATATTCCATCATATATATATATTCCATCATATATATATATTCCATCATATATATATATTCCATCATATATATATATTCCATCATATATATATATTCCATCATATATATATATTCCATCATATATATATATTCCATCATATATATATATTCCATCATATATATATATTCCATCATATATATATATTCCATCATATATATATTCCATCATATATATATATTCCATCATATATATATATTCCATCATATATATATATTCCATCATATATATATTCCATCATATATATATTCCATCATATATATATATTCCATCATATATATATATTCCATCATATATATATATTCCATCATATATATATATTCCATCATATATATATTCCATCATATATATATATTCCATCATATATATATATTCCATCATATATATATATTTCCATCATATATATATTCCATCATATATATATTCCATCATATATATATATTCCATCATATATATATATTCCATCATATATATATATTCCATCATATATATATATTCCATCATATATATATATTCCATCATATATATATATTCCATCATATATATATATTCCATCATATATATATATTCCATCATATATATATATTCCATCATATATATATATTCCATCATATATATATATTCCATCATATATATATATTCCATCATATATATATATTCCATCATATATATATATTCCATCATATATATATTCCATCATCATATATATATTCCATCATATATATATATTCCATCATATATATATATTCCATCATATATATATATTCCATCATATATATATATTCCATCATATATATATATTCCATCATATATATATATTCCATCATATATATATATTCCATCATATATATATATTCCATCATATATATATATTCCATCATATATATATTCCATCATATATATATATTCCATCATATATATATATTCCATCATATATATATATTCCATCATATATATATTCCATCATATATATATATTCCATCATATATATATATTCCATCATATATATATATTCCATCATATATATATATTCCATCATATATATATATTCCATCATATATATATATTCCATCATATATATATATTCCATCATATATATATTCCATCATATATATATATTCCATCATATATATATATTCCATCATATATATATATTCATCATATATATATATTCCATCATATATATATATATATATATTCCATCATATATATATATACACACACACACACACACACACACACATACCCACACATCCCAGTTTCTTTATCCACTTGTTGATTGATGGGCATTTGGGTTGGTTCCATGATTTTGCAATTGCGAATTGTGCTGCTATAAACATGCTTGTGCAAGTATCTTTTTCGTATGACTTCTTTTCCTCTGGGTAGATACCCAGTAGTGGGATTGCTGGATTAAATGGTGGTTCTACTTTTAGTTCATTAAGGAATCTCCACATTGTTTCCATAGGACCAGCCTGCTGATTTTCTCTTTACCTATGTCTCAGTTACCTTTGCTGTTTTGTATTCTCCCTGACTCCTAAGTTGTCCAGTCTCTCTGGGATCATTTTCTTTCTCAATTTTCTCTTTAGTCACCCTCATATCCTCCCAAGCTTTTAGATATCATCAGTATGCTGACATGTCTCAAATAGGTACCATGATGGTTTTGTTACTATTTTTTATCTTAGCCATTCTGATAGGTGTGTAGTAATTATCTCATTATAGTTTGACTTGCTTTTCTCAAAGTGCTAATGATATTAAACATCAGTGCAGGCTGGGCCCGGTGGCTCATGCTTGTAATCCTAGCACTTTGGGAGGCTGAGGCGGGTGGATCACTTGAGGTCAGGAGTTCGAAACCAGTGTGGCCAACATGCTGAAACCCTGTCTCTACTAAAAATACAAAAAAAATTACCCGGGCATGGTGGCGGGTGCCTATAATCCCAACTACTTGGGAGGCTGAGGCAGGAGCATTGTTTGAACCTGGGAGGCAGAGGTTGCAGTGAGCCAAGAGCATGCCACTGCACTCCAGCCTGGGCAACAGCGTGAGACTCCGTCTCAAAAAAAAAAAAAAAAAAAAAAAAAAAAACCAACCATCAGTGCAGAAGAGGATGTGGAGTGGAGAGACTGCATCAATTATATTTTGCTGATGAGAATATAAGATGGAACAACCATTCTAGAGAAAGTTTTGGGAATTTCTTCTTTTAAAACTAATCCTGCAACTACCATGTGACCCAGCAGTTGCACTCCTGGGCATTTATCCCAGGGAAATGAAGACTTGTATATCCCAGGGAAATGAACAAATCAAATATTTGTTCATAGCAGCTATATTTGTAAGATTCCCAACCTGGAAAAAACCCAGATGTCTTTCAACAGGTGAATGGTTAAACGGTGGCACATTCTTACCCTGGAATACGATTTAGCAATAAAAGGAAGGAGTTGTTGATATATGCAACACCTTGGGTGAATCTCAAAAGAATTATACTGAGTGGGAAGGGCCAACCCCCAAAGGCTGCATACTGTATGATTCTATATATAACATTCTTGAAATAACACTATATAAATGGAGAACAGATTAGTGTTTGTCAGGAGTTAGGGATGGGAGACAAGAAGTCAGGGATTAGGAATTGGGGGTTTGGGGTAGCTGTGGTTATAAAAGGACAATAGAAGGGATCATTGTGGTGATGGAACTGCTCTGTATCTTTGCCATGGTGGCAGATACATTAATCTATACAGGCAGTGCAATTACATAAATCAAATACACACACACCTGCATGAACTTACACATATATACAGACAAGTGGAGAAATCTGAATAAGATTGATAGACTGTATCAATCTCATATTCTGGCTGTAATATTGTACCATAGTTTTACAAGGTATTATTGTTGGGGGAAACTGGATAAAGGGTACTTAGATCTCTACGTTATTTCTTTCAACTTCATATGAATCTACAATTATAAGAAAATTTAAAGTTTAATTTATAGAAAAGGCAATTTTAGATTTGAAATAAAATTCCTACATTAACTGAAAAATTAATTAAATATAAATTTAAAATCAAAATTAAAAACCCTTTGACAACTTTAGATCTCTCTCTCTTACACACACACGCACACACACACATACATCTAAGCTTTATTGTCTTTGCTCTACTAACAGTTCAGCTCCCTGTAATTCAGTTTCTATCCCCACCTCTCCACTTACACCACACTTCTGAACATCACCAGTGACCTCTTTGATGTTTAATACACTTAAGACTCTTCAGTCCTTATCATTCTTGAGCTCTTGCAGCATTTAAAGATGTTGACTCTATCTTTGTTTCATTTGACTTCTATAGCACCGTACACTCTGGGTTTTCTTCCTATCGCTGTACACAACTTTCTACCGTTTTTAATAGATTTCCTCTCTTCATTCCTTAAATTCTCCATTTTTCTTGAGTTCTGCCCTAATCTCCCTTCTTGTCTCAATCTGTACTCCTGAGTTATTTCATCTGCTTCCGTGAGTACAAATATCATCTGTGTGCTGAGAACTCTCTGGCCAAAATCTGCAGCTGGATCTCTCTGTAAGCTCCAGATATGTATCTATCATTTTAGCCTGCAGTCTTCATAGATTGGCCCATAGGCCCACAAATGCAACAGTTTCAGACAGAACCCAAGGTGTTCCCTTTTAAACCTGCTCCTCTCTGTGTTCCTTTTCCATGAATGGCATTACCTTGTTGCTCCAACCAAAGGCACAGGAGCTGGCCTGTATCCTTCCTCTTCCTTCAGTATCCCCTCTTATCCACTTATTAACCAATTTCTGACATAATACTTTGGCTTCCTTTATATCTTCTTTCATTTATGAGACAAGTTCCTTCAGTGTTTTCTAGTGACTTTTCATTACTTGGAAGAGACAGTTCATACTCCTCACACTACCATGTAAAGAGCTCATAGCCACATGCACACACATGCACATCCACTTGTGCACACATACCTAAACACACACCCAAAACAGAGAGATTGTCTCATGCCTGTGGCTGGGTAAACACTTGTCCTTGATGGAATGTGTAGCTTTCCCATCTCCATCCCAATCACCTAGCCAAAAACTCTCCTCCTTCAGGCCTCCATTTAGACATCACTTTTCCCTCAAGTATGTGTGATTCTTGTGCCTTATCCTCCCCATCATCCTGTAATAGCATCCTCTGCTTTTCCTCATCATAGCATTTAGAAGACTGTATTTAAATTACCTATTTGACACATACCTCAGTAGCTATACATTTTCCCTAAGGGGAGGGTTGATGTCTTGTTTCTCATTGCATCCTGCAGTAAGCACCGAGTAAGTGTTTCTTGACTCTGGGGCTGTACTGAGTTGAAGAAGGATGACATCACTGACTACAGAACCCTTTGTATAAGCATCAAAGGGGTAGCAGTGGGGTAAATGATCACATCCTGGCTAAATGGTTCCGATTCCTACAACCCTGCAGCACGCCCCCCCGGCTCTAAACCTTTTAGTCATTTCCTGTGAATCTTGCCAGCACTCATTTCATTTTTTGTTTTTTCCATTTTCTTCATCTTTCCCACATAGTATAGACCAGAATGAATCAAGGTCTAACTTATGCTGACTGTCCGTGTTGCATCATCAGTCTTTGGGGCCCCTTCTCAGTTTCTGTGGCTGCTCTTGTGCCTGCTGACTCCATCCCTGTAGACCTTGCTGTTCCTCCCAGTCTGTGGCCACTAACCTCAGTTATTTTTACTGAATGTGTTACCTCATCCATAGTGAGTCTTTTGTTGTTGTTGGGTTTTTTTTTTAGCAACAATGTATTTTTTAATTAAGGTATGTACATTGTTATTTTAGACATAATGCTATTGCACACTTAATAGACTACCATATAGTGTAAACATAACCTTTACTGCACTGGGAAACCAAAAAAATAAGTGTGACACACTTTATTCAATAGTCACTTTATTGCAATGTTCTGGAACCCTTTTTGTTGTTGTTGTTGTTGAACGGTTATTATAACATGTCTGATTTAGAGGAAAGTACACTGAACTGAAAATCAGGAAAGCTGGGCCCAGGGGGCTGGCCTTGAGCAGCTGACTAAGCCTGTACATTTAATTCAAAAAGAGCTACTCAGGTTATTCCCTTAATCGGTCTTATACTTTATGACAGTAAGCACTTACCTCGTTCTGTCACATGGTGTGGCCAGATTATGCATGTACTATGATTCAAAACATTCACGTAAATAAATCTTCCTAACATACAAGAATTATGTGTCTGTGGTGCTTTCCAGCTTTTGATGTGCTTGCAAACCCATTTTCTCATTTAATCCTCACAAAGTTGGAAACCAGCTCACTTACTTATTCATGTTTACAGGAATAATCAACATTGATGCCAATAATTTTGATTATATATTTTAAAAATCTCATGAAATTGGTTTTAAAAGAATCATTTATTAGACAAAAAGAGTGAACCTATCAACAGGCAATTCACAGAAGAGAAAATAAAAATAACAAATGAACCAATGAAATGATGTTCAAATTATTTAAAGAAATACAGTTTAAAATATTATTTTTTCATTCTCAGACCAGCCGGCATTTATAAGTTCAATGCTTGGTATTGGCAAAAGTATGGGAAGCATGTACTCACATGGGCTTGTGATAGGAGTACAAATTAATACAACCTTTTCGAAACAAAATTTAGCACTATCTTTCAAAATTTTAGGTGTGCACTATTTTTGACCCTGCAACTCGATTTCAGACAGTAGGCGTATTTGCATAAAGGCACAGTGGTATTCTGTTTCAGAATACACATTGCAACATTTTTATGATAGAATAAAAGGACTAGTAAAATAAAGTACAGCAACTGCATGCAATAATAACATGGAGGCTATCAGAAAAATAAGACAAATCTATATATGCTAATTAAAGACACCTTAAAAACTATTTTAGGAAAAAACAAGGTACAAAATAGGACATAAAGGATCTGATTTGTGTTTGAAGAAAAATTTCAAACATGAGTGTTTATATGTGAATGTGTGTGTGGTGTGTGCGTGTGTGTGTGTGTACATGCTTATACAGGCATGTATAAGCAATCTGATACATGCCTGTATAAGTATTACCCAATCTTTTAGTGATTATCTCTGGAAAAGAGTTTTACTTTTCATTCTCTACCCTTCTATGACAGTTGAATTTTTGAATTTTTAAATGAATAAATGTGTGTGTGTTGTGTATTTTTAAAGTTAACATACAGACTGAGCGCAGTGGCTCACGCCTGTAATCCTAGAACTTTGGGAGGCGAATCACCTGAGGTCAGGAGTTCAAGACTAGCCTGGCCAACATGGTGAAACCCTTGTCTCTACTAAAAATACAAAAATTAGTCGGGTGTGGTGGCGGGCACCTGTAATCCCAGCTACTCGGGAGGCTGAGGCAGGAGAGTCGCTTGAACCAGGAGGTGGAGGTTGCAGTGAGCCAAGATCATGCCACTGCACTCCAGCCTGGGCGACAGAGTGAGACTCTGTCTCCAAAAAAAAAAAATGTTAGCATATAGCGTAGAATTCAGCTTTTCTTATTCTAGGTAGCGATGGTGCTTTTCACTGCTTTGCCCAACTTAATTGACCCAAGTAGAAAAGTCTTCAAAAAAAAAAAAACGCTTTAGAAAAACACTTTAGACACTTTAGATTTATGTGACTTCAAAAGTCAAAAATGGTAATAATCCTGCTTAGGCAGAAGCCTTGCCCTCAGTCCCAAAACATGATGGACAAGCGGGTGACTTACCTGTGGCTTTTCTTGTATCTTGCAGTCTGTCAGCAATCATGAAATGTAGGCCTCAGAGTGGAAGGGCCCCTAGAGACCATCCATTGCCTCTCAGGAGCATGGTCATTCTGCAGATCAAGGTCCTGCTCTGGGAGAAATGGGTGCACACTCACTCTGCGTTCTGTCCAGCCCTTCTGCCACCTACATTTCTATGCTTTTCTCTTACTGCTAAATAGCTTCCTAAAGGAAAAGTGAATGGTCTTTGTGAATTCAAACCTCATTCTGTTGCTTCCCTATTTAAAACTCTTCAATGAGTCCCTCTTCCCAATGCTCTGTCTCTAGTTGTTCTGTATATAAAAGCTAAACTTCTTCACATGTTTCTGTTTCTCTTGTTTATGCGATCGTTTGTCATTGGCCTTGTGTTGGTGATGTATGTTCTGAATGAATAGGCTCCAGCAATTAAGTGACTGAGATGAAATGCTTTTGTATCTCTCTAGCCTCATTTCTTTTTTTTTTTTACCACTGTGATGCAAACACATGGAACTACTGTTCTCCATTGCACCATGATTAGTCTATCCGTAGTCTTTTGTGTGTGATCTTTCTGTACCTAGAACACTCGTCTTGGGCTTTTGCCTGGCCAGTACATTGCCATCCTTCAGGTCTCAGCTGATTTTTCACTTCTTCCATGGAGCCCCCTCTGACTTCACAAGATTGCGTTGTCCTGCTCATATGTCCTGCTCAGAGCATGCTGCATGTCTCACTTCATAGCACCTGTTATTTTTTTAGTATAGATTTTGGTTTTGTTTGCCTGCACCCCATTCCTTGAGGACAGGGAAAGTTTCTGTCCCCCTGTTGTGTTGAGGACACTATTAAGTTCCCTGCCATTACCTGGTGCTTAACACATAGTAGATGCTCTATTAGTGTTGGAATGGATGAGCTCTAGTGAGTAAGCGCCTAAGACAACACAGACCCTAAGGTCTTCTGAACCCAACCAAGTGCCCTGTTTTTGCTGCTATACCAGGCTGTCCTTCTTCCCACTGCCATCCTCCTGGTTCTGTTCTCTCAGCCCAAGCACCGTGTGTAGCCTAATCATGTATATCTATTCTCAGAGTTTGTAGGACAGGATACGAGTTAACAACTTAACGCCCTTCAAGATTTTGTGTAACAGGGAAAGGAGAGAACACCTGGAATGGTTCCCGCTTGGAGAAACGTTTTTCATCCTTCTTAGTTTCAGCTCCAATCAGATGGATTCAGCCTGTGACAGTCAACATTTACAGCCCTTGGGAGCAGCTCCATACTCACCTCCTTTGCCTGCTTACCGCAAGCTCACTGCCTCCTCCTCAGATTGTGCCAGACATACCAGGTTTGCTGCCGGTGAGAAGCAACAATCCAAATCCTACCTTTCTGTTCAGGTCCCAGTAAAATCTTCACTGGCAGCATTTTAGAATTGCCCCTTCCCTCTTCTCTCAAAGGGCTGCTGTTCAGCTGGCAGGACCAGCTTCTCTGATGCAGTGCAGTTCAGTGCAAACCAACGGAAAGCCCACAGTTTTTTTGTTTTTTTGGTTTTTTTTCTAGGTGTAAACAAACCTGGTTGATTGTGAGGCAAAGAAAAATAACAAAAACAAGTGAGAATACATTAGATTAATTTACTCTTTCTTTTTTCCCGCTCATTCATAATGTGATTGAAATCAGAAGTAAAGAAAGTAAAATCAGAGTGAGTTCCCTCTGCTCAGTCACCCACCCTGATCACAAGACTTTTGGAATACTGGGAGGCACTGCATTTAAGTAAGTATCAGCTGTATGGAGAGTATGAGGTTAAGATGATGCTGGATTTAATTTAAAGTCTCCTCACTGGTTTGCGTGAAGGAAGATTTTTATCAAGCAGAGTGAAAGAGACAGAATCTTGAAGCTTCCGCAGAGGGGAAGAAGACAGGGCCGTGCACTGCGAGTCAGTATGCCTCCAGTCCCTCTGGTGGGCACCGGTCCACATCACAGGAAGCCCAGCTGTGGTGGCTGTCAGTGTCAGAGGGGCTGGCAGACAGTAGTAGAGGCCCAGAGAAGTTACTTTGTACGTATCAGTCTAGAAGGAAGAGATTATGAAGATTAGTCAAGCCTCCCTTTCTCATTTATCCTTTTTTTTTTTTTTTTGAGATGAAGTCTTGCTTTGTCTCCCAGCCTGGAGTGCAGTGGCACGATCTCTGTTCCCGCAACCTATGCCTCCTGAGCTCAAGCGATTCTCCTGCCTCAGCCTCATTAGTAGCTGGGATTATAAGCACCCACCACCACGCCCAGCTAATTTTTGTATTTTTAGCAGAGATGGCGTTTTGTCATGTTGGAGAGACTGGTCTTGAACTCCTGACCTCAGGTGATCCTCCCACCTCAGCCTCCCAAACTGCTGGGATTACAAGCATGAGCCACCATGCCCGGCCACTTTCTCATTATACTGATAGCAAAATTGAGACCCACATCAGCGATCTAACCTGTCATTTCAATGATGTCCTGACATAAGAGTAAGCGGCCAGCCTGCCCTTTAAGTAAAGCCTACTCATATGGGAGTATATGTGCTTTATTAATTAGCAGAAGGGTATCCAGGCCTTCTTGGAAGCTGTCTTCTCTCTGTATGGGTAAATGGGCAACTTTTCTAGCCTTCCGTCTAATTGGGTTTAATATCAGTGAAAGAATCTTTAAGAAGGTGTGCCCTTAGGTGCTAGGGCCAGTATTGTAGGTGGCAACCAGGTACATTAGTCTCTGCCCTTGTGGAACTCATATTCCCATGTTTGTAAAGGAGTCTGGGCCTCTTATATGTGGTAAATGAAGTGACTGTCTATGTAGTTGCCTTTGCAGGACACAAGTCCTTGCCTTAGTTTCCCTCCAGCCAGGACTGCCCCACCGAGACTATTCATAGCTCCAACTTAAGGTGCTTTAATAAAGGGCAGAAATCATGACAAGAAAGGACGCTTTTCTTCAGGCAATGAATTCAGCCTGATTTTAGAAGCTGTTTTGGAGAGGTCTCTGTAAGCATATTACATTTTATTCCCTGCAGTACAATATTTATACATGGATAATTTGTATTGACAGTTGATAGTTACATAGAGGTATATCTCACTGGTTCTCAACTCTAGCTGCATTTTAGAATCACCAGGAGAATTTTCTTTTTCGATTCTGATGCCTAAATCTCTGCCCTAGAACAATAAAATCAGAATCTCTAAAAGTGAGGCCCAGACATGGGCAGTTTTGTTATTATTTATCATTGTTTAATAATAAATATTACGTAAAAGTCAGACTTTTAATGGCTCATTTGTAGGGAGGAGAACTTGCCATTTCCCAAAGTATCACCAGCATAAAAGGTGAATTTGTATTTTGTTCTCTAAGTTTCTGGCATATTCTGAAACTGCAATTTAAGTGACTCTCCTACCTCTGTCTTACTCCCAATTTATATTTAGCTGGATTCATATTAGAGGGCAAGAAGGGGCAAATAGAAAAAAAGTGATCTTTATCAAACCCATTTCCTTGTGTTAGAAAAACGATTTGTTGGAAAAAGCCATCGAGGAGATTTGAGATTCAGCACAAAAAAGAATTCGATATCACCTAATACAAGCTGAGAAGGGCTACCTCAGGGGGTCCTTGTGCACCTCACTAAGGAAGGTCTTTGGCAGAGGCAGAGACCATGACAAAGGTTTTTTTTTTCTTTATTGGACAAGAGCCAGAAAAAAATGGCCCCAAGATTATGCTCAGCCCCGGGAACCTACAGAAACCATGGAGCAGTAGGAATGGGTAGCTAGCCGTGTTAGAAGTAAATTTGAGGCCGGGTGCGGAGGCTCATGCCTGTAATCCCAGCACTTTGGGATGCCAAGGCAGGAGGATCACGAGGTCAGGAGATCAAGACCAACCTGGCCAACACGGTGAAACCCCGTCTCTACTAAAATACAAAAATTAGCTGGACGTTGTGGTGTGTGCCTGTAGTCCCAGCTACTCAGGAGGCTGAGGCAGGAGAATTGCTTGAACCCGGGAGGTGGAGGTTGCAGTGAGCTGAGATCATGCCACTGTACTGCAGCCTGGCGACAGAGCAAAACTCCGTCTCAAAAACAAAACAAAAACAAAAACAAAAGAAGTAAATTTGATTAATGAAATCTACCTTTATGTTTTTACCCAAAGTGTTATCAGGAAAGATAACGTTAAAAAATACACGTGATTTTCTTAATGTCTTAGTTTGAGCAAGTAATTCTAACTACTCTAGCAAACACATTTTTAAATCTCAGGGATTTAACACAATGCAAGTTTATTTTTGTCTGACAAAAATCCCCCATGTTTAGCCAGTGCATTCCACGTGGGATTCAGAGACTCTGTCTTATTCCATCCAGTGGTTCCACCAGTCTCTAAAGCCTAGAGGTCCTATGCCAGATTATGTGAATTAAAATTAGAAGAGAGTATTAAGGATCTTCTGGGACAGTGGTGGGATGGTTACAGTTTCCAGACTCATAAATGTAAAACAGTGTTCCTTCTACAAATATTCTATTGGCTGGGGCTCATTCACTTTCACACAGTAACAAAGAATGCTTGGAAATGTGGCCACACTGTATACCCCCAAAAGAAGAGGAATTAGTTTGGTTCAAATTTATCTAGTCTCTGTCATGCTTTCATCATCATCATCATCATCGTCATCATCATCGTCATCAGCTACTGTGGATCAGCATACTTTCCTGCAATTTTCCAAATCGAATTTTGTGGTTATATATTAACAGAGTATATAAAATTCATTTTCCCTACATAATATGTATTTTATTCCTATATGTGTTTTCTGCAGTGGTCTGATTTATATCAATGACTAACATATAGATTCGATTTGCACCAACTAGATAATTTAATCTCTTACTCCTCCTTGTTGACAGTTGGTGGGGTGCGCCTTATTTTTGAAGAAGAAAATGCTTATCCAGTTATTCAGCCAATCTCAGTTGACAGCCTATCACATGTCAGGCACTGGAAATTCCGTGGTGAGCAAAAACAGACAAGTGGCCTGCTTTCAGGAAGTTTCTATTCTGTTAAGGGAGATGGACAGAGTGTTTTAAAAGAAAGGAGTATTGTCCTAAGATAATTAAAACACAGGAACCTGACTTAGACAGAGATTAAGACAGGCATTCCTAAGGAAGTGATACTTCACTGAGTTATGAGGAGTGAGTAGGAGTTTAGACATCTCCAGACAGTGCAGCACGCTGATTTGAGGAACTGAAAGAAGGCCAGTGTGGTCAGAGCTCAGAGACTGAGGGAGAAGCATGATGCAGGATGAGTTTTGAGAGATAAACCATGAAGGACTTAGGCCTTGCTAAGCATTTTGGCCTTTTTCCCAAAAGTACAGGAAAGCCTAGCCATTTTATTATTTTATACCACCCATCCATTACAGGCTTTTCCTGAAAGGTCTTTGGCAATAGGGGAGCTATGGAAGCAACATCATGAGTAAGTGACTGGGGGAACCTTTTCCCTAAGTGTTGTGGTTGCTAGCCACACACCATGTATTCAACATCTCTCCAACTCTCCTCATCGTTTCCCAGAGCTGAAAGTAAGATGAGCACGAAGAAACCATGTTTAGTTAAGAACATGACCCGAAGAGTGAAAGGTATTTCCTGTTCCAAATAGGAGCCCAGTCTGCATTTTCTACTACATGATTTAGTAGAAAGACACATTGGATTTGAACCATATTTCTTCTGCTAGCCAATTCCATCTTATCTACAACTTTTTGATAATTATTTTGAGAAATAGATCTAGATCACAGCCTTCCAATTCCTAGGCCAGGATACTTTCCATTTTTCTACACAGACCCCATTGCAGTCCTCCCTTCTTCACAATCTTCAAAATATCCTTCTGATTGAACCAGATATCTTATTCTTCATCCCGTTTCCTGCCCCCTAAAATGACCTATCTTTCCCTTCTAAAACTTCCACTAACTTTAAAATTGGAGCTCAAGGCTTCCATCTCCACAGACTCTGCCCTGACAACAAATTGGTTGGTTTTATTTTCTTCCCAATGAATAGAATAGCCGTTAGAGGGAATTGTCTTCAGCTCTTTTCCCCTCCTCCTCCTCCTCCTCCTCCTCTTCCTCTTCCTCCTTCTTGCAAATACAAACACAGCAGGGCTCTATGCAGCTGGTTACTCTAGGCTCTGGTAACCTAACATAGCAGGGGAGGACAGAAGTCAATAGCGTGAGAAGTCTGTTTTTGTCACGGATTTGCTAGAAGCTATTAAAGTGTTCTTCCTAAGTCTGTTACTTCATAGGTTGAGGGAAGTAATGCATCCCACACAAGAGGACTGGGATATGTTTAAAGTAGTAGGAAGGCATTTGCCACTATTCTAGTCCATCCTGCCCATGCTGCCTAATGTTTGTTCCTACAGATCAAAATCTCATAATCTTCTAGACTTCTAGATACAGAAGAGTTGGAGAGATCAAAGCCTTGCCTCTGACCCAGATTATTCGATCTCATCTGGCATATCCTACACTCTAGCCATCCTGACCTGCCGTGTGTTCCCCTAAAGCTCCCATCCTTTTCTGACTTTGCTTTTCCTCATTCTGTCCCCTGCATTGAAATGCCTTTCCCACATCTCTATGTCTAAATCTTACATGGCCAATTCCAACGTAATCTAATCTCTGAAGATTCCCTTTGCTCCCCAGTTAGAAGTAGTCACTCCCTGCTCTGCTCACTTTTTGACATATATTAATTTATATAGCTATGCATTTATATGTGTATGTATTATATTCCTTACAAGAGAAGCTTTTGAGAGAAGGGCCTATAACTTTTCTTTCTATTTGTGTTTCCCAAAGCTCCTTCTGGTGGGAAAAATGCTTTGAGGTTGAATTAAGCTCACATTGAACTCTATGATGAAACCATTTGCTTATGAACTTGGACAAGTTTCTTTACAACTCTGAACCTTCTGAATTTTCCACCAGGAGAATGGGAATGAATAAGTAAGAAAACTTATAAGACAGCTCCTGGTGTAGGGCCTGACTCATGTCAGGTTCCCAGGAAGGCCACTTTATATCCTTCATACATTTGTATGTCTGTGTTGACATTGAATGTTTGCATGACATATAAAATATAAGTAGTAATGACAAATTTAATAGTGAATACTTACAGTAGTGCATTTCATCCTATGAAACGGGCAATCTGGCCCATTCTATATAATAGGGGAGAAAATAGAAACTTAGATTTACTAATTAGTTCAAGTTGGCACAGATATAAGGGGATCTCAGACTTCAACTCAGGCAGTCAGGCAGGGCCTATACTCTTGATATTCCTTTCTTGATACTTTCTCAGTATCAAATTACCACATAATAGACAATGCCACTCATAAATCTAGCCCACTCTAGGAACATAATAAGGCCTGTTGAGACATTCAGAGATGTCTCCCTGATCTTCAAAGATGAATTTTTATTCTTCCCTAAGCTGCTGTCTCTTCAGTCTCAACATCCTAAGTTCATTTTATCTTTCCTCACAGGTCAGGTTTTCAGCTCTAACTGTGTTCATCCTGGTGGCTCTGCCCTGGACATACTGCAGTTCTTTTATGTACCTCTTATCGTATGGGGTACAATGGCTTTCGGTACTGCTCAGTGAGGGGAGAGAAATAGATAGTGTAGTTTCTGATGTCAAGGAACACTTTAGAGAGACCTTAATTAATGTAGCCATATGTTGACTTCCTGGAGCACTCATAACAACATGGGAAGCCCACGCTGGGAAGATGCTGAGTAGGAATAAGAGAACAATGCTAAGAGAAGGGAAATTTCACCGTCTGTGAAGCGTCTGTTTAGATTTTATGTTTAAACTTTATGAACTCTGTCACTTGCTGGTGAATTTTCTTGCTCAGTATCTTAAAATACAGCTGCAGTGTGGGTTCCACCCTCTTCACTTAAAAGGGTGATTAACTGTTTGTGATGAATAATTATTTAATTGCCAGTTCAGCTACATGTGTGTAGTTGTTTTGCTTCTTTCCTCTTCAGTGTGAGCCAAATCTTCTCAATAATAAAAATAATCCAGAATTAGTCAACTGCCTTTTATCATGTTCTCATTCAGCCTGCTGGAGCAAGAACATTCCAATTCTACATCACCTTTAGCTTAAAAAGTAAATAAATAGAAGCTCTCACTCAGCCAGTTGATAGTTTTACTCTCACAGCCTCTCCTGTAACTAATAAAGTCTTGACTTCATCTTGAACCTTTTACTCTATCTTTGGATAAAAATTTAATCAGAAAGAATTATTGCTCTTTTAATACCTGTTTAACCTTTACATTCGCGATGGGTACAAAACCACTTAAGATTTAAAGCTCTCTTGTTATGGACTTGTATGCTGACCTACTTTTCCTCAGAGATATTTTTTGCAAGAATTGTTGAAGCTTGACATGGGGATCACTGCAAATGTCTCAGCTTTGCCATTCACTGCTTTCCATTCCTATGTCCTCCTTGCCCTGTTAATTATTTTAACAGAGACTTGCTATTTTAAGGAAGCTCTTTATCGTTACTAAATCTTTTTTTATTGTTAAACTCCTTTTTCTTTCCAGCATAGAAGTATGTCATGTTTTCTGTCTTCAGAATGTGCAAGTGCTTACCTTCTCATAAAGTGTGCCTGTTACCTTAATTTTATAGTCTTTATCACAAAAAGGTACGTAAGTGGGGTTCAGAATAGTGTCTTGCACTTAAGGTTTAACTTAGGTTTTAGTTTCTTCATGCAAGCAACTTGCATATGTAGAGAGGCAGCATGCTATATAGTGCAATGTTCTTCTTGGTTTTTAATTATAAAAGTGATTTCTTTTCTAGTAAAAAATCAAGTTATGCACAAATATATAGAGTGAAAGTGTTTTCAACTCCTCTCTCTAGAGGAAGCCACTAGCAGTTGGCATATTTCCTTCCAGAATTTGTTGTGTATTATAAACCTATATACGTGCGTATGTATACACACACAGTAGTACACACATTGTTCTGCACCTTGCTTCTTTGTTTTCCCTAAGAATGTATGCTTGATATATTTCTAAAAATAATAATGTATATGGGTCTAAGTATTTTTAGTGATATAGAATTCTATAGGATACATGAACCGTAACTCCCTTAGTCATTTCTCTACTGATTAGTATTTAACATTGTTTCTTTTTTTTTTTTTTTTGCCATTAAAAGCAAATATCTTTGTGCAATTATCTTCATGAAATGTTGAAGCTTTCTTTTTTTTTTTTTTTTTGAGATGGAGTCTCGCTCTGTCGCTCAGGCTGGGGTGCAGTGGCGCGATCTCAGCTCACTGCAAGCTCCACCTCCCAGGTTCACGCCATTCTCCTGCCTCAGCCTCCCGAGTAGCTGGGACTACAGGTGTCTGCCACCACGCCCGGCTAATTTTTTGTATTTTTAGTAGAGGTGGGGTTTCATCGTGTTAGCCAGGATGGTCTCCATCTCCTGACCTCGTGATCCGCCCACCTTGGCCTCCCAAAGTGCTGGGATTACAGGCGTGAGCCACCACACCCGGCCAAAACTTTCTGCAGGATATATTTTTAAAATGGGTTTTCCAAGTCAAAAGTGTATGTATGTTTCCATTTTGATACCTACTGAAATAGCTCTCCAAAAGTGAAACCAAATTTATTCTTTTCAATGGTATGTAAGAATGCCTGATTCCCCATACTCTCATTAACCTTGAGCATGTTCCATCTTTTAAATTTTTGCCAAGAAGATTGTCTAAAAATGGAATCTCATTGTTTGTATTTGCATTTTTATGATTTTTGGTGGATTTAGCATCATTTTCTATGCTTAGTAACTGCTTGCCTATTCATATCCTTTATCCAGGTTTTTTGTTTTGTTTTGTTTCTTTTTGGTTTGGTTATTCATGTTTTCCTTATTAGTGTATTGGTAGTTATATGAGTTTTAACCCTTTGTCAGTGGCTAATTTGGAACTCCTCCACAGATCCCTGGGGGTTTCTTAGAGCAGCTGACTGGCTGGCAGAGCTCTCCATGGCCTTACCTCCCCTTCCTCTTCTCCGAACTCACACACACACTGATCGAACAGAATAGACCAATTATTACCTGCATTTCATGTTGGGCTTTGTGCTTGAGATTAAACAAAGGTTCCCGGGGCTAAACGTCTAAAAAACATTGCCATGGAATGAAGAGCCCTAGATTTTGTCATAAAGTCATCTGTCCTAGGCTCTACAATGTAGCATTTTCAAATTGGAAGAGCCTTCAGAGATTATTTTATTACCAACACCCATGTAATATAAATTATACAGTTAATATATGTTGATATACATGCAATACTGAAGAAATCTCTAATGCATTCTATATTCTGTAACAGTAATATGTATTTTATTATTTATAATAGCTTCAACATATATTGAAAACTAGAGGCACATACGTCTATAAACAGTGCTCAGGGCGTATTATTTTGGTGTTTATTTATTTATTAGGTATTTATTATTTTATTTAGTCCATAGATGATGCATTTATCTGAGAACTCCTCTGACTCAAGGCCCAGCAAGAATCTGCTGCCCACAGTTATGAGTAGCTGAACTGGGCCAAGCTTTTAATTCTATAAATAGCGAATCTATGTAGACACTCAGCTAGTTAGTACCAGAGTGGTACCCAGATCCGTGATGTCTTGACTCTTAGTACAGTGCACTTTTCCCCACTTTGCCATTCTTTGCTGGTGACCTTGGGTAGATCTTCTTAACTGCTCAGAGCTTCAGTTCTTCTCTCTTTTAATGAGAGTAATAATGCATGCATTGATATCCTGACTAGGATGGAGTTGGATAAAGACTGTTCTTACCTTTTGTGAATAGCATAGTATCTTACAGAATTGTGAGGAATTATCCAAGTAGCTATTGCCCCTCATCATGGTGTTAAAAGTAGGATTGCTAGTTTGAACGGTAACTGCAGGAATTCAATGTGTTTTGATTTTAGCATATTCCCGTATCATGTAGACCAGTGTTAATATTTTTAGTATTTTATCTTAGTTCTTTTTTTTCTGAAAGTCTTGATTTTTCCCAGTTTTATTTTTTAGATTTGAAAGAAAAAGAAAAAGGATGTAACTATGACTCTTATGTTTTCAATCTCTCTGAAATATAACAAAGTAATAACTCTAAATGGTCAACGTAGTAGTCTGAGGGCATTCTCTTGAATGCTTAGTTCTGTGTTACTTAGGATCCATTCATAGAGCATATTATTTATATTATGTGAGGTTTAACTCTTCATTATAACTCATGGAATCAATGATAGAAATGCAGGTTATTTATACTGTCAGTCCCAAGTATGTAATATTAAACCACCAAAATTCAGTTTAAGAAACTTGCAATAAGCTACCACTTGGCTCAAAGCAAGGAATTAGGATGGTCAGGTTGAACTTTCTTTATATATAAAGAACTGAGTCTCTGAAAAAGGAAAAAGACTTTTAAATGACATCCAGTGAATGTCTTTTTAAAAAATAATAGCTTTAATGGCTGGGCACGGTGGCTCACGCCTGTAATCCCAGGACTTCGTGAGGCCGAGGTGGGTGGATCACCTGAGGTCAGGTGTTCTAGACCAGCCTGGCCAACATGGTGAAACCCCGTCACTACTAAAAATACAAAAATTAGCTGGGTGTGGTGGCAGGTGCCTGTAATCTCATCTACTCAGGGGGGCTGAGGCAGGAGAATCACTTGAACCCGGGAGGTGGAAGTTGCAGTGAGCTGAGATTGCACCACCGCACTCCAACCTGGGGAACAAGAGCGAGACTTTGTCTCAAAAGAAAAAAAAAAGCTTTAAAATATATATTGCATATGGATAAATTTACATATCATAAAAGTATACTTGGCTAAGTTCTCAAAAGTAAACACACTTTTATAATCCCCACCCTAAAAAAGAAGGAACATTAGCAGTTAATTACTTCAGAAGTTTTCTTCATGACAACCTGGTTGTATGCCTTTCTTTTTTCCTAAAAGTGATCACTATCCTGACTTATAATAATACTATATATTAGATTAAAATACTTTTGTTGTATATGCTTTTTTTTTTTTTTTTTGAGACAGGGTCTCACTCTATTATTCAGGCTAGAGTGTAGTGGCACAATCTCAGCTCATTCCAACCTCCGCCTCCAGGGTTCAAGCAAATCTTGTGCTTCAACCACACAAGTAGCTGGGATTACAGGCTTGCACCACCACAGAGAGCAATTTTTAAAATTTTGACTAGAGATGGAGTTTTGCCCTGTTGGCCAGGCTGGTCTTGAACTCCTGGCCTCATGTGATCCACCTGCCTTGGCTAGGATTACAGGCATTAGCCACTATGCTCAACTTGTTGTATATGCTTTTATGCAGTTTTCTTTTGTTCTGTTATGTTCATGAGGTTCTTCTAACATTTTAAATATGGCCATAGTTTATCTTCTTCTAGAAGCTTTAATAATTTTAGGTGTTACTTTTAGGTGTTTTATTGTTTTGAGTTAATTTTTATATAAGGTGATCAAATTTTGAGTAAAGGTATTTTTCCCCCCATAGGGATGTCCAATTGTTCCAGCACCATTTGTTGTAATTTAATTAATCTTATGCAGATTGTAAATCAGATGCATGTTACAGACCATATAAACCATAGATGGGTCTATTTCTGGATTCTCTATTCTGTTCCATCAGTCTGTTAATATATGTCTGTCCATTCTCCAGTTCACACACTGTGTGGGCAATTATCATTTTGCAGCAAATCTAGAAATCAGGTAGTACGGTTTGTTCTGCTCTTTCAAAATTGTTTGGCTGTTCTAGTTAGTTCACCTTTGCATATAAATTTTAAAATTCGTTTGTCAGTTTTTACAAAAATCCTTCTGGGGTTTTGATTAGAATTGTTGAATGTAGGTGTAAATCTAGGGAGAAATTACATCTTAACAATAATTATGTCTTCCAGTTCATGAATATACATGTCTGTATTTATTTAGATTGTTAATTTCTTTAATTATTGTTTTATATTTTTCAGCGTAGGAATATTGTACATATTTCCTAAGGTTTATAATGAAGTATTCCATGTTTTGGGGTGCTTTTACAAATGGTGATTTAAAAATATGCAATTTCAAGTATTCATTGCTACTGTATAGATAAGATTGATCTTTGTATATTGCCCATGTGTGCTGTAACTTTGCTAAAATTATTTATTCTAGTAGCTTTTTTTTTATTCGGGGGGAGGTTTAATGAAAAAAATTATGTTTTCAATGTAGTGCATCTTTATATATATATATATATATATATATATATATATATATATAAAATGGAATACAATTCAGCCATAAAAAAGAATGGAATCATGTCTTTTGCAGCAACATGGATAGAACTAGGGGTCGTTATCCTAAATGAAATAAATTAGAAATAGAAAGCCAAATACTGCATGTGGTCACTTATAAATTGGAGCTAAACAATGGAAACATATGGACATACAGAATGAAATAAAGGTGGGAGGATGATGAGGGTTGAAAAAATACCTATTGGATACAGTCCAGTACTCACTCTTCGGTTTATGGGTGCACTAAAAGCCCAAATTTCACCACTACACAATATATGCATGTGAGAAATCTGCACTTGTACCCCCAAATATATAAACATTTTAAAAGATTTAAATTACATTTTCTGTGAGTAGAAACAGTTTCATTTCATTATTTGAAGTCATGCCTTTTCTGTTTCTTGCCCAATTGCCCTGGCTAGGGACTTTCAGTTAGTTGTTGAATGGAAGTGGTGAACATGAACATTTTTGCGCTGTTCCCAATATTAAGAGAAAACATTGAGTCTTTTGCCATTAAGTGTAATGTTAGAAGTAAGGTTATTGAACATGCTCTTTATTAAGCTGAGCAAGTTTCCTTCTTTTCATTAGTTTTCTGGGAGGTTTAATCATGAAAGTGTGTTGAATTTTGTCAATTGCCTTTAGACATAAGTTGGTATGATAATAAGACTTTTGTTCTACAGCTGGTTCATATGGTAGGTAACACTGGTTAATTTTTAAATGTTGTATCAGCCTTGCATTCCCAAGATAAACCCCACTTGGTTGTGTTGTACTACTCCTTTTGTGTGTTATTGGATTTAATTTGCCAGTAGTTTGTTGAGGATTTTTGCATTTGTGTCATGAGGTATACTAAACTGTGGTTTTCTTTTTTGGTAATATATTTGACTAGATTTGTTATCAGTGCAGTGCTGGCCTCATAAAAGGAATTGATGAGTTCCTTCCTCTCTTATATTCTGGAAGAATTTGTATGGAATTGGTATTATTATTTAAATGTTTGGTACAGTTTGCCAGTGAAGCCATCTGGACCTGGAATTTTCTTTGTTAGAAGGCTTTAATCTACAAATTTTATTCTTGTTAATTGACAGTTTGCATCTCTTAGAAAATTGGTCCATTTAATCTCATTTTAATGTCTGTAAGTACTGTGGTATTGTTTCCCTCTCATTCATGATATTTATAATTAATGTCTTATTTCTTTTTTTTCTTCTTGGTAAGTCTGAATAGAGTTTGTTGTGATTTTTTTTTCACAAAAGAATTAGCTTTTGGTTTCACTGAGATTTTCTCTATTGGTTTTCTGCTCTCAATTATATTGACTTCTGCTCTTTATTATTTTACTACTTTTGCTTGGCTTGGGTTAAGTTTGCTCTTCTCTTTCTATTTCCCTAAAGTTAAAGATTCAGTTGTTGAGTTGAGATCTTTTGTTTTTTTCTAATATGAACATCCAATTTCAAAGTACTGCTTAAGTTGCATTCTACAAATTTTGATATATTGTGTTTTCATTTTCATTCAAGATATTTTCTAATGTATCTAGTAATTTTTTTGACGCATGGTTTATTTAGAAATGTGTTATTTAATTTTTAAATATTTGGATATTTTTTCTAGGCCTTTCTGTTATTGTCTTTTAGTTTATTTCCTTGTGATCTGTGAACATGTTTTGTGTAACTTAAATTCATCTAAATTTGTTGAGGTTTGTTTTATGTGCTAGAAATATGGTATATCTTGGTTAATGCTCTGCACATTTCAAAAATATGTGTATTCTGCTATTATTAGGTGAAGTGTTCTATAGTTGTCAATTAGGTTAATTTGGCTAACAGTATTGTACAAGTTCTCTCTATTCTTACTGATTTTCTGTCTTCTTTTTCAGTAAATTATTAGAGGGATACTGAAACTTTGAGCATAATTGTAGGTTTGTCTATTTCTCCTTTCACTTGTATGGTTTTTGTTTTAATGTATTTTGAAGCCATACTGTTAAGTGCACATACATTAGGATTGTTATATCATCTTAACCCCATATTCAATTCCTTCCTTATTACATAATATGATTCTTTAACTCTGAAAATATTCTTGTTCTGAATTTTAGATAATATTAATTTAACTTTCTTTTATTAGTTTACAAAGTATTTTTCCAGCCTTTTGTTTTTAGTCTATCAATGTCTATATAATTGAAGTAGCTTGCTTTTAGACAGATACGTCTTTCATTTTATCCAATTTGACCATCTGTATTTTAATTTGTGTGTTTACACTATTTACATTTGATGTGATTATTGATATAGTTGGATTGAAATTCACAATCAGCTTTTGTTACTTTTCCATCTGCTATATTTTTCTCTTCCTGCCTTTCTTTGAATTAAATGTTTTTCACAATTCCATCTCATTTACACTATTTGTTTATTATTTATACTCTTGATTTTAATGTTAGTATTACCCTTTGATTTGCAATATACACCTTTAATTAACTAGAGTTTACCTTCAAATACTATTATATCACTGTCTGAGTAGTTTCAGGACCTTACAATTGTTACTCTCAATTTACTTACCATCTTTTCGTGTTCTTGTTGTCATTCATTTTACTTATATATATTCTATAAATACACAGCACATTGATACTAATTTTGCTTTAGAATGTTATCTTTTAGAGCAATTAAAAATAATGAGAAAGCTAATTCATTTCTGCTTTTTCAGCACTTTATTTTTTTGTATAAATCCACCTTTGTGTCTGATACCGTATTCCTTCTGCTTGAAGAGCTCCCTTCAATATTTCTTCAATTCTGTCCTGAAACAGTTTTTAATTCTCCTTCATTTGAAAACTATTTTTACCAAGTAGAGAATTGGTTGGCCTTTTTCCTTTTATCACTTTTAAGATGTCACTTCATTGTTTTCTCACTTGCATAGTTTCTGACAAGAAGTCTGCTGTCAATGTCTTTCTTGCTTTCAATGCAGTATGAATTTTTGTTTTCTGACTGATCTCAAACTTTTATCCTTTGTCTCTTTTCTAACAGCTTGAAGCTATGTTTATTAGGGTTTTTAGTTTTAGTTTTCTGGTTTTAGTTTTAGTGTTTGTATATATCCTGTTTGTCAGTCCCTTAATTTCTTGGCTCTTCTATCTTCAGTTGGTTGTTTATTCTTTAGAAGATAGCCAATATCTCTTCAATTTTTATTTTGTTTTGGTGGTTTGTTGCCTTCATTCTTTTATATTTTCTCTTTGGAGTTCTAACTACATACAGGCTTAATATTTTTCTATAATTCTTTGATGCTCTGTTCTCTTACTTTTCACTCTTTCTATAAATTTCTATTGACCTATCTTTAAGTTTACTAATTCTTTCCCCAGTTGAGTCTGCTTATGAGCCTATTCAAAGTATTCTTCTTCTCTGTTACTATGATTTTCATTTCTAGCATTTTCATTTTATTTTCATAAGACAGAATGAGAAATATTCTCATATGACAGTCTCTATATCTTTGAGATCATGCAAATTTTCTTCCTTTTTCACTAGAGCCTTAAACATTAATCATAGTTATTTTAAATTCCCTATCTGATCAATCCAACATCTGTCTTATTTCTGAGTCTATTTCTGTTTGTTGCTTTGTCTCTTGACAGTGTGTTGTTATTTTTACTTCTTGGTATGCCAGGTAAGTTTTTGTTAAAAGCCAGACATATTATATAGGATAATAAAGATAGGCTAATATATTTCACACCTGTAAATGAACATGCCTTTTCTTTTGTTAGGCCTTTAGTGTGGGGTGTTTGTGTCAATCTTGTCAGAAGTTGGCCTTGATTTGAATTTTTTGTTGTTGTTGTTGCTGTGATTCCCCTTAGTGCACCACAGATTTCAAATATCTCTAATGTTACTTTGTCTTTGTGGTGAGGAGTGGTTTTCCAAAAGGACTTTCTCAGTATTTGCTCCACCCTCAGATTTAGATCTTCTTTTTGTGCCTGTACCACAGAGACAACTTCTTTTTTTGTCTGTCTCCCAAATTTTGCACTGTTGGTGGGAATGTAAATTAGTTTTGTGGTTGAACTTGATTGCTGTTACTTTTTACTTGATGCTTTTGAGGCAGAGGGACATTTTCTGCTGTTACCTTCAGTTTTAGAGAGGCAGTGTGGCTGTGAGTCTCCGAAGCAGGCTGTTTCAGTGATCCTGCCTCTCCCCGGGACTAAAATCACTTCTTATTCTTTTCCCCTACCTATGATGAGTTATCACTGGTGCCCTAAGAGCCACAAGACTCACTGTTATTTTCCTGGGGCTGAAGACCTTTATTCCAAAGGGACAATCCGGGAGAAGTATATGGGCAGGGCATTAAGCCTTTCCCAGAGCTGCTGCTGTTCCGCTCCTGAAGCCTGCACCACAACAGATACTTTATCAGTACTCTTTTTTGCTTTTTATTTTATTCTATTTTACTTTAAGTTCCAGGATACATGTGCAGAACATGCAGGTTTGTTACACAGGTATATGTGTGCCCTGGCGGTTTGCTGCACCTATCAACCCGTTGTCTAGTTTTAAGCCCCACATACATTAGCTATTTGTCCTGATGGTCTCCCTCCCTTTGCCCCCATCCCCCAACAGGCTCAGATGTATGTTGTGCTTCTCCCTGTGTCCATGTGATCTCATTGTTAAAACTCCCACTTATAAGTGAGAACATGCAGTGTTTGGTTTTCTGTTCCTGTGTTAGTTTGCTGAGGATGATGGCTTCCAGCTTCATCCATGTCACTGCAAAGGACATGACCTCATTCCTTTTTATGGCTGCATAGTATTCCATGGTGTACATGTACCACATTTTCTTTATCCAGTCTATTATTGATGGACATTTGGGTTGGTTCCATGTCTTTGCTATTGAAAAATAGTGCTGCAGTAAACATACAGGTACATGTGTCTTTATAGTAGAATGATTTATATTCCTTTGGATATATATCCAGTAATGAGATTATTGGATCAAATGGTATTTCTGGTTCTAGATCCTTGAGGAATCACCACACTGTCTTCCACAATGGCTGAACTAATTTACATTCCCAACAACAGTGTAAAAATGTTCCTATTTCTCCACAGCCTGGCCAGCATATATTGTTTCTTGACTTTTTAATAATCGCCATTCTGACTGTCATGAGATGGCATCTCATTGTGATTTTGATTTGCATTTATCTAATGATCAGTGTCATTGAGCTTTTTTTCATGTTTGTTGACTACATAAATGTCTTCTTTTGAGAAGTGTCTGTTCATATCCTTTGCCCACTTTTTGATAAAGTTGTTTGGTTTTTTCTTATAAATTTGTTAAGTTCCTCTAGATTCTGGATGTTAGACGTTTGTCAGATGGATAGATTGCAAAAATTTTCTCCCTTTCTGTAGGTTGCCTGTTCACTCTGATGATAGTTTATTTTGCTGTGGAGAAGCTCTTTAGTTTAATTAGATCTCATTTGTCAATGTTAGCTTTTGTTGCAGTTGCTTTTGGCATTTTCCTCATGAAATCTTTGCCCATGCCTATGTCCTGAATGGTATTGTGTAAGTTTTCTTCTAGGGCTTTTATGGTTTTGGGTTTTATATTTAAGTATTTAATCCATCTTGAATTAATTTTTGTGTAAGATGTGAGGAAGGGGTCCAGTTTCAGTTTTCTGCATATGGCTAGCCAGTTTTCCCAGCACCATTTATTAAATAAGGAACCCTTTCCCCATTGCTTGTTTTTGTCAGGTTTGTTGAAGATCAGATGGTTGTAGATGTGTGGTGTAAATTCTGAGGTCTCTGCTCTGTTCCATTGGTCTATCAGTACTCTTATTCTGCCTCAGGTCTTTCGTGTGAGCATCTGCTGAGATCTGAGGAAAAGAGTATAAATTAAATTCCGCTTCTATCTGCACTGCCCAAAGATTCTGTGTTTTAATACTACCCTACAACTAGTCTCTTGCAACTGGTTAATAACTGTAGTTTTTTTTTTCTGTTACCAATAGTATGGCATTCAGAGGCCTTAAGGCAGTAAGGCATCTGCCTTAGTGTTCTGCAAGTGTTCACATCCTGTCTCTCCTCAGAGGCATCTATCTTTCCTTAGATTTCAGGTTACAGTAGTTTCCCCAACTCCCACTTATCAGTAGTTTTGCCTTCTGCAGTCTCAGTTACCCATGGTCAACCACAGTCCAAAAATAGGTGACTACATTACAATAGTCATGTAGAGACTATTGTCTCTCTACAAAGAGAGAGAAAGAGAGAGAGAGAGAGAGGGAGACCACATACATGTAACTTTTATTACAGGATATTGCTATAATTGTTCTACGTTATTATTAGTTATTGCTATTAATCTTTTTTGTGTCTAATTTATAAATTATACTTTATCATAAGTATGTATGTATAGGAAAAAACAGTATGTATAGGGGTTAGGTTGTATCCACAGTTTCAGTATCTACTGGTGGTCTTGGAAGGTATCTTCCACGGATAAAAGGACACTACGGTAGTTGGTTGTTCTGCAGCCTCAGTTCTCTATGGATTCAAAACCAGTTTTAGATTTGCACACTGTCTGGCTTGTTTTAAATTATTGTATGGGTGGGAGTGGTGCTCCTTTCATTTTCTCCATCTTGTACAGAAGCCATAATTATTTTCAATTCTATATAATTTTTGATTGAATGAAAAATACCATAATTTTTTTGTTCTATTAGTAGACATTTGAATTATTTATGGTTAGGTTCATGACAACAAGGAATGCTTCTATGAGCACATGTCTTTTGGTGTACATATATAAAATATTTCTCAAGGGTATAGATGTAGGAATGGAATTCATTAATTGTAGGAGAATACATACGACACACACACATGTATGAGTTATAGGGTATATATATATGTGCATATAATGATTTCAGTAAATTATTGATATAAAAATTTTCAATGAAGTATAACTCATAGAAAAGTGTACCTATCTTAAGTGGCCATAGGATATCATTTAGACTGTAACATAAGAGAACTATAGATATTCACATCCCCAAGCATTAACTGAGAACCTGTTATACAGTGGGCATTTAGGAAATGAAAAGTGAAGGAAAAGTTACTGACCTTAGGGGTCTTGAAAGCGAGAAAATGATTAAGTGCTGTATACACACACACACACACACACACACACACACACACGCACACACGCTCAAAGAGTAGGGAGAGAAAAATTATGATTGGGGAAATCAATAAAAGCATATTGGAGAAGACATCATTTGATATTAACCTTTAAGTATAGCAGTGTAGATAGTGCGTAAGAATTGGATTATAGAACTTAGTCATTATGTTAGGAAAGAAACCTATGGCCTTGTTTTATAGCAATTACTGGGGATATCCAGGTCTTTTGCACTGGAAGAAATAATCTTAGAACCATTTATTAAGGACAGACCCTTACAGATCATGGGGTCCAAAACTGTCTTGGGGTCGAAAACTTTCTCATCTTATAGATGAGGAAACTGAGGCTTAGGGAAGGGAAGGGACTTGCCTGGGGTAAATTTTTGCTAGTAAATGTACTTAATGAGATCTCTCAGTTACACTGAAACGTTTGAGTATTGGAACATTGTGCTTTTGTTGTTTTCTTTTTCTTTAAATCCTTAAAAAAGTTGTGGATACATAGTAGATGTATATATTTATGGGGTACATAAGATGTTTTGATATAGACATGCAATGCATAATAATCACATCACGGAGAATGGGGTATCCATCTCCCTTCAAGCATTTGTCCTTTGTGTTGCAGATCATTAGAATATTGTCTTCATCATTCTTTTATTCCCCACCAAAGTTTTTGTAAGGTAGTAAGAGGATCTTTGTGGAAAGAATTCTTATTCCCTTACGTTCCTCCTGGTCTGTTCCTAGGTCAAGGTTGAGTACGTTTATAGATATTCTATAAATATATTTTATTTTCAACATTAAGTGTAGTTCATAT
Organism: Homo sapiens; assembly: GCF_000001405.40. Classification (NCBI taxonomy): domain Eukaryota; kingdom Metazoa; phylum Chordata; class Mammalia; order Primates; family Hominidae; genus Homo; species Homo sapiens. The sequence goes on from NC_000003.12 coordinate 188,812,173, forward strand.
AGTTGATGATCTAAGCAATAAGAAATAAAGTAAAATCTGGATAATTTTGGTTACTCTGCTTTTCCTCTGTGTGTTTCAACTACAAAATTCCTCACTACAATGCTCCCCAATTCCTTTTATTGGTGCTTGCAGTGCCAGTGGGCAAACTGAATTCTTCATGCAACCAAAGAATTCCAAAAACGTATTTCTTGCAGCTAGCATAAATCTCCAGTTCCACAATGGTAGCAGTGGTGGATTTTACCCAATGTTTTAATGATGAATGTAATCAGAACATAAAAAGATCTAAATGCATACTTTGAAGGAATTTGCAAAAATGACTAGAAGAACTGAAAAAAGCACAATTCAGTTTGTTTCTTTAGCATCTGTGTTTATCTTTCCCCTTCTCTTGTGCATATTGAGGATGTTTTAAAGATTATATTTTTAAAACCAAATAAATAGTTTCCAAAATGTTCACTGATGGGGTAAATTAGCGTTCTCTTTGTAGATGTAATTATTAAATAAATTCAAAGGACTAACCCTAGAATGACATTTTTCCCTCATTCCTGGGTAATTTTTGAGATTTCCCCTCATGCCCAGGAGCTAATTATACTCTCTCACTCTCCCTCTCTCTCTCTCTCTCTCTCGCTGCAGCTTTCTGTATGTGTGTGTGTGTATTATATCTAAGAAATTTTACTCCAAACATCTAACATTCTGGGTACGGGTTTGATTTGGGGAAAAAATTACACTTTTTTTTTTATCCTTTAGCTTTTCTCCTTAAAAAGTATCAGTGAGGGCAGGGAAAGGGAAGGAGAATGGACCCAAACTAATAAAAGGATTGATCAGTGATTATGAACAAAATATAGCTTCTGTATTTCCACTCACTCAGTATGAAGTTTGCTATTATTTTCCCCAATTCCTGGAGCCAGTTATTGCAGCAAATTTAGCATTTGGAGCTTATAGACTCATGCTAGACAGACACATATAGAATTTACGAATCGAATTAGAAAAATGGTCTTTGAATAATATAAATTGTACTCCATGTATATTTTTATATATGAATGAACCTACTGGACTCCAGTGAGATTAGCAAATACCTTAGCTATTTCATTGCAATAAAAACCATTTTTCAGTCACTCATGTCCCTCTGGGTTCTTCAGTGATATTATTTGATGTATGCTTTATTCTGTGCCATTTATTGTACTGAGTATTTTGCATGAATGATCTTATGTAATCATCAGTAATCTGTTAAATCAGTATCATTATTATTCTTGTTTCATTGATATTGAAATATAAAAGTAGGTTATCATAAATTAAAAGGCTACGGGTAGTGATAAAATTTTATTCCAGGTAGTATCTCCAGAATATGAATTCTTAATCACTACTCGTGTTTATTCATTCCACATGTCACTGAATGCCTACTATGTCTAGCAAAGTTCTAGATTCTCTTGTAGTTGCATTACTCAGTTATTGGCTAGATAACCCTAAACACTGCAGAAAGCTGCACTCTGCCCCCTTGGGATTGCCTGGCTCCATAAGATTATTACCGTTGCTGAGTTTGGGGACCCACTTGAGCAAATCTAGCATACTTAAAAGGAAGTTTTTATTCTGGAGAAGTTTTGTTAACAAAACATCTATTGGCTGGGCAGAGTGGCTCATAACTGTAATCTCAGCACTTCGGGATGCCAAAGTGGGCAAATCACCTGAGGTCAGAAGTTTGAGACCAGCCTGGCCAACATGGTGAAACCCTGTCTCTACTAAAAACACAAAAAAATTAGGTAGGTATGGTGGTGCACGCCTGTAATCCCAGCTATTCAGGAGGCTGAGGCAGGACAATCACTTGAACCGGGGAGACAGAGGTTGCAGTGAGCCGAGATTGTGCCACTGCCCTCCAGCCTGGGCAACAAAGTGAGACTCTATCTCAAAACACAAACATACACACATACATACAGACCCACACACACATACAGACACACACACACACGTCTATTTAGCATCTGTCCCAGGCAGTGCTTCTCAATAGCATGTTAATAGATGCTAAAGGACCTTTAGTTAGGAGGTCAACTGGTCTACCTCTGTCACTTAGTAGACAAGAAGGTTGCCCTAAAATATACACTAAGACAGTATGCATTACAAAAAAGCCACAATAAGGACATAGCTTAGGAGAAATGTTATGATCTCTCTTCACCAGTCTCCTTATATGACACTGGTTCAATTCAGAAGTAGAGGTGAAGATAGTTAATATCCTAGGAATAAATGTTAAATCTCCCTTCCCCTTTCCTCACAGTATTATAGTCAATTCTCATAAGGAAATGGCCCTAAGTTACAACATTAAGCTTTTCTATTCACTTCTAATAACTGAAATTCCGCCCAACTGCCTCCTCACTTGAATTCCATGTACTTTTTTTCCAAATAAATTAAATGACTTTCTCTAAGTCAAATGCTATTAAAATTCTTGTTGTTCCTCAAACTCTGCTTTCTTGTAGTATCAGGTTTATTGTGACTTGAATGAGACTTATTTGTAAATGGATGTATTTTCCATTCCATCTTGCTCTTGCATACACACACATACACTGAAATTCAGACTTTTCTGCTAGCTCTTAGAAAACAAAAGCAATGTGTGATTCATGTGTCACCCACTGTGGGAAGTTGGATGTTGCATTGCATTTGTCTCTCAGTCTTAAAAGTCAATATGGCAAAGTCATTAGCGGCAGAGCCCAGAAGATATCCCTGCCCATGAGCTGTGGAGATCTGGACAAGTTACTTTACCCAACTCCAAGACTCAGTGAATGCTCTTATCCGTAAAATGGGGACAATGATAATATGTCTTCCTCCCTTTGGGTATTTGATGATTAAATGAGAAAACACGTCACACAGTCAATTCAGTGCTTCGCGCACAATAAAAGCTTAATAAATACTAGTTATGATTATGTTTAGCCAACATGTGTTGGCATCTGACACTAAATAAATACTTGTCCAATGGAAATGACCAGAATTTAGTGCCCCTAACACTTCACTGTAGTATTTGCCATATGGATAAGCAATCTTTATTATGCTATTTGGATTTAGTTCCAAAGCTAACCCCACCTCCTTATATTGAAGCCAGCTCCTAGGCCACCTGGATAACTTTTCTGGCATTTCAATGAACACACCAATACAATACAAGCATAATTAGACTTTCTGGATTTTAGATCTATTCTCAAGTATATATTGTATAGAGAACCAAGATGTTCAAGGACTGTAGAGCCAGTTATAGGTTTGGTTTTAAAGCACTTCATCTTAGACTCATTTCCTTTCTGGCTGATGTTAGTTAAAATAATATAAGCCTGGGCTTAAGATTGTATCTCTGAGTGAGACAAAATAATAGATGATTCTATCTCCCTTTAGAAAAAAAAGAAAAAAAAAAAGCAGCAGCAGCAGTAATTGACTCTTACGCTTAGGCAAGAACTCCACAATGGATTTGTTGGGGAAAAAAAAAATGTTTTCCTGCTTGTATGTGTTGGTTTAGATTTTCTGTTGTATGTGTGTTGTGAAAGAAGACTTTGGATAATTATTGCGATTTTCCAAGCAGCTGGTCTTCCAATGGCATTGTTACAGGGTCAGTCTATTTTCCTTTAATCTGACCATAATGTCATAGAACACTGGCTGTTTCTTTGGCAACTGTTCAGGGAAGACTAGCTGTTTTCTCTACCTCAAGCCAATGGTGGACTGCAGGCAGGTTCTCCTGCAAGCCACAGGGAAGCAGTTTTCATTACTGGGGTCTTTGTATCAACAAATCACTTATTTCACTGTGATTCTGTTGAGACAGGATCCGAAAGTAAATTTCATAAGAAAAAAATGATTATACATCAAGCTCAGGTGACTTTAAAATTTTTCCTTTACATTGAGTAAAGTTTCTGGCCACTTTTGACCTTTTTTTTCAAATGACATTATTGATATGAAATCAGAAACTATAACTGATAAACTACAAACTGCTGTATAGACACTTTTCTACACAATGGTCATTGCTTTTATTCTTTATCTAAGCCTGAATTGTAAGGCTTCCTTCTCTTTTTTTTTTTTTTTTTTTTTGAGATGGAGTCTCGCTCTGTCGCCCAGGCTGGAGTGCGGTGGCACGATCTTGGCTCACTCCAAGCTCCACCTCCCGGGTTCACACCATTCTCATGCCTCAGCCTCCCGAGTAGCTGGGACTACAGGCGCCCACCACCATGCCCGGCTAATTTTTTATATTTTTAGTAGAGACGGAGTTTCACCATGTTAGCCAGGATGGTCTTGATCTCCTGACCTGGTGATCCACCTGCCTTGGCCTCCCAAAGTGCTGGGATTACAGGCGTGAGCCACCATGCCCGGCCTGAATGATTCCTTCTCATCTTCTGGGAGGTTTTTCTGACTTGCTTTCTCAATTCCACTCTCTTAGGCAGAGCTTATACCTCCCTTCATGTATGTTACATGTACATGTATTGAGTCAGTGCATCCTCCTAATGAAACTTTTCCTGAGATCTCTCTTATTTACTTTCTTCCTTTTCTGAAATTCTCTGCTATTTAGATTCAGTGCCAAAGAAATTGACATTTTTATTTACTTGCTGAGGAATAAACAGAACTCGAAAGGATTTGGGAACCCAAGACCAAGTTTTATGAAATAACTAATCTTGTCTTCCTAAATACTATAAAAATCTTATATAATCCCTAATACTTAGCATAGTGCTAAGCACCGAATAGGAATACAAGAAATATTGCAATGATCTGAATTGCTTACAAAATATTGACAACAACTTCTTCATTGGTAAAGAAAAGCTGCTTTTGACCTTTTTTTCTTCCTCAAGAGTAAGTAGTGAGAAGCATAAAGTACCCAAGAGTTTCTTTGCCTTTTTGATTGTTGCATGGAAACAAGTATTTGCAAATAATTAAGATGGGAAAATTTGGCTCCTTGAAAAGGCAGGACTGCTTTCAGATATATTTGAAATGAACTTATACAGAAGCCAACATGGTTATCAGAGCAATTGGGTCTATTTCCTATCATCTCTTCATGATATCTTGTAAAAATGCCCTGTGTTGAGAGCACTGGTGATCATAGCAGTGGGGTTGGAGTAGAATCTGGTGCGTTTCTTCCTCTACAGATCTCCTAATAGCACTTGCCCTGTTTTCACAGAGCCTTATCAAAGTTTGATGTAGACTCCAGTGTGTAGTAGTGGGCAGTGACCTACCAGATGACCTCTTTGAACAAGAGCTAGTTTGAGCCAGTGTATAGCTCTGAATCGATGGAAGATCCATTTTCAAATTTCAAAAGGGCTGTTAAAACACTTAGTTCTGTATTATAGAGATACACAAATGGATATAACAAACTGGATGTCTCTTCTGCAGCTGTTTCAATTCGTATGCCATGTTTTCTATCCTTCTTGCTCCTGGCAATTTTCTTTCCTGAAGCATATCACACCTTCTTACATTTGACAAGCATTTTCACAGCTACTGCCACTCCCTGCTGCCAAACAAAACCCAGCCCTGTTTGAATTCTTGAGGGCTGAGGGATGGAGAGGAGACCTGTTTGACTTTGAAATGGTTTTAACGTCACTTTGTATACAGAACAAAAATGGAAAACCAGATCCTGTGTTTGTCTAAAAACTAAAATTTCAAAACCTAACCTGAGGTGGAGAAACAGATACTACAGGGCAAGGAAATGTCTGGGCTCACCGCAAAGGAATGCAGCAAGGGAACCACCTGCAGACACCTGTTTAAGAGTTTACGTTTTTGTTCTTCCACACGATTATTATCTTAGTATCTCAACTGGCTATACATGCTTTTAGGAAAGTTGCAGGGATCATATTCTAAGGCGTATCAAATATGTTCAGAGTGCAAGCATGAGCAGAATCTCTCCTCTCTGCTAGTGAGGTCCTGTAGGTCTACAAGTTACTAACTTCAGGCTTACAGAATGTTAGAAGTAACGGGTGCATATCCTGTAATCAATCCCGGTATTGAGCAAACAGGCACAAATGACACCCAGCAAGAAAAATGACTTGCTCAAGACACCACAGCAAGTTCATGGTTTTCTGAACTGAATTCCAAGTTTCATAACTTCTAATTAATCCTCCTTTTTTTCCCCCAGTACAGCTAATATGCTTTTTGTGAATAATAACATATAATAGGTGTAATCTGTCAGAACTATTTAATAGTTGATAGTATGTATCCTCAGTTTATTGAGGTTCAAGCTCTTCTGAGTATTATAATACTTTCTATTGGTATTTTCTCTCTTGAGCTATTCCCTACCTTGAATCTTTCAGACTAGAGATTTCAGAAGATTACGTAGTGTCTGTGACTTCAACTACACATGGATAGTCCACAGGACTCTGGACTTTCACGGTTCCATGTCAGTTGGACAGGTGTTACTCTAAGGCCCTGCAAAAATATAAAGTAGTTTGAGAATCACTCTCCTGTTAATCTTCAGTAAAATTCTGAGCTATTTATATGTGAGATTGAGAGGCAGCTTGGTAGGATGGAAAGAGTTTAGACTTTGTAGTTCTACTGCCCCAGGTTTGTATCCCAGCTTTATTTCCTAACAGTGTAGCCTTGGGCAAATTGCTTAACCTCTCCGAGGCTCAGTTTCTTCAAATAAAAAAATGGAATAAGCCTTCCCTTGCAGAGTTGTTAATATTATATGAACGTTATATATGTGAAGTGCCCAACTCCTTGCAAATACCTAATATACACCAGCTTCCTTCCCAGGCTTTTGCTGGTCAGATCTGGTTTCCACTTAACTTTGGCTGTTGGAAGATAAGATAATTTATTATGAAGATAATTGTCTGGTAATTGTCATGAGAATTCAGTTGATGATAATTGAATGATTTGTTTACCTTTCTGTCTAAAGAGTTGCAACTCATGGGGGTCGTGTGTGTGTGTGTGTGTGTGTGTGTGTGTGTGTGTGTGTGTGTTACTTACAATGTTTTTGCCATCTCTTCCTGTATGACAGTATTTGATTAGTCAGGTCTTAAAATGCTAAACACTTTATCCTTTTCTTTTAATTTCAATTTTAGATTTTGGGGGTACATATGCAGGTTCGTTACAAGATTGTATTGTGTGATGCTGAAGTTTGGGCTTCTATCGATCCCATCATCCACACTGTGAACATAATACCTGACAGGAAGTGTCTCAGCCCTTTCTCCCCCTCCTTCCTTCCTTCCTTTTGGATTCCCAAGTGTCTGTTATTCCCATCTTTACATCCATGTGTACCCAAGTTTTCGCTATAAAGAAAAAAAAAACCCTGAATACCTATTGCATGCCTCACTGTAGAGGCTACAGGATTCACAAAACAAGGCCCCATACCCTGGGCATTGATAAAAGGAAGGAAAAATGTAGCTTTCAAAAAAATGAAAATTGACTTTGTTGAAGGGTATTGTAATAGAATCATAAAACTGAGTGAGGAAGGAATGTATTCTAACTACACAATTAGGGAATACTTTGTGGAGGAGGTGGGTTCTGGATTTTGAAGACGGAGTATGATCTTTGACAGATGGTGTTCGGTGGGAATGAGGAAAAAGAAAGGTGAGCTTCAGCCAGGGATTGGAGGTGGAAAAAATGAACACATGGGTGGCGATGATTCAGGCAGAGGGGCAGGAATGTGAAGGAACTAAGACATAAAAGTAGAAAGACAGTTTAGGCCTGGTTTATGAGGGGGTCTTTGAATGGCAAACTCACCTTTGGTGGTCCACGGGAAGGTTTGTTAGAACTGCAGGAGTGTGCCCAAACCTATATGTCAAGCCACTAACTGCCAGCCATCAGTTTGAAAACCGAAGCAATTAAGATCGCTGTCCATCTTACCTGAAAGGGAAGCTTTGCACTCTAACTTGAAGTAGCCTAGAAATTTCAGAAGGTTACATAGTGTCTGTGACTTCAGCTACACATGGATAATCCACAAGACTCTGGACTTATTTTCACTGTTGTGTAATAGGGTTAGTTTTGTTTTTAGCAGATTCTCCCAAGGAAGTGTGGTAATCACATTTCTCAAACCATTACATTAACTGCTGTTAGCAATAAATTATTGCTTATGTGCTAAAAGTCAAAAAAAGCTTTTCCCCTTTGGAACTTCTTTACTATACTCCCTGATATGTTTTGCTGTCCTAGAAACTGGTGTTTGTGTGTGTGTGTTTGTGTGTGTATGTGTGTGTGTGTGTGTTCAATTGAGTCAAGAACAGAGGAGAGGAGACTCAGGCTGAAAATGTCAAGTTATTTTGAGTCAAATATTTGTACATTTACTTTGGAAGTTATCACTAAAAAACAAAAAGTGTGTGTCTCTTTGTGTCTGTATCTGTGTGAATCTGTGTGCACTCATTGGTATAAAAGGAGGAATACTCTTCTCAAAAGTACACACCAATGTTCTTGTCCAAAAGCCTACTTTCATATATGTGAATGTGAATTCCTACATTCTGTGTGTTTGCTTCTCCTCACTATAGCCCATTTCTAACATATCCCAACTTAATTTCCTAAATCTGTCCTATCTACATACCACAAAGTGCTTAACTGAGAAATTAACTTCTGTGTTACAGATAAATGGAAGTTAGATTAAAAGGATAATACATTTTCATTTTTAGTGTTCTTAAATAATCCTTTTTATTGTAAATAAATATAACGTTAACTCCGATAAGTCCAGACTACTTCACTGAGTTCACCACCGAAATGTTTTCACAAAATCAGCATCGTTATACCTTGGCTTTTATAAGAAGTTAGTATACGAAACTTGTATAGGAAAATGTCTCTGTATTATCTATGAAACTGTTAATAAATATGTTTTCCATCATGTCCATGTCATCGTTTACATATACGAGATGATTTCCTCTTAGAATTCATTCTAAACTTCTTTAACAGAAATTATCTTTTTTTGATTCATATTCTCCCTTTTGTCCTGGTTACCAGACAGCACAAGTGACCATCATGTTTAGATTTCTGATACAGTTCTCTCTTCCATTCCTCTCTGTAGCCTCTGATTTTTTTTTCAGACTTCAGTTGGAAAAATCCTAATGAATGTAACTTTTAGTTACAGGTTGAATTCTTTTGAATGTGTATATTTAAAATAAGTAATGCACATAGTTAAAAAGAAACATGTTTTTAAAACAGTGGTTCTCAATTATAGCTAAATATTTAGAATTATCTGGATGGTTTTAAAACTCTGATACCCAGGCAGCATCCTAGATCACTCAAATCAGAATATCTGGGTTTGGTCACGGACATCAGTATTTTTTTTTTAAAGCTGCCCAATGTCATTCCAATGTTAAGATTCATTGTTTTAGATATTCTTTATTATGATGTTCATCATTTTTACAGAAACACATTTCCAAAAGGATAAATTTCAAAATCACCTGTAAACCCATAATTTATTATAAGTCACTCTTAACACCTAAAAATAGCTAACCTGCTAACCTTTTTCTTTTGCTTTTTCCTTCTTCTTTTAAACTAAAATTACAATAATATATGTGCATATATAGTGAATGTATTCATTTATATATTAGACACAATTTACATATTTATGCTTATATATATATGGCATACATGTACACGTTACAATATGTGTATTTGTTTTATTCCAAATCTGTTTTATTCTCAGAGACATTTTCCCATATCTTCCCAGATATATTTTCTGAGAACCTGGTTTTTAATGCTTGTATAACATTAATACTTGTAGTTAGACCATTTTTTTTACTCATTCTTCTATTCTTACATATTAATGTTGCAGACAACATCCTTAAACAACTTTTGTGTGACTAATCCAATTTTTTTCCTTGGGAATAAATTATGATCTATTGATTTATTTCTATGTGGGCTGAATTTTGTCCATAAGAATGAAAATGGTAGCCCCCTAAGATGCTGTTTGCTCCCTGATATCTCATTTTTCTCTAGAATACGAAGGAATGGCTGTTTTCTGCTCTTCCTAAAGATTCAGGATGTAATAATATACTGTCACAGGTTTCAGAAGCATGGGACCTTGGCACCGAAAGGGTCTCTACTAGCTAAGTTGTCTTGGAAATGAGTGGGTCCACTTCCTCTTCTGATACAGGAAGAACAGGGAGGTCATTAAATGATGACGGGGCTCTTTGAAGTGAAATGAAGCAACATTGGAGGGTGTAGCATGTAAAAACTCTCTTCTCGGATACAAAAAAAATTGAGCTACTTGGGCTAGGAGAAGTGAGCCTGGATTTGGAGGCTTAAGGTTTCAGGAAGGTCTGAGACAAACTTAAGAAGAAATGCATCAAGAGGGTTGGAAGGGACAGACGATTGATGAGAGCACTGAAATTCCAGTGTGATTTGGGTCACCCGTGTGACATGGCATATATTTATGGGATACCTGGAAAATAAGGGAGAAACAAGACATCTATCTCTGTCACACTTTGGGGAAGTATACGATTAAGTTCCACACTCTGTGGTGGAAAGAATGTCCTGGAGGCCCCCAGTCTTTCTCACTGTGATGCCATGCTCATTTGATAACCTCATAAACACATTTCTGTTCTTATTGCCTTACCCATTCTGATGCACTGATCATTTTTTAGGCCATGTGAACAGGGCAGAGCTTGTCATTATGCCTGGGACATAGTGGGCATTCAGTAGGTGTTTGTTGAATGGAAGAAGCAGGCACAATCACAGCTTTCCCTTCTGGTGATCTGCTTTATGATACAATTTCCAGGAATGCATTGTGTCTAAAATTGGGGACCATATGTACAGGAAATTCTTTCTTATGTCAGTGTGAAATCCCTCCAAAGTAAATCCCCCTTTATGGTTTTTTATTGGTGTTTATTCTTTTTTAATACAGAAAACTGTAAACTTTTTATTAGGGCAGGTTTTTTTGTGCAAAAGCCTTGTCATGGGCTAGATGACATTTCTTTTCCTGTAGAGATACTTGGACATTTTATAATTCAATTACTTCCTTCCAAAAGCCATATTTAGAATTCCAGCCAATCTGTGAGCCAGAAAGGAGTGAGCCAGTATAATAATCAAGGTAATGTGGCAAGAAGGTGTGAAATTTCTTAGCCTTTCTAGAAGAGATGGGTGAAAATAAATGTTTTCAGGGTCAGTAAATAACTTTCCCCTAGTAGCCAGACAGAAAGCATCTTACTTTGCTCAAGCTGGACCTTTGTCATTTGAAGGATCTCCTCCTAATGCCATCTAAGCTTGAGAGGTTCATATGGCTGCAGCATGGTTTATCTTGCTGTTTAAACATTGTGTCCATTCAAGCTCCATTGTAGACCTTTCTTTTAAAGAGAGTTCACCCTGGGATATTAAATAAAATGGAATTTGGATGGAAAGTTGGCATCCCAGTTCGGAACCAATTTTTATTGGGCACAGACTTGGGGGGAGCAGAAAAAAACAAACACAAAGTCTATGTTGTAAATGATAATAAAAAAAGAATAAGTAAAACAAATGAAAATGTTTCGTTTTACTAAGGCTTTTTTGCATTCCCATGACTTCAAAATACTTTTGCATTTTATGGCAATCTATAACTGCTTTAGTATAGACAGACAAAGAACAAATAAAGTTACATAAATGCAGAGAATAACAGAAGAAATATGTAGAATGACAGTGGTCAGTTGGTAAAGATTCTATTGGAGGTTTTGGAGGTTTTTGCATAATTTGTATTAGTCCAAAAATATTATGAAATTAATAATAAATTTTAAAGTGTATACGTTTCTTAATGTCTTCAACTTGCCAATTCTGTTGTTAGTCATAAACTTTTATATTCCTCCCTATGTTTATCTTTCCCATCTCTCCGGCTTGCTTTTGTTATTACTGTTGCTGATTCTCAAAACCATTAGATCTTAAGTATATTCCACTACCAAAGTCATTAATTTTAAGGAGAAAATGGGAAGTTAGAAGCCATGATTTTACTTATAATAATCCATTTGTCTCATACTTTCATCTCAAAAATATGTATTTAAGTAGAAAGAGAGCCAGAAAAATAACCGAGAGAGTTATATTGTAATTCTGGCTCTACTGTATACTAGTAGTGTGATTTTAAGTTGGTAATTTATCCTCTGTAGCCTCAGCATTGTCTTCTGAAAAGTACGTTCACTCATTCGGGTGGCGTGAGATTTAAAAGAAATGACTCCTGGTAGAGTAGAATGAAGTAGAATGTAGAATGCGGTAGCAATAGAATGAAGACATGAGTATTGATGATGTAGCACTGGACTGTGCTATATGATAGTTACCAGCCACATGTGGCTTCTTTAAATTTGAGCTAATTAGAATTAAATTAAGTTAAAAATTTAGCTCCTTAGTCATACGAGCCACATTTCAAATGCTCAAGAACCATTTATGGCTAGTGGCTACAATATTGGACAGTGCAGAAGAACTATTCCATTATTGCAGATAATCCTGTTGAATAGCACAGACCTAGAATGACAGCTCCGTGTAGGGCACTGGGAATTGCTGTTTGGGGATGGTATCACCTTGAGTTGGTCTGTGACCTGCTGGGAGTAATGCAGTTCTCAAAGAACTCTAACTCTCCTTTAACCGCGTGCAAAATTGTGAACCTGGGATGCGTGAGGGAGTGGTTATTTTGTGCTGAATGGTATGTCAGCTACATCACCACAGATGTGAGATCAGCAGACTTGCTTATTCTGAGTGCCGTCAGAATCGTTAAGTACCATATGTCCAGTGTCATCTTTGGCACATTTATCTGGCTTCATCTGAGTTCCGAAGTGAAATCTCACAGCCGCCTTCATAAATTTAGCCATCAAAGACCAAGGTGATGATGACATACCAAGCTTTAGAATCCTCAAGTAGGGTGGGATATTGGTGCTGGGAATGACGAATGAAGGGACATCTGAGAATCATGCTGCTTTTATGGATTAGCAGAAATTCATCTTACGTGACCAAGAGCAGCTGCATAATGGCTAGAAAACATTTGCCCTTTCTGCTTATGTTTTGGTTATCCCAACACATTCTATGTGCAATGTCTGAGTTTGAAAGTTCTTTTTAAACTATAAAATCATTTCCCAAAGTTAGGACTGATTATGAATATCATCAATGATTGTTTTTAAATGTCATTATGGTAAAGTCATAGAATAGTGACCATCTGTGCTGCCTTTGTCTTTGTATAGGTGCAGTAGTCCCAGCCTTTCTTTCTCTCTCTCTCTCTCTCTCTCTGTGTGTGTGTGTGTGTGTGTGTGTGTGTGTGTGTGTGTGTGTGTGTAGGATCACTGGAGTATGGTGGTGAAGAAAGCTGTCACAGCACAGAAGTTCAGAAGGAGGTACTGTGAAGGTCCCAAAGCATTGAGCTTAGCTAGTTCTGAAAGCACTAAGGTTAACTAGTCAACTCGAGAGTTGGGTGTATATACTGCTAAGGAAGGGTTCAACCCAGGGGGCTCTTGCTCTCCCAAGACAGGAAACATGTATCTGAAGTGTGAATCTATTGCTATTATCCTCAGTTTGGCAGGCGACAGGGTTCTGAGAGTGAGAGAGTAATGGAATGTGTATGTCTCTGCTCTTGAAGATACCAGGGGCACCTCGAAAACTCCCCTCCCCAGCCCAGGGTCACCACAGCCTTAACCGACTGCCTCCTTTGCAAACCTTTACCATGGGTACCTAGAAAAAGACATACACACACACATTTCAGCTTATGGTTTTTGTTCGTTTGTTTTTGTTTTTTGTTTGTTTGTTTGTTTTGCCAGATACTTAAGATTTAAGGGCAATCTTAAGGGAAATCTCTTCTCCCATCTTGACTGAGGCACAGAGATGTCCTGTTCCCATGCTGTTGATGCTGACAGACGTAGGACACGTTTTTTTCTCCGTGTGCCACCACACTCAAGCAGAATGTATAAGATATTTTCTGTCTACCAAGGATACCTGGTGACATAATCATACCTAGCCTTTCTTTCCTCCCTCCGCCCCCTCAGCCTCTCACCCTGCCCTCCCATGGGTCTTTATGTGTGCTACTCTATGTAGAGTACAACTCATACCGGATAGCCTGTTACTTATTTTGGTTCAGGAGCAGCTGCAGAGGATGAACTGGAGAGGACAGTCTACTTGCAAACACTTGTAGACTCTCCAGTGGACAGGTTACCTCTAAAGAAAGAGAAGCCTACGCTTTCCTACTCACTGAAGTTTTTTACCATTTGCAAGTGGATCCAATATATGTTTGTTTTGGGTGAGGGGCTAACAAAATGCTCTGCGGTTTCTGCAGGTTTCCTTATAGGAGATCCTGTTATCCTCGTGTCGATTCTTGCCCCATTAGCTTTCAGCAGTAAATAGTTGAGGGTCTCATCTGGAAAGTTCTATTATTAGTACCACATGGTCAGTACATTTTAAGATAGACATTTTAATAGGCAGAAAACTGTATACAAGGAGAGATGTGCAATGCAGAATAACTATCAAATGATATCTAGATATCTTAGATTGCTACTCTAGGCCATCCATGGTCTTACCCCATGGGTTCCTCTAACTCCCTTCATCCTCCCTTAACATTAGCTGTAGGTTTTCTCATCACTGTCTTTGCTCACGTTATTTTCTCTGCCTTGAATTCCCTCCCTCAAGCTCCCCACACCAGCACCACCAGCATGTACCCTGTTCTTTAAGACTCAACTCAAATACCTCTGCCTCAAAAACATATTGCCCTAATTGTCCTGGCTGAAAGTGACAGTCATCTCTGGACCCCCCCCACTCTCATCTCTGCACCTCTCTATGTCATCCTTAATCACTTTCTGACTTGTGTTCTTACATAGTTGAATATGCCTTATCTCTACTACTTGATATTAAACTTCATAATGATGATAAGATCCTATCTTATCTTCTCCTGTCTCTTCCCTGATCAGGCCTAGGGTAGTTCCTCCCACACTGTACTGTTAAGAGAATACATAATGAAAAAGTAAATGAATAAATGGCAGAAACCTTATGTGGAATGCTGGTGCAAACAGTTCCTTTGACTGGGGGCTTTTAAAAAGAGACTGATTGTATAGGAGATCTGAGCAATTTTCATATTAATGGAATGGATTATTAGAGCTGGCATGAACATCAAAAGAATCTAGCCACAACCACCTCTCAGGTCATCTTCATTTTCAAATGGGGAATCTAAGATTTAGATAGGACCATTCCAGATCACATAGTGAGTGATTAATAGACCTAGGACTCATACCTCATCTGACATCCAACACCACATGTTCTTTTGAAATAAGGCTGGAATAATAGTGAGACACACATATTAGACACATGATTGTGAGAAGACAGTTTTCCACCCCACAGCACATGACCCCATACGTTTAAGTCCCTGCCTATACAAATAGTACAGACAAAGTAACAGCAACTTTAGAGGGAAACATGACTATTTCCATCATATGGTGATTCTACAGAGCAGAATCAGAAACCTGGGTAAAGAGAAAAGTCCTACTCAGTTTCATTCTTGTTAAAAGACTTAATGACTGGAGTTCAAACTGGCGGAGTCATTGGCAGCATTAAAGAAGTGGGGTTGAAGCTGGGCAACATTTCCACAACAGGGAGTGGAACAGAGAGACAGAAAATATTGGGAGTCTTGTGCCCCATCAGTAGAAGGAGATGAAGGCCAGAGCCAAATGGTGGGGGCAGGGGTAGGGGGAAGATTCCTTTCTCCAGCATGTAACAGCATTATGGGAGTGAATTCAGAGCTTCTGTGTGTTCTGAGCCAAGTGCCTGCTGGAATGTGGACTGTAAATCTCTCATCGTCCTCTTCACTGACCCACAAGCAACCCCTGCTCCTCCCATCTGCTTCCCGACCACCTGCCTTTCAGTTTTTCTTTATATAAAAAACGTTTTCCATTCTCCTACCTTCCTCTCTGTCTACCTTTGTATGGTACATCTCATCCCTCTTCTAAATATTTCCATCTGACCACATTTTTCCCTAATGAGACAGGCTCACAATAGGATAAAGTGTAACATTTATTCATTTATCTGCTCAGCAAATATTATTGAGCACATACTGTGTCCTAGGCACCACTTTAGTTCTTGAGTGGTCAGCAGTAAAGAAAACAGACAAAAAAATAATACCCTGGTGGAGTTTCCATTCTAGTGGGGACACAATAAACAAAATAATTGGCAAATTATATAGAATATTGGAAGGAAGTACATGCTGGGAGAGAAATAAGCTGGGAGGGAAAAGGGAGTGCTGGGGGAGAAGGAGCTAAGAGTCTCAGTTCCAGAGTTAGGCAGCCTGAGCTGGAATTAGAACCCCAGCTGCATGCAGTGGCTCATGCCTGTAATCCCAGCACTTTGGGAGGCCGAGGTGGGCGGATCACCTGAGGTCAGGAGTTTGAGACTACCCTGGCCAACATGGTGAAACCCAGTCTCTACTAAAAATACAAAAAAAAAAAAAAATTAGCTGGGCATGGTGGCGGGCACCTGTAATCCTAGCTACTTGGGAGGCTGAGGCAGGAGAATTGCTTGAACTCGGGAGGTGGAGGTTTCAGAGAGCAGAGATCACGCCATTGCACTCTAGCCTGGCAACAAGAGCGAAACTCTGTCTCAAAAAAAAAAAAAAAAAAAAAAAAAACTCAGCTGCATCCTTCCCAGTCATGTGACCTGGGCAGGTTAAGAGAACTCCCTGAGCCTCAGTTTTCTTGTCTGTTTATCAAGAGTCATTAGGGAAACTAGTATCTCCTTGGGTTGTTGCAGGGATTCAATGAGATGACACATGTAACACAATCATTACCTCGGGCCTGTCTCCTATAAATATAGTGATTGTCACGTTTGTTATTTAAACAATATTATATATTGTGTTTTAGGTATTATGTATGTAATATATAGTGTGAATATATGTATGCGTTATGTATATAGCATTATCTGACTTCGTGCCTCTAGTATTACATGCTTCTCAAAATATCTATAGTTTTGTCGGTATTTCTTTCTCCTACTAGATTGTGATCTTTTATCGGCAAAGACCACCTCTCATTTATCTCTATACCCCCCATTGTGCCCAGCACATCAGAGATTTTATGTTTGGCTGCTGAATGAGAAACAAATGGGATACTGTTCTTCTAAGCACAATCATCTTATATTAGCATTCATTTTTGGAACTCTTCTCTAATTCCTGTCATTTTTGTATCACATCAGAAGAAGAGCTATATTCCCTCCACCGCCTCTCCTCGCCTATTAATCACCATACCTTCCCACCTCTTACGGGAATACCGAACTAATGGTCCTTGTCTCAATGACCTGCCTATCCTTTGTCCCTTCATGGGAATCTTCTCACAGATCAAGTTACTATGATCTACAAGGCCAGTTCCCATAGCCTCGTTCCACTTACACACGATCTTAACCATTTCTGTCCAGTGGGAGTCACCCACTCACCTCCTAAAACCTCTATGCATGCCCCATACCCCTAGTCATAATACTCTTATACAAATGTTTAACACTTTGCAGTTGAAGACCCAATGTCATACATCTTTTCATTTGATACTTAGAGTCACTGTGTGAGGTACAAACTTCAGATATTACCAGTTGCATGTTACTAATAAGGAATCAGAAGCTCAGAGAGGGGGAATGAAAGAATCCAAGTATATGTGGCTAAAATTGGCCACGTCGACACCTGAAATCCTATTATCTGGGGCAATATACATACTGGGTTTGAAAAAGTTCACACTTAGCAGTTGAATGACCTGAGTCCTCACCCCAGCTTGGCTACTTACTCACCATGTGACCCTGAATAGTGCCTTGAAGCCTCAGGGTTTTTTTACTTCTGTAAAACAGTAACTCTTGCCCTCCCGGACACATGGGATAGTTTGAAGATTAAAAGATACATTGGCTGGGCATGGTGGCTCACATCTATAATCCTAGCACTTTGAGAGACTGAGGCAGGTGGATCACTTCAGTCCAGGAGTTTCAGACCAGCGTGGACAACACAGTGAAGCCCCATCTCATTAAAAAAAAAAAAAAGATATATTAAGAAACTTTTGAAAGTATAAATCATCTAAATCATCATGTATAAATGTAAGAGATATGAAATAAGCTCTGTGAAAATATAATGGCTGATGGCGTCCCTGTGTGAAAGATAGAAATGGACATTTTATGTAATTTCCATACACACCAAACAAAACAAAAGATCTTTAGAATTTCCAAGCATGAGTGAGGTTTTACATTGATTGTAAAGAATATAGAATGCGGAAACTCATTTTTAATTATTAAAACTTATAGGCTGAAAAAAAGAGTAAGCACTATTTAAAAAAAAAAAAAAAAGGCTCAACCAGGCGCGGTGGCTCTGTAATCCCAGCCCTTTGGGAGGCTGAGGCGGGCAGATCACGAGGTCAGGAGATCAAGACCATCCTGGCTAACACGGTGAAACCTCGTCTCTACTAAAAAAGTACAAAAAATTAGCCAGGTGTGGTGGCACGTGACTGTAGTCCCAGTTACTCGGAGGCTGAGGCAGGAGAATCGCTTGAACCTGGGAGGCAGAGGTTGCAGTGAGCCAAGATTGCACCACTGCACTCCAGCCTGGGCAACAGAGTGAAACTCCGTCTCAAAAAACAAAAAAAAAAATGCTTCCCCACACCCACCCCCAACGAACGAACAAACACACTTAGGAAATAGGGAAGAAGGTTATGTTTTGGGACAACTTTCTATACACTGAGAAAATCCAAGAGGTCTCCACATCTACCTATAAAATTCAGTGATGCTCAGAGCTGACATGTCAATTTTTCCTATTACATAGTAAGAAGCTCAGCATTATGGGCCGAGTTTATTGGACACTGCAGAAATTCATTTACATTGTGTGCTTACCCTGGATTGTTGTTGAGTCCAGCTGACTGTTGCTTCACAAATTAACTGTCCTTTGAGACTTGGAAATATTGAAATTGCATAGAGTTTTTGTGAAATCTCAATCCTGTAGTATTGTGTATATTACAACAGGTGCTCAATAGACTTCTGGATTATTAAATTGAGTAATATTTGTAGCAAAGATCTGTAGGCTGAATTATAAAGCTAATCTGTGGGGGGATGCCAAGATTTCTCTATCATTCTGCTATGTTTGCCATGGTCTACCAGGAGATGGCGCCTGGTAAGAGTTCCATATTTTAATGTATTCTGGTCCAAATCACTGGAGTTGGCAAAGATGGAGAAGGAGGAACTGAGCAGTTCATCCCCAAAGACATGATGACACCACTATAAGTGTGAAGCCAGCAAGAGTGCAAAGACTGAGAGCAGCGTGGTCATACCTAGACATTTATCTGGAGAGCAAAATCAAGCACTGGGGCTCAAAGGGTTCAGTCCCAGCAGTTAGGAGAGAGAGGAGTCTCCTAGGAGTAGTTGCCCCAACAGCTGCTAGAAAGTCCTGATCCTTTTTGGTCTGAGCCAACCAGGTCTCAGCCCAGTCCCACTTGCCTCAATTTAAAGTGACATTTTTGGTCTCTAGCTGGGTGCTTCCCCCTCTGTAGCATATAACAAGGATACACTTTCAAGGCAGGGAGCCTGGAGGACAAGGAGATAACCCTGCAGGCCTGGCCACCCAGGCTCTTTCCGGTGTTCCATGTACACTGCATAGATTGAGTGGACACCCAGGTTAAAGAGATCTCTCAGTACTCTTGGATTTTCCTTTACCTTAATTTTGAAATTATAATATTTTAGACATAACTTGTGCAGGATCACACAGTGAGTCTATAGGAGAACTGGATGAGAACCCAAGTTTTCTGACTTTCAATCAGCTCTCTCTCCCTACATGTACCTTAACATGTATCATAAAGATGACTGTTGCCATATGGGCTAAGCCCTCCATTTTCTGAGTATGCTATACCACCTCCTTCCCTCAGAACAATTAACAGAGGATCTCATAAAGATGTGCTATATATGTGTCCCATAGATTTTAATGAGACTTCAGTAGGTGGGAAGGTGTAGTATTTATTCTGGGATATTGGAAGAGCAAGTTGGATAGGACCTTAAATTTTCTACATAGATACTTGTGGAGGACAGGCTCTAGGGTGACTTCCAATGACCCCTGCCTCCTGGTGTTTACATCTCTGTGTAATACCTCTCCTTGAGTGCAGGTGAATCTGTAACTTGCTTCTAATCAATAGAAGAAGGCAAAGGTGTTGGGGTGTAACTTACCATGATTACATGTTGTGATATACGAGTCCATCTCAGCAGATAGAGAGACTCTCCTTGACAGCTTGAGGAAATAAGTGACCATATGAGAGAAGCTCATGAGGCAAGGAGCTGTGAGCAACCTTTAGGAGCTAAGGACAGCTTCCAGCAGACAGCCAACAAAAAGCTAGGATCCTGACTCACATACCCACAAGGAAATGAATTCCGCCAATAATCTGAATGTGCCTGGAAAAGATTCTTCCACAGCCAACCCTCCAGATGAGAATGCTACTCAGCTGACACTTTGATTGCAGCCTGTAAGACTCCGAGTGGAGGACCCAGCCAGAGTCATGCCTGGGCCCTCAGAAACTGTGAGATAGTAAATGTTTGTTGTTTTATGCCACTGAGATTGTTAGCCAACAATCAAAACCTAATACAATAATACCCTTTACTGTTTTCTAGACAGCTGCTATTTAGAAAAGCCTCCCACCCAATAAAAGAGTCCCCTTTATAGTTTTCCAAGTAGGTGGTTATCAGGGTTCTGCTTCACCATCTTCAGTGGCAAGGAACTTCCATTTCACAGGGCAACCATGTGTGTATTACAGAGGCTTGCATGTTGTCAAGTTCAGCTGTGGTCTTCAGCGGGAGCCTAGGACATGCCAGGGATTTCAAGGTAGGCTGGTGAGGGGTTCCTGGTTTTCTTGGTCCTGAACCATCCCAGTGCCATTCTAACAGTTGCAAGTCTGCCTCCTTCATGACAAAAGGACTGGAGGAAAATGTATCTGGCAAGTCGATAACACTGGATCGTTTGCTCCCAGCTTTACCACTTGGCATCAGTGCAAACTTTCACCCAGTTAAATAACTTAATGAGCCCTGCTCTGCATGCTTGCTTCACAGAGTTGTGACGATCAAGTAAGACAGCATCTATGACAGTGTTTGTTGGCTGTAAGTCAGCAAATGATTGCAAATGATGATTATTATTAAAATAATAGTCATTTGTCAGTAAATATTTGTCAAAGCTGGTCCACACTGAGGGAGACAGGCTCTCCAGGGAAACTGCTGATGCAGAGATAAAGAGGAGACCAGCCCCAGTTTGGAATTGCATCACTGATTCTGAATTCCCCATGGTACATTTCAGGTCTTGCTTCAGGAATTTGTTTTTTGTTTTGTTTGGTAGGAACAAGAATCCCCTAGAGCCAGTTATGTTGTCATCAAACTTAGTTGCTAATTAGGCACCAAAGCAAACCTATGCCAGTGAGACAGAGTTGAAACTTGAATTCCTTTCTGCAGGTGGAGCGTTGGATCCTAGAGGCGGTGTATACAGCTTGGCTATTTTGATGCTTCTGCATGCAAGAAGGTTTAAGAGAATCTGAGTAAAGCAATTAGCATCCCTCTGTCTGCAGGCAAAACTGGTTTGGACATGCTTCTCTCTTCTTGAAGGGCTGTTAGAGCCTTGGCAGTGTATCTGACGAAAGATTTCACTAAGCAAAATGTCTTCACTTACAAATCCAGCCACTTTGCACTCTCAGTCAGCCTCAAATTCATTTATTTTCTTTAGAGTTTCCCTACA
The DNA here is from genome assembly GCF_000001405.40 of Homo sapiens. Lineage (NCBI taxonomy): Eukaryota > Metazoa > Chordata > Mammalia > Primates > Hominidae > Homo > Homo sapiens. The sequence goes on from NC_000003.12 coordinate 188,833,729, forward strand.
ACCACGAACCACCAAGAATTAAATTAATCCCCAAGAGCCTGAGCAATTATGAGGATGTTGAATCTATCCATTCAAGGATGTCCCAGCAAGGACTGTTCATTCTTTTAACGTAAACTATTTATATGTTTTGATTCTCCTCATTTGGAAGAAAGAAATAAGTTTTCATATATGTATTTTTCAGGGTGTATTTTATATATCTGTTTATATTACACTGTTCACATTACTATTAAAGCATCCCCATTTTATTGTAAGTTTATTTTGCCTGCTTCGGGAAGAACAAGACCAAGATCCCATTATTAAAACCAAAATCTTCCACAAAAGTTTCCTTTTAAAAACTTAGATTAGGAAATTTTCAGTCAGCCAGCCAACTCTATAGCCTTTGATACTTGGTCCTACAAAGTTTTCTTCCCCTTTGGTCTGAATGTTTTCCTTTGTCTGTGCACACTCTATTCTCCTGCCAGCATGATAATACATGCTGCTTTGATATCAAGTGGCGGGAACATATAGAAATGTGCTATTGGTGCTGCAATTTGTATCTTTGTTTTCATCAAACTTATTATTTACCATTTTAGGATTTTTTTGTTTCTTTTTGGGTGTTTTTTTTTTTTTTTTTTTTTTTGGTGTGTTTTGTTTGATCTTGGTTTTGGTTTTCCAATCTAGGCCTGAGGTCCAGTGCTAATTTGATGCTAGTGTGAACTCTCTGAGCCTGGTTCCTTGACGTTCCATTGGGTGACTATTGCAGTGGTTCAGATGTGGTGCTACCAGCCTTCCCCACCAAGGAAGTTGCCTGCTTTCTCATCTTTGATCCTCTTCACCAACTAACCACAACACACCAGTGAAAATTTTAATTTCTCCATTCAGTTCCTCAGTTTCCGCCACCAGGTGGTGAGTTCCTGCGATACAGATAACCTTTTTGTCTTGTTCAGTACAACCTCAGTGCCTAGCACAAGGCCTTGCAGAAAGCTGACATTCCTTAACTCTTTATTTCTGAAATGAATTAATGTTCTTAGGTTCCATGTCTCGTGGACCAAATAATGCAATCCTAGATCTTGCCATAGCATCTGGGACACCACGTATGATGATTTAGGTAATCAGTGAAAATCCATGTCAGCAGCTGCCAATTTACAGATGAATTATGTCCAATGGTTTGGAGATGAATGAGTTTTACAGTTCATAGAGCATGACAAAATTCATCTTAGCCTTCCATTTTATAGATGAGCTAACTGATCTCTGAGAGAGGAACGACCTCTGAATGTCCTGGGAAGAGCTTGTGGCAGAAGTAACTTCTACCTAGTAGTGTATTTTCCTTACTGCCTGTTCTCATTTGATAACAGACCCATATATCAATTATTTGCATCCTTCAATTAACCCACAAGAAGGCAAATTTAATCCAGTGTTAGATAAAATAATTATTCACAGGGTCATAACACTATTAAAGAATAAGCTATGGCCAGGCGCGGTGGCTCACTCCTGTAATCCTAGCATTTTGGAGGCCGAGGGGGGCAGATCACTTGAGGTCAGGAGTTCTAGACTACCCTAGCCAATATGGTGAAAACTGTCTCTACTAAAAATACAAAAAAAAAAAAAAAAATCAGCTGGGCATGGTGGCAGACGCCTGTAATCCCAGCTACTCAGGAGCTGTAGTCCTAGCATTTTGGGAGGCTGAGGCGGGCGGATCACTTGACTACCCTGGCCAACATGGTGAAACCTCATCCTACTAAAAATACAAAAAAAAAAAAAATCAGCTGGTGGTGGTGGCAGATGCCTGTAATCCTAGCTACTCGGGAGGCGGAGGCAGGAGAATCACTCGAACCCGGGAGGTGGAGGTTACAGTGAGCCAAAATTGCACCATTGCACTCCAGCCTAGGTGACAGAGTGAGGCTCCATCTCCAAAAAAAATAAAAAGAATACACTATGAGGCAGTGAGATATAGGGCAAGACTCATGTTAGGACTGCCACAGAGCAGTCAGTAGTGGCAACAAGAAAGGAACGCCCCTACGATGTGACAAGTCTCTACCTTGATATCAATGGAATTATGAATGGGCAGAGAGGCTGTGCCCATTCTTACCTAACAGGGAAGCTGTCCATAAATAAGGTAGCAATTCCTGAATCAAGGACAAGCCTTCTGCCCAGTCTTTATATGTAAAGAAACAGTAGTTTCATTTGAAGGGAAACCATTATAATTGTCTCAGATGTGCATCTTGTTCCAGGGTACTTCTTTGTATTTTTGATGAGGAACCAAAGGCTTTATTATAGATCTTGTGAATACCTGTCAGCCAGGATTTAGAACAAATGCATTTGGGCAATTTTGCCTTTTATTTCAGATAAATTTTATATGTTGTTTCTGTCCAGAATTGTAGGATCATGTTTGGCTTTTCAAAACTGCAGGAAATGTTTATTTTACTTTTCTTTAAAGAAGAAGACAGTAATGAAAAATGTATCGACTGCCAGCCCACTGTTTTTATTTCTCTTTGTGTGAGCTATGGCTTCTCCACATCTTGAGCCTTAAACTCTTTGATGTTGTCTTTTTAAGCATAACATAAAAGATTATTCCCTTTAGTCTGTAGGCTTGGAGGTGGGCAAACATGACATATTCCTGGGTATTCATATTTCTATAACAATAATTGATGCAGGTTTTGGGGCTGTTGTATTTGCCGTAGCCTTATATGATAAACATTTGGCATTCCATGACGTTTCAGCTTTGTCAACTTTCCAATCCTGTATGGAGTTCCCTCTTATTGTTTCTGTGTGAACAACTTGACAAGAGTGGCATCCGTGGTCAGATTCTTCACTCTATCCCTGCAGGACTTTTCATTGTGCTCTGCACACGATGGAGGCTCAATGCATGAATGAATGCATGGATGAATTTTTCAGTTTGATTCCGTGAGCTGCTTAATTCTATTAGATGCGCTCCCTAGGCTTTTATAAGACGTTTAATTGGTACATGTTTCTTATCACTTTTTAATACTCCATAAGTGTTTTGTGTTCTTTGCAGTAGAGTCCAAATAAATATAAATTAAAATGTTTCCAATTACAGAGGAAATATTTTCAGTATCTTCCCACAAATAACACTGGGTTTATAAGGCTTGGTTCCCGGGTTTCATGGTCATGCTTGGTTGACTAACTTTGTGTTCATGTGGCATAAGATTCTAAACTGTCAGAACTACGTGGGCTTTTAGAGCCCATCTAAATCCTTCTCACTCACAGACGAGCAAGCTGACATATTTGCCTCATTTATTGGCAGTGAATGAATTAAAATATTGTGCCTTCATCAAGATATTGTGTGTATATTCACAATGTTGTTTTTCATAAATATGTAGCATTACTCTGTTTTGTGACTGCTCCTAGACTGGCTGGTTCTAGGGATAAAGAAGAGCCAGAGAAGAAATCTGGGCTTCCCAGCAGCACCTTGGGAGGCCGAGGCAGGCAGATCACAAGGTCAGGAGTTCGAGACCAGCCTGGCCAATATGGTGAAACCTGTCTCTACTAAAAATACAAAAATTAGCCAGGTGTGGTGGCTGGCGCCTGTGGTCCCAGCTACTCGGGAGGCTGAGGCAGGAGAATTGCTTGAACCTGGGAGGTGGAAGTTGCAGTGAGCTGAGATTGCGCCACTGGACTCCATCCTGGGTGACAGAATGAGACTCCATCTCAAACATAATAATAATAATAATAATAATAATAATAATAATAATAATCTGTGCTTCCTGCTTAATTTCTAGTTTTGGTATTCCTACTATCAGGCCCAACCTCTGTCCTTTGTGTTCACAGCTAAATTTGATTTGCGTTTGGTCAGAGGATGGGAGAACAGAGAACAATAGTCACCCTCATCAGCAACTGAGAAATTCAGTCTGTTCTGCCAACCTTGCTTGTATCTTTTCATATAAATCTTGAAATTGCCTCTATTTCAAGTCTGATGGTCAGTGACTAATTATTAAAGCCATTACTTGCTTTTTTTAAAGCCTGAACCTTGCTTTCCAGAATCTTTTCCACCTTTGAGATTATTTTAAATATCATCATTACTTTGAGAAAAGCAAACTTAACAAGGATGCCTTAAGAAATATAAAGGTGTCATTGCCCAGGAGGCAAGAAAGGGAGGCAGAATGGTAATGAAATGAGACAGCCCTTGCTTTGGTTTTATAAGATCTGGGTCTGAATCCTGGCAGTGTGTTCTTTCTAACTTTAGGTAATTCAGGAGCCCTAGAAACCTCATCTCTCTATCTAGTGTGGGAAAACGTGAAACAACTTTGGGCCATAGATTGCTCTATGCAAACTCAACATATGCAAACTTGTCTTATTAAAAAGCCTATCTCTAGTGGTTCCTATCCCTAGTCTTGTTTGGTTGGGTAGCTTCCAATTAATAACAGCTTCAAATTCTGGCTAATATTTGTTTAGCACTTCATGGCTTACAAAGTACTTCATTATTTTAACATTGTAGTATTGGTAATAATATCAAACTTTCTGTTATTACAATAAATGTTCCTTTTTTACTTTATTATTCCATTACTTTATTACTGTTTTTCAGATGTACTGTGATCTACATTTTACGGATGAAAAAAAGATTCTAGGAGGATAAGGGACTTTGTCACAAAAGTTAGCTTCTAAATGATGGGGGGACTCATATGCACCTTTTGAAACTCCTAAACCCATGTTGATTCCCCAAAGGCTTTGGTGGTCCTAAACATTTGACATAATCAGAGTCTATTATAAAAAGGTATGGCTTATCCAGCTCCTGGTTCCTCACTGTCTCCTCTATCTCAAAATATTCTAGAAAAAACTTTACTCCCTGAAAATATACAGCTTTAGGATAGGTGCAGCTCCATTTCATACTCTGATTTTCATTCCTCATTTGAAAAGTTGAAGCGTAATTTCTTATAAGACTTTAGAAGTTGAAGTCAGGACTGGATAAAGAAAATGTGGCACATACACGCCATGGAATACTATGCAGCCATAAAAAGGGATGAGTTCATGTCCTTTTCAGGGACATGGATGAAGCTAGAAGCCATCATCCTCAGCAAACTAACACAGGAACAGAAAACCAAACACCACATGTTCTCACTCAGAAGTGAGAGTTGAACAATGAAAACACATGGACACAGGGAGGGGAACATCACATACTGGGTGGGGCCTGTCGTGGGGGTCGGGTGCAAGGAGAAGGAGAGGATTAGGACAAATATCTAATGCATGTGGATCTTAAAACCTAGATGACAGGTTGATGGGTGGAGCAAACCACCATGGCACATGTATACCTATGTAACAAACCTGTACATTCTGCACATGTATCTCAAAAGTAAAATTTTTTAAAATAAGAAGAAGTTGAAGTCAGGGTATAGGAATCACAATTTGCAGTGCTATCTTTCACACTTCTTACCACCTGATGAAAATCACCAAATAGTATTTCTTCTTTTACCTAACATCTCTAGGAAAGAGAGAACCCTGACTGCACCTACAAGTAGGGAAAGGCATTTGAGTTACGCAAAGCTGCTTTTAACTCTGAAACTGTCCTACAGTGTAGCATATAAACAGGGAAAACATTTTATTGGTGTTTTAATAGAATCTTATCTAAATATCTGGAATCTTACTGCAAGGGCCGATCATTACTCTAGGTAGATTTCAAGGCCCACAGCTCCATTATGATGTCAACAAGGATAACTGATGTTTATTCTGTAGTTAGAGCCCCCAAGGCTTCAGCAAACATTTTGCTCATCACTTGTAGGACTAGCAGTAAATGTAATCATTGCAAGACTGAGCTAACACATCTGCTAACAGGGTTGTTCATTTGAGTAAACAGCAAGGTGATAAGGCGCAGGGACGGACCATTGGATTGAGTCAGACAGGCCCGAGTACAAAAACCAGCCTCACTACTTAAATCTTACATAGCCCATTAAGAGTAAGTTGCTTCACTTTGGGAGGCTGAGGCGGACAGATTACGAAGTCAGGAGATCGAGACCATCCTGGCCAACATGGTTAAACCTCATCTCTATTAAAAAAAAAATACAAAAATTAACTGGGCATGGTGGTGGGCGCCTGTAATCTCAGCTACTCAGGAGGCTGAGGGAGGAGAATCCCTTGAACCAGGGAGTCGGAGGTTGCAGTGAGCCGAGATCACTCCACTGCACTCCAGCCTGGCGACAGAGTGAGACTCCGTCTCAAAAATAAAATAAAATTAAATTAAATTAAATTTAAAAAAGAGTAAGTTGCTCAACTTTTTAAACTTTAGTTTTATTATCCACAAATAATAAATTATAAATTGCTGCTTTACATATATGATATAAAAATGCATCAATCCAGTTAATTTGGGGTAAATGGTATTATTCCAGTCTTACCTCCTAGAATACTCAGAAGACACAACGGTGTATCACTAGAAGGAGATAGTTTTGTTTTGGTTTGGTTTGGTTTCTTCAGTCTTCTTTTTCCTATTCCTTCCTTTTCCAAGAAACCCACGATTTCTTTCTTTCTTTTTCCAGCTATTGATGAGGTCAGGGAGTAATATGTTCAGATCTTTGTTGTATCTTTGTTCCGTTTAGAAACCAGTATCTGGGAATTCAACAGAGAATTTGGGGTCACTGGAAGCTATGTTTTACCTACATACAACTACATCTTCCTCTTAGACCTAGAGACTAGATACTGAAAATGCAAAAGGAAGCCATATTGACACTCCCAAGGATAAGGGAAGGCATTACATCATCCTTTGTAATGGTGAATCTTGTGCATTTGTAGAGGGCTGGACTTTGGCTTCTACCATATTGTTTAGCTCTGTCAACCCCACACAAGGACTTTATTTATTTATTTAGACAGAGTCTTGCTCTCTTTCCCGGGCTGGAGTGCAGTGGTGCAATCATGGATCACTGCAGCCTTAACATCCTGGGCTCAAGTGATCCTTCCACCTCAGCCTCTCAAGTAACTAGCAACACAGGTATGTGCCACCTCATCTGACTAATTTCTTTTTAATTTTATATAGATGGGATCTCATTATGTTGCCCAGCCTGGTTTTGAACTCCTGGCCACAAGCATTATTATTATCCTCATCTTACACATGAGGAAACTACCAGTGAAGTGGCTTGCCCATCATGTGAAATTACATATGCCAGTACTAGCCTGTTCTGAAATCCAGCAACATTCTTTTCCACCTCTAGCCTTGTTTCTAGCACCCTTTGGCCTCCAGAGCAAGCTGGGGTTCATTTTACATTAAAAGTAGAGCCATCTGATGTGGCGGGCATCCAAAACACTTGGGAAAATGCTACTCTGTTTAGAACTCGCTTTTCTTCCTCCCGGGTCCCAGTGCAGGAGGTACTGTGTGCTATGTGGGCCATCAGACTGTCCCTGGCCATGGCAGGAGAATTAGGAGACCACCAGGGCTGTAGTTAACTGTAGGTCCTTCATTAAGACCAGCCAATTGATAGCGTGTGTTCATGAGTCCTTGTGAAGTCTTTTCATCAGCCACGTGGAAGACCCCTTAGAAAAACAATCTCTGTAATTTGTATTTTTGGACATAGTGCTTTAGGAAGGTGGATGTCTGAAGGTGGGCTGGGTTTGAAACATCTCTCAATGCCATGGGACAGTGTGGTACAGTGTCCTGACAACTTAAGCTCATCCTGACAACTTAAGACACTAAATTCTACTCCTGCCTCTTCTAGTCTAGTTGGTCACCTGCCCTTTCTGAATTTGTTTTTTTTTTTTTTTTTGAGATGGAGTCACGCTCTGTCACCAAGCTGGAGTGCAGTGGCACGATCTCGGCTCACTGCAACCTCTGCCTCCCAGGTTCAAGCGATTCTCCTGCCTCAGCTTCCCAAGTAGCTGGGATTACAGGTGTGCAACACCACGCCCAGCTAATTTTTGTATTTTCAGTAGAGATGGGGTTTCACCATCTTGGCCAGGATGGTCTCTATCTCTTGACTTTGTGATCCGCCCACCTTGGGCCACTGCGCCCAGCCCTGAATTTGTTTTCTTAACTACCCATTTATTTGCTTGAAACAGATGACTTAAAATATTCCTTCCTCCTCTGAAGTTGTTCTTTAAACTTTTCTATGTAAGAAATTGATTGAGCTGTATTCCTAGGTATTTTATTCTCTTTGTAGCAATTGTGAATGAGAGTTTACTCATGACTTGGCTCTCCTTTTGTCTATTATTGATGTATAGGAATGCTTGTGATTTTTGCATATTGATTTTGTACGCTGAGACTTTGCTGAAGTTACCCACCAGCTTAAGGAGATTTTGGGCTGAGACGATGGGGTTTTCTAAATAGACAATCGGGTCATCTGCAAACAGAGACAATTAGACTTCCTCTCTTTCTATTTGAATACCCTTTATTTGTTTCTCTTGCCCGATTGCACTGGCCAGAACTTCCAATACTGTGTTGAATAGGAGTGGTGAGAGAGGGCTAATTTACATTCCCACCACCAGTGTACAAGGGTTCCCTTTTCTCCACATCCTCATTTGTTTTTTCCAGAAGACAGCATTTGCTATTACCTGTCTTTTGGATAAAAGCCATTTTAACTGAGGCAAAATGATATCTGATTGTAGTTTTAATTTGCATATCTCTGATGAGCAATGATGTTAAGCAGCTTTTCATATGCCTATTTGCCATTTGTATGTCTTTTGAGAAATATCTATCCATATTTTTCGCCCAATTTTACATCAGATTCTTAGATTATTTTCCTATAGAGTTGTTTGAACTCCTTATATATTCTGGTTATTAATCTCTTGTCAAATGGATAGTTTGTAAATATGTTTCCCTTTCACTGGTTTTTGTCTTCATTTTGTTTGTTTCCTTTGCTGTGCAGATTAACTTGATGTGATCCCAATTATGCATGTTTGCTTTGGTTGCCTGTGTTTGTGGGGTGTTACTCAAGAAATCTTTGCCCAATCCAAAGAACATTCATCTTTGTCAAATGAGCTATAGAATTAATGTTTTTCCTATTTTTATTTATTCATTTTATATTTATTTCTATTTTATATATTCATATAACAATATATTTATTCATAATATCACTTTGAATATCATTTGTTTTCATCTTGCATTTTTCTCATTTTTCATTGAGGCCTAATTTACATGCAATGAGATACTCAGATCATGAGTCGTAGTTTTAGGAGATTTGGCAATTGTATATATTACCCAAGAAAGTTCCCTTAAGTTCCCTTATTCCTCTTTCTATTCAAGTCCCATCTGCCACCCTCAGAGGCAATGACTTTCTGACCTCTATCACCAGAAATTATTTCTATATGTTCTTTTAAATCAGATAAGAATCACACCATATTTATTTTTTGTATCTGGATTCTTTCATTTTGTGCAGTTGTCTGAGATTCATCCATGTTGTTGTATTAGCAGTCTTCATCTTTTTGTTGTTTAGTATGCCACGATTATACCATAATTAATTTACCCATTTTTCTTTTTTATCATAATCTTATATAAGGGAAAAACATGGGAATACATGAACTGTATCTTTGGCTCAAATCCATCTTCTATCAGTTCTAAGGGCCTCAGGGTATTTGCCATGAGGGGCTGTGACACCAGCCTGGACTATTAGGAATGGACCTTTGCTTCTCACAGCAGTCATTTATTCCTCCACTTTTTCTACTAGCGTCATGTGAAGTGGGAAGGGTACTGGCCCGAGAGTTAGGAGACTCGAGTTCAAGTGGCAGCTCTGCGCTGGCTTGGCAGTGTAACTGGCCACTCCATCACCAGGACTTAATTTCTTCATCAGTAAAATGTTTGGTTTGGACTGAACAGTCCCTTTTTCATCTCTGACATCCTACGGTCCCTTAAAAATCCCTCCTCTGGGCTGGGCGCGGTGGCTCACGCCTGTAATCCCAGCACTTCGGGAGGCCGAGGCGGGCGGATCACGAGGTCAGGAGATCGAGACCATCCCGGCTAAAACGGTGAAACCCCGTCTCTACTAAAAATACAAAAAATTAGCCGGGCGCAGTGGGGGGCGCCTGTAGTCCCAGCTACTCGGGAGGCTGAGGCAGGAGAATGGCGTGAACCCGGGAGGCGGAGCTTGCAGGGAGCCGAGATCGCGCCACTGCACTCCAGCCTGGGCGACAGAGCAAGACTCCGTCTCAAAAAAAAAAAATCCTTCCTCTGGGTACCTCATCTTTTTCAGTTGCCCCTGCAGTCCCTCTCTTTAGCATTTCTGTGAGGAAGTATCCAAAGCATTGGATTACTTGAGATAATATTTCTGGTCCTCTTCCTCTCTCACACTCTACACTTTGCTTTTCTAGAATTGAAGCCTGGAGAAGAAATATTGTCTAAAGAGCTTGCTACAAGAAAATTTCCCTAAAAAGTATTGGGTCTTAAAATTTCATCTCATTTTCAAGTTCTTAGAATACTGTTAATTTGCAAAGCTGATTATGGATGGCATACTTTATTATGCTTTTTAATCATACTTCAAAACTGCACTATGGATTTGTTCTTTCTGTCTTCCTCCCATGCTTAATCATTATTTTTGGTGGCACCTTCTAAACTGTTGACTTATTTTCTTTCTTTCTGATTTGTAGTAGATGTTGTATAATCTAAGTTTAGGCAGAGATAGTGAAAGTGCTGGCCTGCCTGTATTTCAGCCAGTCCTGGGTTAATATTATTCATGTGGCAATGTCTGTTTTACTTTAGGACTCAACGTATTTAATACTTCCTCTCCTCCTCTTTACAATACATAGAGGAAAGGCCTTTGAAACATAATTTCTCTCCCTATGGGAAATGCTTTCTATAAATTTTTCATTTTCAATACAAACTGCTTCACTTTACAAAACAGTATCTGTCCCTAGCATGAAAAAATACTGGAGGGATATGAACAGTAAAGGAGAATATTTTTCTAGCTTGTGTTAAATCAATAATGTAGTGATTCCAAGGGAATTGAGAGGTTCGTGTATTTATTCATATATTAGTCAAAAATTCAAAATTCTATCTCTAATTAAAAAGGAATTTGAGAAGTATCTACCATTTTTATTGTCCATCTCTTTGGACATATGCTTTGCAGCACAGTGGAGCGGAAGGAGCGTAGACCTACAGAAATTTAGAGGGCTAAATTTTTAATATTGGCCTGGCTACATTGCCTGGACTTTGGGAAAATCACTTAAGCTCTCTTAGCCTTAGTCTTTTTATCTGTAAACTGAGAATAATAATGCCAGTTTTTCAAGGTTGCATTGAGGATCTTAGGTAATACATATAACATTCATGGAACATAAAATGTGAACCAATGAAGGTGCCAATGCAATTACACCTTCATTAGGAGTTGTCATTTCTGCGGCTTCTCATTAGAACATCAAAATTAGTTCCTTCAATCTTTACTGAGGCGCAGAGCTTTAAACTCTAACTTTGAAACTTCCAAAATGAAGTGTGAAAGGTCTGAGGCCTTGTGAGTTTGAAAATGCAGTTCACACTTCATTTTAGAAGCTCCAGAATTTTTTACCAAATTGAGATTGGATTCAGGAAATCATATTTTAAAGCCCTGGTTCATGCCATTTTCTAAAGAAGTACCTAGAAGGCCATAATCAGAATGCTTATTAAGTGACCACACTTTGAACTGCATTGCAGATAAATTACCTCTGTGTGGGGAGATGTGTCTTGAGATTCTGCGGTCAAGGCTCAGACAGCCCCAGAGCTGGAAACCTCAGAGCATTTATGCCTCTGTCACTAAAGGATGGGGTTATGGGGGCTGGACAGAAAGCTTGAGAGAGATGAAAAGTTCAGTGGGCTTGAGGGAGGATTACTGAATTACAATAATATCCACACCGTAAAGTGAATTTGTACTTGCAAGAGACACATTATTTATCTAGAATTTTAGAAAGGGTCTCTTTTCAGGTCACTGTGTAGATTGCCTGTGATTTGTTCTCCTTGATTGAATGTGAGTGAGTGTGAAGCATATCTAAACAGGTCTCACAGCAAGTTTCTTTCATAAATCTCCTCTGGTATATATGCTGTGTACCCTTGACAAGGAGAACACTATTAATGGCGACAGTATGCACTGGAACTCAGAGCACTGACGTGGGAATTGGGAGCTCTCAGGTCTGTTGTTTCTGCCAGAGAATGACTCTGTGACCTTGGGACAAGTGGATTCACAAACAAGCTGAAGGAGATCATATCTGTCCTAGACCGAAAGCTTATCTGAGAAAGATGCTACATGACTACAAAGAGGTTATTTAGTTTCTTAGTTCAGATAAGGAAAACACTAATAATTAGTCCAAACTTCGAGGCTTTGTCTTTGTCTTCTAAGCTTGCTTTCCCCTGTGATGTCCAGTCTCTCCTAAACCAGATAAGGATTCACACTATTAATCTCGACAAAATCAATTCTTTGCATTTGTGCTTTTATTAGGTCAGTCATTAGTCAATGAACACTTATTGCACGCCTGCTGTTTGTGCAGACACTGTGCTAGTCAGGGGATGCAAAAGATGAGTCCGTGCTGGTCCCATTTCAAAGAACTCAAAATATGGTGGAGACAAGCACGTATACAAAACCAGAACACAGTATAATGAATACCACAGGAGTATACCCGCAAAAGTTATATGGGTGAAGAAAGAAGGATTAATTAGTTCTGCCAGAGAAGGACTAATTCAGGGAAGGCTTTGGAGAACAGGGCACACATGATCGGAGACTTTACTGGTTCAGTCAGCTATATAAGTGATAAGGATAACATGAAGAGAGGTGCCAAGGGCAAGAAAGTATAAGATATGTGTAGAGGCTGGGTGCAGTGGCTCATGCCTGTAATCCCAGCACTTTGGGAGGCTGAGGCGGGCGGATCACGTGAGGTCAGGGGTTCAAGACCAGCCTGGCCAACATAATGAAACCCCGTCTCTACTAAAAATACAAAAATTAGGCGGGCATGGTGGCGGGCACCTTTAGTCCCAGCTACTTGGGAGGCTGAGGCAGGAGAATTGCTTGAACCCAGGAGGTGGAGGTTGCAGTGAGCCAAGATTGCACCACTGCACTCCAGCCTGGTTGACAGAGCAAGATTCCATCTCAAAAAAAAAAAAAAAAAAAAGAGAGAGAAAAGAAAAGTTACATGTAGAGAACTGTAAGTAATCTTATCTGGCTAGAATATAGGGTACCATAGGGGAATGACTGAGCATGGGTCAGAGTTGTAAACATCCTTATCATGCCAATGAGTTGGATTTCTCCAGAAGGCATAGAGAGATCTGTTTATAGTTTCTAGGTAAGAAAGAGTTTATGAACTTGCCTGTGTCTTCGAAATATGCTGTGGCAGAATAGAAAAGGTGATCAACCAGAGTAGGACAGAGGCCACACACATCTGCCCTGAGGTCAGATACCTATACATTTATTGTGTTTGATAGCCAAATGATTTTAATGTAAACTAGTTGCAAACATTTAAAATTTGGGAAATTTTACATAAAAATCTAGATTTTCGAGCTTCTATTAAGAAGTAGAGTGCACAATATCTGCCTAGCAAGAAACAGCTGTTGCTGAGAAGTGTCTTCCACCTTCAGCTAGAGCATGCAGTCTGACATTTGCTTTTCTGGTTCTTGTATTTGAGTGTGAGACTCTTGGAGTAAAGCAAACCCAGGGTCAGAAAGATCACTGGTGATGATGTTGCAGTTGTACTGTCAGGACTGATGAAAACCTAAACTAAGGTGGAAGCCTTGAGGAATGAAGAGGAGGGCAAGGATGGATTTGCTGATTGTTTAGATGTGTCATGGATGAAAGAGATGGAGAAATCAAAGAAGACTCTCAGGTTGTAATTTTAGGTAACTGGGTAGGATTCCCATGTAGTCAGAAACCCAGAAAGAAGAGAAGGCTTTGGGAAGATGACAGTGTATTCAATGTGGCTTTTTGTGGTTCAAGACTTTGGAAAATATTGATTAGACTGTTGAAAAGTACTTATAGGTCAGGAACCTGGTCAGAAAGTATTGTGCTAAAATAATATTGTTATGACCCAAGCAGTTGTAAAAATAACTTTTATTGTCTAACTCTCACAGTTTATCTTGAACTCTTAACAGGTTGTCAGGCAAATATCTGTTCTTGAAACCAGAAAAACAAATCAAGAAATTGGGATATTTGAAATGCCTAGAGTGGGCTTATAACTGTAAATGATATTTTACAATGGAAAAGTAGAAACAGTCTTTAGCAGCCAATGTGAAATAACTGGGTAATGTTATTTAATAGAATGCAAATTTGAAATGAGTGATAACCATTATGGAGAATTTTGTTAGGAAAAAAATTAATAAAGTGAATGTAACACATGAAGCAGAGCTGGAACTAGGAAGAAGGAAGTCAGGCTCCTGGGGAACCAAATTAAGGAGACTTCCCCTCTCAGGCACTTGTGGGACCCTGACGGTAAGCATCTCCTTAGGTACTGCTCCCATCCTCATCCTTGCCTTGAGTTTTTGAAAAATATATGTTAGAAATGTTTATGATTATATATCACAAACTGTTATTCTCAATTTTATGAAATTCCCTAGATATGATTACAATAGTCATTTGAGATTTATGATCTTATCTAATTGTTATGTATGTACCCATTGTGGGGTGATACAGGCAGAATAAGCTCTGAATTTGAGACTTGTGAAAACCATAAGAGCCTCGAGTCTTGTCTTATGAGTCTCCGGGTAGAGCTGAACTGGCTGCAGCTCCAATGAGAGGCAATTGCTTGAGAACTGTTTCCACCAGCATACTGCATGGAATGGGTCCCTCTCTGATGCAGATCCCACTGATACTGATGTCGCACTCTTGCTGATGCAGATCCCACTGATATTCATGTCGCACTCTTGCTGATTTTGATGGGCCAGTCAATAGCAGGGCAGCGTGTCAAGATGCTGGAGCAAGGAAGTCCTTTGTACTATTTTTCTCACTGCTGTCTTTTCCTTATGGCATGCCATTCTGTCTTAGAAAATGTGAGACCTGAAGTAGACATTTGGCATCATCTAGTCCAACCTCTTTGATACACAGATGTAAAAACTGAGGCACAGAGGAGGGGAAGAACTTTGCTCAAATCAAAAAGTGTATTAAGGATGGATGCAGTGGCTCACGCCTATAATCCCAGCACTTTGGGAGGCCGAGGCGGATGGATCACAAGGTCAAGAGATCAAGACCATCCTGGCCAACATGGTGAAACCCCATCTCTACTAAAAGTACAAAAATTAGCCGGGCATGGTGGTGCACACCTGTAGTCCCAGCTACTCGGGAGGCTGAGGCAGGAGAATCGCTTGAGCCTAGGAGGCGGAGGTTGCAGTGAGCTGAGATCTCACCACTGCACTCCAGTCTGATGACAGAACGAGACTCTGTCTCAAAAAAAAAAAAAAGAAAATAGGTTCCGGGTGTTGCAGCAAGTAATAATGATTAAACATTGTTTAATTAAATAATTAAACAATGCTTGCTTCTCTCCCACTGAAGGAGGTAGAAGGCACAGCACCGTGGTGAGCGAGGCCCAGCTTTCTGCTGTGTTCCTCTGCCATGCCTAGCATGCGACCACTGTGGAGTGATGCCAGACGGCTGTGCCATTCCAGTGCACTGAGGACGGAGGGACCCTTTTCCTCTGAGGACACATCATTTCACCTTAACCCCTTTGGCCAGAACAAAGTTGCATAGCTGCAAGGACGACTGGGAAATATATTTATTCTGGGCAGCCATGTACTTAGCTACAATTTGGAGGTTCTAAAGAAAGAAAGGAAGAGAATGGAAACAATTTTCAAGGCCTACCACAGCAAATTGGTGCCATTTCTAGGACTAGTATCCTATTTCCTAACTCCTAGTAGAATGTTTTTTCTATACCACAGATTTTTAATTCTCATAAAGATGTGATTTTTAATTAAGAAGCCTATAAGAACATTTTGAATATGCACAAATTCATCATTTTATATGTCCATACGGGATGCAGTGATTCCCCTTTGCTTAAGATCAATTTTTGTTTTTATTAATCCCTTGATATATAGATAGGAGTCAGGCAGACCCAAGTTTAATTTCTGTCTACCAACTTGTGACTTTGGGTCCATATGAATAAAAAAATCTATGCTTTGATTTTGTTTTTTCCTCTCTAAAATAGTAACAACATGTCATCTTGGGGTTGTTTTAAAAATTAAATGGGATGATATTAATGAAAGAGCCTAGCCCAGTGTTTAGTATTGAATAGGTAGATATCTAATGGTACAGATACCAGTTTCCTTCTTTCTCCTCACTTCCTTAGGTTCCCTCCAACCTGAAGACAACGTATGTTTCTCATAGATAATTACAAGGAATTTAAATCCTTGACAAAATGATTTTCTGGCTATCCATAGCGGACATGTCTAGATACATACTCTGTTCATTTTAAAAGATGAGGAGGTTCTGACACAATCAGAGAACTTTTTAAAAGTTATGGATGCCTGAGCCCCAGCCCCAGAGATAATGATTAAACAGGCCTAGAGGTTGTTAGTTTTTGAATGAAGTTTTTAGTTTTTATCTGCCTGAGTGAGTCTGATGTGCTATTGTGTTTTACACAGATCAATATGATGGTAGAATGAAACAGAGAAAACGGGGAAGCTGAGAGGTCACTTAGGCAGGTATTGTGATTATCTAAGTGAGAGATGATAGAACAATATGGCAAAAGATGGAATTAAAATATTTAGTGGGCAAAATTAATAGGACTTGATACCTGATGAGATATAGGAAAAATAAACTTAATACATCTTTCAACACTAGCAAAACTGTAGCTCTTGAAATTTATCTGACCTGAACTAATTGGTTCGGGGTAAAGGAGAGGAGAAATTGTGATATGTGAAATATATTAATATTTAGAAAATTCTTCCAACATTATTAATATATAGAAAATTCTTAATTATCTGGAATAATGAGCCAAACTCAACAAGATAAAATCTAAGAGGGTCAAGTCAAATTTCATTCTTACCTTTAAAAGTTAGCTATACAAGTACATCATATAAATGTCATTTACTTTGATAGCTGTTTATATTTTTTAAAAAAAGAAAGAAAACAAGACTGGTAGAGAAGATAGTCTGACCGCAAGATCAACAATAATAATAATAATGTAGGACCACAGAAAAGTAAATGAAATCTTGGACTGCATTCATCTAAAGAGGAGCATGCAGAACAGGGAAGCAGCAGTGCCTGGAGTGCTGAGTTCAGTTCTGGGCGCCACATGATGAAGGGAACCTGGATAAACTAGACCTTGGGCAGACAAAGGTGCTTGGGAGAGTGAGGTGACAGAAATTTCTCATAAGGAATGATGGAAGGTATCCCTTTATTCCAATAAAAAGAAGACTAAGGAAAGGCAATGTTTTCAGTGCTCTTTAGGGCTGTTAAATTGAAAAGGCAACAGATTTGTCTGGAGAGGACAGAAGTAGGGCCAATGGGGAAGAAGATATTTATGTCAAAATAAGAAAGCTCTAACAATTAGACCTACCAGTGGAATGAACGAACCAAGAGAGTGAGCTGTCCCTGGACATGGTATAAGCAGCCTCAGGGGCTGGAAAAACACTGACTGACTGGGAATGTTGTAGAGGGAATTTATAGATCAGATTGATTGGGGAAAATAGCCCCAAAGGTTCTCCTCTCTCTGACATCACTCTATGATTCTATGTGAAGTTCTAGCTTTTTAACTATTTTTTTGTATAATTAAATAATTTGTCTTTATTGATTGAGAACTAATCATTAAAAAAGCTACTGTCTTTTCATGTCTAGAGATGATAAGAATAATACTACATGCTTTTGAAGAAAAGGAATTTTATGCAAATAATCCCATACCAGTGTATTACGCTTTTGCAGGGATAATCAAGAGCTTGCAAAATTTGAAACCACATTTTCCCCTGTATGGAGGAGGAAAGTCTATTTTGCATCCGTACTTTATGCCTTGGGCATTATTATTGCTCATATGCTCTAGGATTTTTAATAAACCTAACCTGCTTCATGAAATTACACTGCATTAATTCAACATGGCCATGTCCAAAATTTAATATTCATTCATTTATTCAAGTATTTATTCAACAAACAATCCCTACTATATTTCATGTGCTATTGTCAGTGCTAGAAACATCAATTTAAAAATGTTTAAATCCTAGTCTTCGAAGAGTTTATAATTAAATATAAAAATATTGTCTATGTGTCAATTACTGTAGCTCCAAATACCTATTTACTCCAAAAATTAGTGTCTGAAAGGAACAATCATTTATTATCTCTTACAGTTTGGTGGGTCAGAAATTTGATAGCATCTTGGGCCAGGCGTGGTGGCTCATGCCTTTAATCCCGGCACACTGGGAGGCTGAGGCAGGCAGATCACTTGAGGCCGGGGAGTTCCAGACCAGCCTGGCTGACATGGCGAAAACCTGTCTCTACTAAAAATACAAAAATTAGCCAGGCATGATGGCACGTGCTTGTAGTCCCAGCTACTTGGGAGGCTGAGGCATGAGAATCACTTGAGCCCAAGAGGCAGAGGTTGCAGTGAGCTGAGATCATGCCACTGCACTCCAGTCTGGGGGACAGAGTGAGACTCTGTCTCAAAAAAGACAAAAAGAAAGAAAGAAATTTGATTGTGTCTCAAGTGGGCAAGTTTGGCTTGGGGTCTTTCATGAGGTTTCTGGTGTGAGGTCTCTCAAAGGCTGCTTCTCCTTACACCTGGGCCAGGAGTGTTTGAACAGCTAGTCTGGAACAACTTGGGGTCTTCAGGTATCTCCCTCTATCTGCATGTGGTCTCTCCAGCTTTGGGATAACCTAACTTCTTACATGGTAACTGCTATAGTTTGAATGTGTCCTTTAAGTTAATGTGTTGGAAACTTAATTCCCAATGCAACAGTGTTGAGAAGTGGGGTATAATAAGAGATGATTAGGTTATGAGGGCTCTCCCCTTATGAATGGATTGATGCCATTATTTTGGAAGTAGGTTAGTTATTGAGAGAGTAGGATGTTATAAAGTGAGTTTGACTCCCTCTTGCTCTCTTGCTGTCATCCTCTCTTGACCTTCTGCCTTCTGCCCTGGAATGACACAGTATGAAGGCCCTCACCAGATGCTGGCACCATGATCTTGGACTTCCCACCCTCCATTATCATAAACCAAGTAAATTTATGTTGTTCAAAAGTGACACAGTCAGTGGTATTGTATTATAGCAACACAAAGCAAACTAAGATAGCAACTGAGGACTTCAAAGGTATGTATTTCAAGAGAAAACTATATCACATTTTAAGATTAGCATTAGGAGGGCTGGGTGTGGTGGCTCACTCCTGTAACCCCAGCACTTTGGGAGGCCAAGGCAGGTGGATCACCTGAGGTCAGCAGTTCGATACCAGCCTGGCCAAACATGGTGAAACCCCATCTCTACTAAAAATACAGAAAAAAAAAATTGGTGAGCACAGTGTCGGGCACCTGTAATCCCGGCTACTCAGGAGGCTGAGGCAGGAGAATCGCTTGAACCCGGGAAGTGGAGGTTGCAGTGAGCCGAGATTGTGCCAGTGCACTACAGACTGGGCAAAAAGAGGGAGACTCTGTCTCAAAAAAAAAAAAGGTTAGCATTAGAAGTCAGGCAGCATCACTGCTATGACATTCTCTTGGCCAGGCAGTTGCATAGGTTCTCCCAAGACCTCACCTCTTAGTGGTGGACTGTTAGTATCACATTGTGAGATGGGATGTGTTTTGGTGTAGTCATCTTTGAAAATTACAACTTGCCATAGCATATGAACAGATAACACTATACTTGGGTTCTCTGCTATGGTGCTGTGAAAGAACAGAAGAGGAGAGTGATTAACAGAAGAGGTAACATTCACATATCATGGGCCATATAATTTGATGTATGTAACTTGTTAAGGAAATACGTTCAAGGCAGGGGCAACAGCAGGTGGAAAGGCATGAAAGAACAATGAGCACAAAGTGTTTAAAAGCTTGGGTTGACAGGAACAAAGACTGAGTTGTAGGAGAGGTGACAGGCTAGGGGCCTAGACAGGGGAGGTAGGACAGCATCCTGAAGGGCCTTGAACATCAAGTTAAAACGTTTGGCTTTGGGGAGCAGTCACTGTCTTTAGAGCACAGGCATATAAACTGATCGTCTTTGGTAATCTCTTCCATCTACAATCTTTCTTTCCTTTGATAGTAAACATATCATCTCTGTTAAAGTTGCTTCCTAGCTTAAACTGAACACAGACTCCAAACCATTGAAGCACTTTAGATTTTTTTCTTTTTTTTTTTTCCTTTTCTTTTACTCACCACAAACAACTCTAGAATGGCATGCATTTGAACAAACCAAAAGTGATTTCACTCTTCTAATTTTCAGTGCTTTTTGGCTAAATGCAGAGTGAGAAATTCATACCTTTTTCAAGCAGTGTGGGTTCTTTTTCCCAATTTCTGTCATCCATCTGGTTCTCTGGAGGTCTTGGAATCCAGGAAAGTGTTAGTTCACTGTGCTGAAATCCAAAAAAGACTGCTAAACTGTGAAAGAAAATTTGCATTCCAGAGACACTGAAAGAGTTAGTCCACCACCCTTTTGCAACAGCAAGGAGAAAACATCTGTATTTCCTGCCTCTTTGTCTTTAAGCAGTTATAGAATGGAAAACCCTATACTCCCTGGCTGTGCGTTTCATACCTAGTTAATCTAAATCACTTTTGGCAGGGTGGGGGAGGAATCAAAACATGGAATTATTTTATTTCTAGTGTCAGAAAATATTACAGCCAAGATACTGTTTAAGGGAAGCAAATTACTTCACCAGCTTCCTTTTGAGCTCCTCATGAGGTTTAATTCTCATGAATGGGTCCTAGAGCCGACATTTGACATACACATCAGCAGTGCCCTCTTCGGAAGGGAACCGCACAGTCACAGCCATGATGTTGGCATGTCTTTATGGCCTTCCTAAGTCATGTGCTGTCTTTTGTCTTCCATTGGCAGAAATACAATTAGAAGGCCTTGTTCTCAACAGAAGCCAAATGATTGCCAAATCTGTTCAACTGATCTCTAGAGAATTGAAGTTAGCTCATGGCCCTCTGGCTGTTCTCTTTGCCACTCCCAGGAGTTATAGGCTTAAAGTTATCCCTTTCTTTTGAAAGAGGATCAAGTTTGGTTCAAAGAAGCTTTTCTATCATCCCCAGGAGTACAAAGAGAGCCCTTCCATGACCCTAGTTGTTTGGCTCAGACCACTTATAGCTTACTGTAATTTAGGAAGTAATTGTAATTCATAAAGCCAGGTAGATAATAAACATCTTGGCAGGGTTGAGTTTCAGGCAGCTCTGAAGGGAACCAACATGTGAGTGGAATGGTATTGGGAACATTTCTAGTCTCTGCTTGCAGATCTTGATTCTAATGGATGACTCAAACTGGTTTAATTCTGATCTGAAATGTGCAGGCAGGCAGTCATTACTCTGTATACACATAGCTGAAAACATCATCACTTAAGCATGGGTTTTAGACATTCTCCTGGATGAGTTAGTTACCCATGGTAGACAAATACTGTAAGTAAAAAGAGCATTCTCCTAATTTCTATGTTGTGTGATTAACTTCAGATCATTTATATTCCTGGAGAAATATGTAGCACTATTTTTTCTTTAAAAGATATATTCTTGCTGAGGTAGAATAAAGAACAGAAAAGTTGTAAGAGGCCTTAGATTTTAGGTTATTTAATGTCATTTAATTTTGTATTCAACCAATACTTACTGATTGCCTGTTATGTCTTAAGCGCTGCCGCAGAGGCTGCAAATGCAGTAGTGTCTTGAACAAACTAGTGTAAGATGAACAATAAGCATGGCAGAAGCATAGTAGCAACTAAATTCATGAAGTGATATCATAGTGATAAGCACTATGAAGAAAGCAACAGGATAAAGAGACAGAGTCTGGCTCTGGAGAGGGGGCTGCTGAAATAGTGTGGTGATGCAGGCCATCTGAGGATAGTAATGAAATTTGGGGGATGTCTATGGGAGTAGATGCTGTTGGATGAATCTTTGGAGTACTCCCAAATGATTGTTCATTCATTTACTTACTAAAATATTTACTGAGCTCCTTCTCTGTGCCCCAGGCATTGTTCTGGAAACTGAGGGTGATGCTTTGAACAAGACAAAGAACCATGCCCTATTGAAGCTTTTGTTCAGCCCTCAAATCACTCCATTTCAAGGGACCAAAAGCCCTATTAACTTAATTCCCTTATTTTATAGCTGACGGAATTTAGGCCCAGGGAGGAAATGCTTTGTACAAAACTCACTGCTGGTGGCTGACGTTGGCAAGACTGGAATACAGCCCTTGACTTCTGCTTTATTTCTCCTTGCCACTGAGCCATACAGAGTCTCTGTAACCATCTATGTCAGCAATTCTAGTTTAGTGCTGGGGTTGGTTAGCACTGTGACCCAAAGATAAGTCTTTTTCTCTATCAAGGCCTCATGTCTACTCTTAATAAAGGTAACAAAATTGAGGGTTGTTAAGATGGGGCTTCACAGGCGTGGGTACCAGGGGCTTTGTTGGACCTTGATTACGGTTAAGTCAAGAAAATGGACCTTGCCAAGTATAACTGCCGCAAACTAGACAGAGAACTGTATGAGACTTCTTATTGGCTCATAGACTTCTCTGTACACACTCTAAATGCATGGTATGTAACTACTCCATCACTTGATAGGCATTCCAGGTATGTAAACTAAATAAGATACATGGCAAGAAAAATTACCTGCTGAAGACAAAACAACAAAAACAAAATAATCTGTATTTTTCCAAACTCAATATTCAATATTCAAGGGAGTATGGGTACTTGTGTATATATTTTATACTTGTCTACTTCTCTCCAGTAATAAGAATGATAGAAGTTGGCTCAGTTGATTAGTCAGAGGCTGTTGAACCAAGATGTAGGGTCGATCCTTCTGTGTAACAGTAATTCTCTCCAGCGAAAAGAGCTTTATAACAATATCTTTATATCTATTTACATTCTTAAACAGTGCTTCTCCCATTTCTTATAATATTTAATTCTCATTGTTAAGAGATTGTTAAGGCAGAATACTTAGTATCCCATTCTATAGATGAGAAAATTGACACCCATGTAGCTTATGGAATTTTGTTCAAGGTGCTGTGAATTCCAGCTACTCTGGAAATTCACTGCCTCAATGAAACTGGTCTAAATGTTGGTTAATAGCCTCTATTTATAGGTTGCTGATAGTAGGAATTATGAAAGCTGGACCTAAGGCTTCCTAATGTGAGGCTTTGGATAGGATTATCTGCTCTGAGCTCTTAGCCAGAAGGCCCCCATATTTATCAGTGTGCAACAATCTTGTTTTGACAGCGACAAAACCCAAGTAGTGTCACATACTCAGCTTAACAATTTTTCATTGGCTATGTAAGTAATTATGTTAATTTTATCATATTCTTATTGTTAAGTGGGACAGAACACCAGGGAGATGTGTTGGTATTCAAAAAGGGACCTAGTGTGGGGTTGGGAGAAGAGCACTGCATAGAAACCATGCCATCTGCGTCCTGGACTTTTTCACAAAATAGTATATCACATTGGGCAAATATACCACAATAGGCAAATCAGCTTCACAAAATGCAGTGTCCTAGTATGTGAGGTGAGACAGTTGGACAAGATGATTCGGGGAATTTTTCAAGCTCAACCAAACTATGTATTTATGAGAGGCTATGGGAAATCTGCATGCTAAAGATTATTAACTGCATTCTGAATAATTGCCTTTATACAGAATAACGGAGAAAGATATCTGAGAAACTTGTTAATTGGAGGACAGTGTGAAGTAGAAGAATGAGCCTTTCTCTTTGTACTTTAGAAAACACAGGTTCAAATCCTGGCTGCATTTATAGCTGTGTGTCATGTAATGCGGAAAAGAATTCTACCATTCTACCTCCTATACCAGATTGCTCTGGAGATTAGACGGGCTCCTGTTTGTGTACATTTAGTAAACTTTAAGGATTGTACCAAATCAAAGTATCAGTTATTATTTTTGGTGTATAAAGGAATATAAATTACTTTTATGAAGAATTAAGAAATGTATGGATTTGGGGTATAATAAGGTTTACACAGAAGAAGAGCTTTTTCACAAAATTCCCAGGAAAGCAGGGGGAAACTCACTTAGAAATCTAGAAGCCCATTTTATATTATGACATTATCCAATTATCCCAGAGTATCATATACACAATTCCTTAGATAATCCATTTGTTGAAAGGACAGATATAAAATATAGGAGAATTAATGGTGAAGGGAAAAAATAGAAATACGGTGCTTCAGTGTGGTAGTTACATTAAATGATCAAAGGATGACAAGTTAATTGAATAAATGTCTTAGCCCCTTGAAATTTGTATAGGGAATTTATAAAACTAACATTTATTATATAGTCAGGACTGGGTTCTCGCTTTGATAATATGTGAACTCATTTAAACCTCACAACACTGCAATGTAGACATTTCAGTCTACAAAAACCAAAGGCCAGAAAGGTCAAGAAAATTGCCTAGCTTTTCGAACCCAGATCACCTTTTTCCTACTGTTTCACTAATTCTCTTACTATAATATGGCAGACCTTCTTTGATGTCTGAGTTAATAAATCTTCACATGACTTATGTTGTAAAGGCAAAATCTATCATTTGACTTGTCTCGGAAGGAAAGGAACTCAATTCTTTTCTTTCTCTCTCACCATAGTCTTAGTCTTCTCTGATATGTTCATTATGCCCATGGCATGAGGGTCTGACCCACAGTCCTCAGCTCTTAGGCCCCTTCCCCCTGCCCCACATTTTTCAAGGATCAGAACACATTCAAAAGAAGTGTTTTGGAAGACCTAGCATGTCACATGGGTTATGCATTTTAAAGTAAAATATTACCTCTCCGGGCATTAAGGTATAAATAAACTAAATGTTCTATAATTGAGATTTTCTTTTCCGATTTAGTAAAGCTCAGATCACAATCCTAACCCTAGTGCTTAAGAATAAAAAACAGGGCGTAATTTACTTTGTGAAGAATGTGATTTTTAGCTCATGGCAAAATTGAATAGAACGGCCTAATTGCTGTGATCTTTTTGTTCTTTCTGTTGGCTTTTTCCTTATGGTTTTAGGGCATATTTCTCAATTTTAAAGCCAGTTTATGTAGTCCAAATACAAACAGAAAATTTTATAAGAAAATTGTTTTTCTAAATTTTATTTTGATAGTAACACATAGGTTTTGTCTGTGCTAGTTAAAACATGGATGTTCGGCCGGGCGTGGTGGCTCATGCTTGTAATCCCAGCACTTTGGGAGGCCGAGGTGGGCGGATCACCTGAGCTCACGAGTTCAAGACCAGCCTGGCCAACATGGTGAAACCCTGTCTCTGCTAAAAATAAAAAATTAGCTGGGTGTGGTGGTGTGTGTCGGTAGTCCCAGCTACTCAAGAGGCTGAGGCAGGAGAATCGCTTGAACCTCGGAGGCAGAGGTTGCAGTGAGCCGAGATCGCGCCACTGCACTCCAGCCTAGGTGACAGAGTGAGACTCTGTCTTTAAAAAAAAAAAAAAAAAAAAAAAAAGGATGTTCATGTCTGGCAATATTGAGTTCCCCTTCATCAGTGCTGCTCAATACACAGATTTCGTTACAATATTCTTCCTGTGAAATGAATTTGTTTCAGTGCAGGCTTATCTGCGACTCCTATAAGAGTATTAGATATTAAAGACTCTTGTTATAGCACAACATTAATTCCAAAGTGGGTTAAAATAAGTTTTTTTTCAAGTGCCAAATCCAATCCCAACTAGAATAGATTCTTAAGAGTCATAGACCACCACCATACTGCCTGCTCTCTCACCATTCATAAGTAATTACTCTCTTCTCTGCATTCCCATCATTCATTACTCGTGCCTCAATGATAGCAATTTGTCATGCCCTTTGCCTCGAATCAGTTGTTAATAGTTGTGTCCACCTGTCTCACTGCATTGAGAACCTTTGAGGGCAAGGATGGCATCTTTATCTTCCATCTCTTCCTCTGTACCTGCCAGGCTGTTGAACACTTTGTTCCATTCTTTAGGCTTTCTGCAATATTAGAGTAAGTGAGGAGGCAGCTCTGCTCTTTAGAGAGGCATATAAGAAGTTTGTTTAAAGAGAGTTTATAAGAAAACTGAGGCAATAGATGCAAAAAGTTATGCTCCAAAAGATTAACAAAAAAAGTTGAAATTATTTCACTGAATTTTCAGTTCTGTGTTTCATAGCTGTCATCTTCAGGGGTAGGGGGGTGTGTCATGACATCAAAAAAGTACAGTTTAGAGATTTGATGCTATCTATTAAATTGTTTCAAAACGTTTCCTATCTATCAGGAAAACTTTCATCTGTAAAAGAGGAATTTTGATTCTAATTGAAAAATCACAGTCATAGGGGTGGGATGCTGTTAAGCTTGAGATTATTATTTTCAGTCTGTTTCAAAACACACATTACATGCAGATACAAATATAGACTTAGATTAAGATATAGACAAAGGACATTAGAAAGACCAAGAGAAATGTTAATAAAAAGTTCATGTCTCACAGGAAGGCAGAGCTGTTGGAAGGTTATCTAGTATAGGGTCATTAGAACTACCAAGGTAAAATGATATCTTCACTTGCAAAGCAAACCCAAAAGTACTGCCATCATTTGGGAAGCAATCTTGATGACCAGAATCAAGGTAGAGAATAAGTTTTTATTCCATAATTAAGTTAGGCAATAGCAGTATTCTGAGTTCAGATAATGGCACTGGCATTTCAAGAGAAATTGGCTGAGTCATAGCCCTGCTCCTTTACTGTACCACATTACCATTCTGTTGGGAACACCTACACTTGAGCTGTACTTCCCAACCTTTTTCACATCCCAGTTCATGTGGAAAATGATGGCATTCATTCAGCACACGGAGTAAGTGGATGAGATCTCTCCTGTCCTGTTCCTGAGGCAACCGCTCAGGAACTCTGGACACCTCTGGTCCTTCCGAATCCTCCCAAATATGGTGCATCCGGAACCCACTTGAAACACACTGTGTGTTAACCTGCCAGTTGAGAAGTTCTAGACTGGAGAATTGTTTTGCATGGTTAAATAGAAAAAAAAAACTTATTTTATATAAAGTACTTACCTGGACTTTATTAATTCATTAACTAACTGATATTTGTGGAGCATTAATTTTATGCAAGCATACTGTTGTAGATGCTTGGGATCCAACGACGAGTTTTCTCTTGTCCTATAGGAGTTTAGGAGACAAACTGTCTTAAGATCTTAACATGTTTTCTCTATTTATTTGCATGTAACTTGCAGATAGCAAGCCTGAATGTCTTCTTTCTATTTGAAATACAGTGTGTGTCTACCGATATACAGATTCCATATAATGTGATGTAGCAGAGAGAGTCTCCATTGGACAGAGAATTAGGAGACCTTTATTGTAACTCCCAATCTGTCACTAGCTGTGTTCTCTATCTATACCTTAGTTTCTTGAATCCAGCAGTTGGACTAGAATCATGGTTTTCAGATAGTACAGGTTCCATCCCTTCATGCCCTTCAGCCAGAAGTGATTTTGGGCTCTTTAATATGTGCTTTTTTTGATAAATTGTTTCCCTGAAGAAAGGATTATGGGTGAATGGCCAAGTAAAAGAAGGTGAAAATTCCTGGGCTAGTGTAATCTCTAAAGACTTTTCAAGACTGAATGTCTTCTAACTCTCTCTTTTTTTCTTTTTGTTCTTATCTCAACAAGACCTAAACTATCTAGATCATGAGATGTCACTCCTTATCTTTCCAAGAGTCTTTCCTGTTTCACGATATTGTTTTTGTACCTAAAAAAGGTAAAGATGAATATAAGATCACATTTTAATTTTATAAAATGAAAATGTTGTTAACATTTCCAAATGGCAGTAATCACTTTATAGTCTTCTGAATCTTCAATTACTTATGTAAATGAAGACTGTATATCTTGATTTTAAATACTCAAAATTGAACACTTACATATACCTATGTAATATGTAAATAATGGTAATATTCTTATTCTTTATCATCTCATTAGTAGTTCACGTTTATGTTATCTATATGCTTCATTTATATTCATATGATTCTTCAGCTCTTCTGCCTGTGAGTTACAAGTTATTTATACAATATCCAAAGATAGAAAAAAATACTACCCCATTGTATCTCTGACTTAAAAACGTTGCATTTGGGGGTTTTCTGTACAAAGTTGATTTGTGATTTAATTGTTAGTTTCACTGAGTTTTTTTGTTTTTAGTCACAATTGTATTGCCAACATTTCAGAAAAATTTATAAGCTGTGACTTTTAGCAACAGAATCTGCTTTTTTCTGCTACTCTACGTCCTTTCATTTTAACCATACTTTCATTGGAGTAGCCTAAAACATTTTTTTATGGAAAAAAGTCCTCAAACAGTGCCTGTTGCAAAATGAATAAAATTTGGATTCTTCATTCAGCTTTGGCCAAAGGCCTTCCACAGCTCGTTACCAATTACTTACTGTGTGTCATGAACTTTGTAGTCCCTGGGCAAGGATGCTTACTATTGTGGATACCGTAGATAGAGTGTACAATAGGAATAGGAAGTATAAGAAGTATAAGGACTTCCTATACTTTCCCACAGGTGTTGATTGCAAGGACACTTCTTGATAACTAACTGTGTGCAAATCTGCTTCAGAATTTGTTTCCTAGGAAACACAACCTCAGACTATGGCTTCATGGGAGGAGAGAGGAGTGATTGCAGTTTAGTCATAGAGGTTGACATAAACCACTAAATCAAGTACATTGTGTTCAGTGTCATAGGGGAAGCATAATACAATCCTATGGGAGTGGAAGAAGTTACTTACTTTTCTTGGAATACAACAGAAAAAGATTTAGGAAAGATTTTTCAGAAGAGGTGACATTTGAGTTTCACTTTGAAGAATGAGTAGGCATTCTCTAAGCAAAGTAGAATACAAGATAGTCTGGGCTGGTAAAAGAATGTTGCTTATTAAAGATGTGGCAGAAAGCTCAGTGTGGCAGCTGGGAGGAGGAGTCCATGGGACCACGATGGAGCTGGATCAGCAGTCCAGTCACAAAGCACGCTACTGATATTGAAGGTTCATAAGCTGGAAGGTGCTCTTTTCTTTTAAATCCCCAGCTATCAATGCTGGCAACCCTACTAGACAAAAAAATAAATAAATAAATAAATAAAAGAAAAAAGAAAAGAAAGAAAGAAAAAGAAAGAGAGAGAGAGAGAAAGAAAGAAAGAAAAAGAAAAAAGTGATTTGAATAGGCATATTTAGAGACATCCCTCTTTCACTTATTTGCTTAAAGACTTTCTTTTTTTTCAAAACCGATTTATTTGTCAACCATTTCATGTCATGGGTTCAGATGAATCCAATATTTGTATGAAGCGTGCATCTTTTTGTCTGGCTTTAAAATAATCATCTATAACACAAAAATATCCCTCTATGATCCTTACAATTTTACCATTAGCAATTTCTAGAATTATCAGTGGAGGTGCATAGTAAAGGTAATATAGTCCAGGTTTCTAGCAAATGAATGCCCCTTTCAAACCTCTGATAAGGGGTTATCCAGTTGTTTTTGTATATTTCTGATAATGTAAACATGTATCTTTTTCTATTGTTGTTAATACTGATTTATCACAGATTAATACAATTACAGAGTTTGAATTAATCATTTTTCAAATGAGAAAACTGAGATCGAAGGAATAAATTATTTACCCAATGTCATACAGCAGATTTTGACAAAGCCAGAAGGATAATTCATATTCTTCACCTAGCAACTTTCCTTTTTCATGGCCACATAATGAATTCCTTAGCTCCCTCTCTGCATTATTAGGAGTCAGGTAACTGGGGTACCAGTCCCACCTCTGCATCTCATGCTCTCCACAACTCAGGTCCAGCACATCCATTCTCAAAGTCTGCCTGCTCACCTGTGGAATGAGAGTCTGGACTAAGGGAACTCCCAGCCCCCTCCTCCTGACACTGTGAGTTTTTCCTTTCTCGAAGGCTACTGGTAGGCCCCACTGGAGACTGAAAGGGGAAGATTGCAGTAAAAGGCGCAGGCTGTCGAAGGATAACATGTCCTTCTACATCATTCACTAGCCTAGGATGCCAGTCAACTTCATTCTTGGAACCTTTATTTTCCAATTTGCGGGCATTTTGCAATAGGCTGATTTTAATCACATTTTATACTTTTTTTCCTTTGTTGCAGAAATGTTTGTATTACCTGTTCTTTGAATGCAGCATCTGTAGACCACAAGGTCTTTCCATAGGAACTAAGCCTGTTATATTGCTGCTAGTTTTGAGTAAATGAGCTGAATCTTGCAGCCAAGCCTCAGTGCAAACAAAAACATTTTCTGGCCAAACATTTTCTGGTTATTCAACTCCATTACAGGGCTGACTAAAAAAAAAAAAAAAAAAGTAAAAACCCACAGAGGAGCAAAACACAAGTCCTGGGAAGACAATTTCCAGCCACATTAGCTCACATTGTCAGGGTAGAAAAG
This sequence comes from Homo sapiens, assembly GCF_000001405.40. Lineage (NCBI taxonomy): Eukaryota > Metazoa > Chordata > Mammalia > Primates > Hominidae > Homo > Homo sapiens. Next base: position 188,864,057 of record NC_000003.12, read on the forward strand.
AAACAGGCCCTCATTCTTCAAACCATCATCATCTCCAAACTCTTACCCTGTGCTCTTCTGCTATTTTAATTTCACCACTTCAAAATGGGAAAAACAAATAGGTTAATAGTTTCCATGCGTTTAGACTGTGACCAGAGGCATACGAAGCAATTTCAGAACCTCAGGCAACCACAGCTTTGAGGGAAGGATGATGATGGATTTACCAATTCATCTTGGGATGGATTCCAGAGTTAAGGGAGTCAGGCCAGCACTGTGCTGCCAGAGTGGGATATAAACAATATTCATTCGTTCATTCTTTTTGTACACATTCATCTCAGGCTTATTTCTATTTCAGACAGTATACTGGGTGCATTATAGGACAGAGAAATACATTCTTAAGACATAGTCTCTGCCCCTAATGAAATTAAAGTCTGGTAGAGGAAATAGACATAAGCACAAATAATTTAAATAAAGTGCACACTGAAAGTATTGTAAGCAAACCAAATAAAGTGCTCAGGAATGGGAGAGAAAGAAGCAATTCATTCCAAGTGGGACCATTGAGGAAGGCTTCACTGGGGAATGGCCTTCTAGCCTGTACCCTGAAAGGTCAAAATGGCAAATTGCGATACATCTAGGCATTAGCCAAGGCACAGAAGTATGGGAGTTTCACATAGGTTTGAACAAGAGTGAGTGGTCTGAGATGTTATGAGAACCATAAAGGGGGGTTGGATACCATGTAAAGAATAAGCTCTTTTTACATTGTGAAGCCATTAAGATTTTATTATCCAGAAAGGTACTTGTATTTGATCACATCTGTGTTTGGAAAGAAAACTGGAAGTCATTGGAGACAGGGGCAAGGGGAGTATTATAAGAAGAGAGATACAAAGAAGCCAAATCATAGGTCATTGCTATAGGTTAGACATAAGGACACTAGTTACCTACGTACAGACACTTCTTGCTTCATAGCCATTTATATATCCTCATGGTAAAAGAGCAGCTACCCCTGAATTTCCACATCCCATTCAGTTCTGCATCTTTCTAATAAGATCCACATCCCGGGTTTATTCCTGATTGTAAACTCAATGAGTTAATCCAGATACCTCAGTTGTAATATAGCATTTTACATGTGAAACGTGGTTGTTTGCTAAGAGCATGGAATTAAAGGGCAGGATGGAAAGTTAACAGCCGATCTTTCTGAGACCTGACTCACTAACTGGTGTCTCTTTTAAGGGGTGCTATATATTTTTAAAGCTTAGAATATTTTTAAGGCCAGATAAATGTGTTTCTTAATTCACTTTTTCAAACCAGCTCCCTTCTACATTCAACATTTCTGTCAAGAGTTTGCAAACTCTAAACTTGGAGATGGTGTGTAAATCAAAGCTTTAAATGATCAGAAGCCTAATTGATTATGCTGAGTTCTGATTTGGGTTCTGCATTTAGCATGCTCTGTCTCAGTCATCTGACAGGCTATTCTGTAAAAAGTAGGGGTCTTAGTGATCGCACTATGGTCTAAGTGGTCACACTATGTCTTTGATAATGAATCAAGTTTTAGAAGTAATAGTGAAGCATTCCTCAATCGGTGAACCAGAGTGGTATAGTTCAAGGGTCAACAAACTATGCCCATGGGTCAAATCCAGCCCATTGTCTGTTTTTTTTTTGTAAATAAAGTATTACTGGAACACAAGCATGCCCATATGCTTGCATGCTATGACTGCTTTCCAGCTATAATAGCAAAGTTGACTTGTTACAACAAAGCCAGAAATATTTACTATATGGGACTTTAGAGAAAAGTTTGCCATCACCCATGCTGTAGGAAACAAGGGAAGGAACAAGGATAGCAGTCAGAAAACACATGTCCTCAGTTCTGGACTTGCCACCTACTACCTGAGTAATACTAGAAAAGCCACTTGACCCATCTAATTGTGTTTCCTTCTCTCTATAACACACTTCTTTGGCCAGTTTGTTAGTTAATTGGCCGATAACACTTGTTTTCTATTTGTAAGGACTGTATTAAAGCTGTAGATGTGGTTTGTAAATGGTGATAAATGCCTTCCTTAGAGTGGTGTGATAAGGACCTGAGACAATCTGTTTTGTAAAGATGCCTGTCATGCAGTATGGACCCCCTTCTGTCCCAGTCTGACGTGGTTTCTGTTTCCTTCCCCAGAATACTCTGGAGCAGTGCAATGTGTGTTCCAAGCCCATCATGGAGCGGATTCTCCGAGCCACCGGGAAGGCCTATCATCCTCACTGTTTCACCTGCGTGATGTGCCACCGCAGCCTGGATGGGATCCCATTCACTGTGGATGCTGGCGGGCTCATTCACTGCATTGAGGACTTCCACAAGTAGGCAACCTACTCTCTCGTCACCACCCTGCCAGTCCTTTTGGAGTCTGTTCTTACTGCTTGGCATCTGGGCATACATTCTTCTCTCTCAGAACTACAGAATTTCAGGATTTAGTGAGGCTTTTAAAAGAGCTTATTGATCCCCTCCTCCAATGCAAGAATTAATATCAGACAATCCATGCAGTCATCCAGCCTGGTCTCTGTGTCAAGGCTTCCCCAGAGCTTGTCCATTGCATCTCTGGGTAATTCTAATGACGAAAAAGCTGGCTCAGCTATAGTGTGTATGTGTTAGAAAGAAACAGGATCCTGGCCTAAATATGAACAAAATTTGTGACATTTGGCATTGTTCAACTTATTTGAGCTCTTCAGTTTGGTCTTTAGATCAAACCCTCTCTAAAGCTCTCTCAGCTGTGATGACCCAGAGTTTTCTCAAGAGCTAATCTGTGCATCCCTGCCACTCTACTGATAGGGAGTTATGGTGGACAGACACAGAGAACCATTCAGTTTCTTTTACTAATGCAAGCCTCTCACATATTCAAAGGCAGTTTCATGCCATTGTCAACATATTGATGCCATTCCCTAGCCTTTTCTTCCACCCAAGTCTTCTCTTTCTCAAGTTATTTTTTAATAGAATTAATGAATGCAAATTGTGTGTTCTTTTGAGGAGGATTAAAAAATGGTGCCTCAAGATCAAGGCCAGTTATTCATGGGCCCAAAATAATCTGTCCCCACTACTTCATTTATCTCATTTTTAGGTCCTTCTTTCCTGTATTACAGCTGGGGTCTTTATGAAAATTAAGAAATTTAAACAGTTTTGTATTGTGCTTATTTTTATTTGACCAGTTTGTTACTTAATTATTCAATAACATTCATTTTATATATATGTTTATATATATACATAATAATATGTAAATATATTTTTATATATTTTATATATAAATATATTTATTTATATACATGTATATTATTATTGTTATTATTTTTTAGACAAAGTCTCACTCTGCTGCCCAGGCTGGAGTGCAGTAGTGCAATCTCAGCTCACTGCAACCTCTGCCTCCTGACTCAAGCAATTCTCCTACTTCAGCCTCCCAAGGAGCTGAGACTACAGGCATGCACCACCATGCCCAGCTAATGTTTGTATTTTTAGTAGAGATGGGGTTTCGCCATGTTGGCCAGGCTGGTCTCAAACTCCTGTCCTCAAGTGACCCACCTGCCTCAGCCTCCCAAAGAGCTGGTATTACAGGCATGAACCACTGTGCCCAGCCAACGTTTGGTTTATATTTTTAAGAACTGTACTAAACCTATAGATATGATCTGTAAATGGTGGACTCAGGTTTCTGTATGTGTTTGCTGGGCAGTGGCTTTGAAGACAGCCTTTGAGGCTATCAAAGAGATGAAGCTTGTATTGCTCACCAGGTTGGGTATCCATTCTATGGCTTCCAAGTGTGAAGTCTTCTGGGTTAATTCTCACCACTGTGTTGATTGTCAACAGCCAGGAAGCACTTACCCCAAGGAGTTTGGAGATCTGAGACTCATATTTTAAGAATGAATGTCCTAACCACTTTCCAAGTAGCAAAGAAAGTGAAAACCTCACCAAAAGACGTGAGGTTGAATGAATTAAAAAATCCCAGAGGCGGAAATTTGCAACCTGAATTAGACAAGGAAGGACTCACTTTTAAAGGGCAGTCACAGCATAAATTGTGCTTCACATTATTGATATTTTTAGCTTGTAATTACACATTGAAAAATCCCTGCGTCTTAAGGGAAGTGAAAAGATCTCAATGGGGAGTATGTTCTGTTACTGTTTCTCTCCTTTCTTAGACTTATCCTAATCCAAGAAAGACTGATACTTATAATCGGAGCACACATGTTTCTGTGGCTAGAAAAGACTGATACATTACACCCCTCAATTAAAACAGGAAATCAATTTTGACAAATGCCAATTTATATCTATGCCATTTATCTTTCATGTCTAGGGGTAGGGAGCATAATTAGAGACTGGTGACTGATGACATCAGTTTGTGGGTCTGAAAGCTCCCAAAAAGCAGACTTGAGCAACTAAAAGGGGGAAAAAAATTAAAACCCCCAGATAACCTTCCCCACTCGTTCAATGCATGTTAAAACATAAATTAAAAATGATAATAATGTTGTCTTCATGATTGGCAGGTATGTAGGGAGAGAAGTTTTTTGATCCTTTCTCCATTTCCTAAAGGAAAATAAGAAACTGTTTTATGGAACTCTTATTTATAAGCCTTAAAATTACTAGAATACAAAGCAGCTAAAAGTCCAGCATAGGCTAATCACTGAAAGACCAAAGAGAGGGCAGACAAAGGGATATTCCTCCTCCAGACAGTTTTTGGGGCCTTGTTTGTGGTCCTTTTGAATGGGTCTCCTTTTGTGGACCTTTAGAAAATGCATGTTAATTCAGTTCAACTCACATTTATAAAGAACCCTCTGTGTGCCAATTGTTGCATTAAATGCTGAAGGAGAGAGATACAAGGAGAGAAATTGTGCAGATATATATAGAGAAGTCACTGTCAGCAAGGAGCTTGCCAGGAGGAGGGCAGAGAAAGTGTGCAGACAGGGAGAAAGGGCTGAACTCCATGAGACAGGCACAGGTAAGGGCTTGCACTGTCAAAGTCAGATCACCTGGCTCTGTGGTCAGAATAGGCTTTGTGGACGGAGAATGTCAAGAGTGTTTTAAGTGGGAAACAAGGAGATTCCTGGCAGAGGGAACAACTCAGGCAAAAAGCAGAGGCACAGAGTTAGTAAAGGGTTCTCTGTGTTCAGGGAGATTTGCTTTGCTGTAACTAGAGCAGCCTGGGAGTAGAGATTACCTTGAGATACAGGAGACCCATAAGAAGGGATTTACCTCACCTGCTTAGCCTGCCTTTTATTTATTTATTTGTTTATTTTATTTATTTATTTTGAGATGGAGTCTCACTCTTGTCACCCAGGCTGGAATGCAGTGGCACAATCTCAGCTCACTGCAACCTCTGCCTCCCATGTTCAAGCAATTCTCCTGCCTCAGCCTCCCAAGTAGCTTGGATTACGGGCACCCACCACCATGCCTGGCTAATTTTTATATTTTTAGTACAGACAAGGTTTCACCATGTTGGCCAGGCTGGTCTTGAACTCTTGACCTCAGGTGATCCACCCGCCTAGGCCTCCCAAAGTGCTGGGATTACAGGCGTGAGCCACTGCACCCAGCCTTAGTCTGCGTTTTAAACCAGTGCTTCCCAAACTTTAATGTGCCTGTAATCCACAGAGGGATCTTGTTAAACTTTGGATTTTAATTCAGGTCTGGAGTGGGGCCTAAGATTCTGGATTTCTGTCAAGCTCCCAGGTGCCCATGGCCTGCACTTTGTGTAACAAGGTTCTGGAATACTGTTTTTGAGAACTTGTTAATGGACCATCCTCTACATAAACACCTTTGGTCAATGTTGACTCATATCCTCCAGCCTACTGGACATGCAATCTTTCACATATGTCATTTCAGATGACCGCTGCAACCACTGCAGTCTTCTGGAAGACTATCTCCCCTACCCTAACACACACGTACACATTTTCTCATTTCACCTAAATGGTTATCTTTAAAGGCCCAACTCAATTACCGTTTCCTGGAAGAAAACTTCTCTGATCTCCACCCCTCCCTTTTCTCAAGTTTAGATTTACATCTTAATCTCTGTGTTTTATAGAGTTTTATAAGTCTGCTGTAGATAGCACTTACCACAGTCTGACTGGTATAGAAATATACATATGTGTGTGTGTGTATATACATATGTGTGTTTGTGTATATATATATATAACTTTACAATAATCATCTTGTATCATTTTTGCAATAAGGATTTGTATATATAAATTAATAGAAATACTGCAGAAATATATAGAACTCCTTCTCAGGTCTGTACTGGAAGTCGTTGCTTATTCTTGTATTCCCAGTGAGAAAACCCAGAAAAGCAGATTTCTTTAACTGACTCTTTGCATGTATGGAGGCTTTATTCCCCTATCTGTGCTTTCTTATCAGGAATATTACCCTCATTCATTTATGTATTTAATCAGCATCCATTAGTTGATTGCCAGAAATGTGCCGGAATACAAGATGACCAAGATCATCCCTCTCTGAGCCTTCGCTCTGTTGGCTGTAAAGTAGAAATGATAAAAATACTTCCTCATAATGTTGCTGTCAGTAGAAAATTACGTCAAGTGTGTACAGCACTTAACAGGGCTTGGCACATAATAAGCACTCAATAAATGGTAGCTTTAATCATCGAAAGTTGTTTTCATCAAATTTACTTTTACGATTATTGTCCACTCAGTGAGCTAAGCCTTGAAATAGACCACCTGGGATTGTGAGCCCTCCTCGAATTGCTATCGGAGGAACACTGTGGGGACTATGAGAACCACCTCCTGCCTCTTCGCTTTGGTTTTTCTCATTATGGAAATGAGGCCAATTGGTAGGAAAGAATCATTACTCAGCAAGAATACAGTTTATGTCTTCCCAAAGAGGAAGAACCTTGAGATTGAACATAAAGCCCAACTAATATCTTTTTTTATACAGAAATATGGCAGATTCATTTCATTAGATACAGCCCAACTTTTTTTTTCTGCACCAGTCACAGTGGTTGTTCCTGGAGACTCAGAGATGGAGCAAAGTCCTATCTTGTGGAAACTTAGAGTTTAGTGCCCCATAAATATATCCAAATAATTACTACCAAAATGGATAAATTCAATGACAGAATTCTTATCTTAGAGGAGTAAATAATTCTATTTGGGGAAATTGGAGAAGGCTTATGGATACACTGAAAAGGAAAACATACTTCTGCTCCCACAGAGTTTGGGGAAAGGAAATTTTGCAGTTGATCCCAGAAGCCTACTTATTTCACCACTGATGACCCAGATTTAAAAATAATCTGGTAGTCCAAAGCAATTTTTTGCCACTGAATATAAACTTCTTGCATAAAATACCAATTATAACAACTCTGATTACTGCTGCAGTGGTACCATGATCCTTCTAACTTTTCTTTCACAGCAATCAATTGATCTGCTGCTTAATTCATATTTATTTAGATTGCAGCCATACAGATGCTTTTTGGGTGCTGCCAGGAAAATTAATTACCTACATATAGAATATAATGTATGTAGAAATGCTTTGACAACCGTAACGTGCTCTGCAAAGAGTTAGATTATTATCATTATTTCTTTTTAAGTCTCACTACAAATAGATAAATTTTTAACATCGTTTATCTTAAAACCAGTACCATGAAAAAACTGAGTCACAGTCTGTTTTTCTTTTTTTAAATCTCTTCAGTTCTTATCCAGGTCCATTTCAAATAATATGTCATTTCATACCTTCACAAATACCATCTCCAATTTCCAGAAGATACAGAGAGATACATGGCTTATATTTTCAGCCAATTAACCTGTCATAGAAAAAAAATTGTTAGGTACCATTGATCATATTGAGAAATACTAAGAAATTAATAAGTATTAAAAGTATTTACCAGCAGCCTCAAAAACATATGCATATGCATATTTATATGTATATGTATGTGTATGTGTGTTAGTATACACTCACCCTTTAACAGTGCTAAAATCCTTTAAAGAATAAAGAATTTGATAGCTCTTTAACTTTTAATTTTTAAGCAAAAGTTTAACACAATAAAAAATGTAGGAAATGCAGACTTGGCCACTTTTAAGTTTTGTGTAATGTATATTTAAACGCACTAACCTCTGCCCTTTTGAAAAGCTATGTATTTGAGTCTTCTTATGTCAGTTCCTAGAAGTCAAGGCAAATTTCCAAGAAAGAAGCTCTAAAAGGTGGGAACAAGGCAAAGATACCAACCTCAGACTATTTTTCTAGGACCTAAGGAGTGCATACAAAAGTCTAGAAACAAAAGTCAGAAACAAATAGGGGCTGGACAGGACTTTGTTCTCTCCTCCAGTTAGCCTATCCCAAGCACAGGGTTTGCATTCAGAATCTATCTAAAGATGAATTTCATACCGCGCACCATGCAGGAAAGAGATGCTAGATGCTCTTCATGCCCAAGCAATTCACACGCTCACTCTCTCACCTCGCCAAATATCACAATATTTACCACCGATTGATGGAAGAACCTCCACAGTCCCTGAGTCTAACTCCCTCACCTTACGGATGAGGAAGCAGGTATACCGACTCTCAGTTTCCACCTCTTCCTTTTACCTCTGCGTCCCACCTCAGTGTCGACGCGCAGTATCTAACCAGAACTCTCTCTTCACTTTCAGGAAATTTGCCCCGCGATGTTCTGTGTGCAAGGAGCCTATTATGCCAGCCCCGGGCCAGGAGGAGACTGTCCGTATTGTGGCTTTGGATCGAGATTTCCATGTTCACTGCTACCGATGCGAGGTCTGGTTGACAGCCCTGCCCTGCCAGTCTGTGGCAGGCGTTGAAAGGCTCGTTCGAGCTAGGTTTACATAGATGTAGCAATTACTAAATCTCAGAACGGCCTTAGTGCCTGTACTCATAGGACTTGGGTTTTAGATTTGACACTAGTATTCCGAGCACATGCTGTTGAATAAGTCACTGTACCTCTCTCAGTCTGCTTGCTCACCGGAAGAAAGGACTCAAGTCCTTAACTCCTCCAAATATGGCTGTGAGAGTGAAATACAAAATTGTATATTAAAGGACATTGTAAATTGTGAAATACTAAATTAGTGAGAAATGGTGTTATTGAACATTTAACTTTGGCTCTGAGGCTTTGGTTAGAACTTCTTGTTCAGAGTCATGGAGATTTATTTATTTGTTAGCATGCACTACTAATTGCTCAGTTTCCTGAACGCCTCTAGAGCTGCAGTATATCTGCATGTTCTTTTCAGTAAAGCCAAACTTCCCGCAGAGTATAACCATTGCTGCTATTGTGTTCTGGATACCCCGTTAACTTAAATTTCATTCTATGTCAAATGAAGACATGAACTCCATTGACCTCCTTGCCACCATGGTAGATAGCAGAGGCGAGGTTCATAGCTGTTGTGGCCTTTGAGAGTTTATACTAAAGTTAGCAAACACACACCTCTTGATGAAGTACTATGTATTTATTTTCCAAAGAAACTTCTATTTTCTCCAAAGACAAAGGCCAGCATTTAACTGTTATATAACACTTTTCAAAATGGACCCTAAGAGGAGCTGTCAGCGGTAGTATATTCCTTTACAGTTATGCAGTTCTTTGCATTTTTTTTTTTGATCCATTATCTTCTTTGATCCTCTTAACAGCTTGGTAAGGTAGAAAAGGCAGAAGTTATTTTCAGAGTGGCAGTCGGCCTGTGTGCATTGAGGCAGACTGTAGCAAAACTGTGGGTGGTGCTCAGGAGGCCTGTCCCCTGGACTAGCAATCTTTGCTCTCCACAATGCTGTCTCCTTTAGAAAGTACAGCAAACCACTACTCCCCACAAACTTTAGGATTTTATTTTCTTACTGCAGTTGAAGTAAATACACCGAACCCACTGGTGGCCCTTCTGCTTGGCAGACATCAGTCTACCTTTGCTCTAGGCCAGAAATGGCCAAAACATTCCATTCCTGTACCTGTGCATGCATTTTGAGAGATCCTTAAACTAATGGTAAAGGGTAAAAAATGCATCGGTGGTTAGGGACATTCTTATTTTCTCTTGTTGAGTGGGGGCAGCAAACTTCTACATGGGAGCCAAGATGGGTGGCCTCTTCTCTTCTTATACCTGTATTTCATATCAAGTGAGCTTAGGAGGATTATATTTATGTCCATTTATATTTATGTCCCCAATCTCTAATTCAATTACATTCAAGATATACTATGTTATATATTGGGAGAAAGGATACAGGGGATTAGCAGAATGTAAAGCAGGAAGGATAGTAAGTGGCCACATTATGGAGGCCTTGAATAGAAAGCTCAATCATGATGTTCTCCACATGTGTACTTAACGTTTTTACTTATGTCGTTTCCATCTGTCTTTACTGTTCTAGGATTGCGGTGGTCTCCTGTCTGAAGGAGATAACCAAGGCTGCTACCCCTTGGATGGGCACATCCTCTGCAAGACCTGCAACTCTGCCCGCATCAGGGTGTTGACCGCCAAGGCGAGCACTGACCTTTAGATTCAGTCACCTGTTCAGCCGGCACTGAGAAGAACGAACACAAGAAAAAGATAAGAAATACTAGAGTAAAGGCCATCAAACTACGCGATAGTCTCTGTTCTTCATCTGCTATTAACCTTGCCTTAGAAACACATAAATTATGAGATTTTTTTTAAAAGTTGTTACCAAATACACATTTCACATTGAATCATGTAGGATCTTGATGGGCCTTTGTTCCCAAGGACTTCCACATTTTTGCACAGATTATGCTCCATCCCATTCACTTCTGCATTCCTGTAACTTTTAATCCCTATGTTTGTCTCACTTTTCATCTGGTTGAATGGCTTTTCTTAGTGTGGTATTTGCTGTCACATAGTTTTTCCTGGGTGAGTCTGCCAACTCACAGGTGCTTTTAGGCTTGAAATCTCCATCCTATCATTTCCGTTTTGCCTGTGACTGTAAAGAGTAGCCATTCTTTTCCCATGTATTGAAGAGGATATTCTTCTCTTGCTTTATACTACTCACGTCCTTGGGGAGGGAAATGCACAATTTTTTTTTGTTAGGCTGTAAAGAATTTAAGCTGTAAATTACATAAGTTAGAACAAGCCCAAATTTAATTTGCAACCATCAGAATTCAGAATCTATAGTGACCAGTGATCAAGGCTAATTGGAAAAGAGTTATCGGCCCATAGCTAATAAGTAGTGACAGACAACCAAGCTTCAATATTTTTCTAAAGAAATTACAGGTGGGATATGCTAGAAAAGGCATTTTGGGGTTATGTTTAAAAAAACATTATTGTCCCACAATATTACCTTAAGATTTTTCTTTTCCGCACTACCTGAACATTGTAATACAGACAAACTTGATTTCTTCTAGAAGATAACATTTTCAATACTGTCCCACTTCTCATCTTAAAAATATTGTCATGTTTATTCTAATATCCAACACAACTATCAAAATTGCCTTTTTCTCTAGAGGATGAAGGCTGTGAAAAAACCGTTCAAATTCTCTTCTTTTTCTTTTTTATTACCAGGTCCATTTTGCCTGACAATTGCAAATCAGAGCATACAAAATAAAACTGTGCAGTTTTGTTTGGTTTACTTTCAAAAGAGTAGAAAGCTTGAAAAGATTCTGAAACCACAGTTTCATTATTCTCATAATCCTTCTGCAACTGAAATTACATATTGCAGGAGACATTTTCATATCATCAATGTGACATTTACACCACACTTTCAAAGACAATCACTGAAACAAAAATTGTCTTTATGAGCTAAAAATATGCAGAATCTCTGCCTAGAATCTTTATTCAAACTTTTATTAGCCAGTGAAACACTTGCTTGCCAACTGCCAAGCCATACTTATTAAGTTCGAACATGTTTCACTTAAGGAGAGACACCTAGCTTAGTCATGGCAAGTTGCCATTTTGTAAACTAAGGATTTTGGACTGAGATTTCTTAAATCTTTCTTCAAATCTCCCACAAGTATATACTTTTAAATTATGGAGTATTTTAAGTCTACAAAAAGGTATAAATAATAATATAATGAATTCCTATATACCTAATACCCAGTTTAAGACACCAAATATAACAAGTATAATTACATCCTCCAATGTACCGTTTCCTTATTCCACAGATATCTTTTTCATTATTGTGAAGTGATGTTCAGATTTCTAGTTTTTTTTCTAGTTTTTAATTTTAACATCAGAACTGAAATAAAAAATTATGGATACGTGTTTTGAATTGCAAACTATTCCTCAGGAATTCCAATTAAATTTATTTTACTTGAATAGGAATGATCATAAAAGTGATTCTTTTTTTGTGACTAGAAATTCTTAAGCCGATGGTCACTATAGCTCATCCTTAATGTATGGCTCATTTGCTTTTGTCACTAAACGGTTTTGTGTTAGAACCACCAAAATTATAGCTTTTAAGAGCTTCCTTTGACCACTGTCTTTTTCTTACCCTAGTTCTCTTATCTTTGATCGTATATTTCTCATAATGTGAAATATGATGAGATTCACTTAGGGGCAGCATGTTAGTTTTGGGAGGCAATGTCAACTGTGTCTCTGAATTCCTGTCTTCCAAATTGAAGCCAGACCATGCTGATGACCTCAAGTAGCACTGACTATTTGACAATAGGGCTGATAATGTAATCGGCTTGAATTTTGACTTAGTAACTTTTTATGTAATACTTTCGGAGAAATTCTCTTTAGGACAAAGCAGAGAGTCCAATTTATTGAGGGATAGATTGTATCTCTTAAAGTGGTCATATTATTATTAATTTTGCCAAAAGAAGAAGAATTTATTGAATATTTATACTATAAAATGCAGTAACATTCTACTTGCTTATTACATTTAAATCCTTGTGTAACTGAATGTTTACATGTCAAGAGGAAAAGCTGTAAGAAAATGCTGTCACAGACCCATCCCTGTGGCATCGTCAGCAGAATACTGCTTGCTTACAATCTTTATTATGCATTCTTATAACATAACCTCAGAGTATCTTTACCAAAGGTTTTTAAAGTAAATCTCTTTTTAAGATAGACTTATTCTTTTATAATAATGAATGTGCACTCATACATATGTAGAAACATTTAGATTTAGAGTTTTTTTTTTCTTTCACAAGGTATAATAAGGAAAGGATCCTACAATATTTTATTCTAGGGTTTCTTAAATATATGATTTATATTACTGTCTTTTCTATTAATCATTTGATTTAAACAATGCCAAGTCACTCTTTTTTAGTTGCATGAAATTTTGCCTGCAACAGAGAGAAAAAGATTGTATTACTTTAATGATTATAATCATACTGTCTGCTGATATAATATCATAATTGTTGTGGTTTAAATACATAAATAGTAGAAAAATCAGAGTCTATAACAGAAAGTTTGTAAAAATATACTGATTTTGAAAAGTATCAGGAATATAAATATTTGGTAATTCTGTGTAACAAGAGAGACATGGAAAAGGAAAAAAATCCACTATATCATGGGCTCTGCAGAACATATCAAAATAGGATTTCTTAAATTTTTCAACCCCCAGACCATACTGACTCAACATGGAGTCTCACTGGCCAAGAAAATTGCCTTTAAAACTCGAAAATAAGGCCAGGTGTGGTGACTCACACTTGTAATCCCAGCAATTTGGGAGGCTGAGACAGGAGGATTGCCTGAGGCCAGGAGTTTGACACCAGCCTGGGCAACATAGTGAGACCTTGTCTCTACAAAAAATAAAATAAAATAAAAACCAAATTAGCCAGACATGGTGGCATGCGCTTGTTTAAAAAAACAAATAAATAAATAATCGACTCAAAAATAAGTCATGTGTCCCAGCATAAGGCATCAGGTTGTTAGATGCTGGCATCTCTGCAGCTCAAAGATGTGGGTTCTTTTTCTTGTCATTAACACATTGTTATTTCTGTAGGAGCAACTTCTCTGATCAAAATTACTTTTCTGGGTATGTGCTGATTAAGGGGGTGGACTTATCAACACTATAATTGTTCCCTATGAAAGATTCCACAGAGATGTTTATGGTGAGGTTTAAAGGATATGAAACTCTACATTTAAACAAGTATTTTATATTTGGGTACAGAGGAAGAAAGAGAGGGCTTTTTCCATGGGGCTATAGTAGAGAGTTAGTGGAATATAGACAGGACTCTGAAAACACAACTTCCAGCCATTTTTTTAGTTAGTAAAAATCCTATTAATGTGAACCAGCCAGGAATAACAGTGTTATTTCTATTGGATATGGTTTGGGCTTCTCTTGTCAAATCTGTGTCGGCTGCCCCCTGATCCTTCCATTATCAAGTTTTGAAGGGTGTTGGGGAAATTATGGCAGCTGCTAGGGAGATCAGGGAAACACTGATGTAACCTCAAAGCCTCTCACCATTCCTCTTGGCTTGGAAAGGCTTTATTTTTTCATATACATTTCTAGAAATATTGCTATTCTACCTTAGTATTTCACATTTGTAGTTCAAACAAGCGATTGTCCATCTGTTGCCTAGAGCTATAGTACATGTGTGTTATGAATGAAATATGACAGCATGTTCCATACCCCTGCTTTAGCCATCTGTGGGAAACCAGCAAACTGAAAAAGACACCTCTGCAAAATGTGCCTCAAGTCCATTTCTTGGGATCGCTCGTTTGGTGCACTCTCGTGGGAGACAATCAGAGAACAACATATACTTGTGCCTTATTTTCAAAGAATCTATTTACACTACTATGAATATTCCACTGAAGAGTCAATGATGTAAATGATAACCACCAAATCTCAAAAATATACTCACCAAAAAGTAAAAAAGTAAAAAAAAAAAAAAAAGAAAGAAAGAAAAGAAAGAGAGAGAAGTCAACTTTTCATCTTAATATATTCTAGTAGTATTTATTTTTTCCTTGTCTTGGAAGTATCTCATAGGTCTTTAAATGAGTAAAACATTTTTATGCCAGAAGGTGATATAATGGATGTTAGTGTTTTTTATTTGATTTTACAGTAGTTTTAGTCAGATAATGAGGACAGAGACTTCAACTTGATTCTTTACCACCATTCAGCATATTTTTTAATTGTCTTCATTGTATTTGCTTAATAGTGGTCCAGACAAGTTCAAAACTTGTTCTCAGTGAGGCATTAATATGGTGCAACCATGAATATTTCAGGCCAAGTTATTCACTTGACAGATAACTAGAATGAAACTTTTCTCATGAGGCTGTTGTTTGGTTAGCATAGCCTTATTTCAAACCTTAAAAAGTTACCTGACTGAAGCTACTATGACTTGGTAAGGATTCTTCCTCTCTTGCTTTCTTCCTCCCTTCCTTTCTTCCTCTTCCTTCCTCCTCTTCTTATTTTCTTTCCTACTTTCCATCCTACCTATTAGTGTTGCTGTACTTGGATTTTTTGTAAATTAAATCAATGCATTATGATTTTAGGGAATTATGATTATATTCATAAGGGGAAGGCTACCAGAAAATATATGTGGCATCCATAAAATCTTCTTTTATAGGGGCATATTTTTTAGGTTGTATTTATTCGTAAAGTGAAATGAGATAATAGAGTCTTTCTGTTTCATGTTAATGAATTTTCATCAGGGACTGAGGTCATAGATTCTTGGAAAATTCATTTGTGACTGATCTAGTTTTCTCAGCTGTATGCAAAGTAATCTTTCAAAGACTAGGTTAAGATTTTTTTTTTAAGTCTGAAGCAATGTAACCCCAAAAAATTATAATTTTAATGATGGCATTTTATTTTATTCCATTGCAGCTTGATAACTTTCCTTATAGCAAAGGAATAACTATTGTATTTTCAGAATTTTAACACAGATTAACACTTAGCCTGTAAGACTAATAATATATTGTAATAGTTGATACTAAAATATTTTTCAGCAGGTTGGACAGCACCAGTTTTTCTTAGATCACAGACTACAGGCAGAATTTCCCTTCAATCCAGAAAAAAGGACACTAATTTCCTTTTCTATTTAATTTTCCTGGCCCTTGTGCAAAAAATTGTGGACTCTATCTTAGTTACAACATGCATGTCCCTTATTTTGTGGAGAGCTGTGTGAAAGATGCGTTTTTTTTCTTTTTTTCTTTTTTTTTTTTTTGAGACGGAGTCTGGCTCTGTCACCCAGGCTGGAGTGCAATGGCACGATCTCCTCTCACTGCAAGCTCCGCCTCCCAGGTTCACGCCATTCTCCTGTCTCAGCCTCCCGAGTAGCTGGGACTACAGGCGCCTGCCACCACGCCCGGCTAATTTTTTTGTATTTTTAGTAGAGATGGAGTTTCACAGTGTTAGCCAGGATGGCCTCGATCTCCTGACCTCGTGATCCACCCGCCTCGGCCTCCCAAAGTGCTGGGATTACAGGCGTGAGCCACCGTGCCCCGCGTGTTTTTTTCTTTAGCTGATTGACAGGTCCCCTTCAAAGTTACAAAAAAAAGTGCTAATTTTTGCTGTTAAATTCTGGTTGTTATTTAATTGACAGAAGTCTCTTGATGCACGAATAAATATCTCTACATCTAGCCTTTGTTAAAAATAAAAATTAATATTCTACAAACACCTACATATACTAGAGAGGGGTGAAACACTGCAGCTAATTCCTTTATAATACTTTCAGATGATTGCATTAAGCCTTTCATGTTATGTGGCATTGTTAATTTTTCCTAGATACCCATCCACTTAAGGGCCAGAGAAATCCTTATTCATTTAACTCTGGTGGGCATTTATGTAACATACCCAAATAAAAACGTTATTAAACAGCCACAATCGCATTCAGTCAACTTGGCACTGAATGTAGCTTCTAAAATCAGTTCTCTACCCTACGAATGGAATGTTCTACCAAGAAAGAGAAGCATCACCATGTCATCTTGTGTTCTACACCACTATAGAGAGTTACAGTTGCCCCCAAACACGAATGCTATTCCCAAATAAAATAGAATCATGCTTTGGGAGGCCAAGGCGGGCCGATCACGAGGTCAGGAGATCGAGACCATCCTGGCTAACACGGTGAAACCCCGTCTCTACTAAAAAAAAAAAAAAATACAAAAAATTAGCCTGGCTCAGTGGCGGGCGCCTGTAGTCCCAGCTACTCAGGAGGCTGAGGCAGGAGAATGGCGTGAACCCGGGAAGCGGAGCTTTCAGTGAGCCGAGATAGCGCCACTGCAGTCCGGCCTGGGCGAAAGAGCGAGACTCCGTCTCAAAAAAAAAAAAAAAAAAATAGGATCATGGCCCTTTTAAAGATCTGAATCTTCTCTGTTATTTTCCTGATGAATCACCATCCCATATCTTCTTAGTCCTGGCCAGTATGTAGTTGCGCTCACATACGTCTATTCTAGCTCTGTAGCTCCACAAAACAAGTCTTAAGTCCAAATCTTTGCCTCTTCATGTCTGATATCACCAACTCATTCAGCTTTTCTTCACTTATTGACATAGTGTCATGTCCTATCACTCTCTGCTGCTTCTTTAAACAGTGGACACAAACATATTTTCTAATTTTCAGTGTACTCAGTGAAACTTGGCAGTTCACCATGAGTCAGGCTAGGTTGAAAGGCTTTCTTTAGGGTTGAAAGTAAACGAAATTGGAATCACCCAAAGAGAATTTCCCCAAAAAACCTCAGACCCAGAAGTGTAAAAGCTACAGAAGGATAGAACTCCCATGTCTACAGACAGTTCTGTTACTTTTTGTTCTGTACTATTTTGGATGTTGCCAAAATCAAATTCATCCTGAAAACAGGAAGCAAGCTAATGCATATGCCATCCATGAGATTCCCACTTCTGGGTCAGTTCATATTCCATTCAACCTTTTCCTTTTATCCTTGTCTTCTTCAGAATAAGACATTTTTCCTCCATATTTTCATATTAAATATTAACACTTTATAGGTTCTACTTTAATATATGGACACTTTACAGGTTATACATAAATATTTGCTGGTTGATTGATTTCGAGATTCATTCATTCTGTGCTCAAATATTTGTACCTAGAGACGTTACATGTTAGAAAAAGTGAGCAGCTTCTTTCTCTAATCATTTAGGAGTCCATATTTTTCTTTTCTTTTTGTTCTCCCAACATCCTTATCTCTTACTCAGCTCTTCAATTTATAATTACCAAATAATCACTGTTAGAGAATCAGCCCCTAAGTAACTTTGATTCTGGCCAACTGTAATAAGATCCAACCACTTAAATCTGTACTTACTCAATAGGAAGGAATGTGACATCAGGAAGAGTCATTCCAGTGACATTAGTAAGACTTTATGGAGTACATAAAATTTGATAAGAAATCTTGAGCTGATTCTTTGACTTGATTTAGAAGTTGAGAAAAGAGTATTTAAGGCACAACAGGGAAACATGGGCTATACTCAGAGAAGACCCTCTGCATTGGCCAAAATATCATGGATTCTGGAAATTCCTTCTTAACAGAAAAAAAAGGCTTCCAAATAATCAGGCTGAATGGGAAGAAAAAGGCATAGAGGAAGCCTGAGGAAGTATTTACTTGCTTTTCCCATCTCTTTATAATTGGAAGAGAAGATGATCTGCCAAAATATAACCCAGCATGCACAGTATGGACAGGAAGCAGCCCTCCATGAACTTTATTATCACAGAATATGAGCATTCTTATTGATCCACAGCTACATCTTCTATTCTTGCAGCAAGGGTACATGTCCTTTGACCCTCCACAAAAGAACAAGCAGGACATCTCTATTTTCCTATTGAGTCTGAGTCCATTATTAGAAAGGACTTCCCAGCCATCTTTTCTACTTGGTATTAAAATTCCCTTACAGATTCATTGCTAAGTGCCAATTCTTTTTTTTTCTTTTGAGACGGAGTCTTGCTCTGTCGCCCAGGCTGGAGTGCAGTGGCGCAATCTCGGCTCACTGCAAGCTCCGCTTCTCGGGTTCACGCCATTCTCCTGCCTCAGCCTCCCGAGTAGCTGGGACTACAGACGCCCGCCACCGCGCCCAGCTAATTTTTTTTGTACTTTTAGTAGAGACGGGGTTTCACCGTGGTCTCGATCTCCTGACCTCGTGATCCGCCCGCCTCGGCCTCCCAAAGTGCCAATTCTGACTCTACTTAAACATCACCTGTATCAGGGAGCTCATTATTCCTTGAGGTCTTACATTTCTTTCAGCACATTTTGTTCCAAGCTACACGACTTTAAAACAGAGCCAGCCTTTGGGGCATATGTTCTCTTTGGTGCCACACAAAACCTGTAGTACATGATACAGTGTTGCTTCCCCCCTCCTTTTCCTTCCATATATATTTGTTTTGTTTTGGGCATTGCATTACTTTTTTGAATTTTTAAGAATCTCTAAAATTAGTCTGAAGGATGTTCTGAGGGCCAGACATTAGAATTTGTGAGTTTTTTTGTTGCTGGTTGTACTTTCCTATTTAGAAGACAGACCGTTCTGACAGTTGTTGTGTAGCTTCATGCCTTCCCCAGTAACTAACCCATGAACAGTACACCCCTTTTATCTGACTTGTTGATAATGACCTTAAAAATGTTAGGAAATGGGCCGGGCGCGGTGGCTCGTGCCTGTAATCCAGCACTTTGGGAGGCCGAGGCGAGCGGATCATGAGGTCAAGAGATCGAGACCATCCTGGTCAACATGGTGAAACCCCGACTCTACTAAAAAAAATACAAAAATTAGCCGGGCGTGTTGGCGGGCGCCTGTAGTCCCAACTACTTGGGAGGCTGAGGCAGGAGAATCACCTGAACCCAGGAGGCAGAGGTTGCAGTGAGCAGAGATTGCGCCACTGCACTCCAGCCTGGGCGACAGAACGAGACTCCGTCTCAAAAAAAAAAAAAAAAAAAAAAGGTTGGGAAATATTGGTGTATAATCCCCATGTCTAACAAGGAAGAAGTCAAAAGCAAAAGATAGTGGTATTGCCGAAAACTCATTATTTCTAGTTAGTTCATCTGTGGAAAAGGATATCGTTCTTGAGGAGAGGGGTTCTATTATGCTATAGTTTTCTATGGAAATGTACAAATGCTTTCCTCATTGCTCTGGATGACTATTTAGTTTAAATAATATACCTTTGTCATGGGGAAGACCATGATTGTGGCTTCTTCTACCCCAACTTTGAATGAGAGAGCACTGTAAGCAGAAACTGCCATCAGTCTCCTGGGCAGGACCTGGAGGTAACTTTCTGAGCTGTAAAATAGTAATTCCTAAGAGAGCTTACAAACTGCTTCCACACAGAAAATAGCGCAGGGAGGACAGTTATTAGTACCCCTATTCTAGAAGAGAAAGCTGAGGCTCAAGCCATTAAGTGACTTGCCAAAAGCTGTGACATAGCTGGGAAGTGGCAGATTTGGGGATATAACCAGGTCTTGCAAGTCCAGTGCTGTCTCCAAGTAGCCACGCTCACAGCTGAGAACACCTTAGAGGACAATATCGACTTCTTACAGACTACCAAGCCCCCAGTCATCCAGGGAAATTCAGAGACCAATTGACTGCCAGGTGGCAAATCCACATGTGTACTGCGGTCTTTAGAGATCATTTAGAGCTTGCACACATCTGTGTCTTCTTGTGGGAAACCTCTAGGTATTCTGTCTGATCAGCACTGTGAGGAAGTTGGTGGGAAAAGGCCACTGATAAGAACAAACAATGGGCAGAAGGAAGCACATTGCAATAAATTTCCCCAGAGAGAGTTCCTTTACATTCCATTCACCAAAAACCTCTCT
This sequence comes from Homo sapiens, assembly GCF_000001405.40. NCBI lineage: Eukaryota > Metazoa > Chordata > Mammalia > Primates > Hominidae > Homo > Homo sapiens. Next base: position 188,884,625 of record NC_000003.12, read on the forward strand.
GGAACTGTCAGGTTCAGAATATCAACCAAGACCATATCATTTAGAATTCATTGGCATGTAGAGGTGACTCGATTCCTAAAAGAAGCCTCTCTCCCATGAACCACGATGTACGTTCCACAGAGGCAGAAACCGCCGTAGGTTAGCAATGCATTTTAGTCTTTCTCTCCATTCACATTTACTGAGAGCACACCACGTGCATGTTGCTGCAACAGGCATTTCCGATAGAGCCGATCCATGAGCTAACAATGTCTGAAAACAAATGTTATGGAACTGTTGGCATTTCTGAGATTTGGCCTTTGCCATTTGATAGACTTTGCTTCCCAGGATGCTGTCATTTTGTGATTTTTTATAATTACAAGGAATTTGGTACCATGTTGTTTTCAAAAAACCTCCTAGAAAGTCTCCATGTATGCTCTAGAAGTTGCTCTACGTAACAGTTCAGCAAGCAAGTGTTCCTTCTCTTGAGCTGCGTCCCTCAGGAAGCTGTACCTTTAGGGTGTGCTTTCCACTTTTTATTTCCTCTCATTTCACTCCTTTCATTGTTTGCTATATCCTAAAATATGTGAAGTGAGAGAAAAAATATCATTTCTTCTCATTAAATCTCCTGCATTAAATCTAAGAATCCTTTAAAATAATCACACCTGATAAGTGTTTTATGCATTTCCCTCCCTGGAGTGTTATCATCCATCAAGCCAGTATCATCATCCACCTGCTTATTCCTTGGGACTAATGAGAGCCAAGTTAAATAGCAAATGACTTCTCACCCCTTCCTAGTCCTCATGCCTGAGGAATAAGGGCGACATTAATGGGAGCGGGAGAGTGGTGGCTTTGGTTGAGATGCACGTTCACAGACTAGAAAAGTGCCTCACCTCCATGGTGTATATGTGCCACCTTTTCTTAATCCAGTCTATCATTGTTGGACATTTGGGTTGGTTCCAAGTCTTTGCTATTGTGAATAGTGCCGCAATAAACATAAGTGTGCATGTGTCTTTATAGCAGCATGATTTATAATCCTTTGGGTATATACCCAGTAATGGGATGGCTGGGTCAAATGGTATTTCTAGTTCTAGATCCCTGAGGAATCTCCACACTGACTTCCACAATGGTTGAACTAGTTCACAGTCCCACCAACAGTGTAAAAGTGTTCTTATTTCTCCACATCCTCTCCAGCACCTGTTGTTTCCTGACTTTTTAATGATTGCCATTCTAACTGGTGTGAGATGGTATCTCATAGTGGTTTTGATTTGCATTTCTCTGATGGCCAGTGATGGTGAGCATTTTTTCATGTGTTTCTTGGCTGCATAAATGTCTTCTTTTGAGAAGTGTCTGTTCAATACTATGCAGCCATAAAAAATGATGAGTTCATGTCCTTTGTAGGGACATGGATGAAATTGGAAATCATCATTCTCAGTAAACTATCTCAAGGACAAAAAACCAAACACCACATGTTCTCACTCACAGGTGGGAATTGAACAATGAGAACACATGGACACAGGAAGGGGAACATCACACTCTGGGGACTGTTGTGGGGTGGAGGGAGGAGGGAGGGATAGCATTAGGAGATATACCTAATGCTAAATGACGAGTTAATGGGTGCAGCACACCAGCATGGCACATGTATACATATGTAACTAACCTGCACATTGTGCACATGTACCCTAAAACTTAAAGTATAATAATAATGAAATAAAATTAAAAAAAAAAAAGAAAAGTGCCTCACCTCCCTGTGAGGCTTGATGAATATTGTGGCCAGTGAGTGGAAAATGATTCTTGTCGAATAGACAGAGTATTCCCACCCCAGGAATGGATTAATAGAAGACACAATTTGAGCACTTCTCAGAATTATCTAGTATGCCTGAGTAGAGACTCACATGGGTGGAATCTGTGTTGTCTCATCAGAGGGAATAAAAAGACAATGAGGTGGTAAATGTGAAAAAAGCAGCCTTTTAGAAAAACATTATTTTCAAATACCTTTATAAATCATCTAATTTATCTTCACATAATATAAAGAAAAAACTAATAAAAATTTTCGTATTTCACTTTACATAATATGTTCTCCCATATTTAGGGATCATACAATTGTATTGTCTTCAAAACACACACACACACACATACACACACACACACACACACACACACACCCCTTCCAAGAAAGCTGATCCTTCAGAAAATAAATCTTATTTTTAAGCACTTGGGTTTTCAGGCCAGAAAATTAATAAATCCTAAACCTGACCCATTTTTGTAACAGCTAAAAAGGAGAAGAAAAAGCTAGTTAAATTTTGTGTGGATCCATTTATCTCTTAAAATATGCCAAAGCAATTTGAGGTGGGGGTGGAAACAGGTATTTATCTCTCATGCGTGATTCTCTCTTTATATTTCTATCTGTTGGGAAAAGGGTAAAGAACTATTCTTGGTCATTATTGATGTATTGTGTTGCCACTTTGTATGGTGCCTGCTGTGCTTTATCCCGAGGCATAGCAGTAATCGTTACTATCTTGACTCTTTCCTTCATCACAAGAGAGTAAATATGAAGTCTGAATGTCGTTCCTCACCCCCAAATTGTTTAACTCTGCTTCCAAACTAGTTTAAGAAATGCAAAATGGGAAGAGCTAGCTTTTCTTAGATACATTTCTTCCTTTTTTATTCTTTCTTGGGAGACGTTAAGTATAAAAGGGAAAAAGTCAGTTCCTTCTTCTCTCTCTTTCTCTTTGGGTGACAGCAATGCTCACTTAGTAATTATAAACTGGAAATAGGAGAGTAGCTTGAGCAGGTTATGATATATCTGCCCAATGTGTTTCATTCCTTCAAACATAAACTTTGAGAGTAAAAGAGATTTTTATAATTTAAATGCCAACGACAGGAATGGCCTCATGTTTTAACTTTCAAATAATAAATGGGGAGTTGGTATTTGGGCAGAGTTTGCATTTTACTAATCCTATATACTTTGAGCTTAGTTTTTAGAATTGTGTCAAATACATCAACATATCAGGATTATAGTGCCAAAAATAGTTAAAGTGCCTTGGTCCTCCCTCTGTAGGCAGCAAATTGAAACTAACATGGGACCATGCCATCCTTCTAGCATAATGGAGAAGTCTGAACTGAGGAGTATCTTTGATGAAAGACATTTAGGACCCTAGAAACTAAATCTTGTCACCAAGACTTTATAGTAAAGTAGTAGCAAAATTATTTTTAAAAGACTTTCTTCCTTTTACTACCCATTTCCTCTCTTGGGAAAGCTGATGAGCAAATTATCCAAGACTCATTTCTTTATTAGGCAAAGTCAGAATATTTCCCCTCTGAAAATCTGAATTATGCCCTCATTCTTTTTCAAGAAATATCTCAAAGAGCAAATAGAATTAAACATGACACTTGATTGTCTGATTATTTGGCATGTATAAAATTATCATGTGGCTTAATGTGCCTTAAGTGAAAATTTAAACTTAGACCTGAAACCTTTACAGTTGGATGTAGCGTTGAGCTTTTGCATGTTTTCTGTATAATAAACCACTTTTGTTTTGTTTGTTTTGTCTTTTAACCTACACCTTTATCATTACTCTAACAGATTTAGGGCTTCTCTTTCTCTACAGCTAAGTAAGGGAATATGTGCAATTATGAGACATACAAAAAAGGAAAGGGAAAGGACTTTCTAAGTAGCAAATCTGTGCCATGAAGTAGATGTGGCGTGAAGATACAGAGCCTGAGGATAGTAATTTTCCCTGAGCCACGCACACAGGCTTTTATTTCATGCCTTTTCTCTTTCTGTGCCGTCACCTTTGAGAAAAACGATTGCACCTTCTCCAAGTCTGCCTTTTTAACAGCTACAGTTAAGTTGGCAAGACTTCCCCAGCTCTGAATATAGCCATTTGCCGACTCCGGCCTCTTTGCGAGACTGACTCAAATCTGTGATCTTCTGTTCAGCATACACATCAGCAAAGTGAGAAGATGAGCACTAAATATAGGCTCTATTAACTTTACTTTTAGATTTACTGCCTTCAAAAAGTGCCTATTCTGAGCAACATAAACGTTATTCCTTACATATGTATGTACACACGGTACCCAGAGTCGTACTGTGCAGCCTTCAAAAACATACCATCAGAAAGAGTAGGTGCTGAGATAAGGAAACTTTGCCAAATGAAAGAAAGTCACTCACTTCCAATATCCCCTCTCAAGCGGCTACCGTGAAACGGGCTGCAAACACATTCCCTGAGCATCCCTTGCTGATACAGCTTCTTTATATTTATATCCTACTGGATGGTAGCATATTGCTAAGGTTTCCTGTACTCTGCTTCAAGGGAATGTAAGCTTTATGGCATTGAAACATTTAGGGAAAAAAAAGATGTTTAAGAGAATTAATAGAGCCGTAGTCTGTATTAGGATGTGTGTCATATGTGTGTTCTATAAACTAAGCATCGGTGGGTTTAGAGTGTTAAAGTGTCAGCACATTCCTTCTCCTTTTGTCTCTCAGGCTAACATGAGAGAAAATAGAAAAGTCTTGGCTGTGGGGATTGGAAGCTCAGGGGGCCAAATGTCCTTGCCAGATCCTTAGAGCATTACTTTGACTCCTAAAAATAGTAGTGTATGTTATTTGATGGCTTTTGTTTCCATAGTTCCATCACTGACAAAACTGTCAATACTGTTGATGGAGCAGCAGCATAGCCTAGAGTGATGCATTCTTACCCAGAGGTGGCAATAGGAGAGGGTCCATGTAAATAGGACGAGGTAGACAGTGCATGATTGTAGGAGAAGGGTTGAAGGGAGGACATGATTCCAAAAAAGATCGTTCTCAATGTGTCGTCTGACTCAACCAGCTGGCAGATTACACTTGCCAAGTCGTTCCCTTTCCTTCTAAGTCAGTTGGCTCCATATTCACTTGAATATGCCTCTGTTTGGGCAAAGCAAGATACCTCCACTTAACCTTTATCCAAGGAAGCTCTTGGTGTCCTCTTGGTCATAAAGTTGTCTCCTACCTAACCCAGTTTTACCAAATGGAAGTAAAAGGGGACAAACTATGGAAGATGGACTCCATGCCATTGCAGTCAGCCACCATTCTCTTTTCCATATAAGGAGCCCCATTACATAAGCTACGGGTGAGGTTGGAACAGCTATGTTTCATAATTTCAAGAGTGTGACCACCCTGCTCTAGTCATCATCATTGGATGAATCCAGTTGACTCTTTGGCAAAAGGGTGATACTTTTCACTAAAAATGCCTACTCTTCCTGTTGATGTTCCTTTTCTGTTTTTACCTTGTCCAATTTCCACACTAGTCATTTTTTTTATTTTTTAGAGGATCAGATTTTAGCGCTGGAAAATGAGTTCAAAAATTTCAGTGTAATGTCATAAGGATGTTGGGATACAGAGATTTTTTTTTTCCTTGGAAACAAATGGACTGGGAAGAAACACAGCATGGCTTTGCTCTGAGTTTCAATCTGATGATTATGACCATGGAAGATAGTCTTATGTAAAGGTTAAATGGTGTTTACAAGTGGATAGATAAGGCGGAGATGGTGAGAAGCCGGGTTTTCTCTATGCTAAATGTGTCTACTAAGAGCAGCACTTCCTACTAGCTAAGCACAATCATAGCCCCACCGTGATGAGCTGCTAGTCTGAATAACATTCCCTGACTTAGGGAAAGGCACACAAAAACATATAAAGAATATGTCTATTTTCATATGTGTGATACTGACAGAGCCATGGTATTCCTAAAATATAGGTTTCTCTTTTTTCTTGTATTCTTAGCAAATTGCATTTATTCACTACATTACAAACCATCACTGATGTATCCAAAATAGCACACATAGTTCAGTATGAAAATAAGAGAATAAAATCTGTTATAAGCAAGTGATTTAGGTATTTTCTTTTGTGTTTATGCATTATCTGACTATATTAAAACCTGTTTTTCTATTTACCTTCTATCAGTTTTCTCTACCAATTATGTTTTTTCAATGCTCTATAAGAATGAATATGGAAATTATATTTCTTTTTTCTGTAAAAGAGTTGCAACTACTTTATTATATTTAGAAATCCAATAAACTTCTTATTACATTTACTTGCCTATGTGTGGAATTCTTTTTGAGTTGGATAATCTCTGTTTCCTTTTCTTCTAACCCCCTTTACTGTGTGACTCATTTTTTACATCATTTGCTTTCCATATGGTCTTCTGAGAAACGGAATATCTCTCATAGCAAATATGGTGCCACAAGAGTATGAAAGCACCCACTCTCTTCCACTGTTAGCACAGAAGAACTTAAGGTCAGAGGTGTTCTAAAATTATTTGACCACTCTGTGTCTTGACCTTGCAAAGACATTTTCATTTTTAAAGCTGGATCCAAGTAAATGGGTCCCTTAGGGTGGGGTTGGGGTTCTCCATTTTCATCACAAACAAGTGGCTGACTTGTTCATACTTTTATTCCATCTGTATTACGCATGCTTTTCAAACATTGAGAATTTCCTCTGTACTAGGCATCTTGAGCAATACAGCTATCAATGACATATAGTTCCTTTCAATGAGTTTATAGTCTAGTTAAGCTGATAGATATGGATACAAATACCTATGGGGAAAGGAAAGGAATAACCACAAACAGGAAAAAGTAACTTAGCATGTTCCAGACTTTTCACTGTCACTCCATTTTCAATATCCTTGTGATTATCTTACCCTCATTTTATAGATGAAAATTCCAAGAGTGAGGAAAAAAGTTAATAACCCAAGATCAGCATTCATTTGCTGAGCCTTTTTTTTTTTCATTTTTTAAAGTAGCAGTTCTACAGAAGAACCAAGACTCCTGATACCCAGTCTATTGATGCTTAATAAGAGTGATTAGCACTACAGCATACGTGAAACTCACCCCACGAAAGTCAGAAAAGATTATCTGTTCTCTTTTCTACTTATCTCTCCAACATCACATTTCTGCCTACTAGTGCTGGGACATCTGAGAACTACAGGTGGGAAGACTCTGTACTAAAGACCACTATTTTAAACTGCCATACACAAGATCAATCTTTGAACAAACAAAGGGTAGGTATATCAATGGGACTTGTGGTACTTGTAATTTCTTACCAGAAAGTTGTAAACAAAAGAATACATGAGATGTAACCTTGTCTTCTCTTTATTCTTCTACAAAGAAGCTGTAAGAGGTAATCTTATCTTCCTTCTCCCTGTATTTCTCAAATTACTCTGTTTTTTCACCTACCCTTCTGCTCTGTTTTCTAATAGTATACATTCATTTGTTCTATTCAGAGTGTAAGAGCTAGAAGGGCCTTTAGAGATTATTTTACTCTGACTTTGTGAAGAAATACTAAGTCTCAGAGATATGAAAAGACTTATCCAAAGTCATAAAATATTTTAATGACAGGGCTGGATCTTGAGTCCTGGCCTCCTGACTCTCTGTCCATTGCTGTATACAAATGATTTGAATAATGCAGAAGAGAGTGGAAGACGCATTCTATTTATAATTTACATTTCAAGGAAAAAGAAATTTCAAATGAAAAAAAAACTGAGTGTTTAATGTCCAGATACCCTAATTAATAGAAATTCTAAAAATCATGTTGCAGGAAGAGAGAAAGCTGAGAAGGAATGAATATCAACAAGGCAACAGGAAGGCTGAGCAAAGAAGGTAGGCAACCATATAGTCAATTCTAAACAGACTGGAATAGCAAACAATTATTTTCTAAGTTGAGGGACTTAAAAAAGTTGAGCTAAAATACTGGACGATAGTGGAATGTAGGCCCAATGACTAGAGTTAAATCTTTGTAAGATTTTTGTTGATTTTGGAGAAGACTGGTGCTGTTGATTATCTTTACATTTTTAAGTTATGTATATATGTAAATATTTCAATGGCTGCCATCTAAAGAAAACAAATATATAACTGCAAAATCAGTAGAAAGGAGAAATTGAATTGGGGAAAAGCAGAAATGAAACAATTTTTTTTTTTTTGAGTTGGAGTGTGCCCTTGTCGCCCAGGCTGGAATGCAATGGTACCATCCCAGCTCACTGCAACTTCCGCCTCCTGGGTTCAAGCGATTCTTCTGCCTCAGCCTCCCAAGTAGCTGGGCTTACAGGCACCCGCCACTACCCCCGGCTGATTTTTATATTTTTAGTAGAGACGGGGTTTCGCCATGTTGGCCAGGCTAGTCTCGAACTCCTGACCACAGGTGATCCGCCCACCTCGGCCTCCCAAAGTGCTGGGATTACAGGCGTGAGCCATCACACCCAACCCATAAAAATTCAAAGATCCACCCTCAGAGAAGGATATTTTAATAACACCTTCTTCAGTAACTATTCAAGTAATGAGTTAAAAACAAAAAATCACTAAAGATATAGAAGATTTTAACATTATTAAAAGGCTTGATTTTAATGGATATATAAGAATCTCCATACTTATTGGATAAAAAATAAGCTTTTAAAATATATACATTATATATATATATACATTATATATATATACATTATATATATATATATACATCATATATATATATATAAAGTGCATATGAGAAATCTACTAAAACTGACCTTCTAGGCCAATTATCTGCAAAATTCAAAGCATCTTTCACACAAATTGAATATTTTCATCATGTCAACATTTAACGCAAATTAAAAACCATGGGTAATTTTAAAAATTTACATTTGGAAATTTTAAAACATCCCTAAAATGGCTTACTTCAAAATAGAAATCATAATCATAAGAACTGAACAATAATGAAAATTCTATGTAGTAAAACTTGTAGGAGTCAGCTCAAATGGTTCCAAGAGGGAAATGTAAATCCTTAAATGATTACATTAAAAATAAAGTGAAAATTAATGAGCTACTCATCCAACTCACGTTAGTAAAAGAACAGAATTAAGATTCAAAATATAAGGAGGGCATAATTAAAATATGAAAAAAATGAAACTAATGGTATAGAAAACAAGAATATAATAGAATATCAAAACAGTCAAAATTTGGCACTTTGAAAAAGCGTTAGAAATTGCAAATTTCTGGGAAGGTTTATCAAGAAAAAAAGGCATGAAAAATATTTATAGATAACAGCAGGTATTAGAAACATAACAGAATAGCATGAGCAATTTCATGTGATTAATTTGAAAATGTAGATGAAATAAAAATGTTCCTCTTTAAAAATTGTAACCTAACAAAAAGTGAGTAAAAAAAAATAGACAACATGAATAACCCAATAAAGTTAAATTGTATTAGTGGTTAAAATATTCCCAATAAATAATTACTTGAAGGGAGCATGAGAATGGCTTTTGGGTTAACATTTTAGGTTGGTAACATTCTGCTTCACGATCTGAGTGCTGGTTATATGATTGTGTTTAGTGTTTGAAAATGTATTGAGCAATACATTTATGATTTGTGCATTTTATTTATATACTACTTCAGTGGATAAAATATTTTCTTTATCGAAAACTACCTAGTATCTTGATTCTAAATGTGAATTCTACTGGTTGTTCAAGTTAGAATTACAATGGAAAAAAAAAGGGAACACTCTCCAACATAATCTATAAGGCAAGTGGCCAATCTTATTAGTGAATATATCGATTAAAATCTTATAAACTACTGGAAAACCAAGCACAGTAATGAAGAAAACAACGACAACAACAAAGCTCAAATAAGTTGGGTGTAACCCTGAAATAGAAGAGTAGTTGAACATTAGAAAGTCTATTAACATGGCCCGGAGCCGTGGCTCACACCTGTAATCCCAGCAGTTTGGGAGGTTGAGGTGGGCAATCACTTGAGGTCAGGAGTTGGAAACCAGCGTGGCCAACATGGTGAAACCCCGTCTCTACTAAAAAATACAAAAATTAGCCAGGCGTGATGGTGGGTGCCTGTAATCCCAGCTACTCGAGAGACTAAGGCAGGGGCATCTCTAGACCCTGGGGGGCCAAGGTTACAGTGAGCGGAACCACATTCACAGAACAAAATAGAGAGGCCTTATGATTGGCTGAGCGTGGTGGCTCATGCTTGTAATCCCAGCACTTTGGGAGGCCGAGGTGGGTGGGTCACTTGAGGTCAGGAGTTCGAGACCAGCCTGGGCAATATGGTGAAACCTCATCTCTACTAAAAATACAAAAATTAGCTGGGCATGGTGGCAGGCGCTTGTAATCCCAGCTACTCAGGAGGCTGAGGCAGGAGAATCGCTTGAACCCTGCAGGTGGAGTTTGCAGTAAGCCAAGATTGTGCCATTGCACTCCAGCCTGGGTGAGAGAGTGAGACTCTGTTTTTGTTTCTTTGTTTGTTTGTTTTAAAAGAAAGGTCTTTTGATTAAATTATTTAATAGATTTTTAAAAACAGTATAATAAAAGAAAACATTTATGTTTTAAAAAAACACACAGCAGGAGTGGAAAGGACTTTCTTAACTGGATAAAGGCTATCTATGCAAAAATCACTCCAAATAGTGAAACGTTAAAAGTAATTATTTTAAGTCTAAAATAAGAGAAAGATGCTCACTATCTTTCTTTTATTGATAGGCCCCTTCTATTCAATTTTGTAATGAAGACTCTAGTCAGTGCAGCTATATTAAAAACATGAATTTTATATATATATATATATAAAGACTATAAAAAGCCAAACTGCCACCTATGATATAGCTATATAGCAAACTATATAGAAACTCAAAGTAATATGTAAAAAATTCACATTTAAAAGTTTATCACCAGGTGTGGTGGCTCATGCCTGTAATCCCAGCACTTTGGGAGTCTGAGGTAAGTGGATCACCTGAGGTCAGGAATTTGAGAGCAGTCTGGCCAACATGGTGAAACCCCATCTCTACTAAAATAAAAAATTAGCCTGACGTGGTGGCAGGCGCCTGTAGTCCCAGCTACTCGGGAGGCTGAGGCAGGAGAATCACTTGAACCCGGGAGGCAGAGGTTGCAGTGAGCCGAGATTGCACCACTGCACTCCAGCCTGGGGGACAACAGCGAGACTCCGTATCAAAACAAAACAAAACAGAAAAGTTTATCAAGTTTGGTAGATATAACATTAATGCACCAAAAAATTCATTAATAGCAAAAAAAAAAATGTGCCTCAGAATATCTTTTTAAATGGGCAAGGGATTAATGAATAAAATCTTAAAACTTTACTGAAAGACATTAAAGAGGATGGAAATAAATGGAAAGATAAAGATGTTCAAAAATGGGAAAATAATATCATAATAATGTAAATTTTTCCTAAATTGATCCATAGATTTAATGAAACTCTAAATTTCACCAAATCTTTTCAGGGACTCTGACAAACTAATTCTAAAGTTTACATGAAAAACAAATGCAAAATAACACTTTTTTAAGAAAAATGAGGGATTATTTTTTAATCAGGTAAAACTTTCTATAAAACTATGTTAGTTAACAGAGTGTATTAGTTGTACCAAAAAAAAGGAGAAAAGTAGAAATAGATGACGGTTGAGAATCCTTGGAAAAAAAAAATCACCTGTTTATGGTATTATAACTCCATGTGTAACAGGGATGATATTGCAGATCACTGAAATAATTGTTTTTACATGTGGAAAAAAATAACATCCAATGTCTAACTCAGTATTAAAATATCTTTATGACTTTTATGAATGATTTCTGGGTTTTTCGTTTTGTGTTTTTGATACAGAGTCTTGCTCTGTCACCCAGGCTGGAATCAGTGGCACAATCTCCGCTCACTGCAAGGTCCGCCTCCCGGGTTCAAGAGATTCTCCTGCCTCAGCCTCCCGAGTAGCTGGGATTACAGGCACATGCCACCCACGCCCAGCTAATTTTTGTATTTTTAGTAGAGACAGGGTTTCACCATGTTGGTCAGGCTCGTCTTGAGCTCCTGACTCCTCAAGTGATCCACCCACCTCGGCCTCCCAAAGTGCTGGGATTACAGGCGTGAGCCACCATGCCCAGCTGGTGAATGATTTCTTGAACAAAATACAAACTGTGAAAGCTATAACTAAAAGAATGGACAAATAAGTTTCCACAAAAATTAATAAACTTGGTAAATCAAAAGATTCATAATAGCTTTAAACTGGGAAAAGCTATTTGCCAGACATAAAATTGACAAAGGATTACTATCCAAAATATATTTTAAAATTCCTAAGAAGTTTCAGTAGAAAAACAGGCACAAGAGTAGGCATTTCATGGAAGAAGAAACACACATGGCCAATTGACACATGCAAGAACAATTGAGTTAGTCATTAGGGAATTACAAATTAAAACTAATGTAATTTATGCTTCCTTTTTTTTTTTTTTTTTTTTTTTTGACAGAGTCTCGCTCTGTAGCCAGGCTGGAGTGCAGGGTGCCATCTCGGCTCACCGCAACCTCTGCCTTCCTGGTTCAAGCAATTCTCCTTCCTCAGCCTTCTGAGTAGCTGGGACTACAGGCACCCGCCAACACGCCCAGCTAATTTTTTTGGATTTTTGTAGTGGAGACAGGGTTTCACCATGTTGGCCAAGATGGTCTCCATCTCCTGACCTCGTGATCTGCCCTCCTCGGCCTCCCAAAGTGCTGGGAGTAAGTTACCATTTTTTTATACCAACCAAATCAGCAAAAATCTAACAGTATGATAATGCCAAGTGTTAGAGAGATATGGAGCAATGAATATTTATACAAATATTGATGGGATCTAAATTGCTAAAATAATCTTGGAAAATAATTTAGCTGTATCAATAAAGATGAAGATGTGCCATCCCTAAGACCAGCAATTCTGCTCTTGTCTATTTGCCTCAGCGGCATATACAATAATGTACAGAGCTACACTGTTTATAATGACAAGAATCTGAAAATATCTATCCAAGAAGAATCAATCAATAAATAGTATATTCCTGCCGTAGAATAATGTACAACAGTAAAAATTAATGCACTATAGTTGAATAAATCAATATGGTCAATTCTTAGAAGCATGACATTGGGTGGAAAAAATAGTCATAAAAGAATAAACACATACATACCATATCATTGGTAGGAAATTTTAAAACAAGCTAAACTAATTACATTGTTTAAGGATACATGCATACACACATATTCTGGAAATATAGGATAAAGTGAAGGAGATGTGATTGGTGAAAGACATTTGGGAACCTTCAGTAGTCTTTATTAATTTTGTTAGTTGCATTATGGGTTCATAGGCATTCATTTTATTATTATACATTATAATATGTGTTATATTTATATCATATATTTTATAATAGTTTACAGAGAAAGAAAGGGAAGAAATGTTCCCTTGCCCTTCCATTTTCCTCTCCAGCACAGTCAAGCGCTCAATATAATCTTTTATTTATGTATTTTTTTTTGAGACAAAGTCTTCCTCTGTCACCCAGGCAGCAGTGCAGTGGCGCTACCTCGGCTCACTGCAACCTCCGCCTCCCGCATTCAAGCGATTCTCCTGCCTCAGCCTCCCAAGTAGCTGAGATTGCAGGCACGTGCCACCACACCCTGCTGATTTTTGTGTTTTTAGCAGAGACAGGGTGTTACCATGTTGACCAGGCTGGTCTCGAACTCTTGATCTCAAGTGTTTCACCTGCCTAAGCCTCACAAAGTGTTAGGATTACCGGTGTGATTACCGGCCAGGTGCTCAATATATTCTTAATGACCAGTTTATCTGGGGACAAGCCTGCCTCAAGAGAGGGCTACAGAGAAGCCCAAATACTTCTCAACATTTTTAATACAAAATCCTAGAAGCAGCTCCTTTGATAAATGTAGATGAGGATAAATGGATAAATGGAAAACAAGGACTAGAGAGCAGAGCTCTGTGTGGGCCACATAATTTCAGGACACTGCCCCTGCCTCTTTACACACTTCTCTGCCTCCGGCATCTTTCATAAAAACTTTCTTTCATGAAATCTTTACTGCTTTTTTATTGTAAATAAGTATTCCCTCATTTGGGTTCCCATTACTATGCAAACTATCATTCCTTAGTTGCATACATGTCTGCATACCTATGCAATTGTCATGATTCCTCTGGCCAGAAAATTATCTTATTAACCTAAATGCTCCCAAAGTTTCTAGCATATCCTGGATAAGCTAGATATACTTATCCCAAATAAGTTATTATCCAATGGAATTAAATTGATTCTTCTTCAAGTTCACTCCAGATTCATGTCCAAAGCAAAGCATTCACCTCTTTCTGCCTTGCAAAGTCTGCTTAGGAAGTCAGTACATTCTCATGATTTCCCTAGGATGATGTAAAACTAATAGTGGTAGAGAATTCTGCATGAAGTGCCACAAGCAAGATTCCTAAATTCAGATCGGACAGCCTCCTTCACTCCTAATTCTCTAATAAAGGGGATGAGCACAGTAAACAGGAGGAAGAAAAGGAAGAAAAAAAGCAAAGACAAGGTAGTCATGTCAACAAAGTCTGCATGTCTGTTGGGTCACCCAGCGCCCAAATCTCAATTTTATCCTAGATCCCTCTTTCTCATTCCCACGCCCTATTCTTTCCTTCCCCTTAATATGGCTCTCTCCCTCACTTGGGCTTGGTCCATAACACCCTAGTCCAGGCTTCTGTTTCTCTAGGAAACCCTTCCAGAGTCCTCACTTATATCCCAGTCTCAGTTCTGTCCTTACCCCCTCATCACCATCTCTAAGCCATCCACCACTGCAGGCAGCCTGGCATTTCCAAGCCACAAATTGGACCCCACTGTCCCCCTGATCCCCTGATCCTATTTACTGTCTCTCCTTCACCCCTAAGACATGATCAAAATTCCTCAGCAAAACTTTGAAGTCTTCAGGTTATCTTATCTATTCCCACTTCTCCCCAACACACCTGCCATTAAAGTACATACCCTTCTCCAACAGATCTCACATCTCTGGGTAGACTGCTCCTTCCCCTTCCTTTCTGAGAATTATAAAAGAACTCTCGGCACATAATGCCTCCATCCTGAACCCCTGCTGGAAAAGACTTGACCAACCCTAGCATAGCTTCTGGCAACCCAAGGCTGCATCTCTGGGAAGACCTAGCCCATCTTTTAGTTGCTGTCTGAAAAACTTAGTAGTTGTAAAAAGAATTTACTGTATCTTCTAGCTGAGACTTGAGGAGAGGTCGCCGTCTCCCTCTTTCTTAGAGAATTTACTTTAAGGAGCTTGCAATTGTAAATCTTTCCTCTGTTACTTTGAGATGTATGTGTATGTGTCTCCTACAACCCAGGAGTGTCTTTCTCAAGGACCTGAAAGCAAAGCCATTCCTTTGAAAGGTAATCATCAGGAAGGATAGGGCCTTGGTCTCTAAATCTCCATGGGAGAATAGACTCCTAAAAAGCAGACACGGCTGGCTTCATCACATTTACACTGACCTGCCCTCCAACCCACTTTTTGTAACTGTTCACTTTCCTGACTGCTTGAGCTCACTCCCTGTCCCTACTCCTTCATTCTCCTTCTAAAACACCCAGTTACCTCCACACAATTGGGAACAGAGCTGAGCTTTTTTTCCCTACTGTCAGCGCTTACTGTGCAAGATTTATTTTCACCACTTTAACACGTCTGCCTTTGTTTATCTTTAACAATTCCGCACTCCAAGACCCAGCCCTCAGGTTACCGCCTCCAGGAAATCTCCTTTCTTTGGCCTCCAGGAAGGTGTTTGCCTCTCGTAAGTGTGCCTATGCAACTTGAAACACACATACACTAGGATAGTCATGTGAAACTAAAATTTCCTTTTCCTCTGGTCAAAATTCCATCTAGACTAAAGCCCTAAAGGTCGCAAATTGGGTTTTACTTATTCCCATATGCATGGTGCCAGGTATAGAACAGACCTTGAATAAATGCATATCAAGTGGAGACTTGAATGAATGAGGGAATGAGTGTCTGTGTGTGGGATTGTAAGGGTTAAGAGGCCTCTTTCTAGAGCTGTCCCTGTAAAAAATGGAGACCCAGAGGTGTGGTTGCAGAGCAGGAGCAAGGCAATTACCCTTCTCCAGGAGGAGATGAAGACAGACCAGTGTGGACTTGCCCTTCGTTGCCTCTGAGATGTTTTCCATTCCATTTCTACCCTTCCCAAATCTTTGTTAGTTTGTACGCAAGATCTTTTTCCTCCAGGGCTGTGAAGAACTATTTTCTGTTATTTATTGTAATGGGGTGGGGAGAAGTGAGGGGACTCAAATCTTTTCAAACACCAGACAAAATTTGCCAGCTGAAAGGGCTTCATCTTGGCCATAACCAGATGAAAATGTGTGATGTCAAGCCAACCTAAGCTATCCCATTGTTTTTAAGTGTGACTAAATACTGACTAATATTACTTCCTCTGGCACTTTTCATTTTTTTTTTTTTTTTGACTCAGTACAATGGAAATGTTCCAGGCTGTTGTTATAGTTTGCTGTCTGGACAGAATGACTTCCTGCACATCATAACCACTTATGATGGAGAAAAATAGAAGGGGTGAGAATCCCAAAATTCCCAAGAATACCCCTAAGTTTAGCAATGGCTTTTGGCTTGGATTTTTGTTGTTTTTGTTGTTATGTTTTGTTCACAAAAGCAATAAAGAATACTGAAATCCAAGTTGGAAGGGACCTTGCCAAAGTTGCTCATTGAGGAGCCAACATTTTTCCGGCCATCCTGAGACCTGCAGTGTCGCCACGACATTCCCTGCCAAGCAGTTCAGACTGGTAAATTCTCTCTTTCTTCAGGAGTTCTGTTCCTTCAAAAACAAGCTCTCACACCTTTGGACTATTAGCACTCTCTTCTGCCTCCCTGCAGACTCTTCTTTTTAGCTCTGCCTTTTGGGAAGCAAGTGGTGTTTGAGGAAAGGAAAGTGATTCAGAGCCGTGTTCCATGCAGACTAGATCACTGGAGACACGATTGGTAGTGACTTTTCTCACAGAGGAAATGAAGAAGTAAGCAGAGCCTAAGCTCTGGGAATGTCTTCAGAGAGTGGAAACAAAGGATACTGTTTAAACGTGCGTCTGGAAGGTCAGATAAGTCCCTTCTCTCACATGTATGGCAGATGATAGATAACCAAAATTGTCTGATCCAAGCATTTCAGACTGAATGAAGTTCCAGTATGTTCTCCACTCCTTCTAAAACCAATAAGCCCCTGCCCCATCCAACTCCTAGGTTCAGTCTCTATTAGCTACCACTTTAGGCTATATGTTGAACAGTCATCACCCTCAGCTTTCTGCCTCTCCCAATCAATCTGGTGGCAGCACAGATCAGCTGTCCCGTGCCACCTTCAGAGAAAGCCTGCTATCCCTCTCAAAAAGATTTTCCTCCCATTATTGTTAGAAGCTAGAGCATTCACAAGGAGGTGCAGTACCCCTCTGAAAATCAATTAAAGCCCCTTTCAACTGTGGGATACGCTTTTCCCGGGGTGTGAGTCATTTCCATAACTCTGAGTTTCCACCAGTTTTAGGGTCAAAGAAAAAGCCAGCCCCCACAGGGCCTTTCAGCTCCCTGGGAATTTTAAGAAAAAGGATTCATTCCATGGCAGAGATGATTGCCTTCTTTTTAACTGCAATTGGTGGCCCAGAAACCACAGCCATCAAATGCAGAAGCTTTGCTAAATCATCACTATTTCAGCTACTAATTAGATCTAATGTTCACAGCAGAGGAGTCTGTGCGAGCAATAAACCACTTCTTCAAGTGATGAAACTTCCAAGTAAACACACTTTGATTACCACAAGAAACATTCCCTTGCACAGGTTTTTTGAGCCAATGAATAGAACCCCCCAGACATGGCTCCATAAATGGAGTAGCAGTAGACTGGAACTCTGGATGAGCACAGACAACCCTGTCTCAATTAGTCAGTCCCCTGCTCTACCTTTTGGGTTCTGGCAAGATGCCTCCAAGGGCCATATATGTGACAAAGTAAATTTTAGTTAACAGCAAATTCGCTGGGTATACCATGAGACGACACTGCCTGAAGGCTTGGGCCATCCAGTGAGAAAATCATCTGCTACTTCTGGGGTGTAGGGTCGCAGGTCCCTTGGACCCAATGTAAGGGAGTAGGTTTAGAGAAAGGGACCGTAGTGGCAAGGAAACCTGAGGCACTGTGCTAAATACTTTTTTACATTAGTTATCGCATAGCAAAAATATTGGCATTGGCTCCAGAACATTCTCAGAAGTGCTCACTTGATGTGCCTTTAATAACCTGATTGATTCTTTTTACATTGTATCTATAGACCAAAACATCACATTGTACCCCATAAATATACACAATTATTGTCAATCAAAAATAAATTAATAAAAAATTATGCAAGATCTACATGTTCATTGAAGAAAAAATAGAAAATACAAACAAGCAAAAAGAAAGTCTTTCATAAACCTGTTGTCTAAAGTGGGGTTTTTCAACCTTGACACTAGGGATATTTTGGGCTGGATAATGCTTCATTGTGAGGACTATCCTTGCATTGAGGACATTGAGTGGTATCCCTGGCCCCTACCCACTAGATGTCATTAGCACAGCCTCCCCACATTTGTTAACAACCAAAAATGTCACCAAAAATTGCCACATGCCACCTAGGAGCAAGATCACTCTCACTGAAAATCATTTTAGAGATAACCAGTGACGCCATTTTCCTGGCCTTTTTTCCTGCATATATGTATGCATATATGTATGTGTTTATATTTGTATACACACATATATCTTTTTTTTTTTTTTTTTTTTTTTTTGAGACAGAGTTTTGCTCTTATCGCCCAGGCTGGAGTGCAGTGGTGGGATCTTGTCTCATGGCAACCTGCACCTCCCGGGTTCAGGCGATTCTCCTGCCTCAGCCTCCCAAGTAGCTGGGATTACAGGCGCCCTCCACCACGCCCAGGTAATTTTTTGTATTTTTAGTAGAGACGGGGTTTCACCATGTTGGCCAGGCTGGTCTCGAACTCCTGATCTTGTAATCCTCCTGCCTCTGCCTCCCAAAGTGCTGGGATTACAGATGTGAGCCACCACACCCAGCCTACACACATATATCTTAAAATGGAGTTGTAGTATATATAGTTTTATATTTTCATTTTTCACTTAACGGTATATCCTGAAGATTTTCCCTTAACCGTATCCTGAATATGTTGATACCTGTTCTATAGCATCATCTTAGTAGCTCTGCTGTGCTCCATAGCATGGTGGTACCATGGTTTATTTAACCCTCAGTTTTTGGACATTGAGATTATTTCCAAGGGTAGTAAGGGCATTAAAAAAAACATTGTCTCAATTTTGCCTTCAAAAATAGGAGAAGGTTAGCATACTGCATATGAATAGAGAAACAAATACTTATACTGTTTCCTTTCACTTACAGAGACCATTGCGGTAACAAGAAAGAGAGAGGGGAATCTTAAATCAAGACCTCTTGACTCCTCTGTGCTGTTAATAGGTAAGGGCCTGCATAGAACCTGTTCATGAATCTCAGTTAGGCTAAGGTAGAATTGAAAAGGAGAGCCAGATGAATTTGAAAAATACAAAGTAAGACAAATAGCTTGGGGATGTGTAGCCAAAGAAGAGGCCAAGAATAAGGAATCCTGGAAAAAGAAAGACAGGAGGAGATGGAAAGAGGCTTAGACATGGGGAGAGGAGTCCCCACTAGGCAAGGTAGTTGTCTGTTGGGATGTTAACCCTTCCGTTGCACAAACCTTCAGAAAAAAGTTGATCATACTCCTTGCTGTGGCCCAGGTACTTGGAAGAGTAAAGGATATTTGGGGTGGGTTGTATTATGCAGGGTGATACATTGTAAAAAAGGGACAGCAGGGACAGGTACGAAATATGGAGTAGGGATAGAGAATTAAACAGAATTTGGAGGCAGAGGCGAGTAGGAAAACAAGAATCGCCAGAGATATTGGTATTTGGGTCAGAAGGTTTTCACTGCATAAGAAAATTGGCTGATCCAATCTTGTTTAAATATTAAAGGCCAAAATGATCTCAGTAGAATAAAGGACTTTAGAAATATCTAGTCAGCAGACGCTTAAATTATGCTTTTGGGGGGCTTTTATAAGCAAAACTACATTGAACACCATTGTAGTTGAATATGTGCACATATCCTTAACTTTTTAAAGGCTAAATAATTAGAAACGAATTGCTAGGTACAAGAAAATTCATGCTCTTAAGGCTTCGGATACATACTGTCAAAAATACTAACAGGAAAGTTTTAATAATCATTTACTGTGTTACCATATAATCAATATGGTAGGACAGTTCTTTTTTCCCCATTATTTCACCTACATTGATATATATTCTTCCTTTTTTCCAGGAGAGGTAACTGAGATGTACCATGTTCACAGAGTGGTATAAATGGAACCACAGCCCAGGGGTTCTATTTATAGAAACTTCTGACTTCAAGTCCAGAGCTCTTCTTTTTTTTTTTTTTTTTTGTGAGACAGAGTCTCACCCTGACGCCCAGGCTGGAATGCAGTGGTGCAATCTTGGCTGACTGCAACTTTTGTCTCCTGGATGCAGGCAATTCTTCTGCCTCAGCCTCCACAGTAGCTGAGAATACAGGAGTGCCACCACACCCAGCTAATTTTTGTATTTTTAGTAGAGGTAGGGTTTCATTATATTGGCCAGGCTGGTCTCAAACTTCTGACCTCGTGATCCACCTGCCTTGGCCTCCCAAAGTGCTGGGATTACAGGTGTGAGCCACCCCGCCCGGCCTTGAACTCTTATCTACCTTGCTACTTCCTTTATCAGAACTGGGATAAGAACCTTTAGAAGACTCAACCAGCACTAGTCCTGATCTTTTCACTCCTCTACTTAATCTCAATGCTGCTAGTTTACCTATTTTGCTCTCTCCTGCCTCAGGGCCTTTGCACTTGCTTTTCCCTCTCTCCCCACCCATCTTTTTTTTTTTTTTTCTTGATAGTCTTGTCTCCCAGGCTGGATTGCAATGGCGTGATCTCAGCTCACTGCAACCTCTGCCTCCTTGGTTCAAGCAATTCTCCTGCCTCAGCCTCCTGAGTAGCTGGGATTACAGGCACGCACCATCATGTCTGGCTAATTTTTTGTATTTTTAGTAGAGATGGGGTTTCACCATGTTGGCCAGGCTGGTCTCAAACTCCTGACCTCAGGTGATCCATCCTCCTCCACCTCCCAAAGTGCTGAGATTACAGGCATGTGCCCGGCCACCCCACCCATCTTTATTTAGGCAACTTCTGCTTATCACTCAGGTTGAACTTAAACATCAATTCCTTCATGACTCCTAAATTTTGGGTTATGTGCTACTATCAAGTGCTTCTACAGCACTTTTTACTTCCCTGTTAGAGAACTTATAAACTGTGTTGAAATTCATGTCTAATGATCTGACTTCCCCATTAATTTTTAAGCTGCGTAGGACAAGACCCATGTTTATAAAACCCAAGATCAGATCTTGCTGAGCAGTGCTTGCCCCTTTAGACTAGAGAGGTTCACTCTAGGTTACTAAAATCCCAGCCACTTCTGAAGGTTTTTATAAGCAGCCCATTTCACCCATCCATGTTTCTTGCTTGGCATCTGTAGGCATTTGAGTACATGATATCTGCTGTAGACAAACATGTTTCCTGTTAATGTTAGGAAGAATCTTCCAATACTGAATTATCTGACAATGGAGAAGGCCCTCTATTTACGTTGTAACAGGATCTTCTGTATGTGCTTCTTCATAACACCCGGTCCTCCCAATGTGACTGGGAGGTGCCAGAGGGCAGGAATGAGCCATCCTCCCAACCAGGGCATCTCACACGTGCCAGGTGGTCTCTGAGTGTGTGTGGAGCCAAATTGAACTAAACGACTGTCTTGGCAACATACAACTTTCCAAGACTCAACAACTTGCTTTCAGCCCAGCCAAAGGCTTGCCGCTCTGAGGCAAATGTCACTGTGGTGGAGTTGTCTTAATGAGAAGGCATGCTTGCTTCTCTTCTGGGGGAGTTTCCTAGAGCGATGCTCTTAGAAACTCCTTGGCAGGAATCCTTAGCCAGGCTTGGCATTGACAGCGTCCTCCTGCTGGCATTAACAAGCCTCTTATTTAAATGGAAATGAGCTCTCAGTGCCAGTTTGTGAGCAAAACACATCGCTTGTGTTAAACCAGAGCTGGGAATGCTACAACACACCAAATGTCGGCTTGGTTTCCACTTCCCCACCACATCCGTAGTTCACAGTGTAGCTCTCTTTGCCTCGTCTTCTCGATCTGCAGTGTTGGGAGTCCTTAGGCAACAGGAGAATCTGTGGAGTCTGGGGGCCTATTTGTAGCTTCAATATGACCTTCAAAAAGTCACTTCAAGGTGCAAAATAATAATAATAATTAGGACATTATAAAACTATTAGCAGTATCACACCGAATCCCAGTCAACAGAGGGGCCTTCAAGCAGAGGGTCTGAACCACGTCTCGTGGCTTGCTGGCGGTGTCAGTCCAACTTTCCCCAGGAGCCTACCTGTGCTGTACATGCTCTGACCCTTGTGCACACTCTCTCTTTTCTTCTAGATCAGTTCTATTTCCACCCAAATACACATCATTTGTTGCCTAACATCTGGTCCTGCTTAGCTGGTTCTGCACTCAGTTACCGGGTCCCTATTGTTCATGTTTTATCCAATTTCTTGTTTTAGCACTTCTCTCTTTATTTCAGATCTTTACGGAATAGACTTGGTGCTCTTCTGATACCTGGATTCTAGCCACCTCTCTCTAAGATACCCTAATGGCTGGCATATTTACAGCACAGATCATGCTAGATGCTACATTGTTTCTGTTTTTACGTGTCTAACTCAGCTGAACTATGTGTGCATCTTAAGGCCCAGGCCAGGTCTTATCTTTGTTGGTAGCCCCAGATCCTAGCCCAAACCCTAATGAAAGGAGAAATGAAGAAATAGAGAGAAGATAGAGAATCTCTATTTCCCCATCAAGATCTTGCTACAAGAGGCCAAGTAGGGCACCATTCCATTTCCATCCTTCAGACTGGCTATATGGTTTCTATCAAAGTGTATTAGACAGAGTTCTTCAGAAAAACAAAACCAATAAGATATATATGTGTGTGTGTGTGTGTGTGTGTATATATATATATATATATATATATATATATATAACATAAATATGATGGGAATTGGCTCACGTGATTATGGAGGCTAAGAAGTTCTACCATCTGCTGTCTGCAAGCTGGAGAACCAGGAGAGCCAGTAACAAAACTCAGCCTGAGTCCAAAGGCCCTAGAATCAGGAGTTCTGATGTCCAAGGACAGGAGAAGACAGATGTCCCAGCCCAAGAAGAGAGAGAGAACCTACCTTTCTTCCACCCTTTTTTCCTATGCAGGCCCTCGAAAGAACAGATGATACTCAGCCTTATTGGGGAAGGCAGATCTTTACTCAGTCTGCTAATTCAAATACTAGTCTCTTCCAGAAACACCCTGCCTTAGTCCCTTGTGTGATGCTATAGCAGAATTCCACAGACTGGGCAATTTATAAATAACATAAACCTAGTTCTCACATTTCTTGAGCCTGTGAAGTTTAGGATCAAGGTGCCAGAATCAATCTGTTGAAGGCTGCTCTCTGCTTCTAAGGTGGTTCCTTGAATGCCGCATCCTCTGGAGGGGAGAATGTTGTGCCCTCACATGGCAGAAAGCAAAGGGCAAAAAAGGGATGAACTCCTTCTGTCAAACCGTTTCATAAGAGCACTCAGTCCCATTCATGTAGGTAGAGCCCTTATGGCCCCGCCTCTTAATGCTATCGTTGGCAACACCTGAATTTTGTAGGGAACTCTTTCAAAACATATCACAGCCTCACAGACACACCCAGAAGTAATGTTTTACCAGCTATCTGGGTATTCCTTAGTTCAGTCAAGTTGGCACATATTATAAAATTAACCATTATACCACGTGTTTATTTTGATAAAGTTCACAGCATAAAAATGATTCAGTTAGCCTGTAGGAGGATGTGTTATAAACATTAAACATGTATTTCAGGAGCTTTCCATGAGAAGCATAAAGGGCTGCATTCAATAAAAGATGCAAAATGATATAAAGCAGTCCCTTGAGTAACAGAAGTACCTTTTCTTAGGACACTTTGAGTGCAGTAAAAATGCCTTTGTTGTAAGGCAGAACACTTTGCTGTCTGAGCTTCTGGGCTGCCTCAGCCCAGTGACTAATGAAAAGGACCTTTTTGATGGTTGAGTTTAGACTAAAATAGTGTAGGCACAACTTCTCATCCCCCTAGCCCTGTCCCCATCAGTGTATCTTCCTGGACTTTGGTTGGTGGCTTGTGTTGGGGGAGATGACACAGAGTATCAATGGCATCAGCTGTCCCTGACTGGTCCTTGCTCATTTGGGACTCCTATGGAGAAAAGGGTTTGAGACTGATAGAATCTGCCAGAATTGTACAAAGCTTTATGAGACTGAGCACAAAGAACAGATGATACAAGGCATGGGGGAGGAAGGAGATGTTTCTCTTTCTTCTTCAGGAAATTAGTGATAGTCTTGTAGCCTGCAGACTGGAAACACTGGATGCCTTGACCCCAAACTGGCGTTCCCACAATGCTGGGTGGAGGCAGTAAGATTTCTGCAATTGATGCTATGGAAATCAGCTATGAACAAGAGGAGTAGAGGTAGAAGCAAAAGAAGAGGCAGATGAGCTGTGGTTTTGGCTGACATTTACCTTTGGGTGGCCATGTGAATCCCCTTTTTGGAATCTCCCAACCATAAATGGGAGACACTGGGGAGGGAGTTAATTCTTGGAAACTGAGCTAGTAGGGGGTTGCATTATCAAAATTTCAGTTTATAAAAAAGAAGTCTTCACATTTGTTTGTGGTAAGTCACAAACTGGTAATGCCTAAGGTATTTTAGTTTTATTTTAATTATTACCCATTTTCAACAGGACAAAAAAGAACATGATGGAAAGATCCCCAAGTTCTTTCCCTGAAGTCAGAAAACCTGGTGCTTCCTTCTCACTCAGCATCTAATATATAGTGTGAACTTGAGAACGTTTTTTCCCCTTGGTAACTCAGCTTTCCCATTTGTAAAATGAGACAATTGAACTATATAAGCCCTAAGACAAATAGAGAAGAGGGGAGTTGAAACCAGATTTTTATTAATACACTTATTTAGCAAATATTAAGTGCCTGGTTCACATCGGGCACTGTGCTAGGCTCTGCAGATGGAATGGTGAGGAAAAGCAGACATGAGCTTTGTACATATGCAGGTATTAGTCAAGCAGGCGAGATAGCCACTAATTAAGAACAGAACTAAAGAAAAAATTATAACTGTGATAATGCTATGAAGGTGAAAGAAATGGCTTTTTTTGTGGATTATATATAGAAAGATTTCAAGAACCCTAAACAATACATATATTTCTTTTCTTTTCTTTTCTTTTTTCTTGAGATGGAGTTTTGCTCTTGTTGCCCAGGCTGGAGTGAAATGGCACGATCTCAGCTCACGGCAAACTCTGCCTCCCGGGTTCAAGCGATTCTCCTGCCTCAGCCTCCCGAGTAGCTGGGATTACAGGCGTACACCACCACGCTCTGCTAATTTTGTATTTTTAGTACAGACAGGGTTTCTCCCTGTTGGTAAGGCTGGTCTCGAACTCCCGACCTCAGGTGATCTGCTGCCTCAGCCTCCCAAAGTGCTGGAGTTACAGGCATGAGCCACCACACCCAGCCACATATATTTCTTATAGTTCAGTATAGCAAGAATATAGAAAGTGGCATGAAAGGGAGACAGAGTGTATGAGTATAAACATGTACTGGTGTGTACAGCAAAAGATGAAATTGGGGCAGGGGAAAGGCAGGGCCTGATCAAACAGAAAGAAAATGGTGTCACATAAGCCAAGAGAGAAGAGAGTTTTAAGAATTAAGTAATCCAGTAAATACTTGATGGAAAGGACTGTGTTTTGTTTATCTTCTTCATTTATCCCTTTCTGTACCCCAGGCAACTAGAATAGAAACTGGTACACAGTGGGGACTCCATGTACGTTTGTAGAATAAATACATTTTTCTCAACCACACACATAAAAAGGAAACTTAGAGGGGTTAAATGGATTGTACAAGGTCACTTAGCCTGTGGGTGGCTAGAGACAAGATTGAAATCCAACTTTAACATCATACAGCACATTAAAACAAAGTGATTGGGCTGGGCACGGTGGTTCAACCCTATAATCCCAGCACTTTGGGAGGCCAAGGCGAGCGGATCACCTGAGGTCAGGAGTTCGAGATCAACATGGCCAACATGGTGAAACCCCATCTCTACTAAAAATACAAAAATGAGCTGGGAGTGGTGGCGCACACCTGTAGTCCCAGCTACTTGGGAGGTTGAGGCAGGAGAATCACTTGAACCTGGGAGGTGGAGGTCGCAGTAAGCAGAGGTTGCAGTGAGCAGAGATCGTGACACTGCAGTCCAGTCTGGGTGACAGAGCAAGACTCTGTCTCAAAACAAACAGACAAACAAAAAACAAAGGGATTTTTTGACAGCAACCACAGAACGAATTCCTAAACAACCATTTCTACTCCTATAGAGGCACCAAGAAGAAAGGATCACTAGGAAGATAGTGCTTCAAGAGGCCTGCACATCACACCTGTGCATGCAACAGATACTGCCCTTTCTTTCTCATGCCTCTTCAACGTATTCACATTATCAGCATTGCCTTGTTCACAGAGACAGAGAAAAGCAAACCTTGCCTGAAACAGCTTCTCTCTCCTGTGGTGTACTTTTTCTCCTCCTAAAAGGATATTGGAGAGCAATGCTGTCTGGGAGGCTGACAGCTGGGCAGTAACCAGATTTACCGCAGCGGTAGGTCAGAGGCTAAGTGGAAACTGTGTAGATGTGAAACATCTGCTTCCTTGAAATATTGTCTTCCTCTGTGAAATGGACATACAAAGTGATCTATCGTTCATTGGCTCTCTTCATTTAAGGAGTTTCTGCACTACTTTCTAAGAGCAAAACCTCTGAGCAGGATGCTGCAGACATTTGCCGGGCACTTCTGGGCTGATGGCAGCAGGTCTGTGAGGGACCTCTGAGTGCTTCTGCAAATTAGAGCAATAGGAGTCTAAGGACTTGCCTCTGAGAGATCTGAGTGCAGCGAGGACTATGGCTGCCTCATTAGACTTTGGCCTGAGCATTTGAATTACGGAAATGGATTCTACATCAGTGGCATTCATACCTGGGAGAATGCAGTACAGCCTGATACCTGTTTCAGGCATGTGGAGCAGCCCATACTTCTTGTACTTTCCAAGATCAGAGAGAAAGCAAACTTGACCTCAGAGCCTAAATATTTGCCCCATAGTCAGTTAATACCTCATTTGTATTCTTCACTTGCCTTTATGGAACAGTTTAATATTTTATTACCTGTGAATTCCCTCTCTCTCTCTCTCTCTCTCTCCCCCCGCTCCCCACCACCCCAAAGAGAGAAGTGGATATCTATGATGTGGGAGTGTTGATTCAAAAGCTAGATTGAGTTTATCCTAGGATGGGGATCTGTCTGAAGAGGACTAGAAGATCTATGGTGATAGGTCAGCAGGTGATTATTGCAGTGGTGGCCAAACAACCTGCTAGAAAGGAAGGTTTCTAAGGAAAAAGAAAGAGTGAAGGCCTGTAATAAAGGTCCACAAAAAATGGGGCATTTGAAAAGAGAGAGTGTCTATTCATTCTCAGAGTGTTGTACCCATTGACTTCTGAACTGCCTGCTGCCTTAACTCATGCCAAAGCTCAGGAAAATGGATGCTTACAAAAAGTCTGAAACCAAGATTTCATTGACTACTTAGGAGCACCAGGCAGCTCCAATTTGGGGTCCATAGAACATCATTCTATCCAAATGTAAAGAAGGGCTGCACGAAGTAGCTCTGATGCTTTGAGTGTGCAACTATGAGTGATGTCTGCATGTTTAATAGCTCATATGCAGTGGAATTTCGGATGGTAGCATAGAAGGTTTTGCCTCAGTCCAGAGTCAAAAGAAAGAACTCGTAAGAACGAAATGAAATATCCCAAATGATGCACACGTAAGTCACCTCAGGCTTCTCAGAACTAGTTGTAAAGGACTTTATGGGGATTGTAGGTGTACAAGATTGTTTAGGGACTAAAATCATAGCCCCACATTTACTGCCAGGCTAAACTGGTGTATTAGTCTGTTCTTGCACTGCTATAAAGAAATTCCTGAGACTGAGTAATTTGTAAAGAAAAGAGGTTCAATTGGCTCACGGTTCTGCATGTTAGGCAGGAAGCATAGTGTCTTCTGCTTCTGAGGAGGCCTCAGGAAACTTACAGTCATGGTAGGAAGGTGAAGGGAAAGCAGGTGTCTCACATGGTGGGGGCAGGAGGGAGAGAGGGGGGGGAGGTGCTGCACACTTTAAAATAACCAGATCTCATGAGAACTCTGTCATCATTAGAACAGCACCAAAGGGATGATGCTAGCCATTCTTGAAGGATCCATCCCCGTAACCCAATCACCTCCCACCAGGCCCCACCTCCAAAATTGGGGATGAGAATTGAACATGAGATTTGCGTGGGGACACAGATCCAAACCATATCAACTGGTATATAGAAAACATGGGATTTGTTGTTATAATTATTATTAATATTTACAAAATCTTTAGTATAGTACCTAGCATATAATAGTCACCAAATGTTATGGAATATTATAAAAATTTCTAATACTGACACATAAACACCATAAATATGTTGATTATTTTGTCTGAAACTGTAAGACATTATTTTCATTTGAGAACTATTTACCATTCTGACTAGTGTGAGATGGTATCTCATTGTGGTCTTGATTTGCATTAGGTGCCCATCAACAGTGGATTGGATAAAGAAAATGTGATACCTATATAGCATGGAATACTATGCAGCCATGAAAAAGAATGAAATCATGTCCTCTGCAGCAATGTCGATGCAGCTGGAAGCCATTATGTAAGCAAATTAATGCATAAACAGAAAACCAAATAGCACGTATTCTCATTTATAAGCAGGAGCTGAATATTGAGTACACATGGACATAAAGATGGGAACAATAGGCACTGTGGACTACTAAACAGGTAGGGAGGGAGAGGGGCATGGGCTGAAAAACCTATTGGGTATTATGCTGATGACCTGGGCGATGGGATCATCTGTAAGCCAAACCCCACCATCACAAAATATATCCATGTAACAAACCTGCACATATACCCTCTGAATCCAAAATAAAATTGGAAAAAAAGAACTTTTTTATCTGAACTGTAAAATTTTCATACTTTTTTACATTAATATTTTCATACATGTACATATTTTCACATTAATTTATATTTATATACATCTCTAATATAGATATATTATATAATATTTAATATATTATCATATATAGCGTACATTTTTATGGTGGTTTTGGCTTGATAACTGTTTTGAGTGATATGTGGGAGATAGAAGGGAAGATAGAAATCTTACTAAATATGTCAAGGTAATATCTCTCATATACTGGGAAGGTTTATATGCCAGTTCATTCCTCCAATGTGTCCAGAGAAATCCCTGGATATATGTAGAAAGATTTCTAGGCTGGACATGGTGGTTCATGCCTGTAATCCTAGCACTTTGGGAGGCTGAGGCAGGAGGGTCACTTGAGGTCAAGAGTTCAAGACAAGCCTGGGCAACACAGCGTGACCCCATCTCTACAAAAAATAAGAATATTAGCTGGGTGTGGTGGCATGTATCTGTAGCCTCAGCTACTTGGGAGGCTGAGGCAGGAGGATTGCTTGGGCACAGGAGTTTGAGGCTGCAGTAAGCCATGGTCCCTCCACTGCACTATAGCCTGGGTGACAGAGTGACAGCCTTTCTCAAAACAAACAAAAAAATATTTCTAACATCTTTCTTTCTGTTTACTACATAACACCTAAATTAATTATCAAACAAGAACTAATTGGGCACAGCCACATTCTTAGCTTCTCCAAGCCTCAGTTTCTTCTCCTGCAAAATGAAGATAGTTGTAAAGATTAAACTAAACTGTGTACGTAAAAAGTTCTTTGGAAACTATAGAACAATGCAAATGCAAGGCATTGTGACCACAGTTAGAGAACAGGCTAGGATATTTGTTGATTGTCGTTGGTATTATGGAAATTTGCTGCTTTCTTTCCTATGAGAAGGGTTCTTCCCTTGTCCTGTTCTTATCAGTCTGACTAAGTCACCATTTCAAAGCTGACAATTAAAGCTCAATTTCCTTGCACTTTGTCCTAAAGCAGATGTCCTAGAGCTGGGGACCATAATCATGAAGCGTGTGATGCATTCTCAGAGTTGGAGAGCAGTGTTTCCAGAGAGTCTGAAGATTAGGCATTTCCTCTCATTTTTCATTTTTGTCAGCTTCTTCATGTTTTCCTTGCTAAGTAAGAAAAGGCCTCGGTTTCAGTCTGTCATTGTATGACCCTAAATGAGTCACTTCTGTATTGGGTTGTCTTAGGTTCCTCAACTGCAAGTGTCTAGTCTTCCACTCACATGCAGCAGAGCAGCTCCACATTTACTTATGTTACTCAGAGGGTTACTTCACATAAGACTTTATAAAATAAGTTCCATTGTTAATTTCTCTAAACCAGTTGGACTACATCTTTTCATGTAAAACCTAGATGATCTCTGATACTCTTGGTTTTTACATGTAGATTCCACGATCCCTTCCTGGGAAAGTCATGTAACCAACTATAACATAGGAGCATTAAACATTTTTAGGTAATAGAATTAGGAAATAATGGCTGTGTAAGTATCCATGTGAATTCCTGTCAATAGTTCTCATATCATGTGCTTAGAATGATTTCAATCTGACTGAATCTTGCCAAGAAACTCATAGCTCTGCTTTCCCTGCAAATATGAAGATGTGTCAACCTCAAAGAGTTGGTTAAACTTTCTGTTTCACTCATACAAGTCTGGCATCAAATTCATTTAGCTTTGTGGTGCTTACCCATTACCCATTTGGCAGATTTCACTAGCCATGTGACAAAGGCATAGTCCAGCTCAGAGCATGCAGAATTTGGAATAATAAATAGTGACCCTCCTATTGGGGCTCACACCCAAGAAACGTCTTATCTTCTGGGGGAAAACCAAGATTAAGACATTGGTGGCCAGGCACAGTGGCTCATGCCTGTAATTCTAACACTTTGTTGTGTTGTTTCTTGTTTTTCTTTTTTTAACTTTAAGTTCAGAGGTACAAGTACAGGTTTGTTACACAGGTAAATTTGTGTCATGGAGGTTTGTTGTATAGATTATTTCATCAACCAGGTATTAAGCCTAGTACCCATTAGTTATTTTTCCTGATACTCTTCCTCTTCCCACCCTCCACCCTTCAAAAGTTCCCAATGTGTGTTATTATGTCCCTCTATGTGTCCATGTGTTCTCATCATTTAGTTCCCACTTATAAGTGAGAACATGTGGTATTTGGTTTTCTGTTCCTGTGTTAGTTTGCTAAAGATAATGGCCTCCAGCTCCTTCCATGTCCCTGCAAAGGACATAATTTTGTTCTTTTCATGGCTGCATAATATTCCATGAAGTATATGTACCAGGTTTTCTTTATCCAGTCTATCATTGATGGGCATTTAGGTTGATTCCATGTCCTTGCTATTGTTAACAGTGCTGCAATGAATATATGCATGCATGTGTCCTTATAATAAAATAATTTATATTCCTTTGGGTATATACCCAGTGATGGGATTGCTGGGTCAAATGGTATTTCTGTCTTTAGGTATTTGAGGAATAGCTATATTGCCTTCCACAATGGCTAAACTAATTTACACTCCCACCAGCAGTGTATAAGTGTTCCTTTTTCTCCACAACCTTGCTGACATCTGTTTTTTTCACTTTTTAATAATAGCCATTCTGACTGGTGTGAGATGGTATCTCACTATGATTTGGATTTGCATTTCTCTGATGATCAGTGATATTGAGCTTTTCTTTAAATTACTGCTGGCCACATGTATGTCTTCTTTTGAAAAGTGTCTGTTTGTGTTCTTTGTCAACTTTCTTATGCAGTTGTTTAATCTTAACATTTTGAAAGGCTGAGATGGAAGGGTCACTTGAGCCTAGGAGTTTGAGACCAGCTGGCCAACACAGTGAGACCTCATCTCTACAGAACAAAATTAAAAAATTAGCCAGATGTGGTGGTGCACACCTGTAGTCCAAGCTACTAGAGAGGCTGAGGCAGGAAGATCACTTGAGCCTGGGGAGCAGGCAGTGGGGGGACGTTGCGGGGGATCGAGGCTGTAGTGAGCTGTGATCGTACCTCTGCACTACAGCCTGGGCAACAGAGCAAGACCTTGTCTCAAAACAAAACAAAAACGAAAAGCAAACAAGCAACACTGGCAAAGCCAGTACCCCATTGCAAATAATCATAGGGATCTTTCAAATTTTATTTTGCATGAAAAGATGCAGGGGTCCATGAGGCCCCATCTTTGTCTTCAATCTAAACTTCGCCGGGAATCTTTCTAACAATCTCCCAGAACACATGGCCTAGGGAGAGATTGCAATGCTATTTCTGTTAATGCAATATATAGCAGTAATGCTGAAGGAGGAAGGTCAGGATTTTAAAAGTTAGTACATCTGGGCTCACTCTCCTTGGGCAGAGACAAGCCTTTGCAAAAGGACTAGTAACTGTTGGTCTTTCACTCATGCCACAAAAGGGAAGTGACCACACTCAGAATTGTGGAATTTCAGCTTTGGAAATGACTGAAGAGTTGAAACTGTTCAACTTTTACTGATAGTTGAAATCCCCTCTAAAGCATCTCCTCCAAATAGGTGCTGAGCCATTGCTTGATTATCTCCAGTGACAGGAAACTTACATCCTGTTGAGCTCTACAATTGAACAGCTCTGTATTTTTTTTTTGGCTGAGCTATAATTGACTTGTGATTTCCACCCACTAATTCTAGTTACATCCTCTGACACCACACAGAAGTCAGTTCAACAAATCTGCCCACTTCCCCCATGACAACTCTTCTTTGATTTGAACAATGTGAACATTTCCTCTTAGAGAAGAAACTGAATCTTTCATTTACTCCCTACAGTATGCTAGACAGTTTAAACCGTTACCTCCCATCATCCTATTAGTATCCTATGGGTTTGGAATTACTCAATGTTCATTAGCCAACTAAGGCTCAGACAGGTGGAATTCAGCAAGGCCACCCAGCTTAGAGGTGACAGGTCAGGAATTTAGGACCAGCCCTGGAAAGCCCAGGTACCTTCCATCATTTTCTGCTGCTTCCCAGAACAAAGGAGCCTGGAAAGCCTCCTGCACTTAATACCTTTCAGGTGCTGTGAACTTTAACCAGGACTGAAACTGAGCCAGACAATCTTTACTTGTGTCCTCAGCCCTGTGTCCTCAGTCTTCTAAATTGTCACTTTCACCTTTACATACAAATTAAATATCAAGCCTCTAGCCCTTCATACCACAAGAAATCCAATACTTTGGAGGATTTTAGGGAAAGATTACCTCTTCTTGCCAATTGACATTTCACTCTCCAAGCTCCTTCTTCAGCTTCTCACCAGTCACCATTGGCTTCCTTGTCAACTGTTCTAACAAATGTCATCTTTTCACACCTTTTTATTAGGATCATGGAATCAGCACTCCACCTCTGACCTGTTCACTCTCTCTTGCTTCAGTGACACAAAGCTGTTGTGTAGCAGTTTTTATTTAAGATTTGGTTGATGGAAGGGACACAGAATAGGAAACATCTTAAAACTGCAAATCAGCCATAGTGATGTAGTCTGTGGCCATCTAATATTCAAGAGATTCCCTTGCCTTTGGCCTCTTTCCCATAGTCTACTCTTTCTAAACAGAGTTCCTTATCTAATCTTATCACCAAAGCACTTATCCTTTCAACCTTCAAGGGGAAGTAGGAGTCTCTTCATATGCACATATTCTAGAAATCTCTGCCTAAGGAAGAGAGCACTGTGTGTTATTACGCAAAGGAATGCATCTCTTCATTGATTTAGCTCACTCTTCCAGTATGATCCTGGACCCAGCCCTTGCATAATAACCAAAATGCTGATAAATGTGTTTTTCAAACAAAGGAGCAGCTTTCTCTCGAATAATTCTACCTATTTCTCCTGGCAGAGAAAATATTTGCAGCCAGCATAAAAAAGTAAATAAATAAAAAATAAAGTAAATGGATGAAAGGAAACTTGTTCTTATTCAGAAGCTTGTAAGATTATCCATCTTCAGAAGAGAAAACTCTTAATATTGCAATCAGCAGCCCTGTCTAAAACAGAGCTTTCTGAAACATGGGACTCTCAATGAGTTCAGTCAAAAATCAATACAGGTTGAGTATTTCTTATCTGAAATGCTTGGGACCAGAAGTATCTCAGATTTTGAAATATCTTGGGGTTTTGAAATGTTTCATATAGGCAATAAGATATCATGGGGGATAGGACCTAAGTCTAAACACAAAATTCAGTTATGTTTTATATACAACTTATACACATAGCCTGAAGGTAATTTATGTGTGTGTGTGTGTGTGTGTGTGTGTGTGTATGTGTATGTATATTTAGTGTTGTACATTAAACAAAGTTTTGACTGCTTTTTGACTGAGCCCCATCACATGAGTTCAGGTGTGGAATTTCTCACTTGTGGCATTATGTCAGCTCTCAAAAAGTTTTGGATTTTCGAGCATTTCAGATTTTGGATTTTTGGATTAGGGATGTTCAACCTGGGCTAACCTTAAAACAGAAAACTAAAGAAGACATCTCGGATTAAAGCAAGTAGTCTTGACCATTCGCCTTGCCAGAGTCCTAAAATGTGAAGTTACCCCCAAAATCTGAAGGTCTATGTAGTGTCAAAAAGGTGTTACCCTTTTCTCCCCTTCTGTAAGAGTCACAGCTGTCACTCCTATAACAAAAGACAGGTTAACAAGAGAAGAAACATAACAAATTTATTTAATCAATGTTTTATGTGACATGGGAACCTTCAGAAATGAAAGCCTAAAGACCCAGGGAAAACTATTTTTATGCTTAGATTTAATGAAGATTAGACAGCCATGTAGAAATGTGATGGGACAAAAGGGTATGATCTAATGATAATAGACTCGGGGGAGAAACCCAGCACCTATTCAGATTCTTCTTGATCTGTGTGGCTGTCCTTTTCTCTTGCATAGCACACGGTAC
This sequence comes from Homo sapiens, assembly GCF_000001405.40. NCBI lineage: Eukaryota > Metazoa > Chordata > Mammalia > Primates > Hominidae > Homo > Homo sapiens. Next base: position 188,919,531 of record NC_000003.12, read on the forward strand.
CTTATGCATGACAGTCTTTAAGGGAGAAGGGAGAAGCTCAGAGTGTGAGCTTTTTAGGTTTTACGGGTGTGTTGGGGAAGAGGAGTTTTAGTTTCTGTAACCCATCCTGGATGAGAAGAATTCTGATCTCTATGCATCACTTTGGGTGGACAAAAAAAAGGCAGCATACAAGAAGATGGGAGAAGATCAGAAAGACCTTGCTTCCAATCCCCTTCAGTTCAAAATACTCAGCACACCATAATGCCATACTTTGGGGTATTGTGTTCTGAGCCCTGACATCTAGAATTGAGCAGAAAACTTACTTGCCAAACACTGCTTCAAGGCCTGTGCAGAAGGTTCCAGTTCTGAGCTATGCTGCTGCTCTCCTAGGCAGCAATCTCTTCCTGGCAATATATTCAAGAGACAGTTAAAAAAATATCTCTTCTCCATTTACTGCTTTAGAAACAGAATCCACTGCCTAATTGAGAATCCTTTCTGCCTAATTACTCCATTCCCATTTTTTTTTTTGAGCTGCAGAGTTGCTGTGGAATTATGTAGTGTATAATTTCATCATTTAGCAATATGTAAATCAGGAGAAGAAAGGAAGACAGAGAGAGAAGCAAGAGAGGAGTGATCATCCCTTTAAATTTCTGACGAGATCGGGTGCGTTCAGGGTGGTATGGCCATAGACATCCCTTTAAATTTCTATGTGAAGAGATGGATGACATTGTTTGGATATATGTCCCCCCTGAATCTCGTGTTGAAGTGTAATCCCCAGTAAGGCCTGGTGGGAGGTGTTTGGAACATGGGGGTGGATCCCTCACAAATGGCTTTGTGCCATCCCCTTAGTGATGAGTGAGTTCACACAAGATCTGGTTGTTCAAAAGTGCATGGCACCAGCCACCCTCTCTCTCTTGCTCCCATTCTGCCATGTGAGACAACTGCTTCCCCTTTGCCTTCTGCAATGAGTAGAACTCCATGAGGCCTCCCCAGAAGCTGAGCAGATGCCAACGCGATGCTTCCTGTACAACCTGCAGAACCATGGGCTAATGAAACCTCTTTTCCTTATAAATTACCCAGCCTCAGGCATTTCTTTATAGCAATACAATAATGATGTAGTACAATGGGCAATGAGGCATGTGTAGACAAGGGAAGAGCCCAGGTCACCTAGCAAAGCTGGGTTTAAATTCCAGTTCCTCCACTTAAAAAACTACTTTTGGCTTGTTTGTTGCCAGTGTCTGTCACACATGAAATCACTTTTAATTCTCCTGGCTGTTCTGCCATATTCTACAGACGAGAAAATGATGGATATGAGCTTATCTTTTCCAGAGTTAAGGAAAACCAAATCTTTTACCTTATGTCCCCTGGAAGCTATCTCTATCTAGGGTTCTAAGGTAGGTCCACCCCTGGGAGCACCTCTCAGGTTTGCCTATGGGTGCTCTTCAGACTCTGGCTGAGTGTGTAGGGTGACAAGGACCTGGCCTGTCTCCCAGCCCACTTACTCAGGAAGAGGCATCTCATGGCGAAGGCAGACACCCTTGGGCTGTCACATTCATTCCTCAAAGGATGGTGGCTCTAATTTCCCAGACTACTGAGAGCATCTTTGCTTTGAATTTTCTCTGAGGGACCTAGGATTGTACTCTTTTTCTCTCTCTGGGAAAAGGGGCCCTTCTTATTCCTTTTACCAGACAAATTTAGGATTTCCCAATTAGGCTTAGGGCTGGTGATGCAAACCTGGCTTCACCCTTTCTAAGGCAAAAAGTCAAGTTTTGATTTTTTCCTGTTTCTTCATGAGACACTAAGGTATGCAGGAGATGGATGCAGGAGAACTGGGAAATTACTTCCTCTTCTGAGCCTTAGATTTTCTACCTCTGTAAAAATAGTAGGTAAGAACTAGGTACTCTTCCACTTTCTAACATAACATTCTATCCTTCTATGACCAGAGGCCTCAGAGCCCAGTGTTTTGACACAGTTGAACTAATCTCGTATTGACAGGGAGAAGAATTAAATGACCCAGTGAACCTACCTGCTTATGCCAGCATGGAAGACTTAGCAAGTACACACCAGAGAATTTTCCTTACAAACACTGTTTCTCATACAGGATAGAGATTTGCCCTACTCATGGCCAGGACACAGTGAAGTCTAGTGGAAAAGCACAGGGCTTGGGATTACAAGACCTGGAGTAGAGTATTGCCTTGGCCAGGTCCAAGCTGTCTGACCCTTGCAATATACCTTACCCCTCTATGCTTCAAGTTTCCTTACCTGTAAAATGAGGATAATAATACTGTCCCCCAAAGGTGGTTGTAGAATCAAGTTAGAAATTTCACTGTAAATTACAGTCTTTAACAAAAACAAGAGATGTTATTGATACTAATTTTGAAAAGGCTTGAGAAACCGTTAGGCTAGCTACATACTGAAGAGCCATTATGACAGTGATGGGGCCTTAAATTTACATTTCATTTTAGACTTTCCAAGGGCAACAGAGATATACAGAATAAAATGTTGTGTAGTTAGGAAATACATAACTTTCTTAGATATAATCTTTCTTACTCCTTAGCTTCAACAAATATTGATTGCCTAGAAGATGGCAAACACCAATTACAGGGCTACTGATATGAACCAGACAGGCAGAGTTTCTACCCACAAACTCTTTGTATTCTAGGAGGGGAAGCAGAAAGTAAGCACATAAACAAACACACAAATAATTGTATGTACTCTATTGGTGTTATAATACATCGAAAATAGGGTGATGTGGGGTTGTTTTATACCTAGGGTGGTCAGTGAAGGCCTCTCTGAGCAGGTGACATTTGAGCTGAAATTTGAATGATGAGAAAAAGGTGCCATGGAAAAATCTGGTTATAGAGCTAATCAGAAATCAACCCAGGCCTAGCATCCAGGACTCAAGACTTCCTCCTGTGTTAAATTTTAATTTAATTTAATTATTATCATCATTTTTTGAGACTGAGTCTCACTCTGTCACACAGGCTGGAGTGCGGTGGCGCGATCTCAGCTCGCTGCAATCTCTGCCTCCTGGGTTCAAGTGATTCTCGTGCCAGAGCCTTCCAAGTAGCTGGAACTACAGGCACATGCCACTATGCCCGGCTACTTTTTTGTATTTTTAGTGGAGACAGGGTTTCACCATGTTGGCCAGGATGGTCTTGATCTCCCAACCTCAGGTGATCTGCCTGCCTTGGCCTCCCAAATTGCTGAGATTACAGGTGTGAGCCACCGCACTCGGCCCTCCAGTGATTTATTATGTTGGTTTTTCCCCTGAATCCTGAGTCCACATATCTGTCCAGATAACCAGGATTTGCCTGCTTTGGACCCTGATGCTCTTCTCGCCAGGGTTTACAGTGTGTTCTCCTCTCCCACCCTGGGGCCAAGACTCATCTGTCCTTCAGCTCTCATGGCATGTTCATTCAACATAACTATCCCAGGCCTTATTATTGTAAGTCTCTGCTGTACGTCATAAGTCATCTATACAACTGAGTTCAACAATGATTGAGTTTTGGTCATTTGAAAGATATCCAAGGTAGATACTTTGGGAATTAAGAGCTAACCCCTGCCCATTAGAAGGTCACACAAAGTCTATTTTTAAAGGGTGGAAGATGCTGTTTGTGGTGCCTCACACTTGCAATCCCTGTGCTTTGGGAGACCAAAGTGGGAGGATCCCTTGAGGCCAGGTGTTTGAGACTAGCCTGGGTGAGACCCTGTCCTTACAAAAAAATGTTAAAAACTTAGCCAGGTGTAGTGGTGCACGCTTGTAGTCTCAGCTACTTGGGAAGCTGATGTGGGAGGATTGCTTCAGCCCAGGAGTTTGAGGGTTCAGTGAGCTATGATCTATGATCACATCGCTGCACTTTAGACTGGGCAACAGAGAAAGACCCTGTCTCTTAAAAAATAAATAAAGGGTAGAAGAGGGAGAATGGAAATAGTAAGTGCGCAAATGAATGTTTTTATCCATTCATCCTGAATTTATGGAACACTGATGGTGTATAAGGCATTATATAAGGTGCTACTGGGCTCACAGAAATAAATCAAGCAGAATCTGTGCTCTCAAGAAATTCCTAGTTTGGTGAGAAGGAGAGCCTTAAATATATAGATAATGATAACAGAAAGATACTATACGCAGAGAAGTATAAAATAAATATAAGCAGTAGTAAGTAGACAGCATTATTTCCTTGGAGGTGAACCATGGAAGTCTTTTTAGAGGAGTGGCATTTGAGCTGAGCCTTGATGGTGAGGAGGAAAGCTCAATCTAAGTGGAAGGAAAAGCAAGCAGGTCATGAAGGCAGGAAAGCAGGAGGGTTTGGTTGAACATATGCATAGGGAGGGGAGTGACCCACCTCCTGCGAACCTTTGTTTTCTTACCTGCTCTTCTCTGCCTCTGCTCCCAGGCCTGATCCCCACACAGGGTGTCTTTGATTACAGGTACACAGGGCTGTTACTCTTGTTTCTTTGAAGACATAGCTCCCTCATTTTACAAATAGAAATGTCATGTCTGAAAATCACTAGGCTGCGGGTAATGATGGGGCCTCTTGTAGTGCTTCTTTCAGTCTTAAGAATTAGAATTTCTGCCACGTGATGACTGTTCTCAGCATCTCATTTAAGAAACTTACGTGAGCTGTGCCCTCACACCAAACAAATGAGCGGCAGCCAGATGAAAGGGGTCCTGATCTCTCAATTAAGGTCCATCCGAAGATTGTTTCCCATGATTCTGAAATTCCATCTACCTGGTGGCATCTCCACCTGCTTGTCCCACAGGCACATTAGACTCAACAGACATCCTAAACTGAACTTACCCCTTATCTTCCCCAAACCTGCCTCTTTTCTCATACACATTTTGACGAATTGTTCATGTAATTAGCAACTAATGCAAGGGTATCAATTCAAGTTACTGCATTCCTATCCTTGGCTCTTCCAGGTCTCTCACATTCTACAAAAAATTAGTAGCATGGGTACTCCCAGTGTGAGCAATTACTACAGGGTCCAGGAATCCAGGGGTCCTGATGGGCAGCTGGACACTGAGAAAGGGGGGTCTTGGCCCTGCCACTTAATGACTGTGTGGCAATTCATTACTCGTTTTGCTACCTCTTCTGAAAATTGGGCATACGAGACCTTTTTCACAGTGAATGTGGAACTATATGTGTGAATGTGCATTAGTAATTAGAAAACGCCATACCAAATCAGGTCATATGAAAAGAGTCTACTGGAAGATTTTATTGCTTGCAACAAGAATGGTATGTACCTGCTACTTATTCACTATGGAACTCTGAGCAAGCTCCTCCTCCTCTCTTGTCTCTGCCAATGGCGGAGCTGGGGAGTGGGCAGCAGTGGGGGTTATATGAAGATCAAATAAGATAATGTGGAGTATGTATGGGAGTTACGAGAGCTTTCTTCTAGTCACAATTTCCCACTTATGCGTTATGTCACGAATACCCAAGAGCGCCCCTTTCTAAGCCTCAGTTTTAGCGTCTGAAAAAGGCTCTGCTATTACTACTACTACTAATAAACAAACAAATAAACAAATGCCAGCGAGAAAATCATTAGACTAGACCATTTCTAAAGTCCCTTCTGGTAGATAATCGAACAAGTTAAATTTAAAATTTCTAAGAAATTAATCGGCTCAATACAAAATGCCATTCTCAAGTCAAGTGAGAGCCATTCAGTGGTTAATGGACAGTTTGAGCGAATCTGTGTAGGAGATAAACTGTTAGAAGTGCTGCTCCAGCTTCACGTCTTATTCACCTACAAAGGGCAGAGGACAAGATCAAGAGACCTGGTCATGAGCTCTGTCTAACCCTGGGCAAGACTGGGTCTTATTCTTCTTTTCGTCAAACCAAAGGGCATGGACTTAATGTTCTCTGAGGCAGTTTTCCATTTACAAGCCTATGAATCTAACTTCTTTGAGTCTAACTTCTAACAAGTCTTGGGCACAAGGAATCAGGCTGGCCTCCTGCGTGTGCTGAGACGCGCCTGGTTAGAGCAGATGGAGTGTGTCTATCATGGCGGCGGCGTAACCAGTCTGGTCACTTCAGATGTCTCTCCAATTAACACTCATGGCGGCAGCCAACTGCTCAAGCAGCAGAACGGGCTGGTGGAGAAGATGGCGGGGATGCCTGGGCCTGCTGCCACGCCTATTATCTAAGCCTCACCCGAGCAGCGGATGAGTGGAAGGGGCCAGCCCAGCTTCACAGTGTGTGGGAGGTGGGAGGAGTGGGTGAAAATGGGAGGTGAGATGTGTGCAGGGAAATTTCTCTAACTGTAGAGTCCTAGAAAGTTAGAAATGGAAAATTCTCATTCAAGAATGGCCTCTACTATCTGCTTTGATTTCACTTCCCTCGTCTTCATTCCCATTGTGCCTGACATGGTTCAGGAGCCCATCACCTTTTCCTTCTTACTTCCGGAGGAATCTCTCTGCCTTCCATTTTTTCCCCCCTCTCTAAACCATGCCCTGCAAGACAGCCAGACTGAAATTTCTAAAATACAAATGTGAGTATGTTATTCCTTTGCATTGCAATGTGTTCCCATTGCCTTCCGGAAAAAAAAAAAAACAACTCAAAATCCCATAGCCTGACATACGCAGACCCCCGGAGACCTGATTTACTTAATCTCTTCCTTTTCCCTTCCCATCCCACAATGTCTAGCCATTGGAGAATTACTTGAAATTCCTCCAATCCACCAAACTCTCTCCATATTCTTCCTTCTGCCTTCCTTCCCTTATTTGTCTGGCAAAGAGGTGCTCAGCTTTTAAAACTCAGAGATGTCGCCTCTTCTGGGAAACACTCCAGGACCACCCTCTCTGTGTTCCCATAATAGCTGAGTAATCGCTACCGGAGCATTTACCACACTACACTCTGAGCTTTTGAGGGATGAGAATGTGTCTAATTTATTTTTTTAGGTATTTGCATCAGAGGCAAAATTGACTTGAAATCGGATACCCTACTGATCCCTAGAGTTAATTTGTCTAGTGTGGCTTTGGTGCCATTCCTTGATCTGTGACTTTGATCGCCAGGTCACCAGCAAAGGAAGCACATGGTAAATGGAAGTTGACTGAGTGAAGGAACCCCCTCATTTTACAGAAGAAAAAACAGACCTGAAACAATAGTGGACTTATCTGAGCCTACATGGAGGGAGAGTCAAAGGAATTCATCTCTTGACTCCTAGTCTGGTGCTCATTCAACTACCTTACATTCTCAAGGGGTTTCAACAAATCCTCCTGTTAAGAAAGTAGTATTGCCCTCACTGGAAGGTGTGTGTGTGTGTGTGTGTGTGTGTCTACGTGCACGTGTACGCCCAAGGAAGATCCTCAGTTCGATCTGAATTTGCCACATCTCCAAGCTTTTTTGGAATTCCCGGCTTGTGGGCTGGGTATTGACAGAGAGGCAGCACAGTCAGGGTAGGCAAGGGTAGAGCAAAACCATTTAAAACACGCTGGGAAGCTCAGAGGCTTGGCAAGGCTGGGAGGTGTTTAGAGTAAAAACATACAGCAATTATGAACCATATCTACTGTTTCAGGTATGGATGTTATCTCTGGGTCTCACTCGCCAGGCTATGGCAAAAGGCCCCACAAAGCTTTCATCTCCCAAGCATGTAGAAAATCCCTGCCTGTGTTGTTCTTGGGAGGGAAGGTTTGGCTAGGAGCAATTTTTCCTGAAAAATCAAAACAACTCCTCCTCAGAGTGGGCCCAGCTTCCAGGTGTAGCCTGGGAGCTGGGCATGCTTCCCTGAGCCTGGGTGTGAGTGTGAAGGCTTCTGGAGTCAAGAGGGGCATCTGAAGGTCAAACTCCAGGGAATCCAAACCTCTGAGCCTGATTTACAGCTTGGGCCTTAGGTCTCCTCCCACTCAGCCCACAAGAACCCCCCAATTTCCTTCTCTGCGAGCCAGCACTCCTCAGAGCTGCGAAATGAGATCTAAGGCAGTGGATTTTTCTGGCCTTATGTATGGATTTTCCCTGAGAGGATGGCAGAAGTGGTTCTTGAAAATGTGGGCAAGAGAGTATCATGGTGACTCAAAAAACAACAAGCCTGGAACAGAGCTTGGAGATCATCTAGCTAACACTCTTATTCATCTTTTCTTCTTTCTTTCCCTTCTTTTCTAATATTTTCTCCCCTCCTCCCCCTTCCCCACTTCCTTTGCCTTTCATTCCTTTTCTTGTTGTGGCTTTCAAATAAAATCTTATCTAGAAACCCAACATATGAAACTTAAAAATAAAACTGCTCCAGGTAATTTTGGTGGGCAACGGGTTCTGGTCTCCCTTTCTGAACTTGCCTCTTATAGGACCCCCGTAGAGTCCTGTGAATCCCCTCTTCGTATCCTGGACTTCACAGATAGCAGTTTGGATACCTCTAGGGGGGTCCAATATCCTTATTTTGTGCATGGGGTAACTAAGGCCCAGGGAGGAGATGGGATTTATTAGAAGTCAAACAGGGAAATAAGGGAGGAGTTGGGGTTCTCCAGGGACTTTCTTGGCCTTCTAGGCTTCCTTCTGGTAACCTGTATTAGATCCCATGTCAACCCTATGTAGGCACAGTCTTGCCCTAGGTTCTGTAGCCAGTAAATGCTGTTTTTATTAAGGAAAACATCAGTGGGGATTTAGGAAGCCCTGGGTCAGTAGCTCCAGGAAATGAGCACCAAGCCAGCCTGGCCACTTGCCCCCTTGGCCCTGGTGCTGTGGCTCCTCTCCCTGTACTTGGAACCTGGGCCCAATTCCATTCCTCCTTTTCCTGAGCCTTGCCTTTATAAAATCTCTTGGAAGGGGCCCTACTACTTGTTAATGTATACTTAACTTTCTTCTCCTATTCCCCATCCAACCAGGGCCTGGCCTGCCCTGAGCCTGGCCCAGGTATGAGAATGTGTACCTGCTCCTAGGCCCCCTGACCCCAAATTACTGCTTGAATCTCTACTCACCTGCCTCCAACCATGCTGACCATGTTCAGCTGGCCCTACCTTTCCTCACACAGACCCTCTCCTGGCTGCCTTCTCCCTTTGCCTGGACTTATGTTCTCCTGACAAGGTGCCTGTGTCCACAGACTTGGGCTTCCTGTAGCCTTTTGGGGAGGCTACGTGGCGGTGGAAAGGATTGACTGACTTAAAAATGTTCTGGGTGGCCAGACACGGCGGCTCACGCCTGTAATCCCAGCACTTTGGGAGGCCGAGGTGGCAGATCACGAGGTCAGGAGATCGAGACCATCCTGGCTAACATGGTGAAACCCTGTCTTTATTAAAAATACAAAAATTAGCTGGGCGTGGTGGCAGGTGCCTGTAGTCCCAGTTACTTGGGAGGCTGAGGCAGGAGAATGGCGTGAACCCGGGAGGTGGAGCTTGCAGTGAGCCGAGATCGCGCCACTGCACTCCAGCCTGGGTGACAAAATGAGACCCCGTCTCAAAAAAAAGAAAAAAAAAATGCTCTGGGCCAGGCCAGGTGTGGTGGCTCACACCTGTGATCTCAGCACTTAGGGAGGCCGAGGCAGGTGGATTGCTTGAGCATAGGAGTTTGAGACCAGCCTGGGCAACATAGGAGACTCTGTGTCTACAGAAAGACAAAAAAAGATGTTTTAAATTAGCTGGGCATGGTTGCGCATGCCTGTGGTCTCAGCTACTAAGGAGGCTGAGGTGGGAGGCTGCAGTGAGCTATGATTGCACCACTGCACTCCAGCCTGGGGGAGAGTGAGACCCCTGTCTCAAAAAATAAAAATAGAAAGTTTTAGGCCTCCCCACCCCCACGGCCATCTGGCTAGTGTAGCCACTCTAAATCACACTCTCACAACCTACTCCTTTCACCTGCCCGCTCCTGGATTTCCTGTCAGAATTTTACAGGATTCTGCTCAGCAATGCCCTCTTCTGCCTGACCAGGAGAGCTCTGAGCAAAACACTCATGGACTTATTTGCAGAGACTGTAGCCATTCAACCAAGCCCAATCATGTCACAGGGATTTCCAATCTTTTCCCTCTCCCTAGATACTACAAGACCCACAAATTCACAAATTCTGTCTGAACCAACTCCAGTCCAAGTTTGTGCCCAGAGCCTTCCAAGGAATGTCTAATTCTGAGGCCTGAAATTCCATGGCTGTTCCTTTTTCTGCCCCAACCCTGCAGCCTTCACCCTGTGGAGAGGGAAGATCCAGCCTGTTTCCAGTCCCAGAAAGCCCTTCCATGGTCTGCACATATAGGCCCAACAAATGCTAGAATTAGATCCCCCAGCCCACTGCCAGAGGCCAGGGAAGCTGACCTGCTTCCTCCCTGGAAGAGGGTAGAACAAAAGGAGCCTGCACGTGGCTTCTGTCTGTCCTCGTCCTCCACGACCCCGTGCTACCCCCACACTCACAGCCCTCTTGGAGCTCCCCGCACCCCCGCCATCCACAGTGCCTCCCCCAGAAGATGGGCCCAGGCCTGGGTGCTTTCCTGCAGCCCTGGACCAGAATCAGCCTGATCTATGGGCTAGGGTTTTTGCAGCCAAAAAGCCTAAATCTCTAGACCCCAGTCCAGGAAGCCCCAGACCACAGTCAGGGGCCGTGGGAGGCTGAGCTATGAGGACAACCAAAACCCACAGTGGGATCTTGAGGGCTCCGGGGCTTCCCTGAAACATAGCTGTGAGTGGTGGCGCGTCTTGGGATGAGTAGGGGCAGAGCTGCTGGTGAGGCGGGGGACCTATCTACCCCCACACCTGGAAAAGGAGGAGTGTGCTCCATATGGGATTCTAGTCTTGGCTCCAGATCTAGATATTCAGCAACGTTTCTGGCTTAAGGGTACCCTAGAGCCCATATCCCCTAGTGTTGAACTGGAACTTATATCATCAATGGCTCAGGCAGATAAAACAAAATCTGACACAAAGATCGCAGGGGCCCGGAGAGCCTTAGAGTTTGTAACACCTGCTTTACCTCCAGGAAGACAGCCCTTTCTCCGGAGTCTCACCCTGATCAGAGCCTATTACAGGCGTTCCCAAATGCCCACTGGGATCCACGCTGCCCTCAGATGAGGCTGTGGCTGGCTGGGAAGCTGCTCGTGCTGTGCAGACAGAGCCTGAGTGAGACTGACGTTGGAGTGCCGCCCAAGAGAGGGTCCTTTGCCATGGGAAGATCCTGGAGATTTGTCCTGGCTGTAACAGTTCCCTGTAAGAGCCCTTGCAGTGCAGAAGCCAGGAAGAGAACTGAGAAGGTCAAGCCCGTCAATTTCACCCTCCAGGCTGGCAGTGCTATTGTTACTAGGTTAGAGGTGTTTCTCCTGGAAGCCCCTAGAACCTTCCTGGAGAGTAAGTACTTGGCAGGTGGGGAAGACATCCACCCACCTCTATCCCAGCCTAGCTTGGAACTCTGCTTCTGACACCCACAGACTGATTTTCTGATCCCACACCCAGTGACCATAAGGCCCAGGAGCTCAGACAGAGGAGATCTGGGCCTTGACATTGTATAGGCTTGAGCCCACTTCATCTCTCTCAACCTCAAGCCTCATCTTGAAAATGGGGCGATAACAGCACATGCCTCACAGGGTTGTTGGTCTTTAGCTAAATGCCAGGAAACTTTCTCAGAAACAGTAGACTTCAGTGCCGATTTTCTGACTCTAATTCTGAAGGTTAATCCTGGGGAGAGAGTACAGGCTTCACAGAGTCAGCACAACTGTCCTCTGGGTTTTGCAGGAAAGGCCTGGAGAGTCCCCCTGGGTTACTTTTAAAGATTACGTCTATATGATGCATTCTATTCTAGAGAAATGTGCTGGGTTTTAACAACTGGGACATGAGGCTGGAGGCCAGAATTTTTCCCCTAGGTCTGCCCCAAAGCTGCTGAGTTAGCTGCTTTGTGATTCAAAGTTCCAGTCCAGAGAAAAATACCAATTACTTCTCCTCTTTACAACTCACCGTATGATAACAAAAATCTTTCAAAATGTATGAAAACTTACAGTTTCTAAGTCCTTTTCACACCCAGGATCTCCTCCGATCCTCACAACAATCCTACAAGGTTGGCAAGCCAGGATTTTGTCCTCTTTTCATCGGGGAGCAGCCTGTAGCTCGCTCAGGAACCTACAACCCCTTGGCGACAGAGAGGCAGGCCCAGAGTACACATTTCCTACTTGCATCCACTGTTCTTTGTCTTTCTTCTTTCATTTCAAACTGAGACATTGATTTCGAACTTTTGCTACAGTCCTGTCTTTTGCAGTGTGGTTCATCACCTGCATTCAGCATCTGTGGTTAGGCTACTCAGAAGTCACTCATGCATGTCCTGGGAGACTGGCCTGGAGGGTGTCTCCCTGCACCCTCTGCACTGAGCAGTGCTGTCCAGGGCTCAGGAGGCCCGAGCCTCAACTTGGATAGGAGAACATAGCAGTGGTCTGGAGCTATGGCATATTTTGGGAAGAGGTTCATGAGAGAATTGGTAGAGAGAGACTAGAAAGCCACTTTGAAAGAAACAGTGTTGAGCATGTGGGAGGGAAATGGGTCCCTGTTAGTGGTTCTTGGTTTATTTCTTCCATTTTTGCCTCTGTTGTTCTAGGATATAGGAAGGAGACTAGAAGAAAAGGGCTCTTACTAGAGGCTTTGTGCCTTTGTTTATGCAACCCAGATACTGTAAGAGGCAAGGAACATAACCGGATTGATTTGTGAAACATATTTAATGTTTGAATTTTTATTAAAGTAATACATACATGTGGTTAAAACAGGCACAGACACAGCACGTGTATGCTCTCCAGGTAGTGGTTTTCTGTTTTCAGATGGGGAAGGTACCATTTTCAGGTAGGATGCCTGAGCAAAAGCTTCAGCTTGGATTAGATTGACTTCACCCCAAAATCAAATATTCCAGAAGGAACATAACAAAAGGCAACAGTTTTTGGATTCATGCCCTTCGCATCACTTCAGAGGCAATGACTGTCAGCAATTCTTGCTCGAGGTTTTGCTGTGATTATGTCCACAAGTGGAGATTGTTAATATTACTATTAATGGTTTTTAATAATATGATTATTATGATTATTAATATTATTTCTTATTTTATTTACTTTACTCAACAGCAAATACATATTGAGCACCTTCTATGTGCCAAGTCCTATTCTAGGCACTGAGGAACTTATATTGTCAATTCATCCCTTACTAAAATAGATAAGGATTTAACTCAGTTAAAATAGTTTTCCCTCCAAGTACAGTTATATCCTTAATTTCTTTCTTTCTTTTCTTTTTCTTTCTTTCTTTTTTTTTTTTTTTTTTTTTAAGGTGGAGTCTTGCTCTAATGCCCAGGTTGCAATGGTGTGATCTTGCCTCACTGCAACCTCTGCCTCCCGGGTTCAAGCGATTCTCCTGCCTTAGTCTCCCAAGTAGCTGGCATTACAGGCTTGCGCCAACATGCCCGGGTCATTTTTGTATTTTCAGTAGAGACAGGGTTTTGCTGTGTTGGCCAGGCTGCTCTTGAACTCCTGACCCCGGGTGATTCACCCGCCTTGGCCTCCCAAAGTGCTAGGATTACGGGCATGAGCCACCACCCCCGGCCTATCTCCCTAATTTCTTTCTCTTTTTTTTTTTTTTTTGAGACAGAGTCTTGCTCTGTCGCCCTGGCTGGAGTGCAGTGGCACAATCTCTGCTCACTGCAAGCTCCGCCTCCCAGGTTCATGCCATTCTCCTGCCTCAGCCTCCCGAGTGACTGGGACTACAGGCGCCCGCCACCAAGCCCGGCTAATTTTTTTGTATTTTTAGTAGAGACGGGGTTTCACTGTTTTAGCCAGGATGGTCTCCATCTCCTGACCTCGTGATCCACCTGCCTTGGCCTCCCAAAGCTTAATTTCATTTTGAAAGAAGATATTTGAAAAAAATAAGGCAGTTTACTGGGGATGGCAATTATGATAGGAAGAAGAGATTTAGAGAGTCAGACACTGATTGTTTCGTAAAGGCAGGGGACTTTGATTAAAAAAGTGAAAGTAATTTTCTGAAATGTCATTAGAGGCCTAAGAGGACTATGCACAGTGAAACACCCTGAAGTGGGTGGTTCTATAGCACTGAGACACCTCAAGTGTGCTCTACCAAGTGTAGCTGGGGTGGCACAGATACACAGAGGCCTCTGACTAGGATGCCCAGGGGCCTGGAGAGGAAGCTGCTCATCTGCAGGACTTACCCTTGGGAGGTTCCTGGGCTGGCAATGCCTGGGAGAAGATAACCCAGGATATAGTCAGGGGTCCTGGATTTGAGACCCAACTCTGGTACTTAATAGTTATTTGTTTCCTTGCCTGCCTAGACTCAGTTTTGTTATTTGTAAGTTGGCAATGAGACTAGCTTTTCTGTGTTGATGTGAAGATGAAATTATATATGGATGCACTAACTGTAAAGTGCTATAAATTGAATGATTATTATTGGAGAGCATGTGCAAAGAACATCTAAATGAGATTTTATTCACTGTGCATTATTAATTTTCCTTTCTAAAAATCAGTGTCTCCTGCCACTAATTTATCATTATAATAATTCTTATTCATTTTAGATAATGAGAGAAATCACAATGATGCTTTCTGGTGGAATGACTCCTTTAGTTAAATAAATCTCCAAGTGCTTAAAGGTGAATTTCCCTCTGGCTTTAAGAGATTGATGGCTTATACTATCTTACAGTTAGTTGAAAAAAGTTCATTGTCCGTTTTAGCCTTGGGGAGTATGCTCTCAAACTGTAGTCACAAAATAATTTCACTCTGCTGTATAAGAAGCTCAATTCAAGTAAACCAAATTTATTGAAAACTTCCTCTTGCCAGGAACTATGTTAATGAAGGACCATTCAGAGATGAATGTGACCTTCACCCTACTATTTAGGGGCTCACTCTGGTGGAACAAGTAGACACACATACAAAATTCAGTGCAACATAATGAGGGATCAGTTCTAAAATAGAAGTATTATTTTGTGCCATTGGAAATGGAAGAAAGAAAAAGCTAATTCTGAACTGAGGGTATGTGGGACATACAAGTAGAGAAGGTACAGTCCAAGCTTGTATAATCCATGGCCCGTGGGCCTCATGCAGCCCAGAATAGCTTTGAATTTGGCCCAACACAAATTTATAAACTTTCTTAACACATTATGAGATTTTTTGGTGATTTTTTTTTTTAAGACAAAGTCTCGCTCTTGTTGCGCCAGGCTGGAGTACAATGGCATGATCTCAGCTCACTGCAACCTCTGCCTCCTGAGTTCAAGCGATTCTCCTGCCTTAGCCTCCCAAGTAGCTGGGATTACAGGCACCTGCCACCACGCCCAGCTAATTTTTGTATTTTTAGTAGAGACGGGGTTTCACCATGTTGGCCAGGCTGGTCTCGAACTCTGACCTCAGGCGATCCACCTGCCTCAGCCTCCCGAAGTGCTGGAATTACAGGCGTGAGCCCCCACACCCAGCCGGTGATTTTTTTTTCAAGCTCATCAGCTACTGTTAGTGTTAATGTACTTTATGTGTGGCCCAAGACAATTCTTCCTCTAATGTGGCCCAAGGAAGCCAAAAGATTGGACACCCCAGAAACAGTCTTGAAAACTTACTAGAACTTTGGCAGAATTAGAGAGGGAAGGGCCTGTTGGAGCAATGGAGAGCTTAGAGATTTTGGGGGGAAAAATCTTTTTGGGGGAATGGCAAGGGTCTGAAGCTTATTGGAAGACAGTCATGAACAAGCGGTCTGGAGCCAGACGAGTGCGGAGGACCCTTGAGAAACAGATGAGGTTTGGTTTTATTCTGTAGACAAAAGTGCCTTTGGAGGTGTCAGAGTAGATCAGATCAGAGCACAGCTTTTGTGAGAAAAGTGTGTCAGTCGTAAGCAAATGTACGGTGCCTTGCTTTCTTTTCCTGCTCCCCAGCAGGCTGGGTTTTAGGAAGGAAAGGCTGAGCAAAAGCTTAGGAAATGGATCTGACTGACTACTCCCACAAACCATTCTTGACCTTCTTTTGTAAATACCCAATTACCTGTTCATTTCCCCAATTAACTCATCAGTGAAATCAAATCAATCATTATTAATTCTAACTTTAATAAACATTTTTTAGTTTACATATATGATGCTCTTCCTCAAATCATAAATAACTGCATGATGTGTGTGAACTTTCCAAAGGTAGTTTAGGTGGAGAAAAAAATGACATTCAGTTAACAAGCTTATCAGAAGCTGAATCATTACAAATGACAGATATTAAAAATGTAATTAGAATATATATTGTCTAGGAAGACATGCCATATTAATTAGGGGTAAAAAGCCTATGTTTCAGCTCTCAGAATATAAAGTTGAAAGAAGCCTGTGGATTAATATCCATAATCATGGGCAGCGTTGTAGCATGGTAGGTTAGCACAGCACTGTAGTGTCAGAGCACCTGAGTTAAATCCTGGTTCTGTCCCTGTGAGCTATGTGACCCCAGGTAAGTATATAATCTCACTGAGCTTTAGCTTACCCACCTGTAAAGGTTAGATGAAAACAGCATTCTATCTCAGAGTTGCAAAGACTAGGTGAGCTAATATATTAATAAGTAGAACTCTCAGAACAGTGCCTGCTGTATCATAGATGCTATGTAAGTATTACCTATCATTATTTACTTTTTTTTTTTTTTTTTGAGACAGGGTCTTGCTCTGTCACCCAGGCTGGAGTGCAGTGCACAATCACAGCTCACTGCAGCCTCAACTTCCCAGACTTAAGCTATTCTCCCACTGCAGCCTCCTGAGTAGCTAGGACTACAGGTGCATGCTGCCGTACTCAGCTAATTTTTGCATTTTTGTAGAGCTAGGGTTTTGCCATATTGCCCAGGCTAGTCTCAAATTCCTGTGCTCAAGCAATCCTCCCTCCTTAGCCTCTCCAAGTACTGGGATTACAAGTGTGAGCTACCTTGCCCAGCCAGCTATCATTATTATTATTTATTTTCCCTTCACCTGCAAGGAAGAAGGGAACCCAAATGTGCTTGCGGACTTACTATGTAACACTTTTATCATTATTTCCTCATTTAACTTAATATGCTCACTCTTTACATAGGTTGTTATTATTAACCAAGATTATATCTATAAGGAAATTATGAGGAATTAAGTGACCTTTGTGGGGTCACTCAGCCAGAAAGTGGCCCACTGAGATCCAGGATGATCTGGTCCCAAGTTCCCAGCTAGCACAATGAACTCCCTTATATTGAGACTGTTGTAGGCAAGAGTGATTGTTCCAGTTTACTATGACCAATTTGACTAGGCATGATGGATTATTAATGATGGGAATAAATATATTTTCCTTTCCTGTTTTATTTGCTGTAATATAAGCAGTGCAAGACACTTTAACAGACTGGAGTGCTGAGTTGCCTGGTGCTCCACAGATATGATTCATTGTCGGTTCCATTGTAGATACAGACTGAGACAGACAGGAGGCAGCCCAAGAAAACTAGTAACAGCCTCTTGCTGATACTTCATGACCCTAAGGGAGAATGAAGCAGCAACTGAGGTTGAAGAAAATCCACCTGATAGGTTTAGTCAGTGAATGATTACAACCGCTTACAT
Source organism: Homo sapiens (assembly GCF_000001405.40). NCBI lineage: Eukaryota > Metazoa > Chordata > Mammalia > Primates > Hominidae > Homo > Homo sapiens. The sequence goes on from NC_000003.12 coordinate 188,936,956, forward strand.
GTGGAGAGCTGAATAGTCACAAAGCCCTTTCCCATATTTACATATTCTCTACTCCTCATAACAACCTGAGATTGCTCAGGCAAGAATCATCACTGGGTTTGACTATTGAAACCAAGAAGGCCTGTAAGCAGCAGAGCGGATTTTGAACTTGGGCCTTTTCTCATTCAATTTTGCTAACTATCATAGTAGAGAAAAGAATGTCAACGTAAAAGGCAAAGTAAATAACTCTGACTTTGAGATGAACATAATGGGTATCCTTTAGATGCTGAGAAGGGTTTTATGGTTCTGTACTAGCACTGTTTGCCTTACGGTGATGTCTTTGCTCCTACAGAAAGGCTTAAGCTCAACCCTTTGGGGTATTAAAAAGAACAAAAGACTTGTCTCAGTTTTTATCCATTAAGGCAGGATCCGCTTCCACCTCCAGGAGTAGTTATGTTCTCCAAGGGGATCGGAGTGTGGGTCAGGGTTCAAAATCACTTCACATCTGATGTCAGACCTTGTTGTACCTCTATGCTTCTTTGATCCAAGTAGGAAGTAATTCTAGGAACTTCTGACCCAGTATTCTTGGTGGTGGTAATTTAAAAGCTTCATTCTTGGCATATTTGTGAGGGGCCCGTCCTGCTACACCCAGTCTCCCGAAGGAAGCAGCTGATTGAGTTCTCATCCTGCCTTTGTTTTTCTCTTTCAAGGAAAAATTCTTTGAGAGCTGAGTATGTCTACATCACACTGGCCTCGTGCCTTCCCATTCCAGACCCTAGATGACTGGTGAAAAGCAACGTTCTCTTCTTCAATTGCACGGTCGACTAATAGTGTGGTACTCTTCACCTGGGGAAATTATTTCACACCAGTCTGGTACTTGGCTGGGCTTCCTTGTGACTTAAGTTTGGAAACATTCAGGGGTATACCTTTTCTATCAGTCAAAGCTAAAGTTTCTACTTTTAGGAGAATTCTTTTCTAGCTCTATGTGGGATATTTTCCCCATGTTTATTATTTCCTTAATGGGGACACAAACTTCATCATGGTCAGGGAGAACTCCGATTTGATTACTTGCAGTGTGGGGTAGGAGAGAGTCAAGAGAAAGGGAACTTAGGCTTCATGTGCTGGTTAGAAGGGCACAGCAGGAGAGAGAATCAAGAAGATATTCGAAGTAGGAGGTGATTTTCCAGTATGCAAGAACAACATCTACATCTTGACAACAACTCAACGATATGTGGAACATGCTTCTGTTACCAGGGGTCTTTGCTCCCAGAGCTCCCAAGATGGTGGTGGGCTGCTTCCAAGATGGTGGCGGGCTGCTTCCAAGATGGTGGCGGGCTGCTTCCAAGATGGTGGCAAGCCTCGTATTCTCTGACGTGGGGTTCTCGGCCTCACGGATTCCAAAGAATGGAATCTTGGGCCATGCGGTGAGTGTTATAGCTCTATTAGGAGCCGTGGGTCACGGAAGAGAACCATGGAACCCAGTGACTAGTGTTCAGCTCGATTAGGACGAACCCGGACACTTAGCTGTGCAGGAACAATGACAAGCCTTTAGCCCGATCAGGAGCAGCAGTGGGCGCCTTGCTGGATCAGGAGCACAGCGGACACCCTGCGGGATCCAGGGGGATGGAAGTCAGCGGTGGGTCTGTGACGGCGGCCAGCATCAGTGGGCGGCGAGCGAAAGCTCAGCTCCAGCCGTAACAAACAGGGACCAGAAGAGTGCAGTTGCAAGATTTAATAGAGTGAAAACAGAGCTCCCATACAAAGGGAGGGGACCTGAAGGGGTTGCCATTGCCGGCTCGAATGCCTGTGTTTATATCCTGATCATTGTCTCTTCTGCTGTGCTCTCAGGCGATAGATCATTGGCTATTTCTTTACCTCCTGTTTTTGCCTAATTAGCATTTTAGTGAGCTCTCTTTACTATCTGATTGGTTGGGTGTGAGCTAAGTTGCAAGCCCCATGCTTAAAGGTGGACACGGTCACCTTCCCAGCTAGGGTTAGGGATTCTTAGTTGGCCTAGGAAATCCGGCTAGTCCTGTCTCTCACTTCTACCAAATGTCCAACAAAGGAAGCCAGTATAGATCCTAGCAGCCTGGCGGATTCTAGAAGCCTTCTTCGGGGACCACTATTTGAGGCTCAAGCTCAGTTACTGTACAGAAAAAGTAAAGAAGGTGGGTCCTAAGGCATTCTTGGGACTCTGAGTTGGCTCACCAACTCCAGCTGCCCACTCTGGGCAGGTGTTACTTAAACCCACATCTAAGTTCAGATCTCTCTTTTTTCTACCAGATAGCTCTCGCTGGTGGCTCTTCAACACTTCCAACACCAGATGTCTATATAAAGCTCTCTTACTTCCAGCCCAAAGTCTTCTGACTTTTGCTGTGTTTGCAATCTCTGCTCACAGCTCCACCTGCTTCACCCACCCTCCCAGGTAGAAACTTGAGGATTATTGCTAATTTCTCCTTCTCTTTTCTCCTGCACGCATTCTATTCAATCATTCTGCAGTCTTTGATCTTTCGATTCCCACCACAGCTGCTCTGTCTGATCCCCCATCGGTTTTTGCATGCGTCACTTTAGCAGCCTCCTAATAATATCCTTCTCTCCAGTCTCTCTTTTTAACCATCGATTATTCATGGAACTTCTTGAGCCACTTGTCTAAGGCTCAGCTCTGGTAGTTTTATTTATCTTCTGCAAAAATCAGGGTGATTCCCACTGCTGTTTCTTAGCATGTCATTTCTGGCAAACACTGACATTCTCATGGCCATTCAAATTACTCCTATGTGTACTTTTCCTGTTCTTTTTTTTCTGATTAGGTTGTTCCATCCTCCTCGAATTCTCTTCTTGCATATCTCTGTCAAAATCTTTTTCAAGGTCCTGCTCAAATTCTACTTCCTTTGTAAATAATATGCATTTATTCAATAAACAACTTACAAATATTTACTATGCACTCCTAGGCATCAGGCACCATAGTAGGTACTGGCGAGATAGCCATGGATAAGAAAGACATTATTGCTCATAGTCTATTGTAGGAGTAGATTCCCAACAAACAAACACACAAATAGATATTAATAGTAAGTTGTGCTATGTATTTTGAAGAGAAAGGACATGATGTCATGAAATAGAATGATGCAAGGACAAGGAGGAGGGGTTTGGAGTTAGGGAAGGTTCTCTGGAAGCAATATAAAGATGAATAGGATTTAGGCAGAGGGCAAGAAGGGGCAAATAGATGTTTGAAGGCCCTGCGGCAAGAAGGAAAGGGCCTTGCAATCCCTAAGGTCAGAATGAACTGTTCTGTCCCCTCTGTGTTCACAAAGGATTCTGTTTTCACAAGGACAGTCTGCTACTTATTTCATTAAAAAACTAGTTGGTTCAACAAGTATTTCTGTGTACCTGGTATGTAGGCACTAGAAGTAGTAGCAGGCACTGGATTTAGAGGTGAGCCAAGTGTCCCCATGCACCTCCCAGAAATCCAGTCTCCGTCACTTCAAGGCTTGGCATAGTACTGATGGAATAGGAGGAACCTAGGAAAAATGTGGACCTGCGTGTTCAGGAGCGTGTGCTTGTGTGATAACAAGATGAAGTGGATTCATATTGGAACACTTATTACAAATGCTCCAAAACAGTCCCTACTCCTTTTCTGCAGGTCCTTCTGAAGACCAAGAAACCTCTCACTGAGCAGCCTGCAGAGGCTGCAGGAGCACACACACAGTACTCCATTCCATTCCCTTGGATTCTTGGGCACAAACCATCCCCCTGGGATAGCAGACTTTCTTCCAGTTTCAAGTCGTTTGACCATGTTCTAGTCTGAGCTAATTTTGTAAGTCAAATTGCTTAAGAATGAATATGAAATCTTTGACTGAAGCCCAAATATATAAATACCCATCACATTTCCTTCCTCCCCAATTTTGCAATCATCCAAAAAAGCTGTTCATGTTGTCCAGCATAATTAGTTATTTATACACCCTCATGTGGTCCATTGTTCAGAATTAAATTGTCTGGTATACAGAATTTCTCTTGCAAGGCTTGTTTTGCCATTTTACTGCTGTTTGGAAGCTGTTTGTAAATATGTCCTTGTAGAACCTTTTGGGATATGTCTGAGCATATCCAGGATTTGGGAGGCGATATAAGCCAATCCATATAAGCAAATATGCCCTGTGCAGGTCTCAGACCACCCCCTGCCTTCTAACACAAAGACTACCAAGAATTATTCATCCTTTCCTTGAAGACCCAGGGGAATTAGAAGGAACACAAAAATAGACACAGAAAGGTAAAAGTGGAAATCATCTTGGAGATCAAGACACTAGATTCTAGTGACTCCATTTTGCACAAGGGGAAGCGGGTCCCCAGAAAGGGGAAATGAAAGGGACTGGTCTACAGCTTCTCGTGGGTTAGTGGCAGGGCCATGCCCAAATCATTGTCAGCTGAGTCCATGATGTTCCTACTAAACCATGAAGTGGACTGGTACAAGACTTCTCCCAGGCATTTTCTGGGCTTGTTATTTGCTCCTGAATGACATGGTCCCAGGCTGCTACGTTCTCAGCTCTGGTACCTATGTATATATTTTTTATTTTTATTTATTTTTTTTTTGAGATGTAGATTCGCTCTGTTGCCTAGGTTGGAGAGTAGTGGCACAATCTCGGCACACTGCAACTTCTGCCTCCCAGGTTCAAGCAGTTCTCCTGCCTCAGCCTCCTGAGAAGCTGGGATTACAGGTACCCACCACCACACCCAGCTATTTTTTTTGTATTTTTAGTAGAGACAGGGTTTCACCATGTTGGCCAGGCTGGTCTCGAACTCCTGACCTCAGGTGATTCACCCACCTCGGCCTCCCAAAGTGCTGGGATTACAGGCATGAGCCACCGTGCCTGAACTTATTTTATAGCTCTTTGGTCTCCTCCCAGATGGCTTGGCAAACAGCGATTACTGATGAGTGTTACCCATCATGCAACAATTCTGCTCTCTTTTCTGTCACACGGTGGTCAGAGACTCCAGATAGTCCTCCAATTTAATGTAAAATGAGACTTGTTTTTGATTGAGGGTCTGAAGGACTCTGCTTCATGGGTGACATCCATAAATTTTATGTTCCAGCATATGGTTTATCTTGGTGAATGTTCCATGTGCCCTGGAAAGGAATGAGTATTCTGTTGTTATTGGGCAGAGTGTTCTACAAAGGTCAATTAGATTCAGTGGTTGTTTAGTTACATATCCTTGCTGGGTTTCCATCAACAAATTTTAATTTATAGACTTTGTAACATTAGCTTTGATTGTTCAAAAGCATTTTTAGGGTTTCTTTTTATATAAGAGTACAAGATCCTGAATCTTATTTTAAAATGGGACTTTCTGGGTAACCAGGTTAGAGGGCAGCAGTGCGGATTTTTTGAATGATTGGGCAGATGGTGTGATTTGAAGAATCCAGAAATTCTTCTCTTAATGCACATATATGGGCTGTCAGTATGCTAACTTACTACAAAGATCCTACATAAATTCCCCTTGGAATACGGCCTGTTGTTGTATCTAGGAAATATCAGGTCAGCTAGCCAACATCAGAACATTTAAAACTCATTATCTTTCTGTGTTATTATTCATAAAGTCCCTAGATTTTCTACAATGAGGCCACATATTAGTGTTAATGAAATTTATTAGATTTTAAATATATTTATGACTTTATATTTTTATTTTAAATTATTAAATATGTAACCATACAGAAAAGACATAACAGATGCCATGTACTCACCACCAGAATTCACAGATCCTAACATTTTGCCATATTTACTTCAGATCTCTTTTTTTCTTAAAATAAATTAAACGTAACACGCAAAGTAAAAGATTCCACCTTCCATTTCCTTTTTCCTCCCTCCTTCTTTCACTCTCAACCTCAACAGAGGAATCTACTCTCCTGAATTTAGTGGATATCATTCTCATGAATGTTTTTATACTTTCACTCCAAACAAATGTATCCACAGCAATTTATGACCGAGACTATTTCATGATATTTATTATTTTTTATAGTCAGAGGAAGGAAGACTCATCTGTCATCTTTAGAGGTCCTAGATCCCTTATAATCTCAATTCCTTCCAAATGGATTTTGCTTTAATCCTGGTTTTTATGTTCTTTCTCTGGTGATCTACTTACCCAGTTTTATTTCCTCCTAGCTAACGTCTTGTCTTTATTTTGCCAGAAATGGTAGCTTGAACCCTCCTCCTATGAATTGGCCTTTCAGAGGCTGTGGTCTGCTCACCTTAGGCATTACTCACCCCAAATCCCTGTAATCTGGCCCCTAGTTAGTTCAACCCACCTGGCTCCTGCACCTGGATCTGTGAGTGGCCATAGCTGCTCTTGTCAGACCTGACCTGTCTGCCTCAGCATTCCAGCACCAACGAGGAGGTTCAGTGCCCATCCTGCCCTACCTGTCTGTTTAGATCTTCCATGTTTGGAACGTAACCCCGAGAGAGGACACATCCGGGGAAAGCTGAGACAGTGCTGGTGGAGATTGATGAGTGTGAGGATGATGATTGATAATAGGCAACATTCTTGAGTAATATAATCAAAATGGTAAGATCTAAGGTGTAACACAATACATTCAAAAGGTTTCCTTCAACATAATAGTAGCTGATTTTTATGGAGCACCTACTGTATATCAAGTCTGTGCTAGGCACTTTATATCTTATTCCTTCTTAAAAATAACTACTTCACAGATGAGAAAGCTGAGGCATACAGAAGAAATGTGCTACTATGAAAATATTATGAGATTTAGAATAAGGCAGACTTGGGTTCAAACTGGCTCTACTACTTGCAACTTACACAGCCTTGGGCCAGTTTCTTAGCTGTCCTAAGCCTGGCACAAAATAAATGCTCAGTAATGATGACTATTGTTATTGCAGAAGATCTGGGTTCTTGCCCAAGCTTACACAGCTAATGTACAGTAGAACTGGGATTTAAATCCAGATCTGCTTCTCTAAAACTACCCTCTTTTCAGAGAAATATGAGTTCTCTCTTAAAGAAGTTGTCATCATGTATGGAAAGAGCACTAACATTAAAATGAGAAGGCTTCATCCCTTTCTGCCATTCTCCATCACTTATGTGATGGGCAGCCATCAACAAGTCATTTCCTCTCTCTTTTTCCTCAGTTTTCTCTTTTATAACATGAAGGAGTGGAATTAGGTAACCTCTAGGTTCTGTTTGTTCCAGCCCTGGAATCCTGTCCCCTTGTTCAAAAAACATAGCACTAAATTGCCTTTCCAAGTGGAATGACAAAAGGCAATGACATTCATATTTTAAAGAAGGCCAGGATAGGACAGTTGGCACAGCTTCTATCAGCAGTTTGTCCCAAACCCTTAACAATGGAAACCAATTGGATTTCTTTTCTGTTTCCCAACTTGAGCTGGGAAGGGAGCCAGGCCATAGAAGGCTTTAGAAGACAACAAAATCAGTTGCCTAAACTCATAGCTCTCTCGGGCAAGTTTCTTTGCTTCTCTCTCTCTCTTCCCTTTCATCCTTCTTTTGTTTTTTTTTAGAGAGGGAAGACTAAAACCAGAAGATGGGTAATTAAGATAACTAAGAGATAGAGAGTCACAGGAAGGGTTTTATTTCAGCTCAAGGTTTCATTTTTTTTCTTTCTTTTCTCCCCAGTTCTTTCTGATTTCATTTTCTAAAACTGCAGCACATATATTTGAGGGATCATTAAAGAAGTCCTGCATTCCTGCTCAGTGAATTTTAAACTCTTCTACACCACCCTGGGCTACCTGTTTACTGAAGTTAAAGGTAGGAACAACCTTCTTGGAGAAACCTTTGTCCACGTTTGGATCACTGTGGTGGTCCTCTTGGCCTTGGGGTCAAAGAAGCATTCACTTGCTCATCAAGTCTTTATCGAGCTCCTACTATGGATGTCACTGTGGTAAGCCCTGGGACAAGTAAGAAAGGAAAGGCTCCTGTTCCCATCTCTCATGGAGTTTATAGGCCAACGTAAAAGATGAAACACAAGTAAATACACAAATACAACATCTAGGAGGTGCTACAAAGGAGCTATGAAGCTACCCTAGCTTCTGCTGCCTCATAACTGGCCCCAGAGCAAAATTTCTCCACTCATTATCATCCTGAGACTGTAGCACATCTGCCCTCCATGTCATCAGAGAGACTCACCTGGCCCTGCTGAGCTTGCCCTGGCTCCCTGGGACACCTGGTCTCCTTGCTTAGCTCCCAGTGTGCTTTCTCATTCTGCCCCTGCTCATTCTCCGCCGGCACTATGTTCTCTGAATGCTGGCAAGCTTGCTGTTCTCTAAATCCTCCCTTTCTTTTCCTGCTTTTGGGTCTTTGCTCTTGCTGATCCCTTTATCAGGAACTTCCCTCACCTCTACCTCCACTTGTCCAAATGCTACCAATTCTTCCAGGATCTGTTCATGCTCCTTTACCCTCACTGCAGCCATCCTGAACCCTTCTCCCCACCTTGGGGAGTATCTGCTTGTTCTTCCCTGGTGCTCATGGCATTTGGTTTATTGTGCTAATCAGAGCGCTCATCATCCACTGACTGGTATTACACAGTTACTTGTGTATCTGTCCTAGGCCCTTACCTACTTATCTCCAACCTAAAGGCATGTCTATTATTTCTGCATCTCAAATAGAAGCAGACACAGTTAATGCAAAACCATATTATTGAATAAGTGCTCAGTAATGATGACTATTATGCACTTGAGACTGGAGACCTAGGACAGAGACAGGAGCATATCTGGATTTAAATCCCAGTTCTACTGTATGTTAGCTGTGTAACCCTGGGCAACTTTATTTATTAATAATAAAGTATGTGAGCAATCTTATATCACTGTACAGAGTGCTCATATATGTTATCCAGCTTAATTCCTAGAACAACCCTGTGTGAGAAGAACTACTGAGTGCTGACACTAGTCATAGTGCTAGACTCATAGCTGAATTCAGATTCCAAATTAAGTAGCCTGATTGTAGATACAACCATTCACATGCGAACATTTTGCTTTTTTCCTGGCTCAGCACTGCCAGTACTGCTTCTTTGAGGTACAATTATGCCCATTTTACAGATGAGAAAACTGAGACTTAGAAAGCTTAAATAATTTGTCAGTATTGTAAAACTACCTATCTTTGTTATCAGAGAAACATGACTGTGACCAACCTAGGTATATACAATTTTCCACAGCCATGTGAAAGTTTTATGACTCTTTAACATTTCTGGTTGTCTGCTATGCTCGGTGCATTGGGCTGGCTGGACCTTGTATATGTTGGGAAGAAGGAGGACTTACAAAGACTAAGATACAGTCTTTGCTTCCAAGAGGTAAATAAAAAACAACTAAAATATTCTATCATCCACACCTATTCCCTCTCCCTTCTTTTTTCAGCATGTTACTGGATGCTGCCTCTTTATCCATCTGCCCTGGTGGAGATCTTGAGGTTACAGGAATAGCCAAGAGAGACACAGGCAGAGTTAAGTCCAAAGCAGTCAGCAAAGGTGGGGAGACATAGATGGGTCCAGGTGGTAAGTAGGATTGGCCTTGTTATTGGAAGCTGAATGTAGTTACTGGACTTGGAGATTTCGGTTTCTAGAGAAGACAGCAGCTCTCCATGCCCAGTTTAATACTGTGGATTAGCGTGGGAGTGGCCCCAGACCCACAGGCAGAAAAGGCCAATGGTCAGAGTGGAGATCCTCAGGACACTCCAGGTGTCTGAGGGAACGTAGGTTTATCCCTCTTTATTACTAAGTGGATTGCTGCTCCCCCTTGCAGGCCAAAGCATGAATACTGGACATAGCCCACATCGAGGGTAGAGAACTTGGTTTTGGCTCTCAAGTCGACCACTCATCAGCAGATGACTGTGAGCAAGTCACTTCCTCCCTCCAAGACTCCATTTCTACAGGGATTCCATAAAATGGGCATAAGAATTTTCACTGTGCTCGTATGGACTGGATTAGGCCATCATGTGCATTAACACACTTGGCTGTGAGCACTAGGTGCAGCCAAGATGCTGATGGGAAAGAAAAGTCTAGGTTTTGCCCCCTGCGTCGTTCCTCGTGACAGGATTATGCTGAGGGAGGGCACATTAGATTGACTCACACATACTGAAATGGTCATAGTTATTGAGGTTACCCAGTTTCCAGGCCTGAACTAGTAAACCCAGCAATGAGAATCAGCCAGCATTAGCAAGTTTTCCGTGTGGGAGTGGGGTGGGGGTGGGGACTGGAGGGAGCAGGCGCTGAACCAGGAAAGGAGGAGGATGCTCATCATTGGCTAAAGATCCATGCCTGGAAATTAACGGCGTTAAAGTGAGACTTGCTTCAGGTTCCAACCCGGTAAGGCAAATGGAGAGGCTGTCAGGAGACCAGAAGTTTACCTCAGCTATTGCACCGACGCACCACGTGCTCTGGTGCACATCCACCGCCTCTTCCTGCCTCAGTTTCTCCTTTTGTAAAACAACAGCTTGTAAAGGCCTGGGGATCTTCTCATCCACGGGAGTTTTCTAAGGATGCAGGCGAAAGAGGTAGGAAAAGTACTCTGTCTCTGTCCTGGGTGTTCGGGATCAAGGCCTTTTGAACCAATTCCGGAATCCGCCACCGGGCGGTGGTAGGAGAGAGCCAGAGGATTCGTCAGTAAGTGTGCGTGCGTGACAGAGGGCTTTTAAATAGATCGCTTTGTATCTAGCACGGTAGCACCTGCTTCTAAGCTTCCAACGGCAGCTCGAGCAACGCGATCATTCAGAAGCGGCCGCTTTCCATTCACGTCTATAATTAGCGCGCAGGCTGCAGCTCAGGCTCGAGCTGCAAAGCGGGGCGGCGGCCTTGTGGGCGGGGCCACCACCTCCTAGCCCCGCCCCCTTCGAATTCCACCTTCCCAGCCCTTCCCAGCCAGGAGCCTCCTGCAGCCTCCTCCCCACCCCCACTGTCTGTCCTCGCCCTGGTTCTGGGCTTCGCTCTCGGCGCTCCAGGATTCCTGGACGACAGGGCCCAATCGTACCCTCACTCTGGGATCACTCTTGTGCAGTAAATAAGCACCTTGAAAGATGCATTCCAGGAGGGCAGCTATATTTAGAGTGGCATCCTCCTCTCCTCCCCGCACGCTCCTGCGTCCCGCCCTCTCCCCTCCCCGCCCCGCTCCCCGATGCCCCTCCCAGCCACCTCTCCCTCTTTGTCGCATTACATAGTAATCTGAGATGCACTGGATGTGCTCCAGGGAACAGAATGTACTTGGCAGAGACGCGGGGCTTGATGTCTGCAAAATGTCGGAAACGCAGCCAAGAGCTGCTAACTGGGTCATTAACCTCCAAAAGCAAAGCGAGGACTGTAAGGCCCGCTCTGCCTCCCTTCATCTCGCCAATAAAAGTGCCTCAGTGTGAGGGGGAAGAAAAAGCCCAAGGTTGACTGCTTTGATTTCTAGGCACCAAAGGCAGGCCCGTCCTCTCGTCCTGGCCCAGGCCCCAGCCCCTCCGGGCCAGCCCCTGCGCCACATCAGAGTTTACAAGTGACCTTTGAAAGGCTCAGCAACCCCGCAGGGCCATGCTTGCGCCTCAGCAAAGAAGTTACCCAGCAGCCGTTCCCTACCGCACAGCCTTGGACACATTTTCTTGGGTCCAGGAGGAGTTAAGGGAGTGGGGGTGAGTAGGGGTGAAAGGAGAAGGTTCCAGGTCCTTCACCTACAGTGAAGGGCTCTGCTGTCTCTCCCCTCCTCTGCTTCTCTCCCTCTTTTTCCTCCCCCTCCTCTTTCTTCTTTCTTGTCTTCCTCCTCTCCCTCTTCCACTTCTTTCTGAGAGCAGGCTTTGAGGTAGGTTCATGAATACATGGCCTGGGTCCAGGGGATTTGCATTCAAGCCGCTTGCAGCTCTGTTACTTGCTATGTGACCTTGGGTGAGTCACTCATTTCTCTGCTTTTAAATTCCCTTCTTCTCCATTGTTCACCACAATAACACCTTCCTGACATACATCACAAAACAGTGAGGCCAAATGAGAAAGTCTTTCCCTGACCGCCTTGTCTTTCACCCCTCTGAAAGCCCTGAGGTCCAAAGTGCCTCTGGCCTTGTGTGTACTCCTGGAAAATAGGAATACAAGTGGTCTCACCAGAAAGATTCAAACGTTTGAATGTTTTCAAGGGGATAGCCCCTAAAATCCACCCTCTTCAAGTTTTCTAGCCCTGTGAGGTTGCCAAACAGACACTTCCCCCTAATGCTCCAACCCACTTCTCCAGTGGCTAGAGAGAGAAAGTGACCGGTACAGAAACCAGAAGAGGTTGTGCAGTTCCTCAAATGAGACTCCCTTCCTTGTTGGAGGGAAGACAGTCAGCCTGGTAAGACTAGCAGCAGCCCACGAGATGTGGGTCTGAGCAGTCTCAACAAAAGTCCAGGATGAGGAGAATGGAGATTTGTGCAGCCATGCTGATAAGAGGAGGAAAGCTCGCTCCTGGTGCTCTCTAGGAAATTAGAACCAAGCCCAGCCTGGCATCAGCACCCTTCCTGCCTCATCTCTCGTTGGTCTTACCACTCCTTCCATGGCAGCCACATCAGATGGGTTCTGGCTGGTCGCGGTGCTCCATGGACGCCTCCTGCTTTCCTGCCACTTGGGCCTTGGCTGAGATGTCTTAAAAAATTTTTTAAACTCATCAGAATTTGATGGCCTCTATTTGGCCTATCTCTGCCACACATTCAAATCTTTCACATCCCTCAAAACCCAGCTTCAATGCCATCTCCTCTATTTAGATGTCACTTCTTTCTCTTTCAGTCTCAGTACACCCAGCCAGCCTTGGGTTATGCCATTTTTGTGCTTGCTAGATCCCTCTTATGCCATAGAGATTTCTCTGTGGATACAAACTCTGCTGTTGATCTCAATACTGATGGCTAAGGTATATCATAATACATCATAAATACATCCTGGTTTGCCATCTCAGTTTATGACTTTGTCTTGGTATAATATAAAATGTACCTTATGGCTAAGGTACATCATAAGGTACATCATAATACATCCTGATTTGCCATCTCAGTTTATGACTCTGTCTTGGTATAATTAGTTATTAATAGGTCCCTCCTTCACCTTGAAGTTTTTGGGTTTGGATGATAAATTATACAGTCACCTTACTGAGGGTCTCTATCCAAGTACATGGTACATTAGCAGGGGCTCAGTAAATGTGGCAAAGTACCTTAAAGGGCATTTAAAGGATCTTTTATACCCAGGTCACTGGGGCTCTCAGCCCTACCCTTTTCACTCCTTTTCTGGAGGCAGGCTACCATTTGTTCCTCTTCTCTCAAGGACTGCAGAATGACCTATGACCACTTTCTTTTTGACAAGCCTTTCCAGGATTTCAAAATGCTCTGACCCAACAAGAGAAATCACTTACCACAATCCTACCCCTTCTTCTCAGCCCCTAAACAGTAGAACAGCCACTGGATATTGGAAATAGGTATCAGACACTAGAGAAGGTCAGAACACAGCTGGTGCGATATATCATTTCCAGCCTCAACTGGACTTTTGGCCTTGCCCAATTTCTTTTTTTGTTTGTTTGTTTGTTTGTTTTTGTTTTTGAGATAGAGTCTTGCTCTGTCACCCAGGCTGGAGTGCAGTGGCATGACCTCGGCTCACTGCAACCTCTGCCTCCTGGGTTCAAGTGATTCCCCTGCCTCAGCCTCCCGAGTAGCTGGTACAGGTGCCCACCACCATGCTTGGCTAATTTTTGTATTTTTAGTAGAGATGGGGTTTCACCATGTTGGCCAGGCTGGTCTCGAACTCCTGACCTCAGGTGATCTGCCTGCCTCAACCTCCCAAAGTGCTGGGATTATAGGCATGAGCCACTGCGCCCAGCCAGACTTGCCCAATTTCTTTGACAGTCCAAGTTTTCAGAATTGCCTCTATTTACACAGTTGCCTTAGGAGAGGATCACAACTTGGAAAGCTTGAAGCTTCTTTATTATAAACTATGTAGTTAACATTCTAGGTTCTGTTCAGAGGTCAGAAAAGATAAGGTCTCTTGTGCTTTTTCATCATAATAAAAAACTTACTCAAAAGTCAGCCTGTTGGGGTGAGTGTTTGTTGACTTTTTAAACAAGATATCAAGCATTTGGAAGTAACAGAGGCAATACGCCCAGCCGTGTGAATGGAGCTCTAGCTTCAGCATCAGGAAGCCTGGGTCGACGTCTCCTCCTCTGACTCATTGCTTGCTGAAACATGAATCATATGCCCTTTCTCAGCACTGGGTCTCACTTCCTTCATCTCCCCTATAAAATGGGCGTATTTGCCATTCCTACCACACAGGAGGGGGCTGAGGCTTTCAGAGTCCTTGCTAATTACACACAAAAATATTATTAAAAGTAAAAATAAGCCATAGTGTGATTTTGACGCTCTGAAGAGGCACACGTGGAGGGTATGCGAAGCCATTTTATGACCTTGCTTCGTTTCTGGACATCCCAGTTCACTGAGAACAGGCTCTCAGAACGTGGGAATGGGCAGGAGAATCCATGTTGAGATGGAGATGCGAATGAGTCTGGTCTGTTTACGTGGGAGCAGGAGACCTTTGAGGAGATCACTCGCCAGCAATCAAGAAGAAGAACATGGAGACTGGGATGGAAACCCAAATAAGGCTATTCTGTGGAGGGCTCTGATGCCAAGGCTGGGGTGTTTGGACTCCCTTGAGGGTTATGGGAGATCAGTGGAGGTGACTGAGCAGGAGCATGGCACGACCCACAGTGTGTTTCAGTGAGACACTGTTTCATGGAGGGGCAGAAATGGGAGCTGGGGTCTGTCACCTTGTAAGCAAATGGCAGCTCCCCTCTGTCTGAGCTTCAGTTTCTCATCTGTTAAATAGATGGGTTAAACAGCAAATTGGTCTAATATGCTGTGATTCTATACTAAAGAACATGAGGAAACAGCTTGTCATATTGACGTGTGTGTGTGGAGGGTGTGTGTGTGTTTGGGTCAGGGGAAGAGGTGGGAATGCGGTAACTGCTTTGTTAGACACAAAGCCAAGTCCAGAGACCTTGTTCTTTAGGGAGGAAGCCTGAGCAGCCTCACGATCTCTAGCAGGTCTGAAGAACTTTCTGGGTATCTTTCTTTAGGCCACAGCACAGCACATCTGCACTTTAGGGCCTGGCCAGCGACCTCTGTCTAGACGTGTCTGCTGTCTACTTCCTAGTTCAGCTGAGAGAGCTAATATTTGAAAAGACTGGCCAGGCGCAGTGGCTCACGGCTGTAATCCCAGCACTTTGGGAGGCCGAGGCTGGCGGATCACCTGAAGTCAGTAGTTTGAGATCAGCCTGGCCAACATGGCGAAACCCTGAATCTACTAAAAATACAAAAATGAGCTGGGCGTAGTGGCAGGCACCTGTAATCCCAGCTACTTGGGAGGCTGAGGCAGGAGAGTTGCTTGAACTCGGGAGGCGGAGGTTGCAGTGAGCCGAGATCATGCCCTTGCACTCCAGCCTGGGTGACAAGAGCGAAACTCTGTCTCAAAAACAAAACAAGACAAAACAAAACGAAAGACTGCATAGGGGTTCTTGCAAACTAGCTATTTCTCAAGATATTTCAAATCTGTCTGTATCTTCCTATTAAATTTTCAGGAAGTTTTATATCAATGAGGACTACATGGCTTGGAGGCCCCAGAACTCTATCTTCAAAGTACAACTTGATAGTACACCTCCGACACTTACCAAGGTTTGCTGTAACATTGGTACATAGAAGAGCCTTTATTATAATGGTGTTATAAAGATAGCATCTGTTAAGTTGCTTTATATAAAGTTTCAGATGGAAAATTCATCAGTGAACTTATATAGTAAAAAAAAAATCATTAAAAATTTGGGTGGATCTACTTAGGTTTAAGTATAACTGCATTTGTGCTCCTGTTTTATAGTTGGGTTTAAAAATACTTGTGATTTTTATTATAAGCTTCCTCATATATCTTTTCAAGTAGGTTTATGTAAATAAGTAAGTAAGTAAATAAATAAATAAAGGTTCACTTGGACCCAAGTTAGTGCACGAAATGAAGAAATAAATCCACTTACGAATGGTGAACTGACTGAAGCCCTCCTAAGATGTTAGTTCAGGCAAAAGATCCAAATTTCAGAGCATCACAAGAGACAGCAGATTCCACTGAAACTATTACCTTACTGCTCCTATATATGAGGTGAAGTTTTGTGTGAGAAGGATCAAAGAGATTGTGATCATCTCTAAGCAGTGCAAAAATCTAGTGATGAGCAGGAGGAGAAAATCTAAATAGTTCTGGTAGAGATATAGGGATTAGTAAGTGAGGAGGTTATATGCTGGAGGTTACATTTAGCCTATAAAAACACCATAATCCAGGTTTATTCTACCAATTACTGTGTGGCCTTGAGATCTACATTTTAGCATTTACTAAATGATAGGGAAGAGCAGTTGAGCTCTTAAGCTTCTTCTAGTGCTCGCTTTCTATTTGCCCCAAAGTCAGTCTACACTGAGTGACTGATCAAACTCCACTTCCACCTTGGATTCCATAAACCAGCTAAGAAATAGATACTCTCTTCCTCACCCTTAGCCCCACACCACACCCCCACTGCTCATGACTGGAGGGCATATGTCGATTGGAGGGAAGGATGCGACTGGAAGTCTCTGAGAAGAGCTCTTCTCTTCCCTCAGGGACATGTCTATTCACTGAAGAATGACATAATAAATGGTCAGCTACCTTTAACCTGCCTTCCATGGATTCCCTGAGGAAAAATTAAATTACTGTTCTAATATGCTACAAACGCACAGACTCAAAATGTAAAATATGAAATGAATCTGACAGGTTATGTGGTTTAGCTCCCACACTTGATGGACAGAGAAACTGAGGCTTGAAGAGACGCACCCAAGGAACCTGGCCAAAGACACAGAGACAAGAAGTCTTGGAGCTAGGGCTACAGCCCAGATCTCCACTGCTCCTTGGTGCTCTTTGTTTTTTTTTTTTTTTTTTTTGCTACAAGTTGGAGCTCAGTCCCTGGGTTGCAATGGATAAATCTTTTGCTAGGCAACCCAGTTGCTAAGCTTTGCTCACATCATTCTTGAGCTCAAAAACCTTTATGGATTTCAGCTATTCATTCCTAGTATAGTCATCCTTTGGTATCCTTGAGGGATTGGTTCCAGAATCTTCTGAGGATACCAAAATCCAGGGATGCTCAAGTATCTCATATAAAATGGTGTAGTATTTGCATATAACCTACGCACATCCTCCTATATGCTTTAAATCATTGCTAGATTACTCATAATAATACAGTGTAAATGCTATGTCAATCGTTGTTATACTGTACTATTTAGGGAAGAATGACAAGAAAATCTCTACATGTTCAGTACAAATGCAACCTTCCATTTATTTTTCCAAATATTTTTCATCGACACTTGGTTGAATTCATGGATGTGGAACCTATGGATACAAAGGGCCAATTGTACAAGATTCATTTTGTGTCATTATTTGGGCTCTGCCCATGATATTGCTACTACTTTTTAAAAAAATTTATGAATTCCCTTCTGGAAGACGAGGTAGAAAGTAGACAGGCGATTTTGCTAAGCAGTTTTGACATCTCTCACACACACCTATTTTGGCTAACCTTTTCCTGATTTCTCAGTCCTCAGTAGCTCCTCTGTGCACGTGCCCAGATGTCACATTTCTTAACTTATTTTCTATTTCTTGAGGATAATTTAGTCACTTTTTTCTCTACAGTAAGCAGAGAAGGTAGAGCTGGAAAATGGGGTCTTCATCAGAGTTTAACTAGACTATGAATAGAATTCTGTAAGGCACGGACCAATGAGCTGTCTTTTAGGTCAGTCCAGAAGGACTCAGATTCACACCAAACTTAAGTGGCTGGTGAATGAGGCTCAGATTGTCCTCCCAGTTTCCCACTGCCATCCCCAATCCTGCTCCAAGAGCGCCCTCTGCTGGAATGGAGCAGGAGCCAACATCCTCAGCCATCTTGGAAGTGGGGCCAACTGGAACTCTGAAAGGATGAAAAGTACCTCTGTTTAAATACAAGCTCCAAATAAGACAGATCAAGTCTACAATGTCTTCTTGACTTTTATTTCTCATTCCTTCTATTTCCATTTCTTTGACAACTTTTCTTAAGAGGATCACGATGTGGTGAAAAAATAGAATTTAAAGAGGGGAAATGTAATCCAGTGAAATGGGCATAAAACTAAGAATTCTGCCTTCTTTGAGAGGTTTAATTGCTGGGTTACAAAGAGTAATTTCTTGGAATAACTCAGTTTCTAGTCTCAGATTGTAATTACTCCTTCAGTTAGAAACCTTCTTCCATTCATTGCCTGCTAAATTAAGTCAACATTCTTTACTTAGCTTTCAAGGTATATTTGTATATGAATTTACAAATTCATAATATGTTATTTAGTTTGTACTTCATTTATCAAAGCTAATAGTATCTTTACTTTAAAAAAATTTTACTCTGATCTACTTTTTAGAAATTGAAAAGATATTGAAAACTTTAAAAGTACATTTGAATACCAAAGTCATATGTTTCACATTAAAAATCATGCTCAGCACTTAATCTGCTTATAATTTTGAACAAGTGGAAGACCCTGATTAAATAATTAGCTTTTGAACAGAAACAATAATTGATAGGTTGAATTCTATCTTTAGCACTGATGTTAGTCCTAACTTGTTGTTTAGGATTGAGACAAGGTAAAGCGACATAAAAGATTTGGGGGAGTTGATATAACCTTTAAAGTGTCATTTAGTCAAAGGAAGAAACAGTAGCTAGGAATATACCTATTGAATAAACATAGCAATATGGTAGATTCTAGTCCTAGACCCCTGTTTTACAGCTAGAATTATGCCAAAAAGTTGAAAAGTAAAGCTGGATGAAACCTTAGAGAAGACTCCGCCATCTTATAACTCAGATGGTGAAATGAGACCCAGAAAGAATAGTCTTCCCAAAGGCTCACGGTCAGTTATTATAGGAGCCTCATTTGGAATTTGAGTCATCCAATTCTCAATCCACTGTTCTTACCACTACCCAACACTACCTTTGTTTAACTGTCTTTCTTGCATAAAAAGGGACTTATAGGTGAGAGATTCTATAGTGCCATTGGGAGCTGCTGCCTGAATCTCCGTGTAATTTCAAAGAGTTTCCTAACTCAGACCCTGTCCCATTTCACTGTATCCTTAAGAGGCTGAGAAACGGGGCATTCAGATTCTTTCCCCATGCTGACTCTTCATTCTGTTTACACATGGGCCGGCCAGATGCTAGAGAAAAAAAAACAAACATTTGCAGCTGTTATCAGGGGTAGGATAGAGCACATGAGGTTCCCAAGTTTTGATCCAACACATCAGAACACACTTGATTTTTACTCTGGCTTGGAGTTTACTGCCTTCAGCTTCTTCTACAAAGCCTGAATGTTGCCATTTCATGTCAAAACCTGCACTGAGAGATGCCGATGGCTTCTTGAGCTAACTTCAGCCCATCACCGCAGTGGTCTAGATGACCAAGGAAGTGACTGCTTCATTACAGCTTGAGGGGACCCTCTTTCTTCATCCCCCACTTTCACTTTTTTTTTTTTTTTAAATGAAAAGGCCGATGGTTCTCCCAAGTAGCCAGAGGCCAGCAGGAGCACTAAGTAAGAGACAGCAAGAAGTGTTCTTAGTGAGAACAATGTGGACTTTGGAGTTATGTAAAACCCAATTTTAATCCTGGCCCAGCCATTGACTGGCAGTTTGATTTTGAGTTATTTAAGTTGGAACCTTATTTTTCTTGCTTATTTATTGAACTATTAATTGAAAAAGTGATTCTAGTCCTAGACCCCTATTTGACAGCTAGAGAAATGAGACATGAACTGATACATGCTCAGATAAATACATTTCTTACTCAGAGGATAATAGTCAATGATTAATAGTTTCCACTGAGACATCACAAATAAGAAATAGATTGAAATTACATTTGAAGGATCTAGGTTAGATATCAAAAACTTCCTTGGAAGGGAGCATCATGAAACCTCTATTTCTTAGAAATCTTTAAGAATATAATAGTCACACATGTTGAATGAGTTTAAATGAAGCATTACTTACCAGGATAGACGACCTCTCTAGTTTTTCCCCAGTTAAAAAATCCAAGACTTGGGTTCCTTCTTTCAAGAGGAGTAATGTAAAAAGTCTGACCCCTAGTGGTCATCGTCTCTGCATTGGACCTAAGGGAAAAAGGCCAAAAAGAATGATAACAACCAGACTTTGTTTTGGAATTAAAAACGAACCTTAGAAATGTGAGAGTCAAATTGTCTAATTCTAAAACAAGGGAACTTAGACCAAATGACTACAAATATTTCCCCAACACCAGCGACTCTGGAGTAAAGCTTGTTATGGAACTCAGGACCTTTTGCTGGTGCTCTGGGTTCAAGATCCAATCGCTTCATCTTCCAGAGTCTCCCACCTGGAATCAGCCTCTTGGTGACATAGAAACAGCAGGTATATGCTGATTCGACTTTCAGGGCACAGGATTCAGTCCGCATTCTTTCCTTTTCTTTCGTGATGAGGAGCACTTAATTGTTCAGTAGATGTAACTCTCTCTCAGGTAACCAACCTAAGTTCTCCATTCCCTTTGTACATTCTGACAGATGCTCATAGCATGCTAAGTGCTCATGGGTGGTAGGCTGCTTTCTAGTTTCCTGATGTCTGTCTTCTCCCATTAATCAAATCTGATGCATACAAAGAACCAGCTGATTTTTTCCTCAAACCCGTTTATGCTACTTTTATTAGTAAATGCAATTATATAATTTAAATATTATGCAAATAGATGAAATATAAGTATAAAAATAAAGAGACTGTGTCCATAAAAATTAAATTGATTGCTTTGGAAAGGCTCAAGAGGGAAGAATTGCTGAAAAAATGATCTAAAATTAGTTTGTGGATGAGATAACTGTAGAAGAATAACACAAAGATTAAAATCCAGAATAATTGTGCAAGTTTCTAAGGTTTTTATCTGCTACAAAGAACAAAAGAAAAGAAAACAAAAACAAAAATACCTGAAACTTCAACTAATAGAGGATGCATGATGGGAGTGATTTATTCAAGAAAAATGAGATGGAGCTTCACAAATGGAAAATGTGCACTTAAAGAGAGGCCTTGGCTCTACCTACTGGCAAGTGAAAGTCTTAAGTTAAAATATATGTATTTATATGATTCCTAGCTTTAGCCAAAATTTCTGATTAGCTGACACTGAACTGTAATAGGTGAAAGTATTTCTTTAGTATTAAGATTCAGATATCAGAGTGAGATCCAGGAAAACTGGTTTACTTAATATCTCCTGAGTGCTAATCTCCTGAGGATTTGGTCTTTCAACAATTCCTGTAAGATCCGTTTTTATTTCCATAAGTCTCCTTTTTGCAGGCACTTTCCGCAGATCCTTTTCCCCTTGACAGTAAGTAAGCTTTGTCTCTGAACTAGGCCCCAAGAATTCAGCTTTCAAACCCTCTGTTAAATTAATGTTTGTTCACTTTAGCAATTCAGTAATAGTCACTCAGGATCTAGAACAAGATCCAATGTTTGATGTCTTAAGATTTGAACAGTGTAGGGCCATATGTGGACACTATCAATATTACATCTTGCTTTTTCAAAATGTAAAAGCCATAAACATGGACACACTCGTTGTAGCCTTGTCTTCTGGGGAATGCATGTTATAGAAATAATATGCTGTGCAAAGATGTTCATTGCAGCATTATGTGTAATAGCAAATACACTAGAAGCAACTTAAATATTTAGCAACAAGGTAATCATTTTATTGTGATATTTTAGCCAAATACACTAGAAGCAACTTAAATATTTAGCAACAAGGTAATCATTTTATTGTGATATTTTGGCCAAGTATCATTTGGTGGTTATTGCTCGTCACTCATGTAGTAATTACAATGACTCTGTTGGAATGAAGGAAAAAAGTCCAAAAAAATAAGAACAGGCCAGACTTTGTTTTTGGAATTAGAAATGAACCTTGAAAATTTCATAGTCAAATTCTGTAATTCTAAAATATAACTATTATCAATAAGGAAAATTGTTCATGATAGTATTTTAAGTGAAGAAAGAAAAATACAAAATGGAATGAACTTCACAATTACCAACTTTGTAAATAAAGGTATGAAATGTATGAACGGGGAAAGATTTAAGGCTTTACCTTTTGCTAATTTTTCTTTTCTGTTTTATTCTTTCGATGATTGTAAAACCCCACATTATGCAATAATTCACCAGTTTTTCAACACTGGCATCCTGGGAGGCCTTGAGGTGCCTGGGATTTGACTTAAAGTTGGCTAGAACCACAGGATCACCCCTCTAGAGGAGTGAGGATTAGGCAAGAGCTCACTCAATTATAGGTGGACTGGGTTGGAAAGTACCTTTGAGATCATTAAGATGAATTATACCACTTAAAAGCAATTTGATCTTGAATAAGTTACTTGTCTTTGCTAAACCTCAGTTTCCTTACCTGAAAAGTGGCATAATAAAAGTATCTGTGCCTGAGTTTTGTGGTGAGGTTTAAATGATATAAATGCAGTAGATGGCACAGAGTAAGCTCTCAGTACATGTTAGTTATTGATATCACAGAAGCCAGTGGTTGAGCCAGGGCCAGAATTCACTTTTTTCAACTTCCTTACTGGGGCTTTTTCTGTCACACTATGTCATAGATCTTTCATCTTTACCCAGACTAAAATCCTTTGCTTTCGTGAGCACCGGGTAAGAGAAAGCTTATTCCGATAATACTGAGGATACTGTGACTTTACATAACTCTTGTCTATCAGGTGACCAATAGCATACACTATAGTCAGAACTACCTGTTAAAATGGCCAGAGATATCATAAGGAAAGGGTGCCTACTGAACTGAAAGCATGCCTTAAATAAGACAGAACTGGGCTCAACTTCTACAACAGTGTATGTCCTGCTCGAGTTCTTATTCTGCATTTGTTTTTATGAGCCTCAGTTTTCTTATTGGATAAATGAAAATCATTCTTCTTATACGGATGAAATATGAGTTGCCACATGTAAAATGCAATGCAATTCAAAGTAGTGATTTTTAAAAATTATTTTATTAAAAAAGTTATATTGTATGTTTTATGTGCTAGGCATTATTCCAAGGGATTTATAACAATTAATTCATTGAATGGATTCCTTATAGCAATTCTATGAGGCAGGTACTATCATTATTGTTGCTTTACTCAGGGAGGCACAGGAATGTTGAGTAACTTATCCAACATCACAGAAGTTGTGAGTGGTGGAGCTGAGGTTTGAACCTAGACATTCTGGCCACAGAATCCATGCACAGCCCTCATGCTGCCTTATTATCACTGAAACAGCTTTGGCCTAAGAGAAACCAAAGTCAAATATAAATTCTAGAATCTGTTCTTCTTTCTTACAAGGTCCCATTCAGTTTAGTTCAGTCCCATCCACGGCAATCTGATTCACTCCAATTCATTTCAGTTTAATTCATTTCAGCTCAAGAAATATTTTTTTGAATGTTTAGTTTGCATCAATAGCCACTGTGTTTGGCATTGTGAGGGAGGAGTAGGACCCAAGAAACTTGCAATTTGATGGGGAAGCATAAATCACATATAAAAATGATGGTGAAATATGCAGTGGAGAAGGCAGTTTCAAGAAAGAACTTCAAATCTGGAACTGTGAGGATCAGGGTCAGCGTGCTTTATCAAGTTTCTCCTCTCTACTGCTCATTGAATGAAAACTGACCCATTCGTGGGGTCAGACAGGGTCTCCTGGAACCACAGAGTGTGGGTAGAGGACAAGTTGAAACATAGGTACTCTGGACTCCTGAAAAGCAGAGGATCTTAGACTGGGCTTATGTCTTCAACAGTGAGACCATTGCCCTCTGTCTAGTTCCAGCCGGAGTGGCTGACAGCCTCCGGCTGCCATTTTAAGCTAAGATGAAGCCATTTCAGTGGCCTGGTATATATGATTCTTCGTTCTCCCTCTCTTACTAAGCTTTTCGAGGAAAATCTGCCTATTGATGTGGGATTTTCTATTTTTTGATTATTAAAGGAGGCAGTTTATATACAACATCTTGCACAGGTCCGACCCATCGTTAGTGCATGTAAGGGGGCAAATGTTACCCTAAACCTTTGTAATCTGACCACATCCCCTAGTCAAATGGCTCACAAGCCTGACTGTGTATGACAGTCATTTTCCTCTTTTAGGGAGCTCTATATTCCTGTTCCAGGATGAAAACCGGGAAAACCCAGCCAAAGCATCTAAGATCATGCTCTTGCTTGTTTAGTGGCCACACTGCATGGAATTTGAGTATTCCCCATGGGTAAACTGCTCCCTTACACAACACCTTTGACGTTACACTATTAAAAAGGCTTGCATATTAAAATTTGAGGCATGTGTAAATACCTCATAATTAACTGCTGTCTATTTAACCAGACAGCTCTAGCAAGTTAATTTGATGTCTGTTATGAGACTTAATAATTGTCAGTGATTTTTTTAAACAATTTACTGGTATAATCATTAACTACTCCTAGATTATCTTGTCAAATTGATAATTAAATGGCTCAAAAATTCATTACAGAGTTAGTATATTAATGGGAATGTAATTAAATAATGTTTGCTTATGTAATCTAGAGTTTATTACCTGTACACTTATTTATTTTTTCTATACTTTATTAAATCTTCTAGAGGCCTTTTCAAAATTGATAGAAAACCAAGAGTCAATAAATGTCTTATTAGATCCAAATAAGCCACTTAATCGAGATACTGAAATAAATATGGATTCTCCATATATGTGGAGAGGTAGGAGAAATCATTACTATCTCATATAGGATTATCTTTGGGAAAATAAAGTTCCTTTCCTTCCTTGTTCTGTTTCCTCCTGCTTCCCTTCTCCCTCCCTTCCTTCCATCCTTCCTTCCTTTCTTTCTTCCCCTCTCCTCTCTCTCCTTCTTTCTTTCTCTCCCTTCCACCTTCCATTTCTTTTTTCTCCCTCCCTTCTTCCTTTCCTCTTTTGGGGGAAAAAAAAAGAAAAGCTCTTTTCTTTCTTTCGTCAGACATTTAAGTGCCTGCTATTTGCTGGCCATCGTGTAAGATACTGAGGCTATAGAAGGCATGATTTTGGTCTAATGTAGTGAAGGAGAAAGACCTGTAAAAAATTGCAATGCAACATGCTTAATGCAACCCTAGAGGCCAGTACAAAGTGGTAAGGGAACACAGAGGAAGGAACAGCTATCTGTACTGGTAGTCAGGGAAGATTTCTCAGAGAGATTAACCTCTGTGCTTGCCAGAGAATAGGAGGTAGGAGTTTGCCAGGGGGAAAAAGTTAGAGAGGGGCATTCAAGGTAGAGGGAATAGTGTGTACAACAGCCTAGAGACAGAGAACATGAAGCATTCATGAGTGAGATGGAAAGGGATGAATTTTAAGCTGCTGAATGTCAAGATCGGAGCCGTGCTTTTCGAAGGATAACCTTGGATGATAGAGTAGGGATTTCAGTAGCTCTCATTTATACAATTATGATGTTCCATGGCTTGTTCTGATATCCTTGAGTTCTCAAGATATGTGTACAAATTGCGGTTTGCCTGGCCCTGCCCTTTTCCACCCACCTGCCTTGTGGTGATCATAGTGTGGTCAGGGTTTTGGTTTTACAGGTTTCAGTGAATATCAGCGCCTTTGTCACCGTAAAGTTATTCATACTTGTCAGATTACATATTCAAATTTTGAGTTTGATAAATAAGATCACAACATATTTCAACCTGGGTCACCTAAAAATACTAATACTTAGTTTAGTTATTCTCGGGCATGCTGTGATGTACCCAGGAGGAACAGAAATCAAACTCAAGGATGTTTGGTTATATGAACAACTCTGGATAAAATGTAGAAGGGAATGGGCCTTAAATTAACGACTTTGTGAGTTTTCAAGCCCCTGGATAGAATCCAGCCTTTCATAACCTTCTTATCCTTCATGACTACTGAGATATGCAAGAGTCAGTAATAGTATTTTTGTTCCTTTCCAAGTGTCAATCACCATAAAAGTTACTGCCTACCTGGCATTGCTCCTGGCTAGATAGCTGGATGATTTTGGTGAGGAAGAAAAAAAAAGAGATACAAGGTAGAAATAAAACTGCACTCTAGAATTTAAAATTATCTCGGCTATACTCAGCAAGTAGGAATGTGTTCAGAGTCTCTGGAGACGTTTTTTCATGATGCTTGGAAATCAATTTCATATCCTAATGCTGTTCTCAAGTTCAGGCTCATGGAAAAATCTGCTTGGAGGGCTCTCCTTGCCCTGGAAATAAGAATGGTACATTTCCGATACCCATGTTCTCTGCCTGTGCCAGGCTCTCCTTGCCCTGGAAATAGGAATGGTACATTTCCGGTACCCGTGTTCTCTGCCTGTGCCAGGCCTCCTTAAATGATATGAACTGTGGCTAGCAATGTTTTAAAATGACCAAAATCATCACATTAGATGATCACCTTAGACAAGGTCAGAGGTGATCCAAGTCAATGGCTAAGTAATCCTGAGGGTACAAAATTCTCTAAACTTTGAGCCTGAAAGAACTTAGATGTAAGCGACAAAAGACACTGCAAAGTAGCTTTACCTAAAAAAAAAAAGTATACATTTGTGGAAAGCAGAACTTCAAAACTCCACTCTGGAACCTCTTCTGAAATATCTGCAGGTTTGACCAGAGAAGTAATTCACGCTGTCAAAGCTTTAAACTGAGATGATAGATGATATGCTCTTGAGGGCAAATATGGGAGTGAAGGCTGGACATGAATCTGATAACCAGCCACTTACTAAGTTAATAACAGGACAAGTGACCTTGTTTCTCAGGGCCTTACTTTCCTCATGTATAAAATGGGGATAATAGTCCCAAGCCCACCCATCTCACATCACTGCTGGGAGGAGCAAATGAGACCATGGATGTAACATACCTTATAAATAGGTCGTGACGTATTGCATACATGGAAGAGGTTGTATTATGGTTAGAACTAAAAGGCTGTATATATTTCAGAGGCAAATATTCAGATTCAAGGCATGTGGTTAGAGGGAGGTACTGCCTTGTCTATCAGAGCCTGGTTTCCAAGTGCTGATCAATAGACTTACAGAATTCTTTTCTCTGAGAGCGGTTGCCCCTCCAGGAATTCCTCCTTGGAGGCAGTTATTGTATTTGGCTGCTGACCTGTGTGTATCCTCAGTTACTGTGTGAGCTCCGCGAGTGTAGGGACCATGACTATTGTAGGAGCATAGCACAATGGTGAAATGTGCAGGATTTGGGGCCAGGCGACCTGGGCCAGTCCTAGTTCCTGGCTTTTCTGCTTATCCACCATCTGGCTTTGGGTGAATTATTGAACTTCTTCAAGTCTTAGTTTTCTCACCTCTGATATGAAGATAATAAATATACCTACCTCATAGTGATGTAAAAAAGATTAAATGAGTTGGTATATGTCAAATCTGGAACATAGAAAGTGCTTAAGGAATGCTGGGTATTTATTATTATTTTTATTTGTTACTGTTGTTGTTCCCTTCATATTTCTAGTGCTTAGAACAATGTTATGTTATGAATAACATAACAGTTATTCAACAAACAGATAATGAAAGACTGCAAAAGAAAGTCTGCATCCCAGCAGATACTTACACCAGGATTAATGAATCCTAAGGGTCAGAAAAAAATGGAAAAGGACTGAATCATGTGGGTTGGGTTTGCAAACTTTAAGGCCTATTTTGACATTTTGTCTTTACCAATAACAAAAACACATCTACTATACTGAATATTGGTATAACAAAGAATTCTAAATAATTTTTAAGGCCAGTGTCTTACTAGATTCCCACACCAACCTTGTGCGGGAAAGTATTATTATACTATCCACTTTGTAGATAAGGAAATAGAGATTCAGAGAGAGGAAATATCTTGTCTGACCATCACACATCTGGTAAACAGAGGTGCTGAAATTAGAAGTTGGTCTTCTGGCTCATTGTTCGTTCCTCTTCCTGGGAACGAACGCAAAGCTAATTCATCCTGGCACTGCGTCTCTGACAGAGGCGATGGAGGGCATTTTGCGGAAGAGCCTGGTTTGTCTCCCTGACTGCAACAACCAAATTAGGAGTGTAGCTCCTAGATATCTAGATTCCCTACAGTCATTCATTAAGAATCTCTCACCTGTGAGTTTAGCTAAGGCTTTGTGAAGCTCATTTTCAGCTCAGCCTATACCTTGGTTTTGAATCCTATTTTCCTTGGCATATGAAATGTGCGTCACCTTCATTGCTCTGGGTTTTCCCCGGTGAAAGCTTAGCCGATACAACCAGTCCCTGCTCTGAGCATGGAAACCGGAAGCCCTGAAGGTTTTTTCAACGTAGGCTATTTAGGCAAACTAGACATTGCAGTTTAATTACACCATTGCTCAACTTCATAGATCCTTCAGATTGCCTTCAGAGAAAAACATTTCTCTCAATAATTCAAACCCCTGATAATTTCCTCTGAGAAATTACCAGCAGATTGCAAAAACAGCATAGTTATTCACTACGTGACCTTTTCTTCAGTCCCATTGTCTTGTACCGCTCTGCAGCATTGCATATTTTTGACAATTTTACCTCTAGTACCTCTTGAAATTTAACGTTACTCTGGTTCTCCTATACCTGCATCCTGGCCTTCTCTAAAAACTTCGTAGCTTTTTCCTTCTCTACCTTATAACTTTGGACATTTCCCTAAGTCTAAACCTGTGGTCCTCCGTTTTTTCTTCTCTTTTTTTCTTTCTTTTTCACCTGCTCTGCCAGTGTTGTGCTAGGCACTAGGAAACAAAGACATGTGAAACATCATATCTAACCTCAAGGTTAGATACTGACCAACAAATGCTACCTCATTAGGTATATCTTACTGTTATATTAACTTTATATATGGGCTAAACTTGTCTCCTGTACTTGATTGTAAATTCCCTGAAACAAGGATGGGTGCCACTGGATTCAGAACAGGAGTAAGATATTTGAACTCTGACTCAGGTACCTACTGGCTACCACAGTCTAGTAGAGGGCCAATGGATGTCTGAACAAAGACCTCTAAGTTTAATACACTTTTGTGCTTTGATAGGAGTAGCTGGGACTTGAGTTGAGGGAGAAGTATAGTAAACTGTGAAGGACAGATAAGTCGCTATGAAAGAGATCTTCAAAGATGTCTTAAAAGATGAGTAGGTGCTCCTCATTCAGACAAGGAAAGGAAGGAGAGTTGAAATCAGAGTACAATTTTGGCTTTTGTTGCCATTGCTTTTGGTGTTTTAGACATGAAGTCCTTGCCCATGCCTATGCCCTGCATGGTATGGCCTAGGTTTTCTTCTAGGATTTTTATGGTTTTGGGTCTGACATGTAAGTCTTTAATCCATCTTGAATTAATTTTTGTATAAGGTGTAAGGAAAGGATCCAGTTTCAGCTTTCTACATATGGCTAGCCAGTTTTCCCAGCACCATTTATTAAATAGGGAATCCTTTCCCCATTTCTTGTTTTTGTCAGGTTTGTCAAAGATCAGATAGTTGTAGATATGTGGCATTATTTCTGAGGGCTCTGTTCTGTTTCATTGGTCTATATCTCTGTTTTGGTACCAGTACCATGCTGTTTTGGTTACTGTAGCCTTGTAGTATAGTTTGAAGTCAGGTAGCGTGATGCCTCCAGCTTTGTTCTTTTGGCTTAGGATTGACTTGGCGATGCAGGCTCTTTTTTGGTTCCATATGAACTTTAAAGTAGTTTTTTTCCAATTCTGTGAAGAAAGTCATTGGTAGCTTGATGGGGATGGCATTAAATCTATAAATTACCTTGGGCAGTATGGCCATTTTCATGATATTGATTCTTCCTACCCATGAGCATGGAATGTTCTTCCATTTGTTTGTATCCTCTTTTATTTCATTGAGCAGTGGTTTGTAGTTCTCCTTGAAGAGGTCCTTTGCCTCCCTTGTAAATTGGATTTGTAAGTATTTTATTCTCTTTGAAGCAATTGTGAATGGGAGTTCACTCATGATTTGGTTCTCTGTCTGTTATTGGTGTATAAGAATGCTTGTGATTTTTGCACATTGATTTTGTATCCCGAGACTTTGCTGAAGTTGCTTGTCAGCTTAAGGAGATTTTGGGCTGAGATGATGGGGTTTTCTAGATATACAATCATGTCATCTGCAAACAGGGACAATTTGACTTCCTCTTTTCCTAATTGAATACCCTTTATTTCCTTCTCCTGCCTGATTGCCCTGGCCAGGACTTCCAACACTATGTTGAATAGGAGTGGTGAGAGAGGGCATCCCTGTCTTGTGTCAGTTTTCAAAGGGAATGCTTCCAGTTTTTGCCCATTCAGTATGATATTGGCTGTGGGTTTGTCATAGTTAGCTCTTATTATTTTGAGATACGTCCCATCAATACCTAATTTATTGAGAGTTTTTAGCATGAAGGTTGTTGAATTTCATCAAAGGCCTTTTCTGCATTTATTGAGATAATCATGTGGTTTTTGTCATTGGTTCTGTTTATATGCTGGATTACATTTATTGATTTGCGCATGTTGAACCAGCTTTGCATCCCAGGGATGAAGCCCACTTGCTCATGGTGGATAAGCTTTTAGATGTGCTGCTGGATTTGGTTTGCCAGTATTTTATTGAGGATTTTTGCATCAATGTTCATCAAGGATATTGGTCTAAAATTCTCTTTTTTTGTTGTGTCTCTGCCTGGCTTTGGTATCAGGATGATGCTGGCCTCATAAAATGAGTTAGAGAGGATTCCCTCTTTTTCTATTGATTGGAATAATTTCAGAAGGAATGGCACTGGCTCCTCCTTGTACCTCTGGTAGAATTTGGCTGTGAATCCATCTGGTCCTGGACTTTTTTTGGTTGGTAAGCTATTAATTATTGCCTAAATTTCAGAGCCTGTTATTGGTCTATTCAGAGATTCAACTTCTTCCTGGTTTAGTCTTGGGAGGGTGTATGTGTCGAGGAATTTATCCATTTCTTCTAGATTTTCTAGTTTATTTGCCAAATGGGATCTAATTAAACTAAAGAGCTTCTGCACAGCAAAAGAAACTACCATCAGAATGAACAGGCAACCTACAGAATGGGAGAAAATTTTTGCAATCTACTCATCTAACAAAGGGCTAATATCCAGAATTTACAATGAACTCAAACAAATTTACAAGAAAAAAAAACCATCA
Organism: Homo sapiens; assembly: GCF_000001405.40. Taxonomy (NCBI): domain Eukaryota; kingdom Metazoa; phylum Chordata; class Mammalia; order Primates; family Hominidae; genus Homo; species Homo sapiens. Next base: position 188,968,022 of record NC_000003.12, read on the forward strand.
ACAAGTGGGCAAAGGATATGAACAGACACTTCTCAAAAGAAGACATTTATGCAGCCAAAAGACACATGAAAAAATGCTCATCATCACTGGCCATCAGAGAAATGCAAATCAAAACCACAATGAGATACCATCTCACACCAGTTAGAATGGTGATCATTAAAAAGTCAGGAAACAACAGGTGCTGGAGAGGATGTGGAGAAATAGGAACACCTTTACACTGTTGGTGGGACTGTAGACTAGTTCAACCATTGTGGAAGTCAGTGTGGCGATTCCTCAGGGATCTAGAACTAGAAATACCATTTGATCCAGCCATCCCATTACTGGGTATATACCCAAAGGACTATAAATCATGCTGCTATAAAGACACATGTACACGTATGTTTATAGCGGCACTATTCACAATAGCAAAGACTTGGAACCAACCCAAATGTCCAACAATGATAGACTGGATTAAGAAAATGTGGCACATATACACCATGGAATACTATGCAGCCATAAAAAAGGATGAGTTCATGTCCTTTGTAGGGACATGGATGAAGCTGGAAACCATCATTCTCAGCAAACTATCGCAAGGACAAAAAACCAAACACCGCATGTTCTCACTCATAGGTGGGAACTGAACAATGAGAACACTTGGACACAGGAAGGGGAACATCACACACTGGGGCCTGTTGTGGGGTGGGGGAGGGGGAAGGGATAGCATTAGGAGATATACCTAATGTTAAATGACGAGTTAATGGGTGCAGCACACCAACATGGCACATGTATACGTATGTAACAAACCTGCACGTTGTGCACATGTACCCTAAAACTTAAAGTATAATAATAATAAAAAAAGAACAACAATAACAACAAAAAAGAAATCAGAGTACAGCTTGTACAAAAGAACCAAGGGAAGAAACTTTGAGTTTCGTTTTCTAAATCTGTGAAGTGGAGGTAAAAATACTTATGTTGCAATGTTGTTGAAAGCATTGGCAATGCTGTGTATAAACAGAGCCTGAAAGTTAGTAGATAATCAAGGAATGACCGATAATAATAATAATAACAAACCCCCTTTTCTTACCAATCTTGCTTTTTTTTTTTTTTGTAAAAAGATGAGATTGGAATAGAAAATTTTAAAGGCCTTTCCGAATCTCATACCCCAACATGTTGTAAAATCCTCTGGGGAAATTTATCAACGGTGCCATCCCTTCTCCCCTGTATATTCCCCTAATGCTGGCCATGCCTCAGCATTGTCTACCCTCTGAACACACGAAGGGACCATCAGTTTTACTGACCAACAAATGCTACCTCATTAGTTATATCTTACTGTTATATTAACTTTATATACGGGCTAAACTTGTCTCCTGTACTTGATTGTAATTTCCCTGAAACAAAATGGGTGCCACTGGATTCAGAATAGGAATAAGATATTTGAACTCTGACTCAGGTACCTACTGGCTACCGCAGCTTGGGTAAATTGATTAACGTCCATTTTTTCATGTATTAAATGGGGAGCACGCTAATGGCCACTTTTAAAAATTATTATGAAGTTTAAATGAAATAATTCATACGATGGTACTTTGTAAACTATACAAAATTATAAATATAGTAATTTTATATTGCATTTATTTCTATATCTATATTAATGAGGACTCTTGATTGCCACTAACAGAAACCCAACACAAAGAAGGCTAAGCAGAAAAGCATATTTGGGGAATATAACTGAATAATTTCAACAAATACTAAGTAAGAAAATCAGAACTATGCATGTCTTCTCTCAGCTATGGTTCTTCTATGTAGATTTCTTGTTTTTTTCTTTTTCTTTTTTTCCATCCCTTTACTTTGACTCCGTAAACGTCTTTACCAGTTAGGTGGGTTTCTTTATGTAGCACATGGTTGGATTTTTTAAAAAATTATTTATTTATTTATTTTTATTATACTTTAAGTTCTGGGATACATGTGCAGAACGTGCAGGTTTGTTAAATAGGTATACATGTGCCATGATGGTTTGCTGCACTCATCAGCCCGTCATCTACATTAGTTATTTCTCCTAATGCTATCCCTCCCATAGCCCCCCACCCTCCAACAGGCCCCGGTGTGTGATGTTCCCCTCCCTATGTCCACATGTTCTCATTTCAACTCCCACTTCAAGTTTCAACTCCGACTTCTGATTGAGAACATGCAGTGTTTGGTTTTCTGTTCCTGTGTTAGTTTGCTGAGAATGATGGTATCCAGCTTCATCCATGTCCCTGCAAAGGACATGAACTCATTCTTTTTTATCATTACATAGTATTCCATGGTGTGTATGTGCCACATTTTCTTTATCCAGTGTAACATTGGTGGGCATTTGGGTTGATTCCAAGTCTTTGCTTTTGTGAATAGTGCTGCAATAAACATACATGTGCATGTGTCTTTATAGTAGAATGATTTATAATCCTTTGAGTACACACCCAGTAATGGGATATTTGGGTCAAATGTTATTTCTAGTTCTAGATCCTTGAGGAATCGTCACACTTTCTTCCACAATGGTCGAACTAATTTACATTCCCACAAACAGTGTAAAAGCATTCCTATTTCTCCACATCCTCTCCAGCATCTGTTGTTTCCTGATTTTTTAATGATCGCCATCCTAACTGGCATGAGATGGTATCTCATTGTGGTTTTGATTTGCATTTCTCTAATGACCAGTGATGACAAGCTTTTCTTCATATATTTATTGGTTGCATAAATGTCTTCTTTTGAGAAGTGTCTGTTCATACCCTTTGCCTACTTTTTGATAGGGTTGTTTGTTTTTTTCTTGTAAATTTGCTTAAGTTCCTTGTAGAGTCTGGATATTAGCCCTTTGTCAGATGCATAGATTACAAAAATTTTCTCCCATTCTGTAGGTTGCCTGTTCACTCTGATGATAGTTTCTTTTGCTGTGCGGAAGCTCTTTAATTAGATCCCATTTGACAATTTTGGCTTTTGCTGCAATTGCTTTTGGTGATGAAGTCATGAAGTCTTTGCACATGCCTGTGTCCTGAAGGGTATTGCCTAGGTTTTCTTCTAGGGTTTTTATGGTCTTAGGTCTTATGTTTAAATCTTTAATCCATCTTGAGTTGATTTTTGTATAAGGTGTAAAGAAGGGGTCCAGTTTCAGTTTTCTGCATACGGCTAGCCAGTTTTCCCATCACCATTTATTAAACAGGGAATCCTTTCCCCATTGCTTGTTTTTGTCAGGTTTGTCAAAGATCAAATGCTTGTAGATGTGTGGTGTTATTTCTGAGGGCTCTGTTCTGTTTCGTTGTTCTATATATCTGTTTTGGTACCAGTACCATGCTGTTTTGGTTATTGTAGCCTTGTAGTATAGTTTGAAGTCAGATAGCCTGATCCCTCCAGCTTTGTTCTTTTTGCTTAGGATTGTCTTGGCTACAGGGTCTTTTTTAATTCCATATGAAATTTAAAGTAGTTTTTTTTTTTCTAATTCTGTAAAGAAAGTCAATGGTAGCTTGATAGGAATAGCATTGAATCTATAAATTACTTTGGGTAGTATGGCCATTTTCACAATATTGATTCTTCCTATCCATGAACATAGAATGTTTTTCTATTTGTTTGTGTCCTCTCTTATTTCCTTGAGCAGTGGTTGGTAGTTCTCCTTGAAGAGGTCCTTCACATCCCTTGTAAGTTTTTGGGCATCTCTTCCTGGGTGCCTCTCAGCAGCTGCAGGTTTGTATCATATCCATTGAATAACCTTAATCAAAAGTCTTTTTTCCCCCAAGTAATTTTGGCAACAATCCAAGAATCAATTCTCCATGTACTGAAATGGGCATGCAACTATCTATAATTCAGTCTCAGTGGCTATTGAAGTTAGATATGCTGATTGGTTAAGCCTGGATCTACTCCACTGCTGGAACTTACATGAAGAAGACAGTTTCTTACTACATGGATTGAGAGTGGGAGCGGTGGTTCCCTAAAGGAAAAGTGTGATGCTGTTGCCAGAATATGAGAAAGTAGGTGCTTAAAAGGCTATAACTACAGCATCACTATAGTAGCCTTATAAGTCAAGGCGCCAGGAGCTAAAAGGGCAGATACTCTTTGTGGATGTGCCATGATGCACACATTGGGACAATGCTGTGATGAATCAGAGTCCATGTCTTGTGAGGCAAATCAATGCATTCAACAAGAAATCTAAAAGAAGACAAGTTGTAGAAAGTTCCAAAACAGGGATATTCACAGGACGTATATTGGGAGTCCAACCAACGTTTAATTGCTTTGATGTTGATTTCAAACTGGCCTGAAGTTTTCTTATACTGGCATTGGTGAGCATGAGAGTGAGAGGAACAGAGAAAGTTCTGAAACCATATTTTTAAACAAAGTTTTTTAGAATAAATCATTCATTCATTTGAATACCTGTCTAAAAGCGGGAGGGCCTCTGATGAGTTCAGCCCAGGACAAGCTCAGCGCTATGGAGCCAGGCTGCCAAGAGGCAGGAAAGGGAAGAGTCTGCAGCCACAGGAGTGTATTGTTTCCTGCCAGCTGGGGCTGCTTCCTCCCCCCAGCAGTCTCCCGGCAGCCGAGCCTCCACCCTTTGGTGTCTTTTGTGGTGGGCAGGGATGCCACCAGAGCTGGGCCTGAGCATGGACACTGGGATGAGCCCACTTTTCTGGTGAGCTTATCCCAGTATCCATGCTCTGTCCCAGCTCTTGTGGCAGCTGGCTACATTGTTGGCAGTCACTGGATAGAATCTAGCGAGAGACTTGGGAAATGCCAGAAATGGCCCCTGACTTTGTGTTGCTGCTACTTTGGGAAAATGGACTAGGTTGAGGAACTGAAAGGTCTTCCAGCTTTCCTTTCTCCTCCTCTCTGACCTCACCTTCCTCCCTAACTTCTTTTCCCACCAACTTTTTCTCCTTTCTCGTTTTTCTGTTTGCCCCTTCTGATAGGATGAAATTCTCTTCAGGACAGCATTAATATCTTTATTAAAGACAAAGCCCCAGTTAGGGGGCCTTTATCAAGACAAAAAGTGCAAATCCTGTCTTTAGTAATCGAAGGAGCATCCCCAAGGCAATAACCCAAGGAAGGCAGTGGTGACCCCAGAGACAGGCATATCTGGTGGTTTTGGAAGTTCAGAGGCAGGAGAAGTAACTTCAGCTGGGCGTTCATGGAGTGCTTCCTGGGGTAGGTTTCATTTAACTTAGATCTTTTCATTTAAGTTAGATCTTAAAAAGACACAAATTAACCTGGCAAAATGAGTGAGGGAGGCAGGCACAGCTCCAAGAAGGACTCAAGCTTCGTGTGCTAATGTCTACATCATTTGCTGATTACTATGGTTCCTCACTCAGAGCTTGAATAATTTTAGTTTACACAAACTGTTAATAAACTTGGCTACCTATAGATATATACAAGACCCAAAACAGCACATTTGATGAGGAAGAATGGGTTACAATAGGCAGGCCTACTAAAAAGGAAGACAAGTACAAGGTTGATGACTTGATAAGAAGAGAGGAGACAGAAAACAAGATAAACAGAACCCCTGCCGCGAATCCTCAGTCACTTAAAAATCACAGCAATCCGGATCGAGTGTGGAGTCAAGAGGTGCTTTAAATTTAGAGAGTCCTCTAGAATGTCATCATATATTATATTGCAGTGAAGAAAGTGACAGCCTACAGTGTGCCCCCTTGTGAAAGGCTAAATTATTTTCTTTATGCTTTGTCTTAGAAGATAGACAAATGCATAATCGATTTTAGAAATAGTTCCATCCTAATTGAGTTACAATGGAGTTTGTATTTAAACCATAAACCTTCAGTATTTGGAATGCTGCTCATCAGAGAAGAAATAATTTGGTTTGACTTTTAATAAATTCCAAAGTTCTGTGGATCACATTATGTCATACACTCTCATCCAAACTCCTGCTTATCGCGTCTATGCCTCCTCCACTCCTAAGGTTTCTTTTGCTTCTTCCTTGACTGAGGCTTTCTGCAACTCCCCTCTGGAGTCTGGCGCACGGAGCTCCTGCTGATGCTTCTTCTTCTGCATTTCCAATGTGCCAGTGAGGGGGCAGTGGGAGAAACTCTGAGGCAGGGGCTACTTGGATATGGGTCTTGGCTTCCAACCTAAAAGTTGGAAATTTTAGAAAAGTCCCTTCCCCTCTCTGAGCCCCTGTTTTCCCATTCAGAAAATAAGAATAATAACCCTTATTCGTGGAGCTATTGTGAAAAAAAAGGCATGAATGCATGTGAGCATGCTTAGTAAACTGGGCAGTGGTTCCATTCTCAATTCATGCAGAGCAATTATAACTACCCCCTCCCCTAGTTGTCATTTGCATGTGGACCTTTCTCTTTCCCTTGCTTGGTAATTGACTTGAGACTGTGTTTTCCCTGGTTTTTGTTTTGTGTTTGGTATCTCCCTGAGAAAAGCCTGTTTTGGGCTCTGCAGGTCATGTGTGTTGTGTGACCCTGGAGGAGGGACACTATTCATAGCTGATAATGTGAATAGGGTCCTCCACGGTTCTGTGATGTAGGGGTCCTGGCCATAGGGCCTAGCGTGCTGCTGTCTCTGTATGTATTAAACATTAGTGACTCTTTTTCTGTCCTTAATACTTAAGCCCTGTCCTGAGGCATAAAATATTACTGTGTACTGACCCTGAATTGAAAATTTTGCACTGTATTATTCAGCTTCAGGCCTAGCTTTCAATTTCCCATTTCATTTTCGACTGGACTACACTGGTCATTGCCTTGAGAGATTTTTCCCAGCCACAGAAGTCTTCTGGTGAAGACGGTCTTTAGACTGGCAGGGTTTCAAAGTAAATATAAGTAAAATAATTGGCAAGTCTGATATTTAGGCTTTGGTGTTTTAATCCCCAATTCTTTTGACACTGGGCACATCTCAACAGCCAGGCTTGGAAGTGGTGGTGGGGGAGAAGGACATCACAGCGTATTTCTGCTGCACTCTCCTCTTTCCACTCTCATCTGTATAAAGTCTTTGCAGCATCTGTGAAATATTGTGGTCTAACTGCTATTCGATTCTTGGTGGACTTCCGTTTCTTCCTCTGTGCACTGGGACTAATCATACCCACATCTGAGGGTTGCTAAGGAGTGACATGAGATGCTATGTGTATGCCTCCAGGCACAGAGCCAGACCCCTGTTAGGTGCTCACAAAAGCAATAGGTGAACATGAAACCATGGTGACAAACAGCCTGCTTCTCCTCTTCTCTGACAATGCTTGTCTAGATTGGGGAGCTCTGACATAAAACTTTCTGTCTTACAATGAGAGAACAATCTATCTATGTGTAACTTCCATCTATGAGACCCCTGGGCGAGGATGGTGTGTCTTCCCCTTTTCTTAGCGTTCTCACTCTGTCCCGTAGTGAGGACGGACAACAGAGAGCTGCTGTGGTCAGCGAGCCGAGGAGCCAGACAAGGCTCTGTGGTTACGTACTTATTTAGTTTCTTATTTATTACTTTTGCAGTTAACATTTTTTACAATCATGTTATTTTGTGGTTTATTTGCAAAATGCATTGTGAGCCAAGTTTGCTTCAAATGTGCTCTGAGTCAGAAAATGGTTACATAGGGGACCCAGAGAGATGGGAGGGGAGGGTAAAGAGCAGCTGCAAGAACATCATATAATAGATATATCAGTTATTGCTCCTTGCTTTGTAATTAGGCTACTCAAGGTAGACGGAGAAATGGAAACAATGCATAATAGGCTCATGTGCGGCAGCGTGAACAGACTCTTCTGCCTCAGAAGTCAAATGCAAAGGGGCCAGCCTGGGACTTGGGGAAGAGAACCCTGGAGAGAGCTTCACTCCTGCTTAACCACCCATGAGCACCAAAGCAGCATCTTTGAAAATCTTTGGGAGACAACAGTAGAGCTTGGTTAGAGAGGCAAAAGTGACGGATAATGAATTAACTCATAAATACTATTAGAGGGTTTATTATAAATTGTTTTTGAAGATTTTAATAGAAACGAAAACCTAGTTTTCAGAGATTAGCTGAAATAAGTCCCAAGAGAAGCTTTGCCAGAAGCCGCTTTTCCTTTTAACTCTCTGTTCTTCCTTTCTCACCCCCCCAGGCAATGGTAGATTCCTAAGAGGACGCCTGTTGTTGGTGAAGCCCATTTTGACTGTGTTCAAGTTTGTTCTTGTATTATTCCATCTGGTGGCTCCCCAAACCGCTTTCTTTTTTTACTCTCCTTGTAAATATTTACATAAGAAGGTTCTTGCAAAGGCAGGATCCTATATTGGTGGATTGGCGCTAAGCAGAGTCTTGACGTGTTTTATTCCTTTTACGAACAATTCGGTTAAGTGGATTCTCTCCCAGCTCATTAAAAAATAGCCTTTTATTTTAATAACACCATCAGAAACTAAATAGCATCAGAGGGGAAAATAAGTTTGCAATGTGCAGCCTCAAGTGGCAATCTCTGAGCCACTGTTAGTGGTTGATGCAAGAATTGGTGATTGTAGTTAGTGGCTAAAATGCAGCATGCATTTAAAGGACTCATCTCCCTAGGCAGAACAAGGATCTGTGGTGTTTTCTGGGACAGCTGAATGCATAAGAGATCAGATAACTGGATCAGGAGATCAAGACTTGGTTCTCAAACTTCAGACTTCAGCTCATCTTGCCTTCCTCCCTGAGGCACTATCTTTGTTTGCTTTCTCTTCGCCGCCCTCCCTCTTGGACAAGTCCATCCTTGCCCACAGCTTTAACTGATACTTCTTTAGAGGGAGCAGTCAAACCTCTCTTTTTAGCTTTAACTTCTCGTTTGAGCCCCAGTTTCTGCATTCCCAGTTTTTCTGGACATTTTAAACAAGATTGCCATCGCAACCCAAACCTGACAGGACCAAAGCCAACCTCAACTCCTTCTGAACCTGGTCCCACTCTTGCTCTTGTGAGTGCTACCTTCCAGCCCCACCCAAACAAGCTTAATCCCAAAATCTGTCACCTTTGCCCCAACCCTGCATCCCCAAATCTAAAGCAGTTGCCAAATGATGTTGATTTTAATACTGCATGAAGACTTGCATTGGTACATCTGTTTCTGTCCTCGCTGTCATTGTCCTAGGCTTCCTTAAGCTCTATACATTTATTCATCCATGTGCTCATTCATTCAACATACGTGTTGATTGGATGGTTCCTGTATACTAGATATCTAGCAGGTGCTGGAAATATAGAAGTGAACAAGACAAAAAGAGAATTTGAACCTGTTCTCACGGGGGAAGATGCACATCAAAAAATTTATGATAAAACTTGTTAAATTTGACCATATAGGAAAAATAAGAGAAGTCACAGGCTTATCTGTCTTCTGATACTACCGAGCCCTGCAGCATGATGTTGCCATGTTCATTTGTCTGACTATGTCACTTTTCTGCTCAAATGCCATCAGTGCCCCTCAATGTTACCTATTTATTTCACAGCATTTATTTACTCATTCATTCATCATTCGTATGTTCTTTTGTTCTCCTTCACACCATGCTCTTCATTGTCTCCATGCTCTTGCTAATGTGGTTCCTTCTGCCCACAGCACTCTCTTTATACCTCACTGCACCCAGCCACTCGTCACTTAGTTAATTGAAGAGACACCTTGATTAATGCAGATGTCAACACTTCAAGGAAGACATCTCCACTCTTCACTGAAGCCTTTCATAACATGCTCACAAGCTTTTTCTCCATCCTTTCATCCCATCCATTAGGTACCCGTTCACTCTTCATACTTCCAGGACAGCATGATAGCATCTGATACCAATTAGTCTGTTCTGTGACACTAACCTTGACATAAACTTAGTGTTTGTAGAAAGTCTTTGAGTTAAAGCCTCCGTTTTCCCTAACACACAGTTTGATTTGACTGACCCCTCTGGCCTTTGTCACTCTGGCGTGGGGGTAGAAACTGTCTCCTTTAAGATACAGTCTACAAGAGCGTCTATTCACTGGGTTTCTTGGTTATTACTGGATTGTGTTAGATTTAAAACATGCGGAAGAGACAGTTTTGGTATGACCATTTATTATGTGACCTGGAATAAAAGGGAAGTGCATTATAAAGTTGGGCAGCAGCATCTTCATAAGAAGTATTCTTGTTTTTCCTAGGAATTTCTTAAAAAAGAGTAGAAGAGGTAGTATTGTTCTGTGTTTCTTTCCTTTTTTCTTCATCCAATTTACAGATGGGAAGAGGAGGTTTAGAGAATTGCAATTTGTACATGTTACAGTGGATTAGAAGAGATGATAGGGTTATTACAAATCAGGCATTATGAAAATAAATTTTGATATTCGATCACTTGCATTTTCATGGCTTCAGTGAAATTTGATTAGTGGTGTTTTGTTCAGTTAGTCTACTGTGTTTTGACTTCTTCATATTTAATGCCCTCTCACCTGACCGTTTCACCTGACCAGCATTCCTGAGAATGCAGAGTGTCAGCTGGGGAGACACAGCGCAGCATCAGAGAGCTGCTGAAAGCTGCTGAGCCACACCTGGCTGCAGCTGGGTTGAAGATGGGTCTGAGTTCTGAGAAAGACTGCATACTCTCCTATTGGAAAGACAGACTTCATTTCGGGAAATATTCAATAAAAAGTTTTGAGACACAGAGTCCCATTCATGGTGAGAGAGATTGAAGGTAGCTGTTTTCCCTCTTAAGGCTTGGCGCAGTCTGTAAGGATACTATTTAATGTAATCAAGAACTGATTATTTTGTTGATCATGTTTCAAAACCCGTGCCCTTTAAACAAGTTCCCAGAGTAAATTGAATGCAATTGTGGGAAGTTTAACTTTTTAAAGGAAATCTTGTTGTATTTTGAGATTGAGGGAGAGGATGATGGGAGAGGGTGACTGGAAACCTGCCCAAGGACTGAAAAATCTAAGAGGATGGGAGGAAGGATGAACAGAGAAGAGAAAGACTAGAATTCTGGGTCAGAAACTCTTACCGAATGAGTCATCCCACAGGACAAATAAAACCTCACTCATCACCCTGTCTTCCCTCTCTGTAGCGAGAGAAGCAAACACTGGGGCCCTGGAAAAACATCAGCAACTTCTTGTAGCATCTGTAGGTGGGGAAGGTTTCCAAGCCACCGAGAGGGCTGTGAACGCAGTTACTGGGGCTCCAGTTTTTCCTCAGCCAAGTAGGAAGAACCTCTAAATTGACCTTGGAAAAACATACTCAATGAAGGAAAAAAATATGGTAAGCTCTCCCTGTGTATTTGTATTAGAGATTTTTTTTTAAAGAAACAAATACATTGCTTTCCAGTTTTCCATGAAAAGAGTTTGAATACTCTCATATTCACAGTGGTAAAATCCTTAGAGTGGGATTTGAAAGGCTGTAGACAGGACTTAAGCTTTGCCCCTCTTTAAGAAGCACAAGGTCATCCACATAGTACAACTGTATTCGTATTAAAAAGCCTAAGGGGGAAAGCATTCTTGCCGCTCCTTTCAGCAAAGATTGAAATTAGCATTTTTATGAAGAGCATAAACTCTCTGCGTATCAAAGATGCACTTTTATTACTCTGAAACTGGCTCGAGTAAGCATCCTGCAAACATTTGGCTCTTTCTCTTCCAGGAGGAGGCCAATTAAAACACAGTCTGTCTAACTGCCAGTCCCTACCCACTCTTCAGTGGGGCAACAACAATACCGAGATGGCAGCGTTGGCGCCTGCAAAAGTGGCTTTTCAGTTATTGGGCACCTGGAGGGAAAATAATGATTTCTTGGCACTCATCACAAAAACAAATTTAAAAAAAACAACAACCAAAAAACAAAAAAAAGAAGGCTTATTTTACTTGCCCCTCCTCCCTCTGATTATGAATTGCGTGGTTCGGACAGACAATTTAACTTGCCACCAATTGTGTCAGCTGTTCTCCCTGTTCTCCCACCTCTGGAGCAATGAGGCTCAAGGGAGAGGGGCAGTTGACTGTGTCTTGGTGGCGCCAGCATGCTTTTACAAGCTGCAATTACCCTCTGGCAGGCAGCCTGTGCCGGTGGGCTGCTCTCTGGAGCAGAGACCCACAGCTGTGCAGTCCCCCTGTGGCTACCAACAAACCTGCCATTTAATGTTGTTTCTTCAGGTATTGTCTCATCTGACCAGTGGTTTTTCTATTACAAGAGGCCTCTCTATCATGGCATGAAGCAGAAAGTGGAAAGGACAGTGTCTGGCTGCTTTTGGAGCCAGAGGCAACAGGCCAGGATTTACCTCACTCGTTTAGATTTACTCATCAGCCAAATGAGTCTTGCTAAAATATTTAGTCTCCATATACGCAATAAACAATTTTGAACTGAATTCAGATTCAAGACTCAAATTCCCTTTCAATGGAAATGACACCAAGCACAGGCACATAAATGATGCTCAGTAAACATTTCTTGAGTGAAAGAATTAATATGCCAAGACCTAGGGAGGAAATCTTTTTACAGTGTACCTCTGTCCATTTCTCTCCACTTTTCTGATGTGATGAAATTCAATCTTGTGATTGCTCTACTAATATTACCTCTGACAATGAATCTTCCTGATTTCAAAGAGTGGACTGACTTCCTATGAAAACAGTTAATGCAATATTTGGAGGTTTAACAGTTTTGATGCTTTTGGCTACAAATAAAAGAGTACCTATCAAAACTAACTCAGACAATGGAGATTTATTAATAAAACTTACAAATGTGATGTCCAGAGATTAGCAGTTCTGGGAGTAGATCAGTAACACATCGATGTCAAGGGTTAAGATCAATGTCCCTGGCATTTTCTTTTTCTTTTCTTCATGGTTTCAAGATGGCTGCTGCAGTTCTGAACCACATGTCTTCATATAACAATGATTAAAACACAACAGAAGATACTTTGATTTTAAAGACCTATAAGGTTTCCTCTTATATTGTGTTTCTCATAACCGGGTCACATGCAAAGTAAAAACAAATTGCCATGAGTGACTAGACCCCTTGTGTTAGTTTGGTAGTATAGTCATGGCAGTATCACAGACAGGGTGGCTCAAACAACAGATTTTTTTTTCTCATGATTCTGGATGCTAGAAATGCAAGATCAAGATGTCAGTAAGATTGGCTTCTTCTGAGACCTCTCTTCTTTGGTTTTAGATGACTGCTTTCTCCCTGTGTCTTCACATGGTCTTTCCTCTATGTGTTTCTGTGTCCTAATTTCTTCTTATAAGGACACCTGTCATAATGGATGGTGGCCCACCCTAACAACTTCATTTTAACTTGATTACCTTTTTAAAGACCTTATCTCCAATGATAGGCACATTCTGAGGTAATAAGACTCAGGACTTCAACAAGGGGGAGGGAGGGACATACAATTCACCCCCAATCACCCATCATGATTGATCCTTTGAGATCAGCATATTACTGCTCTGGTAACACAGGGGCCTGATTAACAAAGACAGAGGAGAGACTCTCACCTATGTCTTTACTTATTCTCATTATTTTGTTCATGTAATAATTGTTGAGATGCCTTCATTTCCCAAAATGTGATGAAAGAGCCCAATATAAGAAATAATTTAGAAAACTGAAGATTATAATAATGATGACCTCTGTTGCTAGATATGTCCCTGGACACGTGGCCAGCAGTATCCAGTGAGAGCATATTCGTGTGTAGCAAGTGTGTGTCCAAGAAAATAAATGGATTTTCTTAACAAATGACACAATAACTTCTCTTAAGGAAGAATAAATATTGGTTTAGAAAAATTCTTGACACCTGATTAGTGGGAAAGTGATTCTTAGAGATCATGGGCTACCAGCAGCCAAAATAAGACAAGAAAAGATTAAACTTATTGTTATTATTTTGAGACAGAGTCTCGCTCTGTCGCCTAGGCTGGAGTGCAGTGGCACGATCTCTGCTCACTGCAACCTTCACCTCCTGAGCTCAAGCGATTCTCCTGCCTCAGCCTCCTAAGGAGCTGGGCCCACCACCCACGTCCAGCTAATTTTTCGTATTTTTAGTACAGATGGGGTTTCACCATGTTGGCCAGGCTGGTCTTGAACTCCTGACCACAGGTGATCCAGCCGCCTCGGCCTCCCAAAGTGTAGGGATTACAGGCATGAGCCACCACACCTGGCCTTAAACTTATTTGAATAAACCATGAGCTGAAATGTGGTAGTAGGGGAAAACATGAGAAGTTAGAAAATAGCACAAGGCTTGAAGACCTTGAGTGAAAATTGGACAGGGACAATATCCAGTTGTGGGAGAATCAAGTCTTCCTAGAATGAAGAAGTCTGATGTCTCGTTTGAGCATATTTTTGCTGGTGTGATGTAGTACTCTCCTCAGCACCTTCCTTTGATCATCAATAAAACATACTATGTACACACCTATCTCAAGAGGGTAGAGTTTTGGGGAAACCAAGTATGCAATGGCATTGGATATGCCATGAGCAGACCTGGCAGATGACCTATAAATGGAACTGATTAAAAAAACATGATTTCTAGAAACACAGATATCTGTGAGCTGTAAGCACCCTCTACTCCTACCTCCAAGTAAAAACAGAAATCTGGAGGACTGTTTCAGTTTTCACAGGACACTGAAAGGGATGTAAGAATGAGGATGTGTTTGACTCAATCTTATCCACCTTTTATGGGGCAGGATCATCCCAGATTTTATTTAGGTTACATGTATATAGTAACATTTTTAATTATAAGAAACAGTCCAACCTTACATTACATTATGAATGATTTTTTAAATGTTTATCTATGAATTAGTCTATATTTTCCAAGCCTTCAACTTTTATTCCATGTGACTACTATAATCTTGAAAAAATAGTGCAAACTTTTAAAACATTTTGTTAAAAAATTTTATTTTGAGATAATTTTATTTTATCTTATTTTATTTTTGTTTTTTATTTTTTTGAGATGGAATCTTATTCTGTCACCCAGGCTGAAGTGCAGTGGCGTGATCTTGGCTTGCTGCAACCTCTGCCTCTTGGGTTCAAGCGATTCTCCTGCCCCAGCCTCCCGAGTAGCTGGGATTACAGGTGCCCACCACCATGCCCAGCTAATTTTTTTTTTTTTTCGTATCTTTACTAGAGACAGGGTTTCACCATGTTGGCCAGGCTAGTCTCGAACTTCTGACCTCAGGCGATCCACCTGCCTTGGCCTCCCAAAGTGCTGGGATTACAGGCGTGACCCACCATGCCCAACCTAATTTTGAGATAATTTTAAATAAACATGCAGGTGTAAGAAACAATACAGAGAGATCTCATATACCCTTTACTCAGTATCTACCCATGGTAGCATCTTGCAAAACTCTGGTACAATATTACATCCGGAGTATTAACTTTGATGCAGTGAAGATACAGAACATTTCACTACCACAAGGAGCCTTTGTGCTGCCCTTTTAGCCACATCCTCATCCCGCTCATGTCATCCCCTACTTACCTCTGGCAACTACCAATCTGTTCTCTATTTTCATAATTTTGTCATTTCAAAAATGCTATATAAATGGAATCATGCTCTATGTAACCTTTTGGGATTGGCTT
This sequence comes from Homo sapiens, assembly GCF_000001405.40. Taxonomy (NCBI): domain Eukaryota; kingdom Metazoa; phylum Chordata; class Mammalia; order Primates; family Hominidae; genus Homo; species Homo sapiens. Next base: position 188,983,423 of record NC_000003.12, read on the forward strand.
TTCCCACTCAGTGCAGTTTCCTGGAAAGTCATCCAGGTAGTAACCATAGATCAATATATTTTTCTTTCTATTGTTGAGTAATATTCTACGATATGGACATGCCAGAATTTGTTTAAACATTCACCTATTGAAAGACGTCTGGTTGTTTCCAGTTATGGGATATTACAAAGGTGCTTGTTACAGATTGAATCTTGTTCTCCTAAAAAGTTGAATTCTTAGCCCCCAATACCTCAGAAAGTGACCCTATTTTGAGGTAGGGTCTTTGCAGAGGTACTCAAATTAAAATACAATCATTAATGTAGGCCGTTATTCGATATGAGTGGTGTCCTTATGAAAAGGTCAAATTTAGAGACAGCCATGCACACTGAGAGACTGCCATGTGAAAATGAAGTCAGAGACTGGGGCAATGCTTCTTCAAGTCAAGGGACACCAATCTCCAGGAAACCTCCAGAAGTGAGGTGAGAGGCATGGAGCAGATCCTCTCTCACAACACTCAGAAGAAAGCAACCCTGATGATACCTTGGTTTGGGCATCCAGTCTCCAAAAGTGTGAGACAATAAATATCTGGTGTTTAAACCACTCTGCAGTACTTTGTTAATGGCAGCACTAGCAAACTAATATAGTGCCATAAACATCTGTGTATAGGAGGTTTTTGTACAGACACAAATCCTCATTTCTTTGGAATAAATGGCCAGGAGTGCAATTACTGGGTCATAGGGTAGCTGCATATTAAGTTAAAAGAAAATAGCCTGTTTTCCAGAATGGCTGTACTTCTTTACATTCCCAGACCAATGTAAAGGATGGCTCAAATTCTTGTCATTCTCACTAAAGGTTGATGTTGTCACTATGTTTTTATTTTAGCCATTCCACTGGATATATATTGGTATCTCATTATGATATTAATTTGCATTTCTCCAATGGCTAATGATGATGGACTTCTGTTCATGAGCTTGTTTGTTTCTACTGTTGAGTTGTGAGGGTTTTTATATATTCTGAATAGCAGTTCTTTGTTATGTATGTACTTGGCTTATATTTTCCCAGTTTATAGCTTGTCTTATCCTCCCATTAATAGAGGTGTTTTGTGGATCAAAGGTTTGTAATTTTGATGAAATCTGCTTTATCACTTGTATCTTTTTATGGATCATGCCTTTAGTGTCAATTCTAAGAATTCTTTGCCTAGCTAACAATATGCCAGAGTAATTTCTATATTTATTATAAAATGTTTTTAGCTTTGTAATTTACATTTGAGTCCATGATTCACTTTGAGTTAATTTTTATACAAAGTGTGAGGATTATGTCACGGTTCACTGTCTATAGAAATCCAATTACTCTAGCACCATTTATTGAAAAGGCCACCTTTTTTCCACTGGATTGTTTTTGTACCTTTGTCAAAAATCAGTTAGGCATATGTGTATGAGTCTGTTTTTGGGTTCCCTGACATGTTCCATTGATCTACGTGTCTATTCCTCCACCAAATACCACACTGTATTGATAAAGCCTTAATATCAGTCAGAGTGATTTCTCCCACTTTCTTCTTCTTTTTTCTCCCACTTTCTTCTTTTTTCTCCTGTCAATCTCTGTTTTTATTTTTAAATAAGAATTGATGTATTTAGTTCACTTATATTTAACGTAATTATTGATCTCTTAAGGTTAAGTTTTCCCTTTAATTTTATGGTTTGGGTTTATTCTATTTTTTGTGTTTCTTTGTTTTCTTTTTTTTCTGTTATTCTCTGTGTTATGTGAACACTGTTTAGCATTTCATTTTGACTTCTTCTTACCTTTTGGAGTGTTATCTCTTTATACAGCATTTTTGGTGGTTGCTGTTAATTTTTCATTATATATACATAGCTTATCACTGTTTACTTGTATCATCATTTCACCAGTTTATTTATTTATTTATTATTATTATTATTATTATTATTTTTAGAGACAGAGTCTCGCTTGGTCGCCCAGGCTGGAGTGCGGTGGTGCGATCTCGGCTCACTGCAAGCCCTGCCTCCCAGGATCATGCCATTCTCCTGCCTCAGCCTCCTGAGTAGCTGGGACTACAGGTGCCCGCCACCATGCCCGGCTAATTTTTGTATTTTTAGTAGAGGCGGAGTTTCACCGTGGTAGCCAGGATGGTCTCGATCTCCTGACCTCGTGATCTGCCTGCCTCAGCCTCCCAAAGTGCTGGAATTACAGGCGTGAGCATTTTACCAGTTTAAATGAAGTGTATAAACTTTACTTTCTTTTGCATTTCTTAACATAATATTATTATAAGATAATATTCTTAAATATTTCCTCTATATACATTTAACTCCACATTAGACAGTGTTGTAATTTTTTCTTCAATCATCATAGTTAGGAAAACTCAAGATGAAGAGGAAAGTCTATTTTATTTGTTTATATTTTTGTTATCATTTACTTTCTTTTTTCTGATGTTCCAAGAGTCTTTAAAAAGTTATTTCTTTTCTGTTTAGAGAACTTTCTTAGCCATTCTGCTATTATAAATTTTCTGCTGACAAATTATCTTAATTTTTTTGCATCTGAAAATGTCTTGATTTCCTTTCATTCCTAAATAATATTTTCACTGGCTAATAGATTACCACTTGACAATTTTTTTTTTGTAAAGCACATGGAAAAATGTTATGTCACTTTCTTCTGGCCTTAATGATTTCTGATGAGAAATCCACTGTTATTTGATTTTTTTTCTTATGTAGGTATCGTTTTACTGTTTCTTCATCACTTTCAATTTTTATTTCTTTTGAGAACTTTGACTATAATGTGTCTTGTTATGAATTTCTTTGTTTTTTTTTTTCTCTTTGTGATTCATCCAGCCTTTGGATCTGCAGATTTATGGAAATTTCTTGGCCAAATTTGGGGAGTTTGAGTTATTCCATTAAGAACATTTTCAGCTCCTCAGTTTTCCTCCTTTAATTCTGGCATTTCAATGACACAAATGTTATGTCTTTTGTTATATTTCCACAGGAAGTGAGACTTTGTTCATATTTTTGTTAGCCTATTTTTTCCTCTGTTGTTCAAATTGAGTAATTTCTACTGTTCTTAAAGTTCATTAATTATTATGTCTCCTCCATCTTGCTGTTGAACCCATCACTGAGTTTTTAATTTCAGTTATTACATTTTTAAGTTCTAATATTTTCATTTTGTCTTTTATAATATTTTATATTTCTTGCTGAGAAATATTTATTTGCTAGGATTTTTTGTTTTTTTTTCATTTGTTTCAATGGTGTTAATAATTGTTCATTGAAGCATTTTTATGATAGCTGCTTTACAATATTTGTCAGATAATTCTAATGTCACTGACATCTTAGTGTTGGCTTATATTGATTGTGTTTTCTTCTTTTCCATTCAGTTCAAGACCTTCCTGGTACTTGGCATGAATGTTTTAAATTGAAATCTGGACATTTTGGTCATTACATTATAAAAAACTGGATCTTATTAATAACTTTCTGTTTTAGCTTGTTCTTTCTGACACCACTTCGGTAGGGAAAGAGGGGGACACTGTCTTGTTACCAACTTGGCCTCCATTGACACACAATAGAGTGGGTTCCTCCTTACTGCTGAGTGGAGTTACTTACTGCTCCTACTGGGAGCCTCTGCTGATACCTGCTTAGATGGAAGAGACGAGTGCTAGGTTACTGATGTCCACATGGTCTTCACTTCCCACACGGGATGGTGGTGATGGTGGTGATGGTGGTGGCAGTCTCAGGACCATGGGAAACGGTGAAAGCCCTAACTCTGTACTAGGCCCTTTTTGATAGGACTCCAGAAGGGAATAAGAGAGTGTTTCATTTCTGCTTAGTGGGTATGGAAGTCCAGGCTCTCCCTGTGGTTTCGACTGACATTGAGTGGGTGGGAGAAATTGTCCTTGCCCTATAGCGATGAAAGTTTCAGCTTCTAACTTGGCCATCTCAGGCACTCCTCCTGCAAGGGGCTCATTACAGCCAGGTGAGCGTGGAATTCCAGGTTCCTCCTTGGCCTTTGCTGGTGTACGTGAAAAGAGGCATAAGTTTTTTTCTGTGAAGTCTGGAGAATAGGGTGGTTATTGTCAAAAGTATTTCTGTCTTGCTAGGCTCCCCCTTTCCTGGCCCTTTGGCTAGAGAGCTGATTTTGGTGAGACTTTATTTATTTGTCTGGGCCCATTCAGTGTTTCTGGGTTTCCATCTTCTGCACTGCAAAGTTTGAGTTATGTGAGATGAAAAGAGAACTCACCACTGTGTTGTCTCCTGTATCCTAAGGTCCCTAGACTATCTACCTTCTTCTCTCTGCCTTTCAGACAAGGTGTTTGTTTCATATATGTGTTCAGGGGTTTTAGTTGTGCTTAGCAGGAGAGATTAAAAAAAACAACATTGACTCCATATTATTGTAATAAATGTTTCCAACATCTTATTTTAAAATACTATTAGACATTAAAGAGTTACAAAAATAGTGCAAGAAATGTCTGAATGTAATTTATCCATAGTGCCCGCAAATAGTTAACATTTTAGCCCCTTTGCTTTATATTTATTTAGTCATTATTTATTTATTTATTTCTATCTAATCTTATTGAACCCTCTCAGAGTAAGTTGCAAACTCTAAGAACTTCAGTGTGTACGTTCAGAAAACAAGAATAGGCCGGGTGCAGTGGCTCATGCCTGTTATCTCAGCACTTTGGGAGGCTGAGGCGGGAGGATCACCTGAGGTCAGGAGTTTGAGATCAGCCTGGCCAACGTGGTGAAACCCTGTCTTTACTAAAAATACAAAAATTAGCTGGGCATGGTGGCACGTGCCTGTAAATCAAACTAGTCAGGAGATCGAGGCAGGAGAATCGCTTGAACCCAGGAGGCGGAGGTTGCTGTGAGCCAAGATCGCACCACTGCACTCCAGCCTGGGTAACAGAGCAAGACTCTGTCTTACAAAAACAAAAACAAACACAAAAATGAAAAACGAGAATATTCTTTTTTTAAGAATAAAATGCTTTTATTAATCACAACATGCAGTTGACGTGGCATCCTATTAGAATTAAACCAAGATTAATACTGGTGTTATGAAATTTACCTTTCTCACCTCCATTCCAAAGGAAAATATTACTTATTAGGGCTTGTCTTAATCTTATGGACTGATTTCAGTAAAAACTATTTTAAATAGTCAATGGCAATTAACATATATTTTCAAACTGTGCTCAGAAGCAGTTAAAAAGGCAACTATAAAATCTGTAATGATAACGACCAGCAGGATTAGGATCGTTCTGTTAAGCATTAGGAGCCACATCGCTATTTTAGCTGTTCCATCAGTGTACCTTTTTCACTAGTAAGGCAGCTGTTTGCTATGGGTGCCATGCTGATTAGCAAGTTTCTTCTTAAGTTAAAGACACTTGATTGATCAAGACTGAAGTGAGTTTTCCTTTTCAATTTTGCTCTCTTTTGGAGCAGAAACAAAAACCTTTGTCTTTGATATGTAAGGAGTCAAATATGAAATACGGCTGTTATAATCTTCTAAATCACAGTTAAACAGGGGCACAGAATTATTACAAGTCTTTGAAATATTTCGTTATTAAAATAACAAAACTTCTGAATAATTTCTCAAAGTAGCTTTCCATTTTGGTACATGACTTTATAAACATCACACATTAGGTAAGTATTTTAGCAATTTCTTCTATCAATTACACTTTGCCCTCAGTAAGATTTAGAGTATGATTTCAAACAATTTCTACATATAAGCATCTTTAAATAAGTTTTGTTTTCACTGAACTGACTCTCTATTTTCACTTATGTTCCTGTGGAAGTTAATTTGAGCATACATACATACATACATACATACTATATATATATACACACACATATATATATATATACTGGCATACATATGTGTATACATGTGTGTTTTCTAAGTAAGTTACTTTTACCATTAGAATAAAACTGGACACAACAGGGACAACTCTGTGAGAAACAGTGTGGTCTTCCTTGGAAACCCTTCTTTAGGTTGAGGAGGGCAGGTACAGTTTGCTGAAGGATGTGATGAGGCTGTAGTAAGTCTTCTCATCATCTTTCAATTATGTCTCCAAGTCTCACCACCACCGCTACGTGCACATCTGCTTCCTCAGCAGCACTGGCCTCTTGAGTAACATCTGTCAGAAACAAAATGTTGTTGGTTGAGCCCCCAGTGCAGTCTGCAATCCTTTGATAACTTTCATTCTCTACTTTGTGTCCAATCTTGGTATCAAAGGGACCATCAACAAGCTCAAGAATCTTTCCCTTCGCAGACTGCCCGAATAACAGTTTCTGTGCCTCTACACTCCCAGAGGAATAGATATACACCTTCATTCCAGCCTCTTTCCACTTCCTGACTGCTGGAAACACATCTGCAAAGAACTCCGCTTTCATGGGCCGAGCTGTGAATGCTGCCCTTCACGTGTGGTCCTGCAGCTGTTTGAACATGGTGGTCTTTCCGTCCAGGGACATCTGCCAGCACACCTTATCTACCACGGCCTGGATCATCTGTTGCAGATCATCCACTCCATTCCCAGGCCGCATATCTTCCTGCTGCAGGGATAGGAACAGCCCCATCCTCTTCAGCTTGTTTCCTCAAGAGATTGATATCCTGCGGGCACTCCTCTTCTGCCCAATATGTCTGCAGATACTCTAACATTTTCTTCAATATAAGGAAATAAAATGTCCTTCCACGTCTAATGGGATCAGGTTGACTTCAGTGGGCACTGAAAGCACGACCATTTCCCTACTGGATGCTACTATGGGAATCTGCCTGACGGTAGGGAGGATGTAGAGCAACGTGGACTGCGGCCCTGTACAGTCCTGGAGCCAGCGACTGTGTGCAGCCTGGCCTGTGTTGGGAGAGGCCACCTCTGCACACCCGGAACTAGAGAAGGCTGCTGCCCAGAAGCCCTGAATTCATCCAAAAAATAGGAATATTCTTTTACATAACCAGGGTACAATCATTATCATGAAATTAACTTGAATGCAACATTATTTAATCTTATAGATATTATTCACATTTCATCAATTGTATCACTTGTATCTTTCATAGTAAAAGAAAAAAAAAACTCAAACATTTTGTAGGGAAATATGTCCTCTGATGTAGGACCCTGGGGTTTGCTGTATTATTTCAAAGGGAATTCAATCAATTTGCTGATTCATTCTCATTCTCTCTCTCTTTCTTTCATTATCTCTTTACCAAACCTACCCTGATTTTTGACCATTTTAAGTACTTTATAGTCAACCAGCCTAGAATCTCTCTACCTGTATCCAACTAGATCTCTACCTGTTCCAGTCCTTGTTAGAACAGGAAAACAGTCATGTAAAGCAATGCAGAAATAGTAAAGTTTAATATAGAAATTAGGGATTACCTGGGAGAGAAATCAGGAAGGGTATATCCAAAATGTTAGGGAAAAAACCCTGAAACTCTGTAGTGAGTAGTTATAAAATGTATTAGGAAACTGCTGCAATTCTTGATTTTCAGGGAGAGCCCCCAGCTGACTATTTTGGTTAGCTGAATAACTTCCTTCTGGTTAGCTATGTGCCTGCCTTGATCCCCCAAGTCCTGCCTTTCAAAATCTCATGTGAGTTCTTCTTATCAGCAAAGTCAAATCTGGAATCATAGAGCAAAGGAGGTTCTGGAGAATCTAGATAGAAGGCTTCCAGTTCAGGCTTCAAGTTTTTCTGGTGAGTAAGTGGTGCCCTATAGTAGGAGAGAGAATGGACAGAAAAGCATCCGGCTGGCCCAGGAAATCTCTTTCTGGAAAATTATTCAAATAGTTAGAAATACATTGCTAAATTCTGTCACTGACCCATGTTAGAGATAATTGGATCTCCCTTTCCCACCAGAATATTGAATTTGTTTTTTTGAGACGGAGTCTTGCTCTGTTGCCCAGGCTGGAGTGCAGTGGCGTGAACTCGGCTCACTGCAAGCTCCACCTCCTGGGTTCACGCCATTCTCCAGCCTCAACCTCCCGAGTAGCTGGGACTACAGGCACCCTCCACCACGCCTGGCTAATTTTTTTTGTATTTTTTAGTAGTGACGGGGTTTCACCATGTTAGCCAGGATGGTCTCGATCTCTTGACTTCATGACACGCCCGCCTCGGCCTCCCAAAGTTGAATTTGTTTTTGTTATCATCACTTTCCCCAATGGATTCACCCTAAGATACAATCCAAAGAGGGCTTCTCTTTATTATTGATACTTCTTATTTCTATTTAGAAACTCTTATTTTTTTTGATTCCAATTAATTAGTGTTAGTTGAGCTACCATGATTTTTCACGACCTTGATCCTAACCTTGGCTGTAGTTTATTGTTCCATGGAGGACATAGTATTCAAGTTAGCCCAATTACAGTGTTTTTCCCCATTTTTTCATTTCTAATGTTTTTCTAATTTTTTTTGTTTCTAAAAATAGCTCAATTGTATGATACGTCTAGAGCAAACGAAGATTGCATCAGTCAGTAGAGATTAGGTTATGCTCTGGTAACAAATAACACCAAAATCTCAGTAATTATTTTTTTCGAGGCAGAGTTTGGCTGTCACCCAGGCTGGAGTCTAGTGGTGCAATCACTGCTCACTGCAGTCTTAATCTCCTTGGCCCAAATGATTCTCCCACTTAAGCTTCTCAAGTAGCTGGGACTACAGGCACATGCCACCCCACCCAGCTAACTTTTTTATTCTTTTGTAAAGACTAGGTTTTGCTGTGTTGTCCAGGCTGGTCTTAAACTCCTGGCCTCAAGTGATCCTACTGCCTTGGTCTGCCAAAGTGTTGGGATTATAGGTGTGAGCCACTGCACCTGACCTACAGTAGTTTTTTTTTTTTTTTTTTTTTTTTTTTTGGTGACACAGTCTTATTTACTGCTCATTCGGTTTCTACTGAAGATCTAGGTGTTTCTACAGGACAACTGTGTCCCATGTGCTGACTCAGTATTTTAATTGCTTAAATATTTTGGTCTCCCCATATAGATACAAGCTTTTACAATTCTTATGGTACGGGAAGAGCCAAACTAGAGAATCCTGTATCTGCAATTAAATGCTTCCACTCACATTTCATGGTCAAATCAAGTCAAATGGCCATGTCCAACTTCGAGAGGTGGATTAGTGGAATCCTTCATGTACTCAGAAGTAGAGCATATCTAGATATTGGTGAACAATTGCAATACTTACCCTATGGACCCCAAAGTCCTATGGACTTCTGACTGACTGACTATTCAGTTGGAGTTAAATGACTAAGGAAGGTAAGTATGATGCCCCTATCATCTTAGAACACATGAGTCAGTACTAAGAAAAATGTTCGCTCTCTCTTTCTGCTTTTTCTATTACTTTGATTACTATGCTTGAGAAAGCCTAACAAAAATGATGCTATTCCTTTACATTTTGCTCAGCATTGTAGATGAGCTATTAGTCTTTTATATAATGTCGCCTCTGAGTTAGAAATCTAGTGTTGAAGCTAATAGTAGGGTACTGTTTATGCAGCTTACCATACAGGGTTGCTGTGAACCTCAAGGGAAATAATGGTTATAAAAGGGCTGGATATACTTTAATAAATTCAACAAATAGTTTAAGGTGTTGTTATTGTTATTTCTTTCATTGAGCTTTCATTAGGAGCATCTCAGGATGACTTTTCAGCTGAAATCAAATTGGCTGATTCTTCAGTGGGCAAAACCCTCATTTTCAGACAATCTAAAGGCCTTTCTTATCAGTAGATTCTCCTAAGCATTTATGAGTGTAACAGGATGGAATAGGCCTGGGGTAGAAGGTAAGGGTGCTCAGGACTAGTCTGTGATAAAAATGGGGTTCCAATGGAAAAATAAGGCAGCCTATAGTATAAATGTGAGCCCGCTGAGGTCTGCTGTGTGATTCTCTTTAATAACAGAGTTGAGAGGTGTTAATGAGCATGACACAGGGCACACAGCCATCGAGTGAATTAGTCATAGCTTGATTCTTTTTTGTGCCTCGTCTAATGGCAAACATTACCCAGCAATCACAGCAGTATCACTCAGATGGAGCAGAAGGTGTGGAAGGGTGTAATGAGGCTGCCTAAAAACTGTTTTACAGAGCCCTGCACCAATTCACAACAGATAATAGAACTCAGAGCCAGACAGATAATAGAAGCGACAGCCATTTATTGCTAAGAGACTGTCTGAATATTTGTGCATAAAGCAGCCCACTCCAAGTTCTTTAATCACATTTCTTGAGAAAGAGTGGCAAAATGGAAAGCCACGTGTCAGGCTACTTCCATTAGTGTGTTCTAAATCAGTATAAAGAGGAATAAGCAGATACGAAGAAAAAGAACACTGAAGAAGACTGCAGATCAGAAACAGCTTCTGGCTGTTTGAATTCAGCAAATTGGGACATCTTCTCCATGTGACTAGGACAGAGTATTGGAAAATAATTTTATCCTAAAGTAATCTGATATTTAGGATTGTTGAAAAATATCTTAGTTTACAATTCTTCTTTGATTCCTAAAAGAGAGAATGGCTCACCCAGACCCCATTTTTTCTTACTTCATACCTAGACTTTGGCACTTTTTTAGTATTGTGGATAGTGAATGGAAACATGTCGTAAAGTTCTAGAAGATGGAATTCATACTTTTCCGTAAGTTTTTTTTTTTAAAGACCAACAATCTTATCTTCTTCCAAGACGATCCCAAAAAGATTTAAAAGGAAATTTAATCATATTACAAGGTATCTCCTAATAGAAAATGAAATTTGGAAACATGGTTTTTCATATTTTTTCCTTGGCAACCATGTTCTGCTATGGTGCCACATTTTAAGAGGGACATTAACTAGATGACATGTATTCCAGATAACATGTCTAAAATGTCACTGGAATATAAAACCATATCATTTTAAAATGTTTGAAGGGCCTAAAGAATTTAACATAAAGAGGACAGAGAGTGCATAGCTTGGCAATAGTATTCAAATAGCAGATATCTATTCCTCCTGTGAAAGAAGAACTGTATGTTCTGTAGGACTTAAGGGAGTAAAAAAGAAAGACTAAATTAAAGTTAGAGTAGGTCCCTTCACCTGATTACAGGGAATGATTTGCAGTGTTTAGAGCTGTCCAGAAATTGAATGAGCTGTCTAGAAATTGAATAAACTGTCCAGACCAGTGAGCTCCTTGTCAGTGGATGTGTTCAAGCAGAAGCTAAGTAACCACTTGCTAGAGATATTTTAAAGAGTTAAGACGGAGAGTTGTCTTAATTGATGTGATATCCACTTGAACCCAGGGTGTCTGTGATATTAGTTATTATTAGTCTCCTCAGGGAGGTTCTTGATGCATTGTAACCTGGGGCTCAGGAGTTGAGCAAGGATGAATAAATTGAACTTTAAAGGCTAAGTTTGAAATATTTTTTCTTATCTTCTGAAGTCAGAAAGATTTCAATGTTTATATTATTATGACTGTAAAAGCAAGGTTTATTGTTAAGATAAATAATAAATTATGATTGCTTGAGTTTTTATACAGTTCTTTGTTTTCCCTGAAGTCAATAGTTGCCTTGTTTATTAATTTTTCTTATTTTTAAATACATATAACTAATTTGTTTCCAGATGTTCTGTTTTATAAAATACTCTGCATTATTATTTTATACACAACCAAATGCACTAAATCATCCATCAAGTGCATGTAGCAATTGGTACCCAACTGTTAGTTATATATCCAACATCCATTGTCCTTTTTTCTTTTACTAATGGGAGCCGCATACAAGCTTAAGGTAACAATATGTCCAGCTTTAGAAATCATTTCCTAGCCTTTCTTGCAGCAAATATGTCCATAAGATACAGCCTTCTAAAGAAGATGTAAATAGCTGTCTACTGGGGTTTAGGGACAGGTCCTTTCCTGTTAAAGGCATTGCCTATTTCTCCTTATTACCACCACCATCACATCCTCTTCTTCATCCTCCTTCTCCTTGTTTTTCCCCTCCTTTTCTGCTCTGTCTTCTTCCTTCTTGTCTGAATATACTGATTTTAGGTGAGGGGTTGAGCAGCCTTTACATCACATGAGGAAACTGTAAGAATAAAGATATAAGGAGCAGGATTTTAGAGACAGTAATGGCAATGCAAAAACAGTCCAGCACTTTTCATCTGTGGATCTCTGCTTAAATGTTGGAAAATATCTTTTTAATTTAATGACTTTGGTAAGGCTTATAAAATATCCAGCCAAATACAACCCTAACTGATACCAATGACGTTTCCAATCAGTGTATTTCTCAATAAATTATGTTGATACATGTGTCTAGCTGTGTGGGAAAAAAGGAAGTGAAATCTTTTCTTTTTACACCAAAATTAATTCTGTAGGAACGAATAATATCAATGTAAAAAATGAGAGAAACCATTGAAATTTTAGAAAAACCTACATTTTATAAAATATAATCTTCCATTGTGGAAGGTTTGTCTAAGTATTACTGAAACCACCAAGATAAAATGATCACTAAATATAACCAAATAGCAATTAAAATTTTCTATGCAGATGTCTTAATGAGGCAAGTAATTAATTGCTAAGAAAATTATGACCATACTAAAGCAGAGAGCTAATATCCTTAATATATAAAGAGCTGTTCAATAGCAACAAGAAAAATGTATCGAAGTTAAAGAAAAATTGTCAAAGGAAACAGACAATTCCAAGAAAAAAGAAAAGCATCTGTGGAAAGCCTCTCACAAAACAGACTAAATAAATAAAATACAATAACAAATAAAAATAATTAAAGTAGATATAATGAAAGAAGCCAATTAAAATTATAAACAATATCCTCAGAGAGATATAAAAATATAGAATATTCTGGAAATAAGAATATGATGTTTCATATCTTTAAAAACCAAACAAGAAACAAGAACAACTGGAGAATAAAAAAGAGCTTTGGGAGATTAAAAATATGTAATAAAAAGGTCTGAAGAATGGCTGGAATACAGACATAACCGGGAAATTAAAATAAAAAAGACAAAGGACATAGTTAATAGAATAAAGAAGAAAATTGAAAGACTAAACCATATCCTCAAAGAGTCAACTATCAGGAGCTCTGGAAATAAAGACCAGAGTAAACAGTGAAGAAGAAATTACCCAATCAATGATTGAAAAAAAATTCCCAGATCCAAAGGACCTGATTTTTCAGGTTGAAGATGTACATGTCATGGCTATCATAAGAAGTGAAAAAAAGACCAAGAATACTGTGGACAGAGAGAAGTTTTCTAAAAGCTACTAGGAGAGAAGATGCCATATACAAAAAGATCAGAAATAAAAATGGCATCTCCATCTATTTGTATTTTACTTTAACGTTTAATCTGGAAAATATGTTGAAATTAATTAAATATGTTTTCTACTGAAATTGAGTCTTAAACTGTGAGATACCTCTTAGCTATGAGCAACATGACTACAAGAGGGACTTGGTGCTAGAGGGTAGGTACACTGGCACAAACTATTTTCCTTGCTGGAAAAACAACTCAAAGCAAGTGAGGTTCGTCAGTGCCAGTTCGAAGTGCTTTCTTTCTTTCTCTTTTTTTTTTTTTTTTTCTGAGTCTCACTCTGTCACCCAGGTTGGAGTGCAGTGGTGCGATCTTGGCTCACTGAAACCTCTGCCTCCCAGGTTCAAGTGAATCTCCTCCCTCAGCCTCCTGAGTAGCTGGGATTACAGGCGCGTGCCACCATACCTGGCTAATTTTTTATATTTTTAGCAGAGACAGCGTTTCACCAAATTGGTCAGACTGGTCTCGAACTCCTGACCTCGTGATCCACCAGCCTCAACCTACCAAAGTGGTGGGATTACAGGCATGAGCCGCTGCACCCGGCCAGAAGTGCTTTTTAAATTCATGTCATTTATGTTTTCTTCTCTCTCTCCCTCCTTCTATGCATTTTTTTCTTTAGCAAACATTTTCAAGATTTGACATAGGTAGAATAATTTCTAAGCTGAGAAGCATCCATTCTATTGCCTTATGTGTCACTTTTCCCCTGGGGCTCTCACTGTAATCGCTGGCTCCATCAGATGGTCCTCTTTAAATACTCTCTTACTTTCTGTACAGTTCAGAAAATCTTTCCTCAGATTTTTAAATACATCAAACTCTGAGGAAAGCTATAGGAAAATGTTTTTCTTATGAAGTACAGTGTAACGTTTTGATCTTCTAGAGTGATCAGTTGTTCCAGTTTGCCAGAGGCTGAGAGGGTTACTGGAACATGAGAATTTCAGCTTTAAAACCAGGATAGTTCTAGATAAACTGAGATGAGTTGGTCACCCTCGATCTGACTCAAGTAATTCACTGTCTGAGATAGCTACCCTTCAGCCTCAAAGAATGGCCACAACCTCTCAGGTTCCTGAAACAAAGTTTATCATATCTATAGTTCCTGGAAATATCTTCATGAAGGGACATCCGAACAATTACATTCCAGGAGCTGTCTCCTATATATCTTTATGACTATATCACGAAGTATAAAAAGGGAAATTTTCTCCTCTGTACTTCCTCCCCTTGCTCCTCTCCCAAGACCCTGATTTCTGTTTCTAGTTTGAGACACGATTTTTCCCCATTGGCTTTACTTTACATAGATCCTTTCTCTACACATCAGAATTTAACTTTACCCTTGCCAGAGAAAAAAAAATTCACATTCATTCATTCATTCATTCATTCCCTCCCTCACTCATTTGTTCAATTAAAAAACATACAAAGTTCTTGCTAAGGGTCAGGCACGATTTTAGGTGCTGGGAATTTGGTGGTTAAAAAAAAGAAGTGTTCTTGCTGCCATGAAACTTATGTTCTTATGGGAGCAGACCATAAACAAACAGAAATATGATAGTAACATAATTTACATGAGTATAAAATCAAGTGGTGTGATGGGATAAAAAATAATGGGATGTATTTAAAATTGGGCATTAAGGAAAGACCTTTGTAAGGAAATCAAATGTGAGCTGTAGCTTAGAAATATGAGAAGAAGCTAGCTCTGAGAAAGTTTAGGGAAAAGAAGAGTGACAACTATAAAGTTCCCCAAATGGGAGACAGCTGGACTTGTTTAAGACACAAGGCCAGTATGGCTGGAACATAGGAAACACATATGGTATGACTTGATGTTAGAAAGGCAGAAAGGAACCACAGCATGCTAGAGTTTTGTGGGTCATGGTAAAGAATCTGTGTAAAGACACTAGATGGTTTTGAAAAGGAGAGTGATGTAGTCTGAATTACATTAAAAATGTTAATCTTTTTGTTTCAATGGATAAATGGATAAAAAGTGTGGTACACATACACAGTGGAATACTATTCAGTCATTAAAAGGAATGAAACCCTGTCATTTGCAGCAACATGGATGGAACTGGAGTTCATTTTGTTAAGTGATAAGCCAGGCCCACAAAGGCTAATATCACATACTCTCACTCATATGTGAGCTAAAAAAGTTGATCTTATAGAAGTAGAGAGTGGAATGATGCTTACCAGAGGCTGAGGGGGTGTGGGAGGAAATGAAGAGAGGTTTGTTAATGGGCGCTAAAATGTAATTGGACTGAAGGAACTAGTTCTATTGTTCAGCAGCACTGTAGGGTGACTATAGTTAACAGTAATTTGTTGTGTATTTCAAAGTAGCCAGAAGGGAATATTTGGAATGCTCCCAACACAAAGAAATGATAAAGGTTTGAGGTGATGAGTATCCTAATTACCCATATTTGGTCATTACAATTATTATGTATCAATAAAAAACATAAATCTCTTTGGCTATTGTGTGGAAAGGATCACAGGAGGTAAGGGTAAGGGTAGTGAGACCAGTTAGGGAGGTGTTGTGTGGTTGTTCAGGGGAACGTAAGAGCTGGCTTGTTCTAGGGTGGAATCAGTGGAGAAGGAAAGTGGTTGAAGTTGGGACATATTTTGAAAGTGAAGATAACAGGACTCCCTGTTGGATTAAATGGGGTGGTGGTGAGGGAAAGAGAAGTCTCCTTGACTTCTGGTGCGAGTCAAAGGCAGCTGTTGGTGTCTAAATACTATTCATTGATCACAGCACTCATGGCATGCCTACAATAAGAGCTACAGAAAAGAGACCATTCTGAAGTAAGCAAAGCATTTTCCTATGACATTACATATTTCTCCACCACAGTATGGACAGTATGCACAGGGGTTAGGAGCAGTGGCTCTGGAGCCACACTGCTTAACTGCGTAATTCCATCCTGCCATATGGTGACTATGGATCTAGGTTAAAATAACTTATTTGCCCTTTTTTTCTTATGAGGAGAATAAGTAATACACACTTCATAGGATTTTGTGAAAATTAAATGAGTTAACACATGAAAAGTACTTAGGAAAATGCCTGGCAAGAAATGATAGTTATTATATTTATTACTTTTTTTATTGGCTGTATAATATTTGATTATGTAAATGTATTAATTTATATAATAGGTCTCCCCACTTTCTTGGATATTTAGATGATTTCTAATGGGCTTTATTAGCTATAGTTATACAATGAACACTCTTTCACATATATACATATATACGTACATACTTTTCCATTATTATGATTATTTATTCAGGATAAATTTCTACGGTTTGAATCTGGTGGCTTAAATAATCTAAAAGATGCATGATTTAAGAGTTTTGATACATATTGCCAAATATTATACCCTTTTATACTCCCACTAGCTGAGTATTTCCTTACACCATAGCCAAATTTGGATACTATAATAAAAAAGAAAATAACACATTTACAAATTTGGTAGAAAAAATTACATTCTTATTATTTCAGTTGACTTTAAAAATTATGGAATAGACTGAATGTTTTATGCAATAGTTAGCTGTTGGCCAGTTTTCTTTTGGAGTATTTGGATTTTTCTTTTTGATTTGTAGCAGTGTTTACCTGCTATTTTTGCTTCAATTTAGTTTAGTTTATCATTTGGTGGTGGTTGTTGGATTCAATGTGTACATCTTTTACTATATTGCATTTGTCTTCATCCTGATATCATGTAAACATCAACCATATTTTTAAAGGGCTAATTTATTTCAGCATATGGTATAAATTTATACCATAGATATTATGATATAAACCTAATATCTAGGTTTTTATTTTTCAAAATAGTTAATTGTTCCATATCCTTTATTTACTCTTGAATTTTTTGTTCTCCTTTAATTTAAAATGCTTACCCTAAAACACTACTGAGCTATTTCTATAGGAGTTTGTATATAAGTATGCAGATGGATTCATTTTTAAAAATGGAACACACTCACCTCATTTTTAATGTACAAAATTATTACATGTGTGTGGCTCTGTTTTTGAGTTTTCCTCTCTGTTTCATTTGGCCATCTCTGTATTCCTATACCAGTATCCTATTAGTGAGGTAATTGTAGCTCTTTAATTCCATTATGTATGTTCATGTGCATATTTATATATATTATACATATGTATTTTTTTTTTTTGAAACAGGATCTCACTCTGTTGCCTAGGCTGGAATGTGGTGGCATGATCACAGCTCACTGCAGCCACAAATTCCTGGGCTCAAGCAATCCTCCTGCTTCAGCCTCCTGAGTAGCTGGGACTATAGGCAAGCGCTACTGTGCTCAGGTAATTTTTGTATTTTTGTGGAGATGGGGCCTTGTTTTGTTGCCCAGGCTGGCTTCAAGTGATCCTGCCACCTTGGTCTCCCAAAGTGTTGGGATTACAGGCATGAAACACCACATCTGACCTCATTTAATATGTTATGTGTAAGTCCTCTAAATTATTCCTCACTTCAAAATGACATTGGAGTTTTAACTAGAATGGTCTTAAATGTAAAAATGAATTTTGGAGAATGTTAACAACATGAAACATCAAATCTCCCCAACCAGAGACATGTATTCATTCACTCTTCAAGTTTCACAATTTTTGAGTTGAAATATTTAAGCAAGAAAGACAAACAACTAAATCACAACAATAAAACAACAACAACAACAACAAAACCTTTTTGTCTTGAAGAAATTTTACTCTTTGTCCTAGTCTGTTCGAGCTGCTAACAAAATCCCATAAACTGGGGGCTTACAAATAGCAAACATTTATTTCTGAAGGCTGGGAATTCTAAGATCAAGGTATTGGCAGATTCAGTGTCTGGTGAGGACCCTTTCTTCATAGGCTGAACCTTTGCTCACTTCAGGACTGTGTGTTCACTTGGTTGGAAGGGCAAACAAGCTCCCTTGGGTCTCTTTTAAAAGACACTAATTCCATTAATGAGGGCTCCATCTTCATGATCTACTTACCTCCCCAAAGTCCTACCTCTTAATATCATCACTTTGGGAGTTAAGTTTCAACATATAGATTTTGAGGGACACAAACATTCAGACCAGTGCAGCTTTGTGTTATTGAAAGATGCTGAAGACAAGATGAGCTCCATGACTCACTTCCTTGGCTCAAGATATGGAAGTCATGGAAGTGAGTTTCAAGTCATGGAAATGAGCTCCATGACTCACTTCTTTGACTTCCATGACTCAAGATAAGATGAGCTCCATGACCCTTTCTGAGTGTGAGGATTGGAAATACAGAAACAACAATAATGCATTATATGTGTGTGTTGCTGTTTTACTTATCAAAGTGTTTTTTAAATCTAAATATTACTTAACCTTCTCAGTATCTGTTGGAGGAAGGCAGGCAAACTGCTTAAAGTTCCATTTTATAGAAGAGGAACTTAGCGGGCAGAGCCCAAGTTGCCCAGGACAGCACAACTAGTTAACGTGGCCTTTGGCTTAAGATTAGGTCTTTTGGATTCTGGAGCTGGCTCCATAATACTCCTTAGCCTAGTGGGTTCTGGTTATGAAGAAAAGGATGGGTATAAATTGAAGAGCCTTAAATATGCAGCGCGCTGCCTCATGGGCCCAGGCCACCCTGATGCAGATACTTGATTCAGGGATACTTAGTTTCTACATTTCCAACCTCCTGCTTTGTCTCCTCCACAGAGGCCAACATTCTCTTTTTTTTTTTCCTTGTTACTTTCCTCCTTTACAGCTTGTTCTTGTGAAAACAACTGATATATCTATAAATTTCACAGGGATTTTCTTACACTTAAGCTGTTGACAGGTCTAAAGTCTAAATTGTGAGGCAAAAATCTGATGCCATAGACATCAGAGAGCTGAGCTAGAAAGGTGATGTTTTAATCCAGGTGAATTTTTCAGTTTCTAGAGTCATACTATGTAGGAAGGGCTTGCCTGGCCATTGGACAGATTCCATATAGCGTATGAATTCACAGAGTTGGAAGAACCTTTATATGCAGCATCCCAAATGCCTCTCTGAAGTCCTTAACTTTAAGGGAAACCTGCTCACTCCATTCTCCCTGGAGCTCCATGTTGATAAATTACCCGAAGGAATTTTATGAATCTACATCTTTTATGTCTGCAGACATGACCTTTCATCTGATGAATATTGAAACAGAATTCTCCAGTACAATAGAGGACTTGTGGACATTAGTAGGAGCTTGCTCTGAACCAACACTGGTTTCATCCAGGACTTGAACCTGGGCATTATTTTCTATCTGCTCAGTATATTGACCTGTCAGCACCTTACTTATTTTTTAAGCACATGCTCAATGGCCACCCACTCCAAGAGGTTTGAATGATTTAATACATGAAAAACATTTAACCACACCTAGCTTATATATAGTAAGAACTCAATAAATATTAGCTATTAATAATTTTAAAATGGCTTCCGAGTCTTCTAAACAAAGACTGAAATATGAGCTCGGCTTAACCTGTTAGGTGTATTAAAGGCATAACGACATTATTTTTCATTTGCCATAGTCACCTGAAGCTGTTGTTTCAGAGACAATGATTGTGTTTGGGTACTACTTACTGCTTGGTGTAAACCACATTCCACGCGCTAGTGTTCAGGTAGTCGCACAGAGAGGGAGAGAATTAGAGAAAATGACAGTGCCAGTGTCATCCATTAGGCACTGAGTCACAAGGCTTTGAGGTTAACATGGACTTGGAGACTACCTAGCCCTAAAGGCTCCTACAGCACTTCCAACCAATAAGCCCCATGGCTCTGTGTCACTGTCTCCTTAAAATGGCAAAGTAGCCTATCCTATCTCTAGATAGCTATGTTAAATCCTCTTAATTTGGAACAAAATGTGACGTTAGGACTTTTACCTAGGATTCCAGTTCTGTTCTCTGATACCACACAGGAAAAGTTTAATCTCTCCTCTTTGAGACTGTTCTTCAAAATTCTTGGAGACCTGCAGTAGCTAAGCACTCTAGGATCTAGTTGTAGAGCTCTGGCTTGTATATTGATTGACTTCAAAGGTCAATTTGTATAATGTACTCTCCTGATTCATCTTTGGTGACTGAGTATGACTAGAGATTTAGTTTTATCCCTAGATGGGTTGGCATTACAGTTCTCTCTTGTAGACTGGTATGAGAAGTCATTCCTGATCCTTCTACTTTCCCAAATGCTACCCTTTTAAAGACTCTTTGTGTATGCCAGAGGGTACCATGGTTCAATATTTATATTCTGTTCTTCTTCAAAGTTTTCCTTGCTGTAATATTTTTTTTCTGAAACTCACAGCTGTATACTTAGATCTTGCAATTCCTTCTCTTGGGGGTAGTGGGGGATTTATACCATAGGGCTGAGAATCCAGGAATGGATCTTACCATATGGCCCTTGCCCCTGATTAAATCTGCTCGCCATTTTGTCCGAGTAAAACTCGGTGAAAATAAACATTATAAGTGAATCCGACAGAGAAAACTGATGCTGCTGAAGGGCCAAAAAAGACAAAATGTTTGGATGAATGTGAGCACCAGGTTTTCTTTAATTTCATTTTAATAGTTGCTGTATTTTTGGAAATGGTAATGCATTTATGTGGTTCAAAAATTTAACGTTTATCTGTACACCAAACCCCCATGACACAATTTACCTATATAGTAAACCAGCACATGTACCTCTGAACCTAAAATTAAAGTTAAAAAAAATACAGTGTTAACAGATGTACACTAAAAATCTGTTTCCCACTCCTGTTCCTAGTCACTGTGTGTTTCCTTGCTCACTGTGATTAAGTTTCTAGTGTGTAGTTTTGAAATGACAAGAAATATAAATGCATATTCTTATTTCCCCCTGTTTACATGATGGATAGTTCTGGCAGAAGCCATAGTGTTCACCAATATTCACACTCTTTTCTATCTAATAAAGACTTCGTGTGTGGATAAAACTCTTCCTTATGTGATCTTTTCTCTTTTAGCTCTCACTCTCTGGCTGAATGTAGAGGACTCTGAAGGCTTAGGCAAGAGGGGAGTTATAAGGCACCACAGAACCCTGAATGACTGCATGGAGCAGAACCCTTCGCAAACCTGCTCTTCAGGCCTCCTTTTTGAGACAGCTGGAAAAGATTCTTTCTCCTTTTCTAGCAATTACTTCCTCCCTCCGACTCAAATGCCTACTCAGCCTCTAGTATTCAGTGTAAGTACGTGTATCACTAGAAATCTAGATCTGGGGATTTAACCTCAGAAGCTTTCTCTGCCTATCCTAACCCATACTGCCCATTTTTTAAAATTTTATTTTTATTTTTAATTTTTGTGGGTTCATAGTAGGTATATTATTTATGGGATATATGAGATGTTTTGATACAGACATGCAATGTGAAATAAGCAATAACATGGATGGAACTGGAAATCATTATGTTAAGTGAAATAAGCCAGTCACAGAAAGACAAGCATCACATGTTCTCATATTTATGGGATCTAAAAATCAAAACAATTGAACTCAGGGACATAGAGAGTAGAAGAATGATTACCAGAGGCTGGGAAGGGTAGTAATGGGCTGGGAGGGGTGAGAAGGTGGGACTGTTGCTCACTTTTAAACCAATGCCTTATAGCATATTTTACAGTCTAATTTAGAAGTTTACATCTGTTCTTACTCGGCAGATCATAAGCTGCTTGAACTCATAGAAAATGTTTTTTGCTTCTTGTATCACCTCAGTGCCGAGTAAAGTGTGATACAAAGTGGGGACTCAGTATATCTTAATTGATTCACTGATTTTCTAGTGGAACAGATGAGAGGTGACTGGGGAGCTTGAATGAGCTATCTCCACATCAGATTCTGAGTCTGAACTTTTGGCCCAATCTAGAACTCTCCAGGAGTATTTTGAGGTATCTTCCAAGAAAATTTTCAAATCAGGAAAAAACTATCATTTTTATTGAGGACTTAGCCAAAGTTGAATATTTAGTAATTTAGGAAATTTTGCTGACAGCTTTGATTGTGTTGACTTTTAAGCATTAATAATTCCATAAAAAAGAGAAATTAGCTGGGGATTATGTTCCTTTATTTAAAGAAGTGAACAAAAGTGTTTCTGGGCACGTACATGTGGCTAAGGAGATTCATTTTGAGTTGAGAAGGAAATTCCCATTATATACCATCTTTCTTGAAAGGAGTCATCTAATTTTCTTCTTCCTTTGGGGATATTTTCATTACTTTTAAAAGGCTAATGGTGGAAGAAACTTCTCAACACAGGTCCATATGATGAAATAATTAATTAATTAAATTTATTCAGCAGTAATTGAGCACTTAGTAAACTAAAGGCACTATACAAAACAGGATGAAGCATGTAACAGAAAATGGAAGCATATGCAAAATGAAAAGAATACTGGATAAACAGCAACAACAGCAGTATCAATAGCAGTAGTAATGGTAGCTGCTATTATTCAGCATGTATTCATGCCAGGAACACTAATTATATAATTCCTAACTCTCAAAATAACCCTTCAAAGTAAGTATTTACTAATATACATATTTTTATAGTTAAGAAAATTGGTAAAACTACGAAGCGTATTTGAATATAGCTGTTTCTCAATCCGCATGCAGCTTCCCGATCACTAAGCACACTTTCTTGCAGTACAGGGGCTGGGTTCAAGTCTAGATTTTGTCTCTTAATGTTTGTTGAGCCTCAGTTTTCTTACCTTAACATCTGGATGATGATCATCTTGGCTCTACTTATCTCCCAGGAGGATGTTCTAATCAAAGGGCCTAGAGGATGTGAAAGGGTTTGTGTAGAACCCATAACACAATAGTGTGGAAAGTGATAAATGATGCAATACAGGCACTGAGGAGAAGGTAGCGGTGTCCAGAGGGAGAGACACCCCTGTTGGGATATCAGAACAGTAATAAACATTTGTGGATATAGGCTTTTGGGGAGCAGCCATGGCTTCTGCTCTGAAAGAGTGGCTCTCCTCTGGCAGGCAGATACACTCTGACAACTATAATGGAGTTCTAATCACAAGGCAAAAATCTAAACTTGAACTCAGGCCCTGTGACTACAAGAAAGTGTGTGGAGTGGTGGGGGAAAGCTACATATGGATTGAGAAACAACTGTATTCTAAAGAGCACTGTCATCACAATCATTACAGTCCCAGTTTAAAAAAAAATGTAGTAATTTCTTTATATGCCTTAGGGGTTCTAAGTCAGGGGTGAGCAAACTTTAGCTTCTCGCCTAAGTGTTTGTTTTTGTAAATAAAGTTTTATTGGAATACAGCCAGGCACATTTTTGAATGTATTTTCTATGGCAGACTTGAGTCATTGCTACAGAGACCGCATGGCCTGCAAAATTTAAAATATTTACAATCTGGTCCTTTAAGAAAATGATTCCCTAGAAGAAAACCTAGGCATTACCATTCAGGACATAGGCATGGGCAAGGACTTCATGTGCAAAACACCAAAAGCAATGGCAACAAAAGACAAAATTGACAAATGGGATCTAATTAAACTAAAGAGCTTCTGCACAGCAAAAGAAACTACCATCAGAGTGAACAGGCAACCTACAAAATGGGAGAAAATTTTCGCAACCTACTCATCTGACAAAGGGCTAATATCCAGAATTTACAATGAACTCAACCAAATTTACAAGAAAAAAACAAACAACCCCATCAAAAAGTGGGCGAAGGACATGAACAGACACTTCTCAAAAGAAGACATTTATGCAGCCAAAAAACACATGAAAAAATGCTCATCATCACTGGCCATCAGAGAAATGCAAATCAAAACCACAGTGAGATACCATCTCACACCAGTTAGAGTGGCAATCATTAAAAAGTCAGGAAACAACAGGTGCTGGAGAGGATGTGGAGAAATAGGAACACTTTTACATTGTTGGTGGGACTGTAAACTAGTTCAACGATTGTGGAAGTCAGTGTGGCGATTCCTCAGGGATCTAGAACTAGAAATACCATTTGACCCAGCCATCCCATTACTGGGTATATACCCAAATGACTATAAATCATGCTGCTATAAAGATACATGCACACGTATGTTTATTGTGGCATTATTCACAATAGCAAAGACTTGGAACCAACCCAAATGTCCAACAATGATAGACTGGATTAAGAAAATGTGGCACATATACACCATGGAATACTATGCAGCCATAAAAAATGATGAGTTCATGTCCTTTGTAGGGACATGGATGAAATTGGAAACCATCATTCTCAGTAAACTATCGCAAGAACAAAAAACCAAACACCGCATATTCTCACTCATAGGTGGGAATTGAACAATGAGATCACATGGACACAGGAAAGGGAATATCACACTCTGGGGACTGTGGTGGGGTGGGGGGAGGGGGGAGGGATAGCATTGGGAGATATACCTAATGCTAGATGACGAGTTAGCGGGTGCAGCGCACCAGCATGGCACATGTATACATATGTAACTAACCTGCACAATGTGCACATGTACCCTAAAACCTAAAGTATAATAAAAAAAGAAAAGAAAGAAAAAAAAAAAAACGTTCTAGAAAAAAAAAAATGATTCAAGGGATCCTACTTTAAATGGAGACAGCAGGCATCAGTTAAATAAAAATAATGGTCATGTTACACATGTATCTGCATGTGTGTGAGTGGTGAGAGGGGCCAATGGGGTGAGCAATGCGAGTGCCATCGACTTTGTCCACTGTTGATGGAATCTACTTTGTTCGCAGTTAGTCACTAGGAGAGGCAGCACACTGTGATCAGTTGTTCACAAGTTTGGCTGCATATTGGAATCACTTGGACATCTTTTAAAACTCTTCATGCACAGGCTGTACCCAGAACAATGTAATTAGGATCTCTTCAAATATGATTGATGATCAGTGATTATTATAGCTTTACAGGTGATTCCAATGTGCCGCTAAAGTTGCAAATCATAATGTAGTGGAAATAACCTTGGCCTGGGTTTCTAAAATGTAGTTCACAGCCCAAGAATTAGTACAATTTTACTTTAACTAACTACTGAGTGTATAAATGAGAAATTAGTTGCTATTCATGCTTTTTTTTCCTTCCAAAGCAGTATTTTTTACTGTCTTTCTTGGACTGACAAGAAGCCTGGGAGGCTCTAAAGCAATGGGATTATTAATTTGGGTTTTCTTCTTGCTGTAAGAGATTGTGCATGCTCCATGCACAATAGATTTCAGAGTTTATGGACACTGGAAGGCATCAAAATTGTATGGAAAAGGAAACAGCCATCGGGCTAGTCCCTTGGGATTTAAGATGTGCTGAGGAAAACACAACAGAACACAATAAAATATTGTCTCTGTTTGAATAGAGTTTTTAAGCATTATTCTATAGTGCCTAATGGCAGAGAATGGGCAACTCAGTACTTTTTCTTATCTCTCCAAGACCTCTTTACTCTTCCTGGATTGAGAATGAGTGGGTCGGCAAAGGTGATTGAGAAGGGTGTGCGAGTAAACTGGGGATTTGCTATTTGCCTTTGTGCTGTGGCTTTTCATTTGATACCATAGAACTAATTGTTTACCCCAGCACAGAGTAGGCCTACTAAATCAATGAATGCATTCTGGTTATCTTCAATCAGTAACCAGAATGCATTCACTGATTCCACCACTGTTTCGTGGCCCACCGGCTGGCTATGAGAGCTACAGAGTCCAAATTTGGGGTGTGTTTTCTGAAGCCATGATCAAAATCCAAGTATGTTCATTAGGGTTGTGGAAGGATTGTGGAAAACTTAACCCTATTAACTCATTAGCTCCCATTAATATTGATAATTTATTTGACTGGTCTGAGGGAAAGGACATTGGCCTAGTAAATGTAAATAATACCTAAGAGAAGTGGGTATACTAGACCAAGGAGTAGGATGAGAATGATGCTAGTTAGGGAAGGCAGATGTATTGAGACCCTTTAAGGAGGGCCTGCGAAATTGGATAAGTAAAAATTCTACTCAGTGAAAAGGTCTCTTTTCCCCTCCAATTGTAAAAGTAACCCCTGATTTTATATACATATACAGCACCTGCAGAAATGCAAAGAAATATATTTTAAAAAGCAAGAAAACTAAAATCATCTCATAATCTTCTCTATTAATGCTTTCTGATCATTTTTTCCATTTATTAATGCAAAGTTCTTTCCCAATAGAAATAAATATAATATTTATATCTAGTATTTACCAATAGTGTTATCTTATGACTCTCAGGTGGTCGACACCCAGGTGCAATAATTCTCTCTCTTTTTTTTATTTCCAACTTTTATTTTAAGTTCAGGGGTACATGTGCAGGATGTGCAGGTGTGTTATATAGGTAAATGTGTGCCATGGTGGTTTGCGCGCAGATCATCCCATCACCCAGGTATCAAGCCCAGCATCCACTAGCTATTTTTCCTGATCCTTTCCCACCCCTTGCCCTCCCACAGGCCCCAGTGCATGTTGTTCCCTACCATGTGTTCATGTGTTCTCATCATTTAGCTCCCACTTATAAGTGAGAACATAGGTATTTCATTTTCTGTTCCTGCATTAGTTTGCTAAGGATAATGGCCTTCAGCTCCATCCATGTCCCTGCAAAGGACATGATCTTCTTCCTTTTTATGGCTGCATAGAATTCCATGGTGTATATGTACCACATTTTCTTTACCCAGTCTATCACTGATGGACATTTAGGTTGATTCCATGTCTTTGCTGTTGTGAATAGTGCTCCAGTGAACATGTGTCTTAATAATAGAAAAATTTATATTCCTTTGGGTATATACCCAGTAATGGAATCACTGGGTTGAATGATATTTCTGTCTTCAGCTATTTGAAGAATCACCACACTATTTTCCACAATGGCTGAGCTAATTCACACTCCTACCAACAGTGTATAAGCATTACTTTTTCTCCACAACCTCACCAGTACCTGCTATTTTTTAGCTTTTTAGTAATAGCCATGACTGGTGTGAGATGGTATCTCATTGTGGTTTTTGATTTGCATTTCGCTAATAATCTGTGATGTTGAGCATTTTTTTCATGTTTGTTGGCTGCATGTATGTCTTCTTTTGAAAAGTGTCTCTTCATGCCTTTTGCCCACTTTTTAATGGGGTTGTTTTTCTTTTGTAAATATGTTTAAGTACTTTGTAGAGTCTGGATAACAGACCTTTGTCAGATGGATAGATTTCAAAAATTTGTCCCATTCTGTAGGTTGTCTGTTTACTCTGTTGACAATTTCTTTTGCTGTGCAGAAGCTCTTTAGTTAATTAGATCCCATTTGTCTATTTTTGCTTTTGGCATCTTCCTCATGAACTCTTTACCCATGCCTATGTCTTGAATGGTATTACTAGGTTTTCTTCTAGGGTTTTTATAGTTTTGGGTTTTACATTTAAATCTTTAATCCAGCTTGAGTTGATTTTTTTGGTATATGGTGTAAGGAAGGGGTCCAGCTTCAATCTTCTGCATATGGCTAGCCAGTTCTCCCAGCACCATTTATTGAACAGGGAATCATTTCCCCATTGTGTGTTTCTGTCAGCTTTGTTGAAGATCAGATGGTTATAGGTGTGTGGTCTCATTTCTGTGTTTTCTATTCTGTTAGATTGATCTATATGTCTGTTGTTGTCCAGTACCACATTGTTTTGGTTACTGTAGCCTTGTAGTATAGTTTGAAGTCAGGTAGCCTGATGCCTCCAGCTTTGTTCTTTTTGCTTATGATTGCCTTGTCTAATCGGCTCTTTTTTTGTTCCATATGAATTTTAAAACAGTTTTTCCTAATTCCGTGAAGAATGTCAATGGTAGTTTAATGAGAATAGCATTGAATCTATAAATTACTTTGGGTAGGATAGCCATTTTCACGATATTGATTCCTTCTATCTGTATTAGTTCATTTTCATGCTGCTGAAAAGACATATTCGAGAATGGGCAATTTACAAAAGAAAGAAATTTAATGGAGAACTCATAGTACCATGTGGCTAGGGATGCCTCTCAATCATGGCAGAAGGCAAGGAGAAGCAAATCAAATCTTACTTAGATGGTGGCAGGCAAAGAGAGCTTGTGCGGGGCAACTCCCATTTTTAAAACTATCAGATCTTGTGAGACCCATTCACTATCATGAGAAGAGCATGGGAAAGACCGGCCCCCATGAATCAATCATCTCCCACTGGGTCCATCCCACAACATGTGGGAATTATGGGAGCTATGAGATGAGATTTGGGTGGGACAAAGAGCCAAACCATATCACTATCCATGAGCATGGGATGTTTTTCCATCTGTTTGTGTCCTCTCTGATTTCTTTGAACAGTTATTTGTAGTTCTCCTTGAAGAGGTCCTTCACTTTCCTTGTTAGCTGTATTCCTAGTTATTTTATTCTTTTTGTAGCAATTGTGAATGGGAGTTCATTTGTGATTTGGCTCTCAGCTTGCCTATTGTTTGTGTATAGGAATACTAGTGATTTTTGCACAGTGATTTTGTATCCTGAGACTTTGTTGAAGTTGTTTATCAGTTTGAAAAGCCTTTGGGCTGAGATGACGGGGTTTTCTAGAGGTAGGATCATGTCATCTGCAAACAAAGTTAATTTAGCTTCCTCTCTTCCTATTTAAATATGCTTTATTTCTTTCTCTTGGCTGATTGCCTTGGCTGGAACTTCCAATACTATGTTGAATAGGAGTAGTGAGACAGAGCAACCTTGTGTTGTGCTGGTTTTCAAGAAGAATGCTTCTAGCATTTGCCCATTCACTGTGATATTGGTTGTGGGTTTGTCATATATGACTTTTATTATTTTGAGGTATGTTCCATTAAAACCTAGTTTATTGAGAGTTTTTAAATGAAGGAATGTTGAATTTTATCTAAGGCCTTTTCTGCATTTGAGATAATCATGTGGTTTTTGTCTTTAAGTATGTGATGAATTATGTTTATTAATTTGTGTATGCTGAACGAGTCTTGCATCCCAGGGATGAAGCCTACTTGATAATGGTGGATAAGCTTTTTGATGTGCTGCTGGATTTGGTTTTGCCAGTATTTTGTTTTCAATTTTTCAGAATAGTTTCAGTAGGAATGATACCAGCTCTTCTTTGTACATCTGGTATAATTCAGCTGTGAATCTGCCTGGTCCTGGACTTTTTTGGTTGGTAGGCTATTTATTACTGACTCAATTTCAGAACTCATTATTGGTCTATTCATGGATTCAATTTCTTTCTGGTTCATTCTTGGGAGGGTGTATATGTCCAGCAATTTATTCATTTCTTCTAAATTTTCTATTTTATGTGCATAGGGATGTTTATAATATCCTCTGATAGTTGTTTTTATTTCTCTAGGGTCAGTGGTAATATCCCCCTTATCATTTCTGATTGTGTTTTTTGAATCTTCTCTCTTTTCTTCTTTGTTAGTCTAGCTAGTGGTCTATTTTATTAATTTTTCAAAAAATCAGTTCCTGGATTTGTTGATTTCTTGAAGGATTTTTCATATCTCTACGAAGGAGATAGAAATATCTTTTGTATTTCTATCTCCTTCAGTTCAGCTCTAATCTTGGTTATTTCTTGCCTTCTGCTAGCTTTGGGGTTTGTTTGCTCTTGATTCACTAGTTCTTTTAGTGATGTTAGGTTGTTATCTTGAGATCTTTCTAGCTTTTTGATGTGGGCATTTGGTGATATAAATTTCCCTCTTTTCACTGCTTTAGCTGAGTCTCAGAGATTCTGGTACTTTGTATCTTTGTTCTCACTGGTTTCAAAAAACCTTCTTGATTTCTACCTTAATTTCATTATTTACCCTAAATTCATTCAGGAGCAGGTTGTTCAATTTCCATGTAGTTGTATGGTTTTAAGTAAATTTCTTAATCTTGAGTTCTAATTTGATTGTGCTGTGGTCCAGGAGACTGCTTGTTATGATTTCAGTTCTTTTGCATTTGCTGAGGAGTGTTTCACTTTCAATTATGTGATCATTTTTTTGAGTAAGTGCTATGTGGCAATAAGAAGAATGTATATTCTGTTGTTTTGGGTCAAAGGGTTCTGTAGATATCTATCAGGTCCACCTGATCCAGAGCTGAGTTCAGGTCCTGAAAATCCCTGTTATTTTCTGTCTTGATGATTTGTTTAATATTGTCAGTAGGGTGTTAAAGTATCCCACTATTATTGTGTGGGATTTGAGGTCTCTTTGAAGTTTTCTAAGAACTTGCTTTATGAATCTGGGTGCTCCTGTATTTGGTGCATAAATATTTAGGGTAGTTAGCTCTATGCTACATATATATGAACCCTCTACCCTTATATATTGCCCTTCTTTGTCTTTTTTTGACTTTTGTTGATTTAAAGCCTGTTTTGTCAGAAACTAAGATTGCAACCCCTGCTTTTTAATTTTTTCATCCATCCCTTAATTTTGAGCCTGTGATGTTCTTACCTGTGAAATGGATCTCTTGAAGATAGCATTGCAGTGGGTGTTGGTTCTTTATCCAGCTTGCCACTCTGTCTTTTCATTGGGGGCCCATGTCGTCTTCTTACATTTAAGGTTAGTATTGTTATGTGTGAATTTGATCCTGCCATCATGATGCTAGCTGGTTACTTTGCAGACTTGTTTATGTGGTTGTTTCATAGTGTCACTAGTCTGTGTACTTCAGTGTGTTTTTGTAATGGCTGCTAATAGTTTTTCTTGTCCATATTTAGTGTTTCTTTCAGAAGGTGTTGTAAGGCAGGTCTAGTGGTAACGAATTGCCTCAGGATTTGCTTGTCTGAACAGGATCTTATTTATTTCTCCTTCACTTATGAAGCTTAGTTTGGCTGGATATGAAATTCTTGGTTGATATTTTTTTCCTTTAAGAAAGTTGAATACTGGCCCCCTATCTCTTCTGGCTTGTAGGGTTTCCACTGAAAGGCCTACTGTTAGTCTACTGGGCCCCCACTGTAGGTGACTTGGCCTTTCTCTCTCACTGCCCTTAACATTTTTTCTTTTATTTCGACCTTGGTGAATGTGATGATGATGTGTCTTGGGGTAATCTTCTCATGGACTGTTATAATGTATGATATGGTTTGGCTCTGTGTTCCCACCTAAATCTCATTTTGAATTAGAATTCCCACATTTCATGGGAGGGGCCTGGTGCAAGGTGACTGAATCATGGGGGAAATCTTCTCCCTTGCTGTTCTCATGATTGTGAGGGAGTTCTCACAAGATATTGTCATTTGAAAGTGTGTGGCACTTCCCCCTTTGCTTTCTCTTTCTCCTGCTCCACCAGGGGAAGATGTGCCTTGTTTCCCCTTTGCCTTCCACTATGATTGTAGGTTCCCTGAGGAGCCCCAGTCATGCTTCCTGTTAAGCCTGGAGAACTGAGTCAACTAAATGCCTTTTCTTCATAAATTACTCAGTCTCAGGTAGTACTTTATAGCAGTGAGAAAATGGAATACTACAGAAAATTGGTACCAGGATAGTGGGGCACTGTTATAAAGATACTTGAAAATGTAAAAAGAACTTTGGAACTGGTTAGCAAGTAGAGGTTGGAACAGTTTGGAGGGGTCAGAAGAAGATAAGATGACGCAGGAAAGTTTGGAACTTCCTTGAGATTTTTTTGAATAATTTTGACCAAAATGGTAATAGTGATATGGACAAGAAAGTCCAGGGCGAGGTGTTCTCAGGTGGAGATGAAGAACTTATTGGGAACTGGAGTAAATGTTATTCTTGCTAAGCTTTAGGAAAAGACTGGTGGCATTGTGCCCCTGTTCTAGGGATCTGTGGAACTTTGAACCTGGGAGAGATGATTTAGTGTATCTGGTGGAAGAAATTTCTAAGCAGTAAAACATTCAAGATGTGGCATGGCTGCTTGTAACTGTGTACAGTTATATGCATTCACAAAGAGATGGTCTGAAATTGAAACTTATGTTTAAAAGGTAAACAGAGCATCAAAGTTTGGAAAATTTGCAGCCCAACTATATGGTAGAGAAGAAAAAAACATTTTCTGGAAGAAATTAAAGCTGCTTGCAGAAATTTGCATAAGTAAAGAGGAGCCAAATGTTAATAGCCAAGACAATGGGGAAAATGCCCCCAGTGCATGTCACAGACCTTCGTGACAGCCCCTCCCATCCCAGTCCTGGAGGCTTAAGAGGAAAAAATGGTTTCATAAGCCAGGCCCAGGGCCCTGCTGCTCTTTGCAGCCTTGAGACATGGTGCCCTGTGTCCCAGCTACTCCTGCTTAAGCTGTGGCTAAAAGGGGCCAGGATACAGCTTGGGCCATTGCTTCAGAGGGTGCAAGCCCCCCAGACCTTGGTGGTTTCTATGTGGTGTTGGGCCTGCAGGCACACAGAAGGTAAGAGTTGAGGTTTGGGAACCTCCACTTAGATTTCAGAGGATTTATGGAAACAAATGGATGTCTAGGCAGAAGTTTACTGTAGGCACAGATCCCTCATGGAGAGCCTGTACAAAGTCAGTACAGAGGGGAAATGTGGAGTTGGAGCCCCCACACAGAGTCTCCACTAAGACACTGCCTAGTGGAGCTGTGAGAAGAAGGCTACCATCCTCCAGACCCCAGAATGGTAGATCCAATAACAGCTTGCACCGTGTACCTGGAAAAGCTGCAGGCACTCAATAACAGCCTGTGAAAGCAGCCAAGAGGCCTGTACCCTGTAGAGCCACAGGGGTCGAGATGCCCAAGGCCTTGGGAACCCATCCCTGGCATCAATGTGGCCTTGATGTGAGACATGGAGTCAAAGGAGATTATTTTGGAACTTTAAGATTTAAAGACTGCCCTGCTGGGTTTCAGAATTGCTTGGGGCCTGTAGCACCTTTATTTTGGCCAATTCCTTCCATTTGGAATGGGAGTATTTACCCAATAATTGTGCTGCCATTGTATTTTGGAAGTAACTAAGTATGTCCCTTCTGTATATGAGCCTCTTTTTGATTTTATAGGCTCATAAACAGAAGGGACATACTTTGTCTCAGATAAGACTTTGGATTGTGGACTTTTGAGTTAATGTTGGAATCAGTTAAGACATTGGGGGACTGTTGGAAAGGCATGACTGGTTTTGAAATGTGAGAAGGACATGAGATTCGGGAGGGGCTGGGATGGAGTGATATGATTGTGCTCTGTGACCCCACCCAAATCTCATTTCAAATTTTAATCCTCATGTGTTTGGTGAGGGACCAGGTGGGAGGTAATTGAATTATGGGGGTGGACTCCTATCTTGCTATTCTTGTAATAGTGAGTGAGTTCTCATGAGATCTGGTTTTATGAAAGTGTGTGGCACTTCCCCCTTCATGCTCTCTTTCTCCTGCTCTGCCATGGGAAGATGTCCCTTGCTTCCCCTTCACCTTCTGCCATGATAGTAAGTTTCCTGAGGCCCCCCAGTCATGCTTTCTATTAAGCCTACAGAACTGTGAGTCAATTAAACCTCTTTTCTTCATAAATTACTCAGTCTCTGGTAGTTCTCTATAGCAGTGTGAAAACGAATTAATATACTGGGTTCTCTGCATTTCCTGAATTTGAATGTTGGCCTGTCTAACTGGGTTGGG
Organism: Homo sapiens; assembly: GCF_000001405.40. Classification (NCBI taxonomy): domain Eukaryota; kingdom Metazoa; phylum Chordata; class Mammalia; order Primates; family Hominidae; genus Homo; species Homo sapiens. The sequence continues at coordinate 189,016,998 of NC_000003.12, forward strand.
GAAGTGCTCCTGGATGATATCCTGAAATATGTTTTCTAAATTGGTTCCATTCTCACTGTCTCTTTCAGGTACCCCAATCAGTTGTAGATTTGGTATCTTTTCATAATCCCATATTTCTTGGACATTTTGTTCATGCCTTTTCATTTTTTTTTTCTAATCTTGTCTGCCTGTCTTATTTCAGAAAGACAGTCTTTGAGCTCTGAGATTCTTTTTTTTTTTATTAAAATATATATTTTTTTATATTATTATACTTTAAGTTTTAGGGTACATGTGCACATTGTGCAGGTTAGTTACATATGTATACATGTGCCATGCTGGTGCACTGCCCCCACTAACTCGTCATCTAGCATTAGGTATATCTCCCAGTGCTATCCCTACCTGCTCCCCCCACCTCACAACAGTCCCCAGAGTGTGATGTTCCCCTTCCTGTGTCCATGTGATCTCATTGTTCAATTCCCACCTATGAGTGAGAATATGCGGTGTTTGGTTTTTTGTTCTTGTGATAGTTTACTGAGAATGATGATTTCCAGTTTCATCCATGTGCCTACAAAGGACATGAACTCATCATTTTTTATGGCTGCATAGTATTCCATGGTGTATATGTGCCACATTTTCTTAATCCAGTCTATCATTGTTGGACATTTGGGTTGGTTCCAAGTCTTTGCTATTGTGAATAGTGCCGCTATAAACATACGTGTGCATGTCTCTTTATAGCAGCATGATTTATAGTCATTTGGGTATATACCCAGTAATGGGATGGCTGGGTCAAATGGTATTTCTAGTTCTAGATCCCTGAGGAATCGCCACACTGACTTCCACAAGGGATGAACTAGTTTACAGTCCCACCAACAGTGTAAAAGTGTTCCTATTTCTCCACATCCTCTCTGGCACCTGTTGTTTCCTGACTTTTTAATGATCGCCATTCTAACTGGTGTGAGATGGTATCTCATTGTGGTTTTGATTTGCATTTCTCTGATGGCCAGTGATGGTGAGCATTTTTTCATGTGTTTTTTGGCTGCATAAATGTCTTCTTTTGAGAAGTGTCTGTTCATGTCCTTTGCCCACTTTTTGATGGGGTTGTTTGTTTTTTTCTCGTAAATTTGTTGAAGTTCTTTGTAGATTCTGGATATTAGCCCTTTGTCAGATGAGTAGGTTGCGAAAATTTTCTCCCATTTTGTAGGTTGCCTGTTCACTCTGATGGTAGTTTCTTTTGCTGTGCAGAAGCTCTTTAGTTTAATTAGATCCCATTTGTCAATTTTGGCTTTTGTTGCCATTGCTTTTGGTGTTTTAGACATGAAGTCCTTGCCCATGCCTATGTCCTGAATGGTAATGCCTAGGTTTTCTTCTGGGGTTTTTATGGTTTTAGGTCTAACGTTTAAGTCTTTAATCCATCTTGAATTGATTTTTGTATAAGGTGTAAGGAAGGAATCCAGTTTCAGCTTTCTACATATGGCCAGCCAGTTTTCCCAGCACCATTTATTAAATAGGGAATCCTTTCCCCATTGCTTGTTTTTCTCAGGTTTGTCAAAGATCAGATAGTTGTAGATATGCGGCATTATTTCTGAGGGCTCTGTTCTGTTCCATTGATCTATATCTCTGTTTTGGTACCAGTACCATGCTGTTTTGGTTACTGTAGCCTTGTAGTATAGTTTGAAGTCAGGTAGTGTGATGCCTCCAGCTTTGTTCTTTTGGCTTAGGATTGACTTGGCATTGCAGGCTCTTTTTTGGTTCCATATGAACTTTAAAGTAGTTTTTTCCAATTCTGTGAAGAAAGTCATTGGTAGCTTGATGGGGATGGCATTGAATCTGTAAATTACCTTGGGCAGTATGGCCATTTTCATGATATTGATTCTTCCTACCCATGAGCATGGAATGTTCTTCCATTTGTTTGTATCCTCTTTTATTTCCTTGAGCAGTGGATTGTAGTTCTCCTTGAAGAGGTCCTTCACATCCCTTGTAAGTTGGATTCCTAGGTATTTGATTCTCTTTGAAGCAATTGTGAATGGGAGTTCACTCATAATTTGTCTCTCTGTTTGTCTGTTGTTGGTGTATAAGAATGCTTGTGATTTTTGTACATTGATTTTGTATCCTGAGACTTTGCTGAAGTTGCTTATCAGCTTAAGGAGATTTTGGGCTGAGACAATGGGGTTTTCTAGATATACAATCATGTCGTCTGCAAACAGGGACAATTTGACTTCCTCTTTTCCTAATTGAATACCCTTTATTTCCTTCTCCTGCCTAATTGCCCTGGCCAGAACTTCCAACACTATGTTGAATAGGAGTCGTGAGAGAGGGCATCCCTGTCTTGTGCCAGTTTTCAAAGGGAATGCTTCCAGTTTTTGCCCATTCAGTGTGATATTGGCCGTGGGTTTGTCGTAGATAGCTCTTATTATTTTGAAATACGTCCCATCAATACCTAATTTATTGAGAGTTTTTAGCATGAAGAGTTGTTGAATTTTGTCAAAGGCCTTTTCTGCATCTATTGAGATAATCATATGGTTTTTGTCTTTGGCTCTGTTTATATGCTGGATTACATTTACTGATTTGCGTGTATTGAACCAGCCTTGCATCCCAGGGATGAAGCCCACTTGATCATGATGGATAAGCTTTTTGATGTGCTGCTGGATTTGTTTTGCCAGTATTTTATTGAGGATTTTTGCATCAATGTTCATCAAGGATATTGGTCTAAAATTCTCTTTTTTGGTTGTGTCTCTGCCCAGCTTTGGTATCAGAATGATGCTGGCCTCATAAAATGAGTTAGGGAGGATTCCCTCTTTTTCTATTGATTGGAATAGTTTCAGAAGGAATGGTACCAGTTCCTCCTTGTACCTCTGGTAGAATTCGGCTGTGAATCCATCTGGTCCTGGACTCTTTTTGGTTGGTAAGCTATTGATTATTGCCACAATTTCAGATCCTGTTATTGGTCTATTCAGAGATTCAACTTCTTCCTGGTTTAGTCTTGGGAGTGTGTATGTGTCGAGGAATTTATCCATTTCTTCTAGATTTTCTAGTTTATTTGCGTAGAGGTGTTTGTAGTATTCTCTGATGGTAGTTTGTATTTCTGTGGGATCGGTGGTGATACCCCTTTATCATTTTTTATTGCGTCTATTTGATTCTTCTCTCTTTTTTTCTTTATTAGTCTTGCTAGCGGTCTATCTATTTTGTTGATCCTTTCAAAAAACCAGCTCCTGGATTCATTAATTTTTTGAAGGGTTTTTTGTGTCTCTATTTCCTTCAGTTCTGCTCTGATTTTAGTTATTTCTTGCCTTCTGCTAGCTTTTGAATGTGTTTGCTCTTGCTTTTCTAGTTCTTTTACTTGTGATGTTAGGGTGTCAATTTTGGATCTTTCCTGCTTTCTCTTGTGGGCATTTAGTGCTATAAATTTCCCTCTACACACTGCTTGAATGCGTCCCAGAGATTCTGGTATGTTGTGTCTTTGTTCTCGTTGGTTTCAAAGAACATCTTTATTTCTGCCTTCATTTCGTTATGTACCCAGTAGTCATTCAGGAGCAGGTTGTTCAGTTTCCATGTAGTTGAGCGGTTTTGATTGAGATTCTTAATCCTGAGTTCTAGTTTGATTGCACTGAGGTCTGAGAGATAGTTTGTTATAATTTCTGTTCTTTTACATTTGCTGAGGAGAGCTTTACTTCCAAGTATGTGGTCAATTTTGGAATAGGTGTGGTGTGGTGCTGAAAAAAATGTATATTCTGTTGATTTGGGGTGGAGAGTTCTGTAGATGTCTATTAGGTCTGCTTGGTGCAGAGCTGAGTTCAATTCCTGGGTATCCTTGTTGACTTTCTGTCTCGTTGATCTGTCTAATGTTGACAGTGGGGTGTTAAAGTCTCCCATTATTAATGTGTGGGAGTCTAAGTCTCTTTGTAGGTCACTGAGGACTTGCTTTATGAATCTGGGTGCTCCTGTATTGGGTGCATATATATTTAGGATAGTTAGCTCTTCTTGTTGAATTGATCCCTTTACCATTATATAATGGCCTTCTTTGTCTCTTTTGATCTTTGTTGGTTTAAAGTCTGTTTTGTCAGAGACTAGGATTGCAACCCCTGCCTTTTTTTGTTTTCCATTTGCTTGGTAGATCTTCCTCCATCCTTTTATTTTGAGCCTATGTGTGTCTCTGCACATGAGATGGGTTTCCTGAATACAGCACACTGATGGGTCTTGACTCTTTATCCAATTTGCCAGTCTGTGTCTTTTAATTGGAGCATTTAGTCCATTTACATTGAAAGTTAATATTGTTATGTGTGAATTTGATCCTGTCATTATGATGTTAGCTGGTTATTTTGCTCGTTAGTTGATGCAGTTTCTTCCTAGTCTCGATGGTCTTTACATTTTGGCATGATTTTGCAGCGGCTGGTACCGGTTGTTCGTTTCCATGTTTAGCGCTTCCTTCAGGAGCTCTTTTAGGGCAGGCCTGGTGGTGACAAAATCTCTCGGCATTTGCTTGTCTGTAAAGGATTTTATTTCTCCTTCACTTATGAAGCTTAGTTTGGCTGGATATGAAATTCTGGGTTGAAAATTCTTTTCTTTAAGAATGTTGAATATTACCCCCCACTCTCTTCTGGCTTGTAGGGTTTCTGCCGAGAGATCTGCTGTTAGTCTGATGGGCTTCCCTTTGAGGGTAACCTGACCTTTCTCTCTGGCTGCCCTTAACATTTTTTCCATCATTTCAACTTTGGTGAATCTGACAATTATGTGTCTTGGAGTTGCTCTTCTCGAGGAGTATCTTTGTGGCGTTCTCTGTATTTCCTGAATTTGAACGTTGGCCTGCCTTGCTAGATTGGGGAAGTTCTCCTGGATAATATCCTGCAGAGTGTTTTCCAACTTGGTTCCATTCTCCCCATCACTTTCAGGTACACCAATGAGACGTAGATTTGGTCTTTTCACATAGTCCCATATCTCTTGGAGGCTTTGCTCGTTTCTTTTTATTCTTTTTTCTCTAACCTTCCCTTCTTGCTTCATTTCATTCATTTCATCTTCCATTACTGATACCCTTTCTTCCAGTTGATCGCATTGGCTCCTGAGGCTTCTGCATTCTTCACGTAGTTCTCGAGCCTTGGTTTTCAGCTCCATCAGCTCCTTTAAGCACTTCTCTGTATTGGTTATTCTAGTTATACATTCTTCCAAATTTTTTTCAAAGTTTTCATCTTCTTTGCCTTTGGTTTGAATGTCCTCCCGTAGCTCAGAGTAATTTGATCGTCTGAAGTCTTCTTCTTTCAGCTCGTCAAAGTCATTCTCCTTCCAGCTTTGTTCCGTTGCTGGTGAGGAACTGCGTTCCTTTGGAGGAGGAGAGGCACTCTGCTTTTTAGAGTTTCCAGTTTTTCTGTTCTGTTTTTTCCCCATCTTTGTGGTTTTATCTACTTTTGGTCTTTGATGATGGTGATGTACAGATGGGTTTTTGGTGTGGATGTCCTTTCTGTTTGTTAGTTTTCCTTCTAACAGACAGGACCCTCAGCTGCAGGTCTGTTGGAGTACCCTGCAGTGTGAGGTGTCAGTGTGCCCCTGCTGGGGGGTGCCTCCCAGTTAGGCTGCTCGGGGGTCAGGGGTCAGGGACCCACTTGAGGAGGCAGTCTGCCCGTTCTCAGATCTCCAGCTGCGTGCTGGGAGAACTACTGCTCTCTTCAAAGCTGTCAGACAGGGACATTTAAGTCTGCAGAGGTTACTGCTGTCTTTTTGTCTATGCCCTGCCCCCAGAGGTGGAGCCTAAAGAGGCAGGCAGGCCTCCTTGAGCTGTGGCAGGCTCCACCCAGTTGGAACTTCCCGGCTGCTTTGTTTACCTAATCAAGCCGGGGCAATGGCGGGCGCCCCTCCCCCAGCCTCGCTGCCGCCTTGCAGTTTGATCTCAGACTGCTGTGCTAGCAATCAGCGAGACTCCGTGGGGTAGGACCCTCCGAGCCAGGTGCCGGATATAATCTCATGGTGCGCAGTTTTTTAAGCCCGTCGGAAAAGCGCAGTATTCGGGTGGGAGCGACCCGATTTTCCAGGTGCCGTCCGTCACCCCTTTCTTTGACTCGGAAAGGGAACTCCCTGACCCCTTGCACTTCCCGAGTGAGGCAATACCTCGCCCTGCTTTGGCTCGCGCATGGTGCGCGCACCCACTGACCTGCGCCCACTGTCTGGCACTCCCTAGTGAGATGAACCCGGTACCTCAGATGGAAATGCAGAAATCACCCGTCTTCTGCGTCGCTCACGCTGGGAGCTGCAGACCGGAGCTGTTCCTATTCGGCCATCTTGGCTCCTCCCCGAGCTCTGAGATTCTTTACTCCACTTGGTCTGTTCTGCTTTAATACTTGTGATTGCATGGTGAAGTTCTTGTACTGTGTTTTTCAGCTCTATCAGGTCAGTTATTTTCCTCTCTATACTGGCTGTTTTTGCTGTCAGCTTCTGCATTGTTTTATCATGATTCTTAGCTTCTTCGCATTGAGTTACAGCATGCTCCTTTAACTTAGCGAAGTTTGTTTTTATCCATATTCTGAAGCTTACTTCTGTCATTTTAGCCATCTCAGCCTCAGCCCAGTTCTGAACCCTTGCTGGAGAGGTGTTGCAGTCATTTGGAGGAAAGGGGGCACTCTGCCTCTTTGAGTTGTCAGCATTTTTGCACTGATTCTTTCTCATCTTTATGGGCTTACCTTTGATCTATGAGGTTGCTGCCCTTTGGATGGGGTTATTGTGTTTCTTTTTTGTTGTTATTTTTGTTTGTTTGTTGTTTTTCTTTTAACAGTCTGGCCACTCTTTTCTAGGGCTGCTGCAGTTTGCGGGGTTCTTCTCCAGACCATAGATGCCTCAGTTTTTGCAGTACCTGGAGGTTTCACCAGTGAAAGCTCTGAAACAGCAAAGATGGCAGCCTGCCCTTTCCTCTGGGAGTTCCATCCTAGGGGTGTACAGAACTGTTGCTGGCCTGAATACACCTGCATGAGGTGGCTGAAGACTCCAGTTGGTAGGTCTCACCACTCAGGAGGAACGGGATCAGAGACCCACTTAAAAAAGTAGTCTGGCTGTGTTTTGGTAGAGCAGCTTTGCTGTGTTGGGGGATCCCTTCAGTCCCCAGTTGGTTTGGACTCTCCAAGGCACACAGGCTAGACCAGCTGAAACGTCTAAACAGCAAAGGTGGTGGCCCACCCTGCCCTCCAGGCACTCCATCCCAGGGAGAAATTAGAACTCTGTAGCCAGTAGAACATGGGGAGAGATGGCTGGAGGCCCTGGCTGGGAGAACCTTCCCCGTGAGGAGGAATGGATCAGGGTCCCCTTTAAAGAAGCAGTCTGGCCACACCTCAACAAAACAGGCCAGCTCTGCTGGGGAACCGCCTCTGCCCTGATTCGTTTGGACTCTCCAAAGCCTCTAGGCTGGAACAGCCAAGTCACCCAAACAGCAAAGGTAGTAGCCTGCCCCTCTCCCAGGGCACTCTATCCCAGGGGGAAATCAAAACTCTGTCTATATAATATAGGCAAGGGTGGCTGGAAGCCCTGGCTGGGAGCTCTTGCCCAGTGAGGAGGAGTGGACTGGGGTCTTGTTTAAAGAAGCAGTGTGGCGATGTTCTGGTGAAGCAGCTGTGCTGTGCTGGGGGGTTTCTTCCTTGTCCAGACGGTTTGGACTCTCTAAAGCCTGCAGTCTGGAACAGATGAGCTGTCCAAACAACAATGATGGTGGCCTACCCCTCCCTCCTGGGCACTCCGTTCCAGGGAGAGATCAGATTTCTGCCTATAGAATATAGGCAGAGGTGCTGGAGGCTCTGGATGCGAAGTCCTGCCCAGTAATGAGGAATGGATAAAGATCCCTCTTAAGGAAGCAGTCTGGCCACATTTTGATAAAGCATCTGTGCTGTGTTTGGGGATCCCTTTCTCGTTCGGATCTTTGGACTCTGCAAAGGCTGGCTGAGTTGTCCAAATGACAGAGCCCCCAGGGGCTTCGTCCCATCTCAGACAGGCATTACGCTGCTGCCAGTGGCTGGCTGGAATTCCAAGCCAGTGGGTTTTATTTTGGGAGGTGCTATGGAAGTGGGTCCTGCAGACTGATGCTGCCTGGTCCCCTGGATTCAGCCCCCTTCCTAGGGGTATGTACCAACATCCTGCCTTGCCTGAGATGCCATCACCTTTCTTGGGGATCCTAAGGCTGGAGTATGTAAAGCTCCTGGGTCTCTGTATGTGCCTGAGCACCGGTTCTTCCTAGACTCCACACAGCTCTGTGTGTTGGACCCAAGGCCCTGGTGGGGTGGGCTCATGAGGGGATATCCTGATCTGAGGGTTGCAAAGATCCATAGGAGAAGTGTGGTTTCCAGGGGTCACACATTCACTCACTGCCTCCCTTGGCTTGGGGTGGGGGTTCCCTTGGCTCCGTGTTGCTCCTGGGTGGGCCACTGCCCTGCCCTGCTTTTCTCCATTTTCTCTGCATTGAATTGCTTCCCTGATCAGTCCCAATGCGAGTCCCTGGATATTTCAGTTGAAGGTGCTGTATTTACTTGCTCCCTTTGTTCCTCTCCCTGAGTGCCATGCAAGTTAACTGCTTCTAATCAGCCATCTTGTCTCCCTCCTTAATAATTCTCAACTGGCTTGTGGATGTATCTTCTCAAGGGTGCTGATAAAATGTGAGCAGTATACTGAAGCGAATTGTGTGTGGTATGATAGTGTATTCACTCTAATGGTTGACATGTCCTCTGAAATAAGGGGAAAAACAAGGAGTAACTTGCTGACACTGAGAGGAAAGAGACATGGAATAATCAAGCATGTGCCTGCTTTCTGGAATATTCTCTAGGGTATAAGAGAATGTTGTCTTTTGAGTATCTAAGAAAGCATTAACAAATCAGTTGACATATCTACAGTGAAAAAAATAATAACTTCATGTTGAACAGTGATCCAGAAAAAGTGCAAAATGGTGGATGATTTTTAAACATTCAGAGATACAGTTCTTCCTCAAAAGAGATGTGTTGTTATTAATCGTGACTTTTTTCAGTTTTTTAAAATATTTTTAGGCCCTTATTAGTGCATCACCAAAATTTATAGGCTTCACAGTCATTGAACACAAGGTTGAGAATCCCTATTCTAAGGAGTGAGGGAGAGTGTATTAGTTAGCTCGAGCTGCCACAACAAAATGCCACAGATTGGGTGTCTTAACAGACATTTTTTTTCTCACTATTTTGGAGACTGAAATTATGATGCTAACAGGGTTGGTTTCTGATGGGGCCTCTCTTCCTGACTTGACAACTGCCTCCTCCTCACTTTGTCCTCATGTGGTCTTTTCTCTGTGGAGAGAGAGAGACAGTGAGAAAACGACAGAGAGAGAGAGTGAGCTCTGGTGTCTCTTCTTCTTCTTATAAGGACATCAGTCCTATCAGATTAGGGAGCCAGCCTTCAGATCTCATTTAACCTTAGACCTCTTTAAAGATCTAAATCCAAATACTGTCACATTGGGGGTTGGATTTTGACATATGAACTTTGGGGCCACACAATTCAGTCTATAACAGGGAGCAAGTGATTTTTGCACATTGCTGGGCAGGTGAGGTTTATACTAGCCCTGGTATTGGGGAAGTTTTTTCTTTCCACATGGACGAGAACATTGAGATGGAAAAATCAAAACCATGTTTTGGGAATGGCAAGTAGGGTTTAAGCTTAGCTGGAACATAAGATTTGTGCAGGGAGAGATTTAGAATATTAGTTAGAAAAGACATATTGAGGTGAAGTTGTAGAGTCTTGGAAAAGCAGAATGGGGATGCATCACTTGATTTGGGAGGACAGCTAAGAGACACTAATGAGTTTTGAGCTGAAGAATAACATGGAACGAAGCTGTGCTATAGACAGTCACATTGGCGAAGGATGGATTGAAAGACGAAGGAGTAAGATGGAGGCAAGGAGCCCAGGTAGGAGGCAACATGGCGTGTTTGTTGAGAGCATTGACTCCACACCCAGGCTGTCAGGTCTTAAACATGACTTGTGCCACTTATATATATCAATAACTTTAGAAAAATGTCTTTATTTTTCTGAGCTTTTGATTTTTTGTAAGTAAAATGTGCTGATCAATGTGTTAACAGTATTAGATGAGTCAATATCTGTAGGGTGCTTAGAAAAATACCTTGCACGCAATGCTATGCAATTGTTTTCTTGTGCAGTGAAGGTGGGAAAGCACTAGAGAAAAATTCCAAATCAACACTTTCTTCTTTCCTTGACCAACCTTAAAATAAGAGTTTTTCAGTTAATAACTTCTGTGGTGTCTACTACATTTGTACCTCAGGCCTACTTTTGTAAACAATTAGATTTTCACTCAGCCTGCCTCACTCTGACCCTGCCAAAAGAAACCAAAATACCCCACCAGTATTCAGAATGCCTACAAGCAATCAATAAATCCTTTGCTTCTAAAAGATGCAGCTGTTCTAAAAGTTTACATCTGGACTAAGTAAGGTATGTAAATAGAAAGTCAGAACTATGCTGAAAATCTCATTTTTCTGCATTCAACTTGAACAACCAGACTGTAATGAACCAAAACACCATAAAGTCTATGTAGAAATATAAATACACGCATGGTGTATGCAAGACAAGCCCACAGGGGCAATATTATTGTGATTAAAATATGGCTAGGTTGAATTTCTTCACTAGGTTTTCAAAGGCATACAAAATTATGTTTTTATGTATCCAATGCTGTATTCCGTGCTGCTTGGTGGATGGTATTTGGACTCAGTTTGAGTTAGTCTATGTTTTGGATGAATTATGCAAAATCCCCAAATCATATGTTTTGTAAACATAAGAAAGGAAGTGATTCCAATGGATAGGAAAAGTTGTTCCAAATTGGAAAAATGGAAAATCAGGGCCAGATGGAAGTGTGTTGGAAGGCTTAAAAGCAATAGCATTGTGAACAGTGAGCATGCATTCCCTCTTATGCCTTGATGTGAAGGAAAAACTTATTACCGATTCCTGAGAACTGACGTAGTGGCCATTTTTTTTCGTTCCCTCATTATTCATTATTTCATCAAGTATTTACTATTGAGAACTTACAGTGTGCCATGTCCTAGGATTTCTCAGGAAATTCATATTCTGGTGATTATTCATTATTTCATCAAGTATTTACTTTGAGAACTTACTGTGTGCCATGTGCTGGGATTTCTCAGGAAACCCACATTCTGGTGAATAACAGGAAGATATAGCTAGAAGGAGCCTTTGGTTATATAATCGTACTCCATGACTTCACGGATGGGGAAATTGAGGCCTAACTCCAGTCAATCATATTGTCAGAAATAGGCTTCAAGTTCCCTGACCGCATTCCAGTGCCCTATTTGCCACCCAAGATTGGCACTTGAGGGAGACGCTTGGGCATTCCATAAATTGCTCATTGTGCAAAGGTGGAGAGAACGAATGAAAGGCCAGATAAGCCACTGAAGATGACCAATAGTGTCACAACTATTTCTTCTATGGGGGACAGGGTCACTTTTGCTGTCCTTCATATAGCATGCATTGCTCATGTGTTCCTTGGTAGTAAGTGGGAGACAAAGAGGAATTAGGATCGTGGTTCTGTCATATCTGAGATCTTCACCCATTATAGCTAACAGATAAGAAAACAAAGAACTTTGTGTGTTAAGGGATCTAGATTCCAGTTCCCCCTTTAGCAGTTTTTAGGGTTTGTAATTACCTGCCCTTTCCCTTGCAAGTATCAGGTTTTTAATTGCGTGTGCTAATATTTATTAGTGCAGTATCATTGCTGTGATGTAGTAGGGGTAAGATGTTGAGCACACTGCACACTGTGTATGGTAAGGCCAATAAATAGTAGTTAGCATGGTCATTTGTCTCTGTAAACAGTAAAACAAATGGTAGTAATGTATTTCTACTGTACGTTAGTTAGAGTACATCATAGCCCCTGCCCTCCAGTAGGTGAGGCTGACAAATGTATGACTACAGAGCAGATTATAATAGGCATTTTAATAAAAATACCAAGTGTCTCGAAATAAAGGAGCAAGGGAGGCTAATTTAACTTTCTCCTCGTCCCCAGTCATGGTCTATTTCCTATTGAAGATGGAATTGAGTAAGTGTTTTCAATAAAAAAAAAAAAAAGTAATTTAGTAGGTTGAAAGTGATAATTTATTTTAGGCAAAGTGAACAGTTTGGAAAGAGGTTCAATAAAAATTGAGCCTTTTTTTCTACTCTAAAATAGTTAATATGATAATGCCTGCTATCCTGAGCTAAGGGAGCCAGAGAAAATAATACCTTTTTATTGAAATTTAAATTGGTTGAAGGGGGAGAAAGGAATCAGTTTGTGAGATGTGACTTCAACAGCTGAAAACAGACACCTGGAAATGTGGTTTATTTAGAGATGCAATGTTTTATGATGTTGCTGCTTCTGATAAAAAGAGCAGGGAATAAACAGTATAGAATGTCGATGTTATAAAACATTCCATGTAAATTAACATCAATAGAGATGAATAGGGCTTTAACATAATTAATGCCAACCTGTCTCTGTGCTGTCTTTCATTATAGAACAGACAAAAGCAATTCAATAGGCTTTTCCCAAGCAGGCCCACACAATCTTAATTAATGGGTTAATGATTTTAGCAACAACAACAAAAAGGCAATGTAGTATAAGCCTTTATAAATGGCTTAGAAGCTGGATTCTAAATTTAAGAAAGATATTTTTATGTAACTAGCTGATATGGTTTGGGTGTTTGTCCACCCAAACCTCATGTTGAAATGTAATCTCCAATGTTGGAGGTGGAGCCTAGTGGGAGGTGTTTGGATCCTGGGGGCAGGTCCCTTGTGAATGGCTTGGTGCCATCCCCTGGATAATGAGAGAATTCTCACCGTAGTCATTCCCATGAGATTTGGTTGTTTATTAGTGTGGCACCTCCCACAGCTCTCTTTCTCTTGCTCTGATCATGTGATACGCTGGCTCCCTATTGCCTTCCGCTATGATTGGAAGCTTCCTGAGGCCGCACCATAAGCAGATATCAGCATCAGCATCATGCTTCCTGTACAGCCTGCAGAACTGTGAGGCAGTCAAACCTCTTTTCTTTACAAATTACTCAGCTTCAGGTATTTCTTTATAGCAACACGAAGACAAACTGGGTACGGGAGGAGAAACCAGAGGTGTTTCTTCTCTTTTTCTATGCTCTTTTGCCTGAACATTTCTGATGTTTTTTTGTGCTTCTTGTGACTTGAAAAGGAGTCATAAGATCTGGGTTTGAGTCTTGCGTTTCATTTTCTAGATGTGGGCGACTTTATTTCATTATCTATTTCAATTTTCCCATCACAAAATAAGGAAATTGTGTGAGATGAATATTGGCATTTCAGAGTAGGTTTGCCAGAATTAGCAAAAGATATAAACAAAAGTAAAAAACAACATCCAGTTAAATTTAAATTCAAGTTTACCTGGATGTCTTGGATTTTTTTCTGGCAATACTATACTCCTTTCTCCAATAAGTTTTAAATAGCCTCTGGAATCAAAAATCAAAATATCAGTTTCTTTCTTTTTTCTAATTAATCTGCATTAAATAATTCACTTTCCAATTCCTCCAACCATTATTCCCAATTAAATCTACTAAAAGTAAAATCCAGGTAATGATCCTACAGGGGAAGAAGTGAACAGAGTTGCTAAAGGTGTTACTCCAAGCTCCCTACCTTGGGGAGTGTACATACTTCTAGGACATGAGGACAACATGCCCTAGAAGTATGAAGAAGAGTTGCTGAAAGTGTTACGCCAGTCACCTACCCTGAGGAGTGGAGTGTACAACCTGTTCTGTACGTATGAGGAAGGGGTCATGGCAGATCACCATATGTCATGCTTCTTAACTCATTTAACCTACCCTTCAATTCTATGAATTAGCTTTCATTATTGTCACTATCCCATTTTACAGATGAGGAAACTGGGACACAGAAATGAGTTGTCATTTGTCCAAGATCACACAGCCAGTAAAAGACAAAGCCAGCACCTTAACCCAGACTATCTGTCTTCAGTGTCTGTGCCCTATTACTTATTACTGGAGAAAATATTCAATAAAAAATTAAAAAGGGCCGAGCGTGGCTCACGCCTGTAATCCCAGCACTTTAGAAGGCTGAGGCGGGTGGATTGCTTGAGGTCAGGAGATCTCAAGCTGTTAGAGACCAGCCTGGCCAACATGGAGAAACCCCGTCTCTACTAAAAATACAACAACAACAAAAAATTATCCAGACGTGGTGTCAGGTGCCTGTAATCCCAGCTGCTCGGGAGGCTGAGGCAGGAGAATCACTTGAACCTGGGAGATGGAGGTTGCAGTGAGCCGCGATTGCGCCACTGCACTCCAGCCTGGGCGACAGAGCGAGACTCTGTCTTAAAAAAAAAAAAGAAAAATTAAAAGGGACACTGAAAACCGTGTAAGGTTGAAAAGCGAACAAGGCAATTCTTTCTACCTCACAGGATATGTGGTACCAATACACATGGCATATGTATGCATGATGTTTCATATATTTATACATTTATATGAAGCCTATTTTACTTAGATATTAACATCTCTGGAAGTCAAGACAAGCAACATTGGGTGGTAGGTTAGTATTTTCTTCAGTGTCTTCCTCTTTGTATTCCTTACATTGCTGGCTTTTCTCTTTCTGTTGTGGCTATCACATAAAGACCAATTCAATACATCATTTAGCAAACTGTTGCTGAGTGAATATCACATTCCAAGCACTGTTTTAGGTCCACAAAATACAAATATGTATAGGACAGTGTTCTTTAATGAGACGGTTGGTGATTCACTCTGTGGAGGAGTGGTTGAGATGAAGAGAGGAAATATCAGGCAACCTTTATTTGGGAAGTGGGGAGGCAAACAGTGCATGTAACATATTAAAAAGTGTTTCCTAAACAAAGATCTTGTTTTAAAGCACTCTTGGAAAAAGTGTCTCACCAAGGAAAGTAGCAATTAGAATAATAAAAATAAATAATAATAAGAAGAAGCTAATAGAGTTTGGGAAAGAGGGTATATTAGTTAGAATTTAGGTCCAGTTAGGTATAAAATTGACCCAAAGTAACAGTCGTTTATAAAAGATGTGGGAGGTAGAATAAAGCCCCCTTACTCCAAATATATCCACATCCTAATGTTTGTAACCCATAACTATGTTACCTTACATAGCAAAAGAGGCTTTGCCGATGTGATTGAGTTAAAGATTATAAGACAAAAAATTACCATGAACAATTTGAGTGGGCGCCATGTAATCACAAGAGTCTTCACATGAGAGAGGGAGGAGGCGCAGAGTCAGAAAAGAAAATGTGATGACTGAAGCAGAGGTTGCTGTAATGCAAGGAAGAGGCCGTGACCTAAGGAATGTAGGTGACTTCTACACACTGGAAAAAGCAGGGAAACAGATTCTTCCCCTAGGGCCTCCAGAAAGAAAGCAGTCCTGCACCTTGAATTTTGGACTTCTGACATCCAAAACTGTATGAAAATAAATTCAAGTTGTTTTAAGCTACTAATACAGTGGTAATTTGTTACAGGAGCAATAGAAAAAATAAAAAATAGAATACACTAGATAAATTATTTCTCTCGTACATACGAATCAAGTGGCAGGTGGTCCTGGGCTGGTTGTGAGAGTTTTGCTCCACCAGTTGGCTATTTATGTGTTATTAATCTCTCCTTTTTTTTTCTTTTTTTTTATTATTATTATACTTAAGTTTTAGGGTACATGTGCACAATGTGCAGGTTAGTTACATATGTATACATGGGCCATGCTGGTGTGCTGCACCCGTTAACTCGTCATTTAGCATTAGGTGTATCTCCTAATGCTATCCCTCCCCCCTCCCCCCACCCCACAACAGTCCCCAGAGTGTGATGTTGCCCTTCCTGTGTCCATGTGTTCTCATTGTTCAATTCCCACCTATGAGTGAGAACATGCGGTGTTTGGTTTTTTGTCCTTGCGATAGTTTACTGAGAATGATGATTTCCAATTTCATCCATGTCCCTACAAAGGACATGAACTCATCATTTTTTATGGCTGCATACTATTCCATGGTGTATATGTGCCACATTTTCTTATCTGTAGTCCAAATGTCCCACAACCGTGCACACGATTCAGACAGCTGGATAGAAGAAAAAGAAAAGAAAGATAATGTCTCTTTAGGAAATCTCTTTAGGAAATGTATTTCAAAAATCACACATATCATTTCTCACACATTTTGGACCAGAACTTATCACATGACCATGCCTTAAGTGAAGCTGGGAAATTTAGTCTTTGGGTAGCTTTGTACCAAACTAAAAGCCAGGTTCTCTATTACTACAGAAAAAAAGGAGATTGGCTATTGAGAACAGCTACGCAGAGTCATTATTCCTTTTTTTTTTTTTTTAATTTCTTGAGGCAGGATCTCACACGTTCACCCATGCCGGAGTGCAGCTGTATGATCTTGGTTCACTGCAACTTCTGCCTCTCAGGCTCAAGAGATCCTCCCACTTCAGCCTCCTGAGTACCTGGGACAACAGGTACGTGCCACCACGCCCAGCTAATTTTTGTATTTTTTGTAAAGATGGGATTTTGTCATGTTGCCTGGGTAGGTCTTGAACACCTGAGCTCAAGTAATCTGCCCTCCTCAAAGTGCTGGGATTATAGGTATGAGCCACTGCACTTAGCCTACTCTTCTACTCCTTTTTTTTTTTTGAGATGGAGTCACTTTGTCACCCAGGCTGGAGTGCAGTGGTGCAATCTTGGCTCCCTGCAAGCTCCACCTCCCGGGTTCATGCCATTCTCCTGCCTCAGCCTTCCGAGTAGCTGGGACTACAGGTACCAGCCACCATGCCCTAATTTTTTGTATTTTTAGTAGTGACAGGGTTTCACTGTGTTAGCCAGGATGGTTTTGATCTCCTGACCTCGTGATCCACCTGCCTCGGCCTCCCAAAGTGCTGGGATTACAGGCGTGAGCCACCGTGCCCAGCCTACTCCTCTTAATAAAAGAAAAAAGGTATAGAGTAATTTATGCCATAGATTATTAATGATACCAACAAAGCTTGTAGAGGGCTAAGAGAGATAAAAGATACATGGAAGCATTGTCTGCTAGAGGAAAAGAAATAGACATTAACTTTTAAAATATTGATGGTTTACGTGTAGCTATGTGTCTTAATAACTTAAGAATAACCCCAGGATATTAAAAGTAGAATGCATAACTTCTAAGCAACGAGAAGGAAATTTGATCTATCTAATGAAAGTTGAGAGGAAAAAAGGGGACAAATAGAAGTTTTGTAAATGGAAACACAAAATGTGGTAGAAGTAATTTCTAACAAAGGAGGAATTACAATAAATATAAATGAATTATCTTACCAGTCAAAATCAAAAGCAGATCCTTTCAGATTGGATTAAAAACAAGATCCACACTTATGTTATCTGCATAAGCTGCATTTAAACAAAAGCTTACAGAAAGATTAAAAATAAAGACATAAAATGACATCAGACAAATATGATCAGATAGCAAATTAAGATAGCAATTTCAAAATTGGCTCATTAGAAATGGAGACAAGTTATCATTGTCAAAAATCATAGATTTAATATATTGGCAACATAAACAATATATCAATGTACCTTATGTTTTAAATACATAAAGCAAGAATGACAGAACTGTGGTGAAATAAAGGCAAATGAATAGCTGAGCTAGAGAGTCTTTAAAAATTGTTAGTTTAAACAGATAAAAAAGAAAAAGCAAGGACATAAAAGTTGTAAACAAGAACATTTAGAAGGAAATCTGGTGCTTTAAATACCTCTAAAAGAATAATAATTAAATACATTTTCCACTGAAGAAGCTAAGGTGAAAGCTCTTTACACCAATTACACAACACTGATGAAAGAAATCAGAGATGACACCAACAAATGGAAAAACATTCCATGCTCATTTATAAGAAGAATGAATATTGTTAAAAGAGCTATACTTCCCAAAGCAATTTACAGATTCAATGCTATTTCTATCAAATTACCAATGTCATTTTCCGCAGAATTAGAAAAAACTATTCTAAAATTTGTGTGGAACCAAAAAAGAGCCTGAATAGACAAAGCAATCCTAAGCAAAAAGGACAAAGCTGGAGGTATCAAACTAAAAAACTTCAAACTATATTACAAGGCTACGGTAACAAAACAGCATGGTACTAGTATAAAAACAGACACATAGACCAATGGAACAGGGTTGAGAACCCAGAAATAAAGCCACACACCTACAACCATATGATATTTGACAAAGTCAACAATAACAAGTAATAAGGAAAGGACTTCTTACTTAATTAATGGTACTGGGATAACTGGCTAGTCATATGCGGAAGATTGAAACTGAACCCCTACCTTTCACCATATACAAAAATTAACTCAAGATGGATTAAAGACTTAAATGTAAGACCTCAAACTATAAAAACCTAGAAGCAAACCTAGGAAATATCATTCTGTACATCACCTTGGAAAATAATTTATGACTAAGTCCCCAAAAACAATTGCAACAAAAACAAAAATTGACAAATGTGACCTGATTAAACTAAAGAGCTTCTTTCTGCACAGCAAAATAAACTGTCAATAAACAGGCATCATACAGAATGGGAGAAAATATTGGCAAACTATGCATCTGACATATGTGTACTATCTAGAATCTATAAGGAACTTAATCCAGCAAGCAAAAACCAAGTAACCCCATTAAAATGGGCAGAAGACATGAATAGACACTTCTCAAAAGAAGGCATACATGTGACCAACAAATATATTAAAAAGTACATCACTATTCATTAGAGTGAATCAAAAACTACAATGAGATACCAACTCATACTAGTCAGAATGGCCATTACTAAAATGTCAAAAAATAACAGATGTTGGGGAAGTTGCAGAGAAAAGGAAACACTTATACACTGTTAGTGGGAATGTAAATTAGTGCATCTAGCGTGGAAAGTAGTTTTGAGATTTCTCGAAGAACTTAAAACAGAACTACCATTCTACCCAGCAATCCCCTTACTGGGTCTATACCCAGAGGAAAATAAATTGTTCTACCAAAAAGACAAATGCACTTGTATGTTCATTGAAGCACTATTCACAATAGGAAAGACATGGAATCAATCTAGATGCCCATTACTAGTGGATTGGATAAAGAAAATATGGTCCATATACACCATGGAATATTATGCACCTATGAAAAAAAACAAAATCCTGTCCTTTGCAGCAACATGGATGGTCATTATCTTAAGTGAATTAATGAAGGAACAGAAAAACACATACTGCATGTTCTCATTTGTAAGTGGGAGCTAAACATTGAGTACACACAGACACAAAGATGGGAACAATAAACATGGGGACCACTAGAGAGGGGAGGGTAGAATGGGGCTAGGGTTGAGAAACTACTAGTGTAAAATTAGTACTGTTGGGTACTATGCTCACTACTTGGGTGACAGGATCATTTGTACACCAAATCTCAGTGTCATGCAATTTACACATGTAAGAAACCTGCACATGTACCCCATGAACCTAAAATAAAAATTACAAAACCCCACTAATGTGTGGAAAAAGTTAAGGGAATGGACACCCATGAAGTTGAGATAAGTTATAGGAGATAAGGAAGCTATAATTGTTTGCATATGTAAAAATATAAAAAGAGCAACAACATAATGCTATCCCAGACAAAGGAGGAATAATAAAATAATAAAGATAATATAAAATTCAAGAAATAAGAAATAATAACACCATATACGTGACAACAGACAAATAAGTTTGAATTCTTTGGAAAGATGAGTAACATATACAGGTATCTGGTAACACTGGTAACAAAAAGTTGAAAATTAGCAAAATATAGAATAAAAAAGGTGATGTAAATTTAGATGTAATGTACAGATGGATAATTATAGATGTAATGAAGATTATAAAGACAGTAAATACTATTAATGAGATCTATAAACCGATTAAATGAAACCAAATCATTTTTTAAAAATTCCAGAATCAGCAGAAGAAGAAATAAAAAATTTGAAAGGTCTAAAAATCATAAGATAAACTGACATAGTTATCAAAAAAGTCCCCATTCTTACTCCTACTCCTGCCCCACCAAAATCCGAGGCCCAAATGATTTATAAGTGACTTCTGAAAAAAAAAACGAAACAAATATTTAAAAAAAAAATCACCCTCCTTTCCTCATACAAGTTGTCCTAGATAATAGAATAATAGAAAAGGCCAAAGTGCCTTAATCATTCTTTGATACTCATGAAACAGTAATTATTTTTACTTGATAAAAATATTGTCTATAAAAAATTATAGAACAAATTTATTTATAAATTTGTGTGTAAAAATTCTACGAAAATCATTAGATCACACACTAAAATATTATTTGAGAAAAGAAAAAAACATGATGAACATGTATGATTTACCTCAGTAACATAAGGAGGATTTCATATCAGAAGCTCTATCAATGTAACAGTAGTAATTTACTAAGGAAACAAATCATATGTTTAGCTCAATATAAGTAGAAAAATTATTAAATAAAATGTAATTTCTGTTTATAATACAACTTTTCACAAAATCAGGCATAAATGAGAACCTTATTAACTAGTTAAAGGCTGTATATGAACAACTTTCAGTAAGTATTTTTTAAAGAAGAAACTTAAGGTATATTTAATATTAGACAAGAAAACATTATGTCGCCACTACTAGTTAACCTAGTACTAGTGGGACATAACCAAATATAATGAAACAAGAAATACAATGAGATATCACTGCTGGAAGATGAAAGAGCTTCAGATGATTTAATCATTTATGGAAACTAACAGTCTTCTCCAAGATTTTGTATACAACTAGTAAGAGTATTTCTGGATAAAATATATTAAACAACCAACAATATTTTCTACCAGTAGTAAATTAGTAAGATATATCCATCAAGTATAATATACCAGCAAAACTTTAAGATATAAATATATTAACCTATTAAGAAGTCTAAAGATTGTTTTGGAGAAACTACCATCTCTATCAAAAGGCATACAAGATCTGAATGAATACAGAGATAAACCATGTTCATGGATGGGGCAACTTAGTATTTTAAAGAGGTCAAATTTTGCCAAATTAAATAAAAAATGTATAGAATTCCAATCAAAACTTATACAGAGAAACTTAGGTCTAAAATATATTGTGAAAAACAAAAGTCCATAAGTAAATGATAATTTTGGAAGAGCAAAAAGGAATACCTTCCCTACCCTCTATTATTATATAACCATAAAAGAAAAAAAAATAGCCTGCCACATGATCAGACAAGTAAAACAATGGGATAAAGAACCATAAACCGTCCCTTATGGAATATGGTATAAAATTAAGGTGACTATTTTAATTTGCCTGTGAAAATTTTACTGCATTTATGCCTATTGGCCTAGCAAAATTAAAAATAATGTCCTCTTTTACTTTTCAGTTTGGAATATATTGTATGATGTCTTCATATATAATCAATTGATATAATAAATCAATGGAGGAAAGATAGGCTTTTTAAAAGCATATAGTATTGGCAAAACTGGCTTGTTAAATGGAGAAAAGTAAAATTTGATAAAATTTTGAATTAAACATTAGTATGTAAAATGTAAAGATAAACTGGTGAGAAAATAATGGAAAGTACCTTGGCAACTTCGGGGTGGGGAATGATTTCTGGAACAATACTCCCAAAATTAAAAGTATAATGGGAAAAAAATGAATGGATCTGATACATAATAATTATGAATTTCTGTTCATTGAAGGACACTGTAGATAAAGGTAACAGATGGGAGACAGACTGGGGGAAGATAATTACAACATTTAAAACTGACAAGGGATTAATACCTAGAATAATTAAGCAATTCCTGCAAATCAACAAAGAAAAGAGAGTAATTGGCAAAAAAAAAAAAAAAATGAATAGACAATTCACAGAAGGGCAAACCCAAATTACTTACATGCTCATGAAGACATCCCCAACATCATAAGTAATGAGAGAGCTATAAATTAAAACCATAATGAGACTCATTTTACACCCATCAGATTGGTAAAAATGAGAAAGTCAGATGGTATCATTGTTGGCACAGATGTGAAAAAATGAGAATCCTCATGCACTGCTGGTGGGAGTGGAAACTGGTGAGCCATTCTGGAGGGCAATCTGTTGGAAGTATATGTATATATATACCCCTTGACCCAGAAATTCCCGGAGGGAAACCTATGCAGGGTCACATGTGACATATACAAGGATATAGCTATCTAGATGAAATAGCATTACAGTTTGGGTAGGGAGGTGTTGCTTTATGGAAATGTTCAGAAAGAAATGGAGCACAGTGAACCCAGAGCTGGCTCTCTGTAGGCTTATATTCTTTGCTGAATCTTCAGTAAGAAGAAAGCAAAGGTTACTTCCATTCCACCCCAGTCCTAGGCATTGTCAAGGCCCAGGTACACCCTTGTTCCTGGCACTCTCCAAACTTTCAGGGCCCTGTTGTGAAATTCTCTGGGAAGTTAAATACATGAATGATGTTAGAAATTGAAAGGAGCATTTTAAAAAATGAGGGTTACCACAAGATGAGGGCAACGTTTAACTGAAAGGGGAAAATGATACAATATAGGTTTCAGTGATAGCTAAACAACAGAAATCTGTGACATCACTGAGTGCAGACACTTAGAGGCCCCAACAGAAATTTGGAGACCTCTTTAGATCTTTCCTTCTGTGTAGTGAAAAGAAAGCAATTTCATAAGAGAACATGACAGTGAACATTTCTATTGAAAACCACAAAGTTTTTGCAATTTTAGCAGAAGTCTAGTTTTGAAGATCAAATCATTGAGAGAGAATGTACACTTGTTTTTTTGTCATTTACTGAAAGCCAGAAAAATAGGTGAAGCTTGTCTTAATTCAGATGGCACCTTGGAAAGGAGATCATTCTGATATCTTCTTCTCACTCCTATTTTTTTTTTTGACTTTTCAAAGAGCAACAGAACATTGGAGCTAGAAGTAGCCTCTAAAGTTAAGTAACACAGCTCCAGTCTGCTATGGAATTCTTCCTACAAACATGCATTTCCTTATATGTAAACCTCAAGAATCTACTGGAACCAGACCATTGATCCATTACTTTAAGATACATTACTCCTTCCTTAAGGGAGTTATGTAAGCTCTTTCTATAGAGGCTATGCCTGGAAAGCTGCCTCCCTGACACCCTAGGGCCAGGTTATAACTCTTGGACCTAGCTTGCCTCCACTAAACTCCAAATTTGGGGGTTACATTTTTTATAAGTCATGTTTTCTCTTGAATGGCCTCATTGTGGTAGATGAAAGAAACGAATTTTAATGAAAGTGAATTAATCTTAATGAAAATTAAATAGACTTTTATGACTCCTTAGACATTTAGGAAAACAGCGAAATATTGAACTTCTATCCCTTCTTTAGCCATCCTCCTAGTTATTTACAGGTATTCCCAGAGGTATACATGATGGACAAATAAGCCTCCTCAGTTTTGGTTGCCAAAATGTTTGTTTCCCTGGTAGTTTCATCACTGTTGCTGCTGGTGGTATTCCCCATGGATGGTGCCAAGAGAGTTATACCAAGGGTTCTGTCTTCTCTTGCTCTCAAAATACCACCTCAGGCCATTGCTTGGCTTCCTGCTGTGGCTAAGGCTCTTGGCATCTCTCAGTGGGAGCACAATGCCATTCTGTCCACCATTAAGAGTACTGCTGTTCTTGCCCCCTGATACTGGTGCTACTTCTGCTCATATCTTCTGCAATGGAAAAAACCCCTTTCTCCCAACCTTGTACCATTGTCTGTTACACTGGTCCCACAGTGGTATGATCCCTTACTCTCAAAGTCTTAAAGAAACGATGGGTAAAACATTCCATCCAGGTTGTTTTCTTTCCCCATGATTTGGGCACAAGTCCCTAGGGACTGAGCCACGAGATGAGTCAAAGGGTGGTCCTCAGTGTCATTCTTCCTCTATTGCTCAGAGGCACTTTTCAGGCATCTCTGCCTGGGCTTTGGCAGCTATTCCTTAGATTGACTTACTTCCCAAGAGGCTCCTCAAGCCTGTTCAGCCCTGGTCGCCCCTCCACAGTCTTCTGGTCTTTCCCTGACTGTTTCCATTTTAGGCTGAGAGCACCTGCATCTTGAACCAGGGTGCCTTTGCACTTTAGCCTGGATAACATCACAGCTCTAGATTTGGTGAAAGGAAACAGAATCAGGGAACCCCTGAGCCACAGCCATTTTAGGATGTCGCTAGGCTCCTCTACTTCCTCTTTCCTTATTGCTCCCAATTCTTTGCTTCCTTCTTGCTAAGTTGGAAGGAGCCCACCTCCCCCTAGAAAGAGGATCATTTCATAAGCTGGATTCTCATGTAGCATGGTCATTGCATTCCTTAAACTCACCTCTAGGTCCCAAATGATAAACTAAAAGCTGCTTGAGTTATTCAAGTAACAGGAAAAATATAGTATTGCAACTAAGAATCTGAACTTTGAAATCAGAGAGTCTCGGATTCAAATCCTGGCTCTTCCCTTTCTGGCTGTATGCTTTGGGCAGATTATTTAACAACTCTGAGCCTCTTTAGCACGTACTTCACAGGACTATTGTGATTAAGTAAGCACTCAATGTGTGGGAGATATTATTGTTTCTAATTAGGGAGCAAAGCAAAACTGCACATGGGGCATGGGCAAGGCACTCATGGCTTCCCTTCTCACCCCATGTGGGGAGGTGGAACAAGCTTCCTAGTCTTAGCCCTTTACTCAGATGCCAGCAATTTTCTGCCATGTTACCTGGTGATGGGGCCCTCTGGTGGCAGGAGAGAATGTGATTTCTTTTTGAGAGACCAGCTTGCCCTTAGATCTGCTTTCAAGTGGAGGCGAAGGGTTGGGGAAAACCCCAGCAGATTCTGAAACTGCCATGCACAAAGGCCTCAGACTCAGATGCTGAGCTGTCCCTGTTGCTGCAGAACTGTTTATTTCCTTAGGATGTTGAACGTAAAATATACAACTAGACACTGCCTTCTCTTGCTCTCAAAATACCATCTCAGGCCATTGCTTGAGCCTCACCCAATAATTTGGATTCTGATATGAAAATCAACTTCCCTACCTCCAGCCTTAGGATGCTTCTGTATTGTTAATGCCAATGTTAGCAGCTTGTTTCTGAATCATTGGGGAGCTCTGTAAACACATGTTGATGGGAATTGACCTATCTTCTTAAGGTTAGGTCCTTAAGAAGCCCTAAACATTGAACAATGAAAATATCCTCAATTTTAGAAATTAAAAAAAAATCTGAAATTATAAAACAAGTATTAAAAAGTCAAAGAAAGATAAACTTTTAGCTATAATGACAACCTTAACGTCCTTTTTTGAACTATCAAGAATATATTTCTTTTCCAATTTCAGCTTTTTTGGTTAATTTTATTTTTCTAGTATCTTACCTTGTGTTTTATCCCTCTTTGGGTCATCCTGATCTGCTAGGTGTATAATAAGCTTTATGTCAGAGGTGAGTAAAATATTGATAACATTTTCTATCTATAAGATGTTTAATAATTTATAGGTTACTTAGGTATCTGTTATGTTTCAAAAATCTCATGCCAATCCTGGTTAATTATGGATTTTCAAGAAATACTTTTTGAATGAAGAGGAAGGAGGAAGACGTTGTATCTTCAGATGAACAAATAGAGTCCTGGAGAGGTTGTGTGGATCTCTGGGCTAGCAGGGGTCAGAGTTGGCTCACCAACCCAGGTCTTCTCACTGCTTCTTTATATTGTATCTCAGCTGCTTGAGGCATACTTGATGATCCCTCATGAAAATGAACTCAATCATGCTTGAAGAAAAGTATGCTACACAATGGAAAGCTAAATAGTTTCTTTAGGCATTGAGATAAATCATCATATAACAACATGTAATCTGCTAAGGCTGGGAGGAACCTTATTTTATGGATGAGGAAACTGAGGTCCATAGGAAGGAAGAGCTACAAGCAGGAGGTTGCGTGGTGGCTCACCAGAAGAGCTGTCAAGGAAACCCTGGTCTCAACCCAAAGACCTCCATAAAGGAGACAGCTGAAACAAGCTAGAGTAAGCCCGGTGCCTGTCACCGTTTGTAACCAGAGACAATGACCACACTGTTCACCCATTGTTTATTCTCCAAATATTTTGTAAAGCAAAGGAGAACACTATGGGATCTGCTAACTATAAGGCCTTTCTACTTTCACCTTGTTTCACAAGGTCACAATTAAATGGGCCCTGTTCAAAAAATAGAAGGAAAACTATATATAGATTGAATCCAAACCGAAAGATGAATCTAAACCACAAAATATTGGCTTGAACATAGGGCCTCATGGTGCCTGAGTTTTAATAAACATAAAATTCTTTCTTTGGGGAAACAACATGATGGGGATACAGATTAAAGAGTACGGTTTAAAGGGTATTGCAAAGACCCTGAGGCTTGGAATGAGGAGTGTCAGATTGTGGAGATGCTTTCAACACTTCCACTGACTTTCTCTGTGACCTCGTGCAAGATGTTTCTTTCTTAGCCCTCAGTTTTTCCATTCACACAAATGACAAGGTTGGACTGCATATCATGCAGGCCCTTTATGGGATCTGACCTTCTGTGACATTAAGTGTTCTCTTTATTTTTCATATTTTCACCCCTGATGGAAGAACAATTTGTTGACTTACTAAGAAGCAGACTGTCATAAAAGCCAATCGTCTGCTTAACTCCATTACAATTTTTTGGGCGACAACTCCCTTCAGAGACTGGCTTGTATATATTGACACCACCTCAATTTAGGCACTGCGATGGCACTGGAATTCTATGACACCCACTCTTGAATTGAAGGAGGGCACGGTGACATTGGCATTTCTGCTTGGGGCTAGTGGTTGAATCACTGTTTAAAACTAGTAGTTGGGTTGTGATCCAAAGCTTATTGGAGCCAAAAGTTTCCACAAGGATGTCATTAAGAAAAGTGACTTTTATTCCCAGAGAAGAGAGCTGGGTCTCTCGAGACGATGAGGTCTATGAATAACGAGTGCCATCTACAGCATTTGAGCAATACCCAGTAGTGAGACTAAGACAAATAACTTCATTTTTTTCATTTCTTATTTTTCCATCTAATGATCCAGTATCAATGTTTTGCTGGTGTCTGTGTCTGCTACAATAGTAGGTACAAGGTAGATATTCAGCAAATGCTTGATAAATAAATGAATATATAAAAATTACTCTCTCAAATTAGTTCATCTCCTCAAAGAATAGTAGAGAGAGAGAGAGAAAAGACCTGCAAGTAAATAAATAAATACAAGGCAAATTGTCGGAAAGAGACAAGCTAAGTATCACAGGGACTCTGGAGCTGGAGAGGTTAGATGCAACATCATGACAAAGAAAAAAAAATGTGGCCGGGTACGGTGGCTCACACCTGTAATCCCAGGATTTTGGGAAGCCGAGGTGGGTGGATCACCTGAGGTCAGGACTTTGAGACCAACCTGGCCAACATGGCAAAACGCTGTCTCTACTAAAAATACAAAAGTTGGCTGGGCGTGGTGGCAGGCGCCTGTAATCCCAGCTACTCTGGAGGCTGAGGCAGGAGAATCACTTGAACCTGGGAGGTGGAGGTTGCAGTGAGCTGAGATCACGCCATTGCACTCCAGCCTGGGTGATAAGAGCAAAACTCCGTCTCAAAAAAAAAAAAAAAGTGAGCTGAGCTTTGAAGGACAGTTCTGTATTTAATATGTAAGGATGGCAAAGAATAGAAAGAGGATACGAAGGTTAAGAAGAGCATAAGCAAGGGCAAAGGGGAACTATGATGTACAGCAAAGAGCAATGGCCTAAGTTGCATGAGGCAGGGAAGAAGTTTGAAAAAGGTAGTTGGTGGTCTTCTTGAGGAGAAACTTGAATGACAGAATTTTTGGACTTTTATATAAAATGGATGGCCACTGAATGTTTTAGAGAAAGGGAATGATATGATCAGATCAAAGGATTAGAATTAATTCATTTAAACATACAAGAGTATAGTATGAAAGGGCCATAACATTAGATTTTATGTCGAAGTGTGGTTTGTTTTTTGACAGTGTAATGCTTATCCTGGGTGAAGAAAATGAACTCTTTCAGCCATCAGAGTATTCATTAATATTCTTGGAAAATCACCAAATAAAACTGCTACCCCAGAAGATCTAATGTGTCCAGCATAAGCTGAGCTGTACCTCTAGAGAGTTTATTTAACTGTGCCCTTCATGGGTTAAGGTCTATTTTTAATCAATGCTCATATATATTTTTAAAAACATTACACTAAGATAAACATCTGGAATGGCAATCATGATATTTCAGTTTTAAGAACACCAAAGGACTGTCCCGAAATGATGACAGGCTAATTGCTAACTGAGTAACACTCTATTGCAAAAATTGCAGTGTACTCATCAAAGTCCAGGTCCAATCTTCTACTTCATCTATACAAGTGAATGACTTCTTTAATTGCTATTCAACAATCATGGAAAAGAACGTCAAGTCTCAAATTATATATTTCTAAATAATAAGATCAGGATTTATACATTTTGTGGACAAATGTAAGTGGAAAAGATGGCAGCTCTTGGAATTAGATGTCTGGACTTCATTTTGATGCTATCAATTATTAGCAGTTAATCGGAACAGGTTACTTGATCTGTCTACACTTCAGCTTCTTATTCTGTAAAGTGGGAAAATGTCTGTACAGTGCAAAATATCTGTACAGTGCACGGAATAGAAGCTGGTACAGAATAACTATCTGCTAAGTGGTAGCTATTTTAATCATTATCATTGTTACTAATATTATATATTTTTCCTTGATTGTATATTTACACTGAAAGAAATTATTTATATTATAACTGGAACAGTGTTGGGCTCTTGGCTATATTTAGATCACAGCAACAAGGCCTGCAGTGGAGAGGACAAGCCTGGGGCTGACTGGTTTGGAGGCCGAGGAAGTCTGCCTGCTGCAGAGGCTTGGCATTTGGGCAGCTATGGTCTACATCCAAAGGTTCAATATACACACCAAGGTCAGGTAGGGGCTGGGGCCAGCAAGGGAAGGGTAAGTAAGAGGGTGCAAAAGAATAAGGGAAAACTCAGCAGCAGGAAGATGTTACTCAAAGTCAGGAAAGAGGCAGGATCCCGAGTGCAGGGCCTCAGTAAGAGGCAAAGCTGTTGCTCCTGGAAATGAGTCTGCAAAAGCTCAGCAGACTTCTAAGGTTTTAGTTATGAGACAGGATATTGGGACCAGGAAGTTGGGGGAAACCAAGGAAAAACCCAATCGAATCTTGGTTTGGGCCAATGGTTCTTCCTGTGCACACTGACTGTGTAGGTCAATGACAGCAGGATTTAATGTCAGGGTCCAGAAATCTGGACAACATCTCTGTTGGTGGACAGAGATTGTTGGTAAACCCTCTTCTCCACTTAGGCACTGAGGTAAGCACAGTCGGTGTGAACTCAGAAATCACAGAGACAGTTCAGTAAGGCAGCTAATCAGATCTGCTTCTCAGGAGAGTTGCAAAGATCCACCGATTAAATATGTGGGACAGAGCTAACGGCTATTTCTTTGGGCAGTATCTAGGAAAATTTTTCTGGCTTGAGATATAGGGAATAATTATGCAGAGAATTCTTTAAGTTAAAACCCAACAGGGAAATACAGTGAAAGGGGAATGATTCATCTGACAAACTAGGGAAAATTAAAAGATTGTATAACAGGAACATCACCACAGGGTTTTTAAGGCTTCTCTAAAAGATTTCCTGGATTCTTTTTAAAAAGTTTTAAGATTAAAGATATTTGCATTATACTTTTCCTGTAGTATACGTTTCCTTCTCTAAAAGATTTACTGGATTCTTTTTAAAAAGTTTTAAGATTAAAGATATTTGCATTATACTTTTCCTATAGTGGAAGTTGCCCAGGGAAGACAATTTTTACTTAATGGCTACTAGTCAGTTCTTTTAACTGTCTTCCCCCATCATCAACTCAGACTACCACCACTAAAAACTGCCTTAAAGAAAAACAACAACAACAACCACCACCAAAACAAAACAAAACAAAACGACAACAATGAGTTCTCACTGAACGCAGAGGGGAAGAGCAAGAACTTTGGAACCAGAAAAGCTTTGTTTAAGGCAATGAAGTATCCTGGAATTGAAGCAGCTTTACTTTTTTTTCTGAAAATACAGGTATAGCTCTTTCTTGAAGGCCAAGTAGATGGAGCGAAGGATGCTATAAAACTGATGCCAAAGTAAGAGATATATCATATATATTACCAGGAAATATACAACAATTTTATTACAATCTTAAATATATACACGCATAGGTTGGAGATACTGTTGATTTGCTTCCACTCTACTGTCTAAAGCAATATCACAATAAAGTGAATCACATAATTTTTTGGTTTTCCAGTGCATATAAAAGTTATTTCTACAGTATACTATAGTCTATTAAGTGTACAATAGCATTATATCAAAAACCCCAAGGTACATACCTTAATTAAAAATACTTTATTGCTAAGAAAATGGTAACAATCATCTGAGCCTTAAGTGAGCTGTAATCTTTTTACTGGTGGAGGGTCTTGTCTGTATGTTGATGGCTGATGACTGAATAGGGTGATGATTGCTGAAGGCTGGGAAGGCTGTATCAATTCCTTAAAATAAGACAGCAATAAAGTTTGCCACATCAATTGACTCTTCTTTTCATGAAAGATTTCTCTTTAGCATGTGATGCTGTTTGACAGCATTTTTCCCACAGCAGAATTTTCAAAATTGGAGTCAATTATTTGAAACCCTGCTGCTGCTTTATCTTCTAAGTTTATGTAATAGTTTAATCCTTTGTTGTCATTTCAACAATGTTCACATCATTTTACCAGGAGTAGATTCCATTTCAAGAAACAACTTTCTTTGCTTCTCCGTAAGAAGTAACTCCTCATCTGTTAAAGTTTGATCATGAGATTATGCAATTCAGTTACATCTTCAGGCTCCACTTCTCATTCTAGTTATTTTGTCATTTCCAGCATGTTTGCAGGCATTTTCTCCAGTCAAGTCTGGAACCCCTCAGTTATCCATGAATGTTGAAATTAACTTATTCCAAACTTCTGTTAATATTGGTATTTTGACTTCTTCCCATGAATCATGAATGTTCTTAATGACATCTAGAATAATGAATTCCTTCCAGAAGGTTTTCAATTTACTTTAGCCAGATACAGCAGAAGAACCACTGTTTATGGCATCTATAGCCTTACAAAATGTATTTCTTAAGACCAGAAAGTCAACATTATTCCTTGATCCATGGGCTGCAAAATGAATATATGTTAACAGGCATGAAAACAACATTAACTTCTTGTGCAGCTCCATCAGAGCTCTTGGATGCCTAAGTGCATTGTCAATGAGCAGTAATATTTCAAAAGAAATATTTTTTTCTGAGCAGTAGGTCTTAAGAGTAGGTTTAAAATATTTGCTACATCATGCTATAAAAAGATGTGTTATCAATCAGGCTTTTTGTTCTATTTAAAGAGCACAGTCTGAGTAGATTTATCATAATACTTAAGGGTCCCAAAATTCTCAGAAAGGTAAATGGGTATTGACTTAAAACTAAAGTCACCAGATGCATTAATCCCTAAAAAGATGAGTCAGCCTATCCTTTGATGCTTTGAAGCCAGTCATTTCTTGTTCCTCTTAGAAAGTCCTAGTTGGCATCTTTTTCCAATAGAAGGCTGTTTTTTTTCTACCTTGGAAATCTGGGCTACATGAGTTGGATCATGGTGGATGGGACTCAAGACTAGATTCAGCTCCAGACAGAGCAGCATGAGGAGGCTTGCACTGTGAATTTTACCTCCAGATCGACTGCAAGAACAAACCAGCAATCTCAAGAGGACCCACAGACCCTCTGAAGGAAGCGAATGCTCCTGCAGGACCTGGGAGACACTCCAAATACTGTGAGTGCCCCAACTGCAGAAGAGCGAAAGGGAGACCCTCCCGTCCGCAA
Source organism: Homo sapiens (assembly GCF_000001405.40). Classification (NCBI taxonomy): domain Eukaryota; kingdom Metazoa; phylum Chordata; class Mammalia; order Primates; family Hominidae; genus Homo; species Homo sapiens. The sequence continues at coordinate 189,048,861 of NC_000003.12, forward strand.
CACACACCCCCACTGGAGAAGCTGAAGATCTGTTTGCAGGAGAAGTTTCCAACTTCACCTGGAGCTGAGTCAAGTTAGAGAGCTGAGCGAAATACAGGGGTAGAGGAGCAGCAGAAAGGCCTTGAGAGCTCGCTTGGTCCCCAGGCAACCCATTCCTGCATGGCACCACAGCGATCCACTGGGAGGGTAGCCAGAGGAGCAGGGAGTAAAACTCCACAGGGAGAAGGAATTCTCTAGCTGAACTTTGTAATAATTTGAACAGGGTGAAAAGCCTCCCGGCCACAACTAGGGGAAGGGTGGGAATAGGTTGGGCAGACTTCACAGGCACAGGCACGGAAGAACTAAAGCCCTTTTCTCTTGCAGCTGGGAGGCAGATAGCCTCAGGCAAGTTTTCAAGCCCCTCTCGCCCTCCACCTGGAAACAGGCTTGGGGCTGTGGGTAGTGGGGGCATAGTGGGAGTGAGACTGGCTCTTCAGTTTGCAATGGGAGCTGGGTGAGGCCTCTGACTGCTTGCTTTCCCCCACTTTCCTGACGACCTTCATGACTCAGCAGAGGCAGCCATAGTCCTCCTAGGTACACAACTCCAGTGACCTGGGAATCTCACCCCCATACCCCACAGCAGCCACAGCAAGACTGGTCCGAGGAGAGTCTGACCTCAGACACACCTAGCCCTGCCCCCACCTGACGGTCCTTCCCTATCCACACAGGTAGCTGAAGACAAAGGGCATATAATCTTGGGAGTTCTAGGGCCCTGCCCACCACCAGTTCCTCTCCACACTACTACAGCTGATGCTTTCTGGAAAGCGCCACCTCCTGGCCCAAGGCTAACCAGCACAAAAATAGAGCATTAAACCACCAAAGCTAAGGACCTTTAGGGAGTCCACTGCACCTTCTGCCACCTCCACCAGAAAAGGTGCTGGTATCCATGACTGAGAGACCCATAAACGGTTCACATCACAGGACACTGTGCAGACAACCCCCAGTACCAGCCAGGATGGAAATTTAAAAAATCTTTGAACTGAATGACAATAATGACACAACCTATCAAAACCTCTGGGATACAGCAAATTTGGTGCTAAAAGGAAAGTTCGTAGCCCTAAACACCTACATCAAAAAGCCTAAAAGAGCACAAACAGACAATCTAAGGTCACGCCTCAAGGAACTAGATCAACAAGAACTGACTAAGCCCAAACTCAGCAGAAGAAAGGAAATAACCAAGGTCAGAGAAGAACTAAATGAAACTGAAACAAACAAACAAAAAACACAAAAGATAAATGAAACAAAAAGCTGGTTCTTTGAAAAGAGAAATAAAATTGATAGACCATTGGCAAGATTAACCGAGAAAAGAAGAGAGAAAATCCAAATAACCTCACTAAGAAACAAAACAGGAGATATTATAGCTGACACCACTGAAATACAAAAGATCATTCAAGGCTACTATGAACAACTTTATGCACATAAACTAGAAAACCTAGAAGAGATGGATAAATTTCTGGGAAAATACAACCTTCCTAGCTTAAATCAGGAAGAATTAGATAACCTGAACAGACCGATAACAAGCAGCAGGTTTGAAATGGTAATTTAAAAATTACCAACAAAAAAAATTCAGGACCAGACAGATTCAGAGCAGAATTCTATCAGACATTCACAGAATTGGTACCAATCCTTTTGACACTATTCCACAAGATAGAGAAAGAAGGAACCCTCCCTAATGCATTCTATGAAGCCAGCCTCACCCTAATACCAAAACCAGGAAAGGACATAACCAAGAAAGAAAACTACAGACCAATATCCTTAATGAACATAGATGCTAAAACCCTTAACAAAATACTAGCTAACCGAATCCAACAGCATATCAAAAAGGTAATCCACCATTATCAAGTAGGTTACATAACAGGGATGCAGGGATGGTTTAACGTACACAAGTCAATAAATGTGAAACACCACATAAGCAGAATTGAAAACAAAAATCACATGATCCTCTCAATAGATGCAGAAAAAAGCATTCAACAAAATCCAGCATTCCTTTATGATTGAAACTCTCAGCAAAATCGGCATGCAAGGGACATACCTTAATGTAATAAAAGCCATCTATGACAAACCCACAGCCAACATAATATTGAATGGGGAAAAGTTGAAAGCATTCCCTCTGAGAACTGGAACAAGAAAAGGATGCCCACTCTCACCACTCCTTTTCAACATAGTACTGGAAGTCCTAGCCAGAGCAATCAGACAAGAGAAAGAAATAAAGGGCATCCAAATCGGTAAAGAGGAAGTCAAAATGTCACTGTTTGCTGACGATATTTATCATTTACCTTGAAAACCCTAAGGACTTCTCTAGAGAGCTCCCAGAACTGATAAAATAATTCAGCAAAGTTTCCAGATACAAGATTAATGTACACAAATCAGTAGCTCTTCTATACACCAACAGCGACCAAGCAGAGAATCAAATCAAGAACTCAGCCCCTTTTACAAGCTGCAAAACAAATAAACAAACAAAAAACCACCTTAGGAATATACATAACAAAGGAGTTGAAAGACTTCTGCAAGGAAAACTACGAAACACTGCTGAAAGAAATCATAGATGACACAAACAAATGGAAACACATTCCATTCTCATGGATGGGTAGAATCAATATTGTGAAAATGACCATACTGCCAAAAGCAATCTACAAATTCAAGCAATCCTCATCAGAATACCAGGATCTTTCTTCACAGAATTAGAAAAAAAAATTCTAAAATTTATATGGAACCAAAAAAGAGCTCACATAGCCAAAGCAAGACTAAGCAAAAAGAGCAAATCTGGAGACACCACACTACCTGATTTCAAACTATACTATAAGACCATAGTCACCAAAACAGCATGGTACTAGTATAAAAATAGGCACATAGACCAATGGAACAGAATAGAGAACCCAGAAATAAACCCAATTACTTCCAGCCAACTGATCTTCAACAAAGCAAACAAAAACATAAAGTGGGGAAAGGACACCCTTTTCAACAAATGGTGCTGGAGTGATTGGCTAGCCACATGTAGGAGAATGAAACTGGATCCTCATCTCTCACCTTGTACAAAAATCAACTCCAGATATATTAAGGACTTAAACCTAATACCTGAAACTATAAAAATTCTAGAAGATAACATTGGAAAAACTCTTCTAGACATTGCTTTAGGCAAGGATTTCATGACCAAGAACCCAAAAGCAAATGCAATAAAAACAAAAATAAATAGCTGGGACCTAATTAAACTAAAGAGCTTTTGCACGGCAAAAGGAACAGTCAGCAGAGTAAACAGACAACCCACAGAGTGGGAGAAAATCTTTACAACCTATACATCTGCCAAAGGACTACTATCCAGAACTGCAATGAACTCAAATCAGTGAGATAAAAACAAACAATGCCATCAATAAGTGGGTTAAGGACATGAACAGACAGTTCTCAAAAGAAGATATACAAATAGCCAACAAACATATGAAAAAATGCTCAACATCACTGATGATCAGGGAAATGCAAATCAAAACTACAATGAGATACCACCTTACTCCTGCGAGAATGGCCATAATCAAGAAATCAAAAAACAGTAAACACTGGCATGGATGTGGTTAACAGGGAACACTTCTACACTGCTGGTGGGAATGTAAAGTAGCACAGCCACTATGGAAAACAGTGTGGAGATTCCTTAAATAACTGAAAGTAGAACTACCATTTGATCCAGCAATCCCACTACTGGGTATCTACCAGAGGAAAAGAAGTCATTATTCGAAAAAGATACTTTCACATGCATGTTTGTAGCAGCACAATTCACAATTGCAAAATTGTGGAACCAACCCAAATGCCCATCAATCAATGAGTGGATAAAGAAACTATTATATATATATATATGCTATGCAGCCATAAAAAGGAATGAATTAACAGCATTTGCAGTGACCTGGATGAGATTCGGGACTATTATTCTAAGCGAAGTAACTCAGGAATGGAAACCAAACATTGTATGTTATCACTGATATGTGGTAGCTAAGCTATGAGGACGCAAAGCCATAAGAATGATACAATGGACTTTGGGGACTTGGGGGGAAGAGTGAAAGAGGGGTGAGTGATAAAAGACTACAAATATGGTGCAGTGTATACTGCTTGGGTGATGGGTGCACCAGAATCTCACAAATCACCATTAAAGAACTTACTCATGTAACCAAATACCACCTGTATCCCAATAACTTACAGAAAAAAAAGAAAATCAGATGTTTAGTGTAGCCAGCTTCATCAATTATCTTAGCTAAATCTTCTGAATAACTTGTGGCTCCTATATCAGCACTTGCTGCTTCACCTTGCACTTTTAGGAAGACAGCTTTTTTCTTTAAACCTCATGAACCAACTTATACTAGCTTCCAACTTTTCTTCTGCAGCTTCCTCACCTGTCTTAGCCTTCATAGAATTGAAGATAAAAGCAGCCCAATTTTCTCATAGAACTGATGTTTATGGTTTCTTTTGAGGAAACATAGAAATTGACCCTCCCAGTCTTGAAACTTGAGGAAATTATTTTTGTCTTATCCGAGTTTCTTTCTCAGGAAACCAAACATTTGGGCTCCCGGATAGTATCAAGGAATTGAAACTTACCAGATCACTGCATACGGACAATAAGATGCCAGACCCCGCACCCACCATGATTGCCTAAGTGACCTTCCACTTCCTGTTGACCAACTCCTGCTCCTTGCTCCTCCCTAATTTCTGTTTTCCCATATGTGGTTACATTTCTTCTCTGCTATATAAACCCCTAATTTTAGTCTGCCAGGAGGACGGATTTGAGACTGATCTCCCATCTTGGCTGCAGTACCCAGTTAAAGCCAATACTCATTGTCTCAGTGATTGGCTTTCTGTGTGGTGAGCAACAGGACCTAGACTGAACCCTGGTGTTTTGGTAACAAAGAGCAACAGGACCTAGACTGGACCCTTGTGTTTTGGTAACAAGGAGAGTTAGGTCATCGCCCTGGATTAGGCTTCGGCTTAAGGGAATGTTGTAGCTTGTTTGATCTTCTTTACAGATCACTAAAACTTTGTATCTGCAATAAGGCTGTTTTGCTTTCTTAACATTTGTGTATTCATTGAAGTAGCACTTTCAATTTCCTTCAAGATTTTTTCCTCTACATTCACAGTTTGGCTGTTTGGGGTAAGACGCTCAGCTTTCAGTCTTTTTTGTTGTTGTTGTTTTCAACATTCTTTTCTCACTAAGCTTAATCATTTCTAGCTTTTGATTTAAAATGAGAGACATGCAAATCTTCCTTTTACTTTAACCCTTACAAGTCATTGTAGGATTATTTATTGGACTAATTTCAAAATTGTTATGTCTCAAAGAGGAGAGAGTCCTAAGGAGACAGAGAAGGACGGGAGGATGACCAGTTGGTAGGACAGTCAGAGTATACACATTTGTCAATGAAATTTGCCATTTTATAAGACCATGGTTTGTGGCACCCCAAAACAATTACAATATTAACATCAAAGATCACTGATTATAGGCTAGGCGCAGTGGCTTATGTTTGTAATCCCAGCACTGTGAAAGGCTGAGGTGGGATTACAAACATAAGCCACTGCATCTAGCCTGTAATCAATGATCTTTGATATTAATATTGTAATTATTTTTGGCGTGCCACAAACCATGCTCTTATAAAATGACAAATTTAAATGGCAAACTCCTCAGGGCTAGGAGTTTGAGACCAGCCTGGACAACATAGTAAGACAACAATGTCTACACACACACACCCACAGATGCACACACACAAAAGCCGGGTGTGGTGGTACCCATCTGTAGTCCTAGCTACTGGGGAGGCTGAGTGAGAGGATCACTTGAGCCCAGGGTAGAGGTTATGGTGAGCTATGATTGCGTGACTGCACTCCAGCCTGGGTGACAGAGTGAAACACTGTCTCTTAAAAAACAAAAATCACTGATTATATATAACCATAACAGATAGGATAATAATGACAATGAAAAAATGTTTAAAATAGTTTGAGAATTACAAAAATGTGACACAGAGAAACGAAGTAAGCATGTGCTGGTGGAAAGATGGTGCCAATAGACTTGCTCAATGCAGAGTTGCCACAAACCTTCAGATTGTAAAAAATGCACCATCTGCAAAGTGCAATAAAGTGGAGTGCATTAAAATGAGGTATGTGTGTACAGTTTTTCTCTAACTAAACTATCTGTTTGAATAAAATGCTACCTAGTATTTAGTTGTAGAGTTTCTCCTGGCTAAATTAAAAGTTTTGTCTATGAACACTTAGGCTAGAAATATGAGATCCTTTTCTAAGGTCCCCAGGTAGTTAGAAGAGATCTCTTAATGCCCAGTCTAAAAGTACCACTGTCTTTCTTCTAGTGTTATCTCTTATTTCCTCTTCTTTCCAAAGACCTTCTACTGTTCCTAGCTTAGGTTTTGATCCTCAGAAGCAGACCCTGAGGCAAAAATCCATGTGAAATTGAATTTTAAGGAAATGTTCCCAAGAATAACTTGTAGAGTAATAGCGAAGTGGAACCAATAGAAAAGGAGGCCAAGTCAGAGTACGCTATCAACCAGAGGTCCGCAAGGGCCCACTCAGGCTCTGATTCACAGGGAAGTTTTGGGAAGCGTGTAGGTAGTCCCAAAAATTTGTCCCAACCAAGGTGCAGGGGAGCTAGAACATTTATATTCCTCACTCACCAGTCATTTGTTAAAGGAAACTCTCCATCTTCCTGACCAGAGGGCTGGGTTGTGGATGGGAATATGTAACATATCAGACACTTCTTATTCTCTGACTGTGTAGGCAAACAGTTTCTGGCCATTTGAGAACAGCCCTCCCAACAAAGAGATGGCAGGTGCTAGTTTTCAGGAGTAAAATTCCACCCAAAGCTAGCGTTCATGAAATTGGTAATGAGGTCCAAGGGAATATGTGTGGAGTCCTGATACTGACCCATACAGTTCCTTTCCAGGCATAGAGGGTAGAGTACTACACCCATTATGATCTGGCTCCAAAACCTCTCTCACTGCTCTGCTTTTCCCTTACCTTCCAGTCTCCTACCTTTCTATATGCTGTTTCTTCTGCCTGCAGTGGCCCTCTCTTCCCTGTCCATTTGCTCTTTCTTACTCTGCTTCAATGTCACCTCTTGTATGAGGATCTCTCTCTCCCTCCCTCCCTTCCCTCCCTCCCTTCCTTCCTTCCTTCCTTCCTTCCTTCCTTCCTTCCTTCCTTCCTTCCTTCCTTCCTTCCTTCCTTCCCTCTTTCTTTTCTGAGAGAGAGTCTCATTCCATTGCCCAGGCTGGAGAGCATGGCAAGATCTTGGGTCACCGCAACCTCTGCCTCCCGGGTCCAAGCGAGTCTCATGCCTCAGTCTCCCAATTAGCTGGGATTACAGGCACATGCCATCATGCCCAGCTAATTTTTGTATTTTCAGTAGAGACGGGGTTTTGCCATGTTGGCCAGGTTTGTCTTGAACTCCTGACCTCAAGTGACCTACCCACCTCTGCCTCCCAAAGTGTTGAGATTACAGGCATGAGCCACCATGCCCAGCCTAGCAGAGGTATTTTTGCTGTTTGTTTTCTCTCCCCCTTATTTGTGTGTGATTCCTACCAGGCAGAGTACAGGACCCAATAAATAGGCCTCAATAAATGTTGAGTAAATGAATGAAAAGAACTTCAAGTCTCCCTGCCAATCAAAGTAATCAATCTCTCCATGATTACACCATTTTCCTCTTAATCATAATTATTTATACTCATGTACTAATTCCCCTGCCAGTTTACAAGTTCCTTGAGGTCAAGAATCATGTTAGATTCCCCCATGAAAGTGCCTAGTATAGGTTTTTGAACATGGTAGGGGTTCAGATGATGCTAACTGGAGTGGTTACAAGAATCTCTCAGTGCAGACAGATGAACAGATTGAATCCATGATACTGCAGCAGGGTGGGGTTTTCAGTTTTTACTCTTGTTCACACCTACTCCTTTGGGACTGTAATGTCTTAGGCTACTAATCAAAATGATGGCTGGTGCTTTGGAAAGCCTCAGTACTATGTCACGATTGAAGATGATATACATCCCCAAGTTCATATGATTTTTTTTCCACTGTACATCCAGTGCTCTTCCAACTGCATCTTGAACTCACTTCCCCCTGAGGATAATTTCTGAAGTGTAAAAATTAATCACTCTTGCTTCCCCTTGAAGCATTGCTAAATTAATGGCTTGACATCACATCTATCATGCTTTCTCTAAGCTCTCTAGGGCCCGTTAGGATTGGGGAGTTTCTGGGAACACAGCACAGGCTGAGTGAGAAAATCTTCCTTGGGAATCAGTGAGTGAATCCAAAATTGTTTCATACACAGTGGCATTTGAGGCCCTGGGCTTATGGCTTGTGTTGCCAGCACATGATGTATGCTTCAGCCATGAGGTGCTTGCTCACGTTTGCATTGGTACACTATTTCTTCAGGTCTGAATCACTAAAGTAGAAAATATTCCCTCTGGGCTGTAACATGAAAGAGAAGATTTTTAGATTGAAAATCATTTTGTAAACCTCCTGCAATTTTATTTTGTCTAGACAAAAGGCAATAAAAGGAAGAAAAATCATCAGAGATGGTAATAAGGAGACACGTGCAAGAGGATTTGCTTCTTACAGAGCCCTGATTGCTTTTTTTTTTTTTTTACACATTCTGTGGGCTCTTTTCTACAACCCCATCACTTTCTAAAAATTCTTCAGACACTTTTCTCTGTTTGACTGCTCTCCCAGGAGAGAAGTGTTAATAGATGTGGACAAACTTCATGTTGAAACAAAAACATGGAATAAAACACCAGAAGTAAATGACTCACTAATAGGAGACAAGAGGGCATTATTCTAATTTTGGAACCATGGTTCATATTTCTATTAGTATATATATACATATATATATATATACACACACATATACATATATGTATATTTATGGGTATGTATGTATATATATGTGTGTATATATATACACACATATGTATGTGTGTATATATATACACACATACGTATGTGTGTATATATATATACGTATACACATATATACACACGTATATATCTTGTATATATGAATATATAAGTATATATTGTGTGTATATATATGTTGTATGTACATATATTGTAGGTTGTGTATATATTATGCTGAATATTAACATGACAGTATGTATATGTCAGGATTTTTTCTGGACCTCCACCATCTTCCTCTGCATAGTGAGTTAATTGAAGCCAATTTGGGCTGGGATATCCACTACCTGTAGAGTGAGTTTGTACTCATAGACTGTCAGCAAGAAAGGGGCCTTGGAGATCATCAGTTATGTCCCCAATCACATATCACACTTAGGAAGAGCGAGGTCCCAGCGATGACAAGTAATGTAAATATGTGTTAGAGCTGAAGTGTCAACATTGCACTCTGGGATCTTTTCATCATCCAAAGCTTTGCTCTCCTTAAATCCATCTCTGACATGTTTATCAATAGATTATTTTCTTTGTACTCAGGAGTGTAACGTCGGTACACAGAAAGTCTCCACAATTGTAGTTTGGCCTCAATTGACACAGTAATAGGCGGAAAGTGAAAATGTTAGCTGGTTTCTATAAAATGGCACCAAACACACAACCTAATTAATTCTGCTTTATTCTTTATATTTATAACTGTGTATCTACCCTTTGTGGGGCCCACAAAACAAGTCATTGGATCAAGGGATTCGGAAAAGTCAAGGCGCTGTTAGAATTAATATAGTCTCCACAAAGAAGGGTGCTAACAAAGAGGTATGCATCATGAAATTGTTTTAAGAAAAATAATTGTTAATGCTGGTTTCTTAAAGCTGATGCTTCCTTAGGAAAGCAGTGGGTTGTCTGTGGGGCTAATTTACCCAGTATGTGACTAACTTACAACAGCTGTATTTAGAATACACACTCAGCCTTTATCGCTGGGGCTGAAGGAGAGTTGAATGCTTTATGCTTTTGCTGCTCAGGCTGAATTGATGGAATGGACCTCAAAATATATTAACTATAAGGCATACTTAGAAGCATTGAAAACGTCCCACATGCACAGATACCAGCAAGCAAGATCGAGCAAACTGAGGAATTTTCATTTAGATGGGGTCCTTTCTGTAAGCATATCTAGTTCTGCCCCTCTTAGCACTAGCACTGAGGCTCCAAAAGTCATTAGGGTGTCCCAGGGCAGAGTAGTAGCAGTTCTGGCTCCGTTGCTTGCTAGTTCTGTGATATTGGGCAAGTTATTTACCCTAGCGAGCCTCAGTTTCCTGATGTCTAAAATTTAAATAATAATATCTAATTCATAGGATTGTTTTGAGGATGACATGAAGTAGTCCCAAGTTTCCAAGTAAGACAGTAAGAATAACTAATATTTTCCAAGCACTTTCTGTGCCAGACACAGTTCTTAAGTACTTCACAAATATTAACTCAATTAAATCTTAGAAAAAGTCTGTGAGAAGGCCAGGTGCAGTGGCTCATGCCTGTAATCCCAGCACTTTGGGAGGCTGAGGCGGGTGGATCAGGAGGTCAGGAGATGAAGACCATCCTGGCTAACATGGTGAAACCCCGTCTCTACTAAAAATACAAAAAATTAGCTGGGTGTGGTGGCATGCGCCTGTAGTCCCAGCTACTTGAGAGGCTGAGGCAAGAGAACCGCTTGAACCCAAGAGGTGGAGGTTGCAGTGAGCTGAGATCGCGCCACTGCACTCCAGCCTGAGCGACAGAGCAAGACTCCATCTTAAAAAAACAAAAACAAAAACAAAATGAAAAAAACAAAGGAAAAAAAAAAGGTCTGTGAGATAGTCAATATTTTTGTTTCAGTTTTAAACATGAAAAAACTGAGGCATAGTGAGGTTAAGTAATTTTCTTAAAATCACATAAATAGTAGTTATATAGCTGGGATTCAAACCTTGATAGTCTGGAATGAAAGGTAATATAGATCAAGTAGGCTTCATCCCCAGGATGCAAGGTTGATTCAACACATACAAATCAATAAATGTGATTCATCACATAATAAAGACAAAAGCTGCATGATTGTCTCAATAGATGCAGAAAAGGCTTTCAATAAAATTCAACATTCCTTCATGTTAAAAACTCTTGGCTGAGTGTGGTGGCTTACGCCTGTAAGCCCAGCACTTTGGGAGACCGAAGTGGGTGGATCACCTGAGGTCTGGAGTTTGAGACCAACCTGACCAACCTGGAGAAACCCAGTCTCTACTAAAAATACAAAATTAGCCGGGTGTGGTGGCGCATGCCTGTAATCCCAGCTTTTCAGGAGGCTGAGGCAGGAAAATCACTTGAACCTGGGAGGCAGAGGTTGTGGTGAGCTGAGATTGCGCCATTGCACTCCAGCCTGGGCAACAAGAGCGAAAATCCGTCTCAAAAACAAACAAAGAAACAAACAAAAAACTCAATAAACTAGGTTTTGAAGGAACATACCTCAAAATAATAAGGGCCATCTATGACAAAGCCACAGCCAACATCATACTGAATGGAGAAAAGCTGGAAGCATTCCTCTTGAAAACTGACACAAGACAAGTATGCCCTCTCTCACCACTCCTTTTCAACATAGTATTGGAAGTCTTGGCCAGAGGAATCAGGTAAGAGAAAGAAATAAACAGCATCCAAATTGGAAGAGAGGAAGTAAAACTATCCCTGTTTGTGGAAGACATCATTCTATATCTAGAAAACCCCATAGTATTGGTTCAAAAGCTCCTTAAGCTGATAAATAACTTCAATAAAGTTTCAGGACATAAAATCAATGTGCAAAAATTGTTAACATTCCTATATACTAACTACAGCCAAGATGAGAGCCAAATCAGGAAGGCAATCCCATTCACAGTTGCCACAAAAAAGAATAAAATACCTAGGAATACAGCTAACCAGAAAGGTAAAATATCTCTACAATGAGAATTTTGAAACTCTGCTCAAAGAAATTAGAGATAACACAAACATATGGAAAATCATCCCATGGTCATGGATAGGAAGAATCAATACCATGAAAATGGCCATACTGCCCAAAGCATTGTACGGATTCAACACTACTCCTCTCAAAGTACCCATGACATTCTTCACAGAACTAGAAAAAAACTATTTAAAAATTCATATGGAACCAAAAAAGAGCCTGAATAGCAAAGGCAATCCTAAGCCAAAAGAACAAAGCCAAAAGCATCACATTACCCAACTTCAAATTATACTATAGGGCTACAGTAACCTGAACAGCATGATACTGGTATGAAAATAGGCACATAGACCAGTGAAACAGAATAGAAAGCCCAGAAATAAGGCCACACATTCACAACCATTTGATCTTTGACATTGCTGACAAAAACAAGCAATGAGGAAAAGACTCCTTGTTCAATAAACGGTGTTTGGAGAACTGGATAGCCATATGCAGAAGATTGAAGCTGGACTCCTTCCACCATATACAAAAATTAACTCAAGATGGCTTAAAGACTTAAATGTAAAACCCCAAACTATAAAACACCCCTAGACAAACTGGGCAATATCATTCTAGACATAGGAATAGGCAAATATTTCATGACAAAAATGCCAAAAGCAATTTCAACAAAAGCAAAAATTGACAAATGAGATCTAAGTAAGCTAAAGAGCTATTGCACAGCAAAAGAAGCTATTAACAGAGTAAACAGACAATGTACAGAATGTGAGACAATATTTGCAAACATTGCATCTGACAAAGGTCTAATATCCAGCAGCTATAGGGAACTTAAATTCACAAGAAAAAAACAAACAATCACATTAAAAAGTGGGCAAAATACATGAACAGACACTTTTCAAGAGAAGACATACATGTGGCCAACAAGCATATTTAAAAAGCACAATATTACTGATCATTAGAGAAATGCCAATCAAAACCACAACGAGATGCCATCTCATGCCAGTCAGACTGGCTATTTATAAAAAGTCAAAAAGTAACAGATGATAGTAAGGTTGTGGAGAAACAGGAACATTTATACACTGGTGGTGGAGTGTAAATTAGTTCAATCATTATGGAAAGCAGTGGGGCAATTCCACAAAGAATTAAAAACAGAACTGCCACTTGACCCAGTAATCCCATTACTGGGTATACACCTAGAGGAATATAAATCATTCTACCATAAAGACACATGCCTGTGAATGTTCACTGCAGCACTATTCACAATAGCAAAGACATGGAATCAACTTAAATGCCCACCAATGACAGATTAGATAAAGAAAATGTGGTACCTATACACCATGTTATACTGTGCAGCCATATAAAAGAACAAGATCATGTCTTTTGTGGGAACATGGATGGAGCTGGAGGCTATTATCCTTAGCAAACTAATGCAGGAAGAGAAAGTCAAATACCACGTGTTCTCGCTTGTAAGTAGGAGCTAAATGACGAGGACCTGTGAACACAAAGAAGGGAACAACAGATACTGGGGACTACTTGAGGGTAGAGGACTGAGGAGGAAGAGGATCAGAGAAAATAACTATTGGATACTAGGCTTAATACCTGGGTGATGAAATAATCTGTACAACAAACCCTGGCGACATGAGTTTAACTATATGTCAAACCTGAATATGTATCCCTGAACCTAAAATAAAACTTTAAAAAAAGAAAATGATAATTTTTTTGGACTGTTAGGAAGAAAGAAGGAACAAAAAAATAGCAGAAATATGAGTACATACAATGGACTATCCTTCCCCTCATGAGTTTTATAAATCATAATTGATCACTGAAATAAAAATTCTCTTACCATCTGACATTCAATGATATTTAAAAGTGGAGAAGGAAAATGGACCTAAATTAAAGGGAGGATTCCATGTCTGAAATGTTGATGCCAGTAGAATGTGATAAGCCATATAATAAGCCATATGTATATGTTGTAATATCCCCACCCCACAAAAAACTACAAAAGCTGTACAAAGAAATACTCTGAGAAATACTATAAATAAATCAAAATAGAATAATAAGAAATTTTCATATAACCCACAGGAAGGCAATAAAAGAGTAACAGAGTAACAAGAACCAGATGAAATAGAAAACAAACAATAAAATACTAGGCTTCAGTACCAACATATCAAAAATTATCTTAAATATAAATTATCTGAATACATCAATCAAAGAAAGAGATTGGTAGAGTGAACAAAAAAGACCCAATGATATACTGATTACAAGAAATTCACTTTAAATTCAATGATATGGGTGGATTGAAAATAAAGGAATAGAAAAAATTTACCATGCAAACTTTAAGCAAAAATGCAGGTGTGGTGTATTAATATCTAATAAAGTGGACTTCAGAGCAAAGAAAATTACTAGAGAAAAAGTCACATTACATAATAATAAAAGGATCAACTTACTAGGAAGAGGTAGTAATTCTAAATGTACACACCAAAAAACAGAGCTTCAAAATGCATAAAGCAAAAACTGATAGATTTGCAAGGAGAAATAGGTAAATCTACAGTTATAATTCAGTACTTCAGCATTACCTTTCAGCAACTGATAGAACTCCTAGAACTCCTAGACAGTAAATCAGAAAATACTTAAAAGATATGAACCACACAATTATTCACCAATAGTATCTAAACGACATATGTAAAAACTCCACACAATAGCAGAATAAACTTTTTTTCAAGTGCCCATTTAACATTCAGTTATATATTCCATATTCTGAGCCATAAAATATACCTCAACAAATTTATAAGAACTGAAATCATACAGTGTGTTTTCTCTGACTACAATGGAATCAAACTAGAAATAAATAAAGTCTACAGGAAATTCTCAAAATATGTGGGAATTAAGCAACATACTTCTAAATACTTTATTGGTCAAAAAGGAAATCTCAAAGGACATTTAATACATATACAAAACCAAATTAAATTGAAACAATAATGTGTCAAAACATATGGGATGCATCTAAAGCAGTCCTGAGAGGGAAATTTATAGCAGTAAAAACTTACTCTAGAAGCAAAGTGTTTTGGAGGTCCCCAAGACCACTCCTGTTTTGGTGATTTTATTAGAAGAGCTTTTAGGACTTAGAAGTCATTATACTCATGATTGTGGTTTATTATAGTAAAGGGTCCCAAGAAAAATCAGTGAAGAGAAAAGGTGTATGGGTAACGTTTGGAGAAAATCAGGCACAAGCTTCTAAGAATATTCTTCTAGTGGAGTCACTAGAAAATACACTTAATACACATAAGATGCACTTAATTCTTCCAAGAATAAATTGTGAAGGTGCATGTAAAGTTTTGTCTATTACAGAGACTTGTCTAAGCCTATAAGTTCACAATTTTCATTGTGGGTTGGTTACATAGGGATATAGTATCCGTAGGACTGACTACAGTTGCTGAAGATCCAGGTCCCCAAAGGAAATGAGTTTGTTCATAAATCACATTCCTCATACAAACTATTTAGAAAGCCTGGCATAATATGGCTCAAGGTCCCAAGTGTTTAAAGCATTCCTAGAAGTTAGAACATTCCAAGATCTCAATTCCCAAGAACTGTTTAAGGCCTCACCACAGAATAGGGCTTTCTTGAGAACTGCAAAGTTGGAGCAACTCAGGACAACTGGGTTAACGCTTTCCTGTACACAAGAAAAAAAAATTCAAATCAATAATCTAAATTTCTTTCACAAAAGATTAGAAAAAAAGCAAAATACATCCGAAGCAAGCATAAGAAAAAATAAGAAAGATTATAGCAGAAATTAATAAGATTTAAAATGAGAAATGATAGACAAAGTTAATGAAAGCAAAAGCTGATTCTTCAAAAAAGTCAGTAAAATCAATAATCTCTAACAATACTAGTAAAAATAAAAAGTGAGATGACATCCCTAATATCAGGAATGAAATAGAGGATATTATGATAGATGCTGCAGCCATTACATTGCTAATTAGAGAATACTGTGAAAAGCTTTATGTGCTATAAATTCAACAACTAAAAAAATACACAAATTCCTAAAAAATTAGACACCACAAAAACTCAAACAAGTTGAAATAGATAATGTAAGTTGTCTTAGAATCATTACAAAATTGGATTAATAATTTAAAAACTAATAATTAAGAAATCTCAAGGTTGGCCACAGTGGCTCACACCTGTAATCCCAGTGCTTTGAGAGGTTGAGATGGGAGGATTGCTTGAGATTAGGAGTTTGAGACCAGCTTGGACAACAAGGTGAGACTCCATCTCTACAAAAAGTTTGAAAATTAGCTGTATGTGTTGGCGCACAGCTACTCAAGAGGTTGAAACAAGAGGCTTGCTGAAGCCCAGGAACTCAAGGCTGCAGTGAGCTAAAATTATGCTAGTACACTTGATTCTGGGTAACAGAGCTAGACTGTCTCTTAAAAAAAAAGAAGTAAAAAAATACCATTTTGAGACCAAAATGATTTTACTAAAGAATAATACCAAACATTTAAAGGAGCATTAACACAAATTTTGCACAATTTCTTCCAGAGAATAGAGAGGAAACACTTATTACCTTATTTTATGAGACCAGTAGTACTCTGATACCAATACCAAACAAAGACAGTACAAAGAAAGAAAGTCACAGACTTGTATCCCTCATGATTTTAGATGTAAACATTTTAAACAAAATATTAACAATCCCTATCTAACAATATTTAAAAAGAATTATAGATCATGAACAACAGATTTATTTCAGGTATAGAAAAGTGACTTAACACTCAAAAATCATTCATGTAATATACCATGTCCAAAAGCTAAAAAAAAAAGGCAATGATGATATCAATTGATGCAGAAAAAATATTTCACAATATCAAACATTTATCAGGATAAAAACATTTAGCAAGTTATAAATAGGAATTACTATGACTTGATATGAACATCTACAAAAAAACTGTAGCTAATATCATACTTATTGGTCCAAGACTAAATGCTTTCCTCCTAAGTCTGAGAACAAGGCAAGGATGTCTTTAATACTACTCTTATTCAATAGAGTACTGGCGCTCTAGCTACTGCAGTAAGCTAAGAAAAAAAAAGGCACACAGATTGGAAAGGAAGGAATAAAACTATAATTTTTTGAAGATGACATGATTATCTTAATAAAAATCCCAAGGAATCTAAAGAAAAAGAATCCTAGAACTAATAAATGAATTCATCAACTTTGCAGGATATAAGATTAAAACACAAAAATTGGACATTGCAGCTGATACTGCAGAAATTCAAAGGATCATTATAGACTACTATGAGCAACTATATGCCAATAAATTGGAAACCTAGAAGTGGGTAAATTCTTAGACACATACAGCCTACCAAGTTTAAGCCATGAAGAAATGCAAAACCTGAATAGATGAATAACAAGTAACAGATCAATGCCATAGTAAAAGTCTCCGAGCAAAGGAAACCCTGGGACCCAATTGCTTCATTGCTGAATTCTACCAAATATTTAAAGAAGAACTAATATCAATCCTACTTAAACTATTTCAATAAATAGAGGATAAGAGAATATTTCCAAACTCATTCAACAAGGCCAGTATTACCCTGATACCCAAACCAGACAAAGAACATTACAAAAAAGAAAACTACAGGCCAATATCGCTAATAAACATTGAGCAGAAATTCTTAATATAATACTAGCAAACTGACTTCGACAATACATTAAAAAGATATTTCATCATGACCAAGTGGGATTCAACCCAGGGATGCAAGGATGCTCCAAAAAATGCAAAAATAAATCAATATGATACATCATATCAGCAGAATGAAGTACAACATATGACCATTTCAATTGATGCTGAAAAAGCGTTTGATACAATTTAACATCCCTTCATGATAAAAACCTTAAAAAAAAAAAACTGGCTATAGAAGAAACATGCCTCAATACAATAAAAGCCATATACAACAGATCCACAGCTAGTATTATACTAAATGGGGAAAAACTGAAAGCCTTTCATATTAGATCTGGAACAAGACAAGAATGCCCCTTTCCCCAGTTATTCAACATAGCACTGGAAGTCCTAGCTAGAGCAACAAAATGAGAGAAAAAAACAGAAAAGGCATCCAAATTTGAGAGGAAGAAGTCAAATTATCCTTCTTTGTGGATGATACAATCTATCATTTGGAAAAACCTAAAGACTCCACCAAAAAACTATTAGAACTCATAAACAGATTCAGTAAAGTTGCAGAATATAAAAATCCACCTACAAAATTTAGTAGCATTTCTATATGTCAAGAGTGAGCAATCTGAAAAAAGAAATCAGGAAAGTAATCCTATTTACAATAGTTACAAATAAAACAAAATACCTAGGAATAAACTTAACCAAAGAAGTGAAAGATCTCTACAATAAAAACTATAAAACATTGATGCAAGAAATTGAAAAGAATACAAAAAGTGGAAAAATATTCCATATTCATGGATTGGAGGCATCAATATTGTTATAATGTTCATACTACCCAAAGCAATCTATAGATTCAGTGCAATCTCTATCAAAATACAAATTACATTCTTCAGAAATAGAAAAAATAATCCTAAAATTTATATGGAACCACAAAATGCCCAGAATAGACAAGTCTGTCCTAAGCAAAAAGAACAAAACTGGAGAAATCACATTACCTGACCTCTAATTATACTACAGAGCTATAGTAACCAAAACAGCATGGTACTGGCATAAAAATAGAAACATAGATCAATGGAACAGGACAGAGAACCCAGAAACAAATTCACACATCTGCAGTGAACTCTTTCTCAACAAAGGTATCGAGAAAATACACGGGGGAAAAGACAGTCTCTTAAGTAAGTGGTGGTGGGAAAACTGGATATCCATATGCAGAAGGATGAAGCTAGAGCCCTATCTCTTCACATATGTAAAAAAAATCAAATCAAAATGGATTGAAGGCTTAAATGTAAGACCTCAAGCTATGAAACTACTAAAGGAAAACATTGGGGAAACTCTCTAGGACATTGGTCTGGGCAAAGATTTCTTGAGTAACAACCCATAAGCACAGGTAGTCAAAGCAAAAATGGACATGTGGAATCATATCAAGTTAAAAAGCTTCTGCACAACAAAGGAAACAATCGACAAAAAGACAACCCACGGAACAGGAGAAAATATTTGCAATCTATCTGGCTGACAAGGGATTACTATCCAGAATATAAAAGGAGCTCAAACAACTCAATAGGGAAAAATCTAATAATCTGATTAGAAAATGGACAAAAGATCTGAATAGACTTTTCTCAAATGAAGACGTACAAATGGCCAACAGGTATATGAAAAGGTGCTCAATATCATTTATCAGCAGAGAAATGTAATTCAAAACCACCGTGAGATATCATCTCACTCCAGTTAAAGTGACTTTTATCCAAAAGAGGCAATTGCTGGCAAGAATGTGGAGAAAAAGTAACTGTCATACACATTTGATAGAAATGTAAATTAGTAGAGCCACTATAGAGAACAGTATGGTGGTTCCTCAGAAAACTAAAAATAAAACTACCAGATGATTCAGCAATGCCACTGCTGGGTAGATATCTAAAGGAAATGAAATCCGTATGTTGAAGAGATAATTGCACTCACAACATGCGCTATTTGCAATAGCCAGGATTTGGAATCAACCTAAGTGTCCATCAACAGATGAATGGATTAAAAAAAGATGGTACATATACACAACAGAGTACTAGTCAGCCATAAAAAAGAACAAGATTCTTGGCTGGACGCAGTGGCTCACGCCTGTAATCCCAGCACTTTGGGAGGCCAAGGTGGGTGGATCACTAGGTCAAGCGTTTGAGATCAGCCTGGCCAACATAGTGAAACCCCGTCTCTACTAAAAATATAAAAAATTAGCCAGGCGTGGTGGCGGTCGCCTGTAATCCCAGGTACTCAGGAGGTTGAGGCAGGAGAATCGCTCAAACCTGGGAGGCGGAGGTTGCGGTGAGCCGAGATTGTGCCACTGCACTCCAGCCCGGATGATAGTGCGAAACTCTGTCTCAAAAAAGAGAAAAAGGAAGGAAGGAAGGGAGGGAGGGAGGAGGGAGGAGGGAGGACAAGTTTCCATCATTTGCAACAACGTGGAGAGAACTGGAGAACATTATGTTAAGTAAAATAAGCAAGGGACAGAAAGACAAACTTAGCATTTTCCACTCATTTGTGGAAGCTAAACGTTAAAACAATTGGATTCATGAAGGTAGAGAGTAGAATGAAGGTTACCAGATGGGCATTTATTCAGAGAAATGAAGACCTATGTTTACACAAAAACCTGTATATGAATATTTATAGATGCTTTATTCATAATAGCCAAAACTGGAAACAATTCAGATGTCACTCAGTGGGTGAATAGCTAAACAAATTGTTACATCTATATCATGAATTACTGCTCAGCAATGAAAAAATCGCTAACTTCCCATGTGTACAACAGCCTGGATAAATCTTAAGAGAATTATGGTGACTGAAGGAAAAAAGCCAATTCCAGAAGTTATATTTTATAATTCCATTTAAACAACTTTCTTTAAAATACATACTTTTAGAAATGGAGAACAGGTTAATGGTTACCAGGGATAAAGGTAGGAGTGGGCCAGACGACAGTGAGTACAGCAAAAAGGGAAACATGAGAGATTCTTTCGGTGATGGAACTGTTCTGTATCTTGACTGTATCAATGTCAAAATCTTGGTTGTGATATTGTACGATAGATAGTTTAAGATCTTACTTTTGGGGGAGACTGGATAAAGGGTACATGGTATTTATCTATATTATTTTTTACAGTTGCATCTAAAGGTATAATGATCTAAAACAAAAATGTTTAATAAAAAAAGAAAAGCCCTTGCAAATACCACATGACCCAGAAATTTCAGTCTTGGGCATTTAGTCCAGAGAAATGACAACTGACATTCCCACAAAATGTATACACATGTTCATAGCAACTTTCTTCATAATAGCCCCAATCTAGAAATAGCCTAGATGTGCTTCAACAGGTAAGTAGTTAAACAAACTGAGGAACATACATACTATGGAATACTACTCCACAATACAAAGGAAAAACAGGCTGGGCGTGGTGGCTCATACCTGTAATACCAGCACGAGGTCAAGAGATCGAGACCATCCTGGCCAACATGGTGAAACCCTGTCTCCACTAAAAACACAAAAATTAGCTGGATGTGGTGGTGCCACGTGTCTGTAGTCCCAGCTACTCGGGAGGCTGAGGCAGGAGAATCGGTTGAACCTGGGAGGTGGAGGTTGCAGTGAGCAGAGATCACGCCACTGCACTCCAGCCTGGTGACAGAGCGAGACTCCATTTCAAAAAAAGAAAAAAAGGAAAAACAATAAGAAATACACACTGCTTGGAAGAATGTCCAGTGAATTCGACTGACAGAAATAATTTCAAGTTACATACTGTATGATTTAATTTATATAACGCTTATGAAATGACAAAATGTTAGAAATGGAGGACAAATAAGTGGTTGCCAGGGAGTCGTGATGAAAGAGGTATAGGCAGGAGAGGGGTGAGTATCATTATGAAAGGTCAACACAAGGAACCCTTGGATGAGGGAACTGTTCAGTACCTTGTCTGTGGTGATGGCTATATGAACCTATACATGTAATAAAATTGAATAGAACTAAACACACACACTCATGAATGTGCATAAAAATAAGTATAAGTCCCCTTCTCTGGGGATATTTGATTACGATTGCCAGTTCGTATCAATGTCAATATCCTGATTGTGCTATGATAGTATAGTTTTGCAAAATGTTACCACTGGAGAAACTGGGTAAGGTTTCTTAAGGATATATGTATTATTTCTCACAATTGCATTTGAATCCAAATGATTTCAATAAAAATTTAAATCAACGTATAGTAAGAAAGAGAGAGAAAGAGAACAATACGACAGTTTTATTAAAAAAATTCTTCGTGGCTACAGCTTGAAATCTAAGATAGCTGAGCATCTAGGTATTCCAGAATCTTACATTATTGAAAAGGAGATATTCCAACCAATCTAAAGTTAGTAGGAGCAAAGGCAATTACCTGAAAAACATGGCAGGAGATTGAGTTGGGGCTTGCGAGAAGTGTGAATCTCTGTGTGACCATTGTTTAAACTGGCCTTTGACAGTCCAAGATAGAGGCCACAAAGCTGAGGGTTGAGGGGATGAAGGAAGGCCTGTTGATTGAAAATAGAAATTCTCAGATTTGTTTCTGGGTTTAAATATGGTGACTTGATGAAACTTCTGGCTTTGTTACTTACCCCAGGAATTGCCTGGAAGCAAAGAAACTAAAAGCCAAAGAAAAAGAAAAAAAAAAAAAAAAAAGGAATGCCTTAGAAACAGCTCAGTGAAGGTCCCCAGACCAGGTGCCCAAAGCAGACTCTGGTCACCAGGGCAGAGAATCCTGTTATTCCTGCTCAGCAGAATTGATATATGCAGGGGACCAGCCATCACTATGTGTGGGTGGTTCCAATTTTTCCTTTTCCATGTGGGAACTTAAAGCTAACCCTAAATATTTCTGTTAAATAAGCCAATAAATTTCCTTTTTCCTTAAACAACTTTTAGTTTAGTTTAATGTCACTTACCATTAAAGAGATCCTTATAAATACATTGTTCATCCATTTTATACTTAGTAGTGTATGAGTTTTACACACACACACACACACAAAGTAGCACAGCAATGCAGAGGTATTTATCCACACAGACACAGAGGTGTCCACACACTTGCACAGAGGCATGAACTTACACCTATAAGCATCAGTATGCATCTGTACACACACAGACACACACACATGCAATTGAAAGAGGCAAGCACACAGGTACAGAAAAAGTCATTTACAGTGGTATATGTGTGTGCATACAGAGTAATAGCTCCAGCAAAAACTACCATTATGAGTCATCCTCTGCCTGACACCTTTCAGCATATCATTAGCCTGAGGGTATTCAAAGGCAGAGATGATGCACTTACTGCCAACGATTAATGAGCAGAGTTACATTTTGTTTGAGCTTCAAAAGATGATGTAGGATTATAATATAATGAAGGTTTCTAAGGTTCGAAATCTGCTAATTAGCTTGTGTGTTCACTTCAATGGAGCTTTGGTTCCCACAAATAAAATCAGCACCTAGATCTCTTTAAAGTAGTCTCTGCAGAGCTGGGTTCGGGAAAACTGTAGACTTACAGCATGGTATCATCTCTGTCCTTCTTGGTATATGCATGGACAGTAAAGCTAAGCCTCATTTAGTTGAGAAGTAGTAATCAGGGAATGTGAAATGTTGGCCATACTGGGCCTTTGTCAGGCTGACTTGATAGTGATGATGGAGAAAAAAAGGAACATTTTATGTTCTCACTGAACTTGATTCTAAAACATATGGAGGAGCAGGCATAATAAATGGGCCCATCATTTAAGGATTTCCCTTCTTTCATCAATGTCTTGAAGCAATTTAACATTCATATAACATTTGACCTACAGATC
Organism: Homo sapiens; assembly: GCF_000001405.40. Taxonomy (NCBI): domain Eukaryota; kingdom Metazoa; phylum Chordata; class Mammalia; order Primates; family Hominidae; genus Homo; species Homo sapiens. Next base: position 189,072,234 of record NC_000003.12, read on the forward strand.
ATATTCCAGAACTGTCAGTTTTCCCATAGTATGCTTTATGACTATTATCTCCTGCCCCAGTTTAAGAATCCAATCTAGAGTCATGAATTGCATTTAGGTGTCATGTTTCTTTACTTTCCTTTAATTAGGAACCATATTCAGCTGTTCTTTGTTTTTTATATTATTGATAATTTTGAAAAACAAAGCTCAGATATTTTGACTATTGTTTCTCAATGTGGATATTTTTTATATTTTTTATGATAAAATGGAAATTATCCCTTTATGGCTAGTGTACTCCACAGGTGATATTTTATTTTTCATGGGGCATACATCCAGAGGCACAATATGTCTGTGTGCCCTTCATTGGTAATGTTAATTTAGATCACTTGGTTGCAAGTGTTCAGTTTCTCCACTTTTTTCTTTTTTCTTTATAAGTAATTTGTAGTGATATGCTTTTAGATTTTGCAAGTATTTTTTATAAAACTACCTTCCTCTACCCAAGATCCATTGGTTGTTTCTTGCCTATCGTTCTCTTTATATCTCTCTATCAATCAATTCGTCCATCCATCCATCCATCCATCATTTATCTGTCTATGTAATTTTTATTAGTAGGGACTCATGGAATTTATTATGTTTAATTGTTTATAATCTACAACAGTTCTCATTAATTTCCTTACTCACATCGTCCCAGATATCAAAGTGGGAGCCCCTTCAAGCATGCTTCTGTGTATTGTTATATGCTTCCCAAGTTTTTAAGACACTTTCTTACTCTTTGGCACAACAAGATGATGATCTTATCTTGTGCTTTCCCTGCCCCAGTTATTGAATTGAATTAGTAGCTATTTCCACAATGAGTACTGGTTTGTTTAGTGGGAATAGCATTTAGAAACTGAGATCTGGGTACTAGATGTGTTCATTTCTATGTGAGTGCACTGTTTTAAGAGCTTTCATAGACAGACCTAGGAAATAGATACCTATATGGAATCAGAAGTTTCTATTTCTCTGAATGCATCCCAACCTTACAGGGTTTTTCCTTGCCTTCTCCCATTCTGTATGTGTATTTCTTCCTTCCAAGAACTCTGGCTTCCAGGGATATCTGTATATTTGCTCTTTTGTTCGGTCCTGTTAACACAGACACATACAAAGTTCTTTCAGTGTTATTACTCTCATGACACTATAAACACAAATCAATTACGAGTATTCAAGATTTGTTTGTAGTTCTTTTTTTCGCCCCTTTGGATGAAAGGTATATAGATAAAGTAGAGAACTAAGTTATTTGAATAGGTATCTTTTTTTCCCATTTAGTGTGCTTAAATTTATCTAAAACACTCTTATGTTCATTTTTTTCTGTTTGTACTTGGTTTTAGTGTTTTCTTTCTCATGCTCGTTGATTTAATTTTGTTTTGAATATGTAGATCATTATGATAATTCTATATGTCAAAACATTACAAAAACAATGTGCTCAGAAAAGTGTCACATTCTCCCTTATTCTTTATACACCCCTGTAGGTGAGCAATTTTATTATTTTTTGGTTTATCCTTTCAATGTTTCTTTTAGGAAAAATGACTTTTTTTCTTCTTTCTCATGCACAATATATACAGAAGTAATATGTATGCTTCTATTTTTATTCAAATAGCATGTATGCTACCAATATTCTCTTGTATTTTTACTTTTTATGGTTATCAACATATTTTAGAAATTACTCTGTATTATTTCATGTATTCTTACCCTCACTTTTGAATGACAGTTTAATTGAAACTGTTGATTCAAGTTGTGAACTCCTTTATTAGTTTTTGGAAGCTATTGGTGCTGATGAGAAGTCGGCCATCAAATAACGGTTGTTAGTTGTAGAATTTGGCCTTTCTCTTTGTCCTTGAAGTTTTTCAGATTCATCAAGATGGGCTGCTGTATAGATTTGGTGTAGATTTTTCTTTATTAATTCATGTTGGCGTTTGGAGTTTTTTTTAATTCTGAGGAATTATTTTCCTTTTTTTTTTTTTTTTTTTTTTTTGACGTGGAGTCTCGCTCTGTCACCCAGGCTGGAGTGCAGTGGCGCGATCTGCGCTCATTGCAAGCTCTGCCTCCAGGTTTCGCGCCATTTTCCTGCCTCAGCTTCTTGAGTAGCTGGGACTACAGGCGCCCGCCACTACGCCCGGCTAATTTTTTGTATTTTTAGTAGAGATGGGGTTTCACCGTGTTAGCCAGGATGGTCTCGATCTCCTGACCTCGTGATCTGCCCGCGTCGGCCTCCCAAGTGCTGGGATTACAGGTGTGAGCCACCGCGCCCGGCCCAGAATTGTTTTCTTTTTTACGTTTGGAAACTCTTTCTGGAACTCATATTAGATGTAGGTTAGAGCATCTTAGTTTATTCTCTATGCTTCTTAATCATTCTTTCATGTTTTTATTTCTTTTTCCCTGTGCTGTTCTTTCTTTAACTGTGTTCTTTTATTGATCAACTATGCTTATTTATTGATCTTATTGTTATATCCATATATTCTTTCATTAATTATGCTTTTTAAAATATCTTTGAATCTTTTATGTTATTTCATCATTTATCACTTTGAGTACACTAATATCCTTATTTTAAAGTCTGTCAGCCTACCTTTTTTTTTTTCTTGAGACGGAGTCTCGCTCTGTCGCCCAGGCTGGAGTGCAGTGGCGCGATCTCCGCTCACTGCAAGCTCCGCCTCCCGGGTTCCCGCCATTCTCCTGCCTCAGCCTCCCGAGTAGCTGGGACTACAGGCGCCCGCCACCACGCCCGGCTAATTTTTTGTATTTTTAGTAGAGACAGGGTTTCATCGTGTTAGGCAGGATGGTCTCAATCTCCTGACCTCGTGATCCACCTACCTCGGCCTCCCCAGCCTACCCCTTAATATCAGTTTTACAGAGAGCGAATTCATGCTCTGATTTTTAAATTTTATTATTTTTTTTATTTTTTGAGACGAAGTCTCAGTCTGTTGCCCAGGCTGGAGTGCAATGGCACGATCTCCACTCACTGCAACCTCTGCCTCCCGGGTGCAAGTGGTTCTCCCGTCTCCGCCTCCCAAGTAGCTGGGATTACAGGCATGCACCACCATGCCCGGCTAATTTTCTTGTATTTTTAGTAGAGATGGGGTTTCACCATGTTGGCCAGGCTGTTCTCGAACTCCTGACCTCAGGTGATCCACCCACCTCGGCCTCCCAAAGTGCTAGGATTTACAGGAGTGAGCCACTGCACCTGGTGCATGCTCTGATTTTTTTGCTTCATTGGTTGTCTTTCCTCACTCTAGACTTCTTTATGAGTTTTAGAATTTGAGTAGATGGGCCCATTGTCAGTCAGCCAAATTATTTTTGTCTCTTTTTTCTCCCTGGTCAGTATTTTGCATTTCTCTAGGCACTTGAAACTATCTCCCCCTATCCCCAGTTCTGAGTCTGATTTTATAATGGCATTCTGGGGCTTTAGATTTGTGGTGATTTTAGAGAAAATTAGTTGCCTTGGTCAGTTCCACATCAGAGTGTATTTTTACAGTCCCACTTCCTTAGCCCACAGTTCCCATCAACTGTATCTTCAGGGATAAAATTGGCAACTTTTTAATTTTCTGCTCCCTTTTATGCACGGGGATAACCCCATACTTAGCAAATCCCTATCTTCAAGCAGTCAGCCTAGTTTTGTTCACCTGTCTTGCATGGAACACTTTTCTTCCATTATTCTATACCTGCCACTTCTGGTTTCTCTCTCCAAAGGCGCTCAGGTTCTTTGTTTCAACTCCCCTTCCCAATATATACTTTTTTTCTCTTTATGAATATAACAACATATTTATTTTCTTCAACCCCAATTTTCAGGTGAGGATATTAAAATATTAAGATGAAACGACTTGTCTCAAGCCACATGGTTAATATGTGGAAGGGCTGGGACTCATATCCAGGTATACTTGGCCTGAGATTTCATATTTTTAGTAGCTCCAAGCGGCCTTCTGGTTGGCTTTTGTTTGTCCATTAAGCATTTTTTCTAAACATCTAATAGGTTTGGACTTTCTTTTCTAATTTAGACTGTAAAAAAGAGCGCTTTTCCTCACAAATGCATAATGATATGGTGAAATGAACACTGGGCTGTAAGTAAAATTACCAGAGTTTGGTTCCTGGCTTGGAAATTAGTTGTCTCTGGCCCTCAGTTTTATCTTCTAAAACATTAAGTGGTTTGACTTAGATGGGCTCTAAGTTCCCTTGCAGTTCTAATGATCTGTAAGTGCACCTTTAGTATGCTCCATTCTCAGCAAGCTGTATTTTGCTGATTGAATATCATCTTTTAAAAATATGTGTATTATCTGTCACTGAGACTGTTTTTTTTTTTACAAAAAAATACTTGTATAAAAACAGAATGGGCTCATCGCCATGAGCAGATGGTTAGTAAGTAGTTTAATGGTTCCATATGGAACACTGTTGTTAAGCCCTGGGCTTAATGGTCTCTCCTTCCCCCTTTTTAAATTCATAGATCATTACTGGGAGTGATAAGATAATGTAACTAAAAAAAACATGCCCAGTAATTTCCAGGAAGATACTAATGGGCCACCTAGGCAAATGTATCACTGTTTATACTGGAAATGACAGATGAATACCCAAACTCTCAAATAAATAGCTAAATATTGTCATTTATTGAGTCAGATTTGAAAAGAAGTTATAGCATTATATGCAGAAAAGTGGGCAAACACTTCACAAAAGAATATATGTGTACATATATATATATATATATAGCCAATAAGCACATGAGAAAGTGCTTATTGAAAATAAAAACCACAATAAGATAAATTGTAAATGGCTAAAATCAAGAAGACAGACAACATTAAATGCCAGTGATGATATGGAGCAAGTGGAACTTTCCTACATTGCTGTTCTGAGTGAAAATGCTGCATAACTATGGGAGAGTGTTCCGCAGTTTTTTAAAGTTCAGCAATTATGTACTCCATGGCTGTTCCACTTCTAGGAATTTACTCAAGATGTATGAAAATATAAATCCACAAAAGATTTAAACAGCAATGTTTATGGTATATTATTAATTCAACGTCATATTACTTAGCCTTTAAAAATAATGAACTACTTTTACACATAACAACGTGGATCTCAAAAACATCATATTAACTGAATGAAGCCAGATTCAACAAAAATACACACTTTCTGTATTTTTGCCTATACTAACTAACTAATAGTTAGGCAACTAATAGTTAGTTAGTTTGCCTAACTAACAGTTAGGCAAAACTAACTATGGGGATAGAAATCAGAAATTTGTTGCCTCTTTAGAAAAGATTGAGTGGAAAAAGACACAAGGAATTTTTGGGGTGATAAAGATATTCAATATTTTGTTGCGGGAATGATTATATAGGTGTACAAAATTGTCAAAATTCATTGAACTCAACACTTAACAATTTGTGCATTTTACTGTATGTTAATTATACCTAAACTAAAGAGAAATTGATATATTCCACCCTTTTAATCCAGTCAGAGATTGTATTTATTGATTGGAAATATTCACACTTCACACCTTTTAGGCACTCAGTATAGATTAGATTTTTATTAATCTGCTTTGAAATACAATGAGTTCCTTTCTTACCAGATATTTTCTTTTAGTTGGAGAATTGAGAAATTGCACTGTTAGCTTTGCATTTGTACAGAAACCAGTGTATGGTGGCTTAAACTTAATATAGTTTACCTGAAGTATAAAGTCAGTGCTTCTTCCAAACAAAGATGATCATGTAGCCATTTACCAATTACTGTGCTTTGAAGAACTCTCTTGGTCTCATTAATATTTCTCCTAAAAACCTTTTCCTTCCTTCCTTCCTTCCTTCCTTCCTTCCTTCCTTCCTTCCTTCCTTCCTTTCTCTCCTTTCTCTCTTTCTCTCTTTCTCTCTTTCTTTCTTTCTTTCTTTCTTTCTTTCTTTCTTTCTTTCTTTCCTTTCTTTTTTTTTTTTTAGATGAAGTTTTGTTCTTGTCATCTAGGCTGGAATGCAATAGCACTATCTTGGCTCACTGCAACCTCTGCCTCTTGGGTTCAAGTGATTCTCCTGCCTCACCCTCCCGAGTAGCTGGGACTACAGGTGTGTGCCACCATGCTTGGCTAATTTTTGTATTTTTAGTAGAGATGGGGTTTCACCATATTGTTCAGGCTGGTCTTGAACTCCTGACCTCAGCTTGTCTGCCACCTCAGCCTCCCAAAGTGCTGGGATTACAGGTGTGAGCTACTGTGCCTGGCCAAAAACCCTTTTCTTAAAAATGTGTTTCTATAGTTAAAATGTCCTGAAGATGCAGTCTGTATTTCTTATACATCTTCTACTGAATGAGCGAAGGAAGGTAGACCTGGAATTGCCAATGAAATTTCTTACCCATAGCTAGACTGCAGTCTAAATTGTTTTGTCTTATTAAGTACTGTAAGCTCTTTTCTCTTGTCATGAATTCAGGGTTATGAAGAAAAATAATCTTTTGATAATAGATATATTATGCTTTATTATGTAATTAGGAACCCATGGCTCTGAATTCAGGCAGACTTATGTTTAAATACATTGGCTCCACCACACACTAGCTGTGCTACCTTAAACAAGTTTTCAGTGTTTCTGAGTCTATGTCTTTATTTAACTTTGTACAATAATAATGTAACAATAATGTCTACCTCAAGGGTTTTGTGTTATGACTTAAGTAAAGCAATAGTGTGGTGTTTGGCATGGGTAGGTCACCATAACTGTCATCGTGTCTCAGTCTGTTTACATTGCTATTGAGGGAATACTTTAGGCTGGATAATTTATAAAGAAAAGAGGTTTATTGGGCTCATGGTTCTGCAGATGGTATAAGAAGCATAGTGCTCACATCGCATCTGCTTCTGGTGAGGGCCTCAGGAAGCTTCCAATTATGGCAGAAAAGGAAAGGGAGCAGGAATGTCACATAGCAAGGGAGGGAGCAAAAGGAAGAGAGGAGGAAGGTGCCAGCCTCCTTTTAATAGCTAGATCTCATTGGAACTAATACAGTGAGAACTCACTCTTTATGGCAAGTAGGGAGGCAAGCCATTCATGAGGGATCTGCCCACATGACCCCGACACCTCCCACCAGGTGTTCCCCACCTCCAACATTGGGGAACAAATTTCAACATGAAATTTAGAAGGGACAAATATCCAAACTATGTCACATCATGAAGCTTCACTGTTACCACTTGCTTACTTGATTGTTATCACCCTCTAAATTGGAAGCCCCTCAAGAATAGAGACCATGGCTTCTATATCCATATTTTAACCTGCACCCAGAATAGTTTCACAATAAATGCTGAATAAATGATTTTACTTTTTCATTTTTGTGGTGTTTTCTCATTGTTTATGCAATATTAACATATACTACTAATAATTAAAAACAGAAGTATTTTAAACACACACACAAATATGCACACTCATAATTAATTAAACAAGATTCCTGGTCTTGAAAATATTTTTGTTTCTCTTGGCTTTGATTGACACTCTGCACTCCCCATATCCCAGTAGTACAACATGCAATTACTACAGTGAAAAACTAAATCATTCAATCTTTATTGGCTTTCTGGACATAAACTCAGTCTTCTAAGCACATGTTTAAGATCTCATCTATGAGGCCAAAAGGTTTAAATATGGAACAGTAAGCATTTTCCGAGGCATTCATCTGACTCGTAACCAAGTACTACCTGTGTTAATGCTTCACTTGTTTGTGGATGCCTTTTCCTGCCATCAAGATAATAAATGCTTTGTACCTGATACTTTTTTGTGCCCTCCCTCCAAATTCCAACACCTGATGTGGTTGGATGCACGTTGTATAGCTAAATAGATATCTGTTGAATGAACGAATAAATGAGAAAATTTATTGCACAGTTCTAGTCAGTATATAATGAAGGGCTACATTATATGGCAATGGACAAGACTGTAAGAGCTAGAAAAGATGTTGAAAGTTATCTAGTTCAAACTTCTTTTAAGTTTGGACAGCGAAACAGAAATCATGCTGGATCTTTAAATAGAGTGAGTTTTAATATCGGGAATTTGTCATTTCTGTGACAGAAATGCTGAAAAACCAAACAGAGAATAGTAAGGCAACCCAGAGAACAAAGACCACTCCTCAACTGGAGGGACTGGAGGGAGGTATTGCTTCCAGAGTTCAGAAGCTGGGACTATCCACAGTAGCTGAAGCCATAGAAGAGACATAGCCATTACTGCAGACACTGCAAAAATACACAGAAATAGGAAAAGTAAAATACTGGCTTGTCTTTCTTTTCTTGAATCTTTTTTCCTGCTTTCCTGGAGCCAAACCTACCCAAAAGCTAGAGGGCAAGGGAACCTTATTCCCTTGTAGTGATACAGAGAGGAAAAGGGAAGGGAGAGGATGGATCTGAGAGCAAACTGGCAGTTGACCAGCATAGGTTCCTAAAGAAAGGTGGGCATGGGCTAAGTCTGGAAGAATAAGTTGAATTTTGAAACTTGGAGGTGCAAGAATGAGGCATTTGGGAAAATGGGACCTAAAAGATAAAAAACAAGGAGGTATGAGGTATATTGATGCAGTGTGGGGAGGCCATCCTGGGTTGATTAGGAAGTACATATTGAATAGCACTGGGATTAACTAGGTAAACTGGGTTAGGTCATGATCTGGTATGCTAGTGGAGGAGTGACATGAGAAAATGGTATTGAAGGAAGAATGTTTGGCAGTGGCATGCAGGGTAGATTTGAGTGAGAAGAGACCAGAGGCAGGAAAGCCACAAAGGAAGCTACTGAGATAAGTTACACGTGGGCCAGCTAGAGTCTTGTCAAGGGATTGGCAGCAGGTGTAGAGATGAATATTTCTCTTTATAGAAGATGAAGGTAAAGAATTGGTTAAAAATGATGTCATTTATTTTCAGTCTGGATAATTAGAAGAATAATTGTGATTGAAACGGGCTGGTGACTGAAGATGATAGCAAAATATGAATGGACAAATCAAGGAAAATGAAGATATACCACTGAAGCTTGTTTGAAAAGATAGATGTGGTGATGCAGCTTTGAAGGTCATCAGTAGGCCATGAGAATGAATGAGGAAAAAATGCGTGGGGAGAGGGATTGTTGAGAGAACCAAGGACTAACCTTGGGTAATGTCTTAGAAGAGCCAAGAGGCAGAAGGAGAAAGAGGCACAAGTGAAAGGGACCGAGGAGCAGTCAAAGAGGCAGAAAGATGGGTAGAGTTTCAAGACAGAAAGTGAAAAGGCAAGTCAGGGCAGGATGAGGAGTCAGTATTATGCAGGTAATGGAAATATGGTCCAATTGGCAAGGTATAGTTACATGATGAACAATCCGAAATTCATGCTTGAATGAAAGAATAGAAGAAAAAAAGTATGGTCACAAGTATTAAATGATACAGAAAAGTTGATAAAAATACAGACCAAGAAAACACCTTACATGGTTCACTTTGGATCATTAAGTAGCAAAGATTACCTCTCTATTCTGAATTTTCCTTATAATGTAATGATGTATTTCTTTCTGTTAAAAAATAAACCAAACATATGCACATACACTTACTATATCTTCTCTTCCATGATTTCTTTCCTTGTTAAAACTATATGTCACAATTTATAGCATGTCGTAGTACCTCTATGGTGTTGCATATTTTTTAGGTTCCTTTGGTTATAATTCTGTATTGATGAAACTTTTTTTTGCAGTGTTATTTAACTGTCTTTGGAGGTTGGAATTTGCCTGGGATTCATCGAGATTTAGCTCAGCTCTGTTTTGCCATCAAAAGAGATTCTAGACGAGGCTAAACTCACTAAGGAAGAGTTGGGGGTTATTTGATAATAAGCCATCTACCTGGCTTCAGCTTAGTGGACAACATTGGACTTGTTGTCTGAGGTGGAACAAGATATATCTGAGGTCTATCTTGCTGAGGTGGAAACTATCAGTGGCTAGTGATAAGAGAGGGACACACAAGGTGAAAACATAAGAGGGTGTGTGTCTTCAACGTGTAAAGATGACCTGGAGGTAAGCATGTACCCTGGAAATGCAGCTATTTGAAATGAGAAAACCTGGGTCCTTGCCTGGCTTTGCCATCTCTTGCCTGCATGATTTTGAACAGATCATTCAATTAACCTCTCTGGGCCTTACATGACCCTTGGGAAGATTAACCAAGAGGACAAGATGAAAGTGTGGAGCATGCTGCTTGGCTCTATGTAGGTGTTCTTGACTGTTTTTCTTTACTATGCTTTATCTAGGAAGACAAAAACTTAAAAGAATGGTTAGGCATCTTGTCAGAAGCAAGACAACAGTTGGTAAGTCCTATCTCCCAACTCTTGAAGGCTATAGGCAGTCTTCTGGGCTTTATCTGCATACATGCCTGTTAATGGAGTCCCTCACAACGGATGCCAAGTCCAAGTCAAGATTTGTGACATCTTACACTTGAGCAACCGAGACAGGTACTCTCAGGTGTCCTGCCACTCACTCTAATTTGGTTTGACTGATTCTGTTTCAAACTTTACAATTTACCTTGAATTTCTCGAGCTCAGAAGGTAAATTCCAGTGGTTAGAACATTCATAAATGCAGCTGTAGCAGCCATAACCTGTAACTGACACTTTAAAAGGCCAGCAATTGATTCCAAGCATAGCGGAATATTTGACTGCTGATAATATCCCTGCTACATTTACTCATGCACACTCAAGAACGTACATTCACACACACACACAGCAGATATTTCCCTGTGTTTGTGCTATGTCACATGCACAGGAGATTTTGTTTTTTACCTGAAGGAAGAGAAATGGTATTTGGGTGGGGTCAGAGCCTAGGAAAAAGCAGGACAAGAAAAAGGGAGAAGATGGCACGGCTCATTTCTCATATTTTTCCATTGACTGGGATTGAGTGCTATAATTAGTGGGGGCTGTGGGTGGGGGCTGGGTGTGGAAGCTGGCAGGCCTGTTTAAAAAATATTTTGTGAGATTCTTGGCACAAGCATAACCGCTGGGGCCCAGGTGACCAAGGGTGACACTGAGCTGGGGAGGTGGGGCTTCTCATTGATACTGCATGGAAGCCAGCACATCCTTGGGGCCAGAGGCCTGGAAACTTTGACCACTCTGGCATAGGGATTCGGCTGCTAATGATGGGTGGAGCAGCTGTGGTGAGGCTTCTCCTGGGGGGTTTGTGGGCAACAGAGAAGACCTAGCAGAACCCAGAGAAGGAAAGGGAGGGGCAGGGAAGATGCCTTATGCATACTCTATCTGATCGACTGGTCCTTGGGCCTGTCACGCCATCTACCCAAGGGACCCCAGGAACCACTGGAGCAGGGAAGGGTTAGGTGACTTTAATTTTAATACCAGCTTTGTCATGAACTTACTTTGTTGCCTTGGGCAGATCATCCTTCCCTCTCTAGATCTGTTTTCCTATCTGGAAAATGAGGATTTGGGATTGGGTCTCAAAGGTTCCTCCTAGGTCTAACAGAATTAACCTCCCAATTGTATTAATCTGTTGTCAGTTAATCAAACAAAATATTTTCCTAGTGCCTATATCAAGTTTCTACTGCCAAATTCTAGAGATGGAATTATAAGTATATGTTGCCTGTGATGCTTGTCAGGTCCAGGTTCAAAACCCATTTTTGTCATTCACTGGCTGTTAATTTTCTTTATCTCTGATCTTCAGCTTCTTCATAGGAACACTGAGGATAGTAACACCTCCTGTTAGGGTTATTAAAAACAAAATGGGTCAGGCATGGTGGCTCACGCCTGTAATCCCAGCACTTTGGGAGGCTGAGGCAGGCGGATCACCAGAGATTGGGAGTTTGAGATCAGCCTGGCTAATGTGGTGAAACGGCTGGGCGTGGTGGCACATGCCTGCAATTCCAGCTACTTGGGAGGCTGAGGCAGAAGAATCACTTGAACCTGGGAGGCGGAGGTTGCAGTGAGCCAGGATTGCACTGTTGCACTCCAGCCTGGGTGACAGAGTGAGACTCCGTCTCCAAAAAAAAAAGAAAAGAAAAAAATGTACCATGCGTTGAAGACATAATAGGTGCTCAGTGAATATTGCCAACAATTATTTTATTATAAATTAGATATTCTAATAATGGACACTATTAACCTATACATAAAAATGTGGCTTTATAAAGTACCAATAGAAATACCAATACGTATGAGCTTGTCAAGGGGTCTTACTGAATTAAGAAACTTTCTGCTCAATATATATTCTATCATAAAAATAAGGAGCCATCCTTTGAGAATGCCCTGTTCTTTAGCTGTTTCATTACTCAGGCTTGCCTCAGAATTCCACTCAGCTTGTCATTCCTCATGTTTCTTTTCCTCTGACAAGAAACTGAGAAAGTCCAAGGATCTTTTCCATGTATGCAACTTAAAGATTTCAACCTAATTAAAGTAACTTTGCTTAATTAGGTTAAATATAACTTCTTTTATTCTGAATCAGAATCTAGAGAAAGCTATTCATTAACTAAGCTTTCTGTCTCTCACTATGCGTTTCTCTCAGAACTGCCATCTCTCCTCCACCCTCCACTTGGAACACTGTTATGTGGCCTAAATGGATGCTGGTCTTGTAAACCTATGTTTCCTGTGTAGTATCTAGATACAGCCCATTATCTGACATCATGCGTAAGAGGAAACTTCCTAAGTCCACACAGTTGCTACAAATAGTTACGCAACACTTGACCTTACCCAAATGTTTCAGGAGAGACTTCGCACCCCCAAAGGAAGCCAACCATATTTTTGTCATTTCTCTTGCCCCAGAAATAGTAGATGCTTGATAAAACATGTTAAATTACAGTAACAGACAATATGTGCACATGCTTTACCAAGAATAGTTGCAAACATTTTCTCATATGATCCTTGCAGCAGTCCTCTAAGAAAAATATGATTGTGCTGTTTAACAAATGAGGACACGTAGATTGAGTGATTTTATCCAAGTTACATGAATCATAAACTAGTAAAGCCTTGCCTTGACTCTAAAAACAAAACAAAAGCGAAAAGCAAGTACCGGGCTCTGTTACCAAGTGGGGCATAGGTACATTACGGTCCTATAGGTGGGGTGAGGTGAAGGATACTCAATGCCTGAAGGTGTGTCAGTCTGTCAATGAGCTATTCAGCTGTAAGCTATCCCCACAATTCATAGACATGCAATTCACATCTCATAGTATTTGCAAGACATGCAATTCATATCTCATAGTATTGGAAAACAAAAGGGAAAGATGGCTGGCGGTGGATACACATTTTCATTAATGTTTGGATTCCTCGTGTCTGTGTGTGTGTGCATGTGTGTGTGTGTGTGTGTGTGTGTGTATTATGGAGTTCCAGTAGCTGAATGTTGCAGCTAGACCAATGTTTGCTTCCCTAACAGGAGATAGCTGTTGCTGTCTGGTTCATTCTTTCCTGGGAGAGTCCTAATTAATATATGTTCCTCTCTTAACATGAGCTAATAACTAACTCCTCAGCCTAATCAAGAAGTATTTGAAGCAAATATACTGAGATTACAACTTTCCTTCCAGTTGAAGGATGACATCAGCAGCTTTATAGTGGAAACACTTTAACTTCTCAGGAATAAGTGATCTGATCCATAATGAAAAGTTCAAAGGCACAAATATTGTTACCGTTATGAAATTAATTGAAGATTAAAATCCATTTACACTTGAGGATATGGATGTATTTCATTCATTTTGCTTTCAATAAAATAAGAGTCATAAAATCATGAAATTAAGTGTTCAATCACTGTATTAGTCAGGGTTCTCTAGAGGGACAGGACTAACAGGATAGATGTATATATGAAAGGGAATTTATTAAGGAGTGCTGACTCACACCATCGCAAGATGAAGTCCCACAATAGGCCATCTGCAAGCTGAGGAGCAACGAAGTCAGTCTGAGTCCCAAAACCTCAAAAGCAGGGAAGCCGACAGTGCAGCCTTCAGCCTGTGTCTGAAGGCCTGAGAGCCCCTGGCAAACCACTAGTGTAGGTCAAAGGGTCCAAAAGCTGAAGAACTAGGAGTCTGATGTTCAAGGGCAAGAAGCATCCAGCACAGGAGAAAGGTGGAGGCCAGAAGGCTCAGCCAGTCTAGTCCTTCCGCATTCCTCTGCCTGCTTTTATCCTAGCTGTGCTGGCAGCTGATTAGATGGTGCCCACCCAGATTGTGGGTGGGTCTTCTTCTCCCAGTCCACTGATTCAAATTTTTTTTTTTTTTTGAGATAGGGTCTCACTCTCTTTCCCAGGCTCCCAGGCTGCACTGCAGTGGCACAATCAAAGCTCATTGCATCCTGGAGCTTCTGGGCTCAAGCAATCCTCCCTCCTCAGCCTCCCCAAAATTCTGGGACTGCAGGCATGTGCCACCACACCCAGCTAATTTTTTTTTTTTTTTTTTGAGATGGAAGTTTGCTCTTGTTGCCTAGGCTGGAGTGCAATGTCGTGATCTCGGCTCACCACAACCTCCGCCTCCCGGATTCAAGTGATTCTCCTGCCTCAGCCTCCCAAGTAGCTGGGATTACAGGCATGTGCCACCACGCCCAGCTAATTTTTTGTATTTTTAGTAGACACAGGGTTTCTCCATGTTGGTCAGGCTGGTCGAACTCCTGGAGGAGTTTTTTTGTTCTTGCAATAGTTTGCTGAGAATGATAGTTTCCAGCTTCATCCATGTCCCTACAAAGGACATGAAGTCATCCTTTTTATGGCTGCATAGTATTCCATGGTGTATATGTGCCACATTTTCTTAATCCAGTCTATCATTGATGTACATTTGGGTTGGTTCCAAGTCTTTGCTGTTGTGAATAGTGCTGCAATAAACATACGTGTGCATGTGTCTTTGTAGCAGCATGATTTATAATCCTTTGGGTATATACCCAGTAATGGGATGGCTGGGTCAAATAGTATTTTTAGTTCTAGATCCTTGAGGAATCGCCACACTGTCTTCCACAGTGGTGGAACTAGTTTGCAGTCCCACTAACAGTGTAAAAGTGTTCCTATTTCTCCACATCCTCTCCAGCACCTGTTTTTTCCTGACTTTTTAATGATCGCCATTCTAACTGGTGTGAGATGGTATCTCATTGTGGTTTTGATTTGCATTTCTCTGATGGCCAGTGATGATGAGCATTTTTTCCTGTGTCTGTTGGCTGCATAAATGTCTTCTTTTGAGAAGTGTCTGTTCATATCCTTTGCCCAATTTTTGATGGGGTCGTTAGTTTTTTCTTGTAAATTTGTTTGAGTTCTTTGTAGATTCTGGATATTAGCCCTTTGTCAGATGAGTAGGTTGCAAAAATTTTCTCCCATTCTGTAGGTTGCCTGTTCACTCTGATGGTAGTTTCTTTTGCTGTGCAGAAGCTCTTTAGTTTAATTGGATCCCGTTTGTCAATTTTAGCTTTTGTTGCCATTGCTTTTGGTGTTTTAGACATTAAGTACTTGCCCATGCCTATGTCCTGAATGGTATTGCCTAGGTTTTCTTCTGCGGTTTTTATGGTTTTAAGTCTAACATTTAAGTCTTTAATCCATCTTGAATTAGTTTTTGTATAAGGTGTAAGGAAGGGATCCAGTTTCAGCTTTCTACAGATGTCTAGCCAGTTTTCCCAGCACCATTTATTAAATAGGGAATCCTTTCCCCATTTCTTGTTTTTGTAAGGTTTGTCAAAGATCAGATGGTTGTAGATGTGTGGTATTATTTCTGAGGGCTCTGTTCTGTTCCATTGGTCTATATCTCTGTTTTGGTATTGGTACCATGCTGTTTTGGTTACTGTAGCCTTGTAGTATAGTTTGAAGTCAGGTAGCATGATGCCTCCAGCTTTGTTCTTTTGGCTTAGGATTGTCTTGGCAATGCGGGATTTTTTTGGTTCCATATGAACTTTAAAGTTTTTTCCAATTCTATGAAGAAAGTCATTGGTAGCTTGATAGGGATGGCATTGAATCTATAAATTACCTTTGGCAGTATGGCCATTTTCATGATATTGATTCTTCCTATCCATGAGCATCGAATATTCTTCCATTTGTTTGTTTCCTCTTTTATTTCTTTGAGCAGTGGTTTGTAGTTCTCCTTGAAGAGGTCCTTCACATCCCTTGTAAGTTGGATTCCTGGGTATTTTATTCTCTTTGAAGCAATTGTGAATGGGAGTTCACTCATGATTTGGCTCTCTGTTTGTCTGTTATTGGTGTATAAGAATGCTTGTGATTTTTGCACATTGATTTTGTATCCTGAGACTGCTAAAGTTGCTTATCAGCTTAAGGAGATTTGGGGCTGAGACGATGGGGTTTTCTAAATACACAATCATGTCATCTGCAAACAGGGACAATTTGACTTCCTCTTTTCCTAATTGAATACCCTTTATTTCTTTCTCCTACCTGATTGCTCTGGTCAGAACTTCCAACACTAATTCATAGTCATTCTTGACCTTGACCTCAAATGTCGGGGTTACTTCCAAAAATACTATTAACTGTTTATTTCAGTTACTTACAAATGTAATTAAACTTATAATAAATCATCTATATCTATATATTTTCACCCCATTTCCTATATCCAATCTACATTCAGAGAGCATTTGTGATCCATGTGTGAGAGGAGGGGAAGAGAGAAATAAAAGACTTTGAAAATCGTCTCAAGTAGTGAAAAAAGGTTTGCACTTGAATTAGGAGGTCAAATTAACATCTGTTGCTGTGAAAATTGAGTAAGTAATATATCTTTTTCGTACATCAAACTTTTTAAAAAAGCAAGTTATTAGATTAAATTACCAATGAAGTCACTCCAAGCCCTAATGCTCTTCCTCTGTTTCTCTCCCTCTCTGTCAGATATATGTGTATCTATTGATATCTATCTATCTATCTATCTATCTATCTATCTATCTATCTATCTATGTATCATCTGTCTATTAATACCTTTTTACAAAAGGCACAACTAAGGCATTTGTTTTAGGATTTTTTTCATCTGTGTTCTTAAGTCCAATTGAATGATTACAGGACTAACAGTCTATAGTTTGATATCAGGATTTTCTACTGTTACAGAATCAAATGGGAAGCTGTCCATCAAAAAACACTGTGGAATGTTTTCTTAAAAATTTAATAGAATTCATCTGTAGAATCACATGGGATTCCTTTAACAGAAATACTCTGATTATTTTTTCAATCTTCTCTTCTGACTACTGGCTATTCTGGTTTTTCAAGATTCTTCTGTAGTCTATTTTGTATCTTTACTAAAACTAAGACATATTATCCAATTTGTCTAGATTTTCAAATTTACTGGCATAACTTATAAACAATATTCTCTCTTAACATTTTCAAAATCTGTTCCATATTGGTATTTTAGTCTATTTTCCACTGCTTATCATGAAATATCTGGAACTGGGTTATTGATAAGAAATTTATTTCTTACAGCTATGGAGGCTGAGAAGTCCAATGTCAAGGAACCACATCTGGTGAGGCCCTCCTTGCTGGTGGGGACTCTGCAGAGTCCCAAGGCTATACAGAGCATCACATGGTGGGGAGGCTGAGCAAGCTAGTTCATGTCTCTCTTCCTCTTCTTATAAAGCCACCAGTCCCATTATCATGATAATGCACTAACCCATTAACCTATTATTTCATCAATTCATGAATGGACTAATCCTTGATAATCAAATCACCTTTTAAAGGTCCCACCTTTCAATACTGCCCCATTGGGAAATAAGTTTCAACATGAGTTTTGGAGGGGACAAACATTTAAACCATAGCAACTGATAATAATATTTTTTATTTTGTTTGTCTTCTTTTTTTTATGAGATTTTTCCAGGAGTTTATCTATATAATTAGTCTTTTCAAGGAAGCAGCTATTGGGGTAATTGATTAATCCTAAAATCTATTATTTTATTAATACTTATTTTCTATGTATTACTTTTCAATAGCCATTGGATTTATTTCATTGTTATTTTATATAGTATTTTAAATTGAATTCATATTTAATTTATTTTCAGTATTTCCTGTTTGATAGTAAATGCATTTAAGAACATACGGATTCTTCTGAATATTACTTTAATACAAAGCTACATCCCCCAAATTTTGACGCATAGTATTCTTATTGTCATTTATTTCTAAATGGATTTTGACCACAATTATTATTTAAAATGTTTCAATATTTTCAGGTGGATTGTCATTTTTTGGAGAGGATGGATAATGTTTGTCGTTAATTTCTAACTGTACTGCTTTAAGATCAGAATCTCTGATCTATACGTAATTTTTGCTTCATAGCAGGCTGATAATAGGTCAGTGTTTATAGATATGCAAAGTGGAAAAAATATATATTGTTAATTAAATTATTCAGATCTGTATTTGCTTTTGATCTACTTAGGATGACGATTATTGAGAAAGATATATTAAGATATTTCATTGTTTTTGCTTTATCATAGTTTTTTATTTAGATATTTTGCATCCATTTTAATTAGGTATATAGAAGGTTAATGACAGCTTTATTCTCTTAATCATACCTTTTATCAATTTAAACAATTCTTTGATATTTAAAAAACTTTTCCCCTTGAGTTCTGCCTTTTATATTAACGTTAATATATCTACTATTTTCAACATTTACCCTATGTATCTCTTTAATGTTTTCATTTTTATCTTTTCTGGATCTTTCTGTTTTAGGTATATCTTTTATAATAACTTATTGCTAAGCTTTATTCTTTTCTTTAACAAATCTTTGTCTCTGACTTATAATAGGGAAATTTATTCCAAAGTCTTTGCTTTGATTAATGACGTTTTGCAATTGTTTCATGCATTTATGTTTTTAACTTAATGACAAGAAGCAGTGTAAAAGAATGTTATTTGCTCTGACTGGGAAACCCAGTTCTACCATAGTAGATATTTGACCTTGCTTAAATTACATATATTTTCTATGCCTCAGTTTCTTCATAAATTAAATGAGAATGATTATAATTATGCTCAATTCATTGACTTATTGTAGGGATTAAGGAAATGATTACATGTAAAATATTTAAAACTTTGCCTGAGAAAGAGTGTGTATGAAATAAATGTCAACTATCATTATGTGGCTTTTTTCTTTCCACTTGTATTTGTTCTCTCCACCCCCTTTCTTCTTCCAGTGGTTTGTAAACAGTGCATTTGAGTTTTATTGTTCTAGCAGTTACTTTGTATATGTGACAGATGCATTTTGAAATCAACTTTATTGAAATATCATTTGTATATAATATCATGTACCCATTTTAAGTATATATTTTGATGAATCGTGACAAATATATACAACCACTTAATTACCACCACAATTGAGATATAGGACATTTCCATCACATAGTAATAGCCTGTGTCATTTCCTATACAATGCTCTCCACACCCTCCACCTCTTTCCAATACCCCGTTAGTCATTGATATGCTTTCTGCCACTATGGATTAGATTTATCTTTTCTAGAGTTTCATATAAATAGGAACACATAGCAGGCAGTCTTTCGTAACATATATTAAAAATTATTTTGCCTGTATTATCTGGAGTTATTTAATACCTCTGTCCTCCCCTGAATAACAACTTCAGTAGTTTTTCTCTCTCCTCCTCCTCTGTTACCTTCTATTTTCAGATGACCTAAGATCCTAGTTATAAACATTTAGAGATTATGCACTGAGTTATTTATTAATCTGTTTTCTACTTCATTTACTCATCACTGTGTCTTGTATCTTCTGTGTTACTTATTTTATCTATTTATCTTTGTTTCCCACATTTTTTTTCAGATATTTTGAAATACATAGACATGTATTTTTTCCTAGAGGGCATGAAAGGTGGTAACTTTTCTGAATCTTTGCAATATTCTGTATGTCCTTATTTTGCTCTCCTATTTGAATGGCATTTTAGATGCTAAATGTAGGATTCTAAGAAATATTGTCCTCCTTTATTTTCTCCTGATATGTAGTTTTGCCAGCAGGAGCTCAGATTTAGCACTAAAGAAGACTAACACAACTGGATCTTTTCACTCACTATTTTTCAGTTCAGAGATATCTATTTCTACTTTGCAGTTTATCAGTGATTTTTTCAATAATCAAAAATTCAAATATCAATCCTGCTAGTTCAGTAGTTCTCTAATAGCAATATGCATACAAACCACCTGTGGGATCTGTTAAAATGCAGATTCAGTTTTAGTCATTTTAGGATGAGGCCTGAGATTCTGCGCCTCTAACAAGCTCCCAGGTGATGGTGATGTTGCTGGTCTGTGGACCACACTTTAAGTATCAAGGCCCTGGCTACTGCATCTTCATGGATTTGATATCCCTTTAAACCATTCTGAAGAATACATTATTTATCTGAAATTTCTTTTTTTTTTTTTTTTGGTATCTTCTATTAATTCTGTTTTCTTGAGATAGCGATACTTGTATTTCTTAGGTCTGTGGCTTCTCGCTTCCGGTATTGATTTTCCTCAATTTGTTTCCTTCTTTTAAAAATGCTTGGTTGTCAGAGTTACCTGTTGCTTATCTATTGCTGTGACTGTGGGTGAGGGGAGGCACGCTGCTCAGAGTGCACTGGGAGCAATGTGAGGATTCTACATCTGCCTGTCTGACTTCAGAACTGGCTCTGCTTCTGTCTACGGGCAATACCACTGTCACCAAATGCTTATCATAAGCTAGGGGAGAGCGCTGACCAGCACAGCTGATAATGATGATGATCAAAATAACCAAATTAACATTTTTGAGTGCCTACTGCATGCAAGGCCCTGTTCTAAGTGCTACACACGTATTAACTTGTTTAACAAATGCATCTTGTCAAAGACATGTTTAAAAATCTAAACCATATTAACAGTTCCTCTCTGTTTTTAGTGTTCTCTAATTTGCTGAAATTGATGAGCATGATTTATCTTTATTCTAATTATTTCTCCTTCTTCTTCTGTGATTAAACAGAAAATGCTAAATATACAGATATTTGCCTAGTTGAAATAGCCAAAATATTCCAGCATAACTAGATAATACCCCCAAACCGAACCCTGTATAGAGGACAGTGAATGGAGACAAAGAGCATGAGAGAATAAGAAAAAAGAAGAAATAAAAGAAAGTAAACTCAAGGAGAGAGCGTCAATAAAGAGACAATATAAAAGATGAAGGAGAAGATTAATGGAGGTAAAACTTGCACGATAAAGAATTCAGCTGCATTTTGCTTGGGTTTATGTTTAGACCTTCCTTAAATTCTTTCACATCTCTGCAAACAGGAAGATTAATTGAGTAGCCTTCAACATTCAGACACAGCCCTGGCTGTGGTGACCTTACAGATTTGACCCAGGAGAACAGGAGGAATATTAATTTTGGCTTCTAAACAGGCAGATTTTCATAAATTTATTGGAGAGACATCTTGTTCTGTGTTGTATGGATTGTTTCTGTGAGCTGAATGAAATGGTCTCTTATTTTGTGGGCTCGCGGGGATTTTATTAGCAATATTTATTTAGACACCAAAGAAGAAGCCATTTGAATCTTGGAACCTGGTTTGAATTTGCAGCTAAATGTGATCTTTCATCTCGGGGCTATTTCCTTTCATTTTCAGGATGTGGATAGACAATGGAAAGACAGGTGAAGCCATTGGTATTTTGGGCTCATGCCACTAAATTCCAATATTTCGGGTTCTGGGAAATTTGAAGCTCACACTCTTAAAATGTTTTCCACTGTTTGTAAAGGCATTTGTTTTGCAAAGGAAACACAATCCTGATGTTCTGTACTTATAAAATCTGCATCTTTAGAGTTGACCGTGCCTCTACGGGCCTTTCTACTTGTCTTTAATTAGGGTTAGATAATATTATTCTGGATAAAGAAAGCAGCCCAACAGAAAAGGGATGGTCAAAGCAGCCCTCGGGACATCAGCCTGGTTTGAATCTATCTATATTTTTAATAAATTGTTCATTTTTCAGTTTGTAACTTGAATCTCACTGAAAGATACAGCCTCCAAACACACGGAGTTTCTACCATGGGCCTTGCCCTAAGCTCGAACCCTGGGACACAAAGATAATTCCATGAAATTCTTGGGTTCAGGGACCATCAGATGAGTCCTAAACAGAGATATTTTTGGGAACAGAGTGCTAAAACACATTATATGTACTGTAACAGGGTAGCGTATGAAGTAAGTGGAAAGGGGGCCTCACTCAGCCTGAGTAAGTGGAGTACTGAACAGACATTGTGAAGGAGGCAACGTTGCCCCTGGATCTCACAAAATGAAGAGATGTTCTCCAGTACAATTTTTCTCTCTTCTTCCAACACTCCATAACTGCCCCCTCCTTCTCTTCCTCATTCCACTATGCCTCTGCATGCCTACTTTTAAAGCTTTGTTTCTGAAGAAAAAGGATCTATTCAAAATGCTGACAATCCCCGTTAAATGGCTCTTTAAGAGGTCCCAGGTTGTCAGAACTGCTTCACGTCCTTGAGCTTGGAGATCAACCTGCTATTTATCCAGCTGAAATCCCTCCACCTCCTCACAGACTCCGGCTTGCATCTTAAATTTGCGTCATTTGTTCTGACTCACGCAGCTGTTTGAATTATAGCACTCAACTTCACCCAGGTGTAATTGATTTTCTCTTGCCTGCCACTTGTATATTGGCAGCCAATCCCAAAAAGAGGAAGTGTCTTAAATTTAGGCGATTTGAGACATGATAGGTAGTGCTGAGTATCTGTGTGTGTCAATGTTGATGGGGGAGGTGAGAGAACTCCATAACTCCCCTTCTTTAGGGTGACAATCCTCTTGCTGTCATCCATCACTGAAGCCTTCCTCCTTGCTCTGGTCGAGGCAGGGAGCAGGCCCATCCATCCTGGAGGAGCAGGATGCACAACCGTAGAAAATGATTGGCATCAGTTTTACAGAGGCACTCTCCGTTCTGGGGCATCATATCAGTCTTGTGTCATGTGTATTGATTGTAGACTTCCTTACAGAGAGTCTGGCTCACGACTAGGGTACCAATGCAATTCTTCTGGCCCCTGCCTGCTGAGAGAGGGAGATGACAGAGAGGTTGTGTGAAGGTGAAACAAAGACTTGATCTTCAGTGGCTGTTGTTTCATTTGTTCTGAGTACCTGCAAGGCTCTGCAATGGAACAGGACATCTTTTACCTTCTAATTGCCAGTCTAGGAGAGGCTGCCTGCTAGAGGCAGATTTGGGTAATGAAGACTGGCAAGGTTTCTAATGATGAACAAAGGGAGAGTGGGGGAGTCATAGACCAGAGCATAGATAATTCATGGCATACTCAAAATTGTGTCTCAGTGGCATGTCTCTTCCTTGCCCTTGAGTTCAGAGTATCTCATCTGATATTTATGGAATGTCTCTGCGGTGGCATGCATGATGCTAGGTATGTGGGACCCATAGCCAAACAAGACAGAGTCCCTGCCCTTCAAGGCCTTAGGATTGATGTATTAGTATTGTTTCATCAGTCTCCGTTCTTTAAAAATCTCTTGAATTACTCTCGTCTTCTCCATCCTCTCTGGAAAGCTTCGCCAACTTCAGGCAAAGCTCCTCTCTATACTCTGTACTTAGGTTAGCACTGAACTCTCTAAGTCATGGTCAGATGGGTTTCTCTCCCCTGAATGTCTTGTTCATAAGTCTCTGCGGGCAAAAACAGCATCTTTTCATCTCAGAATCCCCATTGCTCTTGTCAGGAAGTGGGCATTCAGAAGTACATTGAGTGATGAACCTCACAGCTTATGTCTGTCTTTCCCTTATTCATTCTTCAGTATCCTTCTCAGGTTGGGATAGAAGAAGCTCAGCCAGGGCCTAACGTTATAAAATGTTGTCTGGTGAATGAGACCTTGGGAGAGGAGAGGGGAGTTTGGTCAGGGCCCAGCTCTGTCTCTGATTTGCACTTGGCATGAATCATCTCACTTCTCTTGACCTCTATCAGTCGTATCCATAACGTTTGCTCATGTATACTGTGGGAATTGGAAACGATAAGACACTGCTAACTGCATTCATGGTCAATCATTGTTTTCATGTGCACATTAATCTTGCAAACAGTTATTAAACACCAGTTGTATAGGAGGCTTCTCCCAGCAGGCTCTGCATACCACACCTCAGTTGCATCAAATGGAATGCTTGCTCTCCACTCAGTATACCTTCCTTCTCCTGTCCTGGGGCTCTTCCCCCTGCTTGGGAGGCCCTAGTGCCACCCCATCACTACTGTCTTTTCTTTGGTTTTGTTTTCTGAATCCTCAGTTTCTATTCTGGCTTCTCGAGTGTTACCTTCTCTGTGAAGACTTCTCTCACCCCTCTTCTCTCCACTTGAGTGGAGCACTTCATCTCTCCTCTGCTGTGGCATGCCTGTGCTTGTAGAGCAGCTATAGATCTGCATGTTTACCTTCCTATTAAATTATGAGCTCTATAAGAGCTGGATTCCTCATAGTGTCTGATACCAAGAGATTGATCTTTTCTTCCTTCTGACCTGTTCTTCTACAGCAGTGGTGCTCAAACATTTTGGCTTCAGGACTCCTTTGTGTGCTTTAAAATGATTAAGGACTCCAAAGAGCTTTTGCTTATGTTAGTTAGATCTATTCATATTTACTCTATTAGAAATTAAAAGTGTGAAACGTAAAAAATTCATTAGTTCACATATTTTCCAAAAGAAAGTGGTGTTGTTTTACATTCTTGCAAATCTCCTAAGTTTGGCTTAATTGAAGACATAAGTATATTCAATCTGTAATAATATGTTGTTTAGTTGAAGTAGATGAAGAAAATTCTGCCTTATACAGACGTATAATGGAAAAAGAGTGAAATATTTTAATAGTATTTTCAGACAACTGTAGACAGTTCTCTCTCTCTCTCTTTTTTGCTACCACATCAAAACTTAACAACTGGGAGTTTCTCTAAGATTAACTGCATTGTGGGATCTGGAACTATATGAATGAACATTTTGTACTCAGTTATATTAAAATTTACTAGTGCATCTTGCATTTTAAATGTGTATTTTCTCCATGCATGGCTTTGTAACACTACGCATTTGGTCATCTGGGAAATATTGGTTCACTGACTTCTACCAGTCTTTCAAATGTTGGCACATTTCATTCCAAAACTCAAATTATCACATATTTCAACATCAACACTAATCAAATAAAAAAAGTTTTAAGTATTGGGGAGCTGTTAAGTTCCTGGTGGTGGATACACCTTTTCCAACATTCTAATTTTTTATTGAAAGCTTAAATTTTATGATTGGCAAAAGGTATTATTGATTGTGCTCTTGAAGTGGCAGCTTCACTTTGTTCATTACTGAAAAAATGTCTGTGAAATACCCAGGTTTAAATACCTATAGTTTGTCTGTCAGTCATTCTTCCAAATAAATATGTGTTTCATGAAAAAAGCAATTGACTTAGTTTATATCTCAATTGCACAACTACTTTTTCTTGAGACAACTATTATACTTCAGGAAACAGCAGAAGCCCTTCGTGCATATTTCTCATTTTGTCATGGAATAGAAAAAGATGTGTACTCATCGTTATAAATTTCATAAAATAAATAATAATTTTAACTGCATCTTTAAAGCAAATTAAAGAGAAATTTACTTTTTCTTTTAATAGTTGTTCATGGCCGTGAAAAATATGGCCTGATTTGGGTTCACTTCCTTAAATGTGCTAAGGCCCCAGCAATTTTACCTGCTGTTGTTTTTGCACATCAGTCCAAATGGCAACACAGGAAAAGTGGCAAATAATAGCTTCATATTATTTTGAAAATAATTGGACCTTGTGTCTTCTCTGAAAGGATCTCAGAAACCGCTAGGGATTGTTGAACCACAATTTGAGAACTACTGATGGAAATAATTGGTTTCTGTGTTTTCCCCCCTTTACGTAGTCATCTTTTCTTTACCAAGAGTAAAAAAGGCCTGTTTGTACTAGATCTATACCGAAGATTTAAGAGGAGAGACAGGATTTTCTATTTGACTTCATTTCTTTCTGCAATCTCATTCTGCCTTTGGTTTAGACATCGTCTCCTTTGATTCATCAGGGGCCAGTGACCTAGTCAGAGGGTCACAGAGCTAAGACTGACCAATTGATCAAGCACTAGAAGCACAGAGTATAAAGAAGAAGAAAAGAGAGCCGGGTAGGGAAAGTACTAGAGGAAACAATGTTTGAAGATAAAAAATATGAGAATTAAAGAAAGAGGAACTAAGGAGGAGTGAACAGGAAGGGAAATAAATGAAGAAAAACAGGGACAATACGAGTAAAGAAAATAAGACGAAAGGAAGGGGGATCCTGTGGTAGGAGAGCATGATGTCATCTGCTAGAAAGGCTGTGAACCAGGAGATCTGGGTTCAGCAGGGCCACATCCAGCTTCTATCCTTGCAAGACTCTATATCCTCCATGGGTCTCACATTTTTCCTTCTGCAAAATGAGATGGCTGAGAGGGGAAGAGAGGGTACTGGGGGCAGACAAGAACGTCCAGGGGATGGGCTTCCAGGAAAGCCCCTGCACTCCCAAAATTGTGAGTAAAATCTTGGGTGTTCAGAGGTTTTTTTTTCCCAGGACAGGGAGTGGGTTGTTCTCATAAATTACTCAAAGGTCTCTTTACCAAGCTGGATGAAGAAGCGCTGGTTTGGATGGTTTATGATCTTTTGTGGCCCCAAAACTTTATGATTCTTGCATAGAAGTAGAGCCCGCATTCTGATTCTAAACTAATTTCCAAGCCTTGTGGTTTCACCATCATTGCCTTTGACCCTGAGCAAAATTCAACATGAAGTCTCTGGCCTTATAACAATTTGTTTTTCCCTATGTAGAAAAAAATTAATGAAACAACAATCCCTGAGAGTCCTGAACCCTTGTCACCCTGCAGTGTCTGGCAGGTAGAACAGGTGGAAAATCAGAATCTTTGGGAGCCACCCAGCCCAGCTGCTGCCCCAAACAAGCTGCAAGCAAACAGAGACGGCTTTACCCTGCGTGCTACAGCCGCAGCTCCTCTGGTCCCAGCTTGTTGACTTGGTCCCAGAGAAGGAACAAAGCTGTCCAAGTCCAATGAATGGCCGGCAGTGGAAAACCAGTGTTGCTGTCTGTTGGCAGGCAGGGCGGCCGACACCACACTTGGTCAGCTCCCCACAAGCGGCGCTCCCCTACCCCCACCATGGCTAGCTTTGGCAGGCGTTGCCAGGCCTGAGAACGCAGGAAGTTTTGGGTCACGGTGACCTCTAGTTGTTGATGCCAGATGAAATATGCCCTGGAGGTTCTCCAGTGTCACATGGTGTGTGGAGCAAGAAAAGGCAGGGTTGCTCTTGCGCTGACGAAGTGGATTTTGGTTCCCAAATGGCACCCCTTGGGGAATAGGAGGGGTTGTGGGTGGGAAGGGGGGCAGGCAGGCCGAGCGGTGGTGTGAGAGTGGGCAAGGGAGGATTAGTTTTGCATTTTTCATCTCCTTCAGCCTTCCAGGAAGCCGCTTCCTCCTGGAGGTGGAAGCATACCCCCAGATTTGTGGCGTGGGAATTTGGGGAAAAGTTTCTGCGGTGTTTTAGTTGTTTATGTGGTGGTGGGGGTGGATTTCTAGCCCTATACATGCTGGGTCTCATAGCTGGATAAAAGCTATGTAACATGTGGGGCCTGACCTACAGCCCCGCCGGTAGCTCAATTGCTTAAAATGGAAAGGACGTCAACCATGGTTGCTCAGGGGAGGGGGTGCCACCTCCAGACCCAGATTGCTTTCAGCTACTACCCGGGAAAACGATACTGTCCCTTTCCATCCTGCTGAAATCTCTCTTCATCTTGTTTACACATGTTGAGTTATCTAGTCCTGTTTTTCTGAATTCCAAACACTTAGAGGAGGCTCAGTGGCTCCCAAAGGAGACCTCTACCAGAAGTCCAGTGATGGACACCTGTCTTTTGTCCCACGTAGGTCCATCATGCCTAAATACAATCTCTATGCCTTGTCCTGGGCAGGAGGATGAGGCTTGGCTACGTTCCCTTTCACGAATCAAGACGAGAGGACTGAAAGAGAAACAGCTGAAAAGAAGGAGCCAAATAAAAAACAAGATCCAGCTGGAGGAGTTCAGGCCCGATAAGCAGGCTTGAAAAAGAGGTCAGGCCCCAGGAGCTGGGCTGGAGCAGTGAGGAGTGTTTCTTCCAAGAGAAGATGACTGCCTGAGAGGTAGGTGGGCTCTAGTCTGCTGCCCCACACCCAGCTTCAGTTGCCACAGGGAGGCCTTTCCAGTTTTCCCTCCTTCTCTCCTGAAGGCCAAATTGCCTCAGCTGCATTGAAATGGAGACAGAAAGGGTATATCTGAGATGTAGAGGGAAGGTATCTTTGGGGAAAATGAAAAATCATTCAAGGGTCATCTCCAATCTCACCTCCTCCAAGAATCCTTGCCAAATCTCTCTCATGGGTCTCGGCTCTCTCTCCACCCTCCTCCATAGCAGTTCATGTCTTGGTTCTAGTATATGTCTCTAACTGTCACATAATGAATTATTTGGTAATGGTAGTAAGATAATATTTGCACAGTGTGTCTTCCATTGCAAAATGTATTACTTTTGCAAATAGTAACTCGTTTGCTCTCTGTAATGACCCTGAAAAGTAGCTAGTAGTTATTGATAGTTTGCTTTATTTAGAAGTAGGGTGGTACAGAAAGCACAGACCTTGGCTCTGTCAGATTAAGGCTTGAATTATAAACCTTGTGATTGGCTGACTATGAGAGCTTGGATAGCCTTCTTGACCAGTTCAGACAGCGGTTGGCCCCACCAAGAGAAATCTGTGCCCTCTCATCTGCCAGTGGGGCCACTGCGGCTTCCACCGCAAGCTAAGTTTCTGGTAAAAGAAAATCCTGCCTTGTACATCCAGAAAAATATTAGCTTGGAGGCATCCTATTTTCACAACATACTATTTGGAACTCTGAGCAAATGCCATGGTTTTCTAGCATCAAAACAACTTTATTCCAAAGTTTCTTTTGGAAATTTGAAGGCCATGCACTCTGCCAGGCCTCACATTCCAGCTCTCCTTGGCAGCCATGCCCTTGGGTCATTACAGCTCCTCTCTCACATACCTGCATCCATGTCCTGCTTTGATTTCTCTTCGCTTTCCCTCCTGTGTCCTCCCCCTTCCAACTCTTTTCACAGTACCCTTGAAGTTTGCCTGTTCATGCCAGCGAACCCTCACAGTTTTAGTCTCTTTATAGAGTTCCTTCCCTATCTTCTGCCCTAATTGAAACTTGGTCTCCCCTACTTGTTGGAAGTCCTCTTAATGGTCTTCTAAGACATGTAAAGTCTCACCCTAAATTTGGAGCTATGTGACTTTTTCTTATATCCCACATTACTGTTCCAAAATGTTATTCTTCCTGCAATTCAACATTTATCTTAAAAAAAAAAATTAGGTATTTGGCGACACCATCCAAGTCCTCCACATTTCACACTCACCCCCCACTGTCAACCATGGACCTCTGGCAACCATGGACCTCTTAATTTCTCTCCACAGTCATTGAATATTTAAAAACACAATTTGCAATTCTCCTTCTTTCCTTAAGCCCTACCATCATTCTGGATGGTCAATATTCGGGACCATCCAATTCCTTGACTTTCAGAAACTTCAGGATCTCATTTTCTAACCACAAGCCTTGATCATTGTGTATCTCACCCCCTTCATCTGTTCTCTGATATCTTTTAGAGTCCTTGGGCTGTCTGCACCAAACTTCTCCAACCTAACATTTTTGTTTGTTTTCTTTTCAAATTAATAATAAAAATAATAATAAATAAATAATAATAAAAATTAATAATAAAAATAATAGCAAATATTTCTTGAGTACTCAGTACTTGGTGTGCTGCATGATCAGATTTTTACGTACATCTTTTTAGTTGCTATATACAACCCTATGAGTTAGGTGCTGCTATTGTTTTATTTTAATTTTTTTGCAGATGAGAAAACTAACAAATAGAGGTACTGAGTTGGGATTTGAGCTCAAATATTCTGGCTCTAGAGAGGATATTACTACCATGTCTCTCCTCTCTCTATCTCTTAAAAGTCTTTGTGTTGGGGGTTTCAACCTTGGTCATCCTTTTCATTCCACACACTTTTTCCAAATGTCCTGCTCATGTGCTCCTATATTCAGTTAACACCCAATTCTGTAATTTTAGTGTTATTGTAGAAAACATTCCCCTGGCCTTTCTTTGGCCTCAGTTTCCTCATCTGTGAAATGAGAGTAATGATAGTTTCTACCTCCTAGGGCTGTATGTAGTAAGCAAATGTATATAAAAAGCTGACTTTTTATCTATCTCCAGAGCCAGCTTCTTATTCACCATCTACATTTCCACTCAAATGGCCCACAGGCATCTCACACACAACATGTACCAAGCTGCATTCACCATGCCTCACATGTTCCAATATTGGTGGCTTTTCCCTCTTATCCATCCAATTTCCTTGTGAATAGTTTTCTTCTTCTTTCTCAGCCCTACATGTTACCTGTCTCTAAGTTGTGTTCCATCAGTTCTAGTATGTAAATTGACTCTATTGCCTAAATTCAGGCCCTCATCCCTTCACGTCTGAATAATTGCCATGTTTTCCTACCTGGAATCCCTCCCTGTTCCTACTTTTTATAGCTTTAAGAGATAATTAATTTTTTTAAAAAAGAAGGAATCAGACGATGTTCATTCTGTTTGTTTTAAATTCTTCCATGGTTCCCCAAAGCTTTTAGGATAAAGTTCAAATTTCTTTGTTTATTAATTTTTTTAAAACTTTATCTTGCTTTTGTGCTTCATCATGTTAATATTTCTTGCCATTTTTCCTAACACTTATTTTGCCCAATCATGGGGAACTTCTGGTAGGTCCTCAAACGCCAGGGTCTACCAAAGCTCATTGCACTTGTAAATGCTGATTTTTCTGTTCATCTCTCCTTGCTCTGGCTAACTTCCTCTTAAACTTGTCTCAGCTCAGGTGTCATCTTTTGCAGAAATATATTTTTCTTGATGCCTGTGGTTTATTTTGGTGCTTCGTCTGTAATTCCAGAGCACCTGGTACCTATTTCTGCCAATCAATTAACTCTCCACATCATGATTCTCAACTTTACTTTGCCTCCAAATACCTAGAGCCAGGGTGGCAAACAGCAGCCCAGTGACCAAAGTCATCCTGCCACTTGTTTTTGTAAATAAAGTTTTATTGGAACAGAAGCATGCCCATTCAGTGTGCTCTATGGCTGATTTTGGATAAAAAGAGCAGAGTTTAATTGTTGTAACAGAGTCTATGTATCCCCCAAAGCTAAAATATTTACTATTTGACCTTTTGCAGAAAATGTTTGCAGTCCCCTTTCATCTATTACTGTGCATCACTATTACAAAATTCTTAGCCAGAGATGCCAGACCCTGAGGGAGAAAGTGGATCAAGATCTTGCAGAGGAGGAGTGTCAAGGGAAAACTAGAGTTGGATGATTCAGATACATACCCTAGGGGATCATGTTCCTTCCCTACACCACGGACAATCATTCCATGTGTCCTTATGAAATATTTCTTATATATCATGAGACAGAGACTGTATGTTTTTTAATCTTTTGGCTTACATGCCTAACATGGTGACAGACTATTAGAAGTAAAAATAAGCCAGAAAACAACCCCCAAAAGCCAAGCTCACACCAAAAGAATTTTTTGAAGGATACTGGGATATAATCAGGGGGTCTAAGAAAGAGGTGAACACCCAGTTCTTGAAAAGACACAGCAATGATGTGGAGTAATGATTGTTATCAGGATCCAGCCTCTGTCTTGTGTCTCTGCTGTTTCTCATCATGTCAGCTTCATCTTTCCCTTTCACCGTGGACTTCCTCTAGCTGGCAAAAATCACGGCCCATCACAGTTCCTGAGTTTTTCATTTTATAGTTTTCAGTCATTGATGAGCCTTTATCCTGACTTTGTCTTAGTCCCATATTCCAAAATACTAAGTCAGTTTACCATTGATGTGGTCAAGGAAGAGGGGTTAGGTGAGAAAACAGAAATGTTAGTGATACTTATGGATAGACTAAAGATAGAGGATGAGCCAAGAACGAAAGAGGTACTGTTCCCAGAATAAGGGAGAGCTACATAGACAAGGCAGTAGGTGTCCCCATGGTAGCTCCTGGTAGATGCCCCCCAACAGTAGCACTTAGGAGGTGCTTAACTGATGTATGTTGACTCAATAAATAAAGAAAGAAATTAACCTCTTTGAGCCTCTTCTGTGAGATGAGAATAGCATCTACCTCACAGGCTTGTACTGACGATAGAGCACTAACCACAGTGCTTGACAGGCGTAGATATTCAGTAAATGCAACCTAAATATCCTAGCACTCATCTGGGTTGGAATTGCAAAGGGAAATTAAGGGAGAATTTATTACAGCAGATTATCTTTTAAAATTCAATCAGCATGATTATCCAATAAAATTTTAATCAAACTCTATGTCCCATCTTGTCTTCTAATCAGACTTAAGTCAACATAAATATTAGCCCAGGACTCTCACTTGGCTCAGTCTGAGTTGGCGCATTCCCTAAGGGAAACTGTAGGGTGTCAGAAGAAAGCCCCGATTTGTACCTATAAGAGACTATATTTACTTGTTCAGAAGACGAACAGAAACTGGAGATTAAGAACCCTCGGTCTACTAGATCAATGTCTACTGTTTCACGAGTTAAGCTTTAGCTTCCCTGTTAACCAGACTAGCTCACACAACATATACCCACCTGAACTATTAATGTGTGCATTTTCTTGGATGTGCCTCCTTCCTTTGGACAGTATTGCTCTTTGTCTCATATTTAAAATGCCTTCCTCTGCCCTGTTACCTTCATCTGCATAACTCCTCAACCTTCAGGGTCTCCTCTGGCTCCATAATTTTACTGACCCATCCCCATCAGCTTTGAAAAATCATAATTCAAGTTTTTCCAAGACCTGATACAGAACACTTTGGCACAAGCCAGGTACCTGGGTCCTTCTACTCTAATTCCCTAACCAAACTCTTTCTTCTAAACTCATACTGAGAAATGCTAAAGATTTCCAATAAAATTTCTTTTCATGGCTCAGTGGTTTGTAGAAACCGTTTATAGTTTACAAAGCTCTCTACAACTCTCTGATGTTGGTGTTATTAAGGACATCCCACTCCTGATCAGAATTTCTAATTGATCGATAATTTGGGGAGATGAGACTTGATTTTACTGAGAATAGTGTCCTAAATCTTTCGTTAAGGAGGCTTTTTTCAATGGTATGTCTCAGTGCTAGAAGAAACTCTAAAGCTTACTCATGATGTTGGTCCTGAAAAGCACCTGAATCTTCTCTATATGGCCCTCAGATGGAATGTAATCTGTACTGAAATTTATGGCTTCTGAATTGACTTCCAGAGGAATATCCATTTCTCCACCCTACCATATTAGACATCTCCCACTATTAGCTCTTTTTCATGCATTGAGGCACACTTTGCCCCCCTGCTAACTTACCATAATGAGCCTCTCTCATATCCATTAGAGAGAATCTAAGTTCCTCTTCTACATATGAGTTTGAGTAGGTATGTGGTAGGTATGTGGGGTCAAGATAGCATCTCCCTCATTTTCCCTTTTCTATCCCCAACAACCTTGGGAACTTCAACTGCTGGTTTTGAGTCTACTTTGCTTTTTCTCAGGATATATTCTGGTCTACCAGTTTTACTGTTTTAAATTCTTAAATTTAGCAAGCTGATTTTCTTTGAAGCCTACGGAATAGAGGGTGTCAAAAATGTCCTTCCGACATAATAATTACTAAGTATATAGAGATTAGAAGCTTACTTTGGATATAGAGACTTTCTAAATTGGAAACATTTTTTGAAGACAGGAAATTCAGCCTAAGTAAAACCTAGTGTGTCCACTGGGGCATGTTGGGTTTGGGGAGGGAAAGTATCAGGAAAAATAGCTAATGCATGCTGGGGTTAATACCTAGGCGATGGGTTGACAGGTGCAGCAAACCACCATGATACATGTTTACCTATGTAACAAACCTGCACATCCTGCACATGTACCTAGGAACTGAAAATTCAACAACAACAACAACAAAAACACTGAAAAACAAAGACACTGTTCTACCAGAAACAAAACAAAACAAAACAAAAAAACTAGTGTGTCGATATTCACAATTGTTTTGGTTTATTCTTAAAAGCAGTATGAGATCATTATGATGACCACATAAATGAAAAACAGTAACAGTCATTCTGGCCTTCTAGTACCTTGAAGATGTCCAGTTACTTCAAAGCCTTTGAATGTGCTTTCCCCCTTCCCCCACCCTGGGAATATTGTCTGCAACCCCAACCCTCCAAATTTTGGTCTGCCAACTTTTCATACTTCAAATCTCTGAAAAGCTTTTTCTTAATTATCTTGTTGCCCCCGACCCCAGTCCTAATCTAAATTGGGTCACCCATCATAATTTTGTAACCTGCCTTTAAATTTTTCTTATGGCAAATATACAAATTTTAATGGTATATTTAGTGATATGATTATTTAGTGTCTGTCTTTTCCATTAGACTATTAATTTTGGGAAGCAATTCTGTCTGCCTTGTTTACTGTGGAATCCCCAGTGCCTGGCAGAGAGGCTGGTTTGTGTTGGTTGTTCACATAATGTTTCCTGGATGATTGCATGAATGAATAAATGACTATTACATTTGTAATAAATGTAATAAATGATTGTCACACACTGTTTTTCTTCTTCTTTGCTTACATTTGTATATGACCTTGTGTTTTTCAAAGAATTTTCATGTTTCTGTAGTTTTAGGTAGATAAGACTAATTATTACTGTCCCAATTTCCATCTGATGAACCTAGGGCCCAGAAAAATGAAAAGACTAACACAAATTCACATACCTGGTGATGTGTGAAGCTGCAGTCAGAGCCGAGACTACATGTTTACTCTTAGACTAGTGTTCTCTCCTTTAGTAATTTAAAAAATAATATTAGTCTCTTAAAAGATAATTTAAGTGCACATAATGTGATTTTTTTTTTAATCTTGGAAAAAATAGCATTTGTTTTTTTTGGAAGGTTCTGGTTAAAATACAATACCCTGACTTTTTAAACAGAATTTTACTGTTTAGAGCTGTTTTAGGTTCACAGCAAAATGGAGCTGAAGGTACAGATATTTCCCATTTACCTCCTGCAATACCCTGACTTTTATGACTTCTTTTCTTTAGGTGACCTATTATATAGGGGAATGTGAAGGGGAGATCTCACTTAATCCCATTTTTGGGGGTGCCTTCAGGACCTCAGGCAGCCTATATGCAATATATCTTGCTTAAAGGCAGAAAACAGTTTTTTGCATCTGAACACGTTTATATATGTTCTTGTGAGAGAAATTAGTCAAAATTAAAATATTAGTTTTTGTCCAAAGAGTGGCTTAAAAAAGTAAAAATTCTTTCTAAAATACCTTTTGCTTCATACATGTCTAACACAAATTGTCTTCTTTCCTATTCATTTACCTCATTTTACTAATCAAACCTTTACAATAACGTATGGACAAAAAAGCAATACAGCATTATTCCCTTACAGAAATTTCACCCCTTAGCCTTTTTGTTTTCCTATTGAATCATATCAATCTTTTCATATCATTTCAAATTGGTAGTGTCTGTTGTTCATTCACCTGCATTCAGAAAATCATAAGATCCTATTACAGTCACATTAGCACTAACCTGCTTTAAATGAAAAAATGTGCATATCCCTGTAAGTTTTTTACTAAATTGATACATAATTTTAAAAGCATTATTTACCTTGTAGCCTATCTCTCTGATTTATCTCTCAGGGTATAGAATTCTTAAATATGGTATCATTTATTTTTATCTCTCTATGGAATCATCCAGGCTTTGATTCATTATGGAAGAGAAATTTCTTATAATGTAGTATTTTTTCTCACTTCCTTGAAAAAAAATTGCATAGAATCATAAGGTTGTATCGTAACAAGAGATTTTATAGGCCGTTTAAACCAACTCTTTGAATTCCCTGTGCATATGCCATCCAAGGTCATCTATTTGCTACTTGGATACTTTGTCTAATGGGGAGGTCGCCACTTCACTTTAACTATATGCCCTCAGGGATAAACCAGGTTGGTTGCCTATCCAATTATGTATGGTTCCTTTAACTCACCAGCAAATATGGGGCTTTATTTATATCTGTACAGTATGCCCAAGCTTCCTTGAATCCTGGACATCTGGAGAGTGTGCTCTGCAATTGGAGTCAATCTGCGATTGTTTAGACTGTCTGGAAGCAAGGCAGGCTGACTTCATTTGGAGCTGGAAGCAGGGGCAAGCTGACAGCAACTTATAGAACATGGAGATTCCTGGCTAGCTGCTTGCTAGAAAGAAAATGTTTTAAGTGAACTTAGGTTTCCAGATGTCCCACTAAAAAGTACATAATTGCCATGACAGAGGATGAAAAAAGGAAAATGTGTAGTATGTGAATTAATTACTTTTTCTCTGATTATTTTTTACTTAACATTTGGCAGCACAGTTTCCATAAATTTTATTTTTTAGAACGTGTTTTTTTTTTTTTCGCCTCGGAACAACTGTACGGAATGCTGATAGACCCACAGCTTTTCTTAGTAAGATTTTTATGTGCATTCTTTTTCACTTAGTTCACACATTATTCCATATACTAAAAATTCTTTGTTTCTGCTTTCTGAAGAATAGCATAATTTTATAACATAAAATAATTTCAACAATATCAAATCAATAACCAACATTTATGGTACCTTATGAAATAGGATAGCTTGCTCAAGTATTTCTATCTTCCTGTAAAAGAGAGTGCAATAAAGGTAGCGCCTTTAAAAAACTTTTAAGCAGGTGAGGTGGAGCTGCATTTGAAGACACCAATCTGTTTTTCCTAGCGGTGTTTCCATCTTGCTTTGCTCTCCTGCACCCCTGTAGTTAACTCTGTGCTTGATTGCCTCAGGGGAGGCAGGAAAAGGGCTGAACTCAGAAATAGCCTGCTTGTCTTTCTGACATTTGTCATGAAGAAGCCTAAGCCCTCAGGGGAACTTAGAGAGTTTTGCGGAGAAGGTAAAAGTTGGTATTTAAGGGTATAGACAAAGTATTTTGGTCAGAAACAAGCAGAGGAGAGAGCAGAGTATTCCTCTGGGCTGTGTGGGAGACAGAGCAGAGAGAGAGGGAAGGAGAAGAGGAGGAAGGGATGAATGAAATGGATCAATGAAAGATTTCTGTCGTCCGGAGGAAGGATTCTGCCTTTGCTTTACAGCAGTGCTGATGGACCATCAGCAAGATCCTAAAGAGGAAACGACTGTCTAGTGCGTGTGGTGCGGTGTTAATTGACACACAGTAGCCTTGTAAGAGTGACGTGGAAACAATGGGAGTTACCTGGAGTTACCAGATGTAATCGCTCATATGTCCTGGGACAAGGGATGCAGCAACGTGTGTGAACCTGAGTACTGATCCCTGGCAACCTCTGCTCCCACCTTGCTACTGCACAGTTAATGGCATAAATTTTGGAGAAGCAGAGACAAAAGATAATTCTCAGGAAGAACTGAAGATAAGTTCATCCACCAGTCCAGCAGAATAGAAACTCAGGAAAAAGTATTACAATGAATTATAGAAAATGAACGTATAATACATTTAAGTGTGTTTACTGAGAGGCACACTTGCTTACAATCAATAACTATTTTTCTTTTTTCCCCACCTAAAAAAATTAAGGTAAAATTTACAGACATTCCCTTTTAGTACACAATTCTATGAGTTTTTGCAAACACCCAGTCTTGTAACAACCACCACAATCAACATGTAGAACATTTCTCTCACTCCCCTAAATTCTCCAGTGCTCCTTTGTAGTTAATCCCTCTCTCCTGGCAACCATTGATTTGCTTTTGCCCCTTTTGCAAGAATGTCAGAAATTGAATCATAAACTATTAAGCCCTATGAATCTTATTTTTCTTTGAATAATGCATTTGTAATTCATTCATGTTGCATGTATCAGCAGTTTGCTCCTTTTTATTCCTGAGTAGTATTTAATTGTATGTATGTACCACAGTTGTGTCCAGCTTTTGTGGTTGCAAATAAAGCTGCTATAAACATTAGCATACAGGATTTTGTGTGAATATAGGTTTTCATTTAACTTCGGTAGAAACTACAAGTGGGATTGCTGCATTGTGTAGTATATGTTTAACTTGGTAAGATTCTGCCAAATAGATTTTCAAGGTGGCTGTAAGTTTGCATTCTCATCAACAATGTATGAGGAGTTCTAGTTACTCCACCTTATATTGCCAGTTTAAATAAATTCGTTATGTTAAGTGCATAACAGTATCTCATTGTGACTTTAATTTTCATGGCTTATTTGCCATTTATATTTATGATACATTATCTGTTCAAATGTTTTGTCCACTTTTAAATTGGTTTGTAAATGTTGGGTTTTTAGACTTCTTTTTCTATTCTGGTTACAAGTCCATATCAAACATATCATTTGGAAAAATTTTCTCTCAGTTTGTGCTTTGTATTATCTTCCTACTGGTATCTTTTGAAGAGCAAAAGTTTTTATATTTGATTAGGTAAAATATGTAAAAAAAAATTTGGCTTAGACTTTTGATGTCCTATCTAAGAACTCTTTGCTTATTCCACAGTTACAAAGTTTTTTGGTATTTTTTTAATTCTGCTTTTTCTTCTGGAAGTTTTCTAGTTTTTACACAAAAGTTTGATAATTCTAGGTTTGTGATCCAATTTCAGTTAAGTTTTTATAAGGTACAAAGTCTGTATCTAGGTATTTTGTTTTGCTTTGTGCAAATGGGCATTCATTGTTCCAGAAATATTTGTTGAAAAGACTACCCTTTCTTTACTGAATTGCTTTTGTACCTTTATTGAAACTTGGTTTTCCACATGTGGATCTGCTTTTGGAGTCTCCACTGTGTTCATATATATTTATATTATATAATAGATATATAAAACCTTTCTTTAATACCAACTGGTTTGACTATTACAGCTTTAAGTAAGCCTGGAAGTTAAGTAGTATGAGTCTTCCAAATTTGTTTTTGCTTTGAAAAATATTCCAGCTATTCTTTTTTCTCTGCCTTTCCTTGGAAATTTTAGAATCAGCTTGGCAATTTCTAAAAAAACAAACAAACAAAAAAAATCTTACTAGAATTGCATTGAATCTGTAGGTTAATTTGGGGGAAATTAACATATTAATAATGTTGAGTCATCTGATCCATGAACATAGTATATATCTCCTTTTATTTAGGTCTTCTTTGATTTCTTTTGTCAGTATTTTGTAGTTCTCAGTATAAAGGTCTTAGAGATATTTTGCAAGATTTGTACATAAATATTTCAGGCTTTTTGTTGCTATTGTAAATTATGGTTTTAAAATTTTAATTTTCAAGTGTTCATTGCTAGTATAGATGATCCCCTACTTATAATGGTCCAACTTATAATTTTTCAACTTTATGTTGGGTTTATCAGGATTTAGCCTCATCATAAATGGAGGGGCTTCTTATTTATGATAGGGTTATAATTTCTACTGAATGTATATTGCTTTCACACCATCATAATATAAACAAATCTTGTCTAATAATTGTTAGCCAGGGACCATCTGCTATGTTGCCAGCATTAAATGAATTTTCAACTTATGATATTTTTTATTAAAATAGACATTTCAGGATGTAACTTCATCGTAATTTGAGAAGCATTTGTATACAGTAACATGATTGCCCGTGTATCCTCTACCTTTGCTAAAATCACTTATTAGTCCTAGTAGGTTTCTAAAGTATGTTTTTGAGATTTTCTCTTTTGGCAATCATGTTACCTATGAATCAAGTCTTGCCTTGTTGCACTGGCTTAGACTTTCAGTATATTGTTGAATAGAAATACTGAGAACATCTTTGCCTTGATTCTGGTCTTGGGGAAAAGCATTCAGTTTTTCATCATTTGATATTATCGTAACTCTTCTGATGGTGCCCTTTACATGGTTGTGGAAATTTTCTTTTATTCCTAGTTTTCTGGGAGTCTTTAATCATAAATGAATGTCAGATTATGTCAAAGGCTTTCTTTGTGTCTATTGATATGATCATTTGTTTTTTTCCTTTGTATTCTGTTGATATGATGAATTACGCTAACTGATATTTGAATATTGAAACTGCTTAGCATTTTTGGGACCAACTCCACCTGGTCATGATGTGCTATACTTTTTATAGGCTATTGAATTTTATTTGCTAGTACTTTGTAAGAATTTTTGCATCTATGTTTGTGAGAGATATTGGTCTATAATTTTCTCTCTTTCTTGGCATGGTTTTGGCATGGAGGTAATGCCAGCCTCATAAAATTCATTGAAAAGTGTTCCTGTTCACTCTGATGGTAGTTTCTTTTGCTGTGCAGAATCTCTTTAGTTTAATTAGATCCCATTTGTCAATTTTGGCTTTTGTTGCCATTGCTTTTGATGTTTTAGACGTGAAGTCCTTGCCCAAGCCTATGTCCTGAATGGTAATGCCTAGGTTTTCTTCTAGGGTTTTTATGGTTTTAGGTCTAACGTTTAAGTCTTTAATCCATCTCGAATTAATTTTTGTATAAGGTGTAAGGAAGGGATCCAGTTTCAGCTTTCCACATGTGGCTAGCCAGTTTTCCCAGCACCATTTATTAAATAGGGAATCCTTTCCCCATTGCTTGTTTCTCTCAGGTTTGTCAAAGATCAGATAGTTGTAGATATGTAGCATTATTTCTGAGGGCTCTGTTCTGTTCCATTGATCTATATCTCTGTTTTGGTACCAGTACCATGCTGTTTTGGTTACCGTAGCCTTGTAGTATAGTTTGAATTCAGGTAGCGTGATGCCTCCAGCTTTGTTCTTTTGGCTTAGGTTTGACTTGGCGTTGCAGGCTCTTTTTCGGTTCCATATGAACTTTAAAGTAGTTTTTTCCAAATCTATGAAGAAAGTCATTGGTAGCTTGATAGGGATGGCATTGAATCTATAAATTACCTTGGGCAGTATGGCCATTTTCACGATATTGATTCTTCCTATCCATGAGCATGGAATGTTCTTCCATTTGTTTGTATCCTCTTTTATTTCCTTGAGCAGTGGTTTGTAGTTCTCCTTGAAGAGGTCCTTCACGTCCCTTGTAAGTTGGATTCCTAGGTATTTTATTCTCTTTGAAGCAATTGTGAATGGGAGTCCACTCATGATTTGGCTCTCTGTTTGTCTGTTATTGGTGTATAAGAATCCTTGTGATTTTTGTACATTGATTTTGTATCCTGAGACTTTGCTGAAGCTGCTTATCAGCTTAAGGAGATTTTGGGCTGAGACGATGGGGTTTTCTAGATATACAATCATGTCATCTGCAAACAGGGATAATTTGACTTCCTCTTTTCCTAATTGAATACCCTTTATTTCCTTCTCCTGCCTAATTGCCCTGGCCAGAACTTCCAACACTATGTTGAATAGGAGTGGTGAGACAGGGCATCCCTGTCTTGTGCCAGTTTTCAAAGGGAATGCTTCCAGTTTTTGCCCATTCAGTATGATATTGGCTGTGGGTTTGTCATAGATAGCTCTTATTATTTTGAGATATGTCCCATCAATACCTAATTTATTGAGAGTTTTTAGCATGAAGAGTTGTTGAATTTTGTCAAAGGCCTTTTCTGCATCTATTGAGATAATCATGTGGTTTTTGTCTTTGGTTCTGTTTATATGCTGGATTACATTTATTGATTTGCTCTCACTCATAGGTGGGAATTGAACAATGAGAACACATGGACACAGGAAGGGGAACATCACACTCTGGGGACTGTTGTGGGGTGGGGGGACGGGGGACGGATAGCTTTAGGAGATATACCTAATGCTAAATGACGAGTTAATGGGTGCAGCAC
Organism: Homo sapiens; assembly: GCF_000001405.40. Taxonomy (NCBI): domain Eukaryota; kingdom Metazoa; phylum Chordata; class Mammalia; order Primates; family Hominidae; genus Homo; species Homo sapiens. Next base: position 189,113,844 of record NC_000003.12, read on the forward strand.
ACCAGCATGGCACATGTATACATATGTAACTAACCTGCACATTGTGCACATGTACCCTAAAACTTAAAGTATAATAATAATAAAATAAAATAAAATAAAATAAAATAAAGTGTTCCCATCTATATTATTGGAGAATTTGTGTAGAATTGGTATTATTTCTTGGTCAAGAATTTTTTGCGTTGAAAAGAAAAGCCAGATATTTAATCACATTAAAATTTTTACTTTACTATTCCGTCAGCTAAAATACCAGAACCCCTTATTACATGAGGGAGCTTCTATGAAGATAATTTTATTGTGGGGTGTTTTGAGGATAACTAGTGAATGCAACTCCAGTGTCTCCAGCTCTAGAGCAATCTCTGTTGTTGTTAGATGGAAGGAAACCAACATGTTGGACACAGATGTTGTACCAGGCACCTAGATGTTGCTTGTTTGTTTGTTTGTTTGTTTGTTTGTTTTAAGATGGAGTCTCCCTCTTGTCACCCAAGCTGGAGTGCAGTGATGCGATCTCGGCTCACTGCAACCTCTGCCTCCCGGGTTCAAGCGATTCTCCTGCCTCAGCCTCCCAAGTAGCTGGGATTACAGGCACACACCACCATGCCTGGCTAATTTTTGTATGTTTAGTAGAGACAGGGTTTCACCATGTTGCCCAGGCTGGTCTTGAATTCCTGACCTCAGGTGATCTGCCCTCCTTGGTCTCCCAAAGTGCTGGGATTATAGGAGATCACTGGTTTTATTTCATGAATGACACATAGGGTAAGAGTCCACTCCTCTCATGCCCCCGAATTCCTCCCAAATAAGGATTTGCCCAGCCACAAGGAAGAAGAGGACTAGTGATGCTAATACTAGATGCAGGCTTGGCCTGTGTCATTGAGATGGAGCCCAGTATCCCATTTCTACATTGTCTAATATTTGATTCCTGTCACTTGGTCCAGAAACGTGGGTAATAGAAATGCTATAGAAATTAGTGGTATTTAAGAGTTAAATAGATTGATAACTGGCTTAGTCAGTTATAGCCCTGAGGGATGGCAAGACTCAGAAAATCTCAACTACAACAGGACTGTGAGCTATAGCTGTGGCTGTAAGAAGACAGAAAGAACTCTACTCCTACTGTATCTCTTTTAGAATATAAAGTAGGAATTTCTGTTTTTACACAAGTAAAGGGAAGAGGGCACTTATCCTTGTTTTATTTCACCCCCTGTTGAAGAGACTTGATCCCAGGACACACAAGTTCTCTGACAGGTAGAGGTTGTGGTTGTATTGTGCAGCTTTGCTTAAGGCAGAGTGTATGTGTTCAATTCAGGGGGTGGAGCACAAAAACTGAGAAGGAAGAAGGCATTTTCTATGTAGTAAAACAGCTTTTTAAATTTTTGTCAGTTCTGGAATTATTTCTCAAATGGATCAGAATTTGAGAGAAGAGAGGAGTGTTATTTATTGCCTTCCACTATAAACTTCAACATATTGGCGCATGGACTGGGAACCTTAAGAAATAGTCCCAAGTGCTGATGTTTGCAGGCTGAAATCTAGGAGAAGTTGAGCCTTCCACAGTAGCTAGGGCAATAGCTATAGGCTTTGATAATTTTGTAGGCCAAGCTCTCTTGGGTATTTGACCTTAGTGATTGGCAAGGGCTTATGTTTTGCTTTTGTATCTGGATTTTCACTGGTCCAAAGAAGGCATAGATTTGTCTTGTGGAGTTGTGCTTTATAATGCAGACTTTTAAAGTATTAGCGGTTGTCTAATGGCTCTCTTACACAATATATTCTGCCAGGATTGTAGGCCTGGGCTTTAAACTACAAAAACTGAGACTGTGTTCCACAATGTTACAATGAATGAGACATGGTCTCTAAATTGTATTAGGTATTAGCAGTTAGCATAAGGCCCACCTGAGAAAATTCTGTTACTCTTTATCTTGTTTGGAATTGCATTCACTATGGAGGAGGCCAAGGAGAGAAATACGAAGGTCTAAACTTTATCATCTCTCTTTTTCTCTGTGAGACTTCTTGGGCAGGTTACCTCTTTTAATCTACTAATAATTAAAAAAAATTCCTTTTACAGATGTTTGTCAGGGAAATGTAAATCGAAAACACAATGAGATACCACACCACACCCAGTAGAATGGCTACTATCAAAAAAACAGAACATAACCACTGTTGGCAAGGATGTGGAGAAACTGGAACCCTTGCATGCTGTTGATGGAAATATAAAATGGTATAGCCAGTATGGGCAACAGTATGCTGGTTTCTCAAAAAATTCAAAATAGTATTACCATATGATCCAGCAATTCTACTTTTGGATATATGTTCCAAAGAATTGAAAACAAGGTCTCGAAGATATTATTATTATTATTATTTTTTGAGATGGAGTGTCACTCTGTCACCCAGGCTGGTGTGCAGTGGCGTGATCTCGGCCTACTGCAACTTCCGCCTCTTGGGTTCAAGCAATTCTCTGCCTCAGCCTCCTGAGTAGCTGGGATTGCAGGCGTCCACCACCATGCCCGGCTAATTTTTTTGTATTTTTAGTAGAGTTGAGGTTTCACCATCTTGGCCAGGTTGGTGTTGAACTCCTGACCTCGTGATCCACCCACCTTGGCCTCCCAAAGTGCTGGGATTACAGACATGAGCCACCGCGCCCAGCTCGAAGAGATATTTTTACACCCATATTCATAGCAGCATTATTCACAGTAGCCAAAAGGTAGAAGTAATCCAGTGTTCATTGACAGATAAACAATATGTAGTATGCATGTACAACAGAATAGTATTCAGCCTTAAAAAGGAAAGAAATTCTGACATTTGCTATGACTTGCATGAACATTGGTGACATGCTAAGTGAAATAAGCCAGTCATAAAAAGACAAATACTGTATGATTCTATTTACATGAGGTACATGAAGTAGTCATATTCATAGAGATAGAAAGTGGAATGGTGGTGGATAGGGCCTCAGGAAAGGGATGAATGGGGAGTTGTTTAATGGGTGTAGAGTTTTAGTTTTCAAGATAAAAAGAGTTTTGGAGACTGGTTGTAGAACAGTGTGAATGTACTTAACAGTACTGAAGTGTACACCTAAAAGTGGTAAAGATGGTACATTTTATGTTATGTATATTTTACCACAACTAAAAATACAAATAATAAAAAATACTAAAAAAAATTTTCTCAAAGAGAAGTTAGACTTGGCTGTATCCCCTTTACTTTTCATACCAGTTCGCCTGTCCTCCAAGATCTTTACTTTAAGGATGTCTCTTTCTCCAGTTTAAACAGTCTTACTTCCTTTACCTGAGCCAAAGTGTCATGCAAATACTTTATTGGGACTTATAATCTCAGGGCAGGGAGAGAGGAAAAAGAGGGCAATGAGGAAAAGAGGGTAAAGAGGAAAAGAAGGTAAGCATATATAAGGTGGCATGTTACTGAATTGGCCATGTGTTCATAACAAATCATGAGTGGTTGCTCAACCATGTGGGACATAACTGGAAGGACGTGGGAAGACAGATTTCTTTGCCAGCACCTTTCCACCACCTGTTACTCAGTAGTTAAAATTCTCATTGTAGGGAGTTTATTCCCTCACACTTCCAGTTTATATCACCTAGCCCCTCAAAAGAGATAGTCCCTGGGGAAGCTGGACTCCATGCCCTGTAGTTTAGCACTTCAACCAAATATAAAAGTGATAGAAGAAACCAGCACTTTTGTGGGTTCAGGCAGTGACATGGTTTTGCTGTGTCCTCACCCAAATCTCATCTTGAGTTGTAATCATCACAGTCCTGTGTCATGGGAGGGACCCCATGGGAGGTAATTGGATCATGGGAGTAGTTTCCCACATGCTGTTCTTGTGATAATGAGTGAGTCTCACAAGATCTGATGGTTTGTTAAACATCTGGCATTTACCCTCGTTGTACTCATTCCATCCTGCCACCATGTGAAGAAGGTACTTGCTTCTCCTTTGCCTTCTGCCATGTTTGTAAGTTTCCTGAGGCCTCCCCAGCCATGTGAACTGTGAGTCAATTAAACTTCTTTATAAATTACCCAGTCTCAGGTATTTCTTCATAGCAGTGTGAGAATGGACTATTACAGTAAATTGGTACTGGCTAGTGGGGTGCTGCTGTAAAGATACCCGAAAACGTGGAAGTGACTTTGGAAGTGGGTAACAGGCAGAGATTGGAACAGTTTGGAGGGCTCAGAAGAAGACAGGAAGATGTGGGAAAGTTTGAGACTTCCTAGAGACTTGGAGATCTCAGAAGACAGGGAGATATGGGAAAGTTTGGAACTTCCTAGAGACTTGTTGAATGGCTTTGACCAACATGCAGATAATGATGTGGACAATGAAGTCTAGGCTGAGGTGGCCTCAGATGGAGATGAGGAACTTGTTGGGAACTGGATTACAGGTCACTCTTGCTATGGAAAGAGACTGGCCGCATTCTACCCCTGCCCTAGAGATCTGTGGAACTTGGAATTTGAGAGAGATTATTTAGGGAATCTGGCAGAAGAAATTTCTAAGTGCCAGAGCATTCAAGAGGAAGCAGAGCATAAAATTTGGAAAATTTGCAGCCTAACAATGTGATAGAAAAGAAAACCCCATTTTCTGGGGAGAATTGCAAGCCACCTGCAGAAAGTTGTATAAGTATCAAGGAGTCAAATATTGATCACCAAGACAATGGGGGAAAATGTCTCCAGGGCTTGTCAGAGACCTTCACAGCAGCCCCACCTGTCACAGGCCTGGAGGCCTAAGAAGGAAAAATGGTTGTGTAGCCTGGGCCCAGGGACCCCTGCAGCCTTGAAACATGGTGCTCTGCATCCCAGCTGCTTCAGCTCCAGCTGTGGCTAAAAGGGGCCAACATACAGCTCAGGACATTGCTTCAGCGAGTGCAAACCCCAAGCCCCAAGCCTTGGCAGCTTCCATGTGGTGTTGGTCCTGTGGGTACACAGAAGTCAAGAACTGAGGTTTGGAAACCTCTGTCTAGACTTCAGAGGATGTATGGAAATGCCTGGATGTCTAGGCAGAAGTCTGCGCAGAGGCAGAGTCCTCATGGAGAACCTCTGCTACAGCAGTGTGGAAGGAAAATGTGGGGTCAGAGCCCTAACACAGAGTCCTCACTGGGGCACTGCCTTGTGGAGCTGTGAGAAGAAGGCCACCATCCTGCAGACCCCAGAATGGGAGGTCTACATACAGCTTGCACTGTGTGCCTGGAAAAGCCACAGGCACTCAGTGGCAGCCCATGAAAGCAGCTGTTAGGGGGGTTGAGCTTTGCAAAGCCACAGGGCAGAGCTGCCCAAGGCCATGTTGTGGGAGACCACCTTTTGTATCAGTGTGACGTGGATGTGAGTCATGGAGTCAAAAGAGATAATTTTGGAACTTTAAGGTTTAATGACTGCCCTGTGGAGTTTCAGACTTGCATGGGGCCTCTAACCCCCTTGTTTTGGCCAATTTCTCCCATGTAGAATGGGTGTATTTACCCAATGCCTATGCCCCCATTGTATCTAGGAAGTCACTAACCTACTTTTGATTTTACAGGCTCATAGGTGGAAGGGACTTACCTTGTCTCAGAAGAGACTTTGGACTTGGACTTTTGGATTAATGCTGGAATGACCTAAGACTTTGGGGGACTGTTGGAGGGGCACGATTGCGTTTTGAAATGTGAGGACATGAGATTTGGCAGGGGCCAAGGGCAAATTGATATGGTTTGGCTCTGTTTCCCCACCCAAATCTCACCTGGAGTTGTAATAATCTCCACATGTCGTGGGAGGTACTCAGTGGGAGGTAATGAAATCACAGAGGCAGTTACCCCTATGCTGTTCCTGTGGTAGTGAATGAGTTCTCATGAGATCTGATGGTTTATAAGGAACATTTCCCTGTTTGCTCAGCACTTCTCTCTCCTGCCGCCATGTGAAGAAGGACATGTTTGCTTCCCCTTCTGCCATGGTCGTAAGTTTCCTGAGGCCTCCCCAGCCATGCTGAACTGAGTCAATTAAACCTCTTTCCTTTATAAATTACCCAGTCTCAGGTATGTCTTTAATAGCAGTGTGAGAACAGACTAATACACGCAGGTTCCAGTAATGGGGTCTGTCCACCGGAGCGCCTCTGGCTCAGCCGTGGCAGACACAGTGGAGGCTATGCTAGCAGATAAGGAGGTTTCGGGGATGGCAGTGGCATCTAGAGCACTCCATGAGCAAGTTGTCAAGTGTCTTGGAGACAAGTGGTAACCTATTAGACCTGAGAGGGCATCATTAACTGTGCCCCAAACTAAAACATACTAAACGAACAAACCCCAAACAAATATCAGTATCTGTCAGAGGCAGTGGCAATGACCACTATGCTAGGAATGCATTTTAAAATTAGGGTGGGGAGGCTGTGTTGTTTGCAATCCAGTGCTTAACTGGCTCAAAATAGAGTTGGGAATTTTTAGAGCTTTAATATGCTAGATGAAAGAAAACAAGTGACATGATGACTAGAACCGCCACCACTGAATTTTCTAAACTTTAAGAAAAGGCAAGAAAATTGCTTTTAGAAGAAGAGAAGTTGAGAATATGCCCCAGTGAATCCTCCCCACCTGCAGTTATGGTAAATGTCTTTGTTTCAATTAATCTAATGATAATATATTTCATTCTCAGTAAGTTCCAAGATGTAGATTCTGGACAAAGAGTCTGGCATACTGGAAAGGAAAAAATATGTGAATCTTTGGGTCAGTGGTTCATTGAAGAATACTGACATTTAAAAAAATGCTTATAATAATGTGTGTTAAGTGCTATGAGAAAGATATGTGATACAGTGTATTTTGAATTCACATAAATGGAACATCCAACCAGACTTTGAAGGCCAGGAAAGTTGTCCAGAGAAAAGTAATGTCTAGGATTAATCCTAAAAGATGACTGAGGGTTGGTTGGCTAAATAAGGCTGAACAGCCAAACTGTTAAGAGGGCTCAGGAAATTTCATCTAAATTATAGCTGAAAGGCAAACCTGGTAAACCTCGATATAGGTCAATAAATTTTGGTGTGTGTTTTGAAAATCTTCTAAATTCTTCTCATGGTCACACACCCCATCTGAGACCAGGTCTTGTTAGTATTTCTGCAGTTTCAGAGGAATGTGCAGGAAGTGGGAAAATTTAGATAAATAATAAAGCATTTTATTCAATTAAAATTAAGGACATGTGTGGGAAAGCTAAAGGTAAATTATTAGATGACGCAGTACTACATTGAGCAAAAATCTTCTGTCCCAGAATGTGGTAGGTGAAAATAAAGATACAGATCTCTAAATTTTTATTTTCTTAGAGGATAAAACCAAAACAATTATAGAAAGAGTTTAATTATGAAAGGATTTTGTCAGTTAGGTAGATAAACCTGAGAGTTTGTAGATTTTAGTACCTGAAAAATCTCTTTAGGTAGAGTAAATAATCTAATTTACGTAACAGCCCTTGTGGCAGAGACAATGCCCTGTTTTACCACATCATTTCCTCTTCCTGGATACTCCGGAAGACAATATTTCTCAGCCTCCTTGAGGTTAGGTTAGGACTGAGTTTTATGTGATGGAATTTTGGCCAATGGAATGTGAGTAAAAAACCTTGAGCTCTAAAAAATTTCTGACATATTCTGTACCCCTCCTTCTCTTTTTTATGTTGAATTTGGAAGACAGGATTGTTTATTTTGTAGCTAAAAAGCAGAAGCAACTTGAATCTTTGACTCATAGCTTAGAAGAACCACTGAGTAGAACCAATCTATATCAGACTGTAATTGAACAAGAAGTAAATGTTTGTTGTGCTAAGCTACTGCTATTACTGGAATTATTTGTTCTTGAAGCAGAGCCTGATCTATCCTGACAAATGTACTCTTCCTTCCAGAGGTTTCCCCATGCCCTCTTTTGGACTTGATGGGGGTCATTTGGGACAATAAGGCCTGATAACTCCTTGGACTTAGGAAGCGAGAGAGCAGGAATCAAGAAAAGCTTTTGTGTTTTTTGGTTTGTGTAGAAAATATGATGGATTGAGATAAAATTTTTCAAAATAGGCCCAATGAAGAAGAGCAGATTCAAGGAGTAAAGGTATGATTTTAAATTGGACATGTTATGTTGAAAAGATATTTGGCCTTATATCATGCAGGATCTTGTAATTGCCTTTGAGAGAAAGCAGTGTTTTTATATGTCTAATTTTCTTTAGTATCTAGTATTTATATACAATTTATGTTTGTTGATGGGTTGGTTCCCTTAGCTGTGTGTGTGTGTTTGTGTATGTATGTATGCACACATGCCTAGAATTGCTTTGAGTTGTCTATACATTCACATGAAGTACTAGTAGCTTGTTTAAATGACAATAGTATATTTATATTCCTTCTTTCTTTCACTTTCTCTCCGACGTCTTTTCTGAATGTTTTTAGTCAGCATGTTCTTACTCTTTTTAAAGATATTTCTCATTAGGTAGATTGTAAAAGCCAACACCAAATGTTAAATCCAAGTTTGTTACACAAGCAGTTTGGAAGGTCAGAATGATCTCCACAAGATGCATACCAGAAGCTAACTCAATTTTTGATTTTCCCAAATGACTTTTCTTGTGAAATCTGGTTTTCACATCTCCCTATGCTTTTCCCCAATGGCCTGCTTTTATATTTCAAAATATAACCAGGACAAAGTATTTTAGAAAAGTTATTGGTTTTAATTTATCTTTGAAATCTCTTGGATTATTCCTGGGCATTTTTTTCCTAGAAGAGTATTTTGCGTAGCATGGGTATTAAAGGAGTCTTTGTTGACTGGTTAAAAGATCTTAGTTAGTTTGAGCTAGAAGAAAACTTACAGATCATCTAGTCCAACCCTGTCCTTTTATCGTTGTGAAACAAAAGCCCAGATAATTGAAATGTCTTGGCCAAGTTCACAAGGTTAGGCTTAGACCTGCTGCTATTACTAATGATGCTGCTCCCTTATTTATGTGCATAAGTTGTCAGTTTCACAAAGCCATCATTTATCTCATTTGTTCCTACGGTAACTATGTGAGATAAGAAATACAGAGATTATCAGTCCTTTTGGTTTTTTAACAAATGAAAAAATTGAGGCCCGGAGGAACTAAGTCAAATAGTTAGATTATCTTACTCATTTATGCACAAATATTGATTGAGCTCTTATTATGTGCCAGGCACTATTCTAGTTTTGTTCTAAAAACAGGCAAATGCTTTGTCCTCCTTGTATCAGGGAGAATGAAAGTGAAAACGCTCTAATAAATAATAGCTGAAATGAGTGAGCTTGCCTTCTCACTTCAGTCCAGTGGTGTTTTTCTCTACATCTCTGCTAATTAATTAAAACAAATAACATTTCTGGTGGATTGATTAATTCTCCTTTACTGAAGAGAAATAGCCCCTTTAAAGAATTTATCCTGTAAAGCATGCAAAACATTTTAGATGCAGCAATAAAAAGAGGGCTTTAGAGAGTTATATAATTTTATGTGCTCAAGAGAATATGGAGAAACATCAGTACATGTTCCCTTTCTCTCCAGCTTTGAGATTTATGATTGGTCTGTTACAATAATAATAGCTGAATATTGGTGCAAGAAATATATTTGATTCAGTGGGTAACATTTGACAGCCTTAACTTGTGAAATGTAGAAAAGTTCTTGCAGGAAGCTCCGGCAGAATGTGTAATGTACAAGAAGGTATTCAGGGAACAGAAAAATAAAATGAAAGGAACCTGCTACCCAATCTGTTTCATTAAATATGAAAATTAAAATGCCTTAACAAAATGCTTTCTCTTCCTCTCTCCTCCCAACAAACAAAAGCTTTGGTAGGCAGCCTGAAATTGCTCATCAAGGAAAAAGACCAGACTCGGATTTTAAATGGCTTCTTCTGAATGAAGCAATTAATGCTAAAAGGAACATGTTGTCTTATCAGCATTTATAAGGTACAACATTCATTGTACTTGCTGGCACTCTATCAAGTCTCTCCTTGGCCTAAGCGAGTAGAGAAATGCTTTGCTGCGTGTGCTCTTGACCTCTGGTAATCGGGAGGATTTGGCTGATAAACTTGACAGGAGTGATTCTCCCTGGGACTGGAAATGTGCCCGGGAAATGTGCTCTGGAGTCTCTCTCGCTCAGACCCTGGCCAGCCAGCCGTGGCAGGCCCATCAAGGCTGGCAACTCACCTATTTGCCAATTAGAGGTGGTACTGCTGTATGATTGTTTAGGATTTGAAATGCATTAGAGTAATGCAGCAGAGTCTTGTCTTTACTTCGTTGTACGTGTTCTGATTATTCAGCTTTTTCAGGTAATATTTTAAGAATATTACCTTCTTAAAGTTACTTATTATTCATTGACTCACTAATTCACGTGTTCATTCAGAGCACATGAATTAATGAGTTCCAGTGTGCCAGAGACAGCTTTGGGGAGGCTCTGGAGTAGGTACACAGAATAAGACATGGTGCTTGTCTTTAAGGAGCCTCAGTCTAACGGAAGAAGCAGGCAGAGAAATTCCTTGTGGCAATAAAACATAGTGGCTTAGAAAAGAAGCATATTTAAAGTGCAAGGGGAGCTCAGAAGGGGTGACAAAAGCTCCATCCTGTATGGTGATTTAAAGCAATGGCTTTCAAACTGTACTGTGACAACCCTGGGAGATGGGGAAAGTGAAAGACATAGATTAACAAGAGAGTTTAGATTATTCTTCTGCTAGATCCCCTCAGAAGAAGGGCTTTCTCTTTTGTTTCACGTATACATATTATGACATTTTTTTTAAGAACAAAGGACTTTGTGTGTGTGTGTGTGTATATATATATACACACACACACATACGTGTACATATATTAATATAGCTTTTCTTCATTAACTCATTTAATACTCTAATAATCTTGGCAGCAGGAGGCAATGTCCTCTCCACTTTATGTATGAGGAAACTATTTATCTTACATGAACATTTGTTATTTCATGGGCATTGCTAAAAATAGTAATCTTTATTTTTTCCTCCATAAAACCAAACTACTGAAATATTTTCACATTCAATTTGGGAAGGTCCACTACTGGCATGGAGCAAGATAAGAAATTGTTCAATGGGTAAATGATGGCAGAGTCTAGACCTATCTTTCTATACAATAACCCATGTTAAATAAATCCAAACTTTTAATTTATTAGCTTGAAAGTTAAATAAACTTTTGACCAAAGTAGTATTAGATCTTGCAATGAGATCTTAAGTGATTTACTTTAATCTGTTCTACCTTCAATTTAGTAGGTAATCTTTTAGGTCTCTCTTCGCTCTGAATGTTTGCTTTTACTTCTTGTTTTCCAATATTGGATGATTTATTTAATTAATTTCTAGGCAACTACATAAAAAAGTCTGCTTATACTCAGACAAAAAGTTTTCTTATTGTTTTTAATGTTTACTTTAAGATAATAATGTAGCATTGGAAGGGAAACCTGTATTATAGAGTCAGAGCAAGTCAAATCCTTGTTGTTCCACAAACAAGACATATAACCTCGGGCAAGTTTCTTTTTCTCCCTTGGCTTCAGTATTCTCAGGTGTCAAATGGAGATATTAATCCCAGTTAACCTCCCGTATTGTTTTTGAGGATCAAAAGAAATGATATAATAGAAATTACACAGTGAATTTATAAAGTACTACATTAAATGAAGGTGCTTATTATTTACTGAGCCCTGGGCCTGTCAGACCATATGATCTTCTTCCAGGGTTGTCTGTTTATAGCTGATTAATTCCTCTTTCTCTCCACCCCACCCCTTTTGAGGTCCAAAAAGGTAGGAGATTGGCAAAGAAATAAAAAGCCACAGCTTTCATGTAAACAACTCCTCCCCCAATTAATCCTTCTTTGGTCTCTCTATTCATATGTCTTCTTAATCAACAGGTACAAAGGAAGTATCACCTTCAAGCCCCATGTTAGGATTCTGCCAGCTCAGGGGCCCCAGATCTCAGAAAAGACCATCCTCCTCCTTTGCAGAATTCTTTATATCAGACTTATTTTTCTCATTGAGAGATTCCATTGCCTATTCAGAAGATGGAGCTGCAGGGTGTTTTGTGTGTGTGTGTGTGTGTGTGTGTGTGTGTGTGTGTGTGTGTGTGTGTGTGTGTGTGTTTGGTATATTTAGTTTTATTTTTTAAAATGTCTTTAGTGATCAGAAAAAAATGCTTCTGTAAGAACATCACCCTGATGGCACTCCATCTTTATTGTCTCATATCAGATTAACTTTTCTGACAAAGTACAAAGTGGATTTCTCCCTGCCAGCTCTATAAGCACTGCCGATGCCTGGAAGAGAGCTGGGCTCTTTTCCTGAGTTCACAGCATCATTATAGATAATAAAAATCCTGGAAGTGGGACTTTACTGACAATTTTGGTTTGGGGGATGATGCATGAGACAGAGAAAAGTCCATTTTGGGCAATGAGGTGCTGACACCAGGAAAACTCTTTGTTCCACATAAAATAAGTCAATTTGACTCAGAAGATACATGGAGGGTAGAGCTATATTCTCATAAGGTGGCATGACCTTCTTCTAGTATTAAAAAAATACCACTCTGCTTTCAGACAGAACTTGAAGGTTATTTCTTCTTTCCTTAGTTAAGGGAATCTGCTCAGAGAACAAGATAATAAATAGGCTTAACTCCTAGTTTTGCCACTTATTAGCTCGATGTCACTAAGACTGGCCACTGGTTATTTATAAATTGGGAAAAAATACCTGCCTTATTATCCCCTGGTATGTTGTGAGGGTTAAGTGAGAATTCCTTCATGTGTATGAGGCTTTCTGATTTTAAAGCATTTTTATATGGGAAATGGGTGCATGTGATTAAGAGTGTGGTTTTTTGGGGCAGCAAAATGTGTCTGAATTCCATTTCCATTATTTCCTAGCTCTATGACCTTGTATAATTTGCTTAAGCTTGCTGAGCTTAGATCTACTCATTGTTCAAATGGAAATTGGACCTCCAAATTTATGAGGACATCAGAAGGATTAAATGATACAAGTGAAGTGTTTACCTTGGCACCTGGTGTTTGCTATGTATTCTATAAATTATTGCTAGTTGTATCTTATTTGATTCCTACCAAACCCTGTAGGGAAAGAAAGACAGCTCTTATTCACACGATTTCATTGTGAAATAATTGCTAACCAGAAGTACAGAAAGATGAGTGTGATGATGATCTAGGGTTTGAATCCAGTTTCTAGACTTAAATCCAGCAGGAATATCCTGTAAAACAACATATAAACTTAGAGCTTCTGACCTCTAAGCTGTCAGTAATTACAAATCTGCATCTTCCCTTTGAGACAGGATTATTTATGAGGATGGCCTGTGCAAAAAGACACCCAGAGATTTCATGCTGTTGATTCACAGAAAGCCTGTTCCTCTTCACTCCGTAGAGTCCTCAGAGTCTGGATCATCCCTTACAGAAGATCCTTGATAATATTTCTGATATACCTCCAAGGTGAGTAGAAGGAACTATGGGAGTGGCAACCAAAAAGGAAAATTATGATGCCTATAGGAATTTGATTTCAGTAGCCAGAATAGCATTGAGGCCACAAAACCATTACTTAGGTGTCTGCTCCATCAAAAACTGGGATCCTAAAAGGCAAGATGTCAGAACTAGAAGGATTTTAGAGATCATATAGGTGCTGACATATGTTAACAAATGGAAACTATTGACACAAGTTAAAATTGTATCTGCCACAGTGTATATTATAACCAATGTGCCAAGTTAGTGGTCAATGGGCCTCTCAACTTTCAATTTTGAAAGTCACGTTTGCTTTGGAGATACCGTAGGGCATCTTGACATGAACATGACACAACCTTTGTCCTTAAGACCAAAATAAGAGATATCAATACAATGTGAATAACATGTGGCTATACTCCCAGGTAAAGGTCTTAAGGTCTTTTTATAGCAATGTGGAGATTCAGAGAAAAACAAACCATACTTGATTTGGAGAATAAAGGAGGTAAACTCACAAAAGAGATGGCCTCTGGGTAGAACCTTGAGGTCCAGATGTTATGGAAGAGAAAGAAGTATGAAATCAATGGCCTTTGTGAGGTAGAGTCTAAGTTGTCTTCCCTCAGACTCAGTTTCTCACTAGGAAAGTGAAGTTAAGCATAATTCCCTATATGCTTAGCTGGTATATGTAAAAATGTTGTGTTCAAAGTCTTCCTCCTCTTCTCTTTCATTCTTTCCCCAAAACCTCACTACAGGTCCCAAGAGGTGGGCTCCTACTTTAGTCTACCAGGACCATCTTATAGGTTGTTGCTGATTTTGATCTTTCCTCACAGCTTAAAAAATCTGCACAGTATTTTTATCATTGGGCTTTTGTGGGGAGTGAGAAGTAAAAATAACTTAAAAATTTTAAAATAAATTTTGCACAATTGCAAGATGAGTCAGAAAGGGAAAATTCCTGTTTGTCGTGTACTCTTAATGAATTCGTTTTGCTAGAGTCTTGTGATAGATGAACCTTTGTGCAGCTCTCCTGGAGCATGGGCCGCCATGGCCCTTGCATGGAATCATTGTACCAGAGCTGTCAGTATTGTGCAAAGACGGCCTGGAGGAGGGAAGAAGACACCTTCAAGAAAGGGACAGAGTATTGGAAGTCAGGTCAAGGTAGGTTTATCAGATTTAGGAAATAAAAATACAGGGCATCTAAAGAAAAAAATTGTTTTAAGTATGTCTCAACCATAACATGAAACATATTTATACTAAAAAAGTTGTTTATCTGAAATTCAAATTTAACTGGAGTCCTATATTTTATCTGGCAACTGTAGTTGAATGAGATGAAAAGGTCAAAGAGTTAAGAAGTAATAAAGATATTTTTATAAGGGTTTATAATTTTCGAAGTGCCCTCATGTTCCTTATCTCATTTTGACCTCATATCAACAAAATGTTGGTACTATTTCTCTAATTTTAGTGATAATGAAAGATTAGGCTGAGAGAGCTTAGGTAACTTACCTAAGGACATGCCACTGGTAGGTGTCAGTGTTGGCTCTTCAACTCAGTTATTTTATTATTAGCATTATTTTTTGAGACAGAGTTTCGCTCTTGTTGTCCAGGCTGGAGTGCAAGGGCGCAATCTCGGCTCACTGCAACTTCCACCTCCCGGGTTCAAGCGATTCTTCTGCCTCAGCCTCCTGAGTAGCTGGGATTACAGGCGTGAGCTGCCGCACCCGGCCCAACTCAGTTATCTTTTAAACTTCTTATTTTGAGATAATTTTAGACTCAGGAAAAACAAAAACAAAAACAACAGCAGCAGCAACTTCTCCTAATGTTAACATCTTATCTACCCGTGGAACAATGATTAAAAACTAAGAAATTAACTTTAGTACTATTCACTAAAGTATGGACTTTATACATATTTCATCAATTTTTTCACAAATGTCCTTTCTTATTCCTAGGCTCCAATTCAGAGTCCCACGTTGCCTTAGTTGTCAGGTCTCCTGCCATCTGTGACAGTTTCTCACAGTTTTTCCTTTTCTTTCATGATTGTGACACTTTTGAAGAGTACTGATGAGTTATTTTGTAGAATGTCCTTCAATTTTGGTTTTTCTGATCTTTTCTTGGGACTATACTGAAGGTATTGCAAAAGATACCACAGCAGGGATGCGTCCTTCTCAGGCTGTGATACCAGGTATATTATGTTGATATATATTATTGGTGACATTAACCCTGATCACTTGGTTAAGATGGCATCTGCTGGATTTTTCCACTGTAAATTTGCTGTTTCCCCCTTTGTTATTACTAAATATTTTGAGAAGTGACACTTGAGACTATAAAAATATGCTGTTTATACTTAAACTTTCCCTCATTAACTAATTTTAGCCTCTTGTGGTGGATCTTGCTTGTTGCCATTGTTATTATGATGTTGTAATGGTCATTTTCTATTTTCCTCATTTTCTCTATATTTATTAACTGAAACTCTCTGTTGGAAAGAGTTGTCGCTTCACTCCTTATTTAAGCTCAGTTATTTTAAGTCCAAGACTATTGCTTTTTTCACTAAAGCACAGATGAAGAAAAAAGTATAGGATTTTGAGCTATGGTAAAGTTATGATTGTTTCATGTGCACAGTGGAAGGAGTATGAAAATAATTTTACTTATTTTACTAACATTGATCAAACATTTACTTCTATACAGGGCCTTGTGTTAGGCATTGTGAAGGAAAGAGAAATGCACAAAAAATCTCATGGAGGCTGATAAATCAAAGATAATACTTAAGGTACTCTTCATAAGAGGGATAATAAAACTTCTCAGCTGAATGTTGAACTGATAAATGATTATGTTGATGACTATGGCAATGATAAGTGAATTGTAATGCAGTTATCAAGCACTCATGGCAAGCTCAGCTCTGAGTAATATAGAATATCCTCAACCAGATGATCATGATGTATGTACAGATCTTGGCACATACATCATGTGCCATGGGTTCTAGGCACATGCATAGTACCGAGTATGTTGGGTTATAAGCACCATGAGATCTTTCTCATAATTTATAGAAAGAAGAACTCAACTAGACAATAACTATTTTGACTGTCTTTAGGATCCATGATTCCTTTCTGCCTGGGAGAGATTATGAGGCTTCAGAGAATTCAAACATTGCTCCTCATTAAGGAAATGGTGAATTAACTTACATGTAGTACCTGAAAAAATTAAACTTCTATTCTCAGTGCTTTCTTAACTGGCCTAAAATGGACCTTACAGGTATAATCTCAGTAACTCAAATGTTATCAGAGGAAAATGGCCTGGCATGGTCAAAACGTAGCAGATTATTTTAACCAGTAGTTAATAAAACTGAACAACAGCATGAAAGAGAACACCAATAGTCCCTTGACATGGACTGTAATAGGATGAAACTAGAGGCAAATGTAGATTCCCTTCTGTGAGTGTGAGGGCTCTACTATCAAGCAACCATTTATATATTCTGGCAGAATATGAACTGCTTAGGACACACTCATAATGTGATGTGAAGAGTACCAATGTCTGTTAAAAAAATCCATTTGAAAGTACTATTTAAAAAATCCAACAGTAGAGCTATATATTCCAGCTATAACAGGCTTTCATTTACATTCTTCCTCAAATGCAGGTCATAACCTGAGTTTGAGATGCAGGGAATGACCTGCGTTTTAGAGAAGAGGAAAGTGAGGTTCAGGGCCATATGTGATTTTTGCTAACAATGGTGGATCTTGAGCTAGGATCCAAAACTTCTGATTATGAGATGTGTACTTTTTACCTCATGCCATGTTACCTCTGGCCGGTAAAATACCTAAAATTCTGCACAACTCTAAGTAACGTGATCGTATGTCCCACTTTGCCCAGAACAGTTCAGATTTATCCTTTTTGGCAGCATAATTAGTAATAATCTTACCTTTTACTCTAAAAAATGTTTTAAATCGGAGCAGCGATTATGTAGTAATTTCACTGATGGGAGGGCTCAGGGAGATTCCAACTTGGGCTTCAGTGTTTAAATTGGTGCTAAAGAAATCCCTAATGAGTTACTTCTATACATTACAAAAAGGCAATATCATTTAAGATATTATGTAAATATGATACATTCTAATGTTGGAATTATATATAAATATTCATGTGTGTATATGTATACGTGTATATACGTGTATCTATATGTGTGTTTATATATATATAGTTGTCTAGAAAAAAGCTCACTAAAAGGCAAAATTACAATAATTTGAGAATATAAAATCTCCATCTTGAAGGAAACAAGACCATGTAGATAGCAGTTGATAACATAATAATAATTCTTCTCACAAATGCAGTAGGACTTTATATTACTGAGCACTTTCTGATCATATTTTCTCATTTCAACTTTCTAAGAATGCTCAGTCAATAAACGAATCCCCCATTTTGCAGGTGAAGCCAAAATGCAGATACACAGTGAATGAGGCAGATCTGGGACCTCTGAGATTGTCCTCATTAAGACCCTTCAGCACTGACCTTTATCCTTATCCTATATTGGCTTTCAAAGCTAAGAGTGAGACATTGAACTTATAGCCAGAGGCATATTATTATGCTTGTGCTGCTTGTCTCTCATCTCCTTGAGAAGGAAAAGGAGAGCATAATAGTGCCACAGTATAACTCAGGAGAAACTAAGGAAAGCTTCTTTTTTATTTAAAGCCAACGTTTAGCCAATGGTTAATTTCTGTCTCAAGCTATTCAAAGGAATACTAACTAAGATTTGCTGTGACTGCTATGTGATTTATGGCAACTTGCTTTTCTTCTCTAGTCCTCAGTTTCTCCATGTGAAAAATGAAACTTTTAACTAGATCATCTCCATGGTTCTCTCTGGCTCTGATAGTGCACGACTCCCTGATTCTGAACTTCTGGGAAAAGGACAAATTCCAAAGCTGTATTCCAGAACCACCCTGTCTAACTTGGTCTCTTCTTTTCTTTGCATTTGGAGTGAGCCCAAAAGAAAGGTCATTTTTGCAGACATCTTGATGTTGTGCTCCAATGTCCTCATTAAATAACAGGAGCCTGGACTGGCAGGCCCAAGGGAATATTCAATCAAGGAGAAAAAGGCCAAGTCATTACTGGAACCCTATCATCAGAGCTGTAAACACAAGCATCTATTCCTGGGCGTTAGCTGAAAGCGTGTTTGATCGCGTGCTTTCTCTCTCTCCTTATACAGGTTCCGTTTGTCAAATGTGTGCGACCCTTCTGATAAGTCACCAGAGGTGATGAGGGAGAGAGAGAAAGAAAGCAAATTACAACTGTAAAGAGTCTCTGAACAGTGAAAGATCAAAACAGACAGTCTCTGGCTTTACTGGATGAGTCACCATTGCAGCCCGACCGCAAAAACAAGCGTGGCTTCTGTACTTAGCAGCAGTCTTCCTGTCTGGAAAGGAAACATTGCTCAGATTGGAGATACTGGCCATTTTATAGACTTCAAAGCAACTTAGGCCACTGAACTGTCAGGCGGGAAAACAGGTAAAACAATTTTCCTAGCGTTTGTCTGGAGAATCAGCTACTCAAATCTGATTTGAAGCTGCATGGAAATACTTTCATCTTTAGCCAAAGCTGTTTATTTTAAAAAGTTTTAGTATGATGGTCTTCAGTTCCAGTGTAGTATGTCTATTTTTCCTCAAATAATGTAAGTTAGTTTTTTCTGGAAGAGACTTGTTTCCAGGCACTGAGCTAAGTTCTGTGGGGGATGGAGATATAATCAACATGAGGACCTTCTAATGAGGAAGCGGGGCCAGTACACATACCATGACACTATGAACGGAAATATGTACTGAAAACAGGAAAAACATGATACCATGATGGTGCAAGGAAAACAGAGGTGGGTCTTGATGAATGGTCTACCAGAGGAGAGACTAGTGTAAAGAAAGGCCTGTGTGTATTCAGGATTTAGCAATGAGTCTAATTTAGGTTGAAATGTAACATACAAATAAGGAAGTAGAAGAAATAAAACTGGAAAGAGACTGGGATCAGATCTGGAAAGAGTTTGAATGCCAGGATGAAGATTTGAAGTCTTATGCTGTGTGCTAGGGAGACAGGGAGAGAAGAAGTAGTAACGTTATGGGAAGATAATAGTGCCAACTCCAGAGAGGAAAAGGCAAAGGAGCAAGATCAAGATCAGTTAGAAGCCTCTTGCCACAGTTCAGGAAAGAAATTAATTTTGGCCTGATATGGTTTGGCTGTGTGTCCCTACTCAAATGCCATCTTGAATTGTAATCCCCTCGTATTGAGGGAGGGAAGTGACTGGATTATGAGGGTGGTTTCCCCCATGCTGGTCTTGTGATAGTTCTCACAAGACCTGTTGGTTTTATAAGCCCTGCCTACACTTCTCTCTCCTGCCACCATGTGCAGAAGGTCCTTGCTTTCTCCTCTGCCATGATTGTGAGTTCCCTGAGGCCTCTTCAGCCTTGTGGAACTGTGAGTCAATTAAGCCTTTTTCCTTTACAAATTACCCAGTCTCAGGCAGTATCTTTATAGCAGTGTGAGAACAAACTAACACATGGCTCCTCACTTACAGCATTCCATCTCGAGCTAGACAAGAGAAGATCTACAGGAGAGGGTTGTGTTAATGCATCTGAATTTCTAACCTAGTCTATGAGGATATTAATATAAATAAAAGTATTCACCATCACAGAATGGATTAGTGTATGTTAAAGTCATTGAGTGGAGGTGTGTGAGACTCTGAAGACTGTGGCCAACTCAAGTTGACACAACAAAAGAAAGTTGCTCACTTCATAGAAGTGTGGAGGCAAATAGTGTTATCTGGACTACTCATACTGCAGGCTTTATTGCTGCTTGGAATGTTGAATACACATGTTAGCTATTCAACCCATAGTTTCTTTCCATTGTATGGTTTGTTTCCAGTCAAGGTCCCAGCCCTTGGTCTTTGAAAGTAGTGACACCAGGAAGGAAGAGCTTCCACCTTATCTGGTGGCTCTGTCCCTGCTGTGTGTCTGACCGTGGGTAAATCACCTGCCATCTCTGGGGCTTGGTTTCCTCATCTGCAAAATGAACATGTTATGTTCTTCAGTATTCAGGGCCCTTCAAAGTTTCAGCAGTTTAAGTTGTATGTTCAGTACAAGTAGTATCCATTACTAACGTTATCTTTCACAAAATGAACCAATCTCATTGAACCCTCCTAACAGCCCTAGGAATAAGCAGTGGGGGTATCCTTTTTTTTTTTTTTTTTTTTTTTTTTTGAGACAGAGCCTCTCTTTGTTGCCCAGGATGGAGCACAGTGGCATGATCATAGCTCACTGCGGCCTTGACTTCCCTGACTCAAGTGATCCTCCCACCTCAGCCTCCCCAAGTAGGTGGGACTATATATAGAGGCATGCCACCACACCTGACTAATTTATAAAATTTTGTAGAGTTGGGGTCTCACAATGTGGTACAGGCTGGTCTCAAACTTCTGGCCTCAAGCAATCGTCTTTCCTCAGCCTCCCAAACTGCTGGAATTATAGGCATGAGCCACTGCATCTGGATGGTATAATTATTTTAAATACATTTTACTCATATGTTAATAGAGCCACATGAAAGGTAAATAATTTTCACTAGGACTTACAGTGATTTACTGATCTAGTCATGACTAGAGCCTTGACCACCTGACTCCTAGCCCAGTGCTCTCTCCACTCTACCAGGCTGTACTGATCAGTAAAGTACATGACAAGGAATGTACGCAGTTTTCTATGATCTTGAATATGCTGTGGCTTTATTGTTTCTTCTGAGTTAGGACAGCCCAACAGAAAAATAATGGTTTTACGGGGTCCCTGAAAAGTTTTACTGGTTAAATGCATGTCTTTTAGTCTACTTCCTTACAGTGGGATGTGTGCAGATGTTGAGCTCTTCTTTGCGGTCAGTACTTCTGTCGTCAGATGCAGGTGGTTATGAACTTGGATGCAGTCAGTAGCCAGAGACTTGGCCATCTACACTCTTCAGCATGGGTCCCTCTGACCCTAAAAATCATACAGTCCCTGGGCCAAAATGGCCTCATCCAATCCAATGTCCTGTCCAGGGCTTGATCTCTTCTATTGCAGTTCTAATGGTTGTCCAGCATCTTCTTGAGCGTCAACATCACTTGTGGATCCTGGACGTGTACTGTCAATTGTCTCAACATCTTCACATGCTTCCCTCACTGTCAGCTCACATTCAACATGACAAGTTTCAAAACCCATGTTACCTTTTCTAAATACTTTTCTTCTCAGATGGCATTGCTATCTATTTAGTTTAACAAGCTAAAACCTAGTCCTCTTACACCCAGTCTTCTTCGACATTTAGCAACTTATGCTCCCCCTGAAATCTGTCTACATCTATCCTCTATTGTATTCACTTTCCCTGTCGCCCTTCATGCCCCCCTGCTATATTTCTCTGGACTATATGTGTAGCTGCTCAAATGATTGCTCAGAGCCTTTAATAGGCAAGTCTGCATTTTACATTTCTAAAAAAGAATATAGGATACATTTCTCCAACTTATTGGCTATGGAACATCTTTTTTTCCTCAGAGCATCTTCTGGAAAATGCTAGTCTAGCCTTTCCAGATGCAGTGTAGTCCCTGTCATTGTCACATCTGTCCACCCCTCTTTGTAGCTGAACTTGTTATTTCCTCTGCTTAGAATGCCCTTCTTCCTGACTCTTGCCATCTGGAGAAATCCTACGCATATTTCACAGTCCAATTCAAATATCTCCTACTCTCTGAAGCCTTCTTTGATCTCAAGTCCCAGTACATTGGCATAACCTCTGAGCTCTCAGAGGGCCGTGTACTTGAATCTATTATAATATCTAAATTATATTATAGCTGTGTGTTTGTGCCTATCTACCAACAATTCTAAGCTCTATATGTTACTCACCTGTCACCAAGTCTGGAAATTTGACTCCCTTCTTTCACTTCTTTGAACATTCACCAACTTATAGTTGATGCTAAATAAACTTCATGCAATAAATGAGCTTACAGTTCTAGTACAGTGTTCAGCCTCTTCACTTCCACCATGATTCCCTGTGTCCTGGTGGAGGGTGTATGCTGGGGCATGAGAACATTGTTTCAGAAGGGAAGGTGGGACAAATATATCAGTAGTAATTACTGATCCTTATGGAAGGGGACTTCTGGGGGTGGAGAAGCCGTTCAAGATGCTTATGGAAGGAGACTGCTCAGGGAGGAGAGCCGTTTCTGGAGAGGAGCTATTAGGGAACATCCCTGAAGCTGAGTATCAATGTCTTACATTTACTGAGCACTTTCTTCTTGCGGGATATTGTGCTCAGAACTGTGAATACATGTGAACCCTCAAGCAGCTTCTAGTTAATAGTTAGGCTTGCTAAAGACTCCTGGCTTCAATTAACAAAAAATGTCTCTGCTAACTGGACAACAAAGATAAGTTTACTTTAAGAATGCGGAAATTTCAGAATTCAAGGGCAAGAAAACAGCTAGGTCTCTGCCCTGCCTCTCACTCTCGTTACAGCGCTGGGCCTCATCAAGGTTATTATGCACATTTGAAATATATTTGCCAAAGTATCTTCCAGTATCCTAAAATAGATAAATGACTCTTCAGTTTGGGGGCAATCCATACATTCCCAGTCTAGGCAATAATTATACTTCCCTGTGTAGACCACTACAGGATTTATAGAGCATTTTAATGTCTATTACCTTATTTGGTCTCCACAATCATCATTCAGTCACTCAATGATCTTTACTGAGGGCTACAACATACCAGGTGCTAGGATAGGTGTATGGAGACAATTTTTAAAAAAATGGACATGACCCCTGTCCTTATGGAATTTGAAAGTCTGGAAAGACAGAGTTCATATTTTTCTTATTTTAGAGACAAACTAAGGTGGAATGATTTGTCCCAGCAAGGTGGTAGAGCTAGGACTCAAACCTGGGCTTCCCATTCTGAATCCAAGACTGTGATTTTGCCACGCCTGCTTTGCAATCATTGGGAAATCCCTGTGTATCTTCCAGGAGTTAACTGAAAGAAAATAATGTCAATGAAAACATCAAAGTGGCAAATAAAGAAGCCCAAAGTATCAACATTAAGAAAGCAACAAAATAAACAGCTTCTGAAAACCCCAAAATGTGTGTGTGTGTGTGTGTGTGTGTGTGTGTGTGTGTGTGTGTGTGTGTGTGTTTGGGTGAAGTGAGCTCTCAAACCAAAACAAGTAACAGCAGCAATAGCCACTTGAAAACAGAACAAAACAAAAAAACAAAAACAACAAAAAAAGAATTTTTCCCTCAAATCTGGAATGCAGCAGGGTGTCCTTAAGTTGTACAGAGCAGTGTTTGATGTGAGCATCCAGGCCCTGCTGTGAACAGAGCTCTACATTCCACACAGCCCTTATTGACTGGCTTTGCTGGACTCAAATGTGAGCAGGCTACAGCTTTGCCTCTGGCCATTAGAAGGATAATCTTTCTTGGGGGTCCCAGTAGGGTGCCAAGTGGGAATGCAGTGAGCGGGAGAGAGAGGCAGGAGGCCTATTTTGATAGGGAAGTTCCGCATGTCTACAACACTTTATGCCTGCTTCTCTCACGTGAGCATCCTTCCCCCTTCTCGTGTCTCTGTATGTAGCCAGTATAGGCCTTGGTTGGTGGATGGGTAGAAAGAAAAATGTGATCTTCCTTTTCCTGCGCTATGATGAGATCTTCTAAAGGTGAATCAAATGGACAATTCCATTTGTCTCTGTGCCTCTCTATTTTTAAGCTGGAAGATGTAGCCTTAGGGTACCTAATTCCATAGATAATAGACAAAAATAGAAAGGAAAAAAGAGAGCTGCCTTAGACGTCCATTAAAGCCTTGAATAAGACATAGTGCCTGCCTCAAGAGGAGGGACACATATGTGTAAACCATAGTTCCATTATCACATAATAATGGGCATGTACAAGTTTTGTGAAAGCCCAGGGGAGGAAGTGACAATACTTCTGGGTGGGTGTGTTAGAGCTGGGTCCTGCAAGTAGGAGTTTACTCAATACAAAAGTGTAATTGGAGTTCAGGAGAGAAGAGACAAGGGAAAAAATGTCATGTAAGCAAAGGCTTGGAGGTGTGAAAGAGCATGGTGTTTTCAGGGAGTATTTGAGGAGACACTGGTTGTTTTTCTGGTAACAACACATTTTGTGTAATGAGATAAAGTCAATGATTGCTTGGGTTTTATGGCAGGGCTAGCTACATTAACAACCAACCAACAAATACCAGCGGATTAAGAGAGCAGACTTTCATTTCTCACCCACTTCCCAGCACAATACAGGTTGGCAAGGGAGTTATGCTCCAGGCAGTCATTCAGAGACCCAGGTTCCTTCCATCTTCTGGTTTTCTCCTCCCCTTAGTTCCTCAGGTCTTTGCCACTCAGCTGGAGGTTGGAGAAAGAGAATGAGGATCAGGCACGCATAGGAAGTTTAAAGGTGATGTCTGGAAGTTGTGTACATCACTCCTGTCCATATGTATGCCTTTGGCTAGAACTTAGCCACCCAGCCACACTCAACTGCAAGGGGTCCAGGGAATTAGAGGCTAAGGGGAGAACACATTGTTAAGCAGATCGGTGTCTATCACAGCTTTGTGTCTGGAGAACAGGAGGATGGAGAGCATGAGGGCTTTATGCATATAAGATAGAACTTGATGAAAGTGTTCTAGCTTCCCTAGGGGACAAGCATGTAATAAAGGGGTCAGGGAGGGCTCTAGGTGAAAGGTGCCCTGTGGCCACACTCCTTGGGGAAAAGAAGATGAATGATTCTATCTGAAAGGTGTTTGTACTCAGACAGAAAAAAAATCTGCTCCAGCCATGAGAAAATGGACAAAAAATCACTGTAGCTCAGCTCTTAAAATGGGAGCAAAAGAAACCCAGCCAAGTAGACAACTTACAGCCCCAACATTTAGAAAGCACCATGTGGTTTACTGTATGCTCACACACAAGGTTCTCAGCTGATCCTCACAAAGGAGGAGGACCTGGTTGAAAATTATCCCTGTTTTAGAAGTGGAAAAATGTATGCTCAGAGATGTTAAATAAGTTGCCAAGGGTTGCACAGTAAGTAAGAGATGCATCTGCCACTGAAACCCACACTGTGCTCTTTGCAGTTTCACAGACCCTCCTCTGTGTAGCGGAGATACTGACCACACTTTGGGGAGCTGACCCGGATCCAGCCCTGGACTGGGGGCCAGGATCCTAGGGAAGCTCTCCTCCATCACCCAGCCCTCTGTTTGCCTGACTTCTGGAATCAGTGAACCAGCTCCTCATCCAGAGAGCACGTACATGTTAGCTGTCAAACAGTGCGTGCCGCATCTGACAACCCTAATATCACTGTTTGTATTATCAGACAATTACCAGCCGAGCTCGTATTCATAATTTGACTAACAACTCGCGACAATGATTATTTTTCCTTTTCTGGCAAAACAAATATAGCAGCGTTTTCTTTTCAGCATCAGCGCTGATGCTCCTTGGCATTCTATCAGCTGAAGGATTTTTTTTTTTTTTTCAAAAAAAAATGTTAGTCGTACTCCCCCACATCTCGCTAACTTTACAGTCCCCCATGGCATCTGTGTGCAGTGAACTGAGCTGTTGAGACTAAATGTAATTTGCAATCAAGCTTCTGTTAACATGGAAATGTACCGGCTGGTCTGCTGCAATATGGGTTCTCATTCTGTCTAGCATATGGTTGCATTAAATCCAGTCTCCAGAATGTCTCTTGTTACCACATTGTCAATCCGTGCAGAGCAGAGAACCCTAAAAAACCACTAAAGGAACATATTTTTGGAATTGGCTCTTCTATTGGATCTTGACAAGAGCTGTCCAAAGACATACTTGGTTACTTGAAATGAACTAGCCCTGTCAGATCTATGCACACACACACAGAGACACACAATAAACTTGAAAACTGGCTTGATGCTCTGTAGTCGTAAGCATAGGAATCATGCTGGAGGACAAAGGAAAGAAGGTGAAGGACTCAGCTTCACCAGATACACTTGAGACTCCTTTATAGGTTTTCTCTTGGTATCTCAATATTTAAGGCCCAGAAAATTAGAGTTGGACAGGACATAAGCAGTCTTTGTGGCTAAAAGCGTAGGCTCCTGAAGTGGATGGACTTAAGCTTGAATCCTGACCCCAGCCCTCCCTAGCTTGGTGACTTTGGGCACATTCCGAAGCTTTGTGTGCCTCAGTTACTTCATCTGTAAAATGGAGTGGACGAAGTGTACCCTCACAACTTACAGCATTATAGGGGATTAAATCCCTACACACGGGACTTATGTCAACAAATCATTGCTATTACTTAGTATTAATTACCTCTTCCTCACCAACCCTATTCCCAAATCTGATGCTTAAATACCTCCTACAATGTTACCACTATTATTCTCCTTCTCTTGTCTTGCACCCCGCTGGTGTCCAGAAGGCCAGTCTCTTCTAAGGCAGCCCGTTCTTTTCCGTACAATTCTGTTAAATGGTTTTTTCTTATATTAAACACAAATCTTACCTGCACCTTGAGCCTTTCCTTTGGGTCATATAGAAAAGCCTAATTCGGTGGCAGTCCTTCAGGTATTTCAAGAGGGTAATCATGCACTCTGTAAGTATTCTGCAGTTTCATTTGGTACCTTTCATTTCTCCTTTGAATTATGCAGTTTTGCATCCCCTTCCTAGGCAGACACCTCCTCTCGAACTTGCCTGGGTATGTCCGCGCCAATCTTGATTTCTGCAGCCCAAGCTGAGTGCCGTGTTTGCAGCTGCTGTATCACCAGCCTGCAAACCAGGTCCTACCTGGTGATGAGTAAGGATTTGCCTGATTACTTTAACACAGCTCAAAAGTGGACCTATTTGCACACAAGTACATCAAGCTTTATAAAATAGACTCTCCTTGAAGAATTAACAAATAGCAGTTTTCAGCAAATCATACTTTAAATTCAATGCAGGAAAAAGAGCTGCATGCCTACAGGTCTCTGTATCATGTTGCAGAAAAAATCCTTTTTTCAAGGAAGTAATTTCCATCCTTATACATCTCTTCTGTAAATCTAAAGTTCTGTAAGTTGTATGGAATGTGCTTTAAGTAAGAAACACACACAGACGGTGCACTGTATCTCACCGAAGAGATAGGATGCAATATCCTCCAACATTTAAAGGGCACTTTGGGAGGTCAGGGGAAAATGGAGGGGAAGACA
Source organism: Homo sapiens (assembly GCF_000001405.40). Lineage (NCBI taxonomy): Eukaryota > Metazoa > Chordata > Mammalia > Primates > Hominidae > Homo > Homo sapiens. Next base: position 189,141,355 of record NC_000003.12, read on the forward strand.
TTCTAGCCATTCATTCATTCATTCATTCATTCATTTGTTTAAAACCTATTTGTGTGCCAGACACTGTGTTAGGCACCAGGCATGTTTCTAACAAGCTGCTCTTGCCACCAAGAAGCCGGAAGACAGGTTAAAGCCAATTAAGATATGCCAAGTGCAGGATGCTGTGGGGCCATCTCACCTAGTCTTGAGTAGCTCAAAATCCAGGGATGGGGATAGATATGAAGGAAAATAATTACATTACTATGGAATAAGTGTTATATTTAAAGACTGTACAAACTGCTCTGAGCACTTTGAGAAGAGAATTTGTTCATCAAATATTTTATTGAGCACCCAGTATTACTGGATCTACAATGAAGAGCAAAACATAGTCCTTGAAATTTACCAACGTTACAGTCTCAAGTATTTGTGTGTGTAGTCTTAAATCAAGTTCATACACTATATTTTTTATTGATTGATTACTTTAAAAAGCTGTGACAAGTGTAATGAAGGAAGAGAACAGGATTCTAGTAGAAAATTAGATGGGGCCCTGACTGGAGAAGTCAATGGGATATGAAGGATTTCTCCTCCAAGTGGTATTTAAGTGGAGACCTGAGAGATAAATTGCAATAAGGATGACAAAGATGGAGACAAGCACCTGTTCAAAGACCTGAAAGAGGGACCAAGTTTAAGGAGTCTGAGGAACTGGGGGAAACAGGGTGACAGAAAGGGGGTGGTCAGGAATGTCTTTGCTGAGCAGGTGGCTCCACTAAGGAAGACTTAGAATGTGCAGAGGAAAGACAGGTCATTTCGGGCAGGACGGGCAGCACGTACAGAGGACGCGTCCAGGTCTGGGAGAAGCTCCTTCCATCTTCGTGGTGATGCGAGGTGGTGGTGAGATGTTCAGGGAATGTGCAGAAATGGAGAGGAAAGCTGGGCCAGGTCATAAATGGCTTTATAAACTACACCAAGGGATTGATTATACCTGCAGACCCCACAAAAGCACTGAAGATATGCTAGATTGTCTTCATTTTCTTTTTTTAAAACCCATATCCCATGCTTGTGAGTAAGGAGAGGGTAGAGGCATGCCTTCTGTATCTCTAGATCCTACCCCCTGCCCCCATTTTCAACGATGGGTGGTTCAGTTAAATTCTATCTCCTCCTTGTCACTTTGTTCCCAGCTCTGATTTGTGATCTGTGGAAGCTTTCATTTTGCCATTCTCTGATTCTTGTTGTAGTGACCTTGTGCTACAGTCTCTTGATATGAGTGAGGGGTCAGCAGCTTCTGAAGACCAAAGAGACTCTAACTCAACCCTGCATGGTGCTTGCAACCTGTTCCTGCATTCTGACAGGAAGGTTTCACCCAAAGGTGTGAAGGATGAATCACCCCATGATGCAGATTATTTTCGGCTGCCAGTTGGCCATCTCTTACTGAGATCACAGAAACCAGAGGCTTGTGAGACTGTTTAGCCCAGTGCTCAGGCTCAGTGGAGAAACTCATTAGCTCTATTTAATTAGAGAAAGCAAACACTTCCAAACCTACTTTAATGTCAGCCTACTTCCCACCACCTCATTAATATATTTTTAAAAACTTTCACCTTTAATGTGGCAATGATTTTCTTAATTCTTTCAGTATTAGAACTCCATAGATTTAAGGCATTTAGCTAGAGAACAAGTAGAAAGATTATACAAGTGATAGTCATGATTCTTTGAACCAGTATCTTTTGGTATTACTAAATAAGAGATTTTTAAACTCGATTTTCATGTATAACCTAGATGAAGGTTGTTGTTCTGGTTTAATCCTATAATATTGCAATTTTTAGGATCATCTTTTTTTTATATAGGATTTTACATTTTCCAAAAGGTTTTACATCCATCAGATGATTCCCACAAAACACTGAAACAAAGTAGGAGCCGCTGGTAATATCTCCATTCTCCAGATGAGGAAGTCTGGGCTGAGAGCAGTCAAAGGATTTCTCCGAATGACATCTATATGCTTCAAGGTTGACAATGAGGACACAAGTTTCAGGCCCAAGTGGCTTGAGATACTGCCTGTCGATGATAAATAAGGAAGTTAGGAGGAGAAGATGGTTGTCTGAGAAAAGTGACAAACTCAGAGTAGGATGTTCTAAATTGCAGCTGACTAGAGAGCTGGAAGCTGGATGCATATTTGTATGGCTCTGTCATACAAAAGCTGCTCCAATACTGTGTGAGTATGGTCTCCTCAACCTGGAGGGGGCCAACATTTTTCTTGAGTCAGAATCTTTTCCAGGTAGCCTGAGAACCCACATTAGGAAGTAACCTCTTAATTCATCCTAGACACCTCTTTGTAATCCCTTGGTCTTTTACTCAGGCTGACCCCAACCCAGACTTAGGTGTAGGTGACACTGATTTCATAACATGTTTTCATATGTTTTACCACAATTGATTCCCACAGCACTCCTGTGAGATTTGGATTCTGGTCTCTGTCAAATCTACTGGAAAATGGGACCCTGTTAAGATGCAGGCTTTTCCAGTAGGAAACAGCTAATGGTGGAAGACTGGGGGCTTGAAGCTTGGGCCTCTCTCTCCAATAGCGTGACTTATTCAATCATTTCCGGTGAAACTCCCCCAGACACTTTGCTTTCCTCTTCCATTTCCTCTCTGTGTAGCTTCCTACTTTAGGATCTTCAGGAACTCTTCCCACAGTCTAATGACCAGATCTGCTTTCTGGAAACATTCTCATGTCAGTCATACATGTTTTACTACGATTTTAAAACTTTGAGTTATCTCTGTTAAGAGTATACATATTCTCATTATTGTCTTCTCCTTGCTCACTATAACAAATACTTCTTGAGCCCTTGCTATGCTCTTGACACTGGGAGTACAATGATGAACAAGCAGACATCACCTACATCCTCCTGGATTCAATATGGTTGTGGCAAGAAAGCTTTGTTTCCTATAAGTGGACTTCAGAGATCCACATAACTTATAGGCAACCATTTGTTCCTGCAATTTCAAGGTATTTTTAACCTTTAATTGTGGGTTTAGGAATATTTAGCCAAATACTCCTCCAGGTGACATATAGGCAATGAAGAGGAAACAGTACATAAAATAGTGATGTGACTTCACATTTCGAAACAAAGAGGCAGGTGGTTCTGCTGTCAAACTGAGCATTAAAATATAACTGGGGGTGTAGGTGTGGGAGTTTCTCAATAGCCCTGGAAACAGCTAATATTTTGGTAGATTCACAGGATTTTCTCTTTTAATAAAGGGGATTACTTGCATCTTATCACAGGACTAAACAGTGAAGCCAGGAAATAGTATGAGTTTCCTACTGGTTTTTGCTGAAATTTTGGAACAGATCATTACACAACTGATTCATGGGTATTTTGAAGAAAAGACACTGATCACTAGAAGTTAATAGGAGTTTACCATAAACAGGTTGTGTTAGACACACCCCATTTCCTTTTCTTATTACGCCACACAACTGGTAAATCAGCAGGATGAGGAAGTTTTAGCAGTGGACTTAACACGACCTCTTGTGACGTGATTGCACATAAGCAGGTGAAATATAGGCAGGGTCATGTCTTACACACTGGTTTCACGGGCAGGTGAATAAAAATGACGCTTGAGCCTTGCTAACTGTTCCATGTAAGCTAGAAGGAGGTTTTTGGTGAGGACTAGAAGCCTTTTATTCTGTTCAATATTTTTTGTTAATTACTTGAAAGATTATCTGGAAGAGGGAATACCCAAGTATAAAAATGACACCGGCCGGGTGCGGTGGCTCAAGCCTGTAATCCCAGCACTTTGGGAGGATGAGGTGGGCAGATCATGAGGTCAAGAGATTGAGACCATCCTGGCCAACATGGTGAAACCGCGTCTCTACTAAAAATACAAAAATTAACTGGGCGTGGTGGCAGGCGCCTGTAATCCCAGCTACTCAGGAGGCTGAGGCAGGAGAATCATTTGAACCCAGGAGGTGGAGGTTGCAGTGAGCTGAGATCGTGCCAGTGCACTCCAGCCTGGCAACAGAGGGAGACTCCATCTAAAAAAAAAAAAAACATGCCAAACTAAAACAAAAATCAAATACCATAGACTAACACAAAGAGATGGCGTAATATAGTAAGGAGAAAGAGTTCTGGCATTGGAGAGAGAATGGCCTAACCTTGCAGCTTGTCTCTGACCCCTTGACAGTGAAGTAACATTGAACAGAGACTTACTGTTTCTAAGAGTTCAGTTCCATCACCTATAAGGTAGCAATAGGGTTGTTTGTGATTCAGATCAGATGAGAATTGAAAAAGAAGTGTGTCAACAGCTAGTATCATGCTTGGCACACATTTTCAATAAATTAATAGCAATAACATTAATAATAACAGCAAATTAATATCTAAAATGATCTAGAACTTCTAGAACACAGGACTGAAAACAATGAAGCAAATCTGAACTTAAAAGATATGCGTGGAGATGATATTGGAGGTATCAGGACCATATTTATGACACTCAAGCTGCTAAGAAGTGATTAACACATGTCAGACACTTCAGAAAGTACGTTAATGATGACTTAATTATCTGTGTGTGCTTGAGAAATCACAAAGGAGAATCTTATATTGATATTATATGTGTCTGATATCTTCATATATATGAATGGCTGCCATATTGAAGAGAATATGCATATCTTTATTTGCATTTTTCTAAGAGAAAGCCAGGCTAAAATTGGTAGTAGTTAAAAAGGGAGACAATCTGGATAATATTAAAACCTTTTTCTGTAATAGTCAGAGCTTTACTATCATTGATCTGTGTGGCTTGTGGAACAGGAGACCCTTCATCACATCAGCTGGTTTTCCCTGTACTGAAAAACCAGGCAGTGTTGGTTGCATGATGAATGTATTAAAGCTTTGTTTATGCATTGCCGTGACTAAAGATCAGTTTCATGTTGGGCAGTGAGTTAAATGCTGGTGGCCAAAGGATAAAGATGTGACCTCCACCTTCAGTTAGGTCACAGTTAGGAAGAGAAGGCGCCCGTAAGTCTCTCTGAGGGATCTGAGGAAGACTTAGACAATTACTAGGAATTTTCCAGGCAGATATTCCATTTAAAGAGAGTAGCCAGTGTCAAGGTTAGACGTATGAGACATCATAATGGATTCTCAAAAAAACAAATGTTGTTGGGAGTAGACTTTTCCAGGAAGGCAAGGACCTGCAATGCCCTGTACAGAGTGTCAGGGACTCAAGACGCCTTCCCACTCTGTCTGTTGTATCTTGTACATACCCATGTTAGAGCACTGATCCCCCATATTATAATTGCTGTGGATGCATCTCCTCAACACACTACAAGTTCCTTGAGGGCAGAGACCATGTTTTATATATTCTTGTATCTTCACTGCTTACCCTGAGCTATCCACAGTTTACATACTAAATAAATGCTAATAAATAAAAAAGTAATTAAATGAAAGCAATATGCATCTCATTTAAAAGATGAGTTTTGGCATGATTTAGGAAGAGGTGTTTGGTTCTTAGAGGTTTCCAAAGCTGGGCTGAATGTAACACCAAGAATCATTTCTAGAGAGTTGTGCCTTTTCCACAGTACTTCTGCAAATGCTAATGCTATTATTTAGTATATGGACACAGGTACTGCACTAAACACTTTTCCTGCCTTATCATTTAATCTGCACAGCGTCCCCTCTGGGGTCCACATGTATTTTCTCCATTTATTGATAAAGAATTTAAGATTTGGAGAGGCTAAGTAACTCATCCAAGGTCATAGATTCAGGGAGTGACACAGCTGGGATTTGAACCCCGGTCTGTTTGACTCCAGAGCCTGAGTCTTAACCACTACACTATCTACAGAAGGAAGAGGAGGGAAGAGTTATCCAGTGATCCCATCTCCAGGGTAGACCCTTGAGATTCCCTGTGAATTAAAAGAGACTTGCTTAGTTAAAAGAAGCTGAGCTCTCCAGAATCTTTCGGCCTCACATTCTAATATAACCTCTGCTCTAGCAGTGGAGAAAGAGAAAATCCATAGGGGTAGGATGAGTTTAGAGGACCTGGAGCATTGTGGATGCAGGTGGATATGGCAGCCACCCCTCCCTGCTCTCTACCTGTAGCACTACTACACCAGCAGACGCAACACTTGGTTAGAGAGCAGAGGAAATTACAAAATAGCCATGTCGGAGGCAGAAAAGAAGTGGAAATTGAGACTCTTCTTGCCTTTGAATGTTTTGTATCGTCTGGGAGACCCACTGGGATGTTTCTTTTTGTTTTTCCTTTCGACTAGGATGTCTTCCATTTGGAAGCCCCTTTGCTTCTAAGAAGTTCCAGAGACCATCCCAGGCCCACAGGTAAGGAGGCTAGGGCGTACCTCTAAGTTCTATCCTGGAAGAGAGGGAAAAGTGACCTGTAGGTCTCCGGCCTGAAAAGCACAGTGCTGTCCAGTGGAACCCAGGGGAGATAGTGATTTTAAAAGCAAGCATGGAATGCGTGGCTGACTTTTGCTTGTTGCTTGAGTCTGGCAGATGGGGGTGGGCAGGAGGTTAAGGAACTTCAGCAGACGCCAGCAGTCAGTGGATGTGGGTGGTCGTTCTTCCCAAGTGCTGAAAAGATGGTCACCTTGCACTTGTGAAGATAAAATTCAAACCTAAGTTTCTCTGTCTTGGAACACAAACAGCATAATCCTTTCTCAATCTTCGAGAGGAGTGTTTTCAAAAAGTAGCAGCATATAGGGAATACAAGGCTGCCTAAGGTTCTGATTCACAGATGTGAATTCTGCCCAGTCAAAAGTCTTGGTGTTTGTAGGATTTGTTTGTCTGCAAGGACAAAGATGAAAGGCAAGTTGCTATAAAACCTTTCTGCTCCCTCCTGATTGGTAAGCAAAAATGTCCACACACTGCCATCTGGTGGGCACTACTGGTCACTGTCGTTTTAATGGGAAAGTTTAAAGTTTACTCTAAACTTAGAAGGGGCCAGGCAACTCCTAGTCTTCAGCAAAACAGCAACGTATAAAACACAGTTCCTGGCTGCAAAGGGCTCACAGTCTAATGGAAGAAACGGACATGCCCAACACGTGGTTACAACTGAATAAGTACTATTTTAAGAAAAGGTGCCGAGTGTTATCAAAGCAGAGGACCTCTCTCTGGGAGTTTAGGGAAAGCCACCTTTGAGCTGAGTCTGGAAGCATGCCTCGCACTGTGGCAAAAAGGAGGAGAAAGTTTATTTTAAACAAGGGGCACATCATGGGTCATTGCATGGTGTGAGTTGTTAGTTCAGCCTGGCTGGTAAGTAAGGAGCATGGCAAGAAGCTATAGAAAAAAGGCTGGGAAAAGTTTAAGCCAGACCATGAGAGGCCTTGACTGCCTGACCCAGGCAATGAATCGGCTCTAGATTATACAGCCAGAATATAAAGGATTCAGATTTGGGTGGTAAAGCAATATGAAAAACAAGTGTCGGTACACACGCTTTTCAAACATTTGGAACTCTCTCATTACTTGAAATCACCTGTGGAAACCCACTATGTGAAATGGATAAAACCATAGTTCTTCTGGTCAAAGCAGAAGTGGGGATTCAGAGCCCGAAGAACTTCCACCATCCCATTTCTCCCGTTCCTGGAACATGCGGATGCCTTTGGGTAATGCCTAAGGCTCAGCAGACTCTTGCTTGACACTGCTGCTGTGGGCGATTGCTTGACCTAATGTGACTATCTCTGCTCTGGTGTTAGCACCAGCTTCGTCCTATCCCTCCTATGTCATAGGTATCCATAAAGTAGGTTCTAGATCTTTTTCTATCTCAGCGCTGTTCTCAAGATTCCATTTATGGTAATCTCTATCTTATTAATAAATTAACGTTCCCAAACAATCTATATGACCTGGTCCCTGGCCCCTAGCTTTATATTGCTAACGGACACGTGTAGGGAGGTGGATAGAAAGCAGCCATCTCTGCAGTGTCTGTTAAGCATCACTGTATGCTGTCTAATGTATTAATTCATGTTAAGTATCTACAGCATATGTGCAGCACAGATAATCTATGATGGAGTTATGAGAAGTTGTTTGATCTTACTCAGGGCACGAAAGTTGTTGCTTTCATTCCAAGAACAGCACTCTGAGAAAGCATTCAAGAGCTTTCTGATGAGTGGCTGAGTTATCAAGATCTCTAGGACTTTCTGTTCTGTGAAGACATGGAGCTTCTAGATGGCATTTGCCACCAGAGGAGAGATGTTAAGAACTGATGAAGAGTGACTGGTCCCCTGATGGGCAAAGACTGTTTTGTTTCAGCCAACGTGGTTATCTTCTGCCCTCTTCAGAACAACACTTCTAGAGGCAAAACACAAATTCCACCCACCAAACAGCATTTCCTCTCATTCTTTCTCTTGTTCCTTGTCTTTACTCACGCCTTGCCCACTCTCTCTGCATGGTGGGGTCAGTTTGCTCTCACTTTCCCACACTAACTTCTCTGTTTCGAGCCTGTGTCCGGAACTGCCTCCTTCTTGCCATCTGGTAGCTGACATCTGCCACATCTTTCCAACCAGAGCCCCCATCTTTTCTTGGAGGCCTTTAAAAAAAAAGATGTTAACTTTCATTGCATGACTTTTCCCAGTACATGATTATGTACGCAGTGTTTTCCACATGGTTGAATAACTACTTTAGCATCGACTCTTGCCTGCTTTACTTAGGTTAATTGTTATTTTCCTGAGGGCACACTGACCAGTGTCCTTTGATGTACCCAGTGCCAAATTCGATAAACAATAACCCAGAATATCACACTTTATAACTAATGAGTTGGGGCTGTTCTATGTTTTATTACAGCAAATGGAAATGCAGTTCTGCTTACTACCTTTGATGAAGAGAGTAAAGTGGAAGTGACTTGGTGAACTTGCAGGCTTTGTAGGGATTTCTTTTTTTGAGACGGAGTCTCACTCTGTCGCCCAACCTGGAGTGCAGTGGCACGATCTTGGCTCACTGCAACCTCCACCTCCTGGGTTCAAGCAATTCTCAAGCCTCAGCTTCCTGAGTAGCTGGGATTATAGGTGTGCACTACCACGCCGAGCAAATTTTTGTATTTTTAGTAGAGGCGGGGTTTTACCATGTTGGTCAGCCTGGTCTTGAACTCTTGACCTTGTGATTCACCCGCCTCGGCCTCCCAAAGTGCTGGGATTACAGGCATGAGCCACCGCGCCGAGATCTTTGTGTGGATTTCTACTGTTGATTTACCTGCTTCAGCTGCGACTGTTCATTTTCATGGCTGTTTCCCTTCATAAAACTGTTAACTCCTTGAAGGAAGGAGACGACAGTGTGAGGCTTGGGACCAGGATCACAATACATGATCAATAACTGCTTTTTAAATGTATTTTCAATAGAGTTATAAGGATTCATCTGGGCACTGAAGACATTTGGGACCTCAGTGAAGTTTCTCCGAGGCCAGATGGTCACATTGATTTTCTGGAATCATTTTGAATAAAAATGAGCGAGGTGGTGAACACAATGCAAGGCTCTCCACGTACTGTCTGGTATTGTTCAACCAGCTCCACGACTCCCTGAGGGCAGAGATGAGCAGATGTTAATGGATAAAGCCAGGTGGGATGATGTTATAACATTTCTCCTACAGCCCCAAATCTCCCAACTCCTGCATGTGTGACCTGAGTAAGACTCGGTGCAAGAAGACATCAGTGTTCCCATCTGTGAAATGAAGGAATTGACCCCCGAGGATCTTCCATTTCTGACAGTGCTTTGGATTTCATTGGTTTTGTCACAGGTACCCCCCAAAAGCCTCCATCTTTGGATAAGTGATTAAAACTGCTGAGTAATTTTCAATTAATAAAAGTTCAGTGCTGGCTCTCATTTTCTTCCAAAGATGTTTGTGGAAAGACCTGTGCAAAACACTTCAGATGGCAACCCACCTCCAAAGTGGGTCCCTTAACACCAGTCGTCCTTCAATAAGCTCAGTTATTCAGAAAAGCAAGTGAGTTTTCCAGATATAAGATACTGTATTATTAGAAACTCACCAATATAGAAAAAGCTGATGTGGGTTGGGAGATAGAGCTGATATCCCAGCAACAGTCTTCTTACTTCATAATCTAAGTATATCAGAGACGTATTTTGGAGACACAAATTTGACCCTAAATATAGCTAAAACCATGCTATAGCAAAGGACTTCGTTGTAAGGTATTACTTTGTGCTTAATTACTGAGGCCATTAAACTCCTTTGGTTGTAAGAAAGAGAAACCTAAAGAGTTTAACAGCCTCAGTAATTAAGCACAAAGTAATACCTTACACCAAAGCCCTTTGCAGAAAGAGAAACCTGGCCAGGCGTGGTGGCTCATGCCTGTAATCCCAGAACTTTGCGAGGCTGAGGCAGGTGGATCACCTAAGGTCAGGAGTTTGAGATGAGCCTGACCAATATGGTGAAACCCTGTCTCTACTAAAAATACAAAAATTAGCCAGGTGTGGTGGCATGCCCCTGTAGTCCCAGCTATTTGGGAGGCTGAGACAGGAGAATCGCTTGAACCTGGGAGGCAGAGGTTGCAGTGAGCCAAGATCACGCCATTGCACTCCATCCTGGGCGAGAGAGCATGACTCCATCTTACAAAAAAAAAATTGATTACTTGATCCTCCATTATATGTCAAGTAATGGAGGATTTACTTTAAGGACACACTTGTGAAATAGTCCTCTCTGTCTTTACTGGAAGCCAGGCAAACCTTAACCATCAGGCCTTACAGAACCTGGAATAGGAGTATGGTCTGGATTGAGCAGATGTGCATGGCTTGGTGTGCTCTAGGGACTGCAGGAGCTAGAGCACAAGGCTCTTATTCTCGTGCTTCACCTTCCATGTGACTCAACTATTTTGTCAGTTTCTGCTTCCCTTAAGATCTGTTTTTTTTTTATGTTACCAAGGTGAACCATTTACTTCATTTTACAATATCTGGAGAGAAATGGTCTGAGGCTGTTTAATTACCATAGTCCCTTGAGGAGTTTTCCTTCAAGTCACACCATCGTTGCTGATTATCCTATATTTTGGCAACTCTTGGGCCATGGGCACTTCCTAGTCCAATCAGCTTTGGCCAGAGGCAGATTCTACTATACAGACATGGTCATCTCCAAATTAGAGGGAACCCCCAGCTCCAAGTGAAGGGTACATGTGGACGGTTTCCTTTATAAAGGGATGTGTGATGGTGGGACAGGCATGTCTGCTGCAGTAGGAATGTTTCATTTGGTAGAGAGGAAACATAAGAAAAAGTAGGATTGGTACCCACCATTATTATTAAAAAGTAGGATTGCTACCAGCCATTATTATTAAAAAGTAGGATTGCTACCCGCCATTACTATTAAAAAGTAGGATTCCTACCCGCCATTATTATTAAAAAGTAGGATTGGTACCCGCCATTATTATTAAAAAGTAGGATTGCTACCCAACATTATTATTAAAAAGTAGGATTGCTACCCTCCATTATTATTAAAAAGTAGGATTGCTACCCTCCATTATTATTAAAAAGTAGGATTGCTACCTGCCATTATTATTAAAAAGTAGGATTGCTACCTGCCATTATTATTAAAAAGTAGGATTGCTACCTGCCATTATTATTAAAAAGTAGGATTGCTACCCGCCATTATTATTAAAAAGTAGGATTGCTACCCGCCATTATTATTAAAAAGTAGGACTGCTACCCGCCGTTATTTGCACAGCTACCTTATGAAAGTAGTTTCACGTGTGTCTTAGATCACTTTAGAGGAAAGATATCAGACAAAGAGACCTGAAATAAATGGGAAAAACTTTTGACTTAAATGTAATATTCCTCTGACAGTGTACAACGTAAGTGGAGTTGGAAATTATGCCAGAGAGTGAGTTTGCCATCGCCAGGCTTTTACAAATGTCGTCATCCCTATGTATTGAGCACTGTTTCAGTGTGCAGATACTGGCTAGTACTTTTTTAAATAAAGATTTTATTTTGAGTAACCTGGCTATTAGTCATAACCTGTCTTAATTCACCTTCCCTAGAAGTAGAACCTGAGAAGGAATTTGGGTGCATGTGGTTTATTGAGTTTACACTCTTAAAAAACATCACCAAAGAATGAAGAAAACAGAACAGAGAAGAGCTAAGCAAGAATGTAATCATAGGTAAAATGCAGTCTTATTCTGATTCAGAAGAATTATGTAAAATTTGCACTGGAGAATTGTTCCAATCTGAGGCAAGGTATCTTGGATTTGTGGCCCCTGCATCACTCAGTCATTGGATGTTTGGGGTGAGGGGTGGTGTCACTCCCCAAGTGTCTCGGGGTGAGCCAGCTCCCATCAGCCCCAGGTAATTCTTCCTAGATCAAGTGTGTAAACTGTTAGCTGCAGCACCTGCCATAGCCGGGAGATGGGTATCCAGCTGGCAAATGGGATCTGGGTGGAGCATCAGCAGCATCTGCTGCAGGCTTCCTTGAGTCTACCTCAGAGAGCTTGTTGCAGGCCAGAAACTCTGGCTCGTATAGGCAAAAAGCAGAACTGATTGGAAGGAATAGAGGGCTGACTGATCTGAGAGACAAGAGGACCATATCTGGACTATGGCAGAAGACAAGGCAATCTTAGAGGACTAAGAGGACCAAGTCTCAGAAGCCTGTCAGTACAGTGAGGGTTTTTAAGCAATAATTGCTGGCCAGGACAGCATTTTGACTGGATGCCACTGGACATCATTGCAGCCATTCTAAGTGAGTTCCCATCATCTCTCCAAAGCCAGCCCTTTGGGTAGAAACACCCAATTGGCCAAATGTAGAGCACACATTTATCATTAGCATGCTTTAAATGGAGAGAGGATGAGGCAGCTGCTTTTTTCTTGGATGGAAGGAAGGCATTGCATCTCACCAATAACTCACATCATGCGATATTCTTCAGCAATTGGAAAAGGAGTTTGATGCTGAAGAGCAAAACCTGAGAGACAGCCAGAGTGTCTCCTGAAAGCTGGCAAAGTGAAGATTATTACCCTTATTTTACGATTATAAAAACTGAGGCTCAGAGAAGTAATTTTATTCATTGATTCAGAGAGATTAAGTTCATTCATTTGCCAATTATTTGTCGAGTGTCTGCTATGGGCTGAGCCTTATTCTAGGTCCTAGGGATTCAACACTGAACAAAATAGGCAAAAATCCATGGCCTCATGCAGTGTACATTTTTTTTTTTTTTGACATGGAGTCTTGCACTGTCACCCAGGCTGGAGTGCAATGGTGCGATCTCGGCTCACTGCAACCTCCACCTCCCAGATTCAAGCAATTCTCCTGCCTCAGCCTCCCAAGCAGCTGGGATTACAGGCTCCCACCACCACGCCTGGCTAATTTTTTGTATTTTTAGTAGAGATGGGGTTTCACTATGTTGGCCAGGCTGCTCTCAAACTCCTGACCTCAGGTGATCCACCCGCCTCAGCCTCCCAAAGTGCTGGGATTACAGGCAGGAGCCACTGTGCCCAGCCTGCAGTGTACATTTCTATGTGGTGTGTGTTGGGGGAGAGGGGGTTGAGACAAAAAATAATAGGTAAATAAAACACATAGTACATCAGACGGTGACAAATATTAGAAAGAAAAAATAAATCAGGAAAGGTGAGTGGGTTGGGGTGTGGTGGCTATATTATGGAGATGTTTCCATTTTAAATAGGGCAGTCAAAGTAGTCCCTGCTAAAACAGTGACATTTGAGCAAAGACCTGAAGGAAGTAAGGGAATGAGCTATGTGACTGTCTGTGGAAATGTCCTAGGCAGAGCGAACAGCAGGTGCAAGATGCCCTGAGGCCTGCATGCAACTGGCAAGCTAAGGGACCCACGTGGAGGCTAATATGGTTGGGGAAGAGGGAGCAAGGGGGAGCCGCAGGAGGAAAAAGCCAGGAGGTGGCTGGGCCTGGATCATGGGGGCCTTGGAGCCCATAAAATGTTTTGAGGAAGGGATTGACATTATTGGAATTACATTTCTAAGGGTAGAAGGATGGACAGAAGCAGAAAAACTGGTTAGGAAGTTTCTGCAATAAATTAAGTAAGTGATAATAGAGTCTGGGATTAGGGTGGCAGCTGTGGAGGTACTGAAAAATAATATTTTTGCTATGTTGTAGGCTGCACAGTGGCCCTCTAACATGTCTGTGTCCTAATTCCTATAAGGCAGAGACTTTGCAGATGTGGTTAGAGATCTTGGGATGGGGAGATTATTCTGGGTTATCCATGTGGTCCCTATATAAACATAAGGGTCCTTATAAGAAAAAACAAGCAGAGTTAGAAAGAGAGAAGGTGATTATTCATAGAAGTCAGGTATGGAAGTGTCAAGGGTCAAGGATATGGATACAGTGAAAGCATTCATCGATAGATAAATGGATAAAGAAAATAGAATGTTATTGAGCTTTAAAAAAGAGTAAAATCCTGTCATTTGTGACAACATAGATGAACACAGAGGACATTATGCTAAGTGGAATAAGCCAAGCACAGAAAGACAAATACTGCCTGATCTCACTTATGTGTAAAATCTGAAGATATTGAACTCATAGAAGCAGAGTGTAGAATTTGGTTAGCAGGGGTTGGAGGGTGAGGGAAATGGGGAGATGTTGGTCAGAGTACAAAGTTTTAGTTATGCAGGATGAATAAGTTTGGAGATCTCATGTACAGCATGGTGACTATAGTTAATAATACTGTATTGTAAACTTGAAATTTGCTGAGAGAGTAGATGGTAAATAGTCTTACCACAAAATGAAAAGTAACTATGAGAAGTGATGGTATGTTAATGAGCTTCATTGTGGTAATCATTTCACAATGCATAACTATATGAAAACATCACATTGTACACCTTAAATATATACAATATTTATTTATCAATTGTAACTCAACAAAGCTGGAAAAGGAAGAAGAGAGAAGGTGATGTGAAGATGGAAGAAACAGAGACAGAAAAGGTGCTATGCTTGCTTCTGGCTTTGACGAGTGAAGAAGGGGCCAGGAGCCAAAGAATGTAGTCAGCTTCTAGAAGCCGAAAAAATCAAAGAAAAGGTTTTTCTCTTAGATCCTCCAGAAGGAACACAGCCCTACAGATGCCTGACCTCCAGAACTATAAGTAAAAAAAAAAAAAAATTATGTTGTGTTAAGCCCCTGTGTTTGCAGTGATTTGTTACAGCAGCGAAAGGAAACAAACACGTGGGTTTTGGAGTTAGAGTCAGTGATGTTTACCCATGGATGAGACGCAGAGAGGGTCAGGGATAACGTTACAAGTTTGTGAAGAGCAACTGGAAGGATGGAGTGCCTTTTACTGGGGAAAACTTGTTTGGGGTGAATTTAAGTCCAAGCCCCTGGCGATACCCTTTCTGCTCGGGCTATGCTAAGAGGATAAACCAGGACAAAATTCATGGGAGATGCACCAGCTTAGCTGGTCAGATGAGTATGTCCACTGTCATCATCCTTCCCCTAATTTTACACCCTCTTTGCAGCCTCTATCTATCAGTATTTCCTCGTTGTTCTTTGATGGTAGCAGGCAGCACAGAGCTCAATGAAATTAGACATATATTTCTTATTTTAAGGTACAGCTGAGAAAATGTCTAGGAAATAAAAGTTGCTTTGATGTAAGCTGCATTATCTGGAGGCTTGTTAATGGTCTGTCACTGGGGTCCTCAGGTTGAGGAATGGATTCCTTAAATTGATAATCACTGAAATAGTCCCCAACGACCATAGTGCTGCTTTGGTTATCCTCAGCCAGTGACAAAAGTCATACTATTGTAGTCAAAGAAGCTATGCCAGGGAGTTGGAGCGCCTGGTTTTGACTGGCTTTGCTATTCACCTGCTGTCACTCTCTCTTTTTGAGCCTCAGCTTCCCCATTTGTAAATTGAGAGTGCTACAGCCAATGTTTTCAAAGAGGCTTCATGGGGCTGCTTCGCCTTGCTATTTGTTATGCATCTTAGAGAGAAGCTTGATCGAGCATTAAGCCATCCAGATCTCAGCATTGTTCTGTCTCAGGTCCTGAGGAGCAGGCACTGACCTACTTCTCCTGCCTTCTTTTCCCTGCTGTCCTATTGGTCTTTATTCTGACCCCAGACCTGTCATTGCTCAGGATGCAGTTAAGAGGCCTTACTTCTATTCCGAGTGGCCAATGACTCACATGTCCACGGGACTGAGCAGTGAGGACAGGCTCCATTCGACAGAGTCCAAGGCAGATGGTCATGCTTCCTTTCCAGAATGAACATCAAGTGCCAGGAACTCAGTGAGGGGCACTCTCCTTCTGACTTGGAGCTCTGTGAGGCAGCCACACAGGCCAGGTTCCGGCCACCTTCTGTTCTGGTTTGCCTAATGATGCTTTTGGCGAAAGACAAGGAAGAACAGCAAAAGCAAAGAAGGAAGCGATTCATCTGTTAAGGGAGCGTAGCAAGCATCCTTGACCCTCCCGAAGGAAGTTTCCATGAAAATAAAACACAAGCAGAACACCATGCTGTTGCCTCCCAGGAGGATGACAAATTTGTGGTATGAATGCCCTCCCTGTCCTCCTTCCTAAGCCACGCTGATGAGTTGGGACCTGTAGGACCCATGTGACAGGAGTTATTATGACTCCCTCCATTCCTTCTCCTTCCGGCTGTAGCAAATCTGGCCTGTCTGATAGCACAAGACTGAATGACTGGTGCTGAGTATTATACAATGTATGTTGTAGAGACTAACGAAGACTTAAATAAATAAGCAAGTGCATTTAGCAAGTGCATCCTTTTAGGATGTTATTTACTGTGGGACTTTATATATGTCGCATCATTCTTTTGCTTCTCACGGGGAGCACGTTTATCAAACAAAGATTCTGGCCAAATCTTTTATAGTCAAAAAGATATTGAATGTCAACATCATAGTCATTTACCATTGGAGGGTCCCTTAAACCACTTAAGACAGGAAATAGAAATCATCATTATTTCCTGGCTTTCGAACTGCTCTTACCCTGTTTCACTTACTTAGTGCACCACACAGTCCTGTGGACTAGGTTTCACTATTATTCTCTTTATGCAGCTGGGGGAACTGAGCGGTTGAGGGATCTAAAGCATTTTAAAAACTTGCAGTGGGGCTGGGCGCGGTGGCTCACACCTGTAATACCAGCACTTTGGGAGGCCAAGGCAGGCGGATCACCTGAGGTCAGGAGTTCAAGTCTAGCCTGGCCAATATGGTGAAACCCCGTCTCTACTAAAAATACAAAAATTCGCCAGGCGTGGTGGCTTGCGGCTGTAATCCCAGCTACCCAGGAGGCTGAGGCAGGAGAATTGCTGGAACCCGGGAGGCTGAGGCTGCAGTGAGCTAAGATTGCGCCACTGCACTCCAGCCTGGGCGACAAAGTAATACTCCATCTCAAAAAATAAAAAAAAATAATAAGTAAATAAATAAATAAATTGCAATGGGAAGAGCAGACACCACTGCTCTTGAAATATCCTTCAGCCTTTCCATGACTGTGGAGTTTCACCATCCCCAGCCCATCTCGTTCAGTTTGTCTCCATCTTGGGTTCTGTCTCCTTCCTTCACTTCCTAGCTCTGCCGTTTTCGTTTTGCACTCCCTCATCCGAAGTCTAAAACAAAATTGCTCTAATTTCACCACAGTTGTTTTGCCCACTTGTCTGAAGCTGTCCTCAAAAGTATCTTTTCTATCCAAAGAGCTCATCAAGTTTTTTTTTTGTTTTTTTTTGTTTTTGTTTTTTTTGGTCTTTTTGCCCCAGACAAAGGCAATTTTCCTCTTAAGAGGAATTATTCTGAAAGCTGTTAAAAAAGTGACATTTGCTGTCTCCGGGATTTTCTTTGGAGTAGCAGGCAGTTGTTCCTATGATCATGAAGATGTGCTCCTCTCACACCACATGTGCACCCTGCTGCCCTGGGTTTGTGCCATTTTGTTTTCACAACTTTTGGTTTCAATGCTAAATCATAATAAACTTGTAAAAAGTTTAACATGATAATTCGTTTGAGCCATACACATAAAAAAAGACAGTTATTTTTTTCAGGTTTTAAAATGAAGAGAAATGCAAGAGCAGACCCAACTCTGGGAATTATGACAGGTTTCACAAGGAAGGGGTCTCAGGTGTGTGGCATATCCTACCAAGTGGAGGTGGCATTTCAGGTAGAGGGAATAAGATAGGCAACGGCAAAGATGCATAAACTAGCATGGTATGTCAAGATAATAGAGACGGAGAATTGAGGCGAAAGTGAGAGATGATTCTGGAGGAGCAGGTTGGGAAGAGGGAAGGACAGAGTCCTATCCCCTGTCCTTATGATCTCGTACAACTCCCACATAAACTATAGAGTACAGCACTATCTAACGCAGCAATATTTGCTCGTGCTGATGATGTTATTTTTGTGTTCTTGTTATTACTAGCAATCTGAAGTCAGCCAGGAGTCCCAAACTGGAATGATCTGATTTCAGTGGCTGGTGTGGTTTAATTCTCTGGCATGTTGTTCTTAGTATTAGGAGTGCAGTGTGGAATGGGCAATGAGAAATTGGGCACCTGTTTCCAATTTCAGGCACTGCAGATTCATACGCACAGTCCTGGGGTAAAGGTTTTTGAGGTAGATAATGCTTTCATGGAGTGTTTGTGTATGTGTGTGTGTGTGTGTGTGTGTGTGTGGTGGTGGGGGTAGGGGTTCACGAGCTGCAAAGATCCACTGTCATCAGTTTTCACGAGCATTTCAAAGAAGTATGTGTGTGAGGGGTTGGCTTTCTCAGAGATTGTCACTCTATGATTAATCTCATAATAAATCCTAAAATTCAAATTCCAAAGGAAGGCCTTGTATGGTGGATGGTGTGTGGGTGGTCGGGGGGTCAACCGAATGCTAAAGAGAAAGTAGGCAGAGCTGTTAGCCTGAGCTGAGATGGGCTGCAGCCCTCCCGGAAGCTTAAGTATGTCAGCACCTCTGGGAGAATGGGTCATGAGTTGACTCTTCTGAAGGAGAAACGTGGAGTGAATGAAAAGATCCCAGTCAATTGGCAGGTTGACTAGAGATTTGATGGGGTGATTTCTTCTTCACAGTGGGAAGATGATCTCACATGGCAGTGAGGAGGGAAGAACCCTGTGCAAGTGATTTAGATGATTGAAGATAATTTTTTGGCTGGGGAAAGATGTGATAAAATTTGGTGCTCAGTAAATCCCTCCTCCACTTTAATTGGAAGTGTTGGGATCAGCCATCTATTTTGTGCTGTTGTAATTTTCTTTACTTCCATTTAGGTTTTTCTCAGCATTTAGTAAATTTCATTTTGAATGTATCAGCCTGTCTCAGTTGTGCAAAGGAAAACAAGGAGAAAGATTATGTTTACCTTGAGCTGAGAAGAAAAGAGGGATAGCGTTTCTCTCTCATCCTCCCCAACCCAACTCCCCAACCCAGGGAGACGGGGACTAGGCTTGGTGGCGGCTACAGGAATCAAAATAAAAGAACTCCAGGGAAAGGCAAAAGCTCAGAGGGAAGTGTTGGAATGCTGACCTTGCCCCACCCTGTTTACCTGCCAGACCTGTTTCCAAGGATACTCTTCTCTGGGGGATGAAAATTTAGATCATCACACGGAAAATACTTATCGTGTTCTTCATATTCAAGGTAGTAATGAATTCCTTCTTTATGTTTTTTGTGTGTTTGTTTGTTTGTCGTTGTTGTTGCTGTTGAGAATCTCTTAGTATGCTACTTATGGCTGGAATCTGTGGAGAAGAGGCAATGAGGCAAAATTGAAAAGGTGCCTCATAATGGCCTGGATTGGATTTTTGGCTTTGCCCTGTGGCATGGCCTGGACACAGAACTTCATTGTATTCCTTCCTTGTGATAAGATTGGTGATGGCTGCCTCCTGGGATGATCAGGACAATCTAGGGTAATGTGTTCAAAGTACCTGTTAATTCACTGGTATGTGACAGGCATTTAGGAAGTGTTAGCATATATTGTTTATTGTCTTTTACGACATACAACTGTAGAGGTAATCGAGTATGGAATTATCATGGGGGTTAGGGCTGGAGGGAACAGGCAAGGCCTCTCTCATTTTTCTTTTGCTATAGAAGCAGTACATCATGGAAAGGAGCTTCAGAACTGGACTATCTTTGCGGCCTTGGGGCAAGTTATTCACTTGTTTCTCCTCAGTTTCTTCTGCCATAAATGGAGAAGCATTGTAAAAACCAAAAGATTCAAATACATTACATGCATATTAGATTGCTTATTGCCTCCTAGCTTAATAAGTAGTAGGTTCTTTTTTTTTATTATTATTATTCTTGTCCACATTGCCTTATCTTTCTCAGCAAATATCTTTTCTGGGTGCAAAAACTATACAAAATATACCATCCCTCAGGCCCAAAAGCCTGGCAGTAGGGTCTAAAGAAAATGATTGTGCCCACACCTTTATCCATTTTTTCACTCTTTATCCACTTCATTTTATATCATTCTATGAAATGTTTATTAAATATCTATTATATGCCAGCAATAATGGTAGTTTCAGTGACTAATGTGACAGCTCTTGCTGTCAAAGAGCTCTCAGATTAATCAGGGAATGACAATAGTCTAGAAATAATTATATTGTAAGGCAGATACTGCACGTGCTGTGAAAAAGGTAAAAGGATATGGAGGGTCAAGGTGAAGGCAGATAGCTTCTGAATAGTGGAGGTGTGAAGAGAAATGGAGAGAGCTTCATGGAGGAGGTAACTTTAGACCAGAATCTTTGAGGCTGTGAAAACTTTCTCTATGTGGGGTGATGGGGAAGGACTCTAGGAAGCGGGACCATTCTTTTTTTTCTTTTTTTGAAATGGAGTTTCACTCTATCACCCAGGCTGGAGTGCAGTCGTGTGATCTTGGCTCATTGCAACCTCTGCTGCCCGGGTTCAGGTGATTCTCCTGCCTCAGCCTCTCGAGTAGCTGGGATTACAGTCACCTGCCACCATGCCTGGCTAATTTTTTTGTAGTTTTTAGTAGAGAGAGGGTTTCACCATCTTGGCAGGCTGGTCTTGAACTCCTGACCTCGTGCTCCACCCACTTCAGCCTCCCAAAGTGCTGGGATTACAGGCATGAGCCATCGCACCCAGCCGAAGAAGGACCATTCTAAGAAAAGCAGGGGGATAGCAGCTTGTGAGACATATTTGGGAAATGCTGACAGTTTAGTTTGGCTGAAGAATATGATATGCACAAAGAAACGATGGGGAATAAGGGTGAAGCACTGTTGTTACGAGTCTTTAATGACAGGATAATAATTTTGTACTCAGTTTGATTTGCAATAAGGAAACATTGAAAGCTTTTTTGAACAGGAGGGTAAGTAATATGACAATGAAGATACAATGAGTTGGTATCAGAATTTGGAAGTGGTGGGGTTTACATCTGGCTCTAGCAACAGCCAGATAATAACATTTGGGTCTTTGATGGCTGCTATGGAAGAGAGAGAAAGACAGCATTTCATGTTCCAAATCAAAAGGACAGTAAAGCTAAAGACAGAGGTAGAAAACCCTAGGAGATCACTGAAAAACAGATTAATCCAGGTTGCTCTATACATAAGATACACGTGGGGAAATTTGGAGAGAGAACCAGATCTCTCTCTGTGCCCAATTTTCCCACCTATAAAATTTCAATAACATATAATACCTTCATTAGAGAGTTATTGTAGAAACTAACTGATTAATATTTGTAAGGTGTTTACCGCAGTTTCTGGCACATGATAAGCACTATATAAGTATTTGTTAAATAATTAGAAATAAATTTAAAACACAAGTTGATTTAACATAGAGTTCTTAGGCTGGGTGTGGTGGCTCACACCTGTAATCCCAGTACTTTAGGAGGCCCAGGCGGGTGGGTCACCTGAGGTCAGGAGTTCGAGACAAGCCTGGCCAACATGGTGAAACCTGGTCTCTACTAAAAATACAAAAAATTAGCTGGGCACGGTGCCAGGTGCCTGTAATCCCAGCTACTTGGGAGGCTGAGGCAGGAGAATCACTTGAACCCAGGAGGTGGAGGGTGCAGCGAGCCAAGATGGCACCATTGCACTGCAGCCTGGGCGACAAGAGAGAAACTCCGTCTCAAAAAACGAAGCAAAACAAAAAAACATGGGGTTCTTACTTTTTTCTCTGACTATTTCTCTCTGAGACATTGATTCATCTTGATAACACCTTGCTTTAGTTGGTATTTTAAATAAAATTTTGATATGTGTTAGCTCAAGTTATCTGTGTTATGATTCAATACAGAACCGTGATCAACTCTGACACGGGCCAGCTAATCTGAAGACATTTAAAAATGTCAAGCTTGTTATAGCCAATTGTTTTGGTTATTGTGATGATTTACCGGTTTTAGGCTTAAAACCCTAACATTCATAGGAGATAAACCTGTTTCTTTAATGAAATGACGACTTTTACGGGGCAACAAGTTTCCTTGAAAAGGAAATACGGGACTGAAGTTAAAATTAAAGATATGACTTTACAGCTCTCTGTGCCTTAGTTTCCCGGAATGTAAAATTAAGGAATTAGGCTTCTATGTGTGCCATTAGGGCTTCTCCACAACTTTACAGGTACCTCCAATATATTCCCGAATAGCAGTGGAGTTGCCGGGGTTGGGCTGGAGTGGGCACCCTTTGGCTCTACCCTCTTGGCTCTGCTTGTCTAGCAGGGCAGTCCCTGAGGCACGCTGGAAACCCCGCCGAGAATCATTCTGAAAACAATTGGATAAGATGATACCTTTAGCTAATAGTCTTTGGTTCTCAAAAAATATGCATTTTTTTTTCAAATAAGGTAAACTTTTTGCATAATAAACAAATAAATAAGACATATATACCTACATGCATTTTACTTGTATTTTACATGAAGTTGGGAACTTTGCTACTTAAATGGAACTCATGGTAAAAGAGAAGATTCTTTTATAATGTGAACAATTGTTTCTTCATGTCTTTGTTTTCTAAATTCTGAGTTTTACTCTTTTTCTTTTTCTTTTTTTTTGAGACAGAGTCTCACTCTGTCACCCAGGCTGGAGTGCAGTGGTGCGATCTCCACTCACTGCAACATCCACCTTACAGGTTCAAGCGATTCTCCTGCCTTAGCCTCCTGAGCAGCTGGGACTACAGGTGCCCACCATCATGCCTGGCTAATTTTTGTATTTTTGTAGAGACGGGGTTTCACCATGTTGGCCTGGGTAGTCTTGAACTCCTGATCTTAGGTGATCCACCCGCCTCGGCCTCCCAAAGTACTGGGATTACAGGCGTGAGCCACCAAGCCTGGCCCCTACTTTTTTTCTTAAATTGGGACAATTTTTGGCTCGAAACACAGTTGTGAAAACCTAGGATACTAGCTTCTTTGTTCATTATCTACTTTTCTAGTCATTGCATTTGTTATTCTTTTTACCTCTTTTGAAAATTGAAATAAGCTAAAAAAAAAAATAAAAGCTTCCCTTTTTTTTAAAAAAAAAAGGTATCTGAAATTTCACAAAGTATGCTGGCATCACAGCATTCCATGAATATTTAATCATCATCATCAAGACAGGAGGTTGGAGAAAAAAATCAGGTTGTGATATTTGGGAACAGCAGGTGTGGGAAGGAGGGTGTTGACATCCTCTGAAAACGGATATGGCATGTTGTGTGGCAGGTTCCCTCCACAGCTCCCATGTCCCCCTGGGGTCCCAAACGTGCTTTAAGAAAACTCTGAGGAGCTGGAGCTTGTCCTCAGCCTTCATGTGGCAGAGTATCCCTGGAAATGGGGATGGGCTTTGCTGAACTCCTTTCCTTCACAAAAACCTCCACGATTTCTCTTTTCTGGGCCTTTGTACAATGTAGCTAGCTCCAGCCCCCATCTCTGTGCATTTTTACCCTTATTACTGTTGTTAAGCAAGAACCTCTTTCATGTGTAGTAAGTCAGCAAGAGTACAGATATCCAGCTATGAGGATTTGGGATGGAGGGTAATGAAACTTTGAGTTTACCTAGGAACGTTTATATCATACAGTGAGGAGCAATGTAAAAATGAAAGAATCGTGGGTCATTCATGTACAGATTACTTGCCTTCTAACCTTACCACACCCTCAACTTTGCCTGCCGCCCAGTGTTCCAGACACACAGGTTTTACTGCTGTTTCCTTACAGCAAGACTGATTCACCCTACAGGTTCTTGCCCCTGAGCTTTTGTACAGTCTATTCTGGGTTGGAGTTTTCTAAATGACTGTCACGATAGATGGAGAAACTGTAACACTCTGGTTCTCAAACTTTTATGTGCATAACAGCCATCTGGCAAGGCTTGTTGACATGGAGATTTCTAGGCCTACCCCCAGAGATTCTAATCCAGTAAATCAAGGGGCCTGGGCATGTGCATTTTTAATATGAGGTTCTCAGGCAGGTGTCCAGGGACCTGCGCATCAAATGCTGTCTTCGGGGTGAGAGGCTCTTTCTGGACACTAAAGGCTGCCCTGGCATGAAGATCCAGGCTGATACTGGAGTCATAAGCCCTGGACTCTGGGCCTGTCTTTGATTCAGGCTGCTCACTGCACTGGGGGTGGGACTATTATTTGTGTGACAGTGGAGTAAGTTTTTCCCCTGTGGACCCCAAAGATGCAGAAAGGGGGAAAGAATCCAAAATTACTGCCAAGAGGTGGAAACTGCTCACCGTGTGATTCAGGTGGCCATTGAGTGTTGCCAATATGGAAAATCTCTTAGGCTACAGGAACAGAGGCAGGGCTGTAACTGGTCAGGGACTAAGACAGACAAAAGGAAGATTCCCTCCCTCTCCCCAGGTGATTTGGGCTCTCTGGAAACCCAGAGAGCAGTCGCAGTTCAAAAGAAATCATCAAATGTCAAGACAGAATCACTGAGTAGAGTCCCCAACAACATAATAAAGATGAAAATTAAACATAAACTTCTTGGCTAAGCATTCCAGACCCTCAATAACATGGCCTTGGCCTTAGAGGCCACCATTTCCCTTTAAACTTCAGACATTCCAAGAGAACAGAGCATTCAGTGTCTTCAAATGGGAATTCAAGGGACTGTGTTGATAGATGAGTGCCATAGGATCTTCCTCTCTGGTTCAACTCCTATGGTCCAAACTCAAGTTTTTGAATTGAACTGTTTTGTTGTTTTCATTACGTTGCCATGCCAACTTAGGTTCTAGAGTGTAATCTTACTTTAAAAATCAATCCTTAAGTGGGGACACTGACATGGAGGTGATAACAGTTTGATACTTAGTAGCATAGAATGACAACCTAGAAGAGACCTCACTTTGAGCACGTCCAAACTGCTTTAATTTGCTGACAAGGAAGCCAAAGGATACCGAGGGAAACTTGCATAAGGGTATACTTGACCGAGCACACCCAGGGAGTTAGTCAACTAGGGAAGTAACTCTCCATGCCTACAGAGAAATGCATAATACCTTTTATCCTAACTAGTATCCCTGATACTTTCCTTGGTGTCTCAGCGTTTCAAAAGCCTATCTTATTTGCATTGTAATTTATCACTAGCTCTTCGTTTGTGTGTTTAAATTTTGTCAAGGTTCTTCTTCCTTCTTTAATTTCTTCCCTGATGAGACATGTAAAATGCCTCAAGCTGTTAGGAGAAGAACTTTAGGTAGGAAGAAAAAAATAATCCAATGGTAATAGTTTCATCTTACTGAGGTTTTTAAAGATCAGGGTCATTTTCAATTTAATTCGACCATATATTGGGTATCCGAGTCTGCCGGTGACTGAACTGGGGGTGGGACTCTTATTTGTGTGACAGAGGAGTAACTTCTTCCCCTGTGGACCCCAAAGATGCAGAAACGGGGAGATAATCCAAAATTAATGCCAAGAAGAGGTGGGAGCTGCTCACAGTGTGAACTGGCCTCAGCCCATTCTCTAATAGAAGCGGTGTTTTTTTCTCTGATGAAGGTGGGCTGTGGTGGTTGCCTGAGTCGGCTGTGAGATTCCATCTAGCTCTTGACATTGAGAGGTGACTGGATGGTTTCCACATCCACTCCAGCGTAACCCACACTTCCTCCTGAGCCCTGTGAACAGGGAGGAGCCCAGGTGCTTAGCAGGAATGGTGAGCCACACCCCAGGTATGAGTCAGACCTCCCATCCAGCAAGATGGGGAAGGGTGATGGGGTGGAGACTGTGGCAAGTTTCACATTCTCCCGCCTTGTCTTTTCTTTGATTTATATTTGTAAGGAAGGGCATTTCAAAGTGAAGCTCTGCCTTATGGGGAGCCCTTCTCCCTGCCATGAATGGCTGGCAAAGTACACCCTTGTTTTCCTTTTCCTGGTTCTTTCTTAGTTCTCTGTTGCTTTGGGGGAGTGCAAGTGTAAGAGTAGGGGCAGGACTGGTTTGTGAGGCCAAGTGCAAAGTGAAAATCCAGCCTCCTTGTTCAAGAACTATTAAGAATTTCAACATGACAACAGCAGAACAAAACCAAGCACAAGGCCCTTCTACCTGCAGGCCTGTGTAACTGCACGAGTTGCATGCCCATG
This sequence comes from Homo sapiens, assembly GCF_000001405.40. Lineage (NCBI taxonomy): Eukaryota > Metazoa > Chordata > Mammalia > Primates > Hominidae > Homo > Homo sapiens. The sequence goes on from NC_000003.12 coordinate 189,167,661, forward strand.
AAGCCATTCTTGGTTGGGGTGGATCAGAAAGTCAGGTGAGGATCTGGAGTGGAGGACCCTCACTGGGTCTCAAACCAAAGCTAAAAACATACAAGAATTCTTCCCCATCTGTAATGAGTGTGAAAAATGGTGCAACATTAGCAGATTGGTATCCAGAGAGTCTCGAAGTATTGCACTTACTTCGAGATTCTGTGGCTGTCAAGAGCAGACCTTATTTTGCAAAGGAGAAAGAGAGGCCAAGATAGAAGAGACGATCCTCTGAAGGTCACATTGCTTGTTAGTGGCAGAATGGGAACTAAATCTTAGGCTTTCTAACTTCCATGCCAGTGCCCTTTTTAGCCCTCAGTGAACCTGTGCGACAATGAAATTGTTCTCTTTCATTGCGGATAAAATTGGAACTTGGAAATAAGAGTGAGATGCAGGGAAGGAAATGAGATCAATGATAAATGAATGGAGAAAACAAAACAGTTTAGGAAGCCAAAGCAGTTTGTCTGAGTCCTATCTGATACACAACATACAGCAAAGCAGACAAATGTGTATGTGGCAAAACAAAACTGGAGGAAGCAGATATTTTCAAATAAAATATGCATATTTCCAACCAGCCTTGAGCTCATCTGATAAGGGACAGATTGTCCGGAGTAAATAGAGAGAGAAAAAAAGATGCTTTGGGCTGAATTTAGTCCCTTGTCAAAAGCAGAAGGGGCTTTTTGTTTCTCCTTCTCTGAAATGTCACCTCTCTAGCTGTGAGGCCTTGTAGGGCTGTGAAGGAAAACAGAGTAGTTTGTATATTCATTCGTTTACTCATCCACCCATCCGTCAAAGTAGGTATCTTTTGAGTACCTACTATTGGCATTGTACTGTGCTAGATTCTAAAAAGAATGTCTTGTTTAAGACATGGTCCTTATCTTTAAAGAGGGTAGACAGATGCATATTGGGGAAGAAAACTAACTATAAGAGGGCGGTACTAGTGACGTGTGTGGTGTACTATTGGAACGCAAGAGAAGGGGAAATTCATATTGCTTAGTACCTGTTCACTTCAAAAGCTGCTGCCAGTATCTGTTCATTGTCATTGAACTCCTCTTTCCCAAAAGACTCCTGGGACAAGGGGTGTATCTGGGGAGTTGGGATATGGGATTCTTGTAGACAGTACCTATTTACCCCCAGTGATGCATGTTTATTTACCAATTTTTATCTGCATGATCCACTATGAGGGAGACCTGGACATGAGGTGATTCTGGTTCATACCTGACCAGGATCCATGCCACCTGTACTTCCTCCTGCCCATCTGCTGCCCCAGGCAGTGTGTAAGAGAACAGCCCTGCTGAGTCCAGGGAGGAGACTAGCTTGTGTGATCATCAGGATGTCACTCCATCCCCATTTGAAAAATGGCAGAAGAGGGGTTCTAACATACCAGTGTTTCCTAACCTAAATAAGTAACAACATACGTTATTTCTCATAGACACTAGAGCTGAATGAGAAGAGGAAGAACAATAATTTGTAAAAGCTATTATTATTATTATTTGAGATGGAGTCTCACTCTGGTGCCCAGGCTGGAGTGCAGTGGAGCGATCTTGGCTCACTGCAACCTCCGCCTCCTGGGCTTAAGCGATTCTCCTGCCTCAGCCTCCCATGTAGCTGGGATTACAGGGGCCCGCCACTGCGCCCGGCTAATTTTTGTATTTTTAGTAGAGACAGGGTTTCACCATGTTGGCCACGCTGGTCTTGAACTCCTGACCTCAGATGATCCGCTCACCTCGGCCTCCCAAAGTGCTGGGATTACAGGCATGAGCCACCAGGCCCGGCCTGTAAAGGTTATTATAGAAGAGAGAGAAGAGACAGGACACAGAGAGAAATGATCTCTGAAGGCCAATCTGGTAAAAATTATTCTGTGCTTCCCTGCTCCTTGGCTGTTGAGCATGTCCTCTACTGGGAGATCTGTACATAGCCTTTGCTATGCCTGGAAATACAGACATGAAGTGAATTCTTATATATAGCCATATGTTCTGTCATAGTATTGCTTCACATTCATACCAATACTTTGAATTTTACAAAGCTCTTATCACCTCCAGGAGCTCATTTTCTCCCTCAACAGCCCAGGGAGGTTGGTGGGATCTGTACTGTAACTCCCATTGCACGGAAGAGGCAATCAAGGCTTGGGGAAAACTAAGCTACTTGCCTCTGATCCCAGTGAGCAGCTGAGCAGGGACCAGAGCTGAGGTTTTCCGTGTGGCATTACTCCTACTGCTTGTGCCCCTCCTGGATGTATTATGTTACTGCAGGCTGCAGTATGGCGGAGCTCAGCATGAGCTGGGAGGAGTGTTCAGTGGCCGCTGGAAACCTAACGATAATTAGATGGATGCCGTGTGAACAATTGATGTCTTTTCACAGAGTTTCTTGCCCTTTAAAATAGCATACTTCAAACAGCAGTGCATTGCTTAGTCCTTCTCTTAAGAGACCAGGCTGGGATCCAGCATGTCTCCACTCCTCCTGCCTTTTGTGCCCCCACCCTGAGCTGTCATAAAGACATTTGGAGCTGAGTGGGAACGGTATTTGCCTCGCAATTATTTCTAATTGCCCTGTAGTTTTGTGGCGTCTAAGTGGTGTGACCTAGATACCGGTTCTGTAAAACTCTCTTTTCAGCCTGGGGTCTGTATTAGGGAGGGGGCATAAATCAGTTTGATCAGGTAACTGTGGCTGAGTCCATCTCACCAATAACATTTATACCCAACTCTACCATCTGTGCTTGTTGAAATCCTGGCTCTTCTTAACAGCCCGGATCTAATGCCGCCTCCACCGCTGTGCAGCCTTCCTGGAGTTGCTCCCTCCTCTGGATTACCATAGTACTTGTTAGGATCCTGTCTGTGGTGCTCATCATCTTCTATATCGTGCAATGCTAATTCACTTACAAATTTTATCTTCTTGAGCTCCTTATGCCAGAGAATGTGTTTGGTTCCTTTTCATATCCTTGTCTATGTGGATAACTGAGAAAGCTCAAGGTAGTTGCTCAGTTAACTACTGTTGAGTTAGTATACATGACGTCCTCGACACGGTGGAAGCAGGTAAAAGGACTGTTTATTCATTGTGACCTCTCCTGAGTGGCGAGTTGCCAGTTTGCACTTCATTTCCTGTGGAATCGCTTCATGACCTCAGTATTCCTGGAACTTTAAACAACATTTTTTGAAGGGTGAATATTAGTTATTTTTCTTTTAAAAGAATGGAATTCAACCAATTTACTTTGTCAGCGCACACCCGTTCCTCCAGCCATCAAACAAATACAATCTGATTTGGCCAGAGTCTGCTGAATGAAGTAGAGAATTTAGGATAGAAGATTGAAATTCAATCATACACATAACAGCATTTTGTTTTCTGTGCTCTCCTTTCTTTCAGCAATCCACCTACTTGTGCAGTTCATACTTTATTTTATACCAACTCTGTATGTAGAACACACTTGCTTAGGTTTCAGAATGTGTTCATTAAGATTCTATTTCATTTTTTTAGCACCGTTGCTATGTCAAATCTTATCCTAGGTTTATTCTCATATGCTTCCTTTCAAGTTCTATCTGCATTTCTGAAGGAGAAATGATACTCTCAACTTACAGATGACCAAAATTAAAAAACCTCAGAAAGATAGATTATGACTTGCTATAGGCTGCAAAGCCATTAAATGACAGATCAGGATTCACTAAATAGATATTAATGGATCATCATTAATTCAATGTGTATTTATTTATTACCTACTATCTGCTGGGTGTTTTGAGGAGTATATGAGAGAATAAGATGTAGCATTGCCCTCAAGGGGCCCCCCATCTAGGGAGGGGGATACACACTTACATAGAGACAATATCATGTGGCACATTTCCTAATAGGAATACTGACCAGAGATTGTGTGTACATGTGTTTGTTTTCAGAGATACACTGCTCTACATGTCTTCTACATTTTTGACAAGAGTGGTAGTGATGCTTAAAATCACAAATATCCAATAAATCAAGCCATCATAAAGAATATTAATGATAGGAGTGTAGGCCTCAGGCTTAAGCTTAATTATAACTACTTGGAGGCATACAGAAGCCATGGAGGAATGGATGATAGGCTGCTCCTGCTCCCTCAGCTGGATGTGTATTAGAGGGAGTTGGCAGAAAAATGCAGGACTTCTTGAGGGAGAGGACAGGAGGTAAAGGTGTGTCATTGCAGAACAAGAAAGGCCCCACCCACAAACCCAATTCTCTGCCTCTGACGGGTTGAGTTCCACCCTGTAAACATCCTCAGTCCTTTCATTTGACTATTTGAGGGTGGCAGTGTAACTCTCAGCCTACTTGGTGAAGTGAGATTCAGACTGAGTGGGGTCACAGCACAGGGCACTGTCTTGCCTGGCTTTATCTGAGCCAATCACACCTCTCCTGGCCACTATCTGTGGTCTAGCCCCCTTTGTGCAGAAAGAGAAAGAAGAGCCTTGAGGACCAGCCTAGTCAGGTAAGATCAAGTGGCTTGTCACTGGTTCTGCAGAGATGGGTTATTTCTCTATGAACCAATTGCTTCTGTCCCCTAAGCCGAGTTTCTGGTCACCTCCCCCACTGACTTGCAGTTTGGTTTAGGTTTGTAGTTTTGCATTACCATGTGAAATTTCCCTATTCTTCCTTACTGTCCAGGGTTGATGAGGCTTGTAGGCTAGCATTTTTTAGCCTATAAAGCCACTTGACATACTTATCTATATATTGATTTTGATCTTAACTGCCCTATAGTGCAGTAGGATGGGTATAATTTTCTCCATTTGGTGGCTTAGTGAACTGAAGCTTGGTCAATTGAAGTGATTTGTTCCAATTGGATCAGCAGGTTAAGGCCAAGATTAGATTTGATTCCTTCTTCCCTCTTCCTCTATTATAGAACCCAGCAGGTCATACCTTATCCCCAAAAGCCAAAAGAAGTGAAAAGCCTTTCTGAACCGTTAAATGGCAAACAAAAGGTGATTATTTCTTTGCAGGCAGTTTGAGAGGGTTATTTTTGAATTCATCTGAGGGAAATTTCATAATAATATATAGGTCCCATCAAACAGGGCTGTTTTTAGAGAACAAACGAGGGCATGTATGTAAAGGGGAGTTGTAAACTGAAAGGTGATAGGCAAATGAGACAGCGATGACTACTTGGCGCCTGAGACATCCTCCAGATCTCTGTATAAGCAGGTTTTAATTCGGGGCTAAATGACACTCTCCAAATGTCAGAGGCAGCGTAGTGAGGCACAGATCATACAGGCCCTGGGGAAATATTTTAGCTTTTCAGTCACACTGTGGTATGTAGAAAAGCAAATCTCAATGGGGGAAAAACACCCCCAAATCCTTTCAAATACACTCATGCAATTTCCTCTCTTGTGACAGCTATCATAGTATCTCATTGTTCTACAGTTTTAAGGAAATCTCATCTTCAGTTATTATGTAGTTTACTTTTTAAGATGCTAATTTTAGCTATCATTTTTCTTTTCATGCTCAAAAGGTTATATCATTCTTAGTTGTGGAAGGAAATGTTTCCTCTGTGTGTGTGTGCATGTGTGTATGTGTGTGTGTGTCTGTTTGAGTTTATTATGACAGTACTGATAGTCATCCCTTGGGGCCACCACAAATGCATTGGGTTGTAATGCTATATAATCTTTGGCAGACTTCTATATATTCTTTTTCTTTCTTTTCTTCTTCTTTTTTTTTTTTTTTGAGACAGAGCCTTGCTCTGTTGCCCAGGCTGGAGGGTAGTGGCGCGATCTCGGCTCACTGCAGCCTCCACCTCCCGGGTTCAAGCGATTCTCCTGCCTCAGCCTCCTGAGTAGCTGGGATTACAGGCATGCACCACCACACCTGGCTAGTTTTTGTATTTTTAGTAGAGACGGGGTTTCACCATGTTGGTCAGGCTGGAACTTCTATATATTCTTGGTGTCTTTCTGGCTGTAAGGATCCTGAAGAAATCGTTTAATTGATTACTTTATTCAAAACAGAGAAACTGAGGCCCAGAAAGATGAAGTGATATGCACAAGTCACACAGCCAGTATCATTGGAGCTGCAAGTCACATATGGGTCTCTTACTCTTTCATTGCCCACAATATGTAGTGAATGGTGCTAGGAGTCCCAAGCAGAAGCATTAGCCATGTCATTTTGGAGACTGTAACTAGATGTCCTTTAAGATTTCTTCCAATTAAGAGTTTTAGGGCACTTTGACCTTTGCTTAGCATCTACTGGAGATGGTATCATGCCCTTTAGAGCAGGGAAATCTGTCAGAGAAGCCTCTCTCTTTATTGACTTGGTTCTTCTGGAATATTTGCTTCGGCCAAATGTTGGAGCTGCTCCTTAGGTATAAGATGGGGAGATGGGCAAGAGGTGGTGGCATCTTCATTTTCTTCAGCCTGTCTGGATTTTTATATTTTCTGGGATCTTCCTAAATAAGTGCCACTCAGTTTGATCCTTTTAAAACTTGAAGTGATAGTTGATATTTTACTCAACATTGTTTAATCTAATGGCAGCGTCAAGTCCGAGAATTCATTTACTCCAGAGCTTGCAGAGCAGCAGCCACAGGTGAATCCAGCATGCAGATGTGCTTTGTTTGTGCTGCCATGTTAAACAAGATAAAACTAGTTCCAAAGTATTTGATATCTAGGAAATTTCCTGTAAAAAATCCAGATATCTTGTTTTCAGGAAGATCAGGAGATCTGATAATAATGGACCCACATCCCCTCATGGATAACACCTGTGCTGGGGCCGGGCAGCAACTTCTTCCTGTAGATAGAACATGTTTTCCCCCATCCTCCACAGCTCCCATTTTACCTGATTTAGGCTACCAAGTGTTTGAATTTTCCACTTCTGATCTCTTCCAATCTCTTAGGTATTAGGATTCCTTTCAATCATTCTCTTTCAACGGAAACCTAGTTCTACATAATGACAGACCAGGCTACAGGTTAATGGCACCAGGGAAGAGGTGAAGTTAATTATTTGTTCCTAACCTCTCACTATGTAAGAGATATAGGATATATGATGACTTCAGTAGAACATACCGTTGGCTCTGATACCTACCCAGGATATTTTCTTCAGCTAGCTATCAAAACTCAGTGACTTGAATGCTAAAGTATTAAGCAAGATGACACTGCTGCAGCATAATATTTAGATGCCTATAAAAGAATAGGAAGGACAGTTGATACTTGCAGGGTAATCCTCTTTACTCAATCGATCAATGGCATAAAAACAAGAAAAGAAATTATGATGTATGATAGCACATAGATAGCAATATAATGCCCTGTTTCCAAAGAATCCAAATTGCTGAAATACTAGAGACTAGCTTAATGATATGTTTTCTCTTATTCACCCACTAATATAATAATCACCTTTTGATCACCTATGGTGTATTATACAACCCTAAGCTTAGGGATTTAGGGGTAAAGAGTAGAGACCCTTTCTCAAAGGGGCTTACCATCTAGTATTGAAAATGTGTACACAAGTAACTATAATGCAAGACAGAATATGATAAATATTTCAAGACGAAGAAGAAAGCAAATATTGAGGTCTCACGAAGAAGAGATTTATGGCAACTAGGTAGGTTGCCATCAGAGATAATTGTAAGGATGAAATGGCACTCGAACTGGGCTTTGGCTCAATAGACGTGAGAAGAGTTTTCAACAAGAGAAGAGTTTAAGTAAACTCCCAAGTCAATACTATTTGAAGTATATTTGAAGGGTAGGAAGCATTTACTACAGCTCAATATAGGGCCAGTGGAACTGAAGTGGAATGAGGCCAGAAGTCTGGGTCTTCACCAGATCCTGGGTGCTGGCAGGCTCAGGGTTTCAGATCAGGCACAACATGGTGTCTTTGATGGGCATTACGGCTATTGACCAGACATTAGTTCATGATTATTAGCTCATTGTTATCCAAGTTTGTAAGTCGTCAGTGAGAGAATGTCTGTGTAGGCACACCTTAGCTCTACATTAGGATTTTCAGAAGTAACAGAAAAAAAAGAACAGGATTAAGTTGAGCACTTACATGAATACAATACACAGTATCATGTGAAGTGAGTAAGGCAAGGTGGTGCTATACAGTAGAATTAGAAAGATGGATAAAAATATTTTTAAAATATGTTAAGCAACCTATAAGACTCATTTAAAAATATGGAAAAGGTTTCTCTCTCTCAAGAAAGTCTATTCCTCTGGGTTATCTGAATGTTAGAAAAATGATGATGCACAAGTTGAGTTCTTAACTTGTGTGATGTGGGAAGATTTTTTATTACGTAACCTTTGTCCTTTGGTCTGGGAAGCAGTCACTCTATAAGGAACAGGCATAGAAGATTCTTGATATCCTGACCCTGGATTCCTTCATAATAAACATTACTGAGAAAATCGTAAATATATGCATGCTCCACTGTGTTTCACAGCATTCCAGGTGGGTGAAGGGAAAGATTTTGTTTTGCAAAGGGCTACACTGTCACCAAAGCAATATTTAATATTTACACAACTCCAAACCCCAAGGTATTTTATAAATAACCAAACTTTTCTCATTTTCATGTGTATGATTGTGTGTGGGATTGGCTTAGAGTTGTACTTATATCTCAGAGTTCTGCGCCTCAAGAGACGTATGTAGGTGATGTGACACAGAGTAAAATGAGGTGTTTGAACAAGATTCATTCATTTTAAACTATTTATTGAACAATGGTTCAATTCAAACGTCTATTCAAGTGTCATTCATTGAAAGCTATTGAATATCTGTTTTAAGTTTTGGGAAGAAAATTGTGTCTTTTCTACAACCCCATAAGTAGTTCTGGTAATAGCAGCAGTGAAAAAAAATAATAATCTCTTTATTCAAGGAGCTTATATTTATAGTGATACAGAAAATAAACAAAACCATTCAGTAAAATATGTAATATATGAGATATGGAGAACAATAGAACAGAGAAAGAGGATAGAAAGTTATGGAGAGCTAGATTTTGGACAGGGTGCTTAGGGTGGAATGAGGCATTATTTGGGTAAAGGACTTAAGGATATGAAGGAGTCAGCGAGGCACTAATTGGTGAAAGAGTATTCCAGGCAGCTGGAACAGGAAGTGCAAAGGCCTTGAAGCAAGAGCTTGCCAGCCTGGCATCTTTGAAAAATAAGGCGTGGAACGAACTGAGTGGAAAGATCTTTGGATTTTGGGAGATGAAGTTAGAAGTTAGATGATTGTGGAGTGAGAACAGGGAAAAGTGATAATGCAGGGCCCTGTAAGACACAATAAGGGCTTTGACTTTCACTCTGATTGAAATAGGAGCTATTTGCAGATTTGAGCAGATGAATGACATGGTCTGACTTATGTTTGAAAGGTATCCTTCTGTCTGTGTGTTGAGAACAGATGAGGATGAAGTGGGGAGAGAGGTGGCAGAAGAAGAGAGATTCTTAGGGAGTTATTGCTATAATCCAGATGAATGATGTGGAAGCTTGGATGAGGATGTAGCTGGTTGTGCAGGAATGAGAATGTTTTGATTCTAGTGGCTGATATATAGAATGAGGGATAGTGAGACAGATAAGTCAAGTATAACACCACAGTTTTACCTGAGCAACAGGTAGAAAAGAGTGGCCTTTATTTGAGATGGAGAAGATGGTGAGATGAATAAGTTTTGAAGGAGTATTAGGAGCTTACTTATGGACAGGTTAAGTTTGAAATGTTAAGTGGGGAGTAAATGTATAAATCTGGTATTCAGTGAGGATATCAGAGCCGAAGATAAAAAATGGGAATCATATATGTATGTATGTATACGCATATATATGTCTATACATATATATGTATACATATATATGTCTGTTTATATATGCATATACTTATATATGTATATACATATATATGTCTGTTTATATATGCATATACTTATCTATGTATATACATATATATATATGGTATTCACAGCAATGAAATCAAATGAGGTAATCAAAGGAGTTAGTATCGATAGAAAAGAGGAGAGGTTTATGGACTGACTTCTGGGGTGCTGAATGTTTGAGTTTAGAGAGGTGCAGTGAACCCAGTCAGTGGTGTACCAAATGGGAAGGGGGGTGGTGAGAGTGGTCCCATGCCAGCAGAGAGGGGTATTGTATCACCTAAATCACTTAGAATCTCTATCACATGGTAATAATGAGAATAATTCTTTTCATTTACATTTTCTGTAGACAATGCATCCCTAAATTATCAACACGTTAAAACAGAATATTCTTGCTACTTCCTCTTTCCTCCACTTCTCTCAGGTTCTATTCGAACCCAGAAGGGAGATGGAGGAGGAGTAGCCAGCGTGCTGGGTGGACACTAGGTGAATGTGGTGTGTCCTGGGAGTCAGGCAAAGGAGTCTTCCCAGGAGGAGAAAGTGATCAGATGGTACAGATGCTGCTGAGAGGTGGAGTTGGATGATGCCTGAGAACTGAGCATGCAGCAGTGTGCTGGCACAGGCTCAAGACAATGGGAAGAAAGGAATTGGAGATTGTGAATATAGATGTTCCTTTCAAGGAGCTTATTTATAAAAGAAAATGGAGAAAATGGGCACCAGCTGTGAGGAAAAGGATGGGTTTTTATTGAGGTGGAGGAAAGATAACAGAAGTATGCTTTCATGGGCCGGGCACACTGGCTCATGCCTTGTAATCCCAGCACTTTGGGAGGCCAAGGTGGGCAGATCACTTGAGGCCAGGAGTTCCAGAACAGACTGGCCAACATGGCAAAACCCCGTCTCTACTAAAAATACAAAAATTAGCTAGGCATGGTGATGCGCATCTGTAGTCCCAGCTACTCGCAAGGCTGAGACACTAGAATTGCTTGAACCCGGGAGGCAGAAGCTGAGATCACGCCACTGCACTCCAGCCTGGGCGATAGAGTGAGACTCCATCTCAAAGGAAAAAAAAGAAATATGCTTCGTAGAGTTTGTAACTTGATTGATGTACATAGGCAGAACATTTTATTTTATCTTTCTACAACCCTGTAAAGTAGTTCTGGTAAGAGTTATCATTTTTTCAGGCTCCAGGGGTTGAAGTCAACTGTGCAGAATCAGACAGCAAATTAATAGCAGATGGTATTTAAACCTGGTTTCTAAAAGTTGAGTTCATGGTTCTCTTCACTGCCTTACTCTACTCATAATTTTGGAGATAACTTATAGCTTTAGAACTTTCTATAACAGTTTTACTTAGCCATGGTTTAAGGACATTTTATAAATCTCAGGAAACTCACACTTCTGAGCAATGTCTCCTAAACTGACAGTGATTTTACATCAAATGGAGGATGTTTGGAGCTCTAAAAAGGAATTAGAACTCAGTGTCTGCATCAGTGAAAACTTGCAGTATTTGGAAAGATTCTCCCAAGTAGTGTCAACATAAGACTTCAGGTTGAACCATCTGCTTGGCTGGAGGTTGGGAATACAGTTTTTTATACCTTTACTCATAGACTGGTTCTCACATTAATGTCTTCCTCTAGTAGTGCTTTTGTGTCAACTTACCAACATCTATGATATATCCTTATGCTGTCTGATGCTTTCTGTCAACTTGAAGGTCATGCACAGTTAAGATTCTTTCTTTTTACATGGAGCTGCAACCATACATTTCTGGGTCTCCAATTCTACCTGGTTCTCAAATGGGACATTGCTACTCTTTATAAGCAGGCATGGACATATTATTTTGATCCAGAATGGAAAGCTTTGCACACCATTTGTCACTTCCCCAGTGGTGGCTCTCCTCACCCATCACTGAGATCACCAAAAGGTAACTTCCTAGAGTGACATATAAACCTTGTCTTTCAGCCACAGATTGTACTGAATACTTGGTGTGTCTCTAGTGGTTTGCCTTTTGGAAGAGCTCCTAGATCCATAGGTATTCAGACAGCTCAGCGTGACTTTCTGCAGTTGCATTGAGAGTGCCCCTATTGCACACTATACAGATTATTGCCTATTGCTTTATCCAGACATCTCATAATTATCTGTTTGTAGATCTGACTCTTTCACAGACAATTACTCCTTAAGGGAAGAAATTGTATTTGCAGGTTGCTTTCTACTCTCCACCTCTCTGTTTTCCCCAGCACAGTACTTGGCCCAGAGAAGTTTCCCCCAAAATGTGTTTGAATTAATCAATTAAATGTAGCACTCTTTTATGCCATTTAGAGTTGCACTAGGGAGGTTAATGTATGTCACATAAGAAAAAGGGGGAGTACCCAAGTTCAAGACATTCTTATATGCAGAACTAATTAATTATGCAAATCAAATCTACAACCATATTAGTCCTTTTTCACACTGCTGGTAAAGACACACATGAGACTGGGCAATTTATGAAAGAAAGAGGTTTAGTGGACTTACAGTTCCATGTGTCTGGGGAAGCCTCACAATCATGATGGAAGGCAAGGAGGAGCAAGTCACATCTTACATGGACGGCAGCATACGAAGAGATAGAGTTTTTGCAGGGGAATTCCTCTTTTTAAAACCATCAGATCCCGTGAGACTTATTTGCTATCATGAGAACAGCATGGGAAAGAGTTGCCCCATGATTCAGTTACCTCCCACTGGGTCCTCCCATAGCATGTGGGAATTCAAGATGAGATTTGGGTGGGGACAGAGCCAAACCATATCATTCCACCTCTGGTCGCTCCCAAATCTCATGTTCTCACATTTCAAAACCAATCATGCCTTCCCGACAGTCCCCCAAAGTCTTAACTAATTCCAGTATTAACTCAAAAGTCCACAGTCCAAAGTCTCATCTGAGACAAGGCAAGTCCCTTCCACCTATGAGCCTGTAAAATCACAAGCAGGTTAGTTACTTCCTAGACACAGTGGGGGTACAGGTATTGGGTAAATACAGCCATTCCAAATGGGAGAAATTGGCCAAAACAAGAGGGCTACAGGCCCCATCCATGTCCAAAATCAAGCAGGGCACTCTACTCTTAAAGTTCCAGAATGATCTACTTTGACTTCATGTCTCACATCCAGGTCACACTGATGCAAGAGGTAGGTTCCAATGGTCTTAGACAGCTCCATCCCTGTGGCTTTGCAGGGTACAGCCTCCCTCCCAGCTGCTTTCACAGACTGACATTGAGTATCTATGGCTTTTCCAGGTGCACAGTGCAAACCGTCAGCGCATTTACTATTCTGGGGTCTGGGGGAGTGACCATCTTCTCACAGCTCCACTAGGTGGTGCCCCAGTAGGGATTCTGTGTGGGGACTCTGGCCCCACATTTCCCTTCCACACTGCCTTAGAGGAGTTTCTCCATGAGAGCCTCACCCCTGCAGCAGACTTCTGCCTGGACATCTAGGCATTTCCATACATCTTCTAAAATCTAGGCAGAGGTTCCCAAACCCCAGTTCTTGACTTCTGTGTACTGGCAGGCTCAACTCCAAGTAGAAGCTGCCAAGGCTTGAGGCTTGCACCCTCTGAAGCCATGGCCTGAGCTCTATGTTGGCCCCTTTCAGCCATGGCTGGAGTGGCTAGCACACAGGGCACAAAGTCCCTAGGCTGCACAAGGATGGAGACCCTGGGCCCAGCCCACTAAACCACTTTTTCCTCTTAGGCCTCCCAGCCTGTGATGGGAGGGGCTGCTATGAAGACCTCTGACATGCCCTGGAGACATTTTCCCCATTTTCTTGGGGATTAACATTTGGCTTCCCGTTACTTATCCAAATTTCTGCAGCCAGCTTGAATTTCTCCTGAGAAAATGGGATTTTCTTTTCTATCTCAGTCAGGCTGCAAATTTCCCAAACTTTTATGTTCTGCTTCCCTTATAAAACTGAATGCATTTAACAGCACCCAAGTCACCTCTTGAATGCTTTGCTGCTTAGAAATTGCTTCTGGCAGGTACTCTAAATCATCTCTCTCAAGTTCAAAGTTCCACAAATCTCTAGGGCAGGGGCAAAATGCAACCAGTCTCTTTGCTAAAACATAACAACAGTCACCTTTGCTCTAGTTCCCAACAAGTTCCTCATCTCCATCTGAGACCATCTTAGCCTGGACCTTATTGTTCATATTATTATCAGCATTTTAGTCAAGACCACTCAGCAAGTCTCTAAGAAGTCTCAAACTTTCCCATATTTTCCTGTCTTCTTTCGAGCCCTCTAAACTGTTCCAACCTCTGCCTGTTATCCAGTTCCAAAGTTGCTTCCACATTTTTGGGTATCTTTTCAGCAGCACCCTACTCTACTAGTACCAATTTACTGTATTCATCCGTTTTCACACTGCTGATAAAGACACACCTGAGACTGGGCAATTTATGAAAGAAAGAGTTTTAATGGACTTAGAGTTCCATGTGACTGGGGAAGCCTCACAATCATGGTGGAAGGCAAGGAGGAGCAAGTCATGTCTTACATGGATGGCAGCAGACAAAGAAAGAGAATTTGGGCAGGGTAACTCCTCTTTTTAAAACCATCAGATCTCCCGAGACTTATTCACTATCATGAGAAAGACTAACTCCCATGATTCAATTACCTCCCACTGGGTTCCTCCCACAACACATGGGAATTCAAGATGAGATTTGGGTGGAGACACAGACAAACCATGTCAACAACTTTGGAAGCCAACTACTATGGTTAATTTTACATTTTAGTTAGGAATTCATAAGCTTGCATAATTGGTGTGTCCATTCTGAAAATTTTGTATCATTATTCTTACCTATTAATCCTCAATAGTATCTGCAATGAAGAACTCTTGCTGAGCAGTAAGTCAAAGAAGATGAAACTAATAAAAGTGTCTGCTTATACATGCATACCCCAACTTTCCAAGCTCATAACTTAAAAAAAGTAGTCCACATTAAAACAAATATCTGACTAACATGTTTTAAACAGTTAATTTAGGATTAAATTATAAAGCCCTCTGCTAACCTGTGGGAAAATGGACCTTCATGTATTCTACTGAAACTTAAATTGGTATAACATTAGATATACCATTAGGTTGGGGGAGGAATTTGGCCATGTATACCAAGATTCATAAATCTTTGATCCAGCACTCCCACTTCTGGAAATTTATACTGAAAAAGAAATTAAGGCTTATAAAAAGTTTTACCTACAAGAACCCTCAGTGCATAGTCATTATAAAAGTACGTAAAAAGGGAGCAACATGAATAATTAACAATAGAAAGTAAATAATAGAACCTTATACAGTCACTATTATGTCATTATAGGAATTTATTTATTTATTTCCAGCTTTATTGAGGTATAATTGACAAATAATAATTATATATCTTTATGGTGTACAATGTGATGTTTTGACATATGTATACATTGCAAAATGATTACCTCAATCAAGCTAATTAACATACCCATCACCTCACTTAGTTATAATTTTTTGTTTGTGGTGAGAACATGTAAGATCTATTCTCTGAGCAATTTTCAAGTATAAGAAAATTATTAACTAAGTAGAGTAGCAACTACTACTACTAGTGGAAAACAGGCTTGGAAACAGAGTGACTTTTTATCGGGGAACCTGCCCCAGTAGTCACGTAGGTTCTTTTCCATTTTCCCTAAGCGTCAGCCAGTTTGAGAAATAAAGGGACAGAGTACAAAAGAGAGAAATTTTAAAGCTGGGCGTCCGGGGGAGACATCACATGTCGGTAGGTTCCATGATGCCCCGCAAGCCACAGAACCAGCAAGTTTTTATTAGGGACTTTCAAAAGGGGAGGGAGTATACGAATAGGTGTGGGTCACAGAGATCACATACTTCACAAGGTAGTAGAATATCGCAAGGCAAATGGAGGCAGGGCAAGATCACAGCACCACAGGACCGGGGCAAAATTAAGATTGCTAATGAAGTTTCGGGCACCATTGTCATTGATAACATCTTATCAGGAGAAGGGTTTTGAGAGCAACCAGTCTGACCAAAATTTATTAGGCAGGAATTTCCTCTTCCTAATAAGCCTGGGAGTGCTATGGGAGACTGGGGTTTCTTTCACCCCTACAGTTTTGATCATAGAAGACGACCACACCCAAGGGGGCCATCTATAGACCCACCCCCAGGCACATATTCTCTTTCCCAGGGATGTTCCTTGCTGAGAAAAAGAATTTAGTGATATTCCTCCCATTTGCTTTGGAAAGAAGAGAAATATGGCTCTGTTCCACCTGGCTCACCAGAGGTCAGAGTTTAAGGTTATCTCTCTTGTTTCCCAAACATTGTTGTTATCCTGTTCTTTTTTCAAGATGCCCACATTTCATATTGTTTAAACACACATGCTCTACAATTTGTGCAGTTAACGCAATTATCACAGGGTCCTGAGGGGACATACATCCTCCTCGGCTTACGAGATGACAGGATTAAGAGATTAAAGTAAAGACAGGCATAGGAAATCACAAGGGTATTGATTGGGGAAGTGATAAGTGTCCATGAAATCTTCACAATTTATGTTTAGAGATTGCAGTAAAGACAGGTGTAAGAAATTATAAAAGTATTAATTTGGGGAACTAATAAATGTCCATGAAATCGTCACAATCCATGTTCTTCTGCCATGGCTTTAGCCAGTCCCTCTGTTTGGGGTCCCTGACTTCCCACAACAACTTTTGATGAACTTAGAGCTCTATCAGTTACTAACCGTGTGACCCTGGGCAAGCTCCTTAACCCTCTGAGGTTCAGTCTCTTAATCTGTCAAATGAGGATAATTAGAGTACCTGAACCATGAGGCTATGATGAGTTTGCAATGAGCCAATGCAGATAAAACCATGTGCATAGCACATGCAAGTGCTTCATAAGTATTGCCACCATTGTCAATATTGGTATCCTTTTATGTATCAAGTGTAAAAGGCAGTTTACGAAACAACACTGATAGCATAACTCCATTGTTTAAGTAGAAAAATGATATTATGTCCAGATAAATATAGAAAAAGTCTGCAAGTATATACAGAAAAATTATTTACTTTCATTTTCCCTGCATAGTGGGCTTAAGGGAAGATTTCTTTTTCCTTCTTTTGCTCTTATGTGTGGTCTACAACATAATAAGAAAAATTAAATGAGGCCAAATAATTATTAAGATCAATCTCTCTAAAGGAACATTTAGCAAAGCTGTAGCTCTCTGCCTGTGTTATCACTGTTGTCCTCATTAAAATCTTCCCGTACCGTCATCATCAAGGCCACGTATCCTGCAGTTGGCAATGTTAGACTGATTACCTCTATGTTCTTCTTATTCCTCTGCCCTTGTGCTTCTGCCATCCCCTGCATGGTGTACATCATACACATTTATTAAGTATCTATTCTGTTCAGAACACTCAGTGTTAGCAGTGGGGGTGAGATTCGCAACAGCAGAGCGGATGGGATCTTACCTAGTGGAGCTTATAGTTCCCTTGGAGATAAAAGGCACTTACCTTGGCGTGCGTGTATTGTTTCATCTTGTTGTGGAAGTCTGTCTGTCCCAGTGGGTTTGGTGGTTAGGCAAAGCCTGTTAAGGAGGTAGGAATGAGTTAGCTCAATATCCTTATTTGGTGGACTTTAAAAACTAAGTGCATTTTCATGTCCTACACATACAGTGATCTCTGACCTGGATGTAGTCCTTCTAAGAACCTTGTGTCACTATTATCTTTGATGGGTTTTTTCTTCTATGATTACTTGCTTATCTGTCACCTTTGAAGGTGCCAGCTTGGGTAATCTTTTTTTTTTGAGACCTGATCTCACTCAGTTACCCAGGCTGGCTGGCAGGAGTGCAGTAGCACAATCACGGCTCACTGCAGCCTTAACCTCCCAGGCTCAAGCGATCCTCCCACCTCAGCCTCCCAAGTAGCTGGGACCATGGGAATATGCCACTCCAGCTGGGTATATTTTTGAAATTTTTTGTAGAGATGGTGTTTTGCCATGTTGCCCAGGCTGGTCTCAAACTCCTGGGCTCAAGCGATCCCCCAATCTCGGCCTCCCAAAGCACTGGGATTACTGACGTAAGCCACTGCACCCAGCCTGGCTCAGTTATTTGAAACAATATTTACGACATTTTTTTTTCCTGTCAGTCCTAAGGATTATCTACGTGCAAAGCAAAGAACACTAGAAAATGTAGAAAGTTATAAAAAAAGAGAGTAAGAATAATCCAGAAGCCAGTGAGCCAGAGATAATATTCGCAACATTTTGCAGCATGTGTTTCCAATGCATATGTGCATTGGATGAATTATTCTACATCTTTTAAACCTTCTCCTTCCAGAGATAAGCCCCCTTTAACATTTTAATATGTTACTTTCTAACATTTTTCTTTGCTTATTTGTATATTTTTCAGGATTTGAAAAACCATATGGTATGTATAGCTTAGGACCCTACTTTTTCACAAAGCATTATTCTGTAGATTTTTATTTGTCATTTAATTGTCTTTAAAAATATGATTTCCAAGGATTGTATTATACTCCATGATAGATGTGCATACCTCATGTGATACAATAAGAACCTTTAATTTTAAATATTTCCAATTTAAATTTGATCCTTAAGTCATTAATGCTTCTACTAGGCTCTAAGCTTTAGGCAGCAAGTTATTTTTTAAAAATTTATCTTTGTAGTTGTATAGTCAATAGACAAAGATAAAATCTTTGTTCTATGTGAGATAAACACTAAATGGAAGTTTTCACTATGTAAAAAATCCAGAAAGCTATGACTGGGTTATTTCATAAACTGGAGAAAAGTCAATGATGACCCGAAATGTTGTGATTGGTGAGGGTGAGAGGGGAATTTTTCTTGGATTGACCATGTCTAGCTGGAAATTTGCCCAGGGTACGAAGGCTGGTCCTCTCTGAAGTGCTGATCTCATTGCTGGGAGGGAACAGCTAATGAAACCAGACAGAAAGTCCCTACCATTCGATGTTTTTTTCCTTGTTGAATTAAAACAAAACAAAACAAAAAACCTAGTAACTTGTTTTTTCTGATTTCCTACCCTTGGTGCTCTTAAAGACGCAATTTTCTGCAAACATTTAACCATGAACTAGCACCTTTTGACTTACAGTAGGATAAAAATGATAAAAATAAATATATTCCGGCTCTTTTAGTCTTATTGATTTGGTATTTGACCTGTTTTATAAATGACCTGTAAGAGCTCCATCTTGTATTAGAATGAGGGCTCCACACCAGACCTGAGTAGATTCCTAGACCAGCATAATTAGAGAGAAAATTGAGATGGGGGCAAGTAGTTCAGTATTCTCCTAGTACATATGAAAAAAAAAAAGATAGCTAGAGAAGAAATGGATTAATGGATTATACTTGAACCTGGATTTCCTGATGCCTACTTCTTCAGGAATTCCCCACTATCGCTAGATTTCATATATTCTGCTCACAATTGTTCAGATTCCTCTAGCATAGATTCAGTCAATTATTAGACTTCAAACTGTTTTGAAATCCTATCATATTTTCTAGGCCTTTAGATTCATTTGTTCATCTAAAGTGTTTTTTTTTTTTTTTTTTTTTGAGATGGAGTCTCACTGTCACCCAGCCTGGATCACAGTGGCACCATTTCGGCTCACTGCAACACTTGCCTCTCAGGCCCAAGTGATCCTCTCACCTCAGCCTCCTGAGTAGCTGGGATCACAGATTCGCACCACCACACTTGGCTAATTTTTTGTACTTTTGGTAGAGACGGGGTTTTGCCATGTTGCCCAGGCTGGTCTCAAACCACTGGGCTCCAGCGAGCCTCCTATCTCAGCCTCCCAAAGTGCTGGGATTACAGGCATGAGCCACCCCGGCCAAGTTCATCTAACTTTTTTTTGTTTGTTTTTTGTTTTTTTTGAGATGGAGTCTCACTCTGTCACCCAGGCTGGAGTGCAGTGACACGGTATTGGCTCACTGCAACCTCTGCCTCCTGGGTTCAAGCGATTCTTCTGCCTCAGCATCCTGAGTACCTGGGATTACAGACCCCGCCACCACGCTCAGCTGATTTTTATTTTTTTTTTTTGTATTTTTAGTAGACACCAGGTTTCACCATATTGGTCAGGCTGGTCTCAAACTCCTGA
The DNA here is from genome assembly GCF_000001405.40 of Homo sapiens. Lineage (NCBI taxonomy): Eukaryota > Metazoa > Chordata > Mammalia > Primates > Hominidae > Homo > Homo sapiens. The sequence continues at coordinate 189,187,549 of NC_000003.12, forward strand.
CCTCGTGATCCACCTGCCTCGGCCTCCCAAAGTGCTGGGATTACAGGCGTAAGCCACCGTGCCCAGCCTCATCTAATTCTTATACTGTCCTGTAAGATGTGTGGATCTACTTGACATTTGAGAAAACTGAGGCTGAGGGGTTTAAATTGCCACTCAAACTCAGGTAGCTGGTAAGTTGCAGAGCCCAGATTCAAGCTCAAGTCCTTCTGACTCCAAAGCTTTCTCTAATATGCTGGTCTATTTTGTGATAAAGGTATTGATTGCATGAAATGAATCAATTTTTATCTGAATTGCTTCTTACCCATTATCTTCTGAAAGCGTTGACGTAATTAATTCTCGAAACATTTGTGTCTTTGAGTTGTAGTGAATAATCTTGATATATCACCCACAATGTTGTATGTAAATCAAAAGTAAAGACATATTTCAGGCTCCAACGGAGGAAGTTATAATAAGTTGTCTGGTTCAGCAACTGATTGGCTGAACTCCCAAATGGAGTGAAAGCTCAAAAACTGAAAACAAGCAAGAATTGAACTTCTGCAGAAGTCAAAGAAATAAAAAGAAAAGATAATTGAAAAAAAGAAAAACTGTTCAGTGCAATATAAGTAATGTTACCTCTACTAGAGAACAGATGCATTTCAAGAAACACTGACATCAGAAAATTCATTCGAGAGTTAACAGACGTGAGTACCTTTAGGGATGTGTGCTGGGACATGGATTCCCTTTGGCCAGGCATTTTCTTTTGACCTCTTCTCAGAGAAAGGTGAGTTATGCTATGACTTCTAGCCCATTTGGCACAATGAAAGAGTAAAGGTGGAAAATATTTTACTCTGTTTTGTTTCAGACCAGCATTTTTGAGCCTGGCTTGTGTTGGGGCCCAAGTTCTAGGTCCGATGGGTGTGGAATCACTCGTCTGGATAGCCTGCCTTTACTATCCTGTCTCCCAGCCCTATGTTTAAAACAGTCACTGCCATCCTTCCCTTTTCCTCCTCCACATCACTTGCTGTAGTCTTTTGCTATAAGACTAGAATTTCTGCCAAGCCCTGTCCAGTCCATCTATAACTAAGGGCTTTGTTCTCAGATCTGTTCATTGGAAGTGTACTGGGCTTATCTCTAAGCAAACATTCCTCCCTCCCTCTTCCCTCATATAATTTACATAACAGGTTTGTAACTTCTTGGCCTGCATAGCACTTTCATAACTTCTTGTAAGATAAGCCTTGCCCAAGAGACACTGTCTGTCTCCATTCCTCAGAACTTCTTTTGACTTTTTTTCCTGTATGCAGCCTTTGCATATCAGTGGGCAGATAAAAGTCATTGACCAATAACCCAGTTATCTGCGTACAGAAAATAGTCTCTATTTGGGCATTAATTTTCATCTTCTCCTGACTTTTACTTTTGGAGATTTTCTGAAGGCCAAACTTTAATACATTTCGTTTACAAAATAAAATAGTTTTTTCCTTGATGGTGAAAGAGAAATCTGTAATGAAAATGTAGGCACCTTTTAGATTTTTGAGTATTTTTACTGGAACAAATGCTGTTTTTTTCTTATTTGTTACTTTTTATAACATTTGCATTGTAAAAAATTAGAAAATATAATTTTAAGACAACCTATAATCCCATTACCTAGAGAAAACTAATGTGAACATTTTCGTGGATAACCTTGTAAATGTTTTTTTATACATATCTATATTTTATTTTTGTAAAAACTACGATCATGCTATGTCCTTTTTATAGCTTGATTTAAAAAAAATGCCATAGATATCTTTCTATTGTATTTGTACAACGTTAGTTATAATGGTTATATAATATTCTACCTAAACTACATTTAGATAGTTGTCAATTGGTTATATAATATTCTACCTAAACTACATTTAGATAGTTGTCAATTTTCTGATATTATAAATAAAATAGAATTGTTATTTTAAAAAAATTGGAATAAGGGATATACTTGGATTTGCCCCTGGGAGATGATGAGTAAAAAAAAAATCTGGCTGGAAAGGTCACTTATTTCAAATGATTCCTCTCTTTTCACATGTACAAGTACACCAGAATAGCTTGTGATAATATGCTGGCTTGCCCCATTTATGTCATGGGACATAAATCTACAGTTAGATAACATTATTAGTTATGCAAAGGAACGTTCTTCAAGATACCTATCCCGGACGGGGTGTTGAACTAGCACATGAGGCCTCTCCTAAATTGAAGATTCTATATTCTGTCACTTCCAAATGGAGAGTTAGTTTTAGCTACTCTCTATAGCATTTTCTAATAAGTATATCCACTGATTATGCTTTAGTGGGAGAATTACAGAGATTCACTGTCAAACACTAATGGCATTTGAAGCCTGACATTACCTATTTTAGATGGGATGCAGGAGAAGAAATAAGGAATAATATGAAGTAGAAATAGATCTGATTATTATAGACTGGCTATAGCCCATTTAAAAGGGAAGATAGAGCTTCTCTCATAGTTAACAGGGAATACATTTGAGAGTCGCATCATTTAGGTGATCTCTTTAAGCACTATACAATGTCACCAATGAAGTTCTTAGATACAGAGATACTGCCAAACACTAATGCTGTGAACTAACCCACTTCTGGTGAAACCTATATCGAAAGAAAACTCTAAGGAATAGTCAGACTTATCCATTCACTTGAATTTCTCTGTTCACAAATAGGACATATTATATAAGCCACAGATGTTCTTTCACTGCCTTTATGTTCTGAAAAAATTCTCTAGAGGCAAGAATTGACATAGTAAGCATGTTCACAGGTGATGTGGGCAGCATCAAATTCTGGCCCTGTGAGCTTCAGTTTCTATCTGGTCTCCTTGGTCTTCTGGGAAGAATTGACACATCCCTGGTCTAAACACATCGCCTCTCCTCCCTGTCACCCCCCACATCTTGCCAATAATGTTAACTTCATCAAGATAGATAAAAGGTTTCCCTCAAATCTCTGGGCAGCCTCACTTTCTCTTTGGCATACTTTAGGAACTGCCAGCAGCCTCTGCACAGAAATTATTTTATTTTATTGCCTCCTACGTCTATGATAAGAATGCTAATAGCTCTTCACAAGATGCAGGATCAAGATACTTCATCATCTACAAAGTACTTTCACAACTTTTTTCATTTAATCTTCACAAAAATTGTGTAGAGTAAGCAGGCCTGGCATCAATGTGCATATTTTTATAGATAAAGAAGTTGAGAGGTATGATTACAACATACATGTACATTTAATATATAGAGATGGCATTACCAACCACTCTTCATAATGAGTTCTTTCATTAATCTTTCCCTGATCCATATTCCTACTCCCCTCTTAGCTGCTTTGTGATTGAGTCATACATTTACAGAAAGGCTGATCAAAACCAAACATTATCCCTTTGCAATGAGCCGGCTTTGAGATAAATATTCACAGAAGCAAGGAAATGCGAATATCACAGGTAGGTCTTTTAATTTTCTCAGGACATTTACTGTCTATTCTGGCTAATTTTGGTCATTGCTTATTCAGTAGTTGTAGCAGTTCACACGTAAATATACATGTATTCTTACTTTCAAATATGACCATATTTATACACATATGGTCATATATAATTTTATTTTCATATGTGCACATATCTTTATTGTTTTGTTTTCTTATGGAAATATAGAAAAATAAAGAGCTATTTGTGACAGATGTTATCGTTCTTCATCAGTCTTTTATCTAACTGCCTTCAGCAAGACAATATGAAAGTATTTTTTAATTTTCATTCTTTAGCATTCTGAACTGTCCACTTTTATTAAATCATCTTAGAATGAATCTGAATGTCATTTTTAAAACTACTTTCCTCTTCCCACATTTGTGCTCTGACCTTTATTACTTTAATGAGAGCTACCCCTATTGTTCTAGCTCTTTTGCCTTTTCTCTCTCCCTGGATGGAGCTCTCTGGATCTATTTAAATCTTCCTGGCATCTTGTAGAACAGGCTGAATTCTAGGTGGTAACATCCTAACCCAGGTGGAGTGGAACTGGGTCAAAGTAGCCTTAGAATGATATTATTTGGATGCCTTCTTGCATCTCATTATTTTCTCAGATTTGGTGTCTTGTTTAGCATTCAGCATTTTGGGAGCTTAATGTATATATTTCATCATTAAAACACAAATTATCCTTCAGTTACAGCCCCACAAGATGAGAAGTTAGCCACATCTATTTTTAAGACCTGGGCTCTCCTTCCTGGTCTTGTTCCACCCCTTTTGAATGCCTACTCCTGAATATTGCCCATTGGTTTAGATTAAGCCTCTTCTCTAGTTCCTTTATACCTAGATCCTCTTTCAGGGAAGACTCTGATATTCGTCACTTACTTCTCAGGATGGTTTCAGGCAGAAGCAAATGATTCCTTCTTCTGTCTGTCTCTAGTGATGCAAACATCTTCTGTGAAAGACATTATAACTGAACACACTGGGCTGCACAAAGGCTTACAGATTTTGTGGGGATCCAGGAGGGACAAATCGGGGCACAGGAAGCTCACCAAGCTCACAATTTACCCATGGAGCCCAGTCATAGGCAATAACTAAATAACTGGTTGACAGAAGATCATGATGCCTGAGAGCATAGAAAAATTGCATTTCTAAATTGCCATTCATGTTACATTTCTGAGAACTGTTAAGTTTGAAGCCAGGTTTAGAAGAAAGGATTTCAAATCTTCTCTTGTCAGTTCTAGTTTCATAATACCTGAAGAGAGAGACTCTCTTAGCTAAATTCCCTTTGCATTTTCTGTCGTGGAAGCTCCATGTAGTAAAGATATTTATTACTGATTCATTTGTTCAGCTAATACATAATGAATGCTTTCTATGTGCTCTACTTGGTGCTAAGGATACCATAGTAAATAAAACCTGGTCCCTAACATCAAGGAGCTCATGTACTAGTGAAGAGGATGTGAAAGTTAAGGCAAGCTAACAGGTAGTTGTAATGCAGTGTGATTAGTACTCAGTAGGCAAAAATTGAAAAGAGTAAAACTTAAGGGACATGAATTAGAAGGTCTTTATAATGATCCTCAAGAGATCAAATAATTTATGGTTATTGATGGATGAGAATTTACTCCTGTCATTCTGTGAATTGCTTTCTGGTTGTTTTGTGTATCCTTTGTTTCTTTCATTTTCTTTTATTGTCTATCATTGTGGTTTAATGGTTTTCTGTCATTATAAGGTTTGCTTCTTTTTTTCTTTCTCCTTTGAGTATCTGTTCTACCAGTGAATTTCAAACTTTTGATGTTTTCTTGATAGTGAATATTAACTTTCTGCCTCCAGTTGCAGGATTTCCTTGAGCATTTCTCATAAGTCCAATCTAGTGGTGATGAACTCCCCCAGTTTTAGTTTGTCTGGGAAATACTTTATTTTCACTTCATTTCTGAATGATAATTTTGCTGGGTATAGTATTCCTGGTTGTCAATAATTTCCTTTTAGCACTTTGAGTATATAATCTTCTTTTCTACCTGCCTGTAAGGTTTCTGCAGAGAAATCTGCTGTTTAGTCTTACAGGGATTCTCTTATATGTGACTTGATGTTTTTATTTTGCTGTTTTTAGAATTCTCTCTTTGTTTTTGACTTTTAATTTTTTTTTTTTTTTTTTTTTGAGATGAGGTCTTGCTTTGTCACTCAGATTGGAGTGCAGTGGCATAATTCCATTTCACTGCAAACTTGAACTTCTGGGCTCAAGCAAGTCTTCCACCTCAGCCTCCTGAGTAGCTGGGACTATATGTGCATGATACCATGTCCAACTAATTTTTAATATTTTGTGGAATTGGAGCCTTGTTGTGTTGCCCAGATTCTCTTTGACTTTTGACAGTTTGACTACACTGTGCTTCACAGAGAAACTTTTGGGTTTAATCTATTTGGGTACTTTTTTGCTTCCCAGATTTAAATATGCATATCTCTCCCCAGACTTGGGAAGCTTTCAGCTTTATTTTATTAGATAGGTTTTCCATACACTTTCCCTTCTCTTTTCTTTCTGGAACTTCCATGATACAAATATTTGTTCACTTAATAGTGTCCATAAGTCTTGTAAGCTTTCCTCACTCCTTTTCATTCTTAGTTCTTTTTTTTTTTCTCTGACTTTGTAATTTCAAATTACCTATCTTCAAATTCAGAGATTCTTCTGCTAGATCAAGTCTGTTGTTGAGGCTGTCTCTTTTATTAATCAACTTATTCAGAATACTGCGGGATTTCTGTTTGCTGCTTTATGTATGTCTACTATCTCTGTGCAATTTCTCATTCATACCATGAGTTGGTTTCCTGATTTTGTTGAATCGTCTGTCCGTATGTTTTTGGTTGTTTGTTTCTTGTTCCTTAAGAGGATTATTTTGAATTCCTTTTCCTGGCGATTCATTTATTTGTCTATTTATTGAGGTCGGCTACTAGATAATTATTATAATTTGTTGGTGACATCATATTTTCTTGCTTTTTCATGTTTCTTATTCATGTGTTGCTGTCTGTGCATATGGTCAATCATCTCTTGCAAACTTTCTACAATAGCTTTCATAAAGAAAGATTTTCACCTGCACCTGCTGTTGTTTTTTTTGCCTGCTGGTTGTGAAGGGTGTAGTGACCGTTTTTCTGCATAGGTGCAATGGTATGATCTCTGTGCAGCTTCTTTAGCTGTATTCAATGTCAGTAGTAAGTGTGGGCACCTCAGTGGCCTAGGCTGTAGAAGCCTGTGGCCATGACAGCATAGGTTGTTAATGTTCTAGGTATCAAGCGCTTTGGGGTTCTTCTCTCCTTACTTTTCCTACAGTGGAGAGACTTAGCCAAGGAGATCCCTTTTATTATCAGGTCTGACACAGCCTACAAGTAGCTGCAGTGGTGCTGGGTTCCAGGTACAGGTAATCATAGCAGCTGTGGTGCAAAGGTCCTGGGCTCAGTGTTACATGAACCTATTGTGACACCTAGGTCTTTGGCTGCAAGTTTTCTCTCTTTGGCTGGTTGAATACAGGTTGCCCACAGAGCCTGGATCTGTGACTCTGAGGCATCTCCTAACAGCTTGGGCTCAGGAGTCTGTGTCATGATTGTGATTCTACCCATGGGTGGGAGCTCAGAGTACTGGCACATCTGTGGGGAAAAGGGAGTGTCCTAGAGGTTTGGACCTGCAGAGCAGAGTATGGCTGCAATTTGGAAACCTGTGCCAACAGGGCTCAGTGGCAGCTTGAGTCCCAGGGAATGAGATACTGTGTAGTAGTAGCTATAGACCCTGGGATTTCAGGGCTCAGCAGTATCTCAGCCTCTGTGAGGCCAGGTGCAGTGGCAACAGTACCCCAGAACGGTGGAGCATGGCTATTATCTGAGCCCTGGAGCTGGGCTGGGGACAGCACAGTGATGACTTCACTCCCCAGGAAGAGGGGTGTCTCAGCAGCTAAGACACCACTCTAGGGGGCTAGTCCAGCTCCAAAGGTACTAGACTTATTTGGCTTATAAGGTGAGGTATCTCAGCTCAGCCACTGCTCTGTTTCCTTGGAGCATGGGGTACTATGTAAGCCCAACCCTGAGATGCAAAGCTGCTCAGCTTAACCAGGGCACTGATTCCCTAGGGGGTGATATGTTGTATCAGCTCAGGCCTGAGGGTATGGTGACTGTTCTGGGCCACCTAGGCACTGTTTTCCTGGGATGCAGGTTGCTGCTTCAGCTTAGGTACTGGGGTGCATGACCACTCTTGGTGGTCAAGGCACTGTTTCCTGGGATGAAGGGAACTACTTCAATTTAGACACTAGGGAGGTGTGGCTTCTCTTAGTGGCTAAAGTACTATTTCCCAAGAGGCAGAGTCCTGCTTCAGCTCTAGCTGAAAAGGCAGCGGGAGTGGTAGGTGAAGTGGCTTCACCTCTGCTCGACTCAACAGAGAAAGCTGTAACAGCTGATTGTGGCTTGGCTTGAGGATATTTGGCCACTGGTCTGCGGTGGTTTGGCAGTAGCTTAGCCTCAAGGATAAAGGAGAGCCATGACTACTCACCGCTAGAGCAAGACACACTCTAGCCATAGTTCTAATTCAAGACAGTGTATTGCAGTAGCCGTGTGGGCCACAGGGGGCAGGGCACAGTGTCAGCATCTCCTCTGGAGGGAGCACAGCTATGTGGACTCCAGTCAGCTCCCACAGCTGGGCTTAGTGCCTGTGAGCACAGCTGGGGATCCCAGGGTTGAAATCTATTGGTGTCCAAGGTGTTGATGGGGATTCCTAGGATCCTCTTGCTTTCTTCCTTGTTGTAGACAGAAGTTCCTCCTAGTTCCTAGGTGATCCTGATTAAGGGATGGAGTGGTAGAGGCCTGGCATTTCCTTCCCATCTCTACGTAACAATCCCAAATTTCTGTGTTTACCAGGGTTTCTGTTACTCCCCTGATGTACTTTGGTGCCCTTCCTTGGTTATTTTCATTAAAATGTAGTTGTTTATTTATTGTTCTGACTGTCTTTGTAAAGAGTAGAGTGCTAGGGGGCTTCTAGCCGGCCATCTTGCTGACATCACCTCTCTCAGAGAGCAGGTTTCTTTTGCTTCATAGGCCAACAAAGCTTTCTCAGGGATTTGAGGCAGTTTAAGCAGAAAAGAGGAGCCTGAAACCCTACTGCTTCCATTAATTTACTTTGTGACCTGAGGTAAGTCACTTCCTTACTCCCATCTGAGGATCTAATTTCTTATTTGTAAAATGAAGATGTTGAGTTAGATAATATCTGAAATGTTTGGCAGCCCTGTTGGATTTTATCATGTGAAACTAACTGAAGAGTCACTTTCAGAAAAATAATCCTGTCACAGTGCTGGTAGTGTGCTATTTCTTGACTTCGGTAATTATTTGCATGGTGTATTAATATCTGTTATCATGCTACTAATAAAGATATACCAGAGACTGGGTAATTTATAAAGGAGAGAGGTTTAATTGACTCACAGTTCCACATGGCTGGGGAGGCTTCAAAATCATGGCAGAAGGGGAAGGGGAAGCAAGACACATCTTACATGGCAGCAGGCAGGAGAGGGCATGTGCAGGGAAACTCCCCTTTATAAATCCATCAGATCTCGTGATACTTACTCACTATCACGAGAACAGCATGGAAAAGACTGGCCCCCATGACTCAGTTACCTCCCACTGGGTCCCTCCCATGACACTGTGGGAATTATGGGAGCTACAATTCAAGATGAGATTTGGGTGGGGACACAGCCAAATCATATCACACTGGTATTCTTATTTTATGATAATTCATTGTTCTGCATATTTATGATTTTCTGAGTGCATGTCATAGTTCAATAAAGTGTTTATTAATAAAAATTTCATTAGAATAATAAAGGCTGGAGTTTTTATTTTGAGGGGAAAATCCTATTTTCAAAACTTAGATGAATACTTTCCATGAATTTTATAAAATCGATGTGTAAAAAGTCACAGTTGGTCTAACAAGAAACTGAGGTTTTGGGGTGACTTCCTTAAACAAAACTCCCAGGCAAGAACATGTGGTTGTGGAATGTTTGTTCTCACTGCTGCCTGGCACCAGGATTGATGCTGGGAAGGTAGTAATCTCTGGTAGGCATTAATCTACACACTCGCCTGGGATGTCTCAATAACTGGGACAGAGGCTTGCTTTAATGTGTAGGCATTGACACCACCAAGCTTCTGAATCAGCAGATTCAAAATCAGGGATTGTGTTTAGTTTGTAGAGAAAATAACAAAGGCTACTGCAGGTCTCAGCTGTTGGCATTGGTTGATTTTTTTTATCTCTCTGCTTCTTTCTTGTTCATCTGTATATGGAGAAAACATCTGAGTCTTTACAGGCTCTCCGAGTGCATTATCAGGACCCACATCTTTAGCCTTGCGTGTTGCTCTATCCTGTCTTTCTATATTTTTCTCTCTCTTTTGTATGTGTGTTTGGTTGGGGTTGGGGAACTGGTGACTTAGTCTTATTTATTCTACTCCCCAGAATTCCACCACTTTTCTGTCCCTTTTCTGTCCCACAGTCTTCAGGGTCAGGCCAGTTGCAAAGTAGGACACTTTTGCTATTGCCTGAGATAAGTCACTCAATTCAATATTTGGCTTACAGAGTGGTTTTGTTTTACTTTTTCAGATGCTTCTCCTGCCAACTCTCTTCTAATTCACAAATCCTTATATAGGTTTATATTAATAGCTAGCTATAGAATTTATCCCTGTAGGGGAATTTCAATATTGGACAGGGCTGTGAAGGGGAGAACCCAAGAGATCTGGATATGTAGATTAAGTGGATATGTTTCTAACCAAAACCAAACACATAAACAAGAAAGAATTTGTTATTCTGAAAAGAGAGAAGTGAGAAATAGATAAATGATACAATATTGGACCATACACAATGTGACAAACCTCCCCATGACCTCTCTAAATCTTTGATGAAGTTGTTAACCCCATGAAATTCTTAAGGCAACTGGAATATTTACAGTGCCAAGGCCAGAATGTGTAAGTGGGTTGACTGTGAGAAAATTCTCAGCAGGTGTGGAGGGGATGGCAGAGAGAAGCGAATACAGAGAAAGTGTGAGAAGTCTTTCAGATTCTCCTCCCATTGCAAAATGTTAGTTTTCACCAACTGTAACCAGATCTTCAAGGGATTGGGTTTGGGGGTGGGCGGCTGACATCTCAATTGCACACACCATATTACCTGCCACTTTTGGAACACACTCCTCTCACACCTCACACATTTGCCTGGAACATCCTCCACCTACCCTCTAGTGTACAGTCAGCTCTGAGGTGCCTTATTCCACACCTCTAACTTCCCACACTCGCATTCCCCTCTTCCCACTCACCATCTTCTGTCTCTATGGTGTTTTGTGCACATACTCCTATCATGACTCTATCACAAAAGGCTGCCATTATCTGCTCATGTTTCTGTCACCTCCACTAGACTATGAGCTTCTATAGATTAAAGACTGTGGTATGAGTTCCTATGTGTGTCTGTGAGAGAAGATGCTTTTGTTCATGCTTTAGCACAGAACTTCATTACTCGGTCCACAAACATTTACTGAGCACTCGCTGTGTATGAGGAAATGCGCACAGATAAAACAAATTAAGCCTTGTCCTTCCAATCTGAAGCACTGCCAAGGAACAGGCAGGGTATCCATTCATCCATCCAAGAAATTTAAACTTAATGGCGGCTCTATATCATGCCCATACTAAGTGCTGGACTATGAAGATTAGTGCAGCACAGTTCCTGCTCTGGAATTGCTCATGGCCCACTAGTGAAGACAGGAAAGTAAATGGTGATTACAGAATAGTAGGATCAATGCCACGGGAGTCAAGAACTCAAGTGCTCTCATAACCCAGACTGGATGAGTGGTAGAAGCATGCACTCAAATGTCTAAGAAAATTCATCTCAAGGGATCTGTAATCTCAAAAAATTCTCTAGTCAATATCTTTGTCTTTATCATTTTCTTCTTTATGTATTTTTTGAGAAAATCTCTCTAAAAATAAATACATGCTGTGAGAAACTCAACAGAACTTTAAATTATTTCCTTCTTAAGTACAAGAATAGTTACTGAGGTTCGAGCATGTCTTTGGCCCTAGACTGGGTGAGATGCCCAGCTCTCCACTCTGCATGTCCCAAGCAGCTCTGGTCTATATGGATTTTTATTTGAGTCAGAGGGAAGTCATAAAACAACACCCTGTAATCTCCACAATAGGCACCCAAATTCATGACCGTTATCACAATCTTATTCCTGTGACCTTACAGCTTTTGAATCACAAGAGAACCAATTTGCTCAGTTGGAGTCACATGATGATATGGGGAAAACCATTTATGAACAATCTCTACAGGCTTCCATCTAAAACATTCTGGACACTGAAGAAAAATTAATCAAATCTTGTAGACTCGTTGAGCTGGAAACTTAGGAATAATTTAGTCCAACAGTTTTCAAATTTGAACATTTTTCCCTCAAATAAAAGCTTCAGAAGAAATCCAGTAAATGATAAATGGATCTTTTTTGACTGAAATAAGATTGATGACCGGGAAACCCACCCATGAACCCCTCAGGTAACCTCAAGAGTAGTATCCAGGGCCGGGCCCGATGGCTTACGCCTGTAATCCCAGCACTTTTGGGAAGCCGAGGCAGGCGAATCATGAGGTCAGGAGTTCGAGACCAGTCTGGCCAAAATGGTGAAACCCTGTCTCTACTAAAAATACAAAAAAATTAGCTGGGTTTGGTGGCGGACACCTGTAATCCCAGCTACTCAGGAGGCTGATGCAGGAGAATTGCTTGAACCCTGGAGGCAGAAGGCTGATCCAGGCGAATCTCTTGAACCCTGGAGGCAGAGGTTGCAGTGAGCTGAGATCACGCCACTGCACTGCAGCCGGGGCAACAGTGCGAGACTCCATCTCAAAAAAAACCAAAACCAAAAACAAACAAACAAAAAAACAATGAATAGTATCCAGGAGCACAACTTGCAAACAATCAAGTCTCACCTTTATTTTGTAGAGAGGAACCTGAAGTGCAGAGAAGGGAAGCAAGAAAGTGACCTACCCAGGGTCACTCTGAGGGGACGGCAAAAGAGTGAGCACCCACATTTCTTGGCCTAGCCCTGTATTCTTCCCCACGGCCCTCTTTCCATCTGCTGCTGAGTCGAAGCACTTTATAGCAGAGCAGAGGACTCTGCCTGGCCCAGGTGGAGCTGGGAAGGGAGAAAGCCTCCATCAACTCAACTTTCCCCCAGGACACAGAGCAGCCCTGCTGGCATGTTATCACTAATATACAAAATGTGAAATTGTAAGGAATTGTTTGCCAATTTTCTTATCTCAACTGGCACAGAAGCAGGCTTGTTGGAGAGTTATGAGGTGTTAGAGTATTGTTGTTTATCCACCGCACATCCCTCGGCTGTTCTCACGGAGAGACTCACGGAAGCCTGCACACATAAATTCACATAAATTACCTTCACAAAATGTCAAAATCAAAAGTAGATTTTTATTTTGGGTATATGCCTTGAGACTGTTAACCCCTTCATGGGGGTAGAGGTATCAGCATGAGAAAACACAGTTGACATCTTTGACTACACGCAGGCCACAGGGACTAACTCCTGATCTTCCTTCCTATTCCCATCGCTATCCCATCTGCAACAGAGTCATCGTTCTTGTTAACAAGCCATAGACTTTTCTAAGTTCCCTGTCTGTGCACAAATACTGTTCTAGAGACAAGATTTTTTAATTCTGTGGTTACCGTAATTTCATTCTTTATTTAACTAAATTGTAATTAACTAACTGAGAGTTCAGAAGAGATACACAACCATTCTGGGCCTCAGTTTCCTTACTTGTAAAAGGTGGATGCTACAGTTTGAAAGTCTGTGTCTTCTTCAAGATTTATATTGAAACATAATCCCCTAAATGCAATATTAAGAGGTGAGGCCTGTAGGAGGTGATTAGGCTATAAGGGCTCTGTTCTCATGAATGGGATTAGTGCCTTATAAAAAATCTGGAGGAAACTAGCTAGGCCCTTTTTACCCTTTTCATTTCTCCCATCACATGAGGACACAGCATTTGTCCCCTTTGGAAGGTACAATGTTAAAGGCACCATCTTGAAAGCAGAGACCCGCACCAGACACCGATGTGCTGGTGCCTTGATCTTGGATTAACCAGACTCCAGAACTGAGAGAAATAAATTTCTGTGGTTTATAAATTATTCAGCCCCATGTGTTTGGTTATAGCAGCTGCAATGGACTAAGGCAGTGAAGATTGGGATAGATGAGTGCTGAACAGCCAGCTTTTCTTCCCAAGGGTTCACAGAGATAGCAATGGGGATCATCAAGTAGCTATTGATATTTCAAAAGCTTTGTGGATATTATAGATACCTGCAATAGGATTTTTAAAAATCCCGTGTGACTTCTGGAGGTATCAGGAGACAGACAGAACAAGTGAAAAAAGCAAGGGAGTGCCTGGTGTTGCAGCTGGTCCGGTAGGCAGAGAGGGCCAGCAGCCCAGAAGGACTTTCTGAAAACTAGATTTAAAAAGGGGGCAGGTAGTGCTGAAGAAATGGAGAATGACATGGCTCTTGTGAAGAGGTTCACCTTGAAATAGTCCTGAGAGAAGACAAGCATCTTTAATGCCAATACTGTTTTCTAAATCTGAAGTATGATCCTTTTTGTTATACTCAAATTGTTGTTTTTTTATTTTTTTTGAAATGGAGTCTTGCTCCATTTCACCCAGGCTGGAGTGCAGTAGTGTGATCTCAGCTCACTGCAACCTCCGCCTCCCAGGTTCAAGCAATTCTCCTGCCTCTGCCTCCCAAGTAGCTGAGATTTACAGGGGCCTGCCACCACGCCTGGCTAATTTTTGTATTTTTAGTAGAGATGGGGTTTCACCATGTTGGCCAGGCTGGTCTTGAACTCCTGACCTCAGGTGATCCGCCCACCTTGGCCTCCCAAATTGTTGAGATTACAGGCATGAGCCACTGCTCGCAGCCTCAAATTGGCCTTTATTGAACTGTTGTGAGAGGGAAAAACACCCCCAAACATGCCTTTTCTTTGCCTCCGACTCATGTTCTGGCAACTAAGTGTGGCTGGTTATGCCTTTCAAGCTGATTAGAAGTTTTCAGGGTGCCTTTCACACTGATTAAAAAGCTCTCAGGGTAGTTATTCATCCACTTCTCTGAGAAACAAACATTTACCGGGGGCCAACTATGGTGGATCTGTCTTTGCTTTTAAAAAAAGCGGAAAGAATCATCTTAAGATCATGCGGTTTTTCTGTAGGACAGAAATCTTTCAGTATGTGGTGGAGCAGAATCCTCGATGATGAAGAGACTGGAGAGCTACCCCCCTCAGACCGGGGGTAGGCTAGCTCTGACAGTCTAGGATGGAGCATCAGAATGAAACCTCAAATGGGAAATGGGAGTAGAAAGAATGTGGATTTGTGCCAGGACCACATTATGATCTCTATGCCCCAAACCTTTTTGTCTTCCCACTGTAACAACATCAATATTAAAACTTCTGTTTCTATAACTTTAAATCGTTCAATATTATGTGTTTTTTCCCTTTTAGGCAAAACGTAATAGGTTTGGGGTGCCTTACAAATTTTACTTTTTCTTTTTTCTGATGTGAGAACAATTTAAAACTTTTAAATTTGTGACCCTAAAAGCTGTTTTTTTCCTTCTTGTTTTAAAAGAAAGTAAAATATTTCAAGGGCTGCTAAAAGTTTTGTGAACCTCAGGCACTGAGCTTCTTGTGCCTAAAGGATTTGTCAACCTGGCTCTGGGGGAAAGAGAAAGGCTTCATTCAGCCTGCAGCGCTCGCTGTGGGACTGCTGATGCACGGGAAGCTGGGGATTGGTCCTGCTTCATGGAAGCCGTATCTCTCAGCCCAGAACTCACTGGGCTCAGACATTTGGCAAAAGTGCCTCCAGTTTGCCAGTGCATGAGTTTGATGGCCGTTTCTTTGCTTTTCTTCTAAATGGGGCAACTTGAAGAGCAGGAAAGAACAGCGAACTGGAGTCCAGAAAACTAGAGGTCGGGTTGCATGTTTTCATTCTATGGAGCTGTGTGGCCATGGACAACCCTCATTTCAGGGGGTCTGTTTCAATATTTGCCAAATAAAAAAGTTGAACTAAACAATAACTTTTAAGCTATAATTTATGCCCTACATGCTTCTATAATATTATTAGAAAAATTCTCAGAGAGATAGATGAAGTTCCTTATAAATGGAAGCAGTTATACTTAGACCAGGATCTGGAAATAAGTTATTTACTATAATACTATATTAAATTTAGTTCTGAATTTTCTGGCAGCTGAGAAATATAGTATTTCTATTGTCTAATCAAAGGCAAGGTAGTACTTCCTTAAGGCTTTATTTGGGATTTTTTTTTTAATGCTAAAAAAATCAGCACTACTGCCATTTAATTTTTTTAAAAGAGCAAAAATTGACGCACAATCCACTACTTCAATAAATATAACTATTTTCTTTCTAGTCTTTACCAATGTGAAATTATTCAGTGGAACATTCCAAGATAAAATATTTTTGGTTTCCTGCTTTATTTCACTCAAGAAGATACAACTGTTAATCTCGTGCTACTGCAATGTTTGCGTGTTATTTTGAATGCCTGTGTAATACCAGTTGGATATACTTAGCCATTCCTTGAACATTAGGTGTTTAGTTGGTTTTCCATTTTTCATTACTACTCAGAATAAGCAATTAATATTGTAGCATTTTGCTTCTTTCAGGTAGTTTTTATTACATGAATTCCCTGGAATGAGAAGATTCCATGAAAAAGTATGAACATTGGCTGGGCAAGGTGGCTCATGCCTATAATCCCAGGACTTTGGGAGACTGAGGCGGGTGGATCACGAGGTCCAGAGATCAAGACCATCCTGGCCAACATGGTGAAACTCTGTCTCTACCAAAAATACAAAAAATTAGCTGGGCATGGTGGCAAGCACCTGTAGTCCCAGCTGCTCTGGAGGCTGAGGCAGAAGAATTGCATGAACCCAGGAGGCGGAGAATGCAGTGAGCCTAGATCGTGCCACTGCACTTCAGCCTGGTGACAGAGCGAGACTGTCTCAAAAAAAAAAAAAAAAAAAAAAAAACTGAACATCATTTACTTTTTCTAAGTTTTGACCCTTTGTTTTCCTATGAAATTGTGCTGCCTTTACTCTCTAAATGAAGATATAAATTTACTGGGAAATATTACAGAACAGCAAATCTTTTCAGTTCTAAAAGGCTCCCAATGAGTTTGTTGCAGGGGATGATTGATCTATGTGAAAGCAATGGAACATTTGATTTTGATCTGTTACTGGTATTAATGTACCTTTAGCATTTCACGGAATACAGCCTATGCAGGGATAGAAGAGCACTTACTATTGAATTGGGAATGAACTGGGCCAGAGGTCATGAGAAATAGAGTGGAATGTGTAGATGTGCAGCACGCTTCTCCTGTTGGGGAAGCTGAGGAAGTTCTGTTTATTGTTCTTCTAAGATGTTCCTGTGACTGGAACAGAGCTGGAATTACTCTGGATTGGGATAGCTGGGCTCAACTTTCCCACTATTTATGGCAGTGAGAATTTAAACGGAGCTGAGAGTTTCCTTCTTTCCTGGATCTCAAACAGCTTGGTCTCAGAGCGCAGAGCTTCCCCAAGTGTTTCCAGAGAAGACAGCCTGAGGGAGAGGAAGTGGTGCTAATTAAATCCTCCCTCTGTTTTCCAGGCACAGGAGCCTTTCGCAGATGTCTGTTGTTAGGCGTGTGTTCACAGAGTGCGCAAATACAGAAGCAGGCTTTCCTTCCCCAATGGCACAAACCTTCCTTCACAGGTTATAGAGAACTTTAGAAATGCATTTCCTTCCAACACCCACTGTGATAAAGGTGGCAGACCTGCATAAATACAGCATGTAGCTGCCAGGGACAGGAAGGTCAGAGTGCCTCCTCTGTCTGTCTTTCTTTCTCTGTCTCTGTCTCTATGTCTCTCTCTCTCTCTCACACACACACACACACACACACACACACATACACTCTTTCTCCTGCTTCTTCATTCCTTGTTTTCTCAGAGACCAATTTCTACCTTTTGCACACCTAACTTTAAAAGATCACCTAAAAGCTCAGAGACATCTTTTCTGTCATAAGGCAGATGTTGGGTGTGCTATACTGGGGGCATGGTTGGGAGGACACTTGCTGCTACGACTATTCAAGTGTGACCCTGGGTGGTTCCCATCTACTCTGTGTTCCTCAGAAAGATGGGGAAAGACTAAGTAGCTCTTCTAGGATTGCTGGAAAGATCGGATAAGAAAACATATAAAGCTTAAGAAATCATATAAAGCAAACTGCATAAGGCTTTCCACTTGTGAGTTACCTTAGCTGTGTTTTCTACATTCAAATCCTCAGGGTGAACATATATATAGAGCCACATTTGCCTGAGACTGTCCAGTTCACTCCTATCATCCTGACATAATTGTCAATAGCACCCTTTTCATGCCAAAATATCCCAAAATTAGCTAATAAATTATATGATCATACTATTTTTACCTCTTGTGAATAGCCTAGTTAATCCCAATTTCAAAAGCGGAAGCTTGCTGGGGATAGGGGCTTCTTCTCACCTTCTTTTGTTTCACAAGAACCAAGGAAATTGATTAAAAACCACTTTTGTTTAAGAACAAGGAGGTGACTCCGAGAATAATATGGCATTCCTACTTTCATGGTGAAAATGGACATGAAACTTTCTAGGTAGCATTGATAACATGCTCACTGTCAGCTTGAAAGGATTTGAGTGCACAGGCTAAGCTAACATGTGTCTTCTATTTTATTTTGCTTTGCTTTATATGTACAAAATAGAAACCAAGATATTATTTTTATTTATTTTTAAACCATGTGTGATCATTACTAGCACCCACAGACATGCAAACAAAAATAAAAATCACCTCTAACACTGTCATCTAGAGATAACTATTGTTATATTTTATTTTACTTCTTTTCAGGCCCTCTTTTTAGACATTTTTAAATCTGTTATACCATACATGTGTGCCTGTATATACATATGCAGGTACATTTCCTTCCTTCCTTCCTTCCTTCCTTCCTTCCTTTCTTCTGTCTTTCTTTCTTTTTTCTTTCTTTCTTTTTCTTTCTTTCTTTCTTTCCTTCTTTCTTTCTTCTCTTTTTTCCTTCTTCCTTTCCTTTCCTTCTTTATCTTTCTTCTCTTTCTTTCTAAATTATTTTAACAAATTGGAATAATATTATTTATAATATTTTTTAACTTACTTTTTTCCATTTATAATATATTTTGGATATTTTTCTGTGATAAAATATACACTCACACTTTCAGTGATAACATTGTATTTACAGTGCAACATATTTTATTTAGTCAACTTCTTACTGATGGATACTTATTTTATTTTATTTTTTGGTGTTAGACTCAATGTTGCATGAATGTCTAATGTTTTTACATACAGTGTTGTATGAGATATAAAGTGGTGTGTTTTTCTTTTATATATAACCTGGTATATTTTTCTATTAGATGCGGTGTTGTGATGAACAAACTTTTTTTTTTTTTTTTTTGAGACAGGGTCTTGCTCTGTTGCCTAGCCTGGAGTGCAGTGGCATGATCTTGACTCACTGCAACTTCCACTTCCTGTGCTCAGGTGAACCTCCCACCTCAGCCTACCGAGTAGCTGAGACTATGGGCACATTCCGCCATGTCTGGCTAATTTTTGTATTTTTTGTAGAGACTGGGTTTCGCCATGTTGCCCAGGCTGGTCTCAAACTCCTGAGCACAAGGGATCTACCAGCCTCAGACTCCTAGAATGCTGGGATTACAGGCATGAGTCACCATGCCCAGCTGAACAACCGTGTGTGTGTGTGTGTGTGTGCACGCGTGTATGCATGTGCGTGTGTGTGAGTCTTTGGGTATTCGTCTAATTATTTTCTTAGAATAAATTTTTAGAATTCGAATCTTTCAGTTAAAAACATGTTCAGTTCTAAGTGCTCTTATGCTCTATTATGACTCAAGAAGCACACAAGAAAATGCATTATCATTGCTTTTAACTCTTAAATAAGCTTGCAGTCTGGTGAATTTTCAACCAAAAATGCTATGCAATTTTGAAGAGAAATTGTCTGGTAATTATTTTATATAGCTCTTCTCTTGTTCAGGTTCCTGTCTCCTGGGATTAAACTCCTTTTCTCTGTCCGGAGAGTCTCTCCTTCACTTCTCTGGTAAATGACCTTGCAGGATTGTGGATGGTATTTAGAAGTCTGTGTTATGAAGCTGTATCCACCAATGCCTCTGTTTAGTTAACATGAAGGATGTTTTTAAGTTTCAGGAATTCCGTTTGCTCATCATATTCTGTTTTGCCATAGCTAGGACACAGGTACAGAGGTAACATTTTTTCAATGAGATTTTTCTGCCCTTGGTTTAGGCTGAAGAAATGTCAACAATTGGGAGTTTTGAAGGATTCCAGGCTGTGTCTCTGAAGCAAGAGGGAGATGACCAACCCTCTGAGACTGACCACCTATCGATGGAGGAAGAGGACCCGATGCCAAGACAGATTTCAAGGCAGTCAAGTGTGACCGAATCAACTCTTTACCCCAATCCTTATCATCAGCCTTATATCTCACGGAAGTACTTTGCTACACGGGTAAATTTATTGGTTCTCTTAAATACTATATAAAAATTCACCCCAAGACATCTTAAAATCCTTCTGTGTATCACATATTTACTGAGTGTACTCACATTTGTCTCATGTAATCGTCATAATAATCATGAAGTAGCTATCCTTATCCCTATTTAAAGATGAAGGATCTGAACTTTAGAGAATTTAAAGATCTATGTTTGATTCCACAGATAGTATTAAGGAGAAGTGTGTCCTCGAGCTTCCTTCTTTGGTTCCTCAGTTTGTGTTTATGCTAAACCTGATCTCAAAGAACTAGTATTCCATAAAGAGAGAACCATAGCAGCTAGAATACAAAGCTGTTAATCCAGTGAGGGTATTCATTGTTTGTGTGGAAAAGATATGGATAATGGAGTGGAGAGGGTTGCTAAGATCGCACTGACTCTCTAAAGTTTACGATGGGATGCTCATATTACAACGAGGGAGCAGGTAGCTTTAAATCTCAAACCTACAGCGACCAGCTGGAGCTGAGCTCTCTTACCTGTGCAATGGAGCTGGGAAAGTAAATGGATGGGTAAGTAAGCAGGAGGGAGCTTGTATATCTGGATGTTAAAAAAGCAGTATTTTTAACTTTTAGCATTTGATTCAAGTGGAGAGTGCTTCATAGGTTTCTAGTACCTTTCCCTCTTGAGCTCTTCTTCCTACTTATAGATCCTCTTTCCAATCCTTCAACATTCTTATTAGCACAGTCATGGTTAGCTTAGAGGTTACAATCAATTGGGGGCAAAATCAGGGAGTTTACACTATGGCAACAGAGAACATCTCATTTTCATGTGTACGTGGGAGATCTTTTTGGAAAAAAAATGTATTTCAACTCATTCTCATAAAAAATTGGGGCCAGGGTTTTGTGACTTTTCCAAAGCTTTAATTAATAAATCCTGATTTGGTTGCTTTCAAAAGATATCTTTGGTTTAGGTAAAGTTTTAACTAAAGCAACTTAACGAGTGTGTGTGTGTGCCTGTGTGAGTCTGTGTTTAAACACTGCATATACTCTTATGTGCAAGATGCTTTAGTAGGTGCGATACTATATGTGTGTTTGTGTGAGTGTTTCTGCATATGTAGAGCATATGGTTTGTTTTCCGAAGTATGTGAACTTTATTGAATATGCAAAGTTAAGCTGTGTGATATAGCTGCAAAGGAAATCAAAGCATCTCTTGGAGTTGTGCTATCTTTGATATTGATGATGTAGGGTTTGATGATAGAAGAACACACTGCGATATAGAATAAAGATTTATTGCTGGGAGCTGATGCAATTATGAGAGCTGGCTGGGACTATGGAAAGTTGTTTTCTCTGAATCTGGTGTTGGGCCTGAAGTTAGAATAGGCCAATCAGTTGGCAGTTGTGAAGAGGAAATAGGGAAAAAGGAATAGGAAAAAATTGCATGGACAAACTGGAATGTCTGGTGACAATGTTTAACTTATGAGGAAAAACTGGAACCTATGTCTGTCTCCCACCAAGTCTAACCTTGATGGTGTGAGGTCACTTTTAGAAGCTAGTGCTTTCATTACTGAGCTACACACTTAACTAGCCCAGGGAGAGGAAAGTCTTAGAAAAAAAGCCTGACTGTGATGGAAGGAGACGCAGGTACAGGGGCTACCCCTTGCCGTTAAGTAAACCAGGATAACAGTTGCCATGAACATGAGTTGTCACAGTGCATGGTGACCTGCACTGATCTTCAACAGGGAAAACGACTTATGTTTCAATTCTACCTTTTGAATATTACACAGGTGTCTCTTGTTGCCAGCCCTAATTTGGAAACACACACAAAAAAGCAATTCTAGAAAATGTAGTTTCAGCTCAGCTAAATTGACAGAGTCCAAATCCACTACACATGATGATTGTATTGGTGTTGTACCATGTAGCTTATACAGCAAACTCACATCCTTTATCTGTTTGATTCCCCAGAGCAATACTGGGAGGCAGGCAGGAGAGGGCTTAACATCCGTGTTTTAAAGATGAACATATTGAAGTTTGAGAAAAATGAAGTGACCTGTCCAAATCATATAATGTTAGTGGAAGGGCTGCAGCTAGATTCCGGGTCTTGATTCTGGAACTTCTTTCTCCAAGTCCAATACTTTCCTGACCACGCACAGTAGAATTTATGGCTCCTTTATAAGTGTTTTCAATGACTGATTCCAATCAATGCGAAGAATATCTTTTTCATTAGGTGTATCGAAAACAATCTTAAGTTCTCAAAAGCTTGTGAGGGATCTAAAGTAAACCTGAAGACTCTGGGAACCAATAGGGAGATTTTCCCAAGATACTCAGTGTTTGCCCTCCTTCAGACCAACAAACATAGTATGAAGAGCTCTTATTGCCATGTGAGTAAAATAAATGTGCATTCACACACATGAGAACAATGAAAATATAACTGTTGGCTTAACTAAAGTTTATAATGATAAACTTAAAAAAAAAGATCCAGCTTTGCTAGCTTATGAACCACAAGTCTGCTAATGGGTGGTAGTTGAAAAAAACTGGAGAGAAATGTGTGTGTCTGTGTGTGTTGGGGGGAGGGTATTGGATGTATATGCATATATTTCCTCATCTACAAAGTATAGATAAAACGCCATTTTTATATAGAAATTTAAATAAGCTAACTTTGTAAAAGTTCTTAGTAGAGTGCATAACACATCTATCAACATTTTATAAATGGCATCTCATTGTTGTTATAAATGCTTTCTCTTTTTTCTTGACTTTACATCCATTTTTCTGTAATTGGTAATAGGAAACAACATTAAGATGCCCATGACCTCATCATGACCTTCAGGGTAAGATATAAATGTAGACGTGTAGGGTCTGTAGCAGTAAAAAGGAAGCTAACTCATTTTCTGAAGGGATAATTCAATAAGATAAAGAGTCTCAAAGATTGAAATCTATGAAAGAGTCATGATAAAATATGACTTCTTAAAGCTGAAATGAAATCTACAGATGATATAGTCAGATGATTCTCAATCTTTACTATGCAAAACATTATATTCTAGATTTCCACAAAGTCTCTGGTGATACTGATGCTCTCTGTCCTGAGACCACATTTTGAGCGTGAGTGAGCTAATCAACACACTTGTTCTCAAAGGAAAATAAGGCCAAGAGAAGGGGGAGTCGCTTGCTCAATGTCACGGTAGATAGTGATCACTGACTTGCCCAAGAGGCTAGCAAGTGGCAAAGCTAGGGCTCAAACTAGTTTTCCAATTTATAATTAGATTCAATTAAAAAGAAATCAACTTATCATGGAGTAAGAACTTAAAGTATATATGTTGTAAATTCAGAAGGGTAGTCATTGAGTGGAGGGATTACTTGGTCAGGTATTTTCTATTATTAAAGTGTTTTAAAATTATTGCACAGGAGGTGGTTTATTGATGAAAAATTAGAAAATGTAAATAAGCAAAGTAAAATAAAGATTATCACTGCCCAAATTTAACTAAAATGTATTAAATCTGCTCTTATATATTTAGGTGCATATTCTTTTTTCTTTTACTTATATATACACAATTCTTGTGTAAAAATGGGATTATATGCCAACTATTATTTCCCATTTCAATAACATACTTCCATAATCTAATTTTTAATAGTTTCATAATATCCAACTATGGGAATATACTATAATTTATTTAACTTTTGTTGTATATGTAGGTTTCTTACTGTTTAAATGTTTTAAACTAGAAAAGAAAGTTACTCATTGGCTCCCTGAGGCAGGATATTGCTCAATTTCTCCAGTGCCAGGAGTAAGCAGCCGATGCCATAATCAGAAAGAAGTTCAATTATATGAATTACAAATTAGATTTACAAAGAGGTGACTGACACATAAATTAATTATTGACCAACAAGTCAATTTTAGCATCATAACCTCATATATTAGACCACATCACTCAATACTGGATCACAAAAAAAAGTATATCTGGCCCCTTAAACCTCTTGTATTCTTTATGGGTCACTCTGGGATGTTACTTCCTTTCCTCAGGCTTCCAACCTATTATTTATTTTCTGAAACTGTGTGCCTCTGACTTAGCTTCGGAGCTCCCAGCTAGAAGGGTCTTGAAGAATATTGAATCCAGAATCCAACCTTTGATGCACACAAATGAGGTATGACTTGGTGCCAAGGTCAACAAGCAACCTCTGGGCCACGCAAGAACTAGAAGACAGGCCTGGAACCCAGGACCCTCGATGCTTTCCACCACATCCCACTGCCTCTGACCTTGGAAAATGAATGAAAAGTCACAGAAACAAAGATCCAAACTACTTGCCATCAGTCTGCTTGGATAACCTTTTCCTTTGGTTTCAGTTCATCTGCTATTATTGCTTAGACGTATCTAAAAAAAGGCCTAGTGCCTTCTCTGAACAAAAGTACCCCTCAAGGCTAATAACTAGAGGTATATTATGATAATCTTGGTTGTGGAGACTGATATTCAAAAGCAACTTCTTATGAAAGGAACAATACTTAGTCCACATGGGGAAAGATATTTTTAAACTCTCTGTAGGACTCTATATTTGCAGATACCTTATCAGAAAGTTGAAAGCGATTTGGGATGGGGAATTATCTCTAAATTTATACTCGAGAATGTAAATTACATACAAACTAATGGGACTAAAACTATTTGATCTTTTAATATTTAATTAATGGTTCCCCGTGGCGTTTTTATAGTCTGTGTTCTATTGTGAGCAACGAGATTTTAATAAGCAGGTTCAGGACTTTCCATTGTGTAGCAAGATGTCATTGCTTCCATGACACTAATTTGGCTTTCATACTCTCTCTCTTTCCCTCTTCTCTTGCTATAGGGTTCCCTGTGTCTTGCTTTCACATTGGGAACAAATAAATATATTAGTTGTATTGTTATTGCCTGTGTGGGCTTCTTTCGGGTGTAGAAAATAGTTATCTCACTGGGCAAAAGGTTTCTTGACTCCTTCCAACCCTGAAATCCTGTGAAGATTGTAAAAAAGATGATTTTTTTTTTTCTTTATGAGAGCAGAGGACTAACCACAATGAGATATGATATATTCCCTTCATTTTCAGGTAAAGACAAATTTGCTTGGACTTTAAAAATCACATCTGATTTAGAGCTGATTTTCTTACTTTATGTGTTCATTGCAAAGTGACTGCAGTCTGGACATGACAAGAGAGACCCAAGTGTCTGAGTCTGCAGAGACATTCTTTTCTATACCACTCCTGTTTAGCTAAGGAGCTCATTACATCGAGAAAAATTAGCACAGACATGGACATTGTTTGTGTGACAACTGGCCCCAGGCTAGTCTAGCTCAAGGAAATGTAAGGAAACAAACACATATGTTTTCAAAATTCCCCCAGTAGGTTTGCTTTGACTAAAACTATTCAGTGCTAGACTGTAAAAGACAATATTGCCTGTTACGCTGTGTCAGATGATGTGTACATATTATTCCACTGTATTTCCCTGTTTGTCTTAGGCTGCATGATGTCTCAGAGCTGATTATTCAATTACAGTAAACATTTGATCCCCAAATTCTGGTATAACTATTTTCCTTCTATCTGATATCAGCCATAATGAGAATGATGATAAAGATTTTTATTAATCAGTATTTACCATTTTATATGTAATAATATATATAGTGTTTTGTAGCATGACTCAGTTACAGTTGTTATCTTCTTCATCTAATAAATGAGCAAACTGATGTACGGAATGACAAAATGGTGTATAATGGATCCTCATAAGAAAGGCTGAGATTTACACCTTGATGTCCCAGACACAAGTCAATGTATTTATACTTTCATATTATATTTGGCACTAAATGACTAAAGTTAACTTATTATAGTAACTATAATAGTAAGATAGGGGAGAGTACAATTCTGTATCTGGGTATATTTTCCTTCTGTGTTCTATAAGGGCTTGACCTACATTTTTACCAAAGATAAGAACAGCACAGTGAGAAGACTGATAGAACTCCAGAGGCTACCAATTCATTCTGTAAAGAACATGCTTTATTTTTTGTGTCTGACTTTTGAAAAGGTATACAGCAAAACATCACCTTCATCTTCTGTCTTCATCACATTCGTTACTACCCATAGGGAACCAATGTTAATAGTTTCTATATATCCTTTAAGAGTTACTTTAGGCATATAGAAGCAAACATAAATATTTGTTTTTATTCCCTCTCCTCCTTTTTATGCAGAAAATGGCATATTTCACCTTCTCTTCTGTTCATTTTTTTCTTTCATTTGATAATACCTTTAAAAATCTTCCCATATTAACACAATTTTCTTCACACTTTTTATAACTTCATCATATTGTATTGTATGAATGTATCCTATAATATATATCCCTAGTCCTTTATTGAGAGATGTTTGCGGTTTTTTTCCAGAAATTTTTGCTATCCAAAAATAAGGCTGCAAAGAACACTTTATAGATATGTCATTTTGTATATATGCAAAAATTTCTTTAGTATAATTTCACAGAAGTGAAAATATGGATCAAAGGATAGATCATTTTTCATTTTGATAGGCTTTGCCAATTATTTTCCATAAGCGAGGCAAATAAGGTTTTAAAAATTCTACATGATTATACTCATCTTCACATATCCTTGGCAAAGTGCCTGGCATAAAAGCATTCAATAAAATGCTTATTTTAGGATTATTTCATGACTCTTTACTTAACAATTTTTTCTTCTGAAAAATATTAGTCTCACTACTCAGTTATATTTGTTGAGACCAAAATTATGTGAATACAGGAAGAGAGACCCAAAAAAATACCCATGTTGTGTCATTAAAGAAAGTATTATTTTTGAGAGGACAAGTGGGACTGGAAGAGTCAGACTGCATCACAAAGAGTGGAGGTTGAGTGTAGGGAAAATTGTCATAGAATCCTAGGCAACTCCCCTCCAGAGTCATCTATTCCTGCCAGTGGGGTCACTGGAGGTGACTGACGTTGGCACAACCTTCTCTGTCGAAGTACATTTGAGCAGTGGTTCTCTTAGTACAGTCTCCACACCACCAGCAGCACCCAAGAACTTGTTAGAAATGCAAATTCTCAGGTCCCACCCTGGTCCAGCTGAATAAAAAACTCTGGGTAGAGTCCCAGAAATCTATGTTTTAACACATACTTTAGGTGATTCTGACGGGCATTGAAATTTGAGAGTCATTGAGCTAAAGAGTCTATGAACTTACTAGAACAGATGACAATCAATCTTTAAGCTAAGGTTGGGCCTATAAGTAGTAACACCTGTTTGGGGAAGGAAGCAGAAAATGAGGTGAGGAGACTGAAAGAGTGTATCTCCATGAGTCAGCTAAAATTTATTGTCAGAGCATTGGAAGAAGGCTATGTTGTTTTTTATTGACATGTGCTCTAGGAAGAGAAAAAAGGTTTAATTTAAAAATGTACAGATTCCTAAAGGCTTTGAACTTTATAATGCTTGTTTGGGAAAACTGTTCCTCTGAAAGTGGCTGTCTTCATTTATATAATTAAATCTGAGTAAGATTATAGAAGATGGGGCCTAGATCACTTTTTCTCTACCCAAGGAGAAAAGCTTACCAGAGTTCAAGAGTAAGTTTTCTGGAAGGCAGTTAGGCATACAGGCAACTGCATAAACTATATCCTTTGTGACCAGCTTTCCGGAGGAGCTGCTGGAATATACTAACTAATCATAAGCGCGAAGTGGGCTAAGTCTGCTCTAAACTAGGTATTTTCTCCTTTCCACACAGCCGGGGGCCATTGAGACTGCCATGGAAGACTTGAAAGGTCACGTAGCTGAGACTTCTGGAGAGACCATTCAAGGCTTCTGGCTCTTGACAAAGTGAGTAGTCACAGCTAAGTGAAGGGCCGTGGAAATACAGCGTTTTCCTTGACATCACTGTAGCAGAATAGGAGATGGACCTGTGGTAGAATTTCTCTGGTTGCTACATAAGATAAATGATTGAATTACCAGGTTAGTCACATTTTCCAGCATTCCGTGGCTGATGATATGACCAGATATGACTCCTATACCTGTTTTCTGGGCTGGTCCCCTCACTCAACCATCACTACGTCTACCTTAGGTCAGGCCTGTATCTCCACTCTCAAAGACTGTTATATTGGCTTCCTAATTCTCTCATTCTAATCTCTTATTTAAAAGCACTCCCCCTATAAACACATTGAACTACTAATCATCTCATTCTAGGTGTCATGGAAAGAAAGTCTGGGAAAGAATATAGATAAAATCAACATATATACTTTGAATTTGATCTTATATACAATCATGAACAGAAAAACCAGGGAAATCATGAAGATAGCTAAGTCAGGTACATTTCCAGAGTTAGGATAAAAACCAAGTCGAACATTCAAGCCCTTATTGCTTCAATAACTGCCTGCATTCCCCCCAAAGATTATCTTATCCATAAGAGCTTTGCTTGCAAATACCACCACAAAGATGGTTACCTTTCTAGCCTTCTCAGAAATTCTGTTGTTTGTGTGACCATCTCTTTACCCGCCAAGTAAATATTAGTAATACCATGGTCTTTATAATAAGTAAAATATCCCTATAATAAGAGAAAAGGCAATTTTTTTTTACTACGGAAGCCTTAATATTAAATAGATAATTTGATTAGACTACCCAGTTCAGATACTTGATTAATTCAGTAAGTTCTGTTTTCTGGCCTGGTAACTTGATCACAAAAGGGTTCAGCAGAGAAGCTCTGTGATTCCTATACCTTGAGTAAATAATCATTAATCTTTAACTGCTGGGCAGGATGTCTTGTTAGACTAAGTTTCAGGAGGGCAACACTTGAATGTTTTACCATCCAGGCCAGCAGAACAAATTTTTCAATCAATGGAAAGTAGAGCCATTATCACCTGTGAGTTCATCTGATTGCTCACCATTTTATACTATTGTTTCAAATAAATAAAAATGAACTCTTAGACACCAACTTATCTGTTAATTTTGGGTTTTTGTTTCTTCATGCATAAAATGGAGATAATAGTATGTATCTGAAGAATTCTTGAGGCCCAAATGAGATAACGTTGGTAAATTAGCAAAATGCCTAGCACATGGACCTTCAATAGCTGTTAGTGCCCCTCTTCGTTCACAAGTGATAACTATTAGTAAGAGGCTCTTTCTTTGTAGCATCTTCCTTCATTTCTATACTATCCATCTCTGTCATTTCTGGGTTACCTCTAATGAAAAGAAAACTCTGCAATTCAGGCTTTTTCCTAATTCACTTTTACCAACACGCATTTCATTTCCCACCCCCACTTCCCATCCATTGTGATATTTGACTTCTGCAAATGAATATTCTGCCTTGATTAGAATAGGTGTCAACATAGATTTTGGAGATCCCATCAGTAGCAAACACTTAACTAATCTGTTTCTACACTGCATCTCCCTTACAAGAAAGAATACACAAATGCGGTATTTCTAAATCTAGTCAAGGCTGTTGTTGAGTTCTCAGATAATAGAACTGGTAATTTCTTTAATCTTGCACATTTTAATTGGTTTTATTTATATAGAAATATGCTTTTTTTGTTTGCTTGATTATTTTTATTCAGTGATTATAAAGATGTGTAGACATAAATTGTCCAAAACTAAGTCAGACTGCATGAACTATATTGAAGCTTAGCACTACAATTCTGCCTGCTTGATTTAACATCAACTACAATGATTGGTAACACCAGTAGTTTTCAGAAAAGTATGAACAGCTGTCCCCCAAAGAGCCAAACTTTGAACCCAGCTTGAACCTAAATAGGAAGCTCAAAAGTTGGTAAAGCCTATCTAGAAACTCATTTTACATTTCTCTTTTGTTTTGTGGTACCTATTTAAATTAACTACAACAATGAGGGATGAGTCCTGCATACACATAATTTCTTACTATCATATTTGCTTGTTTGCTTGCAGACTTTCTTCCTTTGCACTTTGGAACCCATCCATCCCCTTTAAATCGTAGTTCCTTGGTGTTCTTTTTGGTCTTCTCTCTGCCAAAAGCCTTTACCTCCTCTTCCCCATTAAAACCTACTTTCAGGAAAAGTTCTGATTTCAGTCATTTCTGCCATGGTGAGAATTTGACAGTTTATTTTCTTTGCTTGTTAAAAACCTCATCGTGGGTTCCGAGATGCATTATGCAATGGAAAGCGCTGCTAGTTGTAAAGACCATGGTTCAGGCATCTGGTCCAAATAAATGAGGTTCCTAGTCTAGCCACTGTTACTTTTCAAGCAGAAAAATAAGAAAAAATAATTGTCAAAAAGAGGAGCATTCATGGAGGATTTAAATGGCCTTTCATATTTAAGCCTTTTTGTTTGTTTGTTTGAAAATTCTAGCACACCAAGGCAGGGAAAGGCAAAAACAACAACAATGAGAACACAAAAACAAAAATCCCAACTCCCCCAACAGCAACCACAAAACAAAAAAACTAAAGAAAATAAACAAACATGCAGGCCCAGAAAGGTAAGAGCTTGCAATTACTCCTGGCTTCTTGCTTCCCATTTATTTAGTTCTTATGAATTATAGGAGCTGTAATATGGACCAACTACCCTAGCCTCACCAACCACACAAGATTCTCTCTTTTTTTTTTGAGACGGAGTCTCGCTCTGTCACCCAGGCTGGAGTGCAGTGGCGCAATCTCGGCTCACTGCAAGCTCTGCCTCCCGGGGTTCACACCATTCTCCTGCCTCAGCCTCCTGAGTAGCTGGGACTACAGGCACCCGCCACCACACCCAGCTAATTTTTTGTTTTTTTTTTAGTAGAGATAGGATTTCACCCTGTTGGCCAGGGTGGCCTCTATCTCCTGACCTCGTGATCCGCCTGCCTCGGCCTCCCAAAGTGCTAGGATTACAGGCGTGAGCCATCGCGCCCGGCCGAGATTCTCTTTTATGTATAACAAAAATGACTGAGCTTCATGCATATTAACTTTTAGCTCATTCCATGGAGATGGGACACTCCTGGCTGCTTGTCTAGCAACAGGGCTGCCTGTCTAGCATGCCTGGCTTTGGAACAAGGATTCCCATTTCAGAATGATGAGAGTAAAAGCCCTTTTACTGTGTATAGCACATGTGAAATGATTTTCACATCTGTGAACTTACGTTAGCTTCACAACTTTGTTGGTTTTATGATTCCTGTTTTATAAACGAGAAATGTGGGCTGGAGAACATGAAGTGCCCAAATGAAGAACATATAAGTGACAGAGCAAGGAAAATAGACTGCACTCCTGCATTCGTCTTGAGGCTGATTGGGTTCTAATTCTTTCCAAAGATGCAGGTGTGAGTTGATTGATGAACTCAGCTCAGTCTTTAGTCATATTTGATCAACTCCTAGAAATAGTTTGATGTAGGAGGGCAAGGTGGGAATTGTCAAGAGAAGAGACTGGAGAAGAGACTAAGGGCCTTTGCATCATGTTAAAGAGCTTAGATTCTATCCCATACGTGATGGGGAGGCACTGAAGGGTTGAGAAAGTGCAATCAATTTCCATTGTATAAAGACCACTATTGGCCCTCAACCTTTCATCTAAAATTGTTGGGACTAGATGTGAATGAGAAATGAGAATTTTTCAGATTTTAGAAGAATAAAACAATGCATATGTTGTTTATTTTACTAACGTTAAGTTGGTAAAGCCATTTTCCAAGGAGTAGTACTCAAATTAATTCAGGTAAGCTGCTTTGTGATTCTCTAAATTGATATGGGCACATTATTCAGTAAAATCAGAAAAATAAGTTTGCAGGCACTTGGGAAGAGAAGACAAAGAAAATAAACAGAGAGTCCAAGAGGGGCACTGGAGAGAAGCAGCCCTAAACCTCAGCTAGATCCCAGTTTAGCTGACACCATTAAGAGAATTCTAATGAATCTCCGATTAGGATTCAGGCCTCCAGGCGAGCTCATCCAGGACTGTTATATACATCTATAAAGACAGGATAGTGTTTATTTCCACCTTGCAGTTTCCTATTACCTTTCTTATTGGCCCTTCTGAAAAAAAAAAAAAAAGATTATTTTAAAAAAACTATGTGTTTGCTTTTAGAACGGATCCATTAAGCCAGCACCAAGGAGAACATCTTGACACTTTATGGAATTTCAAAAAGTATGATATGATGGCAATAAAGTGGCTCTTCAGCAGAATGTACTTGAGGTGTCTTTGTCTACAATGGTTAAAGAGACAGGAGGAGACAGCATCTTCCCTCCACACACGTTAGTGTGAAGTGGTGGTGGGCGATTGTTGTTCTTAATTCTTCTTATTCCTCATTGAGAGTAGTTGCCTAAGGTATTTAAAAACCGGTAATTCTTGTTCTTCATCTTTATAAAAGATACTTAAAATATGTTTCATTATTCCCCCAACTCCACCTGGTGTCTATCCCAGGGCTTCGGTGTAATTAATATGTGAAATCGGACTGTCCATGTGGAACATATAGACGGTAGAATCAAAGTGAAGTTGAAGAGTCAGCCTGGTGTCATAGAGAAAGCACTGAATTCACAATCAGAAGGTTTGGCTTTGAATCCTGGATCTACTACTTACTATCAGTAAAGCTGGGTGAACTTGGTTAGGGTTTGTCTTTTTAATTTTTTTAATTGGTGAATTTGTTTTAATATGTCCTTTTTTGTGTTAAGGTTTGCTTTAATATGCCCTTGTTTTAATAGTTTTTCCTCTGTTGTGCAAAGACTCCCCATTTAATAGGTCCTTTAGTTCATTAGATGTTTACTATTCTTGAAAGAAGCACAACCACTTTTAATTTTTGATATATATATATAGTATATAATTCCAGCTTATTTTTATGTATTCTTGCCAAAAATTGTTACATATTAATAATGACATTTACTGAGCACTTATAAAATGCACCAAATGTTTTGATGTCCATGCATTTGTCTTTATGAATACAAGTGCGTATAATTATTTTTAACTTTTATTTTAAGTTCAGTGGTACAAGTGCAGGTTTGTTACAGAGGTAAAATTGTGTCATGGGGATTTGTTGTACAGGTTATTCAATCACACAGGTACTAAGCCCAGTACTCATTAATCATTTTTCCTGATCCTTTCCCTCCTCCCACCTTCTACCTTCAGGTAGGCCCCAGTGTGTGTTGTTCCCCTCTATGTGTCCATGTGTTCTCATCATTTAGCTCCCACTTATAAGTCAGAACATGGGGTATTTGGTTTTCTGTTCCTGTATTAGTTTGCTATGGATAATGACCTCCAAATCCAACTCCATCCATGTCCCTGCAAAGGACATGATCTCATTCTTTTTTATGTCTGCATAGTATTCCATGGTGTATATGTACCACATTTTCTTTATCCAGTCTAGTATTAATGGACATTTAGGTTGATTCTATCTCTTTGCTATTGTGAAAAGTGCAAATGTATATAACATTTATGATCTTCTCTAATTGGAACTTCTCTCAGTTTTTTCCTTTTATTTTTCCTGATTACCATATAGTTTTTATAAAGTTACTCAATCATTCACCTATTATCAGATAATTACTCTCCAAACTGTCAATGACACACAAATGTAAGGGTTTATTATGATTCTTTCAAAACTGAATATCCAAGTAAGAAATATGTATCAGTGGGGCAGAGTAAGACTTTATGATTGGAAAGATAAATGAAACTATATGAAGCATCCCCATTTATTTTTGGCTATTTCTATAATAATAATATTTCTATAGCACTTTATAGTTTAAAAAGTCTCTTCTTCATTTAGATTAATCTTCACAGTAACAGTCTGAGGTAGGAAACATTACCTTCAGTTTATAAATGAGAGAATCTAGGCTCAGAAGAGTAGCACAGCTCTAAAGTTGCGGAAATAAGGCTCCAACCTGGTATGTTGTCCTCACTTTTGCCATAATAGCCCTTCCACTGTTGTGCAAAGATTCCACACGTGCCTCAGTATTATATTGTAACCTTCAATGGCCAAGGGTTGCCTCTTTCATATTTGGCATTCCCTGAAGAGCATGCTGGATCTCCTCTGGCAAAAACTTATTTGAAAAACAGAGAAATGCTGTCTCTTGGATTTGGTGCCGTAAGTGGAAGTGTGAAGGGCATCTATGCTTAATTTAGAAAGATTCTGCAGAAGAAAGGGCTCTATTAGATCTTTAAATAAAAAGAAGAGCAGCCTGGGAGACAAAGGAACATTGAAGAAATGGTGATCAGGGACTGTTTTCCAGGCACAGGGTTGCCTCTTTAAGTATCCTGGTCCCCAAAGTGACACTGTGTGTGGTCGCTTTCACACCTACTATCCTATGCAATTCTCAAACAGACCCATGGGAGAAGGCAGGGAGGGACTATTGGCTTTATTTTACGGATGAAGAAACCTAGAGATTAAATGACCTGCCGAAGGGCAACCACTTATTAAGGGTCACAGGAGGGCTTGACTTCATGACACCTCTCTCCCAGGCCAGTTGTCTTCTCGTTACACTGCTTTTGCTGCCTTTTGTGATTTTTTTTTTTCATCTCCCAATACAGTGATCACTGCAGTTCAAATTGGTTAAATAATCTTTGTGCCTGTGTCTGTTTTCTTTGTTGATTGTCTTTTGTTTGCAGGGAATAGGATCAGGGGTTCATTGGGCAGGTTCAGGGACCTTTTCCTCTCCAGATCTTTCTCTGGTTTTTGCTGTTCATTTGACTTTATTTAGTCTTTGACCAGGAACAACAAAAAAGTCAAATGCCTGTAAGGGATGGTGGGCAATGCTGATGGACTAAAGCCAGTCACACGTTTACCTTGTCACAGTCTCATTATGTTATCAGGACTGCTAAACTAATCATATAATAAAAACACTACTACCAATAATTAAAAAGGAAAAAGGTTAAAAAAAACTGGAAATCAGAGATTTCTAATCCTTATTAAATCATGAGGAACTGAATGATAAAAGTACTATGGAAACTACCATTTCGAAACTGCATTTTCTACTCAACCCCATGGATTTTTGTACGCGCTCATCTAGTCTAGACCCCTGGTACTCAAAGTGTAGTCCTGAATTCAGCAGCACCAGCATCACCTGGGAGCTTGTTAGCAATGCTAACCCCTAGTTCTCATCCCAGCCAGGCCTACTGAACACAAATCTGCATTTTCACAGGATCCCCAGTTGATTCCTTATGCACATTAAAATTTGAGAAGTATACTGGTCCAGATCACTCTCATGTTCATGCATAAGAATTTCGGTGGGTTCTCACTGCTTCCATATACGTCTGTTACATCCACAAGCCTTTGTATGTCATGACTGAGTTTCTTGCTCCAGCCTTACTTACCATTATGAGCCTTTACAAATTCTATCAGTCAAATTGAACTGCCTGCTGTTTCCCCAAATTTCCGGTGCTATCCCTTGGCCTCATGATTGCACTCATCCCATTTCCTCTGTTTTGTATGCCTCTGCCTTGTTTCTGCTAACCCGGCCTTCTCCTGTCATTCAGGGATACCAAGTCCATAGAGCCTTTCCATATTGATTCAACTGGAATAATCTTGTCTCCCTTCTTTGTGCTCACATTATACGATAAAGTGTAGTTCATTGTGCACTTTGTGAAGAAGGCACTCCTTGAGGCAGGGCCTGATTCTGAGTCACTTATATTCAGCAATCTCAGCCTAGTTCCCAGTGATTAGTACAGTGTGTGGCACATGATTGGGCTCAGAACTTACCACACACTTGGCTCAGATTTGGTTCTGATCAAGTAATCCACTGTATGAAGCCCTTGGCTGATACTAGCAGGGTCCATCCGTTGTGTCCTGCCTCCGTGTCCATGGGCCTCCAAGCAACTCAAAGCCCAGTAAGACTTGCCTCTGTCTTTGGGTGAAAGCATTCAGGCTAGAAAGTGCCTCAAATCTATCAAGATGTTAATGACCTGTGGCAGGACTCTGGCAGCAACAAAAGCATCTCTCTTGCCAGAATCCATTTATACTGGGTGGGTGTTTTTGACAACCACTTAATTAAACACATTGCTTTTCTCTATAAATTCACCATGGCAGCAACCTTACCCTGATAGCTAATGGTCTCTGAGTGACCTGCATTATAAGACAGTGAGGGCACTTAGTTGCTACAGTCACAAATGTACTTGGAAGTGTTTATTTTCTCATGACTGCTACCAATTAGGGAGGACTCAGAAAAAGTCAAGAGGTGAAAGGAGTCTAATGCAGCGAAATGCCTAGCTACATCAGTTACAAGCTATCTGGCCATGGTTGTACAAATCTCTTATGTCCTCTGGGCCTCAGTTTTGTGATCTATAAAATAGGGATCTTAAGAGCGTTATTTCAATGATTGCATTACTTAATAATGTACAATGCTTATGACAGTTTTTTGCCATATGTTATGTCATGTAAGAGTTGGCTTTTAATTATTATTATTAGTAGTAATATTTATTTATATTCATTCATTCATACATTTATTTATTTTTTTACTGAGTTCCCTCTGTAAACCCAACTCTGCCCTAAGTGATGAAAGTACAGGGATAAATAAGACACAGTTTCTCTCCTCAAGGTGCTCTCAGTCTTGTGAGAAAGACAGACATGTAAACAAAGTCACAACAGAGTATGATACATACTGATATATGGCCCTACAAATGATTCCACGGGAACATAAAACTCACTGTGTATTGTTACATTAGGTAAAGAAGACATCAAGATTTTAAAAGGAGGAGGGGTTTCCAAAAGAAATGATGGTATAAAACATTCCTGGAAGGCCAGGCATGGTGGCTTACGCCTGTAATCCCAGCACTTTGGGAGGCGAAAGCGGGTGGATCACGAGGTCAAGAGATCGAGACCATCCTGGCCAACATGGTGAAACCCTGCCCCTACTGAAAATACAAAAACTAGCCAGGCGTGGTGACGTGGCCTGTAGTCCCAGCTACTCAGGAGGCTGAGGCAGGAGAATCGCTTGAACCTGAGAGGCGGAGCTTGCAGTGAACCAAGATCGTGCCACTGCACTCCAGCCTGGCTGTAGAGCGAGACTCCATCTCAAACAACAACAACAACAACAAAAAAACAAAAACATTCATGGAAAAGAGAAGAATATGTGCAGAGTAACAGAGACAGGCTGAGGGAATCACAAACAGTTCAATGTGGCTGGATTATAGTGAGCAAGAGTGAGAGAACTAGAAACAAGCTAGAAAAATAGGAATGAATGAGAACGTAAAGAATTCTGAATGGTAGCCTAAGGAGTTTGGATCATATTCTCTTCTGGAGTCACAAACTGGGGATCCATAGGCCATTTCCACTCTGGTCCGTGTTTTTTTAAATTTAATTTTGAATGCCTTCAGAAAGGCTGTGTGCTCCCAGCTTTGCCAACACATTGCCACTGCCCACTGCCTTACACCAGCCCCTCTTTATTCTCTAACACAGTGTGCAATGGTGCATGGGAACCAGCTCTTACCCCTTCATGAGAGCCACCTATAGGTGTCTCTTCCTTTTTCTTTTTTTTTTTTTTTTTTGAGACGGAGTCTCGCTCTGTTGCCCAGGCTGGAGTGCAGTGGCGTGATCTC
Source organism: Homo sapiens (assembly GCF_000001405.40). Classification (NCBI taxonomy): domain Eukaryota; kingdom Metazoa; phylum Chordata; class Mammalia; order Primates; family Hominidae; genus Homo; species Homo sapiens. The sequence continues at coordinate 189,225,001 of NC_000003.12, forward strand.
AGCTCACTGCAAGCTCTGCCTCCTGGGTTCACGCCATTCTCCTGCCTCAGCCTCCCAAGTAGCTGGGACTACAGGCGCCCGCCACCACGCCTGGCTAATTTTCTGTATTTTTAGTAGAGATGGGGTTTCACTCTGTTAGCCAGGATGGTCTCGATCTCCTGACCTCATGATCCGCCCACCTCGGTCTCCCAAAGTGCTGGGATTACAGGCGTGAGCCATCACGCCCTGCCGTCTCTTCCAACTTCATGTTCAGGAACCTCACCTTGGTGTCTTGAAATCAGTTGTGACAGTTATTTATACCAAGGTAATAAAGTCAGGACATTATTATTATGATTATTTTAGAACTTGTTTAATATTTACAGCACACCATTGCTTTTATGTTGCCTTCATGGCCACTATAGGCATTCTATCTTAAGTTACTGAAGGATATCAAATAGGGTGTTGACATTGTTAGAAATGCATTAGGCTCTGGAAATAATTGCTCAATAATTTAAACATAGTCTTCATTATTTAGGGGCCTGCCAGTGTGTTTCCTTAAAGCAAACAAACAAGACCTCAGTCTTAATGTTGAGGCTATCAACACTTCTAGACCATTTTAACAGCAGTTATACAAACGACTTTTATAGCCTGTTAGGAGCAAACATGCCGCTTGATTTACAAACAATGCATTGTCTTCTCTCTAAGGGGTTTCCTGGGTTGTGCCAAAATGTCCTGTAGGGAGGGTAGGGTGGGTTTAAGAAGAGCACGTAGAGCAAGAAGGGTGAAGAGAAGGAAGCCTGTGCTTCCAATGGTCTGTTCAGTAGACAGAACTTTACAGTCCAAGAGTTGCTGTGGTTTCTGAAATGCTTTGCCATGTGAATTAATTAAAAATGTAGAGTGCTAAGTAAAGAAAATTAACAGGGACAGAGAAGGATATTATCTAATGATAAAAGAGACAATCCACCAAGAAGATACAGCAATTCTAAATGTGAATGTACCAAGCAATAGAGTTGAAAAATACATAAAATAAAAACTGATAGAACAGAAATGAGAAATAGACAAATCCATAATTATAGTTTGAGACTTCAACAGTCTTCTCTCAGTAATTGGTATCACCGCTAGACAGAAGATCAGGAAAGATTTAGAAAACTCAACACCATCAATCAGCTGGACCTAATTAATATTTATGGAACACTTCATTCAATAACAGCAGAATGCACATTCTTTTTAAGCATCTACATTACATACGGATGCTGATGCAGTATTTTGCTTATGCAAGAGCTACCATATCCTTAGCCACAGAACAAACCTCAACAAATTTGAAAGAATTAAAATCATACAGAGTATGTTCTCTGACTACAATGAGTCAAACTAGAAATAAATAATAAAAAAAATAGAAAAATGTCCAAACACTCGGAAATTAAACATACTTCTAAATAATTCAGTGATCAAAGTGGGAATCTCAAAGGAAATAAAAATTACATTAAACTGAATGAAGAAAAAATACAACTTATCAAAATGTGTGGGACGCAGCGAAAACAGTGCTGAAAGTGGAATTTATAGCACTAAAGGAAAAGTGTACATATTAATTGAGGGAAAGTCTCAAATCAACAACCTAAGTCCCTGCTTCAAGGAACTAGAAAAAGAAGAGCAAAGAAATGAAAAGTGAGTAGAAGAAAGTAAATAACTTAGATAAGAATAGCAATCAATGAAAAAATTAAACAAAAAAAACCGAAAGAACTATAGAAAAAATTAACAAAACAAAAAGTTGGCTCTCTGAAAGGATCAATAAAATGGAAAGCATCTAGCAAGGCTGACAAAAAAAAAAAAAAAGAAAAAGAAAAAAGAGGAGACACAAGTTACCAATATCAGGAATGAAACAGGGGATATCACAGCATATCACTACAGATGCTGCAAATGTTAAAGAGACAATAAGGGATTATAGCTAACAATTCTACACATATCAATTTGACAACTCAGATGAAACAAACCAATTTCGCAAAACACACAAACTATTGCTACTCACTCAACATGAAAGAAAAAAAATTGAATAACCCTATAACAATTAGGAAACTGAACAATTAGGAGACTAAAGGCAGGGGGAAGGGAGATCATTGGAGCCCAGGAGTTGGATACTAGCCTAGGCAACAGAGTGAGATCCTGTCTTCACAAAAAAAAAAGAAAAAAAAGAAAAAAATTAGCCAAGCAGACAGTGGTTCATGCCTGTGGTCCCAGCTACTCAAGAGGCTAAGGCAGAAGGACTGCCTGAGCCCAGGAGTTTGGGATTGTCTCTCTGTAGCCCTGTCCTGTTCTCAGGCCTCAGTTCCATAGCAGGGTAACTGGTGAGAATCTCCCCCACCTTTCCTACCAGAGTTCCTGGAGGGGGAAGCAGGACTGCTGTACAGGGAGGGCCACGGCAGCTGCCCTTCTGTCCCTGGCACAGGGCTTTGCTCAGTGTGGCAGTTTTAGTTCCTGAACTGAATTTTTCTTCTCTCAAAAGTCATGCTGGTTGCTTTGGAGCTGTCATTTTTTTCCCTCTAGCCTTGAGATTGACGCAATTGTAGCCCTCACTGTGAAGAAGTAGAGAGAAGCTTCTTTATCTGCTGTTTTGATACAAGTTGTTACTACACACTTCTTACGCTGTAACTTAAAAAATGCAATCATTGTAAATTTGTAACCCATCAGCGTTCTTTCAAATGTTGATTTCAGTGAACTTCTTTGTGTGTGTGATTTGTAGAAAAATAAATAAATAATAAATTAAAAACTGTAAAACTATGGTCACGCCACTGGCCTCCAGCCAGAGTGCCAGAGAGACCCTGGCTCTAAAATTAGGAAATTTAATTTATAATTAAAGATTTCTGGCCAGGCACAGTGGCTCATGCTTGTAATCCCAGCACTTTGAAAGGCTGAGGTGGGCAGATTGCCAGAGCTCAGGAGTTCGCGACCAGCCTGGACAACATGGTGAAACCCCTTCTCTACTAAAATACAAAAATCAGCCAGGTGTGGTGGCGGGCGCCTGTAGTCCCAGCTACTCGGGAGGCTGAGGCAGAAGAATCGCTTGAACCTGGGAGGCGGAGGTTGCAGTGAGTCGAGATCGCCCCACTGCACTCCAGCCTGGGCAACAGAGCGAGACTCCATCTCAACAACAACAGCAATAGCAACAACGACGACAACAACAATTCCTCTAAAAGAAAATTTTAGGCTCAGAATTCTATGAAATATTTACAGAAGAATGAACATTAATTTACATTTTTTTTCCAAAAATAAAGCAGAAGGAAATACTCCCAACTTATTCTATGAAGCCAGTATAACCTGATACCAAAACCAAAGACAGTACAAAAATAGAACTATAGATCAGTATTCCTCATAACTGTAGATGCAAAAATTCTTAATAGCAAATATAACACAGTATTAAAAAAAATTGGTGTAAAAAGAATTATACATCATAACCCAAAGTGGGTATATTCTAGGCATGCAAGGCAGGTTCAATTTGGAAAATTAATCAATATAATCAACCATATTAACAGGTTAAATCAAGTAAATATATCATCATATCAACTGATGCAGAGAAAGTATTTGACAAAACTCAGCACCCACTCATGATAAAAACAAAAAAGAGGAAAACTTTCCTCTATTTAAAAGAAAAATTTGCATAAAATCTATAGATAACATCATGCTGTTGGGTAATGTCTAATTGTTCCCCCCTAAGATTTGGAACAAGGAAAGCGTATTCATTCTCACTACATTGAATACTCTAGTAATTCAATGTAATACTGGAAGTTCTAGCCAGCAAAATAAGGCAAAAATAAAACAAAATGCATACAAATCAGAAAGGAAAAATATTAACTATCTCTATTTGTATATGACATGATAATCTATTTAGAAAATTATAAGGAGTCTACCAAAAAAACTGTCCAGATCTAATAAATTATTTCAGCAAATTTTCAGAATACAAGATCAGCACCATAAGTCAGTTATATTTTTATATACTAGCAATAAAGAAGTAAAAGCTAAAATTAAAAATGCAATAACACTTGTAATCATGCAAAATAAAGAAGAATTACTTAGGTACAAATCGCACAAACATGTATAGGACTTGTATACTGAAAGTTACACAATGCTGATAAAAGAAATCACAGAAGATCCAAATAAATGAAGAGGCATACCGGGTTTGTAGATTGGAAGACCCAACATAGTAAAGATGTCCATTATCTTCAAATTTGAAATACAAATCAAACGCAATTCCTATCAAAATCTAAGCAAGATATTTTTGTAGGTATAGACACATTTATTTTAAAATTTGTGTGGAAAGACCAAAAAAAAAATAGCTAAAGCAATTCTTAAAAAGAATAAACTTCTCTTAACTGGCAGGCAGTTCCTATTTTCTGTGGTGGAAGTTCAGCCTTTGGCCGTAGCTGACTGGACAAAGAGAGGTTAAGTCATTAGACAGCCTGTGACCCAAAGGGAGAGCTTAAAGAAATGATCTGGATGAACAAAATTCTCTATCTTGGGAATCTGAACTGAGAGATACAGAGATACTGCAGTTAGTTTTGAAAGCAGATCTGAAAATTCATGTACAGTCAGGACTAAGTAAATGATTAAAGGTCACAGGCAAGAAGGAAGTAAAGAGGAATGAATATTTATGGTAGCAGAGGGCGCACACCAGTCAGGAGGAAACATGAGGTGTATAGAGAGACACAGGAAGCACGACAGAGACCACTCTTGAGAGAGTAGCTTTTGCTCCTTGTGTCTTTCCAGGTACCAGGAAGCCCAGCTGTGCTGTAGTTCCTGCTCTTAGATTTCTGTGGGATTCCTCAGAGTATTTTTACAACATCGCCTCATCTTGGGTTTGCCTGATCTGGGCTGTGTCCCCTCTACCATACAAGCTGTAACGAACATACTACAGTAGGCAGATCTCTCTGCTGCTTAAAATAATAAAACAATGGAGGTGGCAAGATGTGTACATTTGTGCTATCTTGTCCGTCTGTTCTTCCCTCCTTGCAGCCTCCTTAGAATGGGGTCTTGTTCTCCTGCCAGCTTCCTTGGCTTCTGATCAAGTGAATCCCCTCAAGTGAATTCAGAGGAGGAGAAAGTCGGTCAGGGGTGGGCCTCTTGTTAGCTCCTGGTGTGCTGTAGAGTACTTGAGCTATTCAGTGGTCTTGTGGGAAAGAGAGAAGGATGGGGGCGTGCCCAGATTCTTTACTTTTGTGTAGCATTTAAAATATCCTCTTACTGATGGTAGTGCAGTAGAGAGAGCAAAATTGCCTGGTCCTGTAAGGAAAATAAGTGGGAAAAGCGGCTTGATGGAATGTATGCAGCCTGGGATGAGAGTCAGCTAGCTGGATTCTGGCCTTGGCTCTGTCACTTCATCCATGTCACTTTATTCAGGCTTGGTTGTTCCATCTGTAAAGTGGGGGATCATAACCATTTCACATGAAAAATAGTCATAAATTGCAAAAAAAAAATGTGTTGTGTCCCTGCATGTGATCTGGCTTCTGCCCCAATCTCCCTCCACTCTCTTTGCTCTCTTGCTTCAGTCATGCTGGCCTCCTTTCTGTCTCATGGACCTCCATGGATCCCACCTCAGGGCCTTTGCAACAGCATTTCGCTTTACCTAGAATACTATTCTCCCGGGTATTCTCCTATTTCCTTTTTCTCCAGGTCTCTGTATTGATGTGTCTGTCTCCTTTTGTCTGTGTCCCCTCCTAGAATGTAAGCGCCAGAGGAATAGGGGCTTGTTTTGTTCACCATTATACCACTAGTGCCTGGAGTGCAATAGTGGCTTAATTAATATTTATTGGATCAGTAGGGGGATTACTTCTGGCCTGATTACTTGGTATTGGGTTTCTAAAGAAATGCCTTCTTTATGCCACGTAGTGAGAAGAAGTTCAATCACAAATCAGTAACTTCACTTTTCAGCTATTAATATCATCCTGAGCTGCTGCCCTGTGTCTTCTGATGGGGGCTCGTATTTGCCTCCTCCATTGGCTTCTCTGGCTAGGGTATCTAAATGAATGTAGCATAACTCCTTCAACTGATACTCTCATGAGTTTCCATTTGGATCTTTTTTCCAACTTTTCCAGGTTCTTACTTATAAGGTGTTCCACAGCAGTCACCTGCAAAGGGAACTTTACATATAATGCATGGTCTGTATTTTAAGTCAGAGTAACTTAAGTATAACTTCCAGTAACTTGCAGTATAATAAAAATACAACTAGTTATGCCAGAAAAACTGACAGAAACCTTTTTCTCTTTTCTTCTCTCTCTCATACAAACACCTATAAAACATATATATATATATATATATGCACACACACATACATATGGAATTAATGACTTCTCTTTTAATTTTTTTAGGAAATTAAAATGAAAATATTTTGTATATCCGAAAACTATTATAGGCTTGAGGACTTCTCTTTAAGTAGATTTACTTCACTCACCCCCTCATTAACTCATTTGTTATTCAGTGAATATACAAAGTGTTTAAGGGATTTAGAAGAATCTTCATCATCGTCACCATCATATTAATAACCAACAATATTTGAACATTTTTGTGTGCTTGGTATTGCATTAAATTCTCCGTATGTCATATCTCTTTCATCCTAACAACAGTCCTATGAGGAATACACTATTATTATCTTCATGCTGGAGACGTGAAAACCAAATCTTAGAATGGATAAGTAACTTTTACAAGATTATACAGCTAGTAGGTGGCAGAGCTGCATTTCCAACCCCAGACCTGTGTGATAGAAAGCCCGTCACTGCTCAGGAATCTTGTGCTCATCTGTATTTATCAGGATTGTTGGTGAAGATTAAAAGAGATGATATGTGCATAGCTACTAGCACAATACCTGATCCATAGAAGACCCTCAATATATGGAGGCTTCTGTTGTTATAATCTAAGAAAACTTCATGGCAGAATTATTCCTCAGTTCATGTAAATTTCAGAAGCTTCAAACCTGGTTTGTGTGTGTGTGTGTGTGTGTGTGTGTGTGTTTGGGTGTATATCTATCTCTTTCAACTAAAACTTAATGTTTGTGATTTTTATTGTATTTTTAGAACTTACAAAGCCCTTTGTTTTATAAAGAAAAAAATGGCCACTTTTTTTTTCTGTAATCAACTGGAACAATATGATGGAACTCATGGTAGGACTTTCCTTACTAAAGAGAAAAAGTAGCTTTTAAGGGATACATAAATGGGTGTTTCCAGGTTTTTCCTACCTGTCTTTTATGGGGATACTCTGTCTGTCTTATACTAAGTGCACCTTAAAGAAGTGTTAACAAAATGAATAAATACTCCTGAATAAATACTCCTGAGTCCTTTCCTTGTGAACATTTCAAAGAATCATTCGTACTTTGCAACTTGTGCTTTTCCAACCTTGAGATTTTTACCAAACAGCAGGAAATGAAGGGTTGATAAGATAACCTTTTTCAAGGGCATCGAATAGATACATGGAGTAGCAAGCCCTATGGGCAAGAGGCTGGGAATCTGGGGACCTGAGTTCAGCTTCTGTGGGCTTGAGTTACCATTGTCAAGCCTCGTTACACCACACTACTCTTCCTTACATATTCCCCCTCACATCTCAGAGGATTGTATATTCCTTAATAATGGTATAATATTCTCTCTGTTCCTGGTAATTAGTACAGAGCCTGGTATGTGACTGTCTGCATGGGATAGTGGGGGGAAAAGTGAACTCCAGGGAGTCAAGTCAGGAAACCTGGGAACAGGGAAGGTTGGTGACCATTGGGTTTCTATTAGTATCCTGTGTTTACTTTGAGAGTCCTCTATTTTAAGCAAATTGGAAAGACCCAGGGGAAGAGGAACCAAATGACTGAAAGAAAAATATGTGAATCTGTGGATTAGTTAGCTAAAGGTCTTCCACGACTCCACTTAACTCAGAGGGAGAGAAATTGCTTTCCTTTAGTGCCGTGCATTTTTCATCTGTTTGTGTTTGAAGAGCAAAACAAAATTGGATCCTCTTCAGGGCCTGAAACCCAGTGGGTGATCAGGGAATACGTGTGGAATGAATGATTCAGTTTTTTCCTCCTGGGTTGCTGATTCCTTGTTAGCCAAGATACTATCTTTTCAAGGGCTGGGCTAAGAGGTTTGAAGGGTGCATGAAGGTTGATTTGTAAATTAGGAATAGTAACTATTTAATATAAAGGAAGATACCTCTACTGAGTGTGTATGTGTGTGTGTGTGTGTGTGTGTGTGTGTGTTTGTGTGCAAGAGAGGGAGACAGAGAATAATATTAAAATAAAATCTTTCTTGGAAGGAAATTATTTCCAAACCACAAAATAATTTGACACAGCTTTAAAAGAGCAACTGAAAGTATTGCTGGGCGTGGGACTGGGGCCACTGGGAGGGCATCTGTGATGATTTGAGTAACTGGGTGTGGGCACTGGAAGCTCTCAGGATGGATCCAGCCTGTGATTCCTAGTTGCCTGTTGCCCTCTGCTGGTGAAACTGTTGTCATCCCAGGAAACTGAAGACTCACGAGTTCTCAGGTGCCTTTTTATCTGGGGGAGAACCTAGGCTCCATCTCCTCAATTGGGGAAGTGATAATGGTGCTGAGGAAAAGTGGCAACTGGAAGAGATGCACAGACTCCTTCGCCAGGGAAGACGGGCTCTCACAACAGAGGGAATGGATCTCATGGTTCTATATTTTTCATTCTGTGACCTGCTCATTTGTTGAGCCCTTACTCTCTCTTTGACTCTTTGCTGAGCACAGTGAGGAGACACAGATAAAAATAAAGCACTGATTCTACACTAGAGAGGCATCCATTTAATATGCGTGGAGGGAGGAATGGGTAGGATAGAAAGCACTGTAACATAGAGAAAACTGTGATTAGGGCCACAACTGAAGCACTGATAGAGGCATGTGCACATTGATTGATTGATTGATTGAAGGAGACAGGGTCTCATTTTGTACCCCAGGCTGGAGTGCAGTGGTGCTACAATAGCTCACTGCAACCTCAAACTCCCGGACTGAAGTGGCCCTCTCACCTTGGCCTCTCAGGTAGCTGGGACTATAGCCGCGGACCAACACACCCAGCTATCTTTCTTATTTTTTTATTTTTAGTAGAGACAAGGTCTCCCTGTGTTGCCCAGGCTGGTCTCAAACTCCTGGGCTCAAGTGAGCCTCCCACCTCAACCTCTCAAAGTGTTGAGATTACAGGCCTGAGCCACCACGCTTGGCCTTGTGCATATTTAAAGGGAGGAAAGATATTAGCCACTTGTGGGTAGGGGAGGTGAGGGTAAGTTTCCATGGAATAGACAGCATTTAAGCTGCAAACCTATGGATGGGTAATTTATTTAAAAAATGCCACTGATATCAAAAAGTTTAATGTGTTTATGGTCAGAAAAAGTAAACTCTGGCAAATAAAAGCATAAAAAGTAATAAAAGTCACCTGAAATTCCACCACTTACAAATAATCACTGTTAACATTTTGATATGTGGATTATTTTGTTGTTGATACAAAATCGGAAGGATACCGCAGGTAACATTCTGTATCCTGCTCTTTCTCACTATTTTGGCATGAACATTTCCGCAATGTTACTGATTGTTTATTGACAGAAAATACGTTATTTTGTGGGGTACTATTGCAATATATAAACCTGAAAGTCGGGTTCCCCAAACAGCATGAACCAAGGCATATAGGTTGTGCAGTGCCAGGATAGCTTGTGTTTTTAGTAATTCATTTCAGAAGTATGTTTTGGATACTACAACCTTGGAGACACAAGGCTAAGAACTGAATTTGTATTTTCAGAGTTTACAGTATAGGAGGGGAGACAGACATTAATTATGTAATCATAGAAATAACTATACAATAGCATCCAAGGTAAGTACCATAAGTGGGAAATATGTGTGGTCTGAAAGTGTATATCAGAAAGAAGACAAGTAGCCACAGAGGTTTGAGAAGGCTTGCTGGAGTAAAGGGTAATGGAGCTCAGCTCTGTCAGAGTTAACTAGGTGGAGATTCATGAACAACATTGCCAGCAGAGGGAACAGCATGTACAAAGGCCTTTAAGTTGGAGGGGGCACAGTGAATACAAGGATCTGAAAGAAGATAAAGGAAATGGAGTGGAGGGACTTGGCCTGAGAGGGAATTGAAGAAGTAGGTAGAGCTTGACCCTGCAGAAACTTTTAGACCAGGGTAAGGTTTTTGTAATTTCTCAGAAAAGCAAGAACTGTTGAAGTGTTTTGAACCAGGGTAGGGCGGTAAAGATGAGGTTTGCTTTTTTTTTTTTTTTTTCCAAAGGATCCCCTCACTGCAGTAGGGTGAAGGGATTGGAAGGCAGCAAGAGTATATGTAAGTAAATCAGGTTTGGGTGACTAGTAACCCAAGCCTAGAGTGAGAGTGATTGCAATCATCTAGGCAGCAGATGATGAAAGACTGAATTAGAAGAGTGAAAGGGAAGATGGAGAGAGGTGGGTGGTGTTGACATCTTTATCTTAGGAGTAAAATTTGTAGGACTAGGCATGGAATGTGAGGAAATACGGTGAGTCTGAATGACTCCCAGGTCTCTAGCTTGAATAACTGGATGGAGGGAGGGTTCTTCCCCAAGCTAGGGGACACTGAAAGGGGACAAGGGCGGAAAAAGACAGTCTTGATTGTTGTTCTGAAGAAGTTTGCTAGAAGGAAAAATTCTAGGAATGGTGTGTCTCATCACATCAGCTTCTTGCAGAGGTTGGTTTTACCATGTTTACAAACCACACTGAAGGGTCCACTTTTGAAAGGTTGGTAGTACTGAGGAGAAAGCAAACACTATGCCTGGATATGGTGTCTCAGTACCTGTGTCGAGTCCCTGCACCACTGTTTGTTGGGTGCAGAGCATTGAACAAGTCATTTTAAGGATCTGTAGACCTTAGTTTGTCTTCAAAATGAGGGTAATAACATTTAGACCAAAGGGTTCTTGTGAAGATTAAAGGACAATGTTGATATTCAAGGACCTTGTAAACCTTTCTGAGCTGTACAAACACAATATATCTTTATTCCTATATTTGTTGTTATTGCCACTTAAAGCTCAATGCTATTAATGTTTGGAATATGCAATTTAATGTTTCTCCATGAGTTCTTAGGGGAGAAAGTGTGAATGATGTCTAAATAAATCAATACACAACCCAGGAACTTGAGATGGTGGCCCCAAACTATTTATAAGCCTGTATGTTTACTTGAATTTAGATATTCCTGACATGTAAATTATGCAGAGTTTGTGTCAGAGCAGAGCACTCTGTATTCCTAAAAAGAATCCTCCTTTTTTTCTGAATCCTTTACCTTTTAAAATACATCTCATTATGGAGTGCTGACATTTTCAGTAAAACCATTCAACCAAAAGCTGCAGTTTTTTTAGACTAAAACAAGTCTGGTTTATTAGGCAGCAGCTTATAACTTACTGCTAAGTAGATGCAATCTATTTAGGGAAGTTTATGTAGATATCTGATAAGAAATTTTAGTCTTCATCTCTTTCTGACTAAGACTGAGAATGTCAAGCAGACTCTCAAGAATTTCCTCTTTCTCTCAAAGTGGAGGAGGAGGAGGTGACTATCACTGTTTGGAGGTGAGTATCCACTGGATGGAAACTGTTGAACCAAGACTTAAACTTTATGCCATTTCCTTTCACAATACCACTAACTGTACTATGGTATTCTAGCTGAGTGATTTTGGCCATAACCTTCTTCAAAGGGTTGTGGTAAGATATAGAACTAATACTTATGAATATATAATGGCAGGCATATACTAGGACCTCAATTAATGACCTCATTCTTCTTTTCTTCCTTTTTCTGCTTCTCCTTTCTTTCTTTCACTTCTGTCTCCCTTTTTCTGTCCTTTGTATCTTCTTCTCTGTGTCCTCCTATTGATTCAACTCCTAACTGCATCTTGCCTATCTGTCTTTAGACTGCACTGTGAAGTGGTACATAATTGGGTTACCCAAGTCACTTAGTGACACAGGTCCCTTCCAGCAATAGTAACAGCTAACTTATAAAGCCTTAACAGAGAATTATTTCTTTTAATCTTCTCCCCAAATGGATGATGTGAGTACTAGTATTGTCTTCATTTCACAGACGTGGAACCTGGGCCATAGAAAGGTTAAAAGTCCAATATTACAGAGTTAGTAAGTGATAAAGCTGCAGATTTCCACCTCCAGCCTCACACCACCAAAAGTCTCCCAAAATGGTGATAACTGGAACTTATTTATCCACTCAATAGATATGTATTTACTGCAGGCTATTTGACTGAAGGGGATGGAGTGAATAGCCCAACAGACACAGTCTCTGCCTTCATGGAACACACATACACACACATGCACACACACGCACACACACACACGCACTCACACACACAGGGTTGGTGCTCAGCCTACTCAGCTTGTACTTATTAGCATTTCCCTACCTTCAGTATTGTGGTGTATATTCTGATTGGTCAGTGCCCACATGGTACCCATTGCTAAGCATTTTATACTTCATTTCTTCTTACAAACTGTGATAAATGCTGCAAAGAGGAAAATATGTCTGCTTTGAGAAAATACAATGAGGCCAAGTTTATACAGGAGTTTAGGAAATCCTCTTTGAATGAGGCATTTGAACCATGACTTGAACAATGAGTGGTTTCAGCGTACTCTGAGATGACCCTGAGTAGAGGCCGGATTATACAGGCGTGTAGTCCATGTTATGAACCTAAAATCAAGGGGATGCTATTTAATAAAGTGAACAAGGAGTGACATCATTCAGTTTGTATGTTAAGAATTGCACTGTGGTTACTGTGTGGAGAATGGTGAGAATGGGGTGTCCATGCCATTTACACATTAGATTGATTCTGTGTGGTGAGGATTTAGACATGAATTGGTCATCAATCAACATTTTCAGTTTTTTAGGGAAAAACAAAACATGTACCAAAACAATTCTAGTGTAAGTCTCGAAGTGCTGTATCCTAAAGGCTACAGTAGGCAGATAGCAAAAGTGCTGTCGGTCTGGGGAATTATGAACCATGTTCACTCTCTTTTAACAAGAAGCTATTGTATTTTATTTCTGTTCTCTCTGTTGGAGAAATTCTGAATTCTCAGTCAGAATGTTACATGTGTGTCCTGGAAGGCTCTCACATCTGAGGCCAATTAATTCAGTAAACACTTATCTAGTTTATCTACTTATCTACTTTACTCTGGTTCATAAAAATCTCACTTCACTTGTTTCACTACATTTCTACCACAAGGATATGGTAGGATGAGCTGCAAATAGGAATGAGATAACTTGGAAGACAGCGGACCTGTGTTCCAGTCTCCGACTTACTTCCAGTCAGCAGTGCAACCTTCGGAAATTAGTGTAGGCTAGTTCGTAGTGAGTAAATTTGTGGTACGGATTCAGCTAGAACAAAGAGATATTTTTGGTGTCCATGAAGGAAGATGTCCTCTATGAAGTTTTCTAGAGAACTGGGAAAATGTTGGGAAGTATGAGTCAGTTGACTGCTAACACAACACACACTGGGTATTCCCCTAATGGATTCCATCGTGGGTAATCAACTATCTTTGAGTTCTGGGATGATAAAATATTTCTCCATCATCTTCCACCTTTCCTCCTTCTTTAGTCATGGGACCAGACTGAGTGGGGTAGTGGTGTGGTATTAGGTATTTCTCAGCCCCTCTCTCTTCTGAGTTGATCAAACTTCACTGTTTTCTGTGCTAGGAGAGATGTGAAGGTCATTGCTTTTAACTTAGGCTGTGTCATCAATTTTTATTTGCTATGATGATTCCTATAGGATAGACCACTGGAACAATGAGAAGGAGAGAATTCTACTGGTCACAGACAAGACTCTCTTGATCTGCAAATACGACTTCATCATGCTGAGTTGTGTGCAGCTGCAGCGGATTCCTCTGAGCGCTGTCTATCGCATCTGCCTGGGCAAGTTCACCTTCCCTGGGATGTCCCTGGACAAGTGAGTATATATCTTATACTTGAAGAAGTGGTGCAGCAGGGATGGACCTGCAGGGAAAACAAGCCGAAAATTCAGTTTGGCCCTGTAAACTGGGAGAACCCAAGGGAGGATAGTGAAATCATGAAAGTTGAAATCATTAAACTAGAGTTCCTACTCTATGTCAGCCTCCAGGGATACAACTTTAAGTAAATATATTAGTTCGTTTTCACACTGCTCATAAAGACATACCCCAAACTGGGAATACAAAAAGGTTTATTGAACTGACAGTTCCACATGGCTGGGGAGGCCTCAGAATTATGGCGGGAGGGGAAAGTCTCTTCTTATATGGCCGCAGCAAGAGAAAATGAGGAAGAAGGAAAAGTGGAAACCCCTGTTAAACTCATCAAGTCTCGTGAGACTTATTCACTATCAAGAGACTGGCATAGGCAAGACTGGACCCCATGGTTCAATTACCTCCCCCTGGTTCCCTCCCACAACACATGTGAATTCTGGGAGATACAATTCAGGTTGATATTTTGGTGGGGACACAGCCAAACCATGTCAGTAAATTTGTATTTTAGTATGAGGACGTGACAAATAAATAGCTAATGTAAGGAAGAAAGAGCTGTGGGAACATGGGGAAAATGCACTCAACCTAATTTGTGTGTCACGTAATCAGAGAAAACTTTCAGAAGAAACACTTGAGCCAATATTTAATATTGGGCAGGAGTTAGCCAAAGAAGGAGAACCAAAGGGGAAGAACATTCCAAAGCGGTAGCTAAAAAGAGTAATGCCTCTGGGAATTGAAATTATTCTGTAAAGCTCAGTGGATAGAACCAAAATGGGTAGTAGCTCTTCTTATAAAATGTCTCTTGGGATCATTCCTGGAAGTTCAGTGACGTAGGGGTGGTGAGGTGTGTCAACTGTTTCACAGATGTTGACAATTACCAAGAGACTTGGTGAGGTCTACAGAGGAGAATGCTGAATTAGGTAAGTTCCTGTCATAGTCTTCGAGGCATCTGCCTTTACTAAACATTTTAGATCTAAGCAAGAGAAACAACAGTCTTTCTCTAAGACTGAATGTGAGGTCTTCCCATTGAACCGTGAATTCCTTGCGGGCAAATGTTGATTTTGTTGTCCTTTAAGCACCTGGCATTAGGACTAGCACATAGTAGGGTCTGAAATCTTTTCAATATACAGAAAAAAGCACGAGTTCATCAAGTGACTTGCTTTCCTTACACTATGCATACTACATAAAAAACTTATTTTTGCTTACTCTTTTCATGGATGCAAAAAGTGATTAATTTATTAAGTTCATTAGCTTTTAAAACTGTTGATTTTTTTCAATAATAATATTACACATTGTAAAATATATATTTAAATATTACAAAAATGTTCATTTTCAGGAACTCTCTCTTCTACACCAGACCCTCGGTTCTTCAGCCTTCCCTCCATGGGTGATAGTCAACAGTTTCTTGTGTATTTTTAAATAAATAGTCTATAAATATAAAAGAATAAAAAGTTCTGTATTAGTCCATTGTCACGTTGCTGATAAAGATATACCTGAGATTGGGCAATTTACAAAAGAAAAAGATTTATTGGACTTACAGTTCCACGTGGCTGGGAAGGCCTCACAATCATGGCAGAAGGTGAAAGGCACATCTCACACGGTGGCAACAAGAGAAGAACTTGTCCAGGGAAACTCCTGTTTTTAAAACCATCAGACCTAATGAGACTCATTCACTATCACGAGAACAGCGCAGGAAAAACTTGCTCCCATAATTCAATCACCTCCCACCGGGTTCCTCCCACGACACATGGGAATTGTGGGTGTTACAATTCAAGATGAGATTTGGGTGGGGACATAGTCAAACCATATCAAGGTCTCTCTGTGTACATATGCCTATACACGTTTAAAAGTACATATCTACACACATATTTATTACATATTATTTTACCTAATGAAAGCACATGTCATAAACTGTCCTGCCTCATGCTATAATATCTACCAGTGATATAACTTGGAGGTTTATATAATCATCTATAGATCAATCTCAGTGTTTTTTAATAGTGCAGAATATTACCTCTTAAGCTTAATCTATTTAGCCAGTCCCTCATTGATGTATATCTATTTTTACCGTTGCTACTACAAAGTGCTGCTACAAATATCCTTGCTTACAAGACTTTGCACAAACATGTAATTGTTCCTTTAATGTATTAATGGATTTCTAGAAGTGGAATTTTTAGGTCAAAGTCATGTAAATTTTAACCGATGAGTATTGTCAAATTGCCTTCCAAACAGGTGCTACCAATTAATACTTTCACAAAGTATCAGGGTAATCTTTTCCACACACCCACACCAATATCAAGTATTACAAAACCTTTTTACATTGCCAGTGAGATAGTAAAGAAAAGTCTCTTATTTGGGGTTCAAATTGCATCACTAGAATTTGAAGAACGATATGTGTTTTTATCCTTGGGTTAGAAAGCCATATTATTTATTTTTCTGTGAACTGCCTATTTATGACTATAGCCCATTTTTTTTTTCCTGTTGGGATGTTTAATTTTTTTCTTATTGATTTGTAAGAGCTATTTGTGTATTAGAGAACTGAATTCCTTTTCTGTCCTATATGTTGCAAATAAATTTTTCCCAGTTTGTCATATCTCTTTTAACATTATTATGCTATTTTTCATGACCTTTAGTTTTGGGGTATTGATATGGTTTGGTTGTGTCCCCACCAAAATATCAACCTGGACTCTATCTCCCAGAATTTCCACATGTTGTGGGAGGGACCCATGGAGAGGTAATTGAATCATGGGGGCTGGTCTTTCCAGTGCTATTCTTGTGATAATGAATAAGTCTCATGAGATTTGATGAGTTTATTACGGGGTTCTGCTTTTGCTTCTTGCTCATTTTCTCTTGCTGCCACCATGTAAGAAGTGCCTTTTGCTTCCTGCCATGATTCTGAGGTCTTCCCATCCATGTGAAACTGTAAGTCCAATTAAACCTCTTTTTGTTCCCTGTTTGGGGTATGTCTTTATCAGCAGTGTGAAACAAACTAATACAGGTATCAAATTTCTCATTCTTTCAAGGCTTCTAAATTTATGTCTTTTTGAGAAAAGCTTTCTCCATACTATAATTATAAAGTAAATTTCCAAGTTTTTGTCTAGTAATTTTATTTTACTGTTAACAACGAACTTATATTTCATCTAAAATTTGCCTTGAGTAAAGAAGAAGGTATGCAATCAACTTGAATTTTTATCCAGATGGCAGGCTAGATTTCTCGATATCATATATTTGATATTTTATGTTTATTATTTTATAATGTAGTACTTTTCTCTGTGTGTTTCTGTACCTGGATTTTCTATTCCATTCCATTTGTGTCTCTTAAAGCTCAAAATGGTTTTAATTATTATAACCTTATATTATGTGTCAATATCTGGTTGAGTTATTCCCCATTTATTAATCGTTTTTTATTTATGCATATTTATTTTTTAATCAGCTTGTCTAATGTTTGAAAGTCTTATTTTTATTAAGATTTTCAAATATTAAGTCAGTTCTTCATTCCTAAGGTAAACATGTTTGGTTGTGACATATTATTCTTTTTATGCATTAGTGGATTTAGTTTGCTAATATTTTATGGATAATTTTTGTGCCTGTGTTCATGAGGGGTATTAGTCTGTTATTTTCATTTTTTAAAATGTTTTTGCTAGGTTTTCATATTTTGGCTATGCTGCCATCATAAAACAAGTTGGAAAATGTTCCCTCCTCTTTTATTTTTTAAAAGATTTTTTATATGAGTGGAGTTATCTTTTCATTGACTGTTTGATAGAGTTAATAAGGGAAATCTTGGCCTGATCATTTCTTGGTGGGAAATTCTCATAATAAAGTTAATTTCTTTTATAAATATTGTGTTTATCATAATTTTTTCTCCTCAGGAGGCCCTCCCATCACAGGTCCTGAGGCCTAAGAGGACTAATTTTTTTATTTCATATTAATTTTGATAAATTATATTTTTAAAGGAATTTGTTGTTTATTTAAGTTGTTGCAGCTGAAGGCATAAAGTTGTTAATAATATTTCCTTATAATCCCTTTAATGTCCATAAGATATTTAGTGATATCTTCTTTCTTTCCTCATATTGGTGATTTTATTTATTCTCTCATTGGTATAAAGAAATATTTAAGACCAGGTGATTTATAAAGAAAATAAGTTTAATTGGCTTATAGTTCTGCAGGTTATACAGGAAGCATAATGGATTCCACTTCTGTGGAGGCCTTAGGAAATTTCTAATCATGGCAGAAAACAAAGGGGGAGTGAGGCATCTTGCATAGTGGGAGCAGGAGCAAGAGAGAGAGGGGTAGGTGCTACATACTTCTAAGTGACCAGATCTCACTATTGTGAGGACAATACAAAGAGGATGATACCCATTCCTGCTAAATCTGCCCTCATAATCCAATCACCTCCCATTAGGCCCCACTTCTAACACTGGGGGTTTAGTCCTCCTAGGCCTCAGGACCTGTGATGGGAGGACCCCCCAAGGAGGTCTCTAAAATGCCTGTGAGTTGTTTTCCCTATTGTCCTGGCTATGAGCATTTGCTCCTTTTTATATATGCAAACTTCTGAAGCCTACCTGAATTCTTCCCCTGAAAATTGGCTTTTTTTTTTCCTACCATATGGCCAGTCTTCAAATTTTCCAACTTTTATGCTGTTTCTTCTTTAAACATGAGTCCAACTTTAAGTCATTTCTTTGCTCATATGTATGAGTATAGGTTCTTAGAAGCAGCCAGGTCACATCTTGAATGTGTTGATGCTTAGAAATTTCTTCCACTAGATAATCCTAAATCATCACTCTCAAGTTGAAACTTCCACAGATACCTAGGGCAGAGGCACAGTGCAGCCAAGTTCCTTGCTAAGGCATAACAAAAGTGACCTTTGCTCCAGTTCCAAATAAGTTTCTCATTTACATTTGAGACTTAATTAGCCTGGCTTTCACTGTCTATATCACTATCAGCATTTTGGTGATAACCACTCAGCCAGTCTCTAGAAAGTTCCAAACGTTTCCTCATCCTCCTGTCTTCTTCTGAACCCTCTAAACTCATTCAACCTCTGCCTGTTACCCAATTTCAAAGTTGCTTCCATATTTTTAGGTATCTTTATAGTAATGCCCTATTCCTGGTACCAATTTTCTGTATTATTCTGTTCTCTCATTGCTATAAAGAAATATCTGCGACTGGGTAATTTATTAAAAAAAGAGGTTTGCCGTGTGCAATGGCTCACACCTGTAATCCCAGCACTTTGGGAGGCCAAGGTGGATGGATCACTTGAGGTCAGGAGTTCGAGACCACCCTAGCCAACATGGTGAAACCCCGTTTCTATTAAAAATACAAAAATTAGCCAGGCATGATGGTGCATGCCTGTAATCCCAGGCTGAGACAGGAGAATTGCTTGAACCTGGGAGGTGGAGATTTCAGTGAGCCAAGATCGAGCCACTGCACTCCAGCCTGGGTGACAGAGATGAGACTCCATCTCAAAAAAAGAAGAAAAAAAAGAGGTTTAATTGGTTCAGAGTTCTGCAGACTATACAGAAACTTCTGTTTCTAGAGAGGCCTCAGGAAGTTTCCAATCATGGCAGAAGGAAAAAGGGAACAAGGCATCTCACATGGTAGGAGCAGGAGCAAGAGAGAAAGTGGGGAGATGCTACACACTTTTAAATGACCAGATCTTACAAGAACTCACTCACTATCATGAGGAGAGTACCAAGAGGATGGCATTAAACCATTCCTGAGAAATAGGCCCCCATGATCCAATCATCTTCCATCAGGCCCCACCTCCAACACTGGGGATTACAATTCAAGATGAGAATTGGTGGGGACACAGATCCAAACCATATCAGTGATCTGTGTCTTCCCTCTTTTTTCTCTTCTGTTGATGATCATACCAATTCTGTTGGTTTTTAACAAGATCATGCTTTTCACTTGGTTAACTTTTACTATTGTTTTGCTAATTACTAATTAGTTGATCTCTATCTCTGCTCTCTTTTTTTGTTGTTGAGGCAGTTTCACTCTTGTTGCCCAAGCTGGAGTGCAACGGTATGATCTTGGCTCACCGCAGCCTCCACCTCCGGAGTTCAAGCGATTCTCCTGCCTCAGCCTCCCAAGTAGCTGAGATTACAGGCAGGTGCCACCATGCCCAGCTAATTTTTTGTATTTTTAGTAGAGATGGAGTTTCTCCATGTTGGTCAGGCTGGTCTTGAACTCTCGACCTCAGGTGATCCGCCTGCCTTGGCCTCTCAAAGTACTGGGATTACAGGTGTGAGCCACTGCGCCCGGTTCATTTCTACTCTTTTCCTTATTATTTCCTTTCTTCTACTTTGGGTTTACTTTTTCTTTTTTTAACTTCTTGAAGTGCAGCCCAAGGTTATTGATTTTAAACTTTCCTAATATGAACATCTACAGTTATAAATTTCCTTTTAAGTACTACTTTTGCTGCTTCCCAGAGATTTTGATATGTTGTGTGTCTATTATCATTTAGAGATATTTTTAAATTTTTCTTGTGATTTTCCTCTTGACCCATGGATGCATTGTAAGTTGTATTGGCTAATTTCCAAATATTTCAGGTTTTTATAGATATCTTAATTATACTTAATTCTAATTTAGAGAGCATACTGTCTTTAATTTTATTCCTTACTGATACTTTCGGATTTGTTTTATGAAGCTCATTATGATATATCTTTGTGAATTTGTCATGTACACTTGAATTTTATTTGTAGTTTTTTACAAATATCAATTGGGATATTGTGTTTGATAATGCTATTTAGATTATATATATTTTTACTGATTTTTTGTGTAGTTTTTTAATAGTTACTGAGTGGAGTGCAAAAATCTATCACTGTGGAATTTTCTAGTTTTCTTTTTAATTTTGTTAACTTTTGCCTCACATATTTTGAGTCTATTATTAGGTGCATGCACATTTATGATTGGTGTCTTTCTGGTGAATTGAGCCTTTTTTTCATTATGAAGTATTCTTTATTTCTGGCAAAATTCTATGTTATAAAGTTTATTTTAAAATCTGACATTATTGTAACTACTGTGTCATCTTTATACTTACTGTTTGTATAGTGATATGATTTGGCCGTGTCCTCACCCAAATCTCATCTTGAACTGTAGCTCTCATAATCCCCATGTGTCGTGGGAGGGACCTGATGGGAGGTAATAGAATCATGGGGGTAGATTTTTCCCATGTTTTTCTCTTGATAGTGAATAAATCTCAATATATCTGATGGTTTTATAAAGGGCAGTTCCTCTGCACATGCTCTTTTGCTTGCCACCATGTAAGACGTCCCTTTGCTCCTCCTTCACCTTCCGCTATGATTATAAGGCCTCCCCAGCCACTTAGAACCGTGAGTCCATTAAACTTTTTTCTTTATAAATTACCTAGTCTTGGGTATTTCTTCATAGCAGTATAAAAAGGGAGTAATACACATAGCATGTTTTTTTTATCCGTTTACTTTCTACTTATTTATGTCTTTGTATTTAAAGTGTGTTTGTTGTAGAAATCACACAGTTGGCTCATGCTTTTAATCCATGACCTGCAAGATAATGTTATAACTTGTGCTTTAATAAATCATAAGTATTTCAAAGAAATTTAGATAAAATAGTCTTTTATATTTACTTAGATATTAACATGTATGATATTCTTCATTTCTTCCATAAGATTCATTTCCCTTTAATGTCATTTTTCCTATACATGAAAAATTACATTTTAGCATTTCTTGTAGTATAATCTAGTGGTGATACATTCTCCTAGTTTTTCTTTCTGAAAATACTTTTATTTAGTCTTAATTCTTGAGGAATATTTTCTCTAGTTATAGAATTTGGCTTGAGATTGTTACTTCTTTCTTCTTTCAGAACTTTCAAGACGTTGTTCCACCATTGCTTGGCTTCCATCTCTGATGAGAGGTCCACAATGATTTGAACTGCTATTCCTCTTTATGTTCTCTGGCTGCTTCACATTTTATCTTTATCTTTAGTTTTTAGAAATTTGACTTTGATGTGCTACATGTGCTTCTTTTTGTATTTACCTTGTTTGAGATTATCTAAGCTTCTCACATCTGTAAATTTATCTTTCAACAAGTTTCGGAGGTTTGGGGCTATTACTTTTTATTTCATTTTTTCTTTCTATTTGTTTTCCTGGTACTTAAATTACACATATGTTAGACTTTCTGATACTGTCCCACAAGTCTCTGAAGCTCTATTTTTTACCATTCTTTTCTGTGACTTATCTTCAAATTGGATAATTTTCGTTTATCTATCTTTATGTTCACTGAAATTTTTCTTTGTCATTTAATTCTGCTATTAAATCTATCCAGTATTTTTCATTTCAAATATTATACCTTTTTCTTTTAAAATATCCATGTAGTTCTTTAGTATAGGTTTTATTTTCTTAAGAAATTTTATATTTTTATTGTTTATAAGCATAGTTTCTTTTACCTAAGTTAGCATAATTACAATAATTGCTTTAAAGTTCTTTCTGATAATTTCAATCTCTTGTTCATCTCAGGATTGCTTCTGTTGACTGTCCCTTTTCTTGAGAGTGGTTCATATTTTCTTGTTTTTTTGGTATGTAAAATACTATGGGATTTATTCCTCCTTGAAATTGTGGAGACTACTTACTCTCCAAAGTCTTCAGGTAGTTTTTTTGGTTGTTTGTTTTTTTGGCAAAGTGGGGAGTGGAAGAATGGGTTTTATTCACTTATCAATTGTGTCTGTGGAATTTCAAGTTATTATTTTCAGGAAAAGCAGTCTGCTGGGAATCTATGCCTAGTTACTGAATTTTATCAAACGTTTTTGCTGCGTCTTTGAAGATGATCATATATTTACTTTTCTCCTTAGGTTTAATTAAAAATGGTCACACATTTCTTATTATTGAAACATTTTGGCAGGTTCAAGGTATGAATACTACCTGGAATTAGTATATACTTATTAATATACTATTGAATATTAATATGCTATTGAATATTAATTGCAAGTATTAATAGGTTTTTGCATTAATATTCATGTTTAATTGACATATAGATTTTTTTTTTAATTGGGCTATCCTTGTAAGTTTAGTTTCAATGTTAGATAATTTTCTTAAAAACTACTTTCTCTTTATTCTCTATTGACTTTATTAGATAAACAAATGGCTTTATTTGTTACTTAGAAGTTTGGTGTGTTTCACCTATGAAAATGCCTGAACCTGGTGCTTTTAAAGGAAGATAAACACTACAACTTTCTCAATTTTCTCTGTAGCACTGGCATGTTTAAATTTTTTTTCTTTCTTTTATGATAAGTTTCAGTCATTTATGTCTTATTAGAAGATCACTTAGTTTTGTTCAGGTTTGTAAATATTCACTCATTTGAGAAAGCCTAAAAGAGGTAATTAAAGTAATAATAAAAGTTTATTTTGCAGATAATTACTTTCTTCCTTGTGTGAGGATTCTGTTAGCTAATGATTGTTTGATAGATTTTAAAGTACCACTTCTTTTGGGTTTACTTGTTCACAATAGAATTCTTTTTTTTCTCATTCATTATTTTCTACATTTATCTGTATTATGTATTAATTCTATATTTGTATATATATATCTTGCATTTTATAACTTCACTTGAAATTTTAATTCATTTATGGTTATTTTTGTTAGATATATTAAGCTTTCTGACTCTTAAATTTTCTTCAGTGTGGCTTTTTCAGATACATAATAGATTTTATTATTATATTTCATATATCCTAATATTATTGTTTGTACATTTCCTCTTTGACCTGAGAATAGATTGAAGTAACTTTATTTAAAGTTGAATTTTTATGCTTTTAAATTTTGTTATTAATTTATAGTTTTATTACATTGTGTTCAGTGAATGTCTTCTCTTACTATTTCTACTCTCTGGAAATTACTAAATATGTTTACCTTTAAATTGCCAATTTTTTTTTATCAATTTCTTAAATACTTAAATGTGCTCTCTCTGCTTTCTACTTTCTCTCTCCTTGGAATTAGCATATCACTATTATACTACTTTCTTTCTTTTTGGAATTAGTATATCATACATACAGAGTTCTACATATAGAGTAAATAAATGGTAGTGAGATTAGTATATCATATATATAGAGTTCTACATATAGAGTTTCATAAGTGGTACGGAGATCTACTATCATGTTATTTAGGTATACTCTATCTTGGTCTGTTTAGTAATAAATGTTTTATATATATATATAGCTACATTTAGTTATATACATGTAATGTTTATATATATGGCTACTTGATTTGTCATAGATTGAGATAGGATAAATTTTTTTATTACTGTGGTGGATTTCTTTTACTCTAGTGACTTTACATGAATGGTGATATTGTATTTTTTGTTGTAGAAATATTCATAGATGTTGAATCTTTAGATGTAATATTTTTCATTATAGAGTTTAATTACTTTAATACCTTTCCTGATGACTATTGCAACCCTTACATTCTTTTTCTTTGAACTTTCTTGGTATATCTTTGTCTATTTTACTTTAAGCATTTTGAGTCTCTGTGTTTTTGATGTGCACTTGCATACATCCTATAATTGAATTTTACTTTGTGATCCAATCTTGGGGTCTTTTTCTTTTAATGGGTAAGATTAACCTATTTACATATATTAGTATGACAGTTATGGCCTTAATTATAATATTTTGATTTTTGTATCATATTTTTAAAATATATTACCATGTTGTCTAATTTCCTTTGCTTTTCATTGAGTGCATTTTCTTCTAACAGAGTAATCATAGGTTTCTCTTTCTACTAGTGATTGTAAGTGTAACTTAATAGTCTTAGTCTTATCTTTTTTGAGTATTATCCATTGACTCCCTGATATAAACAGGGAGTCTCCCTGATGTAAACTTCCCATTTACAAGAACATCCCAGTTCCTTCACCTTATTTTTCTACTTCTACATCATTCTTTCAAGTTGCTTATAATGGTCATTATTAGTTACTTTAATGGTTATTTATTTAGAAAATATGCTTCCAGTTTATGTGCCATCTTAGTGTTCATTAAATCTCCTTCTAAAAGATGAAAAATTTGCATATTTGTATCATTCCCATAAAATCCCACCCTTATTCTCCCTTCTTTCATTAGTTTTACCAAAGAAACTCTAATTTTTCATGGAATATTATATTTCCCATGAGACATCCAATTGTTACCACTGGGGACTGATGTAATTCCAGCCTTCCTAATTAACCTGTGCAGCTTATTCAGATTTGCAACCTGTGGTTAGAGTGGGGAAGCCTGTGCCAGCAGCTGGCATCTGTTAAGTGTAAAGGGCTTTCTCTGGCCACCCTGGGCTAGGAACATACCATGATTAAGTGATAGTTGTTTATGTACTGCTCAGGGATTTTTAGCAAACATCCATATTAAAGTACTGCCAGAGGAATCCCGGGTTCTAGTCCCACTTTTACAACTGTTACTTTATTTGTTCATCTATTAAAAGGTGACATTAATCGTCATTCTGCTTCATTAACAGTCTTATTGTTAGGTTCTAATGACATAACTTGAAAGCCCTTTGTAATGTGCCTCATAGATTTCAGGTGTTAACAAGTTCTGATTTCCGCCCCCCCCCCCCCACCCAGATTAAAGCTTTTGTTAACATGGAACTAAGTAGACTAATTTGATTGTTATCTTTACTTCTAACTTATTTGGCCCTTCTCAGGCATTAAGTCACCATTATAAGGTCAAAGGTAAGGCAGCAGCAGGCAGAGAAAAGAGTAGGAGGCAAGGAAAAATCAGCTGCTAAATAATGGCAAGCTGACTCCAAAGGAGAGCCTGGACAGAGTCTGAGCAAATTCCCTTGTTTAAAAAAAAAAAAAAAAAAAAGCAATGATTTAATCTTAGTACCCACTCGCTGTAGGTGGTAATGTTGATGCTGTTTTCAAGTGTCTTTACCTCCCTTGTGCTGTTTGACCTTCAACACCCAGGAAAAGGCAGAGCTGATTGAATACATCTTACAGGTGAGAAATGCGAGACTTACAGGTGTTCAGGGATTCATGCATCATGAGCTATTGATCGCGGGCCTTAAAATCTGTTCTTCTGACTCTCTGTCCAGTGTTTTTTTCTTTGGATATATAATCTTTTATCCTCCTCCCTCTCCTTTACTTGCCTCTCTTCCCCTCTTCTCTTCCCTCCCTCTTTCTCTCTCTCTCTCTTTCCTTACCTACAGTTGTTTTGTTTTTTTGTCCTTTCTCTTCTTCCTTCCTCTCCATGTGCTCCTCTCTGTTACTGTAACTTCTGCTTAAGAGGCCGAGAAGAGCACTATCAGAACTTAGCAGACAAGTGCCAGCATATCCATATACTGGTACTTAATAAAACAGAGTTTTGTTTTATGCAGTTTGCCTTTGGCTTAATATGAAGGAAAGGGGTGACGGCAAGAGACAAGTAAAGGCTGTGGATGATTTGTGTGAAATGAAGGCAGATTCTCTTTGAAGGGGTGGGTTGCCCCTCCACACCTGTGGGTGTTTCTCGTTAGGTGGAACGAGAGACTTGGAAAAGAAAAAGACACAAAGACAAAGTATAGAGAAAGAAATAAGGGGGCCCAGGGGACCAGCGTTCAGCATACGGAGGATCCCGCCAGCCTCTGAGTTCCCTTAGTATTTATTGATCATTTTTGGGTGTTTCTTAGAGAGGGGGATGTGGCAGGATCACAGGATAATAGTGGAGAGAAGGTCAGCAGATAAACACGTGAACCAAGGTCTCTGCATCATAGACAAGGTAAAGAATTAAGTGCTGTGCTTTAGATATGCATACACATAAACATCTCAATGCCTTACAGAGCAGTATTGTTGCCCGCATGTCCCACCTCCAGCCCTAAGGCGGTTTTTCCCTATCTCAGTAGATGGAACATACAATCGGGTTTTATACCGAGACATTCCATTGCCCAGGGACGGGCAGGAGACAGATGCCTTCCACTTGTCTCAACTGCAAAGAGGCATGCCTTCCTCTTATACTAATCCTCCTCAGCACAGACCCTTTATGGGTGTCCGGCTGGGGGACGGTCAGGTCTTTCCCTTCCCATGAGGCCATATTTCAGACTATCACATGGGGAGAAACCTTGGACAATACCTGGCTTTCCTAGGCAGAGGTCCCTGCGGCCTTCTGCAGTGTTTGTGTCCCTGGGTACTTGAGATTAGGGAGTGGTGATGACTCTTAAGGAGCATGCTGCCTTCAAGCATCTGTTTAACAAAGCACATCTTGCACCGCCCTTAATCCATTTAACCCTGAGTGGACACAGCACATGTTTCAGAGAGCACGGGGTTGGGGGTAAGGTTATAGATTAACAGCATCTCAAGGCAGAAGAATTTGTCTTAGTACAGAGCAAAATGGAGTCTCCTATGTCTACTTCTTTCTACACAGACACAGTAGCAATCTGATCTCTCTTTCTTTTCCCCACACTCTTTGGATCAGAGCATTCACCAGAGACAGAACTAGGAAATAGTAAAAGGCCTGCTTCATTCTCCAGGGTAACTAGTAGCTAGTACATATCTTTTGTTATTGTCGCTTTTCTGAAATGGGAGCCCTAAATCTTACCTCTATCATAATTGGATTTATTCCAAGATTTTAATTAAAAACCAATTTCCATAATCCTATTGTGTTTATAACCTCCCAGAAAAGTAGAGGAAGGAGGGGAAGACTATGGTTCCCTGACAATTAACTACAGGTTTAAAGCTATGACTAATCTTAACCGCACCATTTTCCTGCTATTTGAATTTGGACAATTTACTTTAATTTAGGGGGGTTCTCAATTTTCAATCTATAAAATGTCAATAATATAAAACCTTGGGAGACCTAACTCATAGGGTCATTGTAGATTTAAATGATGGATTTGACAGTGCTTTCTAATTTTTAAAGTGCTAAAATAAAGTTTTCATTTAAAGAGTTTTAAAAATCTATATTTACTTGTCGACTCTCCCATTTTTTTATTTTCAAAACTTATTTATTCTCAAAGCAAAATGTGTGGATATTTCATGTTTTAATTAAAAACCGGAGACTATTTTTAATTTCATTTACATATTGGAAAACAATACAGGGTGATTTGACAGGTACATCTCAGTAAATCCCAGTTTTTGATATTATTTATCATCTCAACCTATATTTTCTTTTCCTTTTTTTAAATTATACTTTAAGTTCTGGGATACATGTGCAGAATGTGCAGGTTTGTTACATAGGTATACATGTACCGTGGTGGTTTGCTGCATCCATCAACCCATCATCTACATTAGGTATTTCTCTTAATGCTATCCCTCCTCAGGCCCCTCACCCCCCAACTGGCCCTAGTGTGTGATGTTCCCCTCCCTGTTCCCATATGTTCTCATTATTCAACTCCCACTTGTGAGTGAACTCCCACTCATGTGGTGTTTGGAACCACTCATGGGAGTTCTCATATGAACTCCCACTTATGTGGTGTTTGGTTTTCTGTTCCTGTGTTAGTTTGCTGAGAATGATGGTTTCCAGCTTCATCCATGTGCCTGCAAAGGACATGAACTCATTCTTTTTGATGGCTGCATAGTAGTCCATGGTGTATGTGTGCCACATTTTCTTTAACCAGTCTGTCATTGATGGGCATTTGGGTTGGTTCCAAGTCTTTGCTATTGTAAATTGTGCTGCAGTAAACATACGTGTGCATGTGTCTTTATAGTCAAATGATTGATAATCCTTTGGGTGTATACCCAGTAGTGGGATTTCTGGGTCAAATGCTATTTCTAGTTCTAGATCCTTGAGAAATTGCCACACTGTCTTCCACAATGGTTGAACTAATTTACACTCTCACCAGCAATGTAAAAGCTTTCCTATTTCTCCACATCCTCTCCAGCATCTGTCGTTTCCTAACTTTTTAATGATCACAATTCTAACTGGCATGAGATGGTATTTCATTGTAGTTTTGATCTACGTTTCTCTAATGACCAGTGAAAATGAGCTTTTTTTCATATGTTTGTTGGCCGCATAAATGTCTTCTTTTGAAAAGTGTCTGTTTACATCCTTCACCCACTTTTTGATGGGGTTGTTCTTTTCTTGTAAATTTGTTTAAAGTCCTTGTAGATTCTGCACTTCTTGTGCTGTGCAGAAGCTCTTTAGTTTAATTAGATCCCATTTGTCAATTTTGGCTTTTGTTGCCATTGCTTTTGGTGTTTTAGTCATGAAGTCTTTGCCCATGCCTATGTCCTGAATGGTATTGCCTAGGTTTTCTTTTAGGATTTTTATGGTTTTAGGTCTTATGTTTAATTCTTTAATCCGTCTTGAGTTAATTTTTGTATGAAGTGTAAGGAAGGGGTCCAGTTTCAGTTTTCTGCATATGGCTAGCCATTTTTCCCAACACCACTTATTAAATAGGGAATCCTTTCCCCATTGCTTGTTTTTGTTAGGTTTGTCAAAGATTAGATGGCTGTAGATGTATGGTGTTATTTCTGAGGTCTCTGTTCTGTTTCATTGGTCTATATATTTGTTTTGGTACCAGTACCATGCTGTTTTGGTTACTGTAGCCTTGTAGTATAGTTTGAAGTCAGGTAGCATGATGCCTCCAGCTTTGTTCTTTTTGCTTAGGATTGTCTTGGCTATATGGGCTCATCTTTGGTTCCATATGAAACTTAATGTATTTTTTCCTAATTCTCTGAAGAAAGTCAATGGTAGCTTGATGAGGATAGCATTGAATCCATAAATTACTTTGGGCAGTACGGCCATTTTCACGATATTGATTCTTCCTATCCATGAGCATGGAATGTTTTTCCATTTGTTTGTGTCCTCTCTTATTTCCTTGAGCAGTGGTTTGTAGTTCTGCTTGAAGAAGTCCTTCATATCCTTTGTAAGTTGTATTCCTAGGTATTTTATTCTCTTTTGTAGCAATTGTGATTCAGAGTTTGCTCATGATTTGGCTCTCTGTATGTCTATTATTGGCGTATAGGAATGCTTGTGATTTTTGTACATTGATTTTGTATCCTGAGACTTTGCTGAAGTTGTTTATCAGCTTAAGGAGTTTTGGGGCTGAGAAGATGGGGTTTTCTAAATATACAGTCATGTCATTTACAAACAGAGATAATTTGACTTCCTCTCTTCATATTTGAATACCCTTTATTTATTTCTCTTGCCTGATTGCCCTGGCCAGAACTTCCAATACTATGTTGAATAGGAGTGGTGAGAGAGGGCATCCTTGTCCTGTGCTGGGTTTCAAAGGGAATGCTTCCAGCTTTTGCCCATTCAGTGTGATATTGGCTGTGGGTTTCTCATAAATAGCTCCTCTTATTTTGAGATATGTTCCATCAATACCTAGTTTATCGAGTGTTTTTAGCATGAAGCGGTGTTGAATTTTATCAAAGGCCTTTTCTGCATTTATTGAGATAATCATGTGGTTTTTGTCACTGGTTGTGCTTATGTAATGGATTACGTTTATTGATTTGCATATGTTGAACCAGACTTGCATCCCAGGGATGAAGCCAGCTTGATCATGGTGGATAATCTTTTTGATGTGCTGCTTGATTTGGTTTGCTAGCATTTTACTGAGGATTTTCACATCGATGTTCATCAGGGATATTGGCCTGAAATTTTCTTTTTTTCTTGTGCGTCTACCGGGTTTTGGTATCAGGATGATTCTGGTCTCATAAAATGAGTTAGGGAGAAGTCCGTATTTTTCTATTGTTTGGAATCGTTTCAGAAGGAATGGTACCAGCTCTTCTTTGTACCTCTGGTAGAATTCGGCTGTGAAGCCATCTGGTCCTGGGCTTTTTTTGGTCTGTAAGTCATTAATTACTGCCTCAATTTCAGAACTTGTTATTGGTCTATTCAGGAATTTGATTTCTTCCTGGTTTAGTCTTGGGAGGGTGTATGTGTCCAGGAATTTATCCATTTCTTCTAGATTTTCTAGTTTATTTGCATAGACGTGTTCATAGTATTCTCTGATGGTAGTTTGTATTTCTGTGGGATCAGTGGTGATCTCCCTTTTATCATTTTTTGTTTATTGTATTTATCATTCTTTATTAGTCTGGCTAGTGGTCTATCTATTATGTTAATCTTTTCCAAAAAAAACAGCTCCTGGATTCATTGATGTTTTAAAGGGTTTTTTGTGTCTCTATCTCCTTCAGTTCTGCTCTGATCTTAGTTATTTCTTGTCTTCTGCTAGCTTTTGAATTTGTTTGCTCTTGCTT
The DNA here is from genome assembly GCF_000001405.40 of Homo sapiens. Classification (NCBI taxonomy): domain Eukaryota; kingdom Metazoa; phylum Chordata; class Mammalia; order Primates; family Hominidae; genus Homo; species Homo sapiens. Next base: position 189,256,080 of record NC_000003.12, read on the forward strand.
CTCTAAGTCTTTTAATTGTGATGTTAGGGTGTTGATTTTAGATCTTTCCCACTTTGTCCTGTGGGCATTTAGTGCTATAAATTTCCTTCTACCTACTGCCTTAGCTGTGTCCCAGAGATTTTGGTATGTTGTGTCTTTGTTGTCATTGGTTTCAAAGAACTTATTTATTTCTGCCTTAATTTCATTATTTACCCAGTAGTCATTCAGGAGCAGATTGTTCAGTTTCCATGTAGTTGTGCAGTTTTGAGTGAGTTTATTAATCCTGAGTTCTAATTTGATTACACCGTGGTCTGACTGTTATGATTTCCGCTCTTTTGCATTTGCTGAGGAGTGTTGTTTTTCCAGCTATGTGGTCGATTTTAGAATAAATGCTAAGTGGTGCTGAGAAGAATGTATATACTGTTGATTTGGGGTGGAGAGTTCTGTAGATGTCTATTAGGTCTGCTTGGTCCAGAGCTGAGTTCAAGTCCTGAATATCCCTGTTAATTTTCTGTCTCGTTGATCTGTCTAATATTGACAGTGGGGCATTAAAGTCTCCCACTATTATTGTGTGGGAGTCTAAGTCTCTCTGTAGGTCTCTAAGAACTTGCTTTATGAATCTGGGTGCTCCTGTATTGGGTGCATATATATTTAGGATAGTTAGCTCTTCTTGTTGCATTGATCCCTTTACCATTATGTAATGCCCTTCTTTGTCTTTTTTTATCTTTGTTGGTTTAAAGTCTGTTTTATCAGAGACTAGGATTGCAACCGCTGCTTTCTTTGCTTTCCATTTGCTTGGAAAATCTTCCTCCATCCCTTTATTTTGAGCCTATGTGTGTCTTTGCAAGTGAGATGGGTGTCCTGAATACAGCATACTGATGGGTCTTGAATCTTTATCTAATTTGCCAATCTGTGACTTTTAATTGGAGAATTTAGACTTTTTACATTTAAGGTTAATATTGTTATGTGTGAATTTGATCCTGTCATTATAATGCTAGCTGGTTATTTTGCCCATTAGTTGATGCAGTTTCTTCATAGTGTCAATGGTCTTTACATTTTGGTTTGGTTTTGCAGTAGCTGCTACCAGTTTTTCCTTTCCATATTTAGTGCTTCCTTCAGGAGCTCTTGTAAGGCAGTTCTAGTGGTGACAAAATCTCTCAGCATTTGCTTGTCTGTAAAGGATTTTATTTCTCCTTTACTTAAGAAGCTTAGTTTGGCTGGATATGAAATTCTGGGTTGAAAATTCTTTTCTTTAAGAATGTTGAATGTTGGTCCCCACTCTCTTCTGGCTTGTAGGGTCTCTGCAGAGAGAGCCGCTGTTAGTCTGATGGGCTTCCCTTTGTGGGTAATCTGACCTTTCTCTCTGTCTGCCCTTAACAATTTTTCCTTCATTTCAACCTTGGTGAATCTGATGATTATGTGTGTTGGGGTTGCGCTTCTCGAGGAGTATCTCTGTGGTGTTCTCTGTATTTCCTGAATTTGACTGTTGGCCTGTCTTGCTAGGTTGGGGAAGTTCTTTAGGATAATATCCTGAAGTATGTTTTTCAACTTAGTTTCATTATTCCTGTCACTTTCATGTATACCAATCAAATGTAGATTTGGTCTTTTCACATAGTCCCATATTTCTTGGAGGCTTTGTTCATTTCTTTTCATCCTTTTTTCTCTAATCTTGTCTTTACACTTTATTTCATTAAGTTGATCTTCAATCTCTGATATCCTTTCTTCTGCTCAATTTGGCTATTGATACTTGTGTATGCTTCACAAGGTTCTCGTGCTATGTTTCTCAGCTCCATCAGGTCATTTATATTCTATAAACTGGTTAGTCTAGTTAGCAGTTCCTGTAGCCTTTTATCAAGGTTCTTAGCTTCTTTGCATTGGGTTAGAACATGCTCCTTTAGCTCGGAGGAGTTTGTTATTGCCTACCTTCTGAAGCCTACTTCTGTCAATTAGTCAAACTCATTCTCAGTCCAGTTTTGTTCCCTCGCTGTTGAGGAGTTGTGATCCTTTGGAGGAGAAGAGGCATTCTGGTTTTTGAAATTTTCAGCCTTTTTGTGCTGGTTTTTCCTCATCTTCATGGATTTATTTACCTTTGGTCTTTGCTGTTGGTGACCTTCAGATGGAGTTTTTGTGTGGTCATCCTTTTTTTTTTTATATTGATGTTACTCTTTCCTGTTTGTTAGTTTTCCTTCTAAGTCAGGCCCCTCTTCTGCAAGTCTCCTGGAGTTTGCTGGGGGTCCACTCCAGACCCTGTTTGCCTGGGTATCACCAGCAGAGGGTGCAGAACAGCTAAGATTGCTGCCTGCTCCTTCCTCTGGAAGCTTTGTCCCAGAGAGGCACCAACCAGATGCTAGCCAGAGCTCTTGTGTTTGAGGTGTCTGTTGACCCCTGCTGGACGTGTCTCCCCATCAGGAGGCATGGGGGTCAGGGACTGACTTGAGGAGGCAGTGTGTCCCTTGGCAGAGCTCAAGCACTGTGCTGGGAGATATGCTGCTCTCGTCAGAGCTGGCAGGCAGGAATGTTCAAGTCTGCTGAAACTGTGCCCACAGCCGCCCCTTCCCCCAGGTGCTCTGTCCCAGGCAGATGAAAGATTTATCTATAAGCCCCTGATTGGGGCTGCTGCCTTTCTTTCGGAGATGCCCTGCCCAGAGAGGAGGAATCTAGAGAGGCAGTCTGGCTACAGCAGTTTTGCGGCGCTGCAGTGGGCTCCATCCAGTCCGAACTTCCCAGTGGCTTTGTTTACACTGTGAGGGGAAAACTGCCTACTCAAGCCTTAGTAATGGTGGACGCCCCTCCCCCAACCAAGCTCAGTGTCCCAGGTCGACTTCAGACTGCTGTGTTGGCAGCGAGAATTTCAAGCCAGTGGATCTTAGCTTGCTGGGCTCCATGCGGGTGGGATCCACTGAGGAAGACCACTTGGCTCCCTGGCTTCAGCCCTCTTTCTAGAGTGAACAGTTCTGTCTTGCTGTGTTCCAGGGACCAATGGGGTATGAAAAAAACTCCTGCAGCTAGCTTGGTGTCTGCCCAGATGGCCTCCCAGTTTTGTGCTTGAAACCCAGGGCTCTGGTGGTGTAGGCACCTGAGAGAATCTCCTGGTCTGTGGGTTGTGAAGATCGTGGGGAAAGCGTAGTGTCTAGGCCAGAATGCACCATCCCTCATGGCACAGTCCTTCATGGCTTCCCTTGGCTAGGGGAGGGAGTTCCCTGACCCCTTGGGCTTCCCAGGTGAGGCGACACCCCACCCTGCTTCTGCTTGCCCTCTGTGGGCTGTACCCACTGTCTAATCAGTCCCAATGAGATGAACTGGGTACCTCAGTTGGAAATGCAGAAATCACCCCTTCTGTGTTGATCTTGCTGGGAGCTGCAGGCTGGAGCTATTCCTGTTCAGCCATCTTGCCCAGGAATCCCTTTTTTTTTTTTTTTTTTTTTTTACGAAGTCTTGCTCTGTTGCCCAGGCTGGAATGCAGTAGTGTGATCTCGGCTCACTGCAACCAACCCCCACCTCCTGGGTTCAAGTGACTCTCCTGCCTCAGCCTCCCAAGTAGCTGGGATTACAGGTGTCTGCCACCACACCCTGATAATTTTTTGTATTTTTGGTAGAGACGGGGTTTCAGCACGTTGGCCAGGCTGGTCTCAAACTCCTGATCTCAAGTGATCCACCCGCCTGGGCCTCCCAGACTGCTGGGATTATAGGTGCAAACCACCATGTCTGGCCTATTTGTTTTTTATGCCCATAAGAAACAACAGTGAAGGAACTGCAATTCTGAGTGGTTGAGTGACTTGTATGCAATCGTGGAAACAGATGATGGTAGCATCTGAAACATGAAATTCTCTGATTTCACCTCCTCCTCTGCCTTTGTCATGTGCCTAATTCTTACTTGTTCTCAAATGCATTGTAATTTTTGATGGTCACTAAGCCCCATTTCTTTCCCCATATTCTCATCTGAACTCTAATGAGGAGATAGAATATAGACAGTTTAAGGCTTAAAGACCTTGTTCTGAAGTCGGGCTGACAGGGAGTCAATCCAGATTTCCCTCTGGGTGACCTGGAGCAAGTTACTTAACAATCCATGCGTCGGTCTTCCCATTTGTAAACTGGAGGGAGGAGGGGAGGGTTGGATAATAGTATCTCTCTTATTGGTCTGTGTTGAGGGTTCCATGAGATAATATGGGTAAAATGCTTAGAAGAACATTTGGTATATAGTAAGCATTTGAATTACGCAAGCATCTTTAATAGTTTTGGTAGAAAGACCTTGGTTTAGGATTCAGGGACCTGGGTCCTGATACATTTTCCTGATATAAGTCCCCTCCCCTTGCTGAATCTCCTCTTGCTAAATTTCTAAAATCTCTAATTTTTCTTTGTATTGAATCCTATACCCTTGTAGTACTATATTAGTGTAGCAATTTTCCAAAAGCCATTCATCTTAGAGGGCTAAATGATTTTACCTTATCAATTCCTCCTGTGAAAAAATATCTCTAAAGAGGTTTTCTGCTGGAAAATATTGTTGCTGTCACATTGATATGCCAACAAAAGCTAAGCAGGGAGGTCAGGCCAAGAAATATCTCCCTGCAAGAGAAGGCATCGCACATGTATCTCTCCATGCTATTTAAATTTGCATTCTGCAACATAGAAGGGATAGGCCATGCTGCAGAAGCCAGGTCCAGGAAACTGCTTTCTTTGGCCTTTACACATCCTTTTGGAGAGATGCTGGTGAAAGCAGCAACTACCATCTGCCTCCTGTTGACTTAGTGTCAGCAGGTGGAGGGAGGAAGGAGGGCATCGCAGACATCATTCTATTATCTCAACCTTGCTTTCTCGGATCCAAAGGCCAAGAAGTTGCTGCTCCATGCCCTCAGAGCTCTAATTTGGCACCTCTTCCTGAAATGAGAGCTTGAAAGGGCTTCTGCTCTGGGTGAAACCGGCTCGTGGCCCGGGCCAATTCTGCTGGCTTCGCGTCTGTCAGTGTGTCCTAATCACTGTTATAAGTGTGGTTCTGCGGAACATCTTGTAAAATATTTTCCTATTGCTCCAGCAACATCTCCTGTCTAGACAATCTAATTATGAACACAGAGCAAATAGCTGAAGTGTATGCCGCCCCCAAGGGTTGCATAACTCCAGGAATGGGGCTAGGAAGACAGGGGAGGGAGGTGTGTGTGATGTTCATTACTTTTTTGTTGACCTGACCAGAAAATTGAGTGCTCCAAAAGAATCTGGCTAACTTTTAATTAAGAAGAAATGATCTGGTGGAAGCTGGCATTTTGTTGTTTTTCCAAAGTCAGTGGAGGATTAAAGGTACTGATGTGTTTCCCTCTAATCACGTCTTTTTCTTGGCTTCAGAGGTGGTTTGTGGTCTTTGCTTAAAAAAAAAAAAAGAAAAAAGCCATTGACTTAATAATCTGCCCTCCCAGCAGCATTTTGCAAACAGAAGGCAGCTCTTTTAACTGTATGTTCTTTCTAAGCAGTAATTTGATTACATTCAGAAAGTCCTTCCTAGGCTTGGCCATGTGGCAGCCATTGTGTACGACAGAGTGGCAAGACATAGCCTCTGCCACCAAGATGTTCACAGTCTCAATGCGATGCAAACGTATGCACACACATGCTTTAGCCCAAAGCAGGCTTTGGTTAGGGCTCCAGCAGAAAACCAACAGTGTCATGGGCACAGGAGAGGGAGAAAGAATTGCTACTGGGAGATATGGGAAGGTCTTAGGAAGAAGGTAGAATCTGAGGAGTTTATTACGGGATGAGCCAAACTTGGACAGAGAAATAGAGAAAGCAGGACAAGGGCAAGCATAAGCTAATGCCCAACTAGTGTGCTCATGTGAAGTCTCCCAGTTGTCTGGGCCCCAACTGTTGGGAAAATATGGTGAAAGTTTCTAAATGGTTTTGAATGATGGTATGAGGAGTTTGGGTTTCAGTCATATTAGGATATGAGATTATTGAAGGTTTTTGGGGAGGAGCCTGAAATGATTGACATTTTGCCTCAAAAAGATAAGAATGGTGACAATATAAGAGATAGTTTGGAGAAAAGAGAAGCTGGACAAAAGGGCCAGCTAAGGGAGAAATTCTGTCATAGTAGAGTTGGGAAATTCTAAGGATTTGAACTGGGCCAGTGGTTGGGAAAAAGAGAGCATGGGTCTGAGAAGACTTGGTATAAGTATAAGTATAAGTATAAGTATAAGTATAAGTATAAGTATAAGTATAAGACTTGGTAGAAGTATATGAAGTATACGTCTTTGAAATGACTGGATTGGGTTTTTTCTGGTGTGGGAGAGGAAGAGAAGAGGGACAGATAGTAAGCCTACCAGTGGAGGATGCACTTCATGCTCATTACTGGGGGTGCCTGAGAGGCTATGGGAAGAGAGGTCGGTTGAGACAAACTATTCACTCAAGTGTCATCTGTTGAGCACTTGCTTATGTGCCAGGTGCTGGGCTGGGCAGTATGATCCCATTGTGCTCAGAGAGTCAGATTTTCTGTTCTCATGGAGCTGACAGTCATGGGGCAAGCAGACAGTCATGAAATAATCATGTCTGATAAGTGTAAAATTACAAAAGTGGAAAGCACTTTGAAGGAGAGTTATATGGGGTGTGCGAATTATCAATTGCTATGTTTCAACTTACCTGAACACTTAGTAGTGTAAAATAAACATTTATTACTCTTCAGTTTGGGGGTCAGGAATATGGATATGGCCTAGCTGGGTCCTGCCACAGAGCTTCAATCAAAGTGTTGGGGCTGGGGGATGCTGTGGCATCTCAGGGCTTATCTGGGGGAAGATCACTTTCAAACTCACGCACACAGCTGTTGGCAGGCCCAGGGCCTTGCTGGCAGCTGGCCAGAGGTATCAGTTCCTTGCCATGTGGGCCTTTCCGTGAGGCTGCTGACAGCATGGCTGTGGACTTCCCTCAGAGATGGCAAGAGAGAGAGCAAGAGAGAGAATGAGACGTTGAGCAAAATAGAAGCCACAGATTTTGGTAACCTAATCCCAGGAATGACATCTCTGCACTTCTGCCACATTCTGTGTCATAGATGCAAGTCACTAAATCCAGCCCACACTCCTGGGGAGGCTCTTCCAGAAGGGCAGGAAGACTGGGAAGTAGGCATTATTAGAGGCTGCCTTAGGGCAAGCCTGCCACTTTCAGGATTTCAGCTTTTATGACAGAATTTTGACCAAAATTGCAGGGGGAAAGATCCAGAAAGACTTTTCTAAAGAAGAAATTTTGGTATTGTGATCAGAATGATGAGTAGGAGTTAAGGAGATGAAGGGGTTTATGGGGTGAATGTTTCAGGGAGAGAGAAGAACAGAGAGAGCTTGGTGCCTCCGAGGAACTGTAAATAGGCCAGCACAACTTGGACCTGCTAGATCCCAAGAACCTGAAGGACATCAAAGTGGAGATTAGTTTTGTATTTAGGTGTTGATGAGCTATGGCCATTTTGGAGGAGCTAGAATAATTCTGCTTTTATCTGTTGCTTGTGCTGGCATTCACTACAGTGTAAAGGGGTTCACAGTTAAAACTAGTTTGAAAGCACTTACTATAAACTGTGGGGACATCTCTGGAATTGCTGAGAAATGGGTTTGATTCAGTGTATAAAGTAAATAAAATTGCCCACTTATCTCTCAGGATAATTACTTATTGTGTAATGAGATAATACGCATAAATCACCTGGGGTTTCTTGGGGAATGGTATTATATAAACACAGGGCTTTATCAGTGATGCTGGAAAGATTTAAAGGATTAAAATCAGAAGTGCATCTTGATGCTATGGCATTTCACTCCAAACTAAGAGACGTGTGAAGGTTGCATGACTTCTTGAGAAGTATTTCAGTTTAAGAAATGGAGGCAGCAGGGTTATTGGGAGGTAGTTTGCTCAGGTATAGGCGTGGAGAGGCAGGGTAGGGGCTGGGAAATGCTCTCTTTTTAGCTCATTAGCTCTGATCAAGAATAGCTTCTACCCTTTTAATTCTGGTTAAGTGAGGGCAACTATTTAGAAATGCCATATGAAGTCTCCACCTCAACTGGAAATAAGAAAATTTGAATTCTTATCCCAATTCTCCCTCCAATTTGCTATGTCTTCTTGAGAAAGTTGTTTCCTTTCTCAGAGCCTCAGTTTACTCCTCTGTAACATGAAATGGGTTAAATTTGATGCCCTTTAAGTCTCTTCCCTTTCTTGGGTCAATGGTTAACCAAGATTTTATAACCTTCTTTCTAACTTTGCTCCATGAAACAAGAAAAATAAGAAGCCCTTGTCAGCAAGCAAGAAGTACAATGAGTTTTTGCTTTGGGAAAGTTTACTATTTGTACATGTATTTTATAGACCCAAGGGAAGGATGAAATGGGATATGGGAAGATAGACCAAAGTTGGTGTTTGATCTATTTTTCCAGGTTCAACTGACATATTCTTTTTCTTTCTCCTTTTTGTTCTCCTCCTACTCTTTTCCTTAGTTCAAATTTCCTGGATCCACCTATACAGTTCATATTTCTTTTTTTTTCATATCATTCCTCCTTTCACACTTTATTAAAAAGATTCAGCATGGTAGGAAGTGGGTTAAATTATTCTTCATTTAGGTGTGTCTGACTACTAGAGTTTTTTTTCCAATGAAGTGTTCATTTCACCAAAAAGATTTTTTAAGAAAACACAAAGCACAGCAATTTTTATTAGATAGGAGGTAAGGTGAGAAGTTATTGAACAAGGGCCTAGGTTGTTGTCTTCCTAAACAGTAACTCCCTGATTTCTTATCCCTTCCTTCCCCAAATATTCAGTCAGTAAATAATATAAAATCCCACAGTATTTTTCTTCTTCAAATGAATCATTATTTTTAGAAATATTTCTGCAATTCATAACATTCAGCATAAGAATCCCTGGGTGCAACTGAAATCCAAGAAAAATTGTAAACAGTGCTAGATCACCCAGCATGAAGATAAGCACAGGGGTAAGACAACAGCAAAACATGGCCAGCAAATAGTGAGGAAAGTTGAATCTTAAAGTACTTATTCAAAAATTTGAAATGTATGAATCTAGAAAGAAGCCATTTGAATTTTGACATTCATGAAAGTGTTCTGCTTTGTGGTTTGGTGTGGTTGGTATTTTGATTTGTATATGAATAAGGAGGAAGGCCATAATCTTTAACAGTGTTCGGAGTCACAGGATCTTAGTATGGTTGTCAATGTGAGTTGTGGAACTGGTAGTAAAGGGAGTCCCCTCTTCTGAAGAGTGGCATTGAGCTAGAGTCATCACATGATGGGCCTGTCTTCTCCTTCCACTTAGGCAAGAAGCATCAACCTGGACCTTCTCTGTAGAGTGTTTACAGGCATGAATTTAAAAAACCCGATTTTCTTTTTCTACCTTTCCGCTTCTACATGACAATCCTGTAAATTCTGTCTCTACAACTTAAATTTTGTCCTCAAACTAGGGGAAGTGTCTGCTAAATTCTAATGGCATGGTGTTGGCTTCCAGTAACATTCTCCCATCTCTCCTTCTCATAGGATCCCTTAGTTATTGGGGGAAGCCACACACCTATCTGAAACACTAAATAGCTCAGGCTGCCTTGAATCTAAGTCTGTCCATTTGACTAAGTTCTGGCAAGTTAAAGGCTAGCAGAATAAATGGGACTGCTTAAAAGACTCCTTAAAAGGCAAGGAAGCACTTTCCTCCATTCCTTCCTACTCCCCCTCCTTCTGTCTGTCATGTGGATGTAATACTACAGCCACCATCGTGAACTGTGGATCTGAGGACCAAAACTAGGGATGGCAGAGTGGGGAGCGGGAAGGAATGTGGCTTTCTAGTGACTTTGTGGAGCTGCCTTCCACTCCTGTACTGTTCACATTTGGCCTTCTTCTACCAAGACAAGAGATGCGCAGTTCATCATTAGATGGGACTTTTATTTTATTTGCAGCCAAACCTAGTCCTAACTAGTACCTCCATTGAATAGGAGAAGGGTTCCTGCCAACTCCCAAAGACCGAGAATGATAAGGGTTGCAGTTTCATTTGGTGTAATGTTCATGTTGTTTAGAAGTCCACGGGCCATGGTTCCAATCCCAGACTTGTCACTTAATGGCTTTGCTACCGAATTATTTGGAGGCTCATATACTAATTTGTAAAATAGAATTAATATCTACCCCACGGAGTTGTGGGATTAAATGAGAACACATGAGAAGTGCCAAACTGGTGACTGCCATAGGTGTTCCAAATGTATTAGCTTCCTTTTACTTTCCAATTTGCTTTGCTTTGCTTTTATTAGGAAGATGTCAGTTCCTCTATGTGTATTATTTAAGGTGTTACAAAATGTTAATAGGCAGCTATATCCTGAGAAGCTAGTGAGTCAGAGTGGGGCAGTCAGAACTACAGTCTGTACTGTAAGTTCAACAGAAAAGGAGTGTTCATCATTCACTCAACTCAAGGCCTGTTACTCTGTGACAAACTAACGGAGAGCTGGAGCCAGTTTTCTGGTGGGAATAGGGACATGATGAGTTGGTGTAAGAGAGCCAAAGCCTTAATAATGGGAGACAGGAGATCCGTTTTTGTGATCAAGAAAGCACATGTGAAAATGCTCATAGGAACAAGATGGTATCTCACAATTCAGGCCAAGCTGAAGGCATGTATAAGATGGGATGACTCTGCAAGTATACAAAACAGTGACCTTAAACCCCATAAATGGCTCCCTAAAACACCTATGGTTATATTTTGTATTATTATTGACCATCAGAAGCTGGTTTTAGAGCAAAGCATAACTTATAACTAAGAATATTAGGTAATTGATATTCCTTGATCTTTCTAGTTACAAAGTTGTTTCAGCTATTTCATATAGTTACCGTCATTATGCATTTTCCTTGTGTTTTTTTTTTCCCCTTTATGCTAACTTGGATATTGCTGCACCCAGATCTTGGAAAGGTTAAGTTGAGATAGTTTTAATTTGGTGATTCAACAAATGGAGGACAATGGTCTAGTTGTCTCTATAGGGAAAGAGAGATAAAATACAGTTATGTATCACACAAAGTTTTGGTCACAGACCACATATATGATGGCAGTCCCACAAAATTATATCATATTTTACTGTACCCTATGTTTAGATGTATTTAGATATACAAAAACTTACCACTGTGTTATAATTGACTTCAATATTCAGTACAGTAACATGCTGTTACATGTTTATAGCATAGGAGCAATATACTCTATACCATATAGCCTAGGTTTGTAGTAGGCTATACCATCTAGCCTTGTGTAGGGTGTCCAAAAGTAGCCTTGACAAAATAGCCTAATGACATATTTCTAAGATGTATTTCTTTTGTTAAGTGATGCATGACTTTATACATTGGCCTTGCCCTCAAATAGCTTGAGATCTAATTGGGAACTAAGAGGGTAAATATATAGAAAACTAATTTTCATATAAAGCATAATCTGACAAAGCCCAAAATAAAGATGTAAGCAACATATTGTGAGAGCATAGACAAGGCAATCGTTTTTAGTGGTGGGAACTGTTGCTAAAGAGACAACAGAATGAAGAATTTTGGTAGAGAGTTATAAAGTGGCTCATAAACTGGAGGAAGAGTATGACAAAAAGAATGATATGAAAGTGTGAAAAGTTGTTTAAGTAATCATGACTAGTCTCCTGGGTGACTGGAAAATAGAGACAGTAGTGGAAGAGAGGAGAACATGCTCATGGACAGTGTTGAATGGTAAGATAGGAGGTTTTATTTATTTTGATTGACCAACTGACATCATAAAGATTTCAGAGCATGAAGGCTTATCTTTGTGTCCTTATAGCCTATAGCACAACATTAGTATATGGCAGGCACATTGCTGTATGTGAATGGTGAGTAAATGATTAGAACAGGGAGCGGTATGTGGGATGAATTGGAGCACTGAGAAAAGTGTGATCAGGTCTTGGAGTCAGTCCTGGTAAAAGGTGTTGGATGCCTGATCTTGGTGTGGAAATGAGAGGTTACATATAAGATTCTGAATATCACCCTCTTGTGGACAATACTGATTAATGGTCTTGGAATTCAATGGAGGGAAGTCACTTGGATGGAGATAAATTCTGAAAAGAGAATTGCCTTGGAGCTTATGGACTTACCATCCTCAGCAAGGATCAAGTTACATCACATGCTGTGATGAACAGGGCAGCAGGCGAGGATTTTGTCATGTACACTCTTGACTTCGCCTTTGGGTATCTGTGCCAAGAATGCCCGGGGTTTGATTTTTGGGTGCGGTGCTGTCCACTCACTCTAATGCCCAGGGAGGCATGTTGACAAGGATGGGTGGCTGATGGGGGATTGCTGAGCTATTTCTTGGCAAATCTCCGTGGGGAGGCGTTCCCCAAATACCACAATCCTGTTATTTTTGAGTAATGGACTGAACCCAGGTGCCTGATTGGACAGGGCCACTCCCCATTTCTTCCAGATAAATATTTGGTTGCCAGGAGGTTATATTTAAATGAGAAATACCTCCTTAGGAAGTTGTTGCCTAAGAATTCCTGCAGAGGGCAGGATCCCATCCCTGCTGGGGAATGCCTGAGAAGGGCGCCAAAATTTATCCTGTACTCACTATGATACATTTAGTGTGATGGCACCCACTTTGAGGTTCTATAATAGTTTGTATCTCTGAATGACAAGAAAGCTCATCAATGCTAGAGATGTTGCATTTCTTCTAGGGAAGGGCTCCTAGTCTTTAGCGTCGTAATAGCAAGATCCTGAAACGCAGATGGAATGTATGTCAGAGATTTGGCTTTTATGAAAGGAAGGAATCAGTTCTCCAAAAAAGAGCTGAATCTTTTCTGGAACCTGAAGCACCGAGTACAGAATCTAGGAAGCTAGAGACTTTGGATCTTTCAGGCTTTAGGGTGCTCTTTGTTCTCGCTACTTGTGAACATTGAATGTTGGCTTTTCAAGCCTTGTCAATTTAGCATGTGTATTTTCTCTATGACGAGAACCCTCTTATTTCATACATTTTCCTCCAGAAAATGGGATATTAAGACTCAACAATTAAATTTCTAACTCTTTGGGCATCATCTGTCTTTAGAAATACAAGAGTTAACATCCTGAGGTTTTTTTTTTTCTTTTTTTCTTTTTAAAAAAGAACAAAACAAGAGCTAAAGCACACAGAAAAAAAAGGCACAAGGCAAAACATAAGCAGAAAAGACTATCACTAACTTTCTTGGTGAAAGTTCAATGTTTTGGGTACTCCAGTAAAAATCCATCCTAAACATACATTTTCCATAACAATGTGTGGTCTCAAGGTCGTAAACTGTGACTCTCTGTCTCCATGATTTTCTAAATCTTCTTTTAATCACCAGCCATATATTATTTTGTTTTCGTTTTTCACTTTTTGAATCCTTTTGCATTAGGAGTTGTAATAATATTTGCTGATGTGGATCACTTCATAGAGGGGAGACCTTACTTAGGTGCGCCAGTTTAAATACAAGTGAGAAGAGGCATGTTCAAGAAATTGTATTGAGTCCCGGAGCTGTGCAGGGTGTATTTCCTGAGAACTCATCTGGAGGAATGGCATGTGTGCTGGGGATACTTGGCAGAGGATTTGTTTCTTCTGATTCATTGCAGAAAAAAAAACCCTGTTAATTATGATGTGTTTAGAGCCTTCCAAGATGCTATAAATATAATTCAAGAAATAAAAGTAGGTGAGAAGAAATACAAGCTTTTGGAGCTACAAGGGATTTTTCAGCGTTTGCTTTAATCTCCCTCATTTTACAGTGGTCTTAGGGGACTGTGGTCAAGAATTCCATGGCAAAGCTGAGAGTAAGACTTAAAGATGGGTAAACAGCTAAGGAGTTTTTTCATTGACCTAAATTTACAAATTCTAGCATTTTTTGGTTTTGTTCTTTTTATGTCACCAGGAAAAAGGAACATGCTCTGTGGAAACATGGAGGAAATGGAGCATTGGTTGAGTAGATATAGAGTTTTGACTTTTCATAAACAGGCTCCCTGACGTTGGCTATCTTTTCTCTTCTCTGGATCTTCTTCTTCTTCTTCTTCTTCTTCTTCTTCTTCTTCTTCTTTTTTGTCTGTAGAGTAACGAGAGCACAAACTAGCTATGTTGTTCAAAGTCCGATCTTCAGAAATAAAATTTGATAATTTAAAATTGCTTTCTGGCTACTTTTAAGAAAAATAATAATAACATGCTGAAGAGAGAAAAAAAAAAAAGGTCCAGGTGGTTTTACAGAAATTATACCATATTGGAGGGAACATGCCTGGATATCCGTGTCAGGAATTTTGAATTAGATCTCATCCCGGCATTGAACTCCTCATGCCTTTGTAAATTGTTGTGGATGAGGAAAAGGCTTTCAAATTGCTTCTGAGATTTCAAATACATTCTACTTGTCTGAAATCCATGCAGTTCCCTTGGGCAGTTGCTGGGTGGCAGCAGAAGTGCTCCAGTGGTAGACTGTGGAACCTCAGAATGGCAGTGCTGGAGGCTGCAGTGTTCCCAGGCTCAGTCAGCACTGAATGTGGAGCCCAGGTCCCCACGCCAGTGAGGCATGCAGCTGGAATGGCTGGTAGGGCTAGGGTTGGCAGGCAGGGAGATCCTTTCTTTCCCACTGTTTGTCACTGGCCATGTGAAAAAAGTGGTTAATACAGTAGCCACTACAATGCATTAAATAGCCACTGTGGATGAGACACTGTATTCGGCTCTTTAAATATGTCATTGTGACTTCAAATATCATCACTATCGGGTGCCATTATGTCCATTTGCAGCTGAGGAAACTGAAGCAGAGAAAGATTAACAAACATCCTGAAGGCCACAAAGCTAGCCAGTGCTTTACCTGAGATGAAACACAGATCCGTATGACATTGAAACATGTTTTTTCCTACCATGAGACTACTCAAAATAATGATAATAATAATAATAAAGCCAGCAGCAAAAATCTAAATCTCATTTCTATTTTTATGCTCATGATACGTTAGCATCCTGGAATCTGCAAGGGCTTTGCTTGCTCATTATTTGATTGGGTACACACACAAACACACACACACTTTCATAGTGAAGGCAGGAGAGTGGTTGACTTTTGATTTTAAAAAGGAAGAAACTGAGGCCCACTAGAATGTGAAGTCACTTTACTAAAGTCCTTGGGAAATGACGGTAGAGCTGGGTTTCTTTATTCCTAGGTGAGGTAGGGCGTTTTCTACTGTAACACAGTGCCTTGAAGGGATGGGTTGCTTTAGACGAATACATGGGCAATCTTATAAAATCAGTTGGCTCAAAGGTAGAGAAACAGCCCACCTGAGTGCAGAGTTGAGATGGCCTCTATTCACATGATGGCCTTTGTCTGTCAGCACTAGTTGACTCCTGCCTGTGTTTATGATGATGCCTGTCTCATCTGCAGCTGTTTGCAGAGTCTTGCATATAGTATATGTCTAACTTAAGCTTGCCCACATGCACATAAAGGAACTGTGAATATGTTGTTTCTTTACTGAAGGCCCTCAGTGGGTGCCAACATTCAGACAAATCTTGATAAATGTGCCATAGCAGAAAATAGAAAAGAAAGTAATCTAGATATTTTGGGTATTGTGCATGCGTAAGTTTTACATTGTTTATTTTTGGATAGAATTTACACAAGAACTTCTTCTCAAGTCTTGAATATTTGCATCAGAGGAACTTCTAGAACTAGAAAAGACCTTAGAGAGTTTCTAAGACCCAAAGAGGGAAAGTGACTTATGTAAAGTTAAACACATTTACAGAGACATGGACGACTGAGGTATCCTGATCTTTTGGGGAAAAGCATGTGCTTGGGAACCAAACAAGTGTGGATTTGAATCCCGATTCTCATTTACTTGTGTACTTGTGGTATGATGACATGTTAACTTCTCCGTAGCTCTAAGTCCGATCTCATCTGTAAAAATAGAGATAAAAAGCAACTACTTTGCTTGGTATCTGGTCAGTCTAAAAGAGTGGGTATATCGAAAAGCCTAATGTGGTGTTTGTGCACTCTGCCTTTCCTATACGCGCTGATGCCCCAATCCATTTGTTTTGGATTCTAATGAAATCATGTGTTTTATAGTTTACAGCACAGATGTCCCACATGATATAGGAGTACAACTTAGTTCTTGATGGGAAAAACACAGTGCAATCAATCCCTTTATAATTTATTCATGTCATCGTTTAACCATGTTATAGCATGCTTTTCCCATATGTAATGCAAGCATCTATTATTATATTTGGGATCTGCTTTGACTTGTATTCCTGAACCTGTATAATTAAGTGTTATATTATAGTGGGCTTCACAGCATTGGGTAATGAAAAGAATTCTGGCCTTGTAATCAGCAGAATTTTGTGCCAACTCTGCCAGGACTGGCTGTGTGATTCTAGATGAGTTTCCTTTTGAGGCCTCAGTATGATAGTTCAGGTGAGCTATAAGTTTCTGATGAGCTTTCAGATTTAATTTGTGTGTATTTTTTTTTCCTACTAATATACATCGAGACTGTTGCTTATTGTGTCTGTAAAGTGCTTCTCAGGAAATCTGGGCAAGTCTCGTTCTTCAAATCAGCTCAGTAGTAGAAGATTAAGCTGACTTCCCAACCACAGACTTCTTCTGCCAAGTCTCTTCTCTTCTCTTCTTTCTTTCTTTATCTTTCTCTCTCTCTCTTTCCTTCCTTCGTTTCTTTCTTCCTTCCTTTCTTTCCTTTCTTTCTTTCTCTTTCTTTCTTTCTTTCTCCTTCCTTCCTTCCTTCCTTCCTTCCTTCCTTCCTTCGTTCCTTCCTTCCTTCCTTCCTTCCCTCTCTTTCTTTTCTACAAAGGCTCAATACTAAATAGGATCAGTAGGTCCACTAGGCAGCTCAGACAAGGATAGACATTTATAAAGTACTCCAAGCTACAGAAAGGTGGTGCTAGAGACTCTTCTATTTCTGATGGGGTCTGGGGTCTGTAATGGAATAGCCATAGATTAC
This sequence comes from Homo sapiens, assembly GCF_000001405.40. NCBI lineage: Eukaryota > Metazoa > Chordata > Mammalia > Primates > Hominidae > Homo > Homo sapiens. Next base: position 189,272,948 of record NC_000003.12, read on the forward strand.
TAAAGAGTAGACCATCCAAAGCAGGCATTTTCTCTCCAGTGATCCTGACAAGTGGTTATCCAGCCTCTGAAGGCTTCTGGTGAAAGAGAATCCACTGCTTCCTGCTCGGCCTCTCTGACTCTGGTAGAATCTAGTTAGAATGTGTTGAGGGAAAATCAGCTCCTCTAATCAGCTCCTCTTGAAGCTGTCACTTGTTGGTCCTAGTATTTTATTCTGTAGCTATACAGAATCAAGAATCTATTTATTAATTCAACTACTATTTACTTCCTATTACTTGTCAAACACTCCAGAGCTAACATTTTTCTTTTTAAGGGCTTACTGTATGGCTGGAGAGGTAGAAAAGTAAAATCTCAATTCCAGTATGATGTGGCAAGTGCTGCTGGAGTTAAACATGGAAAACTGTGGCCATGCAGAGAAATGCACCTCACTCAGATGAGGAGGCAGGGAAAATACTGCAGAGAGTTTGAAAATCAAAAGTTTTTATGTCCTTCATTCCCATCCTCACTAGGCTAACTGTGCTTAGAGTATGCGACAGGCAGTGTGACAGGAAGTTGTAGACTCAGGAAACTTGAGTTCTAATCCCAGTTTTGCTGATATTGTCCCTACGTAACATTGGACAAGTTTAATTTATTAGCCATAGTAGAGAATGCAAATAGCATCCTGTCATGTTATTTAGTCTTTGGAATTTCCAAAAAAGCAGTGAATGCACTCATTTGATAGCTCTGGCCCAGTATTTCCTCCTTTATTTCTCCTCATCCCTGGTTGGCCTGGAGTTGAAAATCAGTGCTTTATTCTCCCTGTGTCTGGGCTTTCTCATGTCTCACTCTACCCCTCTTCCAAGCCATAGGCCTATATTGGTCTGTCCCTTAGCTTGTGCCTGAAATGTTCTCAACAATCATTAAATGAAAAGCATGCTTACAGAAACCCACAGAAATTGTGAATGTACACAGGCACATTGGAAGTTGCCCCCAGGTATGTTGCCATTGACCAGGACAACAAAGATGACTAAGGGAGTGTCTGCCCACTCCTATGTGGAAATAATGTTGTATTTGTCTGGAAGCCAGTGAAAAAATTATGTTGAATGGCCTCATGACAGGCTATTTTGTACCCCAACTGTCTTAATACCTCAAATTCTTTATCTTTTAACTTCTCGGAACCCAGATTTTTTTTTTTTTCACTGATCCATGGAGTGATTTTTAGAAAAAGGCTAATGACCCTGACCTCAGAGTCTGATGAGCCTGTGAGAAATGGGATAGGCATTACTCCCACCTACTTCAGCTAAGCTCTGATAATTTTCTTAGAGCTAAAATGAAATGAAAATTTTGGCTGAGTGGGTTATCTCACTATCATTGGAGGGAAATCTCTTAACGATGGAATATGCAATCTAGTCTCTAGGTCCAGTTACATAAAATATTATTTTTCCTGGATTGGGAAAAATGTAATTGCCGTTTGTTCAGCCTGTTTGGATAAAATTTTACAGTCAAAGCCACTCTTTCTTGGGAGTTTTTATATTGTACAGAACTTAAATAAGAACTTAGACTAAAAGGGACGGTGACTTCCCTGATTTTTGGGATTTGAATGACTCTTGTGTGTAGTAGGGTGAGTAGTAATCGAGGGTAGGGCCCAGATAGTAGCACTGAGACTTCTCTGTGACTCTGGTATCAGAGCACAGAATTTCTAATGTACTTTCAGTAAACTTTGACCACTGATTCAAATTTTTGCAAAATAATCTCCAGGATTTGCTACCTTCTCTCTTTTCCCTAGACTGAAAAAGGTGAGGCTTGTCCCTCAACTTGGAAATAGGTATTTCTTACCAATTTAAAAACATTTGAAGATAATCAATTAATTTTGATAACATTTAAAAGCATATGAACAGTTAATTCCCACCTTAAATTGAATTTTGACCTGTGCTTTTTTTTTCTTATAAAAATAAATAATAAACAAGAATCACTAAGTTTTCCCAAGGGCATTTCTTGATAATGTAATGAGTGTGTGTGTGTGTGTGTGTGTGTGTGTGTGTGTGTGTGTGTGTATGAAGTCATTATTGACTAACAATTGTAATCCACAAAACCATGCATTCATCAAATATTTATTGAGGTTAAGGCACTGCATGTATTTATGTCTTCTGATTGCTCTAAGTAGAAGGGAACAGAATCACCTGCAGTGAAGTCTGAGGCCTTTTTCTTTTTAGCTGAACTTCAAATCAATCTTCTACTTGACAACTTGACTTAAACAACAAACAGCATACATACAGTGTTATTTCAATACAGATCCAAACAATCTTAATAGAATAACCATGCAATGAGCATGAATATGTGTACATCCCTGTTTTAGATGTTTTAGTCATATAGAGCCAAGCAACACAGTTCCTGCTATAACTACTACATGCTCTAGTAGCAAGGATAAGTCAAGTATATATACAGCTATATTATAAGGTGCAATAAGGATATGCCAGTGGAGACGAATTGACAATAAAGAGAATTCATACAGTTGTGACTGCATCTGGGCAACACAAAGGAAATAGTATAAGACGAGACCTTTGGAAGATAGTAACAGGTGGGAAGTTGGGATGTGAAGAAAGGGTTAGAGGGAAAGGCTATTCCAGGGAGAAGGTATAGCAAGAATAAAGCCATATGGTCAGGAAAGAAATTCAGAGAACAATCAGCAGATGTGGTTTTGCTTGAATATAATGAAGGTATTGTGGATGTGATAAAGTTAGAGATTGGGGCAAATAGGAGAGGCTTTGAATGCCAGTGTAAAATGTTTGTATTTTCTTGGTGGCAATAAAGCTACTGTTGTATTTTAAATAGGGAAATGCATCCATTTTAAATGAGGAAGGGCATCCAATTGTTATTTCACACACACAAACACACACAGATTTTGCCATGCCCTCTATAGGTCCATCACTATGTAAACTGTTGAGGATTCAAAGAAAATAGACAATCTCATACCTCAAAGTCTTCAGTGGGGAAGAGAGGCAAATACAATAATTTTCATAAGTATTGTAGGGATATCTTGTTCAGACACCTAGGGGAATCATAGAAAGCTTCTTAAAGGAAGTGAACCTTAAGCATTGGTTGGTTAAGGGCTTTCTAGATGCAAAAAAAATGAGAAGTGCTACTCCAATAAGACTCTTGAAACAGTATATGTGATGATAACACAAGGAACACTGAGAGGGGAAGGCAAGGTAAGGAGGGTGTGAAGGGAGGCCAGTGAAGAGGCTGCCACGATAGAATTGGTAAGAGGGAATGAAAGGCTGAGCGATGGAAATGGCTGTGAAGATGAAGAGGTGGTGGCCCCCATGGATGTGGCACAACAGCAGATCTTGATTTGGTGCTGGAAGTAGGGGGTTGTGGTTGGAATTGCAGAAGTGGAAGAGCATTTTAAAAAAGTTAAAATGGATAAGACTGGAATTCTGAAGGGGGAAGAAGGATGTCATTAGTAGGCATGTGGCAGTCAGGAGAAGCTGGTTTCAAAGGAATTGTGTGAAATTTAGTGTTGAGTGACTACTAGAAAGCAGAATAGGCAACTTCCCATAAAATTGAGTTGTGAGCAAAAATTCTTGGGCTCTGATGTCATGGTTTTCCTCCTTTTTTTCTCCTGGAAAATTCCAAGTCATAAGACAAGTGCCCAAATATTGCCTCAAGCATGCTTTAAAGTACTGATGTCTAAGGGATTTCATTTTAGGAAAAGCTTAATAGATCATGTGTATTAATCATAAAGTGTAAAAACAAGACATTGTTAACAATCCCTAGTCTCTTCCTTGGCTTGGCTCATGGCTGTTCTAAATAATACCTTGGGATTATTTATGATGACAGGTTTGGCATTCTGCTTGGAACATATACATGCCCCCTTAAGCAAGCTGCTTCCTTGGGAAGAGACCAAGAGAGGCAGGGTTTTTCGAAACACCTAATTTTCATTTCTTCCTCCTTTCTTTTTTTTTTAGTTAGTGGATAAAATGAGTGATTACTGGACAACGTATATATTTTTTAATGACTCCAGATGCTTTCGGGATGAATCATAGTAGCCTCCTCTCTTTGCCTCCTTGTTACTTCATTTCTAACTCCATTTCTGTCTCCACTATAATTGCAGCACTGGGTGAGACGCTGCTCGAGGAGGAATTAGCTGAACTGTGGTGGTTTGGCAACAGAAAGATAGAGGAAGTAACATGGAACAGGAGGTCTGTGAGAAATGTGCAGCCATGTGGCTTTCTGCCCAACCAAGGCAGCTTTCCCTACAATCCCCAGCCCTCCAAGGGCTTTTAAAGCATTGAGTGTGTGATGGGGGTAAGTCCGTATGCTGCACTTACTCCAAACATAATTATCAAGCTATAAAGGAGACACCTTAAACACACACATACGCACACAACACCTCATACCATAAGATCCCAGGGGAATTTCAAAACCACATACATATTTCAAAAAACAGTAAATTCAAAATAAAGAGAGGAATTGATTTGGGTGGTCTGATAGTTTGGTGGAAAAAATGCAGTCAATAAGATTAAGAATCAGAATAAATACAGCTCTATGCTATTAGAAAAAAGCTTCATTTTTTAAAATGTGTTTTTTCATTTTTGATTCAAGTCTTACCAAATCAAAATGTGTCACTCATCAGATGTTTGCAGTGAACACGTTTGGACAGTATACAGAATAGAGAAGATTAAATCAAAGTTTAACGTCTTGAAGTGCTGAAAGTCAATTAATTAATTAGAAAGATAATTGTTGGAATTATGTATAGGCAACTTAAATCCAAAAAAGAAAATTAATATATTAAGGAGCATGAGAAGCATCAATCCATGAATTCAAATGTATTTTACAGCTTTACGAGTCCAATCCCACATTGTTGGAATCACTATTATGTTAGCTGGCAGGATGGAAACTGGTGTCTGCTTCAACTTACTCAAAAATGGGGAACTCACTACCTCCTCAGCCAGCATATTCTGTTTTTAAATAAGATATAGCTGTTACAAACTTCTGTTTTTACAAATCTGATTCATCAGTGCTTCTTTTGCCTCTGAAGCCACGTCGAAGCCTATTTCTTTGTATCCATAAGCACCTTTCAGATTTGTGAGCATTACATCATTTCCTTTCTCAGGCTTTGTGTCTGCAGGCTGATCAACCCTCTTTCCAGAGGACTTCCACTCCTATGCAGGATGTTAAAGCCTCTGCCACCATGCTCCTTCCACATGCCCTTTGTTGCTTGATTAGGCTTGGTGGCTTTTCTTTCCACAATATTCTGCCTTTGTAGAGTTAAAATGATGCTTTGACCCCAAGTCTCAGGAGCAGTGAAGGGCCTGGGTAACCTATTGCCTGGGTTATCAGGTGAATCTTCCCAAGGTGAGCATTTGGGCAGTGGTTGCTCGAGTGCCCTGGGTGGAGAGAGAGCAGCAGGGGTCTACAGGTCAGGAGTCTGGATTCTCACAGGCCTGTGTCTTCTAACCCAGTTCCAAGTGCTGGAAGCCGGTGCTGGAAAGCAGATTGCTTTACGTACTGTGAGCAGATTGTGTAACCAGACCCATAATGTCCCTTGTCAGTAATGGGCTAAATGATGCTATGAACAATGCCAATTTCTATCCATCTCTGTAGTCCATATGCTTGTTAAATAAGGTTAAATGTGGCATCATGGAGGAAAAAAGGTACTTAGGACTTAGGAAACCTAAACCTAAATTCTTGTTCTGGCAAGCGTCAAGATCTAACATAGCCTCAGTTTCTTCCATCTGAAAACATCTCCTATGCTTCTGTGTGTCAAGTATTGTGCCAGAGCTCTATAAACTTTGTCTCTCACATTCAAAGCACTGTAATCCAGGTGTCATCACCACCACTTGACAGCCATGTCCTGGAATTTGAAACCAGGTCTGCCTGTGATCTTCTTTTCTCTTCCATCACCCCCTTGCTAAAATGAGGCAGAGGGACTAGAACTCGTATATACCCATGTATAATATGCCATTTCCAGTCCCAAGTACTTATGCTCATATTCCTAAGAAGTGTATATATTGCATACAAGAGCAAAACTCCATAAATGAAACCTGTTAAAATGTATTTGACATCAGAGTTGTTCTAGTGGTGGAGGTAGGCAAACTTTTTCTCTAAAGGACTAGATAGTAAATATCGTAGATTTTATGAACTATACAGTATCTGCTTCAACTGCTAACTCTGATGTTGTAGAGTGAAAGCAACCACAGGCAATATATAAATGAGTGAATACACCTGTGTTCCAATAAATCTTTATTTACAATAACAGGCAATGGGCTTGATTTGGCCAGCAGATCCTAGTTTGCCAACCTTTTCCTGAAGAGAGTGGAGAGTCAGAATAGTGGAGAACAACTCTTGGTGGGCCCTATTCTATCCTGTTCAACTTTCTATGCATGATTCAGTTGAAGGTAGAGATCACAACTGGGAAATCTGCAAATTCCAGGACATCAGGAATGTTCTCTAATATACGTTATGACATAATTGGGGTGCAGAAAGAGGCAAGTATGCCCTAGTGCTTAGGATTATTGTCTTTGGAGTCAGGTGGACCTTCATTCAGATTGTAGCTCTATAATTATCTATTTGGAGAAACTAATTTGTGTAAATTATTCAATCTCTCTAAACCTTATTTTTTCTCATCTGTAAATGGACATAATTTTACCTTTCTCAAGGGTTGTTGTGAGGATTAAATTAGATGATGTATATAAAGTATTTAGAACAATGCTGAACATAGTGAGCCCTCAATGAAAGGTAGTATGAAAAACCTCACTGAATTAAGAACAGAAACAAAGGAAAACACCCAGTTTGGAGGAGAAATGGCATAAACTAATTTATCAGGAAGAGGCAGAATACCCTGACTACTAATTCAGGTTGTTTCTAGACACTCACTATCAACGTATAGATTGTGACTTTGGATGAAACAGTACAGGGAGGTAATTCCTTCTCTAATAAGATGTTTATGAAAAGTTATAGGGGTGTATGAATGAACGGGAAAACTGAATGTAGTCCTTCAGATAGGCAGAAGAGTTAGAGGAAAAGTTAGAATATTTGGTAGATCACGGGTCTTTATCTGGAAAACCTCTGAGCGGGATTGGTAGCCACTTCCCATTATGGTATGGTTGGATAGAATTCCTGCTGTGGAAAATAAGAGGGATTAGTGATATTAGACTATCTCTTTTGTAGCTCAGGGACTTATCTGTTAACATATATCTCATATCAGCACCTGTTGTTTAGCCCTGTTGTAAACAACAGGACTAGCACCATAGTGGTTAGTGAAGAGTGTAGAGTGAAAGCAGCCACGGGCAATATAGAAGTGAATGAATGCACCTGTGGATATACATAAATGAATGGAATAATATATATAAATGAATGGATATATATAAATGAATGGAATAATATATATAAATGAATGGAAGACATTTTAGATGACGAACTAGGACTTACTGAACATTGACTTCTTTCCGTATAGGATAAAATGTTTTTTGTAAGTATGAGTGTCATGAATGAGAGGAGACTCAGTTCATATAACATGTGTATTAATAATAGGAATTGAAAAACTTAGAGCTTTTTTATGCCCCTCTTTCCTACTTTATCTTGTATCTTTCCACTCCTCTAAGCTGCAGCATTGAGACCCATATCTAAAACTTCTCTACATGCACCTAAACAGGACCAATGGAAACCTATGCACATGGAGGCCAACAAGAAGCTTGGGGAAGGTAAAGGGAAGGTGATTGCCATAACAGAAAGAACACAGGACTCGAAGACAGATAGCCTGGGTTAAAGCTGTAACCCTACCATGGCTATTTCTCTTACCTGAGGCAAATTAATTCACCTCTCTGAGTCTTGGATTTGCTCTGTAATATATGAATGATACTATCTGCATCATAGCGTTGTATTAAAGATTAAGGGATATAATACATGTAGCAGACAGTTTTGATTGCCTACCCAACAATCACTTATGCCCTTCCCCCATCCTAAGCAGAACCACTTTTAACTACGTATCTATTCTCCTTCGGGAGACCCATGAGATTCAGGAAAGGTGGTCTGCAGCCCCAGGAGAAGAATGATGGCAAGCTCTCCTACATGTCAGTTAGTGTCTTAGCCATGACTGTATGACCCAATTCAGGCCCAATAACTGACATGTTATAGGACTTGCCATCAACCAAATGCTGTTAAAATGTCTTTACATACATTAACTCATTTAACACACTATAAGGTAGATACTATTATTCATTTCACAAATGAGGAAGCTAACGAATAGAGAGGTTAAGGAACTGCTTCAAGGAAACACAGCTAATAAATGGTAAAGCAAGGTCCACACCTAGGAGTCTGATCCCAGACTATGTGCTCCTAACCACTGAGCAATATCACTTCCCACAAATGTGAAAATCTCCTAGTAAACTTAAGGAAAACATGTTCTTTATTGATTAAAAAAATGGGAAGAAGTCCTACATTGTTGGGTCTGTATGTGAAACTTCGTACACCTTTAGCCATGTTACTACCCTGAGAGGAACTACAGTGAAATGTAGAGGACAGCAAAACAGAAAGATGAAAATATTTTTTGTTTAAAAATGTCATTTATATCCTGAGCCAATCACCCATTGAACTATGTTATCGTGGATGCATATGTGTGTGTGTGCACGTGAGTGTGTATAAGAGATATGGAGACATTTTTTATCCTAATTATATGACATGTAATTTTATAAATATAAAATCATAATATAAGAAGTATTTTTTTCATCTTTCTTAATGTATAAATCCAAGCTAAAGCTATGGTAAGCTTGTTTTCACAAAGATTGAGCACTAGTTGAGTTAGTAAATTTGTCCTCAATGACTTTACCTTTCTGGTTTGACATGTTTTCCATCTCAAGGCACCTACTGACTTCATCATTTCTTCTTTTACTCCAAGGTCTAAACCAGCTCCCAGAAAAGACCTTGAAAGACACCCACAAGAGGATTTTATTTTTATTTTTTATTTTTTTGGAGACAGAGTCTCTCTCTGTCGCCCAGGCTAGAGTGCAGTGGCATGATCTCAGCTCACTGCAACCTCTGCCTCCCAGGCTCAAGCAATTCTCATGCCTCAGCTTCCTGAGTAGCTGGGACTATAGGCACCCACCACCACGCTTGTCTAATTTTTTGTATTTTAGTAGAGACAAGGTTTCACCATGTTGCCCAAGGTGGTCTTGAACTCATGAGCTCAGGCAATCCGCCCGCCTTGGCTGAGGTTTTTAAATATTTGCAAATAGACCGAAAAAGTTTCTTAACCCAGGGCAATGTCAGTAGGCATAATAGTCCTTTCCAAAAAAAAAAAAAAAAAGGCAGCAGCATAGGTAGTGGAATCTTAGGCATCAGTGGATAACATGGTGTTATTTTGGGCAGTGGGTCAGCCAGGTGCTCCATAAGTCATATCTTGTAGGCGTTTGTTCTTTCAGCAAGCCAGGCCAGCTCTGGTTGCTACTTCTACATACTCTTCTAACACCTGTATTTGCCTGAACATGCAGTTCAAAAGACAGAGAGAGTGGGGGAGAGGGTATTAAACGTGTATTTTGTGCCTCATTTTTTGTCCCATTTCCTCTTCCATCTCTCTCCTTTTTGTTAATTCTTTCTTCCTCTCTCCCCCTTTTCTCTCGTTCTCTCTTCTCTCTCTGTCTTCTTCTCTCCCTTTCCTCTATTCCTCTCTCTGCCTTTCTTTCATAACTGCTTTAATAAAATGATATTTTCTGTGTTTTCTACACAATGCCTTGGGCATTTCAAGAAATACCTTTCCCATCTCTCTGTTTTGATTACTCTGAACAAGGATACACAGCTGGCCCCTTTTCTTTTCGCATAAAACCACAATCCACTAAGCAAATCACTGCTTTTCACTCTGCTGGCTGGAGGGAGAAAGGATCAGATACGTGAGATGAGGATGTGGAAGGGGGGATGGGAAGATAATGACAGATTTGATGATAGTTAATATTTTCTGTGTCTGAATAGTGAAAGTCTCATCCAAGTCCCCAGCCAAGCTCAAGTTAAACTCTTAGTGTGTGGGTTTAAGTGCTCTGCAACCTTGCATGCTGGGGCTGGTTTAGATGAAGTGATGCTGTATATGTGGAATTTTGTGGTTCTTTTTTTATTATCATTACCGAGTAAACCATTCATATCTAAAAAGGAAACTTTAAATCAACCCACTCTCAAGGTGAAATAATGTATTGGGTCTGAGTTACGTAGCCCATAATTTAAATTACCAGAGAGTTTATGTATTAATTATTAAAGGTTTTGGAGTTCCTTGACCACTCATTTTCATGCTTACATAAAACCTCAATTATTCGTGCTTCATATTTGTGCCAGTTTTTTAAAGCAGTGGTACATCTCAGATTTGATAGACTGGTAATGGTTTTCATGTCCATTGAAATGACATTCAGCTTCTACCAGAGTTGAGGACTGGAAATGCCTCCTATGTGACTCTCATGTTTTATTCCAGTGTTTCTTTCAAAAAGGCAATGTGTCATCTCTTTTATATCAGTAATAGAAATTAAGAAACAAACAAGATTTTCTCTAATATGATTTGTTGGAAATTTTTGATTCTGTGATATCAGAGTGCTTTAATTTTAATAAATGTGTTTTAAAAGAGAGTAACTGAATACATTTAGGGTTTATTTGCTATGAAATTAACATTTATAGAGGTTCTCTTAAAAATAATATTGGGTGGCTCATGAAAGCCCAGAGAGAAGGTTTTCTGTTGGGGAACGATCAGCAGTGACTGGTCAGTTGTTGATTTCATAAACATTTGTTAAATCTACATGAGGCAAGGGATTATCACCATATCATTTTATTTAATCTTTACGATAATCCGGAAGGTAAACAATTATTTTCTTCCTTTAAAATCAGAAAAACGTGAGGCACGAGGAGACTAAGTTAGTTACTTGTCTAGATCACAGAGCTAGTAACTAGCAGAGCTCTAGAGTCCAAACCTGAGTCTTGTGTTAAATAAATCCAAGATGTGGATACAGGCGTTAGTACTTTAAATTTACTTTGCCATTTTTATGTTATTGAACAGATAAGATGACTGGAGACTTTTCCCTTGGCCTATTACCAGATTGTATGAAAATCAGGGACAGGGCAATGATATTTAACAAAAATGAATGCACCGATGCACCAATATTACAAGGACATGTATCCTCTGTAGTCTCACCCACGTTTCCCAGGTTTGGATAAATGTTTCTCCATTAAAGTTGGGAAGGACATTTTCTGCTTGCATCCCTCCCCGCATTTTTCTTTTCCCTTTTGAATTCCTCACTTTTACTTTTTTTTTTTTTATTATACTTTAAGTTTTGGGGTACATGTGCACAACGTGCAGGTTAGTTACCTATGTATACATGTGCCATGTCGGTGTCCTGCACCCATTAACCTGTCATTTAACATTAGGTATATCTCCTAATGCTATCCCTCCCCCCCCCTCCCCCCACCCCACAACAGGCCCTGGTACGTGATGTTCCCCTTCCTGTGTCCATGTGTTCTCATTGTTCAATTCCCACCTATGAGTGAGAACATGTGGTGTTTGGTTTTTTGTCCTTGCCATAGTTTGCTGAGAATGATGGTTTCCAGCTTCATCTGTGTCCCTACAAAGGACGTGAACTCATCATTTTTTATGGCTGTATAGTATTCCATGGTGTATATGTGCCACATTTTCTTAATCCAGTGTATCATTGTTGGACATTTGGGTTGGTTCCAAGTCTTTGCTATTGTGAATAGTACCGCAATAAACATATGTGTGCATGTGTCTTTATAGCAGCATGTTTCCTATTTAATAAATGGTGTTGGGAAAACTGCCTAGCCATATGTAGAAAGCTGAAACTGGATCCCTTCCTTACACCTTATACAAAAATTAATTCAAGATGGATTCAAGACTTAAATGTTAGACCTAAAACCATAAAAACCCTAGAAGAAAACCTAGACAATACCATTCAGGACATAGGCATGGACAAGGACTTCATGTCTAAAACACCAAAAGCAATGGCAACAAAAGCCAAAATTGACAAATGGGATCTAATTAAACTAAAGAGCTTCTGCACAGCAAAAGAAACTACCATCTGAGTGAACAGGCAACCTACAGAATGGGAGAAAATTTTTGCAATCTACTCATCTGACAAAGGGCTAATATCCAGAATCTACAATGAACTCAAACAAATTTACAAGAAAAAAATCAAACAACCCCATCAACAAGTGGGCGAAGGATATGAACAGCCACTTCTCAAAAGAAGACATTTATGCAGCCAAAAGACACAGAAAAAATGCTCACTTTTTCTTAAAAATGAACTTCATTATTCTTCTACAATACTAGTTAACACACTGTTGGAAAAGAAAGGTGTTATAAGAAGTTTGGGAAAGTGCTTGATGGCCTTCACTTGTGAATGTTTCCTGCCAGGCCTAGGCGAGGAAAGGCGGGCGTAGGCTGCTATGGAGCTCCCCTCAGTGACACTGCACCTGTTCTGTGTGTTTTAGAGATGGAAGGGCCCTTTGAGGACATCTTTTCTGACTTGTTCCATAGAATCACACACATAAAACAAAGTGTTCAGTGCTCCAAGTAAATGAAGGAATACCAGATTGCATAAAGCTAAGTAGATTTCTTACTGATACCTTTCCAGATTATTAGACTAATGTCCATTGTGAATGTCTGAAAGAGCAAAGCGTTTCCTAACATTTTTGATCACAGAGCACTTTCTTCATAGAGCCTTTTTCACATCAATATTACAGACATTGTACATAATTTCTTTCTCAGAGTAATTCTTTAAGGTGGGTAGTAACTCTGTTTTATCTGAGAATCAAAAAGGCTGATTCACTTGCTCGAGGTCCTACAACTCGAATTGTCCAGTTGTATTCAAACTCAAGTCTCCTGACTCCAAAGCCTGTGATTTTCCCCTTAGACGATTCTGCCTTGTACTATCTCCATAGAGACTTCTCTCACTTTCCACACATGCTAGTTTATTTTTTTTTCTGAGTACAATATTTCACTTATATCAGTTTGTAGTAGACACTTTTGAGGGATGTTGTCTCCTGCATGTTAGTCTTGCCTGAGTGAGGTCCCTGCTCTCAAAGATGGAGCTTCAGAAGTCTTGTTCTGACCCTTCTCTTGACTTAATTTGTACAATTTACCTTCAAGCTCACTCTGCTAGAAACATGCTGGCTTCCTTGGTACTTCTTTTAAAATGCCAAAAAAATGCTTCTGGTTTCAGCCTTAAATTTGCTGTCCTCTCTGCTTAGAATGCTATTCCCCAGATACCACATAATCACTCCCTCTTTTTTTTTAGATCTCAGATCAAATGTCACCTTCCCAGAACACTGACCACCCTATGAAAAACAGGAACTTTCCCACTGCATTAGTCTTGTTGCTTTACTCTGTTTTATTTTTTTTATATCATATCCTTCTGCCACATAGTATATATTTGTTCACTTCCTTCCTGTCTCCATGCCAGAAGGTAAGCTGTATGAGAACTGAGATTTGGTTTTGTTCACTGATGCATCCTCTGTGTCTACAACAATGCCAATCCAGAGTAGGAGCTCAACAAATAGTTGTTGAAGGCAATTAAGTGAATGCATGTTTATTTCATATTACCTCCTACTTCCAGGACATAGGGGCAGATATCTCTCTCAAGCAGGATCAATCAGATTCTCCTGCCTATGTATTTGGAATTGGGACTGAGAGATACTAGTCAGGATTTGAGAATTGGGACTGGGAGAAGGATGGGAAAACACATAACCTCAGATTTGTAGGCCAGCCACATGCATATGGAAACAGAGGAATGTCTCTGATCTCTTGTCAAAGAGAGAATAAGGTACAGTTAGTTGCACACAGGAAAGTTCAGACATAGGAAACCATATGACCAGAGACAGAGAGAGATGAAATGACAGCAGGCTTCCTTGGTAGCTTCCTACTTTCTTTTCTTTATCTGTTATGAGGCCAGGCTCCAGTTCTCTGTCAGGTGATGGGAGGCACTCCTGTATCCTTCTAACGAACTCCTCTTTTTCACTTGGGTCAGCTTGGGTGATTTAATTGTAAGGATAATATACAGCTGTTGAGATTAACAGAGGCTTATACAGTTGTTGATGATGAATTTCAGGATTGATGGCTCACGGAGGGCAGCAGGGCCTCACCCTCCTTTTGTCTTTCCATTTTGCTGTCTTTTGCCTGAAGACCCTGACATTCATCATGCTTGTCACCGCATGGTTGCAAGATAGCACTGCACCGTGTAGCCTCACTCTGCATTTCAGACAGGAAGAAAGGGAAAAGAGAGGAGGCAAAGAGCTTTCTCCCAGTGACGCTTTGCCTTTTACAATTGAAGAAAAGATCTTCCTTGGGGAATTCTACTTGTCTCATTGTCCAGACAATGTTGCACGGTCATCTCTAGGCAGAGGAATCAAGTATTTTGGCTTTATAGATTTCTATATGTGGATGGCAAAAGAAAAAAAGGTTGCACACACAGTACCTGTTTCTTTCTTTCTTTCTTTTTTTTTTTTTTTGAGACAGAGTCTTGCTCTGTTGCCCAGGCTGGAGTGCAGTGGCACGATCTCGGCTCACTGCAAGCTCCGCCTCCCAGGTTCATGCCATTCTCCTGCCTCAGCCTCCCGAGTAGCTGGGACTACAGGCGCCCACCACCACACCTGGCTAATTTTTTGTATTTTTAGTAGAGACGGGGTTTCACCCTGTTAGCCAGGATGGTCTCGATCTCCTGACCTCGTGATCTGCCCGCCTCAGCCTCCCAAAGTGCTGGGATTACAGGCGTGAGCCACCATGCCCAGCCTACTTGTTTCTTTAAAGATGCCGAGTTAATATTGCCTAGAGGAATCACTGGATTTTTCTAATGATGCTTAAATACCAGCATTTTCAATAAAAAGGCCATTCTTTCAGCAAAACTCAAATGTGTTTATTTTTTGCCTATTTTCCCCCAATTTTAAGGTGTGATTTTTAATGAAAGAACGTTTTAGGTGGGAATTTGCGAAAAGATTGAGAATTGAGTTCATAATGATGAAATGACTTTATCACCCAACTTTAAAATTGTGAGAATTTTAATTTTTAAATTAAAAAAATTTAAGTTAATAAAATTTAAATTTAAAAAATTTAAATTTTTAACACAAAGTTTATGTCTGAGACAGTGAGAGAGAAAAGAGAGAGACAGAGGAAAAAGAGAGAGGAGAGAAAATTATGTGTGTATATGGTTGTGTGTGTGTGGTTGTGTGTGTATACACAACCAAAATTTAGCTAAATAATAAAACTAGTTTTCAAAATGTTTAGATTCAGATCAATAATGTAGTTGCTTCACTTTTTAAAAAATGAATAACATTGTATGTAAAAAAAAGATGCTGCTATTTGTGATAAACTAATATAACAAAGTCTATATAAACTTTAGGATTTTTTTCTGCAACGTGTAGTGAGATTGTTGTGAGAAGTAAAAACAAAACTTCAAAGGCCAATGTACATTGCAGGAGAAGAGGAATGAATATTATAGCACATAGGATGACTAAGAAAAGCTATATATTAATACTATTCACCATCTAATTTTGGGATGATATGCTTGTTTTTTAAAGGTGCAAACCTGATCAATATCCTGATCATAAACCAGTAACTGAAGCATATTCAGCTTTGTAAATGACCTTGGGGCCTTTGCATTCTATCTCTTCTTAACTCCAGCTAACCTTTGATTCCGCTTTCCAATGTCCCCTTTTGCTTTTCTTTCCTCTTCCCACCTCAGTGGGGTCAAAGGCTTCTCACCTCTAAGCCTAACTCTGGGCAAACAGTATCATTCTGAGCTAAGTCGCAGTTTCAAAACTTTAAATAGACTTCATTATGATGCATAAGCAAATTAACCTTTGTAAGGGCAGCTTGCTGCAAGGAAGAAAGAAATTACTCAGCTGTTACTGCATCTATCGCAAACCACTGATTTGTGCCTAATAATGTGAGTTTTGAAAATAATCAGCATAAGATGGTCTTGCAAGATTCCAGCTTGTTATGAGGTAACCGAGTTTATGGGTGCCTGTATCTGTACGTGAGCCTTTCCTCCCCAAAAGCATTTATGGAAAATTTTATAATCATGTGTCACTCACCGATGTACTGTGTATTAGAGGGTAAGTCTAAGAGAGTAAAAACCTGGGCTGAAAAAAGCTGATTGGACCTTTAGCTTGTCTGATTGCTGAGTGATGGGAAACACACTGCACCTGCACTTCTTCCCCGTGGCTGTCTCCACCTGTATACCCCACAGGCATCTCAGACTCATCATCTTTCCCCTATATCTTGCTTCCTTAAAAACCTGCTTCTCTTCTGTAGGTCTTTATTTATGAGGATGGCCTCATTATCTTCCCAATTATGCAGGCTTAAAAAATCAGTCATTTTTCACTTCTTTCTCCCCCCGACCCCAAATCCAATCAGGTTGTCAAATTCAATCAAGTCAATCTTTGCCACATTTCTCAAACCTAACTCTTTCTGTTCCTACTGTCATGATCTTACTTTGGGTGTTTTTTTTTTTTTCTCTTGCTTCAATGATTTTGATGTTTTCCTGACTGTGATTCTATGTAGTGGTTAAGAGCTGAGATTCTGGAGACCTGCTGCCCCTGCTTAAGTTCAGGTTGAATCACTTGTTGACTACGTAGTCTTTGAAATGTCATTTAAATTATCTTTCTTTTGGTTTCTTCACCTGTAAAATGGGGATGATGATAGTTTTTACTCAGAAAATTGTGAGAATTAATTGAGACTACTTCTTTAACGTGCCTAATACAGCAGCACTAGGTAAATATTAAGTACTATGAGATTATTGTATCACCCTTTCAGTCTTACCAGTCTTTCAATCTATTCAACTTAAATCTATCAGATTACCTTATTAAAATACCATGCTGATCAACCTATATCTTTGCTCAGATTTTTGCCCACGATGCTCTATTATCTACTTATGCTTTATAAATGGGATTACAGAAAATCTCAGGTAACAGAGTTGTTATAGCTACTACAAGAAGCCACAGGATAAACATGCCATATCTACCTGAAGCCTAAATTTAATCAATTAAATGGTGTACATTTTCAGATATTGCTTTTATGTTAAAATCAACCAATGTAAATGAAATGCAATAGGAAACATAATTATATGGTTTTAATGATAAAACAATTGCAAATAAATTTTGTGTTTATGGCAAGTGGTCATGGCTCTATGGCAGTGGGGGTGTTCTACTGGCAAAATATGAGAAGCAGTAATGTGCAGCTTCATAGCCTGACTTATAAGAACTTTGCATTATGGTCCTAATCTACTTTTCTATTCTATCTATTTCTAGATTTCACTTATATAAATCATGACCTTGCCAAATCAGACACGTTGATTTTTCCCATATATGTCCCATCCTTCCTCTGCCAGTTAATTAACTTACATGGTTCCCTCCTTTTACCTGTTCTAAACCACTTAACACCTCCTCCCAACACTCACACACTCATGTCTACATTCATCCATGTCTTAAAGCCCACATTTCAGCGATGAATCGATAGAGTGTGATAAAGTAAAGAGAAATATGGAAGATGACTTGATGATATCTTTCGTTGAGCACATTAACATAGAAAGCTTTGTCTTAACCCCTGTTAGGAATAAATAGAACAAACAGATACGTTTTCCATCGATGAAATCAGCAATTAAGTGGCAGCTTTTATTAAGAGGCTACTGGTTTTCTTTGAAAGGAATAACATTTTATGAAGGAAAAAGTCTCTGAATGTTTCCAGGGCAGAGAAGTTTGGCCAGGTTTTACTGTGGACTATTGCAGGTGTAGAAGAAGACGTTTAGGAGAGGCCATTTTGAAAAAGCTTTGCAGATGTGTTTTGAATGATGCAGGCTGAGACCCTCTCATAATAGTGAGTACAAGTGCTGATGTTGGGGAGTTAGTTGAAAAGTTAACAGGATGGGAAAGTTTTCTAAGATTGTGTGACTGAATCCTGAGACAGCTGTAGTTTAGTTGAAAAATCTTTAGTGGCCCATTTCTTTTTGTTGTTGTTGTTGAGACGGAGTCTTGCTCTGTCACCCAGGCTGGAGTGCAGTGGCCCGATCTCCACTCACTGCAAGCTCCGCCTCCGGGTTCACGCCATTCTCCTGCCTCAGCCTCCCGAGTAGCTGGGACTACAGGGGCCCACCACCACACCTGGCTAATTTTTTTTATTTTTAGTAGAGACGGGGTTTCACCATGTTAGCCAGGATGGTCTCGATCTCCTGACCTCGTGATCCGCCTGCCTCAGCCTCCCAAAGTGCTGAGATTACAGGGGTGAGCCACCGCACCCAGCCGGTAGACCCATTTCTAAACCTAGGTCTGGCTTCAACAAATTATGGGACCTTAGGGAAATTGTCTTTCTGAATCATAGTTTCACCCATCCAACCAAACAGAAATAATAATGGGGATATGAGGACCAAATGAGGTGATCTGTTTGTATGTAAAAATACTTTGTATATTTTAATGGAGTCTCTTTTATCTCTGAAATGGAGATAATAATATAGCTCTTCATAGGGTGATTCTGAGGATTAAATGAGAAAGCCATGCAGTACATTTACAAGGTGTTTGAAACTATGGTGCCAAAGAGAATAAGTATTAGCCATCATTATTATCATCACTGTTACTATTTATGTGTCACACCAATGAATGGATATGATACTATTATGGTAGCATTTTGGTTTTAGTTTTCACACTAATTTTTGATTTAGGGGACTAAAGAAGTAGTATTGTTATGCTTTTAACCCCACGACAATTCTTAATCTGAGAAGCCAAGTCCCTGTTTTAGTGATCTTGCCAACTATGTTTTATTTGCATAGTGCTTTGTTTACTGCAAAGAGCTTTGACAAATATATATCTCATTAGCTCCTGAAAACAACCCTGATCATTAAGCAGGGCAACACTGACACACCAATTGGGAGATGAACAAACTGAAGCTGGGAGCATTGTGTTTTGGCCAGAGTCACATAGAAAGTTGGTGATGGTTACAGTGGGCTCCTCTGGCTGCTACTGCAGAGACATCCCAGAGCTCTGGGTAGGCTTCTACTTATCAATGGCTGACATTTCAGGTGAGCTCCGGGAGGACAGGTACTAAAACACAAATGTCTTCTAATTCTCCAGATGCCAAGCAGCATTCAAGCACATAGTAGGATTTGAAAACTACTTTTCGAATTCCCTTTTTAAACAATTTGAAAACATCTTCTGTGTTATTTCTTGATGATTCTAAATATAGCAATAAGATGTAATCTGTTTTAAAACTTTTTTGCAGCATCAGTGTAGGGACTCTAAAAAAGGCAGTTAAAACTTCTGCAGTTGCAGAATTTACACAGAATAGTCACAGTGATTATTTCTGGGTGGTGGGACTCAATGTAATTTTCTGAAGTTTTTGCTTTTTTTTTTTTTTTTGCTTATCTGTACTTTCTACCTGTTTTTTTTCCCTCCCATTAAATTTTATGTAAAAATAGTAATTACATTAGGTTATCAACAGTACCACCCTTTGGAGCTAGTGAGTGTGTTTTCCACATACTATTTTGGTGACCTTGAACAACTGCTTTGTCTCTCTGTTTTCAGTTTCCCTGTCTATGAAATGGAATAATAATAATAACACACAGCTAATAGGGCTGTGGGGAGATTAACAGAAATAACAGAAGGATCCTGGCATGTGATAGGTGCTCAATTAATATATGGCTACCACCACTCTTACCTCTTCTTCCCTACTCTTCAAACTTATAGTAATTTGGGGCTAGAGAACAATTTCAGGGGTGGCTTTAACTTCTTTATGGAATAAACCATACACACTTGCAGAAAACAACTGAGCAAAAGCTTTAAGGTGACAAGTTATCATAAATCTCAGTTCTTTCCCACACATCCCTTAGTGACTGGCTCTTACAAGATTTTGTTATTAAATACTACCTGGCAACGAGCAGAGATGGCTGGCCAGATTATCCCACAAGGAAGGCTAGGAAGCATTGTTTAGAAAGGTGTCCTTGGAGGTAAGGGGATGGATGAGAGGGGCCTCTGCAGGGTGTATTGGGCTGCTTTCTGAGACAGGCCAAAATTCAGGCATTCTGGGGTCCCACATGTGCTTGTTTTGGCCCTTGTTTGGATCACTCTGCTTAATAGGAACCGGCAACCTCCGTTTCAGAGCTTGGGCTCAGTTTAGACAGCTGTCTAATTGGTTTATGTCATTCATTAGGCATTTCTTTTCTTTAAAGTTGGCAACTTGATGCCAGATTATGGGGAGAGATTCCGTACCACCCATGTCTGTTTTGTTGTTCCCCAGGTTATAAATGAGATGATGTGGAGGCTCCTCTGGCAGTGTCCTTAGCTTGGCTCCCAATTTCAACATTGTTAGAGTCCTGCTGTGTTTGGACTGGAGGCTCTCCCCTCCCACTTCCGCTGTCACACACCAGGAACTATGCTGGTGCAATGTGCCTGCAGGGCTAGCCACTTTCTTCTTTCCTCCTGCACTGAAAACTGAGGGTTTCCTGATCTGGGACCTGGATAACTAAAGGCTCTCTCACCCCTGAAAAGGGATTGCCAGAGGGAAGATGGGGAAAGGTGTGGCGGGAAAGGGAGCAAAAGGTGCCAAGGATAGGTTTCCTACCCCACAGATTCCTGCAGCTCAGCAGGCTCAGGAATAGTCTCATTTCCCCTCCCACCAAACTTGCACTGACTGTTCTGGTTAAGGGCATCAGTGTCTTCTCACTCATCAAGGATGAAAACCTCAGGACCACAAAATAGAAAGGGACATGGTGCAATTTTTCAAAGATATTTCCATCTAAAGATTAAGATTCTATTATCTTTGACTCACAAGTCTGTCTCCTCCTTTTTATTCTCTTTGTCACTTCCCTGTTTCAGGTCCTCACAGTTCCTCCACTCACAGGCTCCTAACTGTTCTCCCTTGCTTTTACTCTCCAAAATCCATCTTGTCTGTCAAGTTCCGACCATTTAATCGTCACAAGTCAAAGCCACGGCCCAGTTCATATCTCTTCCCTTATTAAAAGCTTGCCTCAGTCTGCAATTGTTTGCAAGATAAACTCCTGAGCCTAGTTTCCAATATCTTCTACTACCTGTCTGCAATCTATCTGTCCAACCTTTTGGCCTGTTTCCCTATGAACACTAAGTTTGAGCTACACTGGAACATTCAACACGTACCTTTTCTTCTGTGTATACTGTATGAAGGGCTAAGAAAAAAGCATAGTTGGGTATACAAAACATGTGAATGTCTCATTAGCTTACTTTTCTCACCAGATGGTTATGCCCATAGGAAACTGACTGGTGATTTTGAAAATTGAAGTTTAAATTTCTGGAGAATGATAAAAGGGAAGAGATCAGGAATCAAGTACTTAGATACCATGTCACCTCTGCAGTGATATGGAAGATCCTATGGGGAAGTGGGGGAGGAAAAGCCAGTTCTTTCTTGGAGCCAATTCCAAATTATATAATAACCAGATTTATGGCATAATATTGCCATATAAATCATATATAATGGATTAATTTGTGCTCGGGGCCCACTTTGCTTGTTGAGTGAAAGAAAATGAGCAAAGGTTGAACTGGAATGATCAATTAACTTTACTGAAACACTCATTAGTCTACAAGATTTCTGTGGGAGGCTTACCTGTAAAAAAATGCTACCAGCTCCCCAGCTCCACTGTGTCCCCTTTAGAGAGGTGGTAAGTGGGGTGTGTATCGCAGGGGGAAATACACAGGTCTTGTTTCAAATAGACCAAAGACAATACTTCAGCAATTTGAAATAGGTTCTTTGAACATTAATTTCCTCATAAATATAGCAAATATTATCTATAAGATTTCTATAATATTTGAAGACAATGAATATGAAGATGTGTAGACCATGTTCCCTTTTCTGTGTCACCTTTAATTACACAACCCTTACAGTTACACACACACACACACACACACACAGCGCGCAAGCAGGAAGAAACTGGTTAATTTTTTTTTTATTACACTTTAAGTTCTAGGGTGCATGTGCACAATGCGCAGGTTTGTTACATATGTATACATGTGCCATGTTGGTGTGCTGCACCCATTAACTCCTCATTTACATAAGCTTTAGGACAATGCTAATTATTTACCTCACCTACGGTGAGAAGTAGAAAAACTCCAACACTTTCCCACATTCACGCCTTTGTTTTATGTGCTTCTATGTGGAATAATCTTTCTCCAATCTTTGAATGACCATTTCTCATTATACTTTTTCATGCCCTGGTTAAATCGCCACTTCTTCCAAAATTGACTTATCCTCAAATCAGATGTGGAATCTGCCCTCTGTAATGAAAGCTTCTCCCCTCAGTTTTCTCCTGTCTTTCTTAGAACCCGTATCTTTCCTAGTAGACTGTGAGCAACCTGAATGCAGAGGCATTTCCTTGTTCGTCTTTGATCAACAATGCCAAGGCTGTGTTGTGAACACAGTTCAGCTCAGTACACATTTGTGGAATGAATAATATTGTTGCTAAGTTAGAGTTCAGTATTTACATCTTTTAAACTACATTATCTCTGTGGCTTTAAATTAGATTCATTTTGTTTAGTATTCATTAGTTAACATAAACTCTATTGGGTACTACTCAGATTGCAAAAAAAAAAAAAAAAAAAAAAAAAAAGGCCTTGGTCTCTTTGACCCTTAAATTATTATGAAGGAGTCGCTTTAATATTCAGAGACTCATTTCTTCTCTGCTCTCTGTAGAAATGTGTGGGGATATGGTAGTGGAAAGCTTCATTGATATCCCAAGCATCTTTAGGGGATTGTGTGTACGTGCACATTTTCATTTAAATGATTGGAAGTTCTCAAGGGCGCGTGATGTTTTACTAGACATAATGCAGGATTAATTAAAGACCGTGCTCAAACTTTGTCTTTCTGGCTCTTACAGTATTTTGGATAATGCTTACAATGCAAATAGAATTAATTAGCCACATAGTGAAACGTTTTGCCACATCCTAATTATGTTGTGGGGAAAGATGATTTACTTAGTTTCATTTTAAAATGATGCTTTAAAAAAAAAAAAAAAAAAACATTTAGACTGTTTCTTAAGCCTTGACCAGGATAGGAGTTTGCGTTTTTGTTTCTTGGTTTGTTGACCCGTTTGGGGCTTTATCTCCCTTAATTCAAGAACTGTTTCTAAAACGGAGGTACACTTCATGATGAGTTGGTAAGTCAATGCTGGTCTTACCAGGACAGAACAAACTCAATTTATTTTGCTTTTGCCTTGAGCATTTAGCCTAAATAAGTCATCAGGAGAGTTTGTTCTCTGCCTCACAATTTCTGATCAAAATCTTCTTTGTGAAAGATCAGGTGCCAAAGATGGAATTTAACTGTGAGCTGTATTTTCCATGCCTAATTTCTTCAAAAGTTAATTTGAAAAACCAACTCTTCACAATGTAGTTTAGCAGAAGCAGGTATGAAAAAGCTTAGAAATTAGAAATTATATTTGATGGTGAATTTCAGGTGAGTCAGCAATGTGGTAAATCACCAACACAGCTAATGTTGCTGTTGGCTAAATTGCAAATATACAGACGATTACAATTATATAAGGATATATATACAATTATACACAGACATACACAATTATGTGTAGATCTGTATATCTGTATACGGATGAACAGAAGGAGGGTGTTTCATGGCATATTCCATAGTGATTGGATCACTGTTGTAGTATTGTTTCCTTTTTATGGCCACATACTTTAATAAGGACATTGGAAAACTAGAAATAAGGACATTGGAAAACTAGAACATGTTCAGAAGAAGGCGAAGCAATTGGCTGGTGAAGCAACTTTGACCTTGTCAAAAGAGGAGTGGTTGAAGAAATAGGTGTCTGTTGTAGTTGCTATTGCTTTTTAAAATAAATAAATGGAGAGTGACAGGGAGATTATATGATAAAAGTGTTGTATCACTGTAAACATTTGAATAATCTTCAAACAAACCTTATACTAGTCTGTTTCCTTGATAAAAATATTTTTTGAAGACTTAAGTATTATAACTCCACTAAATGATAGAAACAGTGTCTGAATTGCAGCCTTTGGGTGCCTTTCATCACAATTCACTGATAAACCCTCTTCTTCTTCTTCTTCTTTTTTTCTGAAACAGGATTTTACTCCCATAACCCAGGCAGAAGTACAGTGGTGTCATCTCAGCTCACTGCAACCTCTGCCTCTTGGGTTCAAGTGATTCTGCCACCTCAGCCTCACGAGTAGCTGGGACTACAGGCACGCGCCACCAAGCCCGGCTGATTTTTATATTTTTAGTAGAGACAGGGTTTCACTATGTTGGCCAAGCTGGTCTCGAACTCCTGACCTCAAGTGATCTGCCTGCCTCATCATCCCAAAGTGCTGGGATTACAGGCATGAGCCACCATGCCCGGCCACTGATAAACCCTCTTCTGCTTAGATTCCTGTCTTGCAATCAGGTAAAAATGACCATGCCTTTCACTTCTCATTCAATACCCATGCCCTAGGTGCATAGTTTAGATGACCCTTCTTTTGATCCCTTTCTAGCTGTGCCCATCCCCGCGGCCTGAGGAGCCCTCAGGGCCAAGGATATTTGCCAATCCAGATCCCATACTGCTCCTCCCACTCCCTCTGACTACTTGTTCTTAGGTGGGGTTAGGATCACCTGGGAGCTCATTAGATGTACAGAGTCCAGAATTTCAGGCCCACTCCAGACCAGCTGGATCAGATTCTGGATTTTAAGAAAACCCCAGGTGATTCAGATGCTCATTAGAGTTTCTCAAGCATTGTTCTAAACCACGCTCTGAGTGTCTGAAAACCTAAAACTTTTTACCTGATGGCCCTACCTCTGCTTGCAGGGCTTGTGCGAGTTTTTCCAATGGGGCTGTCCTTCAAAGAGCATATCGTGCTGCCAATGGACATAGACATAGGGCTGAGGGGTGACCAAGAACTGACCATTTGGGAAGAGGACTCATGTATGGAACTTGGGAACATGGGGCTGGTTGTTCTCATTCATGTATGCAAAGCCTGCTATGCTAAGGGACAGAACACTAGGACTGGGAGAAATGGAGGGAGGATCCCAGGTCTCCGTCTGAACTATCGCTCTGGGCCTGGGTGGAAATGCAAAGCTCTGTGGTAGAAGTAAATCTTAAATAAAAACAAAATCATAAAACCCCAAACTCATATGTATGCAAAGCAATATTATTGCAACACGAAGATAAATCAAAAACTTCAAGTAAAACTTAACTCACTTACCCCAAAGCAAATATACACTGTGGAATGTAGGTGAATCAGCTCTATTTCAGGAAACATTGGCATTTCTTGACTTTGTACATAGCTTAGTATTTTACACCATTTTCCTTCTTTGCCCGCCTGAATTTCTGATTTAACAGGTTGTGATGGGAGCCAAAAAAGCTAGCAGGAATGTAAAATAACTCAGAAAATTATTTTCTTGTGATTGACTTTGCAGGGTTCTGTTAAAGAAATGCTTTAAACCAGTGATGAGATAGACCCTTTAGGTAACAGTCTTGCACTAGCTCTGCTGAGTATGTCTCCTGTCTCTATTTTTCAGAGGAGGAAACATACTGAGTGTTAAAGTGACTTCTCCAAGGTCACACAGTAATGCTGGTGCTGAGATTTGAACTCAGATCTGCATCCTCTGACCTCTAAGACTTCTTTTATTACATAAAAGTACTTCATCAGTGGCATGGGATTTTTGTTGTCTGAGTTTCACCTGTGGTTGGTAGAATATACTCACTTTGGCAGGGAAGGGGCCACAGAATACCCAACCCTTGCTCAACAGTTTGAATGATTCATGAGGGCCATAACCTAGAGAGTGTGTGTGTGGAAAACCTAGAGGGTATGTGTGTGGAAGTTTGCTTTGTCATATAACTTACTGTATGAAATATCATAAACTTCTTCAGGAAATGTCATGAGCTGAAAGAGAAAACAAATGAATGTATCATGTATCTTCTCTTGAAATTTGTTCCATTTCAAATTCCTCCAAAAGTGGGGAAAGCAGAGCCTTCTGTACCCACCACCCTCTCGGGCAGACCCATGGTTTCCTCAAGGGCCATGACAGCAGGGCTAGAAGTTTGTGTTAACTGGTCTAACTGCCCGTGTATGTATTCCAGACCATCTACTCCCAACCTCTCTTGAGAGGAAATGGAAACAGGAGATTTAGAAAAATGGGTTTTTTTTTTTTCTGAGAATTTTTTTTTTTTTACTTAGTTATTCTGTGCATGCTGAAACTTGTTTTTTTAGGGTGCTCAAAAGTACTTCCTTTTAAGAGGAGAGACAAAAATTTACACAAACCTGAGGCCAGTGATTTGCCAAATGTACCAATTCATAATGAAGGGAGTTGCCTCAAAATGTTTCCTTTATTGTGTAGCATTTTTCTTGGTAGCTTTGTAAGAGAAGCTCTTTCCTCTGTCTACCTGGCAACCTCTTGGCACGGAAAGCCTTCAATATAGATGTGACATGCCAGCATCTGCGGCAAAACACTTTCAAAGCAAGCCGTATACTATATGCATGCAAACGTATAACTCTTTCTATCCTGGGCATTTCTCGAAATATCTGTTACATACCCCTCAAAATTGATGAAGGATTTCTCTCATCTCCCTCAAACAAACAGGAAACACTTTAAAATCTCATTTTTAAACAGAACAACTCAGAAATATAGACTAATGAAAAATAAAAACAGCTGGAGTCAGATCACTCTGCTCTGAGGAATGGGCATTTTTGTTTTATTTTGAGTTGTGTATTTTTTTTTTTTTTTTTACAGTAAAGATCATGGGTCTACTCATGTCCAACCGATTTGACCATGAACTGCAAAATGGATATCATGGGGGCCATGAACATGATTTAGACATCGACCCTATTCTTGATCAGCTCACAGTTCATTTGATGATGTAACATTAGTATATAGAATAATTTCATATTGATGAAGTTATCACAAATGTTTTAAGACAGGCTCAGGAAGTGGAATGGTTTGGTTGGAGCTGTGAGGGGTTGTGGTTTTGGATATTGGAAATGCATGCTAGAATTCTACTCAAAAGGTTGTGTATCTGGCTGAGAAAGTGTTTCTGAATTTGGTAGGCAACTGGAAGCCACTTTAGTTTTCTGAGCTGGTTGGAGTGACACTATGGAGCAAGGTAGAGAGCAGATTAATTTAGGTGAAGAGAGACCACACATAAAAAAGTGAACTCTATAATGATTATCTTCGTGTATGCTTACTGGGAAAGCAAACAATTGGTTGGCATAAATGCTTCTTTTCTTCATTGTCCTGTATAGCCATAGGATACCATGGGATTATCAGGGGATATGGAATCAAGAGACCTAAAATCTAGTGCCTGATCTAGCACCTACTACTTAATGTCTTTAGACCTAACTTTCCTCATCTGTAAAATAGAGATTATAAAACTATCTTGTGAGCTCATGGTAAGAACTAGACATAATGTATGTAGATGTCTTAGCGCATTGCCTGGAACAATTTAGGCCTCGCTCTTAAGACAGATGACACATCTTAAATATGCAGGTTATCATTTCCATGTAAAAATAATACATGCTCATTACAGAAAGTAAGAATTTTCAAAAGAAGAAAAAGAGTTGTGTCAATAGTGTTAAAGTTCTATTGTGTCTTTTTCAATCCTGTTATATGCTTCCCACTCAGGTTTAGTGCCAGGGTAATGAACTGGAAAGAAAGCAGGCTTAATGTTATCCTTCTTAAGATTTTACTCTTCCTCTTGCCAGATTTGCTTTGCTGTTTGTAGGAAGAAGAACCAGAGCTAGACCAGATAAGCTCCAGATCCCTGCATCTGGCTTTTCACTTCCATCACTGAAGACATATTCCTGGTCCAGACCTAGAATCTGAGCACTGTTGGGAGTAGGCAACTTCTGCCAGCAATGCCAATAAATGTCCCCTTTGTTAACCAGCCCTCAGATATCCTCAATATTCCTACTTTACTAGTAGAGCTCATGGCTCTTGACCGGAAATCCAGGTCAGAGTTCTATCTCTGGGTCAGAAATATCTGGTTGTAAATCCTGGCTCTCACTAGTTCTGTGCCTTTAGAATTTTCATAATTCCTTTCTAATTTTCAGGTATCAACAATTTATGAAGAACAATGAGATAATGGATGATAAAATGTTTGTGTGCTGGGCACGGTGGCTCATGCCTGTAATCCCAGCACTTTGGGAGGCTGAGGCAGGCGGATCATGAGGTTGGGAGATCGAGACTATCCTGGCTAACACAGTGAAACCCTGTCTCTACTAAAAATACAAAAAAAATTAGCCAGACGTGGTGTCACACGCCTGTAGTCCCAGCTACTCAAGAGGCTGAGGCAGGAGAATCACTTGAACCTGGGAGGGAGAGGTTGCAGTGAGCCAAGATCCTGCCACTGCACTCCAGCCTGGGTGACAGAGTGAGACTCCATCTCAAAAAAAAAAAAAAAAAAAAAAAAAAAAGTTTGTGTTCTGTAAGACACTTTCCAGCTAGCAAATATTGAATGCCTAGTAGGCACTGTTAGAGGCTTCACATTTTAAATTACATTTAACACTTTATAGTATGTTTTTGAGAAAAATACAACTAATTCCACTTAACAGAAAATTAAGGTGCAGCAAGATTGGTAAACCTGCTACTCAGTGAAGTGGCAACCATCATTGAATCTGTTGAAGATAAAGGTTATATTTCATATAATGTTTTCCTCCATTTTTTTTCTTCTTCTGCCATTATCACCATTACCACCCAATCTTTGATTTTATCCTCTTTTGTGTTTGCCTCTAGTCTTCTTAATGACACCCAGCAGGAGGCTGACAGATAGCAAGGCCCAGCCCCACTCTTGGCCTGGAGACCAAGGAGGGCATCCAGCTTAGCCACGGGTTCCATTCACCTCTGAACACACTATGCCTCTTCGTTCTCTAGTTTTGCATCTGGCAATTAGAGACAAATTTTTTCAGTTAATTAAACCACACCCTACTGACTCCTCAGTGACTCCTCACTAGCTTCCATGTTAGGATTAGACTGCTCTGGACCATGCACTTTTCTGTTTAATCACAGCACCCTCCCCTGCAACCTCTACCAATTTCTGTAGATTTCTTCTGGACTGTCTGACTTCACCCTGCTTGCTCACATGTAGCTCAACTGGACATAAATACAGTCACCACAAATATACAAATTATGGCACATAGCACACATACAATTTTTCTTATGTGGATCTTTGTTCTTATGATTTCCTGTCTTCAAAGTACTTAATGCTATTTTCTCATCAAAAGCCTTATATCCATCAAACCCCAGCTAAAAGGCCCCATAGTTATAAAATCATTAGGCTGCTCTGAGTTTATGGAAGGCTTGTTTTATATCTTTCGAGGTCCTTGCATGCACTTGGTACAAAGTCAAAGATCAGTAAAGACGTATTGAATGAATGAAGCCTTTTTTGATACCTTTAACTATGAGAGATTGTTCCTTCTTCTGAATCCTCATCACAATTGTATCCGGAGCAATTTCCCTGGACTTCATGGAGGATTTCTATGAAGGATTTACTTAAAATGTTCCCACTTAAATTAATTATTCATTATTGAGGGAGTTATACCCTAAAAGGTTTGAAGGATGGATCAGGGTGTGAGGCTCCGTGTACAGAATATGACAATGCCAGTGTCTGCCGAAGTATGACTCTAGCAATGACAACATTTCATGTCATCCTCATCAGTGGAAAGAAAGTTATCACTTTTAATCCTAGGATGACATTTGTTTCTTTCTGACAGACATGGACTCCAAATAGGCCATTTAGATGCTCACAACTTAAAGTAGCATCCAGTTTCTTCTCCTTTGTTCGAAAGTTATTTATTGTCAACTTCATTGGATTAGCTTTCCATTTAAATGGCATCTGAGAAAACACAGCTTTTTCTAATAACTTGTTGCATTTTCCTTAGAATAAATGGCCTGAGAAAGAGGGTATTTTTATCATTTGCCCATCACCCCAATAACAGTATGTTCCTAGTTTCCCTGTCAATAGAAGTTTCGAAAAAACAAATTAGAAAAAGAGCAGCTAAAGTCAGGAATGTTGATAGCAGCAAGAAATGGCAGCCTGATGGTGATGGAGGAGACAGCTGACATAAGAACCAATAAACTTAGCAGTCAAGAATCTTTTAGAGCTTTAGGCAAATAGTCTGACTCTTCATATACAACAGCTGGCTTTCATAAAGGGAAGCAGTATAGGAAAGTATTATAAGGGTTTTGAGTATTAATTTGGGTAACATTTAGATTTCAGTCTATATTTGGTGAATTTAAGGAGCCAAGGACACAGGACATAAATGATGAATAATAACTCCCTTCTAGGTCTTAAAATCTGGGTGTTTTTTTGGATAACTTTATTAAGTAATTAAAAATAGCTATTTTTAATATAAGAAAATAAGTATGTAAGTTTGAGAATGACTTTCATCCAAATTAATTCACTGAGGAAAAATACTTCTCTGTGTTATTTAAGTGAAACCCAAAGGTTGGTAATCCTCTGCTCTGATGGGTCAAACACGTTAGGTTTGTGTAGAGTTAGAGTGTCCTCTAGACACTATCCAATCCAGTGCCTTCTTTATTTTATAAGGAGGGAATTGGCACATCAAGAAAAGTGCCCAGTCTAAACCACAAAGAAAGTGACTATAAATGCAAGGATTTGAACCACATTTTTTTTTGACTACCAGTCCAGGGAGCTTACTACCATAACATGTAACACTCTAAAAATGGAATAATATGACATTCAAATTGACAGGCATCCTAACTTGGTCTGTAAACTCATTCATTCACCTTCATTAAACAAAAATTCATTAAGTGGTTTCTATGTACCTGGCACTGTAAGCAGCCATGTTTATTTCAGCATAAATATTTACTGCACAAACACACATATATTCCAACATTGTGAGTCATGAAATCTTAGGTTGGACCTTTGGTTTGGAAACTTTGTCTTCCTCTCTTCAGCCATGAACATGACCACCTCTAGGACAAGCACATTTAAAGTTTCCCAAGCAGATAAACATCTCTTTTAAGGACTTTCAGTTTGGGAGATTCCGTGACCATTTTTGGTAACCCTTTTTATAATTATTCACTCTCACTTGATCTAAATTCTGCTCTTGATTTAACCTCAAGTCTTTTCTTCTGCAGGTTAAGATCACTTTTTTTCACCTTTTAGGAGAGGAATGTTCAGGTCTTAGTATCCTTCTGAGAATTTCTCATATTCATTAAGTTATCCCTTGGGTTAACTCTTGTTTTTTTTTTTTTTTGTCTAACCAGCATAACACAAATTATTCTGGTCTTTCAGCATAGATCTTAATTTATTGGGGGTAGAAAAGGATCTTACAAATGATCTAGTTTTAACTACCTGATATTACAGATGGATCCCCGGAGCCCGGAGAAGTAAAAGGTTCAAGTTACCCAGTTGAATAGTGGCAGATCCATCTTTTGAACCCAGGCCTTCTAATTCTCACTCAAGGTTTTTACAATGACACCACAATGCCCCTGAATCTTTTTTTGATGAACATTGCCGATCTGCTTTATTTATTACTTACCTCTGCCTCAAGTAATATAACCCATACAATTTCTTGGTTACCCTTGCCAGTAAGTGGTTAATCTCACTGAGCTAAAGGCCCTGGAAACTTCTGGGAGGGAGCCAGGTGAGCAAAGAGAGCAGATAAAGGCAGCACCTGCCGATGGGTTTGGAACAGCCTGGGGACATGGAGAGAATGTAAACACATTCTGCAAATCTTATTGTCTGACTCTGTGCCAGCGTCTTTTGGGTTCTTGTCATGGAAAATATTTCCTCTGAGGTCATTCAATGAGCAAAGGAGCATTGAATACCCTCCAGGGTGCCAACTCTGTCCCTGCTTTTGTCCAGATTAAATAAGCAAGAGACTAACATTTCATGGGCCTAGAAGTCTGCCTTTCAACAATACTTGCTCTAAGGTAGGGGGAAAGGAGACATTAAGAAAATAGATCATGTTGTTCTGAGTTGCTCTCTCCCCATCGCCCGCCCGCCTCCTCCCACTCACAGCCTCCCTCTGTTTGCTCACCCATACTTACAAGCACACGCCCTGCGTTTAGAGCAAGAGTTAATGTCTGTGCTTCCTCATAAATCTCGGTTTGGTGCCTCGAGCTATGTTTTTAATTCTGTGGTGGAGCTTTGAGATTTGAGATGAGTAGAAAGGAGGGGCAGCTGATGGAGGTAATAATGAAAGCTGCCATCTTTCCTTCTAGGGAGCTAGGTGTCCTCATTCAGTTTTGCTAACAGGTAGGTTAGTGCCTTAACAGAGACTCTTTGGAGGCCAGGGTAGAAGGAGAGTGAGAAGTCCAGGGAGAGGAAGCCAGCTATGTTGCCCTATGCAAGAGGACCTGTGGCTTCTCTCTGAAGAAAGAAGAATGCACGGAATGAGTATATTAACTCAGACTGAGGACTGACTGGCATATTTTCTAGCTCAGCTAAAAACAACTTGGAGGAGAGGAGTCTTTCCTGTCAAAAATAATTTATTCTCTTACAAAGTTGGTTATCAAAGAATGTGTTTCCTTCTTCCAACCTGTAGCTGCTTTTTGTGTTGTTAAGCCATATTTGTTTTTCATGACTGTGTGCTTTGCCACTAGTATGAGCAGTTTCTACTGTATAAAACTCACCCCTTCAGCATGTCTTTGCTTTTTTTGTGTGTAGAAAGCAAAACTTCTATTGGTCTGCTATGATGATTTAAAGTAGTAATTGCTCTGGTCTTCTATCCTGCCAACAACGGTGTTTGAGTAGAACTCTGAATCTGAGTCACTGAGTGAAACATGTAATTAACATGACTAAAGTAAGAACTGTGATCTTTGAAAACTCTAGTCTCAGTTACATATCTATAAAATCAAAGAATTGGAAACTGACCTCTCCAAAAGGCCTTCCAACTCAGATAGTTTAGGATCCTAAACATCCATGACTATTACAAACCTTCTTCCACCAAGTCCTTATGGGACCCTTCCCCTGCCTCTGCCTCTTTCTGGGAGGCTTTGGAACTTACTAGAAGTAAAGAGTACATTGTCCTTCTTACTTCCACTACTGTGGGAATGGAGGCCAGATCCAGCTGTTTTCCTTGAGGATAGAAAGTGGGAATAATTGAAATAAGTGATCCTCTATTTCTGAAATGAGACTTGCAAGTTTCTATTTGTGCTTTTTGAGGTCTGGGAACAAATTGATAGTAAAATCGGCTCATAGATTGTCAGATCATGGGCTTACAGAGTTCAGGCACTGAGTCTTATTCCTTTCTCTATACCCTGCATAGAGAATGTGCTAAGAAAATGGTGGAATTGAAAATGGAGAACTTTGGAATGTTTTAGAGGATCAGCTCTGAGGTGATTTAAAAGATTACTTTTAACCCATCAGAAAATATAATTAAGAAGTTAGGCTTATTCAGACTGAAGAAAAGAGAATTGAAGAGCTTATTTAAGCTATCTGAATGGAAGTTTTTCTGATGGATTTAGATTCAAGTAGAAATCTTACATATGAAAACATTGATGGAAAGCAGAAGCTGACACATAAGAAGCATCCTTGGACCCGGATACAGGTGGAAGAAGAGGTATCAATAGGTGAAGACAAGCATAAAACATCCCAATACTTCCTCTGTGCTAGAGATTTGCTTCTCTGGTTTTGTTTATGTCCAGTGATTCTGGTGTTTTTCCTTTCCCTGCCCCTTTTTTAAAATTACATTTCACTAGTGGTTCTTGACTTGATGATCTGATTAAGTCTGGTGATATTCTTTAACTTATTTCCTGTAACTACATCTATGTCTTCAAAAGTAGCTCAAAATTACTATATGGGTTAAATAAAATAAAAAATATAAGATCTCTAACAGTACAGAGTGGGTAGTATGGTTCATAGTAGACACTCAATATATGCTGGTGGGACAGTGCCTTACAGAAACAAAACTTTTTATCATCCGTTATCCTCCTGTTTTTCACAAAATTATTGTGACCTACAGATCAGAAAGGTGGTGTGAAATGCCCAAAGACACAAGCTAGTGAAAGTCATGATTTATACCGAGTATAATTTCAGAAAGAAAACTTCCAAATATTTATTTGCTTGATAATTTGATGTTGGCAACCTTTACTTAGGACTTTAATTAACCCATCATAGCAGCTCAGTGAGAAAGACCCAGTCTTCTTCTTCTTTTTGTTTGAGACAGAGTCTCGCTCTGTTGCCCAGGCTGAAGTGCAGTGGCATGATCTTGGCTCACTGCTACCACTGCCTCCTGGGTTCAAGTGATTCTCCTGCCTTGGCCTCCCAAGTAGTTGGGATTACAGGCTCCCACCACCACACCCGGCTAATTTTTGTATTTTTAGTAGAGATGGGAGTCTCACCAAGTTGACCAGGCTGGTCTCAAACTCCTGACCTCAGGTGATCCACCCACCTCAGCCTTCCAAAGTGCTGGGATTACAGGCGTGAGTCACCGCACCTGGCCAAAGACCCAATCTTCTCACCCTGACAACTTAACTTGTTTGTAATTGTCTCCTTCACATCCAGTGCTTCCTTATTTTCCTATAGTCTCAAAATTGCTCATATTGAGTATATTTAAGAATGCATAGTTTGTTTTGAGACAGAGGTTTTCTTCTGATAACTGACTGGGATCCGTAGGCAGGCTTTTTTCACCCATGAATGATGACAGCCTCCTCAGAGCAATTCTTTTAACTTTGTGTCTATTGGAAATAAGGCTATGTTATGCAATAGCAGGGCTTTAGCTTTGAATATATTTTGTAGCCTTAGCCCAGAATGGTGAAAAGACCCCTGAATGAGGTCTCAGGAAACCAGGACTCTTGCCAGTTCATCCCTGTCTTGTAGTGATGCTTTGGGAAAATTCTGGTACTTTCTGAGTCTCAGTTTTTTCCATCCACAGAAAGGAAGCACTGGGCTATAGCTTCCAAGAGCCCTTCTAGCTCTGACATTCTACAGTTTATAAACCTTATCTGCATTTCCACTGAGAAATAGCTGATTTGTGCTTTTCCATGTTTGTAAAATGTTGTGGTAGGTCCTGAAAGCCTCTTGGAATGATAGGATAGTACTTGCTGTGACCTTTGCAGTAGAGGACTTGTTCTGCTCAGTGGGGCTAATTAGATGCTTCTGAACTAGAGAATTCATACCCCAAGACTGCTTATGGATGTTGTATGTCTGCAACCAGATGATCGTTACTGGCATCATGACCACCTACACTATTCACACAGCATGACTGAGGTCATGGAATGTCTCGATATAGAGATTCTAAAGAACAGATGAGGAAGTCCTGTTTTTTTCTAAATATGGGAAGACATATTCAGAAGATTCAGAAAGAGAAATGATTCAGATTCAGAAAGAGAAATAAGCTTGCCCATAGTCACGCAATGTTAAGTGTCAAAACCGAGACTGTATCACAGGACTCCCGGACATCCAGCTCACTGCACTTTTACTCCACTCTGTCGCCTCCCAGGATTTCTTTCATGTGAGTACGTTACTATTAAATAAAGTATTTCTGGTCATAAAGGCATCTGCAGTCTCCACGATTGTTCTAATGGTGTTTGACAAAAGAGAAGATGATCGTCTTTCATAGCACTGTGATACTAACAGCTTTGCTGGATGGCCTGAGAAGCCCCACCCTTGGAGTGATAACTTAGCTTCAGATTAATCTTCCTAGTTTTCACCTCTGGAGCTCAGGAAAGAAGGTTGGCTGAACTTGCATATTTGGAAGTATACTATATCTCTGAGAAAGGTCCTTTTTATAGTCACATTGACTGGTTATTTAGAAATAGGGTCCCTCTTGAATTTCATGCTCAAACTTCATTTGAGGTTTCCCTAAGGTAAAAGAATATAATGTGTACTTATTAGGCAAGCTCTCTTGGCAGATTTTCATCCCCTTTGGATAAAAGCAAAATTGCACCCAGCACATAAATTGACATATGAAGCAGTAAATAATTCCATTGTGCAAGTTGTTTTAATGGACTCAATCCAGAATGCTCCATTTACCAGCACTCATAGAATATTCATTGAGTTTAGAGTTTATTGTCAGGCCAGAAAAAAAAGAGCTGGGGGATAATAAATGCCAGTATACTAGCTGAGAAGGAGAGGGAGAAAGAAAACTTTAGAGGTATATTTTTCTTCTATTTTTCTATTCTTCTCAATATTTTTCTTTACTCTGTCTTTTTTTTCCTAACTCTGTCTTTTTTTTCCTATATACTTTTTTTTTTTTTTTTCATTTTTCTTCTTGGGCAAAGGATTAAGTACAAAAAAAAGTTGGGTGTCAGTTTTCAAATATAATCATCAAAAATCTGATAACTGGCCAGCAGAATGTTTCAGGGACTTTTTTTACTTTCCTTTTGTGAGAAAAGTTCAGGTATTAACCAGTTGGGGAGCGGAGTGTTATATGCATTTGTGTGAAATTGTGCTTATACCATCTCCACATGGATAAACATTCAGAAACCATAACAGCATTCCCGAAGGAATCCTTCCTTAATACAGGAAGTGACAGTTTTGTGAAGGCACCACAATTAAGCTCTGGTTTTTCATTCCAGAAATCCCAGGATTTAATTTTTAGACAAAATGAGACATCCGTGAAGTTCCATAGGGCTGTTTAGAATTACAGGCAACTTAGTTTCCAAGCTTGTCGAATGCAGGGCACCTGAGTTTGGCTTAACCTCCGGGCATCTCTTTGCATTCAGAGATACCTGAAACCACAAATCATAAATTCTGATGGACACATGCAAAAGAGGCCTCAGAAACACGGTTTTGTTATTCAATGTGGCCACACTCCTCTACCATGAGTTCTCTCCCTGTTATCTCAAGCTTACTTTCTCTTGCTCTGCACTTAGGTTTACCAAATGACCAGGCCTGGGCTATGCCAGAGTGGCTTCCTCCCACATCTTGTGGATTAAGACTGTGAACTTAACAGGAGGGGCAGGCACAGTCTTTCTACAAGCTTTGACATGTTTGTTGCTGCAATTTCACTGAATGGAATGTGTGCAGAGAATAGAGGACAATGAGATTCAGAATCTGAAGTCGCAGAGCATTTTGAATTTGTCAGCGTCCCCCTCAAAAATCATGTATATTCTACCATTTAAGAAGTCCCATGTCTTTTCTCAGTCAGTTATTGCTTCTGTGGAAACTGTTATTGTCATGGCAGCTCCTTTCTTCTTGAAACTGTCTCCCACCTGAACTGTTCTGTTACTGTTCACCTCTTTGATACCTCCTCTCTTTCTCTTTTAATTCTTACCATCAGAATCTTGGTGTGACATCAATATCCGTATTTCCAGCTCTAGCCACTGTTCTGAGTGTCAGACTCACATTTCCAAGTAGGTGTTTCCCATATAGAATTCCTCCAAACACCTTGAATTTCCTATTTTTAAAACCTAATTCACCTTTTTCTTCTCACCCCCTAAAATCTTTTGAACAGTTTAACTAGTTGGGAGTTAATATGAAGGCTGACTGATGTATTACATTCTATTTTTTTTTTTTTGGAAATGGAAATGACTAATCTAATGGAAAACGCCTTTCTTGTAGGAGACAAGGAGAAGGCCTTAGGATCTACTGGGGGAGTCCGGAGGAGCAGTCTCTTCTGTCCCGCTGGAACCCATGGTCCACTGAAGTTCCTTATGCTACTTTCACTGAGCATCCTATGAAATACACCAGTGAGAAATTCCTTGAAATTTGCAAGGTAGGAGGCATCTTGGGTATTACTCTCAGATTAGCTTTGTTGCTGGAGCTATGTGCTTCTAGGGACGTGTACTCCTAAACAAAACAAAATAAAATAAAATAAAATAAAATAAAATAAAATAAAATAAAACCAGCAATTTATATAGACAAAAACGGTAATAGGTTTATAATTTATTTTAGTAAAGAGTCAAACTGTTTTTATATGTAAATATACATTATATTTATATATAACATGCTGCTTTCCGCTTGCTAATTGCATGCATTGCCTACATGGTGTATATACTTTCCCACATATAATCACATTCTAATTATTTTATTCATGGAAGTGTGGAATAGTATAAAGCATAGTTCGATGAGGTTCTATGGTCATGCTCGATTAAGTCACTTGTCTTTCTGAGACTTGGTAGTCTCACGTCTAAAATGAAGATAATGAGCACTGCCTTTCCTCCCAACCTCACTGGACCATTATAAGGTTAAATAGAATGATGTGTGTATAAATACTCCATGAAGTGTAAAGCTATTCACAATTTCTTTGTCTTTAAATTTCATCTCATCAAGCAGATATTAGACTTATTTCTAAAGGGAACAGTTTTCTATTATTCTCTCACCTCCCCCAGGCATCTAAAGCAGAACGGGGGCATTCTAAGTAGTCAAGAAGGAAAACAGCTGGAGCTGAAAATGTAGTGAAAGATCAAACTTTATATTTTCAATAAAACCAAATATACATATGAGTGCGCTTATAGACCTAGAAATTCTTACCTTCTCCGTCCTTTTTATGTTTACTTTTATATTCTGTCATTCATTTCAGAATATTACAATTCTTTATTTGCTATGAATTCAAAACTTGGCAATCTGTATGTAAAGACTTTCTGTGGTTGATGGCATATATTACATTTCTTGCATTAAACATACCTATTCGTGCAAGTGTAAATATATATGTATGTGTGTGAAAATATTTTAACTTGATAGGTCCTGGGGATTTTAAAAAGAATTTGAGGCAACATATATTTGATTACAGGCTAGATGGAGTCTTCATTCCCCCATAATACATAGATGAAATGACCTCGAATCACATTATTCTCCCATGAAAAGTCAATGTTCCTCTCAAGAATTATGCAAATGTCCTCAGGGATTTATAGTGTCACGGTGTCCCTCAGGCTCCAAGCTGTTATTGACACTAAACTAGCTTGGTATATGGATCATGTTGCCACTCTTTATGGGACACTCCTATTTCAAATTTCTCAACCCAAGCCTCAGCATCAGCCCCTAGCCTGACTCTTTACCACTGAAAGCCAACAAAACAAAACAACCAATAAGAACAACCTAACACCTATTTGAAGGCAAGAATATGAGAACAGACTCACCCAGGGCTTCAGGGGGACAGAGTGGGAGTTTGCATCATGCTCTTGCCGTGAACTTCAAATGCAATATCAGACTTCTCTGTTTCTAGAAGTTCTTATTAATAATAACACATTAATGCATTGTTCCATAATCTTCAAACTCTGTTTCAAAAATTATTGTTAACAATGCAGAACACTTTATGTTTCTTTCTTTCTTTGTTTCTTTGTTTCTTTCTTTGTTTCTTTCTTTCTTTCTTTCTTTCTTTCTTTCTTTCTTTCTTTCTTTCTTTCTTTCTTTCTTTCTTTTTTTCTTTCTTTCTTTCTTTCTTTCTTTCTTTCTTAAGACGGAGTCTCGCTCTGTCACCCAGGCTGGAGTGCAGTGGCACAATCTTGGCTCACTGCAAGCTCCGCCTCCCGGGTTCACATCATTCTCCTGCCTCAGCCTCCGGAGTAGCTGGGACTACAGGCGCCCGAAAACATCTGTTAATCCAAGATAAAGAGCTTAATAACCTATTTTCCCAAAGACATTTTCCTGCTTTAAAGGACATCTGGTTCCGACCATTAAAATAATATATATTTTTGAATTAGTAGTAATTGTACTTTATTGTAAATCAAAATAAATACTAACTGCCTTAGTTGGTACATCCATCATTTCCTGGGCCAAGTCTTCTCTTATTCCTCATACCTTGTGCATTAGATGGTTATTCCCTGAATGCCCTTTGCAGGAAGAAGTTCAGCGTGAGGAATTAAAGAACAAGTTTTATAAACTGCAGAGAAATAACACTGTCACATTCTAACATCTGATTGTGCTTTATCTTATTCTGTTATATATAAATACAATCAAATAATGCAAAAATAAAGATGAAAAGTAAAATATCAAAGAGGGTATGGAATATTATTTTCCAAATACCCACAAATGGAATTAATAGACTAGAGCATTGGATTTTGCCCTAGCCTTCCCAGTAGCAAAGGCTGAACAGGAAATTGATGTTCATGTAGCTCTTACTGGATGGAAGTAAGAATAACAGGTGGGAGGCACATGCACACACACGAACATGATAGACGGTGAGTTGGTTGGTTGACTTTTAGCCAATCAAACTACTTCGCGGATCTGTTAAGTGTATTTCCTTTAAGGCTTTTCTCCTTAAATTATTATTCCAAAGCTTTTTCTCTTTTTTTTTTTTTCCTTTAGCAATAGTCTGGCACTTTCATTTGCCAAGCTATTTCTTATTCAAAGGCCACCCAAAGTCCCAGCTCTCTAGGAAAACAAATGATCTCCATCTGGAATGTGAGAGGATGAGTACTTTGATCCAGGTTTTTGTGTCTTATTTTCTCTTTTGTTGTTGGTTTTTATGTCACAATATTATTTATGTTTAGGACATTTTCCAAGATTGGCTTTGATTAAGACCCAGTTATATCAATGTAAAAGAATAAATAAGAAGAAAGATAATTTGGGGGATCTAGAATTTTTTTATGTTAATATTTTGGCAAAAACATGAGATTTTAAAAGGGTTTAATAAACTGGTTTTTCCATCTCTCTGATGAATGAAATAGGAAAAAAGTAGAATATGGGGAAAATGCATAACTAAATCAAAAACTGAAGCAATTTAATTCAGTTTAAGAAAACTATTGTCTCACGGGGAGGGAATAACATAGAGCTGAGTTATGCAGTCAACACTTTTAAATTATTTACAATCTAATGGAACAAATTATTATTTTAAAATACATGAAAATATTCAAACTTATTCTTACCCAGAGTCATTTCTTCTACTGTATCTAGAATCTCTTTATTCAAGAGATTTTCTAACACCAACAAAATGCAGGTATTATGATTGTTGCTGAGGATACCAACAGAAATGAGACAAGGTTCTTGCCTTTGTGGAAGGCAGTGCTTAACAGGGGAGGCAGATAAAAATGCAAATATTTTTAAGAGTTCTAATTAACTGAAACTGAAGTTTGGATCAAGCAAAAAGGAGTAGAGGTACATGAGAGTATGCAGAAGGTTCTTAGATAAAGAGTAATTTGGTTTAACTGGAGTTTAATGTTACATAGTCCCCACTGTAGTTATAATGGCTTAGATAATAGATATAAGAGCCTAAACTAAGTTCGGAGCAGTAGGAAGGGAAAGAAGATGAGGAGATTTTGAGTTATTCAGGAGAGAGAATTAATGAAAGCAAGTAACTGACAGGATATTGAAGATGATGAAGAAGTCAAAGATGACAAGGTTTCAGGATTGGGTAGATGGTGATTCCATTAATTTGATTGAAGAAAACTGGAAAAAGTAGGTTTGGGGACTCAGCTTATGACATGTTGAATTCGAAACATGTTGCATTTCTGTAGAACTTGGGGTAGGGTTGGTTGTCAGGCAGTTAGAAATTTAGGTCTGAAGCTCAGTACAGAAAGCTGAACTGGTGATATAGGTTTGAGATTACACAACATTGGGCCAAAGCTGAGTAGTCATGGGGCTGGTGGGTCAGGAAGGTACCCAAAGAAAGAGCATTAATGGATATAATTACGTTCAAGTTAAAGTTTACGCTATGTCTAAGTCTGTTAACATTTATTGATAAAATTGCTGTAAAGTTTATACAATGCTATGTCAAAATATACTATTCCCATCTCACTAACTCTATACCACTTCCACATCTGGCAGATATGGTGGTCAAATGGCCTTTTCCCAGACAGTCTTGCTTATCTCCCTGCTTCACCAAACTTTTCCAATCTGTTCACATACATAGTTTGTGTTACTCATATAAAACAATGTGAAAGTATAAAATAAAATAGTAGCTTTTTGGCACTGCTTTTAATATTATGAGACATAAAAATATCTAGTATACTATTATATAGTTATACTTTATATCTATTGATTACAATTTGAATACTATTTTCATGTAATTCAACTAATAAAACCCCTGTAAGATAAGGATAGGTGTCTTTGTTTTAAAAATGAGAACACTTGAGCCATGTGTGGTGGTGGCCTATGCCTGTAGTCCCAGTGACTCAGGAGGCTAAGGTGGGAGGATTGCTTGAGGCCAGAAGTTCAAGACCAGCCTAGGCAACAGAGTAAGACCATGTCTTTAAAAAAACTTAATAAAATAAATTAATGAGACATGGTGGCATGTACCAGTATTCCCATTCCAGTTACCTATAATCCCAGCTACTTGGAAGGCTAAGGCAGGAGGACTGCTTAAGCCCAGGAGTTCGAGTCTGCAGTGCAAGTCTGCAGTGAGCTGTGATTATACCATTGCATTCCAACCTAGATGACAGAGCAAGATTTTGTCTCTTTAAAAAAAAATGAGGACAGTTATTCAGAGGGATTAAGTGACTGAAATCATATAATAATAGTTCTATGTTATACCCAGTTTCCTAATATTCAAGGAAATGGGTATAAGCCTGAAAGAATTGTGTGTGTGTGTGTGTGTGTGTGTGTGTGTGTGTGTAAGGGGGGGTGAGAAAGAGAGAGACTGTGTGTACATTTGTATTAATTGATGTGATATGGTATAATATTGTATCTCAAAACCTGGCTCAATTATCCTCAATTATTTCATCCACTTTGTATTTGCAACTTATAGCCTTACCTTTTCTTTTTTAACCATCGCTTTGCTGGGTTCCTACAGTATGCAGAGACTACTGCTGGGAAGGATGAGTACTGAACCCAGAACTGATGAATAGCAGTGAACGCATTATGTGTGCCCTACAACCATCATGATCTACAGACCAACCATTTGTACTCTTTTCTTGTATTTCTATCCATCTTTTCAAGGGGATCATGTAAATGAACCAATGTTTTAGCAATTAAATTTAACTTTATACTCTTAGCCCTTTGTTTGCCTTTTACAACAATTCAACAAATATTCATTGAGTACTTACCTGGCAGTGACCATTACATGATGAGCAATATTCTGGATTACCAAGAAGAATAAAACTGATTTTGCCCTACAGATACTTACGGCGTAGGGGGAGGAGGCAGCAAAGACTTTCACAAATTATAATTTAAAGTACTAAGATTGTAAATAGGGGGAGCCCAAAAGTGGGAACAGATAAGTCCAAAAGTTAACAAGTCTGATGACATTTGATATGAAACTCAAGGTATGGGTGATTTAAGCACCAAAGAAGGTGGGAAAAGACATTTTAATTAGAGGAAACATGCTTAAAAGCTGCGAATTACAAAGGTATACAAAATGTTCTCCGATAAAGACTAATTCAGTTTAGCTAAGTTTAAAGTGCACTTGTGTGTGT
This sequence comes from Homo sapiens, assembly GCF_000001405.40. Taxonomy (NCBI): domain Eukaryota; kingdom Metazoa; phylum Chordata; class Mammalia; order Primates; family Hominidae; genus Homo; species Homo sapiens. Next base: position 189,316,115 of record NC_000003.12, read on the forward strand.
GTGCACATATGTGCATATGTTCAGAGAGGAGGGTTGGGGGATGGGATAGGATGAGGATGGAAATTGCTATGGGTAGAAACCTCTCTTGTGCAAGAAAAAAGAAGCTACTGCCTCTTCTTATTTGTCTCTATGCACTTGAATTTATAGTCACAGGGGCTCTATGAGGATAATTCCAGGAAAAATGTGCAAAGATGATATATACAGTCTGTCCAGCAGTGTGACTTCTCAAGTGATTTCAAGTACTGGGTATTGGATGGGCGTGCCCTCTATGACAGGAGACTTGGAGACTTCCTTCCATACACAGGGAGGCTGAAACCTGTAGCCTGCAGGCTCAGAAAACCAGCTCAACTGAGGAATGTGGGCCTACAGGCATGAAACCTGGTCTCTTTACCCAGTGTAAACAGGAAGCCAGTGATGGTTGTAATAAGGAAAACTGAGACTCCAGGCAATGAACTGTTGGCAGACAGCACCTAAAGCAAACCTGTGGACCAGGCACTCGGCTGGTAAATAATTGGTGGAAAGTCAAGAATAATACGATGTCCCCCCTGTCCCCACCACGCACACTGCTGCTATACTTTATCCTAACCAACACACAGCCCCTGTGTAACTGGAGTTGTTAAAACCTGACCCTCTGTATTTGGGACTGAAATAAAAGAGAGAGCCAGAGGTGGGTGCATAAAAGCTTTTAGGGAAAAGTATGTGGCTGGTGGCATTCATATCAGATGACACAGCGTTCCTGTCACATAGATTTAGTTCAGGTGCTTGAAATGCTCAAGAGCCAGCTCGGGGACTTGGCCTTTTGTCTGCCTCTCCTTCAATGCACTGCTTGTCACCCTGCTTGTCTCTCTGTAACCATGCCCTCCCCTGGCTTTGAAGGGGCTCCTAGAAATGACTGGAAATGAAGTCCATCTGACTCCAATGAAATGCCAAATTCATTGAGTATGAAATAGTGCCAACTTTTACTTTCTAGCACTTTGATTTTGAGTCTACAGAGGATTCTTAAGGAAAGAAGTTTATGATGAAGCCAGAGGAAGCATTCAGTAATCCAACTGGACAAGATTTACTGATCTATGAAAAGGCATCCTGATAATCCAGACTTTGGATAATCCAGACTTTGTTGCAATAGAATTGTTGAGATGAATTATACTTTGATTTTTAAGAGATCATGGTTTGGTAATGATGATGAGGATGATGTCAGTGATGATTAAGCAGTTATTATTTATTGATTCCTGGCAACAAGCTTCCTTTATGGCCTTTGCAATATAACTCCAAATTTCAGGCTCATCTCATTCTGCTTTCCTAATCCTTTATATAATATGTGAGCACACAAGTGCATGTATGTGCACCCCTCCATTCACAGCGTGTATACAAACACTTTATTTCACTTAATCTTTACAACCACCTGATAAGTTTGATACTATTAATATTCTTATTTTATGGCAAAGGAACTATAAATTTCAGAGAGGTTGGATAACTTGCCCAAAGTCACACAGCTATGTGAGTATCATAGTTCCAACTTAAGACCCCTCTGCCTGATCCTATACTTCCTTTAGTTCAGTGGTTCTCAAGAGAGGGTGATTTTTCCCATGGGGGACATATGACAATGTCCCAGTGTCCCAGTGAGATATTATCGGTTGTCATATCAAATGTATACTTACAAAGGTATATAAAATGTTCTCTGATAAAGACTAATTCAGTTTAGCTAAGTTTAAAGTGCACTTGTATGTGTGTGCATATATCTGCATGTGTTCAGAGAGGAGGGTTGAGGCATGGGATAGGATGAGGATGGAAATTACGATGGGTAGAAACCTCTCTTGTGCAAGGAAAAAGGAGCTACTGCCTCTTCTTATTTGTCTCTACACACTTGAATTTATAGTCACAGGGTCTCTATGAGGATAATTCCAGGAAAAAATATGCAAGGATGATATATACAGTCTGTCCAGCAGCGTGACTTCTCAAGTGATTTCAAGTACTGGGTATTGGACGGGCGTGCCCTCTATTACAGGAGACTTCCTTCTATACACAGGGAGGTATCTGTCTGGTATCTGGTGGGAGGAGGATAGGGAGGCTGCTTAACATCCTAACATGCAGAAGACATTCTCTGCCATAGCAAAAGATTGTCTGGCCTAAAATAGCAATAGTCCCAAGGTGAAGAAACTTTGGTTTAGCTGTACAGACAGCCACATTTGTGACTCTACTTCATAGAAAACCAGATGAAATATTTGAGTGGAGGTATAGGTATAGGAAACACATAAGAGAAAAAAAGGTCAACTTTTCCCTTGAGTTTGTGGGAAGGCATTGTGGAAGATACAGGATTTAAGCTTGGTTTTGAGAGATGTGTTGGAGAGTCGGCACTATAGATCTTTTTGGATTAAATCATTGATTGCCAGAGCTGAAGTTTCCTAGGCAAGTGATTTTCATTTAAAAAGAAGTAAAATCTTACTTGGAACTCAAATATATAAAACTGATCATAAAAATAGAGCAGCTCTGATGTGATTGAAGAGACTAAAATAAGTTACCTGCTTGGCTTTTGGCTTTTTGTTGACATCCTCTCCTCGAAGCCTCAGGTACCTGCTGTCCCAACATTATTCACATAGCACTTCCTTTCTTTTCCAGAGAATTTAGATTTGGATGATAAATTATATGTACCCACCCAATCTGTGAAGAGATCTAGTGTTCTAAAGAACATGGTTTAAAAATTAATGAATGTAATATTTTCTCCCTTTTGCAAATGAGGAACATGAATTCTTCCCTAAATATCAGAATTTTAAAACTAAATTTTCTAAAAATTAGAATTTTATAATTCCTGCTCATAACAGCAATGTTATAAAGAGAGGACTTCAGGAGTTAAGTCAGGAGACCTGAGTCCAAGCCCTTGCTCAATCATTTACTAGTTATTTGGTATTGGGTAGATCCCTGTAACATTTAGATCCTCAGTTTACCTACCAGATCCCCTCTACATTGCCCACAATGCCTAGTATCTTATCCAACAAGAGTTTCCTGAATTTAATTCCTACTCTCTGTCCCATATCCTATCATGTTTAGGCTATTAACTTCACTTTATGAATATCATTCTTGACTTCTGGGTCTGTGATTATTATTATGAAAAATTTATAGACATGGACTTTTTATCTGTATATTTCTTCATGGTCCCAGATTCTATATCCAGTTGCCTATTGAAAATCTCTAAGAGGATTTCTGGTGAGGTAACTCAAACCACGTGTCTGCAACAAAATCCTCCATCCCTGTATCTTACCATTTCCAATCTGTACCTCTCCTAGGCTTTCTCAACTCAATAATAATATCGCTATCTACCCAGTTGCTCAGGCCAAAAACCTGGGTGTCATTTTTTTCCTTCTCATTTCTTCATCCCTAAATTCAATCACACCAACACATTCTTTGGCTTGAACCCCCTGCCCCCCAAATCCCTAATTTAACCAGTTCCGATGGTCTCTACTGCTACACTGTCCAAGCCACCGTCGTATCTTGCCTGGACTCCTGAAGTGAACTCCAAACTCATCTTGTCTTCCTGCTTCCATTCTTAGCCCTAAGAGCATTCTATTTTTGACTCCACACAGTAGCTAGGATTATTATTATTTGTAAAATAACAGCATACAACATTGAACTCCTTCCTAAAATCACATCAATCCAAAGCCCTTAATATGGCCCTGAAGACTCTTCATGCCTAGTGCTTCAACCTCTTTCCTTTGATCACTAGACTTCTGTCTAAAAGGCGTTTTCTGTGTCCCTTGAAGAAGCTAAATTCATGCCTCCCTTACAGCTTTTGCAGGTGCTGTGTTTTCTGCTTGGAATTTCTTCTTCACGTAACTAGCTCTTTTTCATTGTATGGGTCTCAGTTGAAGTTTTACCTCCTCAGAAAGACTTGCCCTGAATACAGTATGTGAAGTAACTCTAACTTTCATTACTTTTTATCCCTTTACCACATTCTATTTTCCTTCTAGAATTTATCACCTTCAAAATTTTTATGAATATTTTTTGTCTGCAATCACGAGAATGTGAGCTCCATGACAGCGGGGTTTTTTTGCCTGTCTGTTCAACTTAAAATGTCCCTGGAACTTGTTGTAGGCGCTTCATCAATATTTCTTAAGTAATTTCAGATGCCCTTTCATCTATTAGTGACAAAGAGAGTCAGTTTACAGTACTAATACCGATGCAAATTATTTGTATACTAACAAAATATTAAAGCAGCTAAAACTAAAATGGTACTTGGTAGACTTATGTGGATGATAAACAAACTGAAAAAATTACATATTATTTCTGACATTAAGAAGCAAAATTGGGCCTGAGGAAAGTTAGTCTTAATGGACTTAAGCACAGTTATTAACTGAATTAACTTAATAGAGATAAATTTAACCATTTATGTTTAAGAAGTAAGAATAACTGCAGCCCCAGGAGAGTAGTCAACTTCTGTGAAGACTGGCTGGGGAGATGAGTATCTCTCAACTTAATCTACAGTAACTAACTTTGTGCCTTCTTTTTTTCTTCTTCAGTTGTCTGGGTTCATGTCTAAGCTTGTTCCAGCTATCCAGAATGCCCACAAGAATTCAACTGGATCTGGAAGAGGAAAGAAACTGATGGTGTTAACTGAACCCATTTTGATTGAGACCTACACAGGGCTGATGTCATTCATTGGAAACCGCAACAAACTTGGCTATTCCCTTGCCCGTGGGAGTATTGGTTTTTGAGAGTCTTTTTGGTACCATAAGCATATCATCCACAGATATGTCACTTTGAAAATTCCAGTTTGACCCACGCTATTTTTGGACTGAAACAATTAATTATTTTTAAATGACGCTTTATGATTTAGAAATTTAGTATTTCCGAAAATTTAAAAGCTTGATTGGACTGATAGATACACACTTTAGACCTCATACAAGAATAATCAAATTTTCTTAAAACTAGAAAATAAATGCTGCTGAGCCTATCAAATACTGTTATCAAATGAGTGCCTGATCATCAACTCAGGAAAGAAGACTCTAAGTCCTGTTGCTTCAGCTCTCTAAATGTAGGCTTTTTTTTTTTTTTTTTTTTAGGTCTTGGTCTTCAGCCCTCTTATCCTGATTTATTCTCTCATTGGGGTCTCACTGTCTCTAGTATTTTAGCTACCACTTGATAAGGATGACTTCCAAATTTATATTCCCATTCCCAATATTTATTCCAAGACTCAGTTTTGCATTTCTGACTGCTAATCATCTATATATCAGTGTCCCAGTGGCCTCTTAATTGAGCATTATCAAAATCCTGTGGTATTTATATGGTCCCAGTTATCCATCCCTGAAGTCTGTCAATTTTGATTTCTCTAAATTCCTTGCCATGACATCCTATATATGATCACATCTCTATACGGCTTAGCATTGTATTCCGATGCCCAGATGTCAAACTTGAAGCTCATTCTCTTATCAAAATTGTTCATGTATTCCTCCTTTCCATTCTTATAGCTGTATTATTAGATCAGGTTTTTAATTCTGCTCAACCAATTATTACCACAGCCTGTTAAATGGAATCCCTACTCCAAGGCTGACTGTTTCAATCTATCCTACACTTGGTTTCTAGCTCATTTACTTATACCATCTTTTGTTCAAATATATATTTTTTAATAACAGACCTTTTTCTTCTAAAGAAATCTTTTGTAGAAGCAGCATATACGAAGCAGATAAAAGTAGGTTCAATGCGGTTGGAGTGAAGATGAGAATGCCACAGGCATCTTTCTTTCTAGGCCTCAGAGGTGCTGCATATGGAATGTCCATGGATCGCAGAGGGTTTTGAAGACCATGTTTTCAAAAACACTGTCTTAACACTCTATTGTCATTGCTCTTTTCCCTCTTATTTCCTCTTTGTCTCTTCCCGACTTAGATCTAATTTTCAACAACCCAGGAAATTATCTCATATGTTTGCATCTCTCAAGTTTCTTTTCTTTTTTCTTTCAGAGTCTTATTTTATCTAAATTTATGTAGAAAAAAAAGCTTTGAATGTTGACTACATAGACATTACTACAATAAGCTTTTTGCCTTTCCCAAGACTCAAAATTGACACATCTTTGTTGATGTTTAAGTTGAAATTCCAGCCAACTTTTTTTTGACTTTTATGTGAAGTTTAAAGTCTTTTCTTTGAAAAGCTTGCTTCCTCAATTTCAAAGATTTGTCCTCTGATATATTTATAAACATCAATTTAATGCAGACATTCAAACCCTAAACCTTGAATAACTCTTATTTTATTTTGTCTTTGTTTACTTCCATTAATTTTTTTTTCTTTCCCTCTCTTCCGCCTTTACAGCACCCACTTTTTCTTCCCCCCATGATGGCAAATATTGTTATAGTCCCCAAGGCAGGGAACTTCTATTCAGACTGTAAAAGGAAATGTTGAAATCCATAGCTGTCCTGTCAACAGTAGTGGAATGAAAAGTCGTTGGATTGTTTTGGCACTGGTTCTGAAGCAGGCATAATTGGCAAATTATTATAATACTGCTGCCCGAAAATCCCCATTTGCCTCAAGATAGTGGCATTTATTGGCAGAAGCCTCTGAAATGTCCAGCACATTCTTTTGAGTTACCATTTAAGGATCAGCCTGACAATCGACTTCTCTCTGCACATTTGCCCCCTTTGTAACCTAAGCCAGACTGTTCCCAAATGACCTTCTAAAGGACACAGTGCACCATCATCAATGGAAACAGTTCAGAAAGGATGACAGGAGGGAGATGTTTCTTAGTTCTGAGAGCCAGTCTGTAACAATGGGATAAGCATTTAATGGAATCAAAGCTGTTTTGCATAAAGAGTGAACTCAGAGACGACAAGAGGGTCTTTATGAATTCCCTTCACATTTTGTAAAAACTGTCATATATAGGCTATCCCCTTAATTGATAAATGGGATCTAGAAAGCGGTATTATGACCAGAGGGTGAGAAGATTTAGGAATTTGGATAGCAGTTCAAGATAAGAAAGAACTTCTTATAGTTATAAATTTTCAATGATGGAATGGGTTGCTTCTTTAAACAGTGAGCCCACCATCACTTGGTATGTTCAAGGAAAGACTAGATAAAGTCGATATTGTGAGAGGAATTGCTGTATGATACCGTTTGGAGAAATGATTGACATAATCTTTTAAGGCCGGTGACCCTATCATTTTCCAAATAATTGTTGCTAGTACTTAGTTAATTAGACCCATTTTTTTCTTAGGAAAGAGTTGGATCAATCATGGGAGACCCTGAAAAATTTCCTTACCTTTCCTAAGGTTTAATTTCCTCTTCTGCGAAATGGAGACAATTATATTACTTTTGCTTATTTCATAAAGATCTTGTGAGGATTCAATGAAATGAGGTTAAATTCTTTTATTAAACAGAAAGTTTTGAGTATTTGCCTAGAGAGTGATGTGACTTTTGCAGCAGAAGGTGGGAAAACATCCAAGGGAACTACATTTCCTCCAGAAATTGTTTCTTCATTACCATCGACCTACTGATTATGGTTTTCTCATTTTACACTTGGTGTTCTTACTTGGGATCTTTGTCCTTAAGCTCAACAGGGAGCCACAACCCAGGGGACCTATGTGTACACTTGGAGTTTTTATCAGACTATCATTTGAACTTACCACTACAGTTTAGCAAATGGCATGATGAGTTTGATTGATAATAGGAGTAGACGCAAGATACATTAAGTAGAGTACAAAGCATTTCATAACCAAAATGTCATGGTTGGAGGTCTTCATTATTCGGTCTTTATCTCATTCAGGAATTTCCACTTGAAAAATCTCTGATAAGCTTTATTTCAGAAACTGCTTGAACAGCTCCACTGACAAATGCCTCACTATCTTCTGATACATCGTAGGCAGTTCTGAGGGTGAGAAAGTTCAAAGCAGATAGATGTTTTAACACAACAGGAGGACTTTTAAACAATCACCAGGACTCACTCCTCGGTGGTCAATTGGGCCTGTTTGGAGGCCTGACCTTTGGTCATCTTAAGGTCATCTAAGGCAGAAAAGAGAAGCTCACTTATAAGTTGGCACTTCTGAATCATTTGCCTTGAGGTCCATTTTTTATTCAGCCTTTGTTTAAACCTTCTTAGGAAGCCAGTTTGTAGAGTTCTGGGGATAAGAAGGCAGAAAAACCATGTCAATTCAGTGCTTTTATTTCACAGAAAATGAAGCAAAGGCCTAGAAACTAGAAAGACATTTCTCAAAAAGAAGATGGTGAACTTTTGGAAATACTGAGATTAGACTACATTTTCCAATTTCTATCCCTAGCCCACTGCTCTTTCCAATATAATATCTGTATTCCATGGGAAAGACATGCCATCTGAATTGATGTATCGTAGTTGTTGAGATAATTTTGAAATGAGAAAACAATAGGGCACAGTCGTTTGGGAAGAATTTCCAGAAATTGCCATCATTTTCTTAAAGGCTAAGGACACTTATAGAGCTCTCCGATTTCCTATCTGATAAAAAAAGCCCAAACAAAGCTGCGGAAGCTGGCAGAGCCAGCAGATATTTTGTAAGGCAGCTTCACCTCTGCTGGCATTTTGTGGGGCAGGAGAGGGGGAGGGCAAAGGTATTAAATTTAGGCTTAAAAGCTCCTCAGAAATTCTTTACACACAAGAGACCAAGTTGGAGAAAAGAAGATGACTTGTGCCAAGGGGAAGAAAGAGAGAGACTAATGCCTGTGGTTTTCAAAGGTTAACAACAACATAAAAAAGCCAAGGTATTTGCACAGGGATGAATGCTCATTGGCTCTTGGCCAACAATTATACAAGGGCTTGTGCCCACATCCTGTAGCTGTGGTTTAGGGACGCTGCTCATGAGTGACTTCTTATGCTTAGTGGCAGGAAACTTTAGTCACTGATGTGTAAACTCACCTTTGGTCTGCACCTCCCACAACGTGCTCCGAAAGCAGTTAGGGGACTAGGCCTCTTGATTTCCTTGTAGATACCAGTTCCCCAGAAGCTAAGGAAAAACTCTGAGGCCTTGGAGTTACTGAGAGTGGACCAATACTTGTCTTATTCTACCTGATTTTGGCAACTGCTTAGGGTTCTTCTGTATCCACAAAAAGGAATTATGATATCCTCTGCTAAACCCTCTCTTTAGCCTCAAAGCCCAAGACCAAAAAAAATGAGCCATATTTCATTGCAGGCCTGCTGCCAATGTGAAATATAAGGAATAAAGTCATGAGACTGCTTCTCAACCTAGACCTTGTATCTCGTGTGCTATTTTATATTCGATTTTAAAAAGCTCTTAGTAAATATCTCAGTCCCCTTTTCAGTGAAGCCAAATGGAATTTGCAAGCCCAGTTTAATTAACTCCTACGTTTTTAAGGTAGATATGACAGATCATGATATATTGTGGATGCGTTGAGATCAAGTGTTCTGAACCACCAACTTGTCTGTCGTGTCCTGCCCATAATGCTTACCCCATGCATCTCAGAAATTCCTTTTCCTTTTTTAATATTGTCTGAGCACTCTTCACGGAATCTGAGATTAGAAAGGATCTTAAAGGTCATGTAGTTTAGCCTCCTTTGGTTGAGGTTGCAGGAATGCCCTCAACCAGAGCATGCACAGCAGATGGAAAATCAGCTTCTGTGTGAACATTCCAAGAGCCCAGAACTCCTTGCTTTCTAAAGCAGTTAATTCCACTACTGAGCAACAGCAACAAGTAGAAGGTTTTTCTGGACATTGCACCCAAACCTCTCTCCTTGGAAATGTATAGATTTGATGCTAGATATTCCTTTGAAGGTATCCCAAATAAATTAATTTCCTAGTTCACATATTCACACTTTCTATAAAGGCAGGTGCTCTCCTAAAAGGTAGTGACAGTAGTTTTATTTTTGTATTTAGAGACAAAACTCCAGTGAGCACAATCATTTTTAAATATGATGCATTATCCAGAGTCCTTATCGAGCTTGTCTCTTCTTTGTAGACTATTCTGTTTGGTAAACACTTCTTTTAAAATATTATATTCAACACTTGTCTTGGCAGTTCATATATAGATTAATCAGTGCAAATTAGAATGGAGTTGTTCTTTATTTGCCACTATACTGTTATTAATAAAATCCAGGTTTCTTCTATCACACTGTTTGTTCACATGAAATGTATGAATAACTTCATACTATAATATAATATATAACTCCTTTCCTGATTGGGTAAATTCATTGAAAGCACAAATGAGACCACTTTAGCATAGATTACTTTTACTGAAATTGTGTTAGTTCTGAGTAATTACTGTTTTCTTTTCTAACTTTTAAATTTATTTTCTAAATTATTTGTTTAACACTTTACCATATAATTTTGCCTAAGTCACTGTTAAATTTACTCTTCTCTAGCATCTGGCAACCACCAGTGTTTTTAAATGAGTTTTTTTCTGTCTTCAGTCTAGAGGACAAGGTGGGCATAATTATCGTGATGGACAGCAGAGCCAAAGCAGTAAACAGATGGTTTGATCCACGGAGTTCTTTGGAATTAGTTAGTTGATCATGGCGTCCCTAGAACAAAAATAGATGGACAGCCTACTTAAGTCTTATTTAACCTGTGGAAACAGAAGTGATTTGAAGTCCGACTTGAGTCAGCACCTGCCACTCCAGGAAACCCCCATCCTGATTGAACTTAGGGATCTCAATTTAATGGCAGCAGTTTCCACTGTCATGCTTGCCCGCAGAGAATGGCCACCATGGAACTATTCAAGAATAGTAGGATTTCCTTCAGAAATGTGTTTCTGGTCTTGGGGTTGAAAGCGTCTTTGGAACTTCCTAGGGGACATAGAGGCTAAGTGAAAAGGTTGTACACAATAAAACCACTTTTGCATCCTGAGCTCCCCAAACCTTTAGAAGCCTTCCTCTGGCATTTCAAGTTCATTAATGTATACTTTCTTTAGGTTGATAATTGAGTTAACAAAGCAAACTATTAGAGCCACTCTTAGTGTCCCAAATACATTGGATCAAGAATCCTGGCCTGGTCCACTCTAATCAATAAATTCTTCATGTTCCAACATTATGCTTCTGATCTGATAACCTTGGAATCAGTGCCCATACATGTTCTTCCTCTATAGATATAAGTTGGCAAAGCCTTACAATTATTTTGGAATTTATTTTACTCTCTCATGAATCACACTTGTTCACTTACTTTTTAGGAGTCAAATCTGTTTATAAGTTTAGAAACAATGCAAAATGAGGATAAATTATCATACATTTAATCAGATGCTGACTCCAACTACAGCTATTGATCTAGATGTGGTTTTGTTGCTTGAGTCAAACAATACATTCCTTGGCACCTGGTATGCAGTTATTGATCTTGAATTTCTTTTTCTTTTTCTTTTCTAATCTGTTATTAAGATTATGAAAAGCAGTTTGCTTTCAGCTTGTAGAGCCAGCAATATACTCAGGGTTACTATATCAACCTTCTAACCTTATGTCATATTCTAGTCAACAAGGATCTTGAACACCTCTCTGTTCTATAAGACATCATGCTGGTCCATTTCATTGATGACATCATGTTGATTAAACCAGGAAAGCAGGAAGTAGTAACTGTTCTAACACTTGTATAAAACATGTGCAAGGAAATGTATTGCCTCAAAATTCTTTTCTTTGTCACCAAAAAGTCACATCAGTAACTTTTGTAAAGGATCAGTGGTCTGGGGCATGTCAATATACACATCCTAAGGTAAATGGTAAATTGCTCCCCTACATGACTAACTTTCTTAGTTAACCCCTCAATACTTAATGGGGTTCTTTAGATGTGAAAGTAACATATATCTCATTTGGGTCTGCTACTTGAATATATTGACAAAATAATCCAAAAGGCTGCCAATTTTGAGTGGGGCACAGAATAGGAAAAGAATCTGAAACAGGTCCAGGCTACCATGCAATCTGCCTTACCACTTGGGCTGTATAACCCAGCAGATCCAAAGGGGCTCAAAGTATCTGTGGCAGATATAGACGAGGCATGGATCCTTTGTTCAGTCCCTCTAGGTGAATCACTGGGTAGACCTCAGAATTTTAAGCACAGATATGCCATCCTCCCAGATATATACATATTTTTTTGAGAAACAGGTGTTGGCTTGTCACTGGGCTCCATTAGAAACTTAAGACTCTTTGGGAGGCCAAGGCAGGTGGATCACCTGAGGTCAGGAGTTTGAGACCAGCCTGGCCAACATGGCCAAACCCTGTCTCTACTAAAAATACAGAAATTAGCTGGGCATGGTGGTGGGCATCTGCAATCCCAGCTATTAGGTAGGCTGAGACAAGATAATTGCTTGAATCTGGGAGGCAGAGGTTGTGGTGAACCTAGATTGCACCACTGTACTCCAATCTGGACAACAGAGCAAGACTCTGTATCAAAAAAAAAAAAAAAAAGAAAAGAAAAAAAGAAAAGGAAAGAAAGAAACTTAACACTTGGCCACTTGGCCATAGGCTATCAAGTTGCCATGCAGCCTAAGAATGTACTAGATGTTGTCTGACCCATCAAACCATAAAGTTGGGCATGCACAATGGCATTATATTATATTAGAGATGATATATACAAGATAAGGCTTAAGCAGGTCCTGAAGGCCCAAATAAGTTGCATGAGCGACTGTCCCAGAAGACCATAATGCCTGTTCCTACTACATTTTCTTCTCACTCTTTTTTTTTATTTCTTTTTTTTTCCTTTATTTCTTCTAAAAAACAAATGGGATACATGTGCAGAATGTGCAGGTTTGTTAAATAGGTATACGTGTGCCATGATGGTTTGCTGCACCTATTGACCCGTCCTGTAAGTTCCCTCCCTTCACCCCTCACCCCCTAACAGGCCATGGTGTGTGTTGTTCCCCTCTCTGTGTCCATGTGTTCTCAATGTTCAACTCCTACTATGAGTGAGAACATGTGGTGTTTGGTTTTCTGTTCCTGTGTTAGTTTGCTGAGGATGATGGCTTCCAGCTTCATCCATGTTCCTGCAAAGGACATGATCTCATTCCTTTTTATGGCTGCAAAGTATTCCATGGTGTATCTGTACCACATTTTCTTTATCCAGTCTATCACTGATGGGCATTTGGGTTGGTTCCATGTCTTTGCTATTGTAAATAGTGCTGCAGTAAACATATATGTGAGTGTTGTGAGTTATTGTTAAGCTGATTCTTCTCCCTCCTAACCCACATCTATGGCTTTCTGGGAAGCTCCTTGTGACCAGTGGACTGAGGAAAAAAATTGGAACCAGATTTATAGATACCTGTGCTGTATCACCTGGAAATGAACAACTACAGTATTGTACTCCATGGTGATCCTGGAAGACAGCAGTGAGAGAAATTTCTTTTAGTGGGCCAAATAAATTAGCTACCATTTCCATGTTCTGCTTCAGGACTGCCTTCCATTTTGTAAGTGAAGAAACAGAGTTCTGAAATAATAATATGACTCAGTTACTGTCATACATACCCAAGAAAGCCACCATAACTTGCTAGTGGCAGAGACATGACGCTTCTTCTTCCATTTTGCCTATTTCAGATTGGATTCAGTTTCAGGTAACATAAACAATTTCACTATTTTAAACACAAAATCTTTTAAAATATGGAATAAAGTACTTACAATATCATTAGAAAAGCTGGAGACACAAGCTCTAGGGCTGGGATTCCAGAAGTGACTCCAGAACAACACAGCAAATTTGACTTACCAAGGTATTGGTTTTCTCTGCCATATGCAGAAAGCTACGCAACCAGGAACCTGCTATTCTTATTTATTTATTTATTTATTTATTTATTTATTTATTTATTTATTTGAGATGGAGTCTTGCTCTGTTGTCCAGGCTGCAGTGCAGTGGTGTGATCTTGGCTCACTGCAACCTCCACCTCCCGGGTGCAAGCGATTTTCCTGTCTCAGCCTCCCTAGTAGCTGGGGTTATAGGTGCATGCCACCATGCCCGGCTAAGTTTTGTATTTTTTGTAGAGATGGGGTTTCACCAGGCTGGTCTTGAACTCCTGATCTCAGGTGATCCTCCTGCCATGGCCTCCCAAGGTGCTGGGATTATAGGCGTGAGCCACCGCACGCTTTCAGCTGCTAAAGAAAGTGTGGAATGACATTTTACTATGGGGGAACAAACATGTAGACAACGAGCTGAGTGATGTACAGAGTGCCTGGCATAAACTCATCAGTTTCAGAACAGAGCTCAGTTAGCAGAATCATAGGCCACACCTAAAGTAAGCAGAATATGATGACCTGATAGATACTGTGGCCACAATAGTAGGAAGATCAGGAAGAAGGTCCCAGCCAGAACCTGCTATTCTAAGAGCAGGATCTCATCACCTTAGCTACAATCTAATGAACTGCTGGCTTCTGAACCACATTGTGTCTGCTAGATTTGCCCCAGGAAAATGGATGTGACACATTCTGACCCCTTCCTCCTTATTTATCCTAAAGCAGAACCTGGGGAGGGCATTTCATTTCTACCTTTTAATAATAATTGCAAAAAATTATTGAGTGTTTAATGTGTCCCAGACAGCGTGCTAAAATCTTTACATTAATTACATCAATGAATCTTCAAATAACTTTCTCAAGAATATAATATTAATATCACCACTTCAATTTTGAGATGAGGAAAGTGAAGTAGGAAGAGGCTAAGAAACTTGGCAAAGGTTATGTACTCCTTGGGAGAAGATCTGGGTTAAATTAGACTTACTCCTATCTAGAACCTAGCTACAAAGGAATCTGAAAGTTTTAATATTTAGCTTCTGACCTCTGTAGTACAGAAGACATGCTAGAACAAGGTTGGAACAGATTGAGCTTGTCATTCCACTAGATTCACAAGCTGACTTATATTAAAGATAATTATTAAACTCTTTCTCCCCTGATTGACTGTGAGCCCCTTGAAGATATCTCAGTTTGTTCTCTAGCACAGCCCTGTATTTATATTAGGCAATCAATAAATGGGTCTTATGATGTGGATGCCATAGATGTTTTGGTTTCAACCCATTTAGGTAGCATATGCTTAAACTTCTGTGAAACCACTGCCTTTTTGTGGTCTGGTTTTACAGAGCAGCAGCCCAGGTTAGGACTTCTCCCTGACTTTAGAAAGAAATAGTATTTTGTTTTCACCAAACGCCTTGTTATTCCTCAAATACTTTATTGTGGTTACATCAACAGCACCTAGCAACAGTCAGAATGTGCATAGCAAAAGAAAGTGTGGAATGACATTTTACTATGGGGGAAAAAACATGTAGACAACGAGTTGAGTGATGTACAGAGTGCCTGGCATAAGCTTGTCAGTTTCAGAACGGAGTTCGGTTAGCGGAATCATAGGCCACACCTAAGGTAAGCAGAATATGATGACCCGATAGATACTCTGGCCAGAATAGTAGGAAGATCAGGAAGCAGTAATAAGCCGAGGCTCTCCTGGCCTGCTAACAGCTTTAAGAAGAGTGAGCTGCAAGCAGTAGAGACCAGGCATCTGATTCTAGGGACTTTTAAGATGATGCATCAACAATAGAAGTGGGGAGTGTAAAAAAGAAAACAAAATGACTTTCATGGGAAATATAACGTGTTCAGATTTGGATAAGCTGAGTTTGAAAGGGTAGGGGAGATCAAGTGAAAACAATTAGCAGGAGCATGTGAAAGCATGTTGCTCAGGAGATAGGGTCCTTGCTTGGATAGAAAGGTCAGGGATTCATCCAAGAATGAGTGGTAGTTAAAACTGTAAGAGTGGATGAGCTTGCTCAGTGTGAAGTATAACTATCCAAAAACTTTCTGCAATAATGGAAAATTCTATAATTCATTATAGAATCATAATTCATTCTATACTATCCAGCACAGTAGCCACTAGCCATGAAATGAGAGGTGAATATTAGGAACTGAAATTAATTAATTAAATTTGTATAGCTACGTGTGTCTAGAGGCTATCCTATTGGAAAGCACAGGTGTAGAATGAAGAAAAGAGATGACTGAGAATAAAATCCTTAATAATAGCAATATTGCATATCTGATGTTATTTTGACGCTACCAAAGATAGGAAATAACACATGCCTTATGAGTGGTTTATTTTCTTTTATGTTTTATCAAATGGTAAATGAATTAAAATGATATAGAAGAGCTTATGTTCAAAACCAGCAGCTTCCCAACCCACCACTTCCTACTTCCAACTTAGTGATAATTCATTTTAAGAATCTTTCTTTCTGGTTCTGCTGCTATAAATCCAAAACTCTAAAAGAAAGTTCATATTTCTATGTATTAATTAATCAACATCAGATATTATCTGTTAATTTCCATTTTTGAAAGACCAAAACTTGAAACCATGCCCCAAAGAGTTAAAGATACCAATGACTAACCGAAATTCTTGAGTTTGCAGCATGGCAGACAAGAAATGAAACAACTTCATTTTTTTTGAGACAGAGTCTCCCTCTGTCGCCCAGGCTGGAGTGCAATGGCACGATCTCGGATCACTGCAACCTCCGCCTCCTGAGTTGAAGCGATTCTCCTTGCCTCAGCCTCCCAAGTAGCTGGGATTACAGGCACCCGCCACCACGCCAGGCAAATTTTTGTATTTTTAGTCGAGACGAGGTTTTGCCATGTCGGCCAGGCTGGTCTCGAACCCCTGACCTCAAGTGATCCACCCACCTCGGCCTCCCGAAGTGCTGGGATTACAGACCTGAGCCACTGTGCTGGCCAAAACAACTTCTTCAGTGCTGAAACTCTCTCCCCTTGTAAGATAACTAAACTGGCTGAAATCAGCTGGAACCAATATGGCTGGCTGGAGTTTGTGCAGAAGCCTGCTGATGTTAC
Organism: Homo sapiens; assembly: GCF_000001405.40. NCBI lineage: Eukaryota > Metazoa > Chordata > Mammalia > Primates > Hominidae > Homo > Homo sapiens. The sequence goes on from NC_000003.12 coordinate 189,332,846, forward strand.
AGCTTGAATTTCCACCCAATGTTTCATACCAATTCCCCAACAATTTGCACATGCAATCAATGAAGTGGTGTGAAAAGATAACTGCACATGCCCTAGGAACTTCCAGACCTCTCCTTTCTTTCCACCAATCACCTACTCATCTCAGAATCCACCCCTAAAACTTTTCTAACAAAATTACTGCCTTAAAGCCAGCTCAGGGAGACAGATTTGAGCTGGACTCCACTCTCCCTGTTCATTGACTAGCAATAAAAAGCTTTTCTTGGCCGGACGCAGTGGCTCATGCTTGTAATCCAAGCACTTTGGGAGGCCAAGGCAGGCAGATCACGGGGTCAGGAGTTCAAGACCAGCCTAGACAACACAGTGAAACCCCGTCTCTACTAAAAATACAAAAATTAGCTGTGCATGATGGCGGGTGCCTGTAATGCCAGCTACTCGGGAGGTTGAGGCAGGAGAACCACTTGAACCCGGGAGGCAGAGGTTTCAGTGAGCCGAGATCATGCCACAGCACTCCAGCTTGGGCAACAGCACTAGACTCCATCTCAAAAAAAAAAGCTTTTCTTTTCCTCCAAAACCCTGTGTCATAGAATTGGCTTCTAGCAAATAGGGCAGTGAGTCCCTTATGCTTGGTGACAGACTTAGTTTATGTACACTATATTCCACATCCTCTTCCCCTTTTTCCTTAAACGCTTATTATTTTCACCATTGAGTACACTTGTTACTTAAATAATCTGCTTTACTTCTGTTTCTTTCTCTATCACCTTTAGTTTCTATCTCACCTTTCCTCTATGAAAATAAAAATATTAGTGAGATAACCGAAGATTTTTTTCCAGCAAAATTTTTTTTTGCCTTCTTTCAAATATGCATTTACTTCTGCATGGTTCAGGGTGTAAGCTTTTACATTCTGTTCTGTGACCATATTAAATGATTCATGCTTGTCTATATCTAGTGGTTCTGAGGGAGTTGGTGGTGGGCTGGTGGAAGGAGGCAGATGAAGTATCAATTATCTACCAGGTAGCTTTAGTTCCCCATCTTATTTTACTGGTGCAAAAACATAACTCATGGCCTATATGTCTTCAGTTTCAAAGATCTACCATGCTTTTTTGAGATTCTCTTTCAAGGCTACACATTATTAAAATCTTTGGTTTTCCAATGACTTAGTCAAATCATTCTGTTTCTCTCTGCTTCCAATCAAAACATAGAGAAATAGAATGACTTGACTAAGGCCATATTACTTGGGAGTTGGAAAGTTGAGATCAGTTCTGGTGACACATCACCTCACAAATCTGTTCTCACTAACATTTCCTAACAAATGAAGTTTGCAAAAAAATTATGGGTTGGTATTTTTAATTTAGATTTACAATCCACAGTGCAGGCTAGAGCAAAGACATTTGAAGCTTGTGTGCTGTGACCACATTTTCTTTCAAGGAACTCTAGAAATGTCTCCAGGCATCTGGGTGCTTCATGAGCCCAAGTCGACAAATGCTTACCTATGGGTAAAGAATCATCTAACATTAAACTAACATTTACCAAGCACTTAGGTGTTGGCATCTAAGCTGGGATATTTCATATACATTATCTTATTTAATTCCTGCAGCAACCTCTGTAAGTAAATAGAGGTGTAATTGAAAAGTTTGAATTTCAACAATTTAGCACTGTGTATTTAGTCCTCTCCATCTCTAAAATGGGGTAGAATAATCTGTGCCTCAGATTTTCAAAAGACAAATTGACTTTGGTAAAGTTAAATGAGACTGAGTGGTTTGGTTGCTTGGGAGATAGGCAGTATACAAACATAACACTGATGAGTAATAGTAAAGTATTATACGGCTTTGTTCTTATTACCCGTAATGCAGTTGACCCAAAGGGATTGGCATTAGGGAACTGTTTCTGGGTACAAAGCAAAAGACTCCAAACACTCTTGTAAATTGCTAAATTCCAGTGAAGACAGTGCTGGAGTGACTATACAACAAGGATGGTTCCTGTTCACCAAACCCACCCAGGAAGCTTCCTGTCATTCTCAGTAATCCTGTGATGAATATAAAACCACTAAAGAGGTATTCCAGGCAAAGCACAGATTACAGTTTCATGGCAACTGAAGCTTTTATGAATTTGAAGGGGGCTTTGTGTGTGTGTGTGTGTGTGTGTGTTTTGTTTTTTTTTTTTTTTGAGATGCAATTCTAAAATTCCTTGAAAGAAAAGACTCTCAACTCTTGCTCTGTTGCCCTGTCTGGAGTGTAGTGGCACAATCATAGCTCACTACAGCCCAGAACTCCTGGGTTCAAGTGATCCTTCCACCTCAGCCTCCTGAGCAGCTAGGACTACAGGTGCACACCACCATGCCCAGCTAATGTTTATTTATTTTTTGTTGAGGCAAGGTCTCGCGATGTTGCCCAGGCTGGTCTTGAGCTCCTTGGCTCAAGCAATCCTCCTGCATCAGTGTCCCAAAGGGTTGGGATTTACAGGCATGAGCCATGGGCCTGGCCAAGAGTAGACTCTTTTTTTTTCTTTTTTTTTTTTTAAAGCAAAAAGAATACAATATTATAAATACAAAATCAAAATCAGACACAAAAATGCATATTTTGAAAGAAAAATGAATCTCAACCTATTACAAATATTACAAACCTGACAGATATTTTAAAAAATCAAACATCTGAAAAACCTGATACCTTTATTAATGAACACATCTCTTGTAATTCTTTATTCATACTCATTATTGACTACATATTGCTGGGTCACCTCTTCATATAAAAATACAGTTTTAAAATTTTCATTTTCTGTAAAGGGAATAGAAAGATAATTTCATGTTATTTCAGTTGATTGAAATGTATTTTTATAAAATTATTGATAGTTTAGAAAAGTTTTATTCAGCTTCATAACTGATAATGATTTTATACATTTTAAACATGCTTTTCAAATTTAGGAAAACATTTATGAAGTTTCTTTCACATATGAGATTTTAGATTTGGAAAAATTTTCACAGACTGTCTCCTGGTTTGTATATTTTTAATCTCATTTTATTTTGTTACCCTCATGCTTCCTGTGCTGTCTACCTCAGGGCACATTCATTTTTCCATAGGAACAAAACTTTGGCCCTGCCCTTCCTTTGAATCATGGTATTAGCTGGTTGTAGTATTCTTGGAGGCCAGTCCTACATAGTGTAAGCAATAACTTAACTCCTTATGAAAGTGACTGTAAACCACAGAAGTACAACCTACTAAACCCCAGCTGAACATAAACCTACCTTAGCTGCTTCTAAATCCGATCTCACAAATGCTGATGGCCATTTTAATGCCCAACAGGAAAGGAAAAGTCATGGAAGGGAAAACAGAATGGAAAGAAACAGGATTCTTAACCGATTGCAGTTAAAATATTTACTTTTTAAAAATTGAAAAAAAAATGCAGAAAGAAAAATGGCCATGGAAACACATTGCTAAGGCTTTTCCCAGGGTCTTAGAAGGGACCATCAAATAGCGATAATCTGAAAACTTTTTCAATTTTTATAATTGACACAAAACAATTACACATATCTGCAGGGTTCATCGTGCTATGGTCATGTATGTAATGTAAGTGATCAGATCAGGGTAATTAGCATATCTATCATCTCAAATATTTATCGTTTATGTTGGGAACATTCATATCCTCCTTCTAGATATTTGAAGCTATGTAATACATTATTGTTAATTATAGTCATCCTTCAGTGCTATAGAACACTAGAACTTATTCTTCCTATCTAACTGTAATTCTATTTCCTTTAACAAATCTCTCCCCAGCCCTTCCTTACCCCTGCCCTTCTCAGTCTGTGGTATCCTCTGTTGTACGTTTTACTTTTATGAGATCAACTTTTTTTTAGCTCCCACATATGAGTGAGCACATACAGTGTTTAACTTTCTGTTCCTGGCTTATTTCACTTAACATAGTGTCCTCCAGTTTCATCCATATTGCCATGGACGACAGGATTTCATTCTATATGGTCAAATAGTATTCTATTGTGTATATATACCACATCTTCTTTATCTATTTGTCTGTTTTTGGATACCTGGGTTGGTTCCATATCTTGGATATTGTGAATAATGCTGCAATAAACATAGGGGATGCAGATGTCTTTTCTTTACACTGACTTTCTTTCCTTTGGATAAATGCCCAGTATTGGTATTGCTGGATCATATGGTCCTTCTAATTTTATGTGTTTTTTGTTGTTGTTGTTTTTTGTTTTTTTTCCAGAAATCTCCATACTGGTTTCCATAACGGCTATACTAGTTTACATTCTCAGCAACAGTGTGTTCCCTTTCCTTTATATCTTCACTAGCATTTGATATATTCTTTCTGATAATAGCCACCCTAACTGGGATGAAGATGATATCTCTTTGTCCTTTTGACTTGCATTTTTCTGATCATCAGTGATGTTGAGCATTTTGGAATATATTTGTTGGCCATTTGTATGTCTTCTTTCAAAAAACACCTGTTCAGATCACTTGCCCATTTTCTAATTGATCGTTTATTTTATTTTTTATTTTTTGCTGTTGAGATGTTTGAGTTCCATGTATATTCTGGATATATATTCTGGATATTAATCCTTTATTGTATGAATCATTAATTAATTTGCATTAGCTTTAGAATAAAATCCACTCAGACTCCAGGATTGTGGAAGTAGCAACAAATTTGTAGTGTAGGACCTTGAATCTAGTTTTGGCTCCTCCACTGACTACCCTGGTGGACCTTGGGCAAGTTATTCACAACCTAACCCTCACTTACTCCTTTAAAAAATGGGAGTTTTGAATAGATAACACCCACACCCCACCCCTCGGAAAAAAAATCTCTTCTATCTATGACATTGTCATAGCAGACAGAACTGGCTGCAATAGCAAAATATGCACAGATGGGGGCCTCCCCACCTTCATAGGCTCAGGACAGATCTTCTAGGCCTAAATTCAGGAGACAGAGGCAACCCTAGCCATTTCCACTCCATTTTGGAAGCAGCTGCCTTGTCTTTCAAGAATGCAGTCAGACAGCTTTTTTTTTAAAGAAAAAGGTGTAGTCTTTCCAGGGACTTTAGTCCCCTTTGCTTCCCAGTGATCTTGTGAGTCACTAAATGATTGATGGGGGGCTTATTTCCATGGTGACCACTTCTGTCCTATCTAGCAGCTGGAGAGCTTAACCCAACCCTGACACAGCTTCCTCAGTTGGGCTGGGCATCCACTTAACCAAAGCATTCAAGGGCAGGACTTGACAGCTCTGAACTCTGGGCCATGGATAGGATTCCAGAAGAAAGAAGGGTGGGAGCATGGTGAAACCACTCATCTATGCTCTCATTTTTTTCCATGGATTAAAGTCTCAAGAGTTATGTCCCAGCTAGAAAGGAACCTTGATAGCAAAGGAGTCTTGAAGAGCTCTTGGATACTGAATGAACCATTTCTTAGTGGATGGGGCTGTCCAGTAAGACCTCCCAATGCCATTTGCTTCTGATCTTATGGAGTAATCTTTTCTCTTCCCTGGCCAATTGGGCTAAGTTTGCTATACCTCAATCTCAATAACTGCCACTTCTCTGCCGCCAATCAATTCTCTGTCTGTTTCTGGGTATGTTCTCCTCATGTTGCCTTTTCTGCAGGCTTGTCAATATAAAAACAAGAGCCATTTGCTTGAATGGAGGGCTGTGCCTAAAAGTTAACAGACAGTCACAGCTGTGTTAGAGGATTGAGGCATGGAGTACATTCTAAAATAGAACTCAGCCGCAGAGGGCATGGAAACATGCCGTGCTCAAGGCTGCCAGGGAATGCAGCCCTGAAGCTTGGGTTTTTCACGCCTCAAACTCATTAAACCCCCAGCCTGCATGTCACACATCACATCCTTCCAGAATTTCTGGCTTCCTTCATTCAAATAGAATACTCTTTTCTTCCTCAGGTGGCTTAATTTGTTCTTTACTAATTTGTTATTGATATTATTATTTATCCAAAATTTTCTGAATGCCATGGCTATACCAGTGGGGAACAGAATGTTCCTATGGAGGGAAGAATTGCTCTGATTATTAGAATTACTGAATTATTGGCATGTTATTCTGATTATTCTGATTATTAGAATTACTGAATTATTGAGCTGGATAGGTTACTAAAAATCATGTAGTTTTATCACCATTATCCTATAGTTTGGGCAAAAAGAGGACAAAAGGTTATACGGTGAGCTGGCTCATAGCCAAAAAAATAGAAACTGATTTTCTCCCATTTTTATTTCTACTAAGTTATTTAAAAATTATTATTCTTAACATCAAATAGCTTTGTGAATGTACTTAAGTTTTGTAGAAATAGGTATCTAATACAGTCATCTAGCTAATTGACCTTATATTTTGCTTTCATTTTAGAGTACTGCCTGGCCTAGAAGTGCCAAAGAAATTATTCCCTGGTATACACAAACATCTTATATATTTGTTTTTATAATCCAAATATCCATGTACAAGCATCAAAGTCCATATCTAAATACTTCAACACATACACACTTGTGCAGGTGCAATCTCTGGCACAGTGGGGTACCAGGAAAAGAAATATGACAAATACTCTGCCCAGGTGGGGTTCCCAGCATACTGAGAGGGTCAAACAAGCCCCCTCCCCTTCTCTACATGCTATAACTCTAAGATAAGGCAGATTAGAATACCTGTTTTAAAAAGGTATAAGACTGTAGAGGGAAGGAAGAAGAGAGAATGGTTAATTTAAACTGGGATGTCCAGGGAGGTCTTTAAGGGGAGATAGCATTTGAAGTAGTCTTAAAGAATGGGAAGGAATTTTACTTGTACACAAGGGCAGGAGAGTAATAACACAGAGAGATCAGTGTGAACACAGCATGAAGGTGAGGGGGTCATTGAGAGTGTGGGCTCCAAATTGTGAGCAGCTGTATCCCATAGCTGGGTGAAAAGAAGGAAGCACAAAACTCTACTCAGAAAGGGGACACTCTCAAAGAGTTACACCTGCATTTCCAGATATGAATTTCCATAATAGAGGCAAACACACCAAACAGGTAAGATTTTCAAATTCAGAGACTTCCTCATTTTAGCCATATCCGTATCAAGAAAACTCAAGATCTTTCTGCTTGTTGAGTTTTAAATCCTGGCCTTGCCACTTGATAACTCTGGGATGTTAGACAACTGACCCGATCCTCTCCAAGCTTCCCTTTTTTCTTAGATAGCTTATCTAAGGTGCATGTGAAAATTAAAATGACGTAAAGCATGAAAACTTCTCAGTTACAGTACTTGGCACACATAAATATTTCAGTTCTTCCCCACAGCTACTGTCTTCCAAAGGCATGAAAAAAGGCACATCGACTGGACTAGCTGAATCACTTCTTGAGGCTTCCGTTTAACTGTTGGCAAATAAAAGAGTCGGCATGGCTATGTGAGGGTAATCAACTGTCCTGGTATTTCTAGGACTGAAGGGTTTCCTGGGACATGAGACTTTCATTACGAAAACTGGGACAGTCCCAGGGACCCAGGATGATGGGTCAGCCTACTTATGTGGTTAAGAGTGGAGCCTCTATAGCCAGACCATGCAGGTTCAAATCTTAGTTTTGCCATTACCATGTTTATAACCTTGAGCAAGTTGCCTAACACCCCGTGCCTCAGTTCCTTCTTCTGAAAAATAAAGACAATAATAATAGTGCCAACCTTGTAAAGTTATATGAGGATTACATAAATTAATATATGTAATGTTAGCTGTCCGTATAGTAGAAGATTCCAAGCTTTGTCTTCACTCACCTACCACTACTTCCTTAGCCAATTATTTAAAAAATAACTTGTTAGAAAGAATTAAATTAATTTCTACTTGTGTACTTACACATTCTCTTATCTTTACAAGGGACTTGTGGTGGGATGAAACTCTCCTTCGAGTGCCCCTGGAGCCCTTGGCTTTCCCTGTCCTCAAATTCTGTGTGCTGCTTGATTTTTGCACCATTGGGTGCCATGGAAATCTGTGTGAGAATGTGGAGGGAAATGTGGCTTCTTATTCAAGTCCTTTCCTCCCCTCCTGCAGGGGGCAGTGTAGGAAGAGCCTGGACTGAGAGGACACGGCTCTGTCTCATTGACCTTGGCCATGGCCTCTCTGTCTCTGGATCTCAGTTTCCTAATCCTTTAAAATGAAGGGGTTGAGCAACATGATACCCCAAGGCCCTTTGATTCTGGGTGGAAACATCGCACCAGACACATTTTCTTCTTTCTCTCTAGCTCAAGAAATGCAGAAGAGAGAAGCAGAAGCAGTCTCCTTGCATCTCCCCAAATGTTTTACAATCCTAAGGAGAATTCTGAAGTATCACACAAAGGGTTGTTTAGGCTCTGCTCCCTCTAATTACGGCCCATTAAGGCCTCAGATCCCTCCTGTCTGCAGAATGTGCTATTTAACATTCTCCCTGGCAGGGCCTTCGCCAAGGACGCAAGCCATTGCACTCACTTCTGTTGATGTTTATGTTGAGAAAGTAGATAATCCTCACTGCAGTGACAAGTTGATTGAAGCAAGTAAAAACCGAATAGGGTTTAGAATTGTAATTGCTGACAGATTCATAATGGTGTGTGAGGCTTGGTGTCTGTCTGGCTGGCCATGCTGTTCAGAATAAAGTGTGAAGTTAAAGAGTATATTGTTTCTGGTATGAAATTTCTCAACCCCAGAATTGTTTCTTTTCTGAATGAAGGTGTGGGGGAGGAAAAAAAAAAAAGCCTCTCTAAAAATGAAGTAGAAAAACATCCACAGCACTTAAAATAGGAGGAACAAGATAATCAGGTGGGGTTTTCTAGTGAAAAAGTAATGTGCAGAGGGATTTTGGGGCAAGATATCTGAGTTATCACCAGGTGGTGACACTGTGTCACTCGGGAAAGTCACTTAACTTCTCTGATCCATCTATTAAATGAGTGTGTTAGATTGAAATTGTTTACAATTGTGTTGTCTTACACTGGTTTTGTACTGCATCTTTCTAGGAAGAATATTATATGATCACACAAAATCAGAATGCTATCGGTTGAAGGGTCCCTAACGACTGGAACTAGTAGAGAACACTTATTATCCATTGATATTTATGTGTGTATATGAAATTATACAAAATGGTCTGCAAGGATTCGGAAAATATGTAATAGTGGCTGTCCCTGGGTTGATCAGGGAGTGAGACTAGAGACTGAAAGAAGTTCAATTGTATCTGCATAATTTACCTTCTTATATAAAACTGTTGGAAGTAAATATGACAAAATGTGAACAGTTTTTCAGTTATAGGTGGTGGGAAATAGGTGTGATAATAGTTAAGTACTTTTTGTACTTCTGTTTCTCTTAATTTAGAATAAAATTGACTAAATGTTCATTGCCCCTTCAAATTCTGATATTTTGTGATTTTGTAAGATACCGTTTTTGAACCTCAGCTTTCTCATTCATAAGAAGGTAGGTATAGGTGACATCTACGTTTCTTTGAATTCTCAAATTCTATTTCTGGTAAGAAAATAAAAATAGGAATGGTTAATTGACAGGGAAGGCAGAACCTATTATTGTAAGCCAGCATGCTGGAAGATTGCGTTGGGACCCGCTTCAAAAGAAATGTGTTGGTTTTTTCTTCCTCCCAATTTCTAGTAATTCCACATAGATAAATAGTTCCCAAATGCTAATTTTAAAATTTAGTATTTGAGAATCACCTACAGCATTTCTTTGCCTTAGCAGAAACTACCACATTGATTAAGAGGAAAGTGGGAATAGATAACTTCAGGTTTATAATAAGTGACCCTTTTACTCACTCACCAATTGTTATTATAGGCTGAAATTCAGTCTTATGTTACACTAAAAGCAAAATACGAAATGCCTATTTTTACAAATAAACTTTAATTCTGAATTATGATTATCTTCTTTGTCTCTTCATATTCCCATCCCACACCAATTTAACTCTTCCAGCCTCATCCTCTAAATTTATACTAGCTTTTCTCTGGTAATATGGTGAGAAGATTTAGGCACATTATGGACTAATAAATTGACAGTTTCTAGATTAAAGTAAATGTAGAGACAATGATTAAAGAGCTGCTATACTAGTAAAGTGAATAATAAGCACTCAGAGATTGTCCTTGGATAAAGAAACCCTGTGGGCATATTTCAAAGTCCATTTAGTGGTCAGGGGTTGGGGAGTCTTTTTGAGAAGAACATACCGTAAATCACTTGGTCTTCATATTTTTTTTTCTAAGGAGACACAGACTGAAGCCATGACTCAAGCTTGCCAAGTCTTTAAACCTGTGGTTCCAGGAAGTCTAAAAATTCTGGAGCTGAGACCACTGAATTATGTTTCCAGTATCAAAAGCCAACCTGAATGTTGATATTCCCCTGGCAACCTGAAGGGAGTAAAATATGATAGCTCTCTGTCCCTGTTTAGCTGTTTTGTATGATGACTTTCATTCTTTCTTATGGATAGTGGTGTAAAATACACAAAAAGGTACCTGTTGGCTTCTTCAAATCTAGCAAATACAATTTAGCCACTTTCCACATTGAATCTTTTTGTTAGCTTTAAGCAGCTACCTTTTTAGATTTGTTTGTTTTTCTCTAATAAAACGTCTCAGCCTGATCAGCTTAAAGTGTAATTGATGGGGAGAAAACAGAGCCTGAATTATTGTCACTGTAGATGGACCATAAAGAAGACAAAACCTGATGACAGCAACATGTGGGAGAGAGGTTCCAGTGATAGTGTATTTTCTGATCCATTGACAGTCAACACATGTTTATGGAAATCATCTTCTATTGCTGGATTTCCATCTCAAGCCTTGGAAAAGAAGATTGAGATGGTAAGGAGAGAAGAGGCGAGATTTGGAATGGTCTCTGAAAGAGATCACGTCTTCTATAAGGGTTGATTTTATGTAACTGTGTCTCTTGCCTTTCAAATATTATGAGTTAAATGACTAAAATGAACCATATTTCTGTTGACATCTTTGAGAAATAAAATACATGGATATTACACTTGATGAAGGGAATTATGTAGCCCATCGGCATCATTTAAATACGAAGAAAACTTGAGCCTGTGAAAGCCCATGATCACCCATTCATTGAGAATCAGAGTTGGAAGCTGAATTTGATTTTTCCACTAAGCTCATGCTCAGTTTGACCTCTAGATTCAATCTAGAGTGGATTTAAATTTTAGCTCTTCTTTTTAAGTCTTGTACATTCTTGGGCGTGCTACTTAACCTCTGTACCTCAGTTTCCACATCTGTCAGAGATGCTAATATCTACTTAATAGGGTAGTGATTAAAGATTCGGTGATATAGCCATAATGCTTAACATAGTGCCAGTAACATGTTAACACAATACTACTGGCTATTGTTATCATTGTTATTATTGTTACACCTGGAAATTATAGTATTGTGGGTCAAAATGTATAGTTTCTAGAGAGGGGGGTATTGTTTTACGGTAACGAGAAAGAAGTAAATTCAATCCTATCACACACTGTCATGATTAAGAACCTCTTGAGGTTGTGCATTGCACTCAGGTTAAGACTACATTCCTTATCTTCAGGATATGGCTTAAAAGATGCTCCTTGATTGGTGCTAACAGACATTTCTAGCCTCATTCTTTGTCATTTTCCCTCCTGACTTACCTGCCTGCTGCTCCCCTCTCCAAGGTTTGATTAGCCTCATCTTAGTTTTCTGGACAACCCATGTTCTTCCTCATCTCTGAGGCTTCATATGCATCCCCTCTGCCTGACAAGTCCTTCTCTAACCTCTTCTTCTGGTTAATTCCACTTATTCTTTCAGTCGCTTAGCTCTGCCTATGCAGTCCCCTGAACATCTGTACTTATTTTTTCACATCCCACAAGACACAAATTCAAGTATCTTATTTTCTTGTCTATCTCCTGGCTTGAGTAGACATACGCCTTTAAAGTCAGGGCCTATATTCTGTTCACTGCTGTATTTTCCAGTTTTGGAATAATGATTGCTGTGTGGTAGCTGCTAAGTAAATATTTGATAAATTCAGTGAATGATCCATGGAGTGACTTTCTCCCTACAGAAGGAATCTTGCAGCCTGAGAAAGTAAAAGGTTTTTTTTGTTGTTGTTTTGTTTTGTTTTGTTTTGTTTTCTACTCCTAATTGCTGGTAAATGGGAGCCTCTACACCCAGAGCTGCACCTACAGGTCGGTGTCAAAATCACTGAGGCAGCAGTTTCCCAAGAGGGACACATCCAAATGTCTGACTTCACATGATCAGGGTTTAGGAGAATACATTGCATTGCCCTGAAAGAGGCTTGGAAAATCAACAATTAGGCCATGGGAAAGAGAGGAGAATGGTGATTAGGTCTCTATACTCAGCGAGGGACTCGAAGAAGTGTGATTTCCATTGTCTCACTGGATAATCCTCCCTCACATTTTCTCATGATTGCCTGCAATAAGATTTCTTAATTGTTCAGGGGGTTTAGAGTATGAGCCCTTGAATGTATAATTATCTCCATTATTCCAAACAAAGGAGACACGTGCCAGTGGAAAAAAAATAAAAATAAAAACGTAGCCTCTAGCAGAAAACGGAGCTAAACTCCCTCCCCCATCCTCAGATTCCCTTTTTCTGCTTTTTTTTAAAATTTTTATTTTTATTTTTCCCCTAATGCCCTTGATCACATAAAATGTTCCACATTCCTGTTTCTGTGGGCTTTCAAATTGCAGTGGCAAAATAAGAGTAAGCACAAACAGCAGATGGGTACTCTGATCAAAAGGTGAGCAGCGCTCAGTTCAGACCAGAAGGTTACAGCATCCCGTCACACAGTAGGGCATGTGCCAAGATGAAATGAATTTGCCACTCACACCTTCATAATTAGTTACAGTGTTTTTTTTTTTTTTTGAACTTATCTCTCCTTAGGAAATAAAATGCATTATTTATTTATGTTCCTGAAGCCCTTTGAACAGTGGCTCTGGTTCTTACAACCAGAGCCAGTGCTTAGTAACTGCCTCCCACCCTGCCTACAATCCCTGAGACCCTCAGGTGATGTGGCACAATGAGAAAAGACCCGAAATAGGATCATGATGACTAGGTTCTAGAGCTGTCTCTGATGCATACTATCTGTGAGATCTTGAGCTGTTACTTCTCCTTGGGTATTAATTTGCTCATCTTTAAAGAGGGCATTGATTTTCACCAGGTATTGATGATTTTTTTTCTTCTGTAAAGAGTCAAATAGTAAATATTTCAGGCTTTGCAGGCAAAAGGATATTTGCTACGCATACATTTTTCTGCTGCTATAGCACAAAAGCAGCCACAGACAGTACGGGTAAGCATGGCTGTGTTTTAATGAAACTTTATTTATGGACACAAATTTAAAATTTCGTGTAGGTTTTACACGTCATGTCTTCTTTGGATTTTTTTCCAACAATTTAAACACATAAAAACCATTCTTAGCTCCCGAGCCATCAAGAAATAGGTGGCATGCCCTATTTTGCCAATCCCTGATCTACACCGTGGTTCTCAAAGGAAGGTCTATAGAAGTTCAAGGGAGAGATATCAATACACAGCAACACACTTTGCTCCATTGATCTGCTTTTCCATCTTGTCACAATATTTAATTCACTTTGAATTTCAAATGCAATTTAAGGTGGGCATGTGATTTTTTGTTTACCAAAAGGAGTTTTAAAAGATTTAGGGAGTTTTTTTTTTTTATTGTTATCTCCAAGGTCATCACATTTATACTTTACGAGGCCCTGGAATCCCCTGTAGCTGAACTTCAGCTTCTAGGGTGACTCTGGGCCACCATGGACCAAACAACATTTGTTAAATTTCATTTATTCATGGCCATGGCAGAGAGTTGAGGCATGAATAATACAAAAGAGTGGATAAAAAATCATTTATCCTGCATTCAGCTTCAAAATACAGCATGGATAATTTTTTCCTTCTGAAGATTTACCTTCATAATCCCTTTTGCTGATATGAAAATGAGATTGCATTACCTGAGCTCACAGTTGATTATGGTAGAATTGGGATGCAGAGATGTGCTGGAAATGCAATAAGAGAAACACCTCAGGTTAAAGTTTTCTCCTTGATACCTCTTGACTCTCCCAGACACTGGGAATTTTCCTTGTCACCAGTTCCATCATTGTACACTCTCATATGCACATCATATTGTCTTTCCTGTTCTGACCTTGAATCCTTAGCTCCTGAGACCTCCCTAATGTTTCCCAAGTGGCAACTAGCCACTATGTGACATCCTAGGGGCAAAGAGGAGTTCTTATGACTTACACATGGTTATCTCAGGTGATAAGTCATACTAGAATAATGAGTCCTGTGATTTCACCTGCACAGGAGATTAATAATATAGAATTCTATTTATTAAGATATAAAATTAATACTATAGAAATAGCTCTGTGCATCTGTCTGGCATACATTGAATTTGGCTTAGAAGTGATAGACATAGAATGATTTTCATATTGACCATGGCTAGGTAAAAATATGGAGTTGGGAAACAAGGGCAGATAAGCTTGTGAGAAGCTGCTGAAGACTTCTGAGAAAGTGACTCTTCCCACTCAGTGATTGATTGACAGGAGTCATGGGGTGAGTGGTTAAGGATAGAGTTAAGGATTCAATGATATAATATAGGCATAGTGTTTAACATAGTGCCAGTAACATGTTAACACAATACCGCTGGCTATTACTATCATCGTTATGATTGTTACACCTTCAAATGATGACATTGTGGGTCAAAATGTATAGTTGCGAGAGAGGGAGGTGTTGTTTTATGGTAATGAGAAAGAAGTAAATCCAATCCTAATTACGCGTCCCTAACATAGGTAGTCTGAGACTATCGCTGAGCTGGCCCCTACTTCTTGAGTGGATTCTGGCAGGGTCCTAAGGTACCCCATGCCACAGGGGAGCAGCACTGAACAAGAAATGCTGCTGCATCATGTCTGGGCCAAGAAGACCAAAGACTTGTCTCAGAAGTGACTGCAGCCCCAGTGTAGCAGGAAGGTGTGCAGAAATTGTCTATGAATCTCTTCAGAAGGCTCAGAGATGGCAGTTTGTGAGCCAGGGAAAGTCTCGCAGTCAGGAAAAGGCAATGTCAAGGCAGAAAGTAATGTGGAACATATGACAGAACACTCGTGGGATTTCAATGAACAAAAAATATTGAGTGCTGACTACGTGCCAGATACATGACACTAGTCAGTCACAATTCTAATCACATGAGATAGAGTAATGGGAAGAAAAAGAGATTAAAAAAACTCTGCCTTCATGAAGCATTTTGCTGATGGAGAGTGGAGAGAGAGGAATGAAAAAGATACACAATCAAGGAATACTCAAGAAGCTGGTAAGTGGCATGGAAAAAACAGAGGTTGGGAGGAGACTGCTGGAGGAAGGTGGTCAATTTTAAATATGGTAATCAGGGAAGGTCTCACTGAGCAAAGACTGAAGAGAGTGAAAGAAAGAACCACGGGAATCCCTGGGAACAACTGGTGCAAAGACCCTGAGGCGGGTGTGTGCTTCAAGTATAGGATAAAGCAAAGAAGCTGGTATAGCTGCAATGTGGTGAATTAGGAGTGAGTAGAGGCAGTTGAAGTCAGACAGTTCATATGCATCTAGACCATGCAGAGACATGCTGGTCATTGCAGGCTTTGAGTCTTGTTACAGTGAGATGGGAAGCCTTTAACTATTTTGAACAGAAGAGTGATACAGTCTGACTTATTTTTTAGCAGGGTCATTTTAAATGCTCTGAGTAAAATAGCATGTAGGAGTCGAGGGAGAAGCAGAGACAGTAGCCAAGAGTCTATTGCAATCATCCAGGTGAGATACAATGGTGGCTTGGATCAGTGTGCCACAGTGTAGATTAATATACATGCTTGGACTCTGGATGATTTTGGAAGCTAGAATGGACATCACTTTATGAGAGAATAAATGTAGGTTATGACAAAAAAGAGAAAAATCAAAGATAACTTGACAATCTAGGCCTGAGCAACTAGAAGAATAGAGTTGCCATTTACAAAGTTTGGAAGACTAAGAAAGGTGAAGGTTTGGGGTTATGGGATATCAGGAATTGATCTGGGACATGTTGAGAATTGGATGTCTATTTTATTTTCAAGAGGAGGTGGGATCTGATGTATAAGTGAAGGCATTGGAGAGGAAAGAAGGCAGTGGAGCACATGGGCATTGATTTTGGTAAGTAGAAAGGCGAACATCTTGGCAAATATCAGCTTGTATTGATGCAGCTAGGGCCCAGGTGTTTTCCCCACGATGTAACGTAAGCCTCTCAGAGCTTAAATGTGCTCTTGCAAAGAAGACAGAAGGGAAATCATAAATTGGCAGACTTAAATTTTAAAATGACTAGGGTTACCAGGAAATGCAAAAATAGTTATTTTTCTGCCTCCAGACAGAATGAGGCTTAAATAAATATTATATGCAAATGTATTACAATTTTCTTTTTATATCTGTGTCGTGTACTGAAAATATCATATGTGGTATACTTTTTAATAGTATGAATAATGGAAAGACAGTAAAATGAGTGTATGAGTTTAATGAAAGAATATACTGAAAGATAAATTTGAAAGCAGAATGGAAAATGTGAGATAAAAGAAAGAGATATGGAGCTCGTTTCAACTGAGAGGGGAGGTATATAATGATCCTGCCCTTTTTTGCTGCATCAGAATGCATCTGGATAGCAGTTCTTGGATCCAGGGACCAGACTTTTGAGTGATATTGACAAAGAAATCCGCAGAGGGCCATGGCCCAAACCACTTTCTGCAAGGGAGTAACCTGGAGCATACTCAATGGTATTATCTTTATCATCTGTATGTAACTGAAGAACTGGCATGGAGGAGAGGTTCTACTTCTGTTCTGTGGTCCTAAAGGATAGATTCAGATCAATGTTGCAGAAATTCTAGGAAAAATGATTTCACAAGGTAAAATAGCCAGTATGGCTCAAAGATAGGATGCGCTGCCCCTAGGAGTTAGTGAGCTCTGTGTCAAGGGAGTGTTCAAACAGAAATCCCATAGCCATTTGGCAGGGAACTATATAAAAAGGGTTCAGTGTCAGGCTCCTGCCCAAACCTGCGATTCTATTAGGCAAAAATGGCAGAGTGAAAACACTGACTGAGACAAATGCCATATATAAAGGTTCAGCAGGAAATGGGGAAGACCAAAAATGAATACAAAACTATGAAGTCATTTTCTGCATTTGGCAAAGAAGAATAATGACTGCCCACATAACTTAGTCTAGACTTTCACTGGCTGACTCGATAGAAAGATTTTCGGGTTTTTTCTAGATGCAGGGACTTGAATATTGCCTAAATAAATAATGGATAATTTGGCAGCTAGGGGTAGTTTCAGAAGAGAGTTCTTATTCTTACTTTTTTATAAACATACTCAAGGAAAGAAAATAAATGTTCTTAAAGGAGGTTTAAAAGGATCAGAAGCTGGGATTGAAGAAGAGGCCACGAAGCTTCATTTTACTGTGGGGTGTCATTTTTCAAATGGCTCCTAATCACATTGCTGAGTCTGTCTGGAAGGACCAAAATATTAGTATTCTTACCAGCAAGGCAGTGCAGTGATTACTGTCTCATGCAAATGTGTTGGGATTTCAGCTGAGATCCACACAGCAAAATTACAGTCTCCATGCCCTTAAGTTGGCCTCAGACACTTTTGGACAAACGAAAAAACTATTGTCATGCCATGAAGGTCTATACAGGACTTAGAAACAGGATCTTACCTCAGTTGCATATCATCTTCTTTTGAGTTTGCAACTTAGAGTTTACGTTTTGCAGTTATTTTTTTCTCCCAGAAATTTAATATTTCATACCCATTCACACAGCAAATGCTCTTTTTTTTTTTTTTTTTTTTTTTTTTGATACGGAGTCTCACTCTGTCACCCAGGCTGGAGTGCAGTGGCGTGATCTTGGCTCACTGCAAGCTCCGCCTCCCAGATTCACGCCATTCTCCTGCCTCAGCCTCCCGAGTAGCTGGGACTACAGGCGCCCGCCACCACGCCCGGCTAATTTTTTTGTATTTTTAGTGGAGATGGGGTTTCACTGTGTTAGCCAGGATGGTCTCAATCTCCTGACCTCGTGATCCTCCCGCCTCGCCCTCCCAAAGTGCTGGGATTACAAGCGTGAGCCACCATGCCCGGCCAGCAAATGCTTTTTTACTATTTACTATATATCAGGTGCTATATTAGTCACTATGGGATAATAAGTTAATGAGGACAATGTCCTGCTTTCAAGGAGCTCCTAGTAGGAGGGAAAATCCAAGACTCCAACAATAAGGATGTTGTGTGTTATATGCTAGAATAGATGTGTGATGGGATATGCTGGCAGTGGTAGATTTCAGAGAGTTGACATAGACCAAATTTCAGAGGCAATTAGGTATTAGACAAAGAAGTGAAGCTGGAAGACTGTTTCTGGTAGAAAGGGACACATGTATTAAGGTCTAGAACATGAAATAGTAGGAAGAGTTAGTATTTCAGGCTGGCTGGGGGAGAAATTGGTTGGATCTAGGGGGTCAGGGGTTAGAGATGGGGCTAGGTAGGCAGGATGGAGGCAGAGTACAGGAAATCTTGGCTAACCCAAGAGATAGAATTCTATCCTGAAAGTTGGGAGAGATATTCAAAGATTTTAAAGCATGGAAGTGATCATTCAGACTTCAGCTTTTAGAAAAGTGAGAAATAAAAATAACCTAGAAGCAATCGCTGCAAATGGGGGAAAAAAAAACACTAGAATCCAGGGTCAGCTGTCATCCAAACCCCATTTGAATCCTGGTGATCATGCCCCCACCCCTCTCATTTTATTCCCCTTTGTTTCCGCTGACTTTATGGAGATATAATTGGAGTTTTGAAAAAAATGCATTTGCTCATGTAACCACCTCCCCAGTCAAGATCTAGAACATTTTTATTCCTGTAAAACGTTTCCTCGTGCTCCTTTGTAGACAGTCTATACTCATTTCCAGCACAAGATTTCTGTCACCATGAATAGTTTTGTCTCTTCCAGAATTTCCTATGAATGGAATCATACAGTATATATAATTTTTTTGTCTGGATTCTTTCACTCGCATATTTTTTTGAGGTGTATCCATATTGTGTGTATCAGCATTTTTTTTCTGTTATATTGAGGAGTGACAGTCCATCACACAGTTATACCAAAATTTATTGATCCATAACCTGCTGATGAAGGTAGATTATTTCCATTTGTGTCTTATTCTTTTTTTTAATTATTTTAAGGGAATTTTTTAAAATCTAGTAGAATCTGTTGAGTTGAGTGTCAGGTCCCTCATACACAAAGTAGTAAGTGTAACTTGCTGCGGTTTTGAAGGACAATTTGGCAACACCTATTAAAGCTTTAAAATGTTTATTGTCTCTTTTTTTTTTTTTTTTTTTTTTTGAGATGGAGTCTCGCTCTGTTGCCCAGGCTGGAGTGCAATGGCGTGATCTTGGCTCACTGGAACCTCTGCCTCCCGGGTTCAAGCGATTCTCCTGCCTCAGCCTCCCAAGTAGCTGGGACTACAGGTGCCCACCACCACGCCCGGCTAATTGTTGTATTTTTAGTAGAGACGGGGTTTCACCATGTTGGCCAGAATGGTCTCGATCTCTTGACTTCGTGATCCTCCCACCTCGGGCTCCCAAAGTGCTAGGATTACAGGCGTGAGCCACTGTGCCCGGCCTATTCTCTCTTTACTTAGTTATTCTACCCTTTAGGATCTATCATACGAAATATCCCAACAAATATGTAAGGGCATTGGTACAAATGTATTTGCTCAACATATTTTTATAATTCTCTATATTTTTTCCTCTGAAAAGTTTCATTTGTTCTATACAGGGTTATCTTCTGTGTCCTTATCTTTTATTTTTTTCTGGTGATAAACTTTGTTGGCTGTCCTGTATGAAAATTTAGGAAAGAGTGCATGTTTTCAATATAATAAATTGAGTAATCCCCAGCTTATTATCCAAAAAAACTAGTTATCTATATAGGTATTTGAATTTACATTGTAATTATCTGAAAGTTTTGATTATTTCAGAGTTGCTAACTTTGGCCTTTCTTTTCCATTTATAATTCTGAATTTGAACAGAATGTAAGAAATCACTTGAAAGCTCCTTTAAAATGTCATTGTTTCTTACAATTCTCTTTGGCATCCTGGGACACCTCATTGTCACGTGGGGCTTTAGCCAAATGCCTTCTCAGAAAGGGTTTTGGAGACATCTAATGAGGTCTCTATTAATGACGATTAAGTGGTCATTGAAGTTATTTTTGTTTCATATTTGATGGAATTTAGTCATAGATCAAGCAAATGTCCTCTACAGAGAAAGGCTAAGCAATAGCAGAGCACTGGGTCCAAGGATGCTCTGTCCATGTATTGGTGTTTACACTCTCCAGCTGTCCACTGGAGCTCACATGGCCAGAACTACAATGTTGGCTGAATCTATAAAATACAAAAGCTTTAAGGCAGATGCCCAGCTCAATGAGATGAATCAAAGTCAAACCCTACTATTAGGAAAGTCTAGATCTGAAATTGGGTATTCTACTTATTCATTCATTCATACATTCATGTATTTATAAATTCTACTTTTATGCGAAAGCACTTCTAGATTCTGGGCCATGAGAGTAAAATAGGAATGGATCATTCTTTGACCTTTAGGAATCACCTGTCTAATAAGAGAAATGAAACAGGCGAGTAACCACGACAGTAATATTGAATCCTTATTATGTATTGGGAATCATGCCAAGTATTTCATATTATTTTTATGATTTAATCCTCACAGCAGGTAATATGATTCTGTTTTACAGAAGAGAAACCTGAGGTCTAGAGAAGTCAGTCAACTTACTCAAAGTAACACAACCAGTAAGAGGCAGAGCTAGGACTTAAACCCAGACAAATGGACCCAAGGACCCATGTTTTTAACCTCCCCACTCTGCAGCTCCTGAAAAGAATGTTGGAATTTCATAGGTGTGCTGGGCAGTTTGAAAGTAGAAGTCTTTCTAGAGGCTTTGGTAAGGGTGTGGCCAGCAATCCAGGATAGTCTCAAATAATTACTCATTGTTTTCCGCATGTATCACAAGTTCTTTCACACTTTTCTGCTTTTGCTGCGTCAACTCTAGCTGAAATGTGTTCACATCTGTAGTCTCCTTATCAAATTCTACTTGCCCATTAAAGTGGAGGTCAAATGGTGTTTATTTCATGAAATTCTTCTTGAAACCTACCGTCAGAATTGTTTTTTTTTTTTTCTCTGCATTCTATCACTATCACCAGTTACTTGTAGCCACAGTTTATTTTGCCAGATATTAGAGTTGACTTTTTACATATTTATTCTTTCTGTGCCTTTCTGAGTGCAAACCGAGTATTGTTCATCTCTTATGAATACAGGGCGTGGTAGTTGCCTGCTGAGTAAGTGAATAACCTCATTTGTCAGTTTGTGCAGAAGTAGGTGTACTATGACCTGCTAGAGTGCTCACTAGGGGTTAAATATTTCCAAGACAGAGTCTGGAATGAAGTAGTTACATTTTTCTTGAAGAATCATTATCTGTCTTCAGGTAAAGTGCTTCCTCATCCTGACATGTCCTGAAAAAAGAAATTTTTTATTGGATCCAGCTTTCTTCCTTCTCCCTTCTTTATAGGAAAGAAGAGCCAGCTTAAGGCCGGTTGTACAAAAGCAGCTGAGGTGGCAAGAACTGATCATAAATGTTACAGACCAATGTTTACCTATTTCTTTTTTTCGAGACAGGATCTCACTCTGTGACCCATGCTGGAGGGCAGTGGCAGAATCATAGCTCACTGCAGCCTCAACCTCCTGGACTCAAGTGACCCTTCCACCTCAGCCTCCTGAGTAGCTGGGACTATGGGTGTGTGGTACCACACCTGGCTAATTTTTTATTTTTTGTAGAGATGAGGTCTTCCTGTGTTGTCCAGGCTGGTCTTAAGCAATCCTCCCACTTCTGCCTTCCAAAGTGCTGGGATTATAGGCATGAGCCCCGCCTGTTTCCCTATTATAACCTCCCAAAAGCCCAGAAACATCCCCATAGTCTGGTATATAAATACTTCTTTCTCAGCAACAATTTTATTCCACCACATTAAGGAATACAACCATTGAGATTTTTCCCAGCGTTCTCTGCCAAGGAGATTGAGAGGATCCCCAGAGCTCACAGAACTGCCTCAGTTTATGGGCCCAAATATAGGCTATTGTCATTTCTCTGACTGTTTGCACAGAGTCTTGGAGAGATAAATTGATTGTGCACGATCATAGGAATATTTATTAGGACTTTGTTGAATTAACTCCCTCAAATCACATGGAGCTAAATTAAAGTTACTAGGCATTGCCTATTATTTTAGAATTTAAATCATAGTCAGTTCCTTCTTTCATACAAGAGCTCAGAGAGAAAATTTTGAAACTAAAAACACAGATGAATAAGAATGGGTAATTTTTATGAAGCAAGGGGTTAAGACAATAAAAGAAGGCCTTCGTTTCTGGCTTCCCTGTCACCTAAAGTCCTGTTGCATCAGGCGGTCTCCCATCTCAGCTACAGTATTAAGTTAACTACAAGCTACCCAGAAAGCTACATCTATTTCAAGGTTGTAGCCCTGGCTGTGCCTTTTATTTTTTTAAATCTGAAGTGTTGGGAGGAGAGGGGGTTCAGCAGGGTGGGGAGATAGAAGTCAGAGGGGAAGGGGGGTTATTTCAGGCCTTGCTTCTCTAAGCCTTCAATGTCTGAGCTCCAGGACAGACCTTCCTGTTGTGAAATACTGGACCAGTTGTTGCCCTCTGAAGATAAACAACATTCCAGCAGCTCCCCTAGAGCTACCCGAGGCCTTGTGCTTTTTAACATTTCCCTGGCCCTACAGTGATCCAGGAGCTGAGGATTACTGCACTACCTGCTGCAGCACACACAGCATTAGCTTTGTGGTCTCTGTGCTCTTAAGCTGGGTTATGGTAATGAATCCAGGGTGAAATCTGGGTGCCTCTGCCTGCTTGTTAAACTGATGAAACACTAACATCTTTTGTGTAGTTTTGGAAGCCCAAGCTGTGCTGATTGGAGGTGGTAAGGACAGGGCTCTCTGCCCTAATGTGTAAGGTTTCTGTCTTCATTAAAGTTTGAGGCTGAATCAAGACTCACTGGGGTCACGTAAGGGCAATTTTGCAAACCCAAGGCAAGCTGTTAACAAAATCAACCTGGGCCAATCATCAAAGGGTTGGACCTAAGGTTGCTATACTCAATAGAACAAGCATTTTAAATAAATTTCTCGTAAGTTGTTGCTTTCTTTATGTGGTGGGTGTGGCTTTAAAGAGCACAAAACCACAACAAATCAAAGAGTAGCTCGGGCTTGTCTTTTGCTTTATGGCTGAGGGTTTGAAGGATGATTCATGGACTTGTGAATGCCAGCCCCAGTCCCGGCTTAGGTCTATCTGCCAATACCACCAGGGCCAACAAATTCACGCAACAAATTCTCTCATTTTTTACAGTTTATCAGTTGCACTCATAGTTATTGTCATAATCACTCCCCACAGTAACCTGTAAGGCATATAAAGTAGCTATTTTAGTAAGATAAATGATATTTTATATATGTTATGATAAGATAAATCTTATCATTTTAAGAAGAAACTGAGGCTCGGAGAGATGAAATGACTTCCTCAGTTGCTAACGCTGTATAAGTAAACAATTTTAATTTTTTTTGGCATTGGGTATTATTTCACCTTTTGTATGTGTATATGTCTGATTGCTAATTTAGTGGGTTAAGATGAGTGTCAGGCTGACATCTAAGATGGCCCCTAGTAGTTCCTGCTTCCTTTACTCTCTCTCTCTTTCTCTCTCCATATATATATATATATATATATATATATATATATATATATATATATATATATATCTGTGTTATGTTTACTATCAGGTGCTGGAAGCTGCAGCATGGGATAGCAGGAACAAAAATTCAGATTAAAATATTGAATATAATATTTTCAGTGAAAAACAAAAATTCACAGCATAATGAAAGATGAATAAAAAGAAAAATGGACTTTTTAAATCATTAATAAATTAATACACAATTATAACTGAATCTTCTTAATAAGATTATTGCTTGGCACGCTTAATTGTTGAAACAATGACACAAGAGTAACAAATTACAAGAAACTGAGAAAATAAATAATAATAACAAAAAGATTTTTGTATTCATTGAAGTTAAATGGTCATCGATTTCTTGGTCATCAAAACAGTTAAAGAGAGCAACATCTCCAGTACGATGGCAGGTTCACATTATAAGAAGCAGGAAAATATCAAAAAAGGAAATAACTATAACCATAATAAAAATGCCTGATGTAAAATGCTATATAGTTTTCAAAGCTATTCAATATAAATGATGCCTTTTCATCTTCACAAAAATTCTGTGATGTAGTAAAGGAAGCAGGGTTGAGAGTATTGTATCCATTGTGTTGGCATGGAAACCAAGGACCAGATGTGTTAAAAGTTAAAAGCCCAAGGTTATATAAATAGAAAAGAGAGTTGATAATCAGCTCCTGCATTTTTAGCTTTTGATTAGTTCTTGTGCATTTATATCTTGGCATTTTATGATAGCATGCATGTCCAAGGGGGTGTGTGTGTGCGTGTGTATGAACACATGACATATGGAGTTTTGATGGCCAATAAATATGGACATATGAAAAAAAGTAAAAGAATGGATCTTTGACATTTTAAGGCACCAGTGGAATAACTGCAAAATAATTTTGCTTTCTATTGAAAATCAATGCAAACTTTTCAGTTCAACTAGCATTTGAATAATTCAAGAACTGTGTTACTATAAATACTTCCTTTCTCTTTTGGCTATTTAAAAATGTTTTGTTTGTTTTATTATTAAGAATATGAAGTCCCAGCATTTGTAAAACTTGCTTATAAAAAGAGGACTTTTGTCATTATAGAAAAAATCAATGTCCATTAAGTGTTAAATTTAACATAGTTATTTATATTGTATTTTTGAAATGTATTTTAAAGTGTGACATGGATGTAATCCCAACATTTTGGGGGGCTGAGGCAGGTGGATCACTTGAGCCCAAGAGTTCAAGACCAGCCTATGTAACATGGCTAAACCCTGTGTCCACAAAAAATACAAAAAAATTAGCCTGCCATGGTGGCATGCGCCTGTAGTCCCAGCTACCTGGGAGGCTGAGGTGGAAGAATCACCTGACCCAGGGAAGTTGAGGTTACAGTGAGCAGTGATCGCGCCACTGCACTCCAGCCTGGACAACAGAGTAAGATCCTGTCTCAAAAAAGAAAAAAAAAGTGATGTGGACTCATTAGACCATGAGAAAAAAGTGGTGTGTACTTATGAGACCATGAGTTCTACTTTGACAGAACAACATGATGAGAACTCATTTCACGTAGACAACTAGAAGGATGGTGTGGCACTTGGTGGTGGGGAATGAGTAGGGAAGGCAGCGATGGCCCCTGTAACTGAGGAGGCTGTAATAAAGGGGAAGTGGAGAGCCCTGACTCCTTTAAAGCTGACTGCCCAGGGCCAGTGGAATGAGCAGAAGTCAGTGCTTAGTGATTCCCTGGTCCATTTACAAACAGGAAAAAAAGGAGCCAGAGAAGAAAAAATAATTGCAGACACCAGGATGAACTGCTGTCTTCTGTGTTTTGTTCTCCCCTCCTCCCTCATTTGGAAGAATGACTAGGGCCCCACTACCTGTTCCAATCCACCTAGGACTCAGGGGTAAGAGGAGACCACATGAGTATTAGACTACTGCTATGACCTGAGGAACTGTCTCCGCCCCTTTTCATCTTTCCCAGAGCATGCTGAAAATTCTCCCGTAGCCTTCTGTCCTGTGACATGGACTGAGGCTTGATGACACATCTCTGTGATCCCCGACCTGGTAGCTGTGGTCTGTCATTGTGCTGTAACCCAAAATGCAACGTACTAGAACTCAGAGTTCTGTTTCTGCGCTTTCCACCTGTAAGATCCAGACCAGCTCCCTAGTCTCACATGGCCTCAGTTTTTTCATCCCTTAAGTGGGGTGTAACAATTCTTACCATGACACCTTCTCACATTTTTATGAGGATTAAATAAGATAGAGGGCACTCAGATTTACAAACTCTGAAGGACAGTGGAGGTATTAATTATCACCTTCTATTACCAGAGGAGTAAAGAATGGAGATTAGAAACTCAAGATCCACAATTAAACTAAGCTTACTCTAATTAGGCTACATTTTCCACTTGTACGCTGTTTGAATTCAGGTGTGTTGTGTAACCTTGCTATGTCTCAGTTTCTTTATTCTTCAATGGCAATAATAATAGTTCCTACCTCCTCACAGTGGATTATTTTGGGGGGTTAAATTAAGCAATGTCACAGTGGCTGAGATGCAGTAAGCAACCGACACATTTTTCTAATACTATTACTCTGTATCTACAAACTGACTGCTGTGATTCTGAAAGTCTGAAAGAGCACGGCCTTTCTGGAAGTTCAAGCAGGAATTCCCTACAGTGGAATAATTGCTTTGGTAATTTTCTGAGCTACATCTTAATTATCTTGGGGAATTTCATTATTCCCAAGGTTTAAAATGCAGTTATTTTTATAGTGGGCAGTAGAAATAAAAAAATCCAAAGAACTTTTTTCCTTTCAAATGTTTTCCTATTTGTGTATTGTCTTTAAACTTTTCAGGGACTATAATGAGGCTTTAAGAGAATAAATACCTATCAGGAAAAGGAGAAAAGCAGATTGGAAAGATCACTAGACTGAGTGTCTGGTCCTACATTTGCTCCTAACTCATTGTGTAATCTCCCACCTTAGGTCTCTTTCTTGAGAATTCTGGTTTTCCATTGATGAAATGAGAAGATCATGACCAGATTTCCTCAGTGTAAAAAACTGAAATAAAATGATAGTCATAGTAAAGCATCTAACACAGATTCTGGTACAGAGTCATTACTAAATACATAATTATTCTCTTTCTCCTATATGACGTTCTGTAATTTAAGAGTTGCGTCCCTTGGCAAAGTAAGATTTGATTTAGATGTGTTGAGATGTTTAACATAAGGGCAGAATCTAGTGGGAAAAGTCCCAGGAAATCAAAAGATGGTTTACTGAACTTAGATACTCCTTTCTAGTCTACCTCTAAAACAACTTCCTTAATAATAATGTTGTGACTTTTTTTGCAGTTGGAGCCATAACACTATTGGGTACAAAGCAGTAAGGACTGAATAGTTTTTCCCCAAGGTGGTGATTGGTATGTTGGTGCCATGTCATACAGAATGAGCCACCAGAGTCCTTTGGAAACCAGCGTGCATGTTTGTAAAAGGAGACTACTGAATCAAGCTCTGCAGACCACACAGAGAACTGAATTTAGCACTCTCGTGCAATTCATTGCTCAAACTGGCTCTACTAATAAGCCAGCTCCCCTACAAAGATATTATCTGTTAGAGCTAAGAAAAAAAAAAAGGACCTTAAGTATCCTCTCTAATCAAGCTCTTCATTTTATGAAGATATGAGAGAGTAAAAGTAACTATCCAGGAGTCAGGGATCAGTAGAAGAGGTGTGATTGGAAGCTGGGTCTCTGGATGCCTAGCTCCTGTATGACCAATGACTAAAAATAATGTCAAGGGATAGAGAATAAGTGTTTCTTCACGTTAAACTGAATTTCCTTCAAACCAAATTTTCCAAATCTCTAGACACTGATGTGCTCAAGTTCCATAACTTAATGGTTTGGAAAATGTTTTGCATTCCTTAAATAAAAGGCACTGCAGAAGGCTATTTTAACTGGCCCTTACGTGAGGTCAGTCTTTGGTCAGCGTTATGTGTTGGGCTCATGGGCTTTTGTACTGTAGGCTCAGCTGCTCTGTTGCCCCAGCTGTTGGAGACACTGCACAGTCTCTCTTGCCTCTGTTGCCCCTGTTTGGAGACTGGTGCTTGGTAATATCAGGGCATGGATACCGCAGAACCCTCGCAGACCAAGGTATAAAGTCGAATGGAGGCCTGTTGGACTGAGGGTTACAGGTTCATGGAGAATCCTGAGGAACCTAAGCAGTATCGTGCACAGAAAGCTGAGGGCGTCCATCTTAAACATGCATCAGAGGCTCCTGAAAGGTTTGTTAAAGCAGAATTCAGGCTGGGTGTGGTGGCTCACACCTGTAATCCCAGTACTTTGGGAGGCCGAGGCGGGTGGATCACCTCAGGTCAGGAGTTCAAGACCAGCCTGGCCAACATGGTGAAACCCTGTCTCTACTAAAAATACAAAAAGTAGCTGGGCATGGTGGCTGGCACCTGTAGTCCCAGCTGCTCAGGAGGCTGAGGCAAGAGAATCTCTTGAAGCCGGGAGGTGGAGGTTGCAGTGAGCCGAGATTGCACCATTGCAATCTAGGCCTGGGGAACAAGAGCTAGACTCTGACTCAAAACAAACAAACAAACAAAAAAAAAACCAGAATTCAGGTCCCACCCTCAGGGTTTCTGGTTCAGTACATCTGAATGAAGCATGAAAATTTGCATTTCTGTCAAAATTTCCTTGGTGATGCTGATGCTACTGGTCAGGAGATTGCACTTTAAGAGCCACTGGAATACAGCATGATGTGTTGATGCACACAGCTGATAGCTGGCAACACACAGCTGATATCCAGTAATTTGAATGGAATATAAAGAATTCTGGAAGCTCTCTCTGTAATGGGCTTTCTGGGCAAGGAATTCAGCTTTTTCCTTTGGGTCAACTTGGGTCTTGAATGATCTGGCCAGCATTTAGGAAGGCATTTGACATTCTGGTTTTAATGTAAACACTTCCCACCTGTCCCAAGTATGTGTATCCCTTTGCAAGAGCTTCAACATTTCTGACATTGGTGGAACCCTGATCTTTTCTCCCCTCCCCTTCTCACTCTTTCCCTCTCTCCTGGCTGGCATCTGTTCTTTTCACAGCTGTGACTGTTTCATTCTGTCTGCCTCTCTCTCTTCTCGTCCCCAACCTTTCACCCCCCAGCCCCCCCCCCACCCTGCCATTAGGATCAAAATACTCTGTTTTTATTTATTTACTCCACAGCTGTCAGTGTTGTGTCTGGGTTACTGCAGTGCAGCTTGCAGGGAAATGCGATCCATGGTGAGTCCTTAAAACTGCAGATACTTGTAGTAACCAACATACACATAGTCAATAACACAGACACCTTCCTTGGTCCCTGGGTTTGTCTGAAAATGGGAGGCTTGGGACTGTGTGTCAGGGTGACCCCAGGAGGAATGAAGAAGCCTAATGGTCCTCAGGATTTGCACCAAGCCATTTAAAGGTATTGAACAATTCTGAGTATTTAAAACGTTAGCACTAGCAAAGGAGACAGAATAGTTCAGTGGAAAGAACTCTAAATTCAGAGTCAGAAACTGAAGTTCTAATTTCAGCTTTGCCACTAATAAGCTGAGTAACCTTGAAGAACATCTTTTCTCTCAATATCTATCCTTGTCTTTTCCCTTCTCTCTCTGCTCACTCACTCTTTCTCCTTTCTCACTTAATTTTAAGTTGAAAATAGTAGACTTGATGATTCCCAATGTCCTATTTTCAGTGGATCTAAGTTATAGATATGTGAAGATTCCATTGAATGTTTGATTCCTATATGGTGGTTTCACATATACATAGTGATCTCAGGCTGGGTTCTAGGGAGTTTTCACTGAAGTAACTGTAAAAACAGAAAGTGTAGGATTTTGCATCGGAAACTAGGATAATGAAAGCAATATACATTAATAAATCAACCAGTGAGGATGTATTCGGCAAGTAACACGTCTAAAGGAGACTTGAGGGAGGCAGCCTGAAAAAGGATTAGTTTCACCAGTGGTGGAAAAGACACTCAACTGGGAACTGGTACAGGAAAGAGAATCAATATGAAAGAAGAATTAATGTGAAACAGAATGAAAACGACTAGACCCTATGCTGTCTTTCCTTCGTATCCATGTTCTGAGCAAAATCAACCTTCAGGATAAATCGCATAGAGTCATGTGGATAGCAGTGGGGAAATGACATAATGTGTGAAATTAATGAACTGCTTGGTGAAATTTTTCAATTCAATCATACTGATTTCTCACATTACTAGATAACCTTTCTGGGAAGTGGTTAGTGTCATATTTTGTTAAAGAAAAAATCCTTCTTAATGCCTGAAGTGCACTCCTGTAAGCCTAATTTATTTTTTCTTTGTAGAGCCCTAATATTTTCTGTTAGCAAGTTGTAACTACCAAACCAAAAAAAAGATAAAAAATTGCATTAGATAACAATTCACGTTTTGGAGCCAATTACAGTTTATAATACATAATCATACCCTTTATTTCATTTGTCTGACTCTCTCTCTTCTCGTCCCCAACCTCTCACCCCAATGTCCCCCAACCCCGCCATTAGGATCAAAATACTCTGTTTTTATTTATTTACTCCACAGCTGTAAGCCTAATTTATTTCATTTGTGTAAAGCAATAACTCTATGAGGTGGCCAAGTAGTCATTGTTATTTCCATATGGAAACTTCATTTCCATATGAAGTTTGCTAAGTTATTTGCTAAGCTCACACAGATACTGTGGTAATGTCACCAAAACACAGATTTTAATTTTCATTAATTACAGTTGGTCATTGAACAACACAGGCTTGAACTGCACAGGTCCACTTATATGTGGATGTTTTTCAATAAAACTTACACAAAGTGTGTCTTCCTCTTCTGCTTCCTCTTCCAGCTCCTCTATCTGTTCCATCTCTGCCACCCAGAAACAGCAAGATGGAGCCCTTCTCTTCAGCAAGATGGAGCCCTTGTCTTCCTCCTCCTCCTCCTCAGCCTACTCTACATGACAAACTTTATGATAATCCACTTCCACTTAATGAAGAGTAGATCTATTTTCTTAATAACATTTTCTTTTATCTAGCTTATTTTAGTATAAGAATACAGTAAATAATACATAGACAAAATATGTGTTAATTGTCTATGTTATCAATAAGGCTCCATTATTAGTTATGTTTTGGAGGAGTCAGAAGCCTCGGTCATGGGGTTCCCAGATGTTTAGTCAAACATTACTGTGGGTGTTTCTGTGAGGGCGTTTTTGGATGAGATTAACATTTAAATCAGTAGAGTGAATAAAGCAAACTGCCTTCTCTAATGTGGGTGGGCCTCATCCAATCAACTGAAGGCCTGCATAGAACATAAAGACTGACCCCCCCCCCCCAACCTCTCCCAAGTAAGACAGAATTCTTTCTGCCTGGGGGTTCTTGAACTGGGATATGGGCTTTTAGCTTTTTTCTGTCTTCAGACTAAAACTGAAACATTGGCTCTTACTGGGTTTGAGTCTGCCAACTTTTGAATTGAAACTACCCCACTGGCTCTCCTGATTTCCAGCTTGCTGACTCACCCTGCAGATCTTGGGACTTGCCAGCCTCCATAATTGTGTGGGCCAATTTCTTATAATAAATTTCTTTATTATTTATACACACAAACACACACACACACACATACATCCTCTTGGTTCTGTTTCACATGAGAACCGTGGCAAATGCAGAGAGTTTACTTATTTGTTATATTCTTTTTCAAGTCTTCAACTCTGGTTTAAAACTAAATATGTGCATTTATTATTCTAAGCATGAGGACATAACCTCACAAAAGTTATATAGAAAATATTCATTTGTAAAACAAATCAATATGCCTGGTTAGCATTTCCTCATTAATTTCTTCCAGTGAAAGATGTGCTCTAATATGAAAAAATCTTTCAGTGAACATATGTGCAAAATTCCTTCAATAAGTGCTTGTTGAGCAACAATAGCTATGCTGGGTAAACTAGTGGAGCTCTCAGAGGGACCTTAGAAATGATTTAATTAAATTTCTTTATTTTAGAGAAGTCCAGTAATGACCATCATTCATACAACAATTCAGTCAGAGAATTGCGCTAAAACATTACAGTGTTGATTTCTATCTTCAGATGCTATCTCCCTGTAACTCACTTAAGGTCAATGGTATTTTCAAGCACATAATTTTCTTTTCTTTCTTTTTTTTTTTTTTTGAGGCGGAGTCTCGCTCTGTCGCCCAGGCTGGAGTGCAGTGGCACGATCTCGGCTCACTGCAAGCTCCGCCTCCCGGGTTCATGCCATTCTCCTGCCTCAGTCTCCCGAGTAGCTGGGACTACAGGCGCCCGACACCACGCCCGGCTAATTTTTTGTATTTTTAGTGGAGACGGGGTTTCACCATGTTAGCCAGGACGGTCTCGATCTCCTGACCTCGTGATCCGCCCGCCTCGGCCTCCCAAAGTGCTGGGATTACAGGCGTGAGCCACCGCGCCCGGCCACAAGCACGTAATTTTCTTAATCTCAACTATTTCCCCACAAACAATTCAATCATAGGTTCTTTAGAGACTTATAATTCACCAGATATTGTACCAAATCCTACTGAAACAATTTGGTAACAATAATGCTTGGAAATTTTAATCAGATATTTGTAGAGTTTCTAAGCAATTAATTGACAATAGTATCCTAAGGTGCAGAGAGCTTTGGTTTAGGAGTCCGTGAGGAATAAATTTTTACCAATAATTTTCTAGCAGTCCTTAAGCAAGTCCCTTAATTTCTCTGGATCTTTATTTTATCATTAGTAAAATTATGAGACCTCTTTAGAGATTTCATTTTTTTTCTGACTTTCAGACAGCATGACTCAAATTTGACTATTTTATAGATATTCAGAATGATAATGACAAGATGAATTCCTTTATCTTAAAGGGTGAGTAATCCATGTCACAGAAATTTTGATTTGTCTCATTATTTATTATGTACTTAATATCAAATTTTTGTTTTGTTTTAATTTTGAACGTTTATATAGTGTTATCATTATATAGTGGTTTTGGACCTTGTTTACCAAAAGGTTTTTGTCCTGTAAAAGAAAATAACTGCAGAAAGGTAGTTTAATTCATGGAAAGTAATTCATTTAAATCTAACTGTGAATAGACTGTTAAATATCTACTTGGTTTTGTTTATGAAATTGACAGAATTTTAGCTTTGGGTGAAATCAGCACACAACGAGAGGAATGTAGTGGCCCAAACCACCACTGGAGAGCAGACTAAAAATTCTCAAATGGCCTTTAGTTGGAATGAATTGCTTTGTAAATTCTTTCCATCTCCAATTCTCATGATTCTGCAATAACTCTACTTCCTGAATGTAAAAATAGGCTGTAAGTAGAGCAGAGAAATGGTGGCTCTCTTCCACCTTAGGAAGAAAGGTTTTTTCTGTAAGGTAGAGGGGTCCAATTCCCAACCAGGCTCACTTTTTTTCAACACAAGGGAAACACCATCTAACTTTTTTTCTTTTCTTTTTTTTTTTAAGCCACCTAACTTTTGAGGGCCTTATATGACTAAGAATACTGAGATATAGCAGACACATTCTTGGATGTGAAAAGGTACTCTAAAAATATAGATATCATTGACCTGGCACCAATAGGCTCTTATCCCATCCTTCCCTTCCTCCTACCCCCACCCCTGCAGTGTATCTTAAGTAAAAGTAGCATCCAAATATAAAGCAGATGGGTCGTGTCCCATTCCATGGGATCTTGAAATGTCTGCACTTAAAACAGGATAAAGTTAAAGCTGTGTTTGAAGTGGCCCAAACTAGGGCACCAAGAGCAGCTGCTCTTCCTTCCAGCTGGATCCCTCAGCCTGGCAACGAAGGTGAGAGTTACCTTGACACATTCTCATTTCCAGGCATCTGGAGATCAACTGTACATATTGCTTAAGGCAAAAGGCTGACAAGTTCAAAGCAGAACAAAACAGAAAACAAGAATCAGAACAATAATAAAAACTTTTTCCACCTAATTTATTTTTTAAAGGAAATAATCCATTTGAAAGTGTGAATAATACATACAGTGTATTCTGTACTATTTTAAGTGACATACATTTTATATCTTTCTATAGTTTTCTTAACTCAACTGCTTCTGAACGTATTCGTTTTCCAATATTCAGGATGAGGAGACAGGTATCCAAAACTCTGTAGATAGATTTCGACAACTTCATTAAGAAAATGAGCTAATTCTATGTAGAGGCTTGGTATGTAACACCAGGCTTAAAGTAATGGCAAATGACTTAGCAGTTAGAGAATTCACATTTGCTTGCTATTATTACCTAACATTTATTGAGACTCTACATTTTATAAGACATTGTGATATTATTTCATTGAATCCTTACTGCAACATTTTGAAGTAAGACATTATTAGTGTCATAGAAAGGTAGGACGCAAGGTTCAGAGAAATTGTATTAACCTAGTTTATACAACTAGATGGTGGTAGATTAATGATCCAAACTCAATCCACCTAAACTACAGGCCTGTTTTATAAACTACTACGTTCCATGGCAGAAAAAAATAATTGAAATTGTAACTGACATTTTTCTTTTTTAAACCTAGTACTTTTCTGTAACACTACTACGTTGCCCTGACAAATTTGGTAAATCTAGATTTATTAATTAAGAAGAGATAATAGAGCAGGATCGTTTTTAAATTTCTATTTTTTATTTTTAGCTTTTGAGTTTCAAAACTGTAGCCCTTGGAGAGGGTCAGAGACTGGCCGATTTTACACTAACCCCATTTCTTCTTCCTCTTGGCAAACAGCTAAATGTTACTTTCCAGCTTCTTTTGCAGCTGAGTGTGGCCCAGGAATATGTGTAGAAGTGATATGCTCCCTCCTTATTCAGATCCATATCCAGATCTGATTTATTAAAAAAAAATAAACACCTCCCACATGGGATAATTATGAATTATCCTTTCTCTTCCCCTGCTGGCTGACTGGAATGAGACGACCTGCTTGGTAATCACTAAAAGGCATATATTAGACACAGGGGAGTCAACAAAGGTAAAGATCCTGGGTCCCTGGATCATTGTATGGACGGGAGTCACAGCTCAGAGGATCTGTAACACTGGTTTTAAACTTTCCTGTGAAGAAGTATGTTTCTATTGTGTTAAGACAGTCCGAGTTGAGGTTTTGTGTCACACACTATTATAGATGACAGTGAAAAGGAATTTGAAAAATTCGGGAGGATATCTGACATGTATGTTTATGTAAGAGTCCACAGTCCAGATGAGGATTTCCTGAAAATCTACAAGGCAAATGACCTGATCTCTTCAAGAAAAGATCTTAGGGGTGAGGGTGGAGCACAAAGATTGATAAGAACCTTACCTATTGAAAATAGACTTAAAAGATATATCAATTAATAACAATAACAATAAATCATTCTTATTCGGACCCTAATTCAAGCAAACACATTGTTTTAAAAGCAAAATATTTATTAGACACTCAAAGAAGTGTGAAATATGTGAATACTAAGTAGACATTTGATGATATTAAGGAATTAATGTTTTTTTTTCTGATAACAGTACTGTGTAATTTTTTTTAAAACCCTATCATTTATAGATTATTTGATGCTTTCAAATTGAAAGAAATAATGTCTGAGATTTGTTTCAAAAGTACATTGACGGGGAATGGGTGGGAGTGTAAATAAAACAAGATTAGCTTTGAGTAGATGATTGCTGAAGCTGGGAGATGGGTACCTGGGGTTTATTATATTATACTTTCCCTATATTTGTGCATGTTTGAAATTTTCTATAATTAAAATTTAAAAAAAATTCCTAGGTTGAGAAGAGAACTGAGTCCCAAAGCAATGAAAATGTTTCTCTGATGCTTTCTCCACTGTAGACCAAAATTTTGGGGAAGACAATCAAATCCTCAGATAAGTTTAAAAAGTAGGGAGCTGAGAGGCCTGTGCTTTGCTTTCCAGGAAAACCTGAGCAGGAAGCAAAACCCAGTTCAGAAATAACTGCGTGGTTTATGCAAATCAGGACTTAGCTCAGAGTCTCCTATGGCCCAGTGTGGACCAGGAGATGCAGAAGGAAACAAAGGAGACACAGAGAAAGGGTTCACTGACCATGAGAATGAGGGATGACTGAGCAGTGATCTGCGTAGATCTATGGTCATCAGTCAAATTCGTGGTGGATATTTCGGTGCATAATTAGATAGCAGTAGATACTCAGATGCTTACTGGTGTCTTGGCTTGAAAGAAAGCCTTTGGAGCTTGCATAAAAACCTAGGAAAAGGAGAAGAACCCTAAAGAGATGAAGATTAAATTTCCACCACTTAGTGAAATGGGATTCCAACATATACATTAGGTTGAATCATATATAAATACAAAAATTTAAAATGTTTTCCCACCTGTGTGTTTGAACTGCAATTCTTACACAATTATAATGCCTCTCAAAAAACCCAGGGATTACTTCCACTGCATTTAAGTATCCTAGCTAAAGCTCTAAACACAGTCTTTCTCCCTTTATTTTTCCTCTTCATTACCTTTATCTCAGCTTTTTAACTCAGTTAAATATTTAAATTCTGAGTTCGTTTAGAAAAGCTCTTCCTGGGAGATGAAAACTCTGGGTTAGTGCCTGGATTCTGCTAGTAGCTATTTGCATGACTTGAGAAAATAATGGACCTCTTTGGACCTCAGTTTCTTTGTTAGTGAAATAAAGGTTTTATTCCCAATCTACACCCAAATTCTTTTGTAGAATGAGTTTTTGTGTGCATGTGTGGTTCCAGGAGTATCAGCAAATGTCAGGCTATATTGTGTAGATGTACTCGTTGACCCCGTATATGAGGCTTCATTGATCATCATCTATAATAGAATTTTCTCAAGCTGGATTTGGAGTTGACGATTGAAGTAATCAGTACTTCCTGTACATGATATTGGTGGGGAAATCCTAAAATGACAAATCCTAAATTCATAAGGAATCTTACAGATTACCTAGATCATTCTTCTGTGACCCAGAGACAATATTATTTGTATGACATTATACAATATTAGTGGTAGAGCCACACTCTGAACTTGAGTTTTTTTGACTTAGGGTTCCGTTATCTTTTCCTTATTCCTTCCAGCCTCAAATATAAAGCAGTAGATTTCAATATATCTATTATTGTTATTCAATACTGAATACCGTTACGAAGCATCTGCTGTATACAGAGCATAGAGAAAGTTTCTGTACAAGCAATGTGAGTCACCACAGGGAGTGGGTAACAGTTGAGAGGGAAGAAGCACTTATGCTAATTAATTGTACCAGGTGATGTAATTCCAACTGGGCTTCGATGAGGGCTTTCTTGAGGTTTTTTAAAAAAATGCTTTGAATATAAAATTGAGGAAGAGCACCCTTCTGGGAGAAGTATGTTATCTGAGCTGGGCCCTGCAATTTGTTTACAATTTTGTTAAACTTGCGGTGGGAGAAATGAGGAACAGTATTACAGATAAAAAGAACAGCATTAATAAAACCCGAAAGGAAGACAATGTACAGTGTTTGAGGGAAACCTCCATTAGACTGATGTGCCTAAAGTCATGGTAAGGCTAGAAATTTACACCTCAGGTTTGGACTTTCTCCAGCAAGAAGTAGTTAAGTAATCACAAAAGTAGCTAAAAGACACGCAACAATGAAAGTGTTGTGAATACAGTCTCTTCTCAATTTCAAAGTTTTGAAGAGGCTTTAGGTTGGCAAGGTTAACTACATCCCTGTTTGGAAAGACACATGTGCATGTCTCAGTACAGCACACCTAGCTGTGAAGGAAAAAAAAATTTAGAGAAGCGCTTTCTTTAAGTCCGTAAAGAGGCAGATGAAATTGGGGTTAGCTTAATTGAGAAGGTTAAATTTAAAGTTTGTATTCGACTAGGGACTAAATTAGGACCGGGAAGATACTGGCTTCAGGCCAGAGCTCAGAAATACATTGGTAATTGAACTTAAAGTGGTTTAAATAGTTTTAAATCAAACTATTTGCCCTTGAGAGCTTTATGGTTGTGTAAAAGCCTGAAATATTCACAATTTTGCATTTTCACAGTGACAGGACCAGCTGACATTGTCAACTATGTTTCTCCCCAACCCCCAACACCCAACAGAGGGCTTAGTTTAACATTGTCTTACTTTCACAGCATGTGAGTTACAGCTTTTTGTAATGAAAACCAATAATCAATTCTAAAAAAAAATGACAACAGGTTCATCAAGTTCAGGGCTTTTGTCAGTTTCCACCTGTGTTCCCTCTGCCTTTGTGTTGGGATAGTACTTACAAATAACTATTTTCCTGGGGGAATCATTTATGCCAAGGAAATAGAAAAACAAATTAAATGTGTATGCCTTTCCATGATAACAACTGATCTTGTAAAAATTTATTCCTTGTGTAGTTACTTGAAATATTGTGTAAGTTTTTAAGAGCTTTGGCTCTGGAATCCAATACCTAAATTTTAATTCCAGTTCTACTACTTTCTTTTTCTGAGATTTTGGCAAACTTTTAACTTCTGTGTACTGTAGTTTCTTTGCCTGTAACATGGAGGTAATAATACTAGTTATCTCACAGAGATGTTTTGAGGCTTAAATGAGTTATCGTATATAAAGAACATAGAATGGGTCAGGTGTGATGATGGCTCACGCCTGTAATCCTAGCACTTTGGGAGGCCGAGGCAGGTGGATCACCTGAGGTCAGGAGTTCGAGATCAGCCTGGCCAACGTGACAAAACCCTGTCTCTACTAAAAATAGAAAAAATTAGCCGGGTATGGTGGCTTGTGCCTGTAATCCCAGCTACTTGGGAGGCCAAGGCAGAAAAATTGCTTGAACCTGGGAGGTGGAGGTTGCAGTGAGCCAAGATCGTGCCATTGCAGTCCAGCTTGGGTGACACAGCAAGACTGTCGAAAGAAAGAAGAAAAGAAAGAAAGAAAGAAAGAAAGAAAGAAAGAAAGAAAGAAAGAAAGAAAGAAAGAAAGAAAGAAAGAAAGAAAGGAAGGAGAAAGAAAGAAAGAAAGAGAGAGAAAGAAGAAAGAAAGAAAGAAAGAAAGAAAGAAAGAAAGAAAAAGAGAAAGAAAGAAAGAAAGAAAGAAAGAAAGAAAGAAAGAAAGAAAGAAAGAAAAAGAAAGAAAGAAAGAAAGAAAGAACAGAACAGAATGGTGCTTGGCAGATCATAAGCATGATAAGAGTGTTGGCTATAATTATAATCACAATAATAATTATTATTGTTCATTAATTATTTGCACCAGCTACTGTTTTTGCCCTGCCCCTATTCCAGCTACACTGGACTACCCATTCTTCCCAATTAAGCAAGGTGCATTCCCACTTCTGCTCACATAGTTCATTCTGATGAAATGAGCTTCCCTTACTAAACCTCTTATTAAAATTGTCTTAGGCTTTAAAGTTTGGATCTTGTGATATTTCATTTGTATAGCGCTCTCACACCAAGCCCTCTTCTAGAAACCTTTGACAGAGTGAACTAAATTCTCTTCTGTGCTCCCATAACATTTTCAATATTGCATCGTCATTATTTGTTCGTCTTCACCACTAAAATGTGAGCTTCTTGAGTGCACAAAATGTTGCCCCTTGGTCTCTCTCTTTTCAGAGATTTAGATAGGATCCTGTTCCAAATAAACAGCATATTTATATTTATGGAATTAATTAATTATATGGTCACTGTATATATTGATGCCAGAAAAAGAAAAACTATGAAAAATTATGAGAATTCCAATAAAGATAGCACTGAAGTTTGCCCAGCTGTATAAAAACAAGAATTTCAGTAAATTAATAAGCATGCAGGATTGCAACAGAAAGATTTAGCTTTGATAAGAAGGGATATTTCAAGAATAAACGTTACTTTTATGGGTGTTAGTGCCAATACATTTTTGCTGAGTATGAAAATAATTATTCCGTGGTTTCCTCCACAACTGTCACAACTGTTTTTCTAAAACTGTGAAGATTTATAGCATGATATTCTCACCATACTTCAAAAGCTTTTAGCCTAACAAGTATTGTTTATCTAGTCTCAAACCCTTTACACTGTACTATATTTACACTCACACACGTTTACACATATATCAGCACCATTGTCACTTTCCCACTAATGCAGTGCAACATCTCATTAATTTTCTCAGTTAACTATTTTCATGGATTCAAGATTGCTGAGCAATGTAAAACATTTTCTTAACACTCTTGGTAATATGTAAAATAAGAGTACTGCTCTACAGATGAATATACAACCTAAAATATGTTAGATAATTTTGTAGAAATATACTATATAAAAATGCAAATTAGTAATTATTTTAGTTCAATGGAATTAAGAAAAACACAGGAATAACATAATAATAAAAATGATAATGATAAGTGCAATAACCTAGCAAGGACAGATTACAATCATAAACTTGTAGTTACTAAACAATACTGCCTGAAAATATACAATTCTCTAGGCGAATTGAACAAATTCATAATCACGGTGGGAGATTTTTAACACATGTATATCATCTATCAGACAAAATTTAGCTATAAATATAAAAGATTTGAAAACAAAATTAACTAGTTTAATCTACTTTTTGCAACTAAAAAGGCAATTGGTCACAAAAGAGTTGCACTAAGTTTCAAAAAATGAATATCACATAGAAAATGTTTTTGGCAATTCCAAGTTTTGTAAATAATGAATAACACAAAATTGTGAACCAAAGTAGGATTAATTTAGAAATCATCTACGTAAGAAAATGCACACCCTTCACTCAACAATAACATATATTTGCAAATGAAAAAATGCGTTTTGAGATAAGCCACGAGTTAACAAGCAAACCACATTCAACTCAAGAAATTATAAAAAACTACGTAAAACTAAAGAAATCTGGAGGAAGTAAATACAAATACAAGAGCCAATAATAATTTAAAACAAGAAGGTAAACAGTAAAATCAAAAGCTGACTCTTTAAAAAAATGCAAAAAACTAGTATAAAAGACACACTATCTAATCAAGAAGAGAAATGGCATAAAAATGTTCTAAATATTCAATAATAAATATTAAATATTTAATAAGTAATACTAAGTTATTAATAAATATTAGGAATTAAAAGAGAAGATGACTATTTTCCAGAAAGAATTATAAATTGTAATAAAAACCTTGAATTAAATGAATAACAATTACAAAAATTTAGTTAATAATTCAATGTACTCTCTAGGATCTACAGAACCCAGGTGTTTTTATTTTGACTTTTATGAAATCTTCGAGGAATATATCATAAATACATTAACTAGTATATTTAGAGAACACCACTGAACTCATTTTATGAGGTAGCTATTACCTCAATCTCAATAACAGTTAATTTTGTATGGCACTTTGTCATGTGTCACATATTATTTTAAGAGTAAGTTGCAAAATGAGAATTCTTTTACACTGCTGATAGAAAAATAATATTATATAATCATTTTAGATATATCTAATAAAGCTGAAGATAAAAATTCCTTGAACCATCAATTCCTCAACAAGAGATGCTTTTGTATTTGTGCCCTAAGAGACAAGTACCGGAATGTTCATTGCAAAACCATATCAATGGAAAGTTGGAAACAAACTAATAGCTACCAAAAGAATGTACAGTTAATACTTATAAACAAAAGTTGCATATATCAATATGGACACATCTCAAAAATAGAATGTGGAATTTGTGCATTAAAAGTAAGGCAGCTGGTAGAAAATTGATGAATAAAAAGTCAATATAGAGGTTCTGTGGAGGAAGGGGTTGGATTAGAATTTGGAAGAAAACCATAAGTAGCTTGAATCATATCTGTGATGTTTTATCACCTGAAAAAATAAAGACAGAAAAAAATCTGAAGAAAAATAATATAGAAATTGTCCCAGCATCCAGGTAGAGAAAACAAATCTACAAGGGCCAATATCAGCCATTGCTCCAGTAACATTCAATTCTGAATTATAATGGACCAGTACTGATATAGCTTAGGTCTGTGTCCTCACCCAAACCTCATGTTTTATTGTAATCCCAGTGTCGGAGGCAGGACCTGGTGGGAGGTAATTGAATCATGGGGGTAAATCCTTCATGAGTTGTATAGCACTATCCCCTTAGTGCTGTTCTAGTTATAGAGTTCTTATGAGATCTGGTCATTTGAAAGTGTGTAGCACCTCCAGCTGCCCTCTCATCCTCCTGCCCCAGCCATGTGAAGTGCTGCTCCCA
This sequence comes from Homo sapiens, assembly GCF_000001405.40. Lineage (NCBI taxonomy): Eukaryota > Metazoa > Chordata > Mammalia > Primates > Hominidae > Homo > Homo sapiens. The sequence goes on from NC_000003.12 coordinate 189,374,708, forward strand.
CTTTGCCTTCCACCGTGATTGTACATTCTCTGAGGCCTCCCTAGAAGCTGATGCTACCATGCTTCTTGTACAGCCTGCAGAACCATAAACCAATTAAACCTCTTTTCTTTATAAATTATCCAGTCTCAGTTATTTCTTTATAGTGATGTGAGACCGGACTAATACATGTGTCTTCTAGGTTTCTAAGGAAAGAAGCTGTGATTTAAGAATATCCTACAAGCCAAGATATCATTCATGTATAAAGACAGCACCAGGCAGACATTCTCACACACGAAAAAGTTGGGGAATATGTCACACATTGACCCTTTTGCAAAGCATTTTCTGTCAAGAAAATCTAACCAATTAAAGGATGAATCAAAATAGAGAACCCAGGAATTAAGAAATATGATTAAAATAAAGCATAGCAAAAGAAGGCTGATAACGAGTAACTTCACTTAAGAACAGAACAAATATTAGACAATTTTGTTAATTATGATAACAGAACACAACGTACATTTTATAAGTGTAATCAACATAAAATGAATAAAAACTAAAAGCTAGGAGTAGGGGTGATGTGTAATTGCTAGAGTAGCCATATATTCATCTTTTTTCATCATTCATCATCTTTCTGGCCAAGTGATTCACAATTCTATCCACATTCAAAAAATGTAGTTAAAACATAATTATTTCACCTCGTTTTTTATTGTAAACTTTATTTTTTAGAGCAGTTTTGAGTTTACAGCAAAATTAGGCAGAAAGTACTGAATTTCCATATACCCACTACCTCCATGCATAATCTCCCACTATCAACATATCTCACCAGAGTAGCACATTTGTTACAGTTAATGAATTCACATTGATACATTTTCACCAAAAGTCCATAGTTTACATTAGGGTTCAAATCTTTGGGTTTTGACAAATGTATAATGACGTGTATTCACCATTGCAGTGTCATACAGAACAGTTTCACTGTCCTGAAAACCCTCTTTGCTCTGTCTATTCATCCCTTTCTCTCTTCTAACTCTTAGCAACCACTGATATGTTTACTATCTCCAGAGATTTGCCTTTTCCAAAATGTTATAGCATTAAAATCATAAGTATGTAGCCTTTTAAGATCAGCTTTTTCCACTTAGTAATATGATTTAAGATTCTTCTATGTCTTTTCATGTGTAGGGGAGGCAAAATTCTACCTTCACCTTCTTAGGGTCCCGGCTGTGTCTGAGAATTAAATTGGCATGAGCTAGATTAATGGGAGAAAAGCATACAGATTTATTTAACACAGGTTTTACATGGCATAAGGAAATGAAGACCCAAAGAAGCAGTTAGAGTCAGATACGTATTTATTTAATTAGACAAAGAATAGTAAAGTGTGGAAGTATGATAAGGCAAAGGAGCTTAGGCTAGGGTAGTTAACTGAGTAGAGATGTACCTAGGAAGATAAGAGTTAGTTTAACATAGCTTGTTTGTACAGAATTCCTATGGCTTCCTCCTCAATTTCCTCATCCTTGATGATAAGAATGTTTCTTTTCCTCTAGTATAGGGAGGACATCTTCCACATAAAAATTTCATCTTCCGCCTTAAAGGAAACACTAAAGTCAGAGTGATCTTTTTGCACCTGCTGTTTGTCAAGTGGCTTTAACTTAAATCGTCAATATGACAGAGTGGTATATTTTTAAGTTCTTTACTTGCCTTGATCGCTCATTTCTTTCTATTGCTGAACATTATTCTTCTGTTTGGATTTACCACTGTTTATTTAGGCTCTCACCTACTGAAGAACATCTTAGTTGCTTCCAAGTTTTGGCAATTAGGAATAAACCTTCTATAAACCATCCATGTACATAATTGTGTGTGTGGCCCTAAGTTTTCAATTCCTTTAGGTGAGTACCAAGGAATGTGATTGCAGGATTATATCATAGCAATATGTTTAGTTTTATAAAAAACTGCCACACTGTCTTCCAAAGTGGCTGTACCATTTTGCACTCCCATCAGCAATGAATGAGTTCCTGTTGCTCCACATCCTGCCAAACATTTGGTATCATCCATGTTTTGGATTGTGAGCATTCTAAATAGTGTGTAGTGGTAACTCATTGTGTTAATTTGAAATTCCCTAGTGACATATGATGTTGAACATCTTTTTATATGCTTACTTGCCATCTCTTTTTCGTCTTTGGTAAAGTGTCTGTTCAGATTTTTTGATTTTCTTATTGATTAGCTTTAAGAGTTATTTGTGTGCTTTGGATAAAAGTTATTTATCTGATTTGTCTTTTGCAAATATTTCTTCTGTCTATGACTTGTCTTCTCATTCTCTTGACATTGCCTTTCTCAGAGCAGAGGTTTTTAATTTTAATGAGGTACATCTTATTGATTATGTCATTCTCAGATCATGCTTTTGATGTTGTTTTCAAAAAGTCATTGATACACTCAAGGTCAGCTAAGCTTTTCCTTATGTTATGTTCCATTCATTTTTTTATTTTTGTGTTTTACATTTAGTTTTCTGATCCATTTTGAGTTAATTTTTGTGAAGGGTATAAGGTCTGTATATAAATTCTTTTTTTTTTTTTTTTTGCATGTGGATGTACAATTTTTCCAGCCCCATTTGTTGAAAAGACTGCTAGTTTGCCAAAGATCAGCTGGACTACATCTATATGGGTCTATTTCTGGGCTCTGTATTCTGTTCCATTGATCTATTTGTTTATTCTTTCACCAGTACCATAGTATCTTGATTATTGTAGTTTTATAGTAAGACTTGAAGTTAGGTAGTGTCAGCTATCCTATATTGTTCTTTTCCTTTAATACTGAGTTCATTCTTCTGAGTTTCTGCCTCTCCATATAAACTTTAGAATCAGTTTTAGAATCAGCTTTTTATATCCACAAAATAACTTGCTAGGATTTTGGTTAAGTTTGTGTTAAATCCATAGATGAAGTTGGGAAGAACTGATGTCTTGACAATATTGAGTTTTCCTACACATAAACATGGACTATTTCTTTGGTTATTTAGTTCTTCTTTAATTTCTTATATCAGAGTTTTGTAATTTTCCTTATATAGATATTGTACAAATCTTGTTAGGTTTATACCTATGTTTTTCATTTTAAGTGCTAATGTAAATGGTAATATGTTTTTAATTTCAAATTCCACTTTTTTATTGCTTGTATATAAGAAAGTGATTGACTTTTGTATTCTAGCCTTGTATCCTGTAGCCTTGATATAATTGCTTATTTGTGCAAGCAATTTTTTTGGTCAGTTCTGTCAGATTTTCTATATAGCTGATTATGTCATCTGTGAATAGAGAAAATTTGATCTCTTCTTTTCCAATTTAAATACTCTTTATTTCTTTTTCTTGTCTTATTGCATTATACACTTCTAGTAAGATGTTGAAAAACAGTGGGAAGGGCTGGGCTTGGTGGCTCATGCCTGTAATCCCAGCACTTTGGGAGACCAAAACAGGTGGATCACTTGAGGTCAGGAGTTCAAGACTAGCTCGGCCAACCTAGTGAAACTTTGTCGCTACTAAAAGTACAAAAGTTAGCATGGCATGGTGGTGCATGCCTGTAATCCCAGATACTTGGGAGGCTGAGGCAGAAGAATTACTTGAACCTGGGAGGTGGAGGTTGCAGGTTGCAGTGAGCTGAAATCACACCACTGCACTCCAGCCTGGGTGACGAAGTGAGACTCTGTCTTAAAGAAAAAAAAAGAAAGAAAAGCAGTAGTGAGGTAGTGAGAGGGAACACCGTTGCTTCATTCCTGATGTTAACAGAAAGTCTCTCACCATTAAATACAAAGTTAGCTATAGGATTTTGTAGATTTTTAAAAATCAAATTGAGGAAGTTCTACTCTACTCCTAGTTTGAAAAGAATTTTTATCATAAATTGGTGTTTGATTTTGCCAAATAATTTATCTGCATCTATTGATATAACGTGATTTTTCTTCTTTAGCTTGTTAATGAGATTGATTACATTTATTGATTTTCAGATAATAAACTTGCCTTACATACCTGGGATAAATCCCACTGGGTCATCATATAGAGTCCTTTTTATACCTTGTCTAATTTGATTTGCTAATATTTTTGAGGGTTTTTGCATTTATGTTCCTGAGAGATATTGGTTTGTAGTTTTATTTTCTTGCAGTATATTTTGTCTGGTTTTGGTACTAGAGTAATACTGGCCTCATGGAATGAGTCACGACGTGTTCCTCTGATTCTGTCTTCTGAAAGAGATTGTAGATAATCTATATAATTTATTCTTTAAATGTTTGGTAGAATTCACCAGTGAACTCACCTATTACTGGTGGTTTCTGTGATTGAAGATTATTAATTTTTGATTCAGTTTCTTTAATAGATATGAGCCAGTTCAGATGGTCTATTTTGTCTTGTGTGAGTTTTGGCAGATTGTGTCTTTCAAGAAATTTGGTCCATTTCATTTAGATTATCAAATTTGTGGTCATATAATTATTCATAGTATTTATTTTCTTCTTGCTCTGTCACCCAGGCTGGAGTACAGTGGGGCCATCTTGGCTCACTGCAACCTCCGCCTCCCAGGTTCACACCATTCTCCTGCTTCAGCCTCCCGAGAAGCTGGGACTACAGGTGCCCACCACCACACCCAGCTAATTTTTTGTTTTTTTTTTTAGTAGAGACGGGGTTTCACCATGTTAGCCAGGATGGTCTCGATCTCCTGACCTCGTGATCCGCCCACCTTGGCCTCCCAAAGTGCTGGGATTACAGGCGTGAGCCACCGTGCTCGGCCTTTATTTTCATTTTAATGTCCATGGAATCTGTAGTGATGTCCCTACTTTCATTTCCAATATTAGTATTTTGTGTCTTCTCTCTCTCTTTTTATTTATTATTATTTTGTTGGCTTTGCTAGAAATGTATTCACCTTACTGATCTCTTCAAATAACTAGCTTTCGGTTTTGTTGATGTCCTCTATTGATTCCCTGTTTGCAACTGTATTGATTTATATACTAATTTTTAGTATTCATTTTATTCTGCCTGCATTGGATTTAACTTGTACTTATTTTTCTAGTTTCCTAGTGTAGAAGCTTGAATTTCTGATTTTGTATATTTCTTTCTTTCTAATATATGCATTCAATGCTATAAATTTTCTCCACAGCACTGCTCTTACTGTATCACACAAATTTTGATAAATTATTTTTAATTTTTATGTAGTTCTAAATATTTTCTAAATGTTCTTTAAATTTTGTTTTCCACCCATGTGTTTAATCCCGAAGTATTTTAGAATTTTCCAGCTATTTTTTGTTATTAATTTCTAGTTTAATTCCATGGTAGTCAGAGCAGACACTGAATAATTTGTATTGTTTTAAGTTTGTTATGTTGTATTTGGTGGCCCAAAATGTGGTCTATCTTTATGAATGTTTTATGTAAGCTTGAGAAGAATGTGTATTCTGCTGGTGTTAGATGAACTGGGCTATAGTTGTCAATAATATTTAGTTGATCAGTGATACTCTTGAGTACGGCCATGTCCTTACTGATTTTGAAAGAATAGATTCAACAGGCACAAAATCAATTTGCACCTCACATATTTTCATGGTCTCTTGTTGGGTGTGTATACATTAAGGAATATGTCTTTTTGGAGTATTGAACCCTTTATCATTATGTAGGAGTATTTTTTATCCCAAATAATGTTCCCTGATCTAATGTCTTCTTTTGTGCTTTTTAATAGATTAGTGTTAGAATGCATAACACTTTCTCCACCCATTTATTCTTTTAAAATAAATAATAAACTGTATTTTAAGAGCAGTTTTAGGTTCACAGTAAAACATCTCTTTACTTTTAATCTATACATGTTTTTAAATTTAAAGTGGGTTACTTGTGGACAACAAACATCTTGTTTTATAATCTACTCTAACAAAATCTGTCTTTTAATTTGTGTATTTAGATCAACAATTAAAGGTAATGATTGACATAGTTGGATTAATATCCACCATATTTATTATTGGTTTTTATTTCTTGCCCTTGTTCTATGTTTTTTTTTCTTTTGGTACATACTTTGTCTGCATGTTATTGTTTTAATTGAACAGTTGTTTATATGATTCTATTTTTCTTTTTTACAATATCAATTATAATTTTTTTTACCATGTTCAGTGGTTTCCTTGGATTTTGCAATATACATTAACAACTAATCCAAGTACACTTTCAACAACACTATACCACTATAAGTGGTTGTACAAGAATCGTATAATAAAAAACTATCTTTAATTCTTCCTTACTGTTCTTTTTATCGTTGGTGTCATTCATTTCATGCTTATGTAATACATATGTGTATATACATATGTAATATATGCATATATACATATATGTTATGGTTTGGCTGTGTCCCAACCCAAATCTCACCTTGAATTGTAGTTCCCATAATCCCCACATGTCATGGGAGGAACCCAGTGGGAGGTAATTGAATCATGGGGGTAGTTACCTGCATGCTGTTCTTGCGATCGTGAGCGAATTCTCACGATCTGATGGTTTCGTAACCCCCTATTGTTCGACACTTCTCCGTCCTGCCGACCCGTGAAAAAGGATGCGTTTGCTTCCCCTTCCACCATGATTGTAAACTTCCTGAGGCCTCCCCAGCTATGCTGAACCATGAGTCAATTAAACCTCTTTCCCTTATAAATTACCCAGTCTTGGGTACGTCTTCATTAGCAGTGTGAGAACAGACTAATACAATATATATATATGCATATACATATACAAATATGTATATATAATTGAATACATTGTCGATATTATTATTTTGAACACTATTATTAAATCAATTAAGAATTTAAAAAGTAAAAGTTGTAATTTTACCTTCACTTAGTTATTCTTAAATGCTCTTCCTTTCTTTCTACAGATCTGAGTTTTGTTTTTTTTGGTTTTTGTTTGTTTGTTTGTTTGTTTTTTTGAGATGGAGTCTCGCTCTGTCACCCAGGCTGGACTGCAGTGGCGCTACCTCGGCTCACTGCAAGCTCCGCCTCCCGGGTTCACGCCATTCTCCTGCCTCAGCCTCCCAAGTAGCTGGGACTACAGGCGCCTGCCGCCGCACCCAGCTAATTTTTTGTATTTTTAGTAGAGACGGGGTTTCACCATGTTAGCCAAGATGGTCTCGATCTCCTGACCTCATGATCCGCCTACCTCGGCCTCCCAAAGTGCTGGGATTACAGGCGTGAGCCACCACGCCCGGCCTAGATTTGAGTTTTGAACCTTTCTTCTTCTTCTCCTTGATGTTAAAAAATGTCTTTTAACATTTCTTGCAAGGCAGATACACGTAACAAATCCCATCTTTCTGGCTAAGAAAATGTATATTTCTCCTTCACTTTTGAAGAATAATTTAACAGACAGAATTCTGGTCGGCTGGTTGGCGTTTTTGTTTTTCAAACATATCAACTGTTTAAATATTTAACTCAACTTTATGTTTTCATAGTTTCTGAGAAGAAGTTTAATGTAATTCTTGTTCTCTTTTCTCTATAGATGAAGTGATTTTTCTCCGGCATCCTTAAAGATTTTTTTCTTTATCTCTGATTTTCTAAAATTTGAATATGACATACCTACGTGTAGTTTTGCTTTCTTTGGGCATTTATTCTGCTTGGAATTTTCTGAGCTCCTGCATCTGTGGTTTGGTGTCTGACATTAATTCATGAAAATTATCAGTCATTAGTGCTGCAAATATGTATTGCTTCTGTTTCTTTCTCCCTTTTCTCTCCTGGTATTCTTGTTTGTGTATGTCACATCTTTTGTGGTTTTCCCACAGTTCTTGGATATTCTGTTGTGTTTTGGTTTTGTTTTTTAGTTTTTATTTCTTCTTTTCAGTTTTAGATGTTGCTATTGTCATATCCTCCAGCGCAGAGATTGTTTCCCCAGCTATGTTAATTCCACTAATGAGCCCAGCAATGGGGTTCCTCATTTGTTTTAGAGTATTTTTTATCTTAAGCATCTTTTTATTCTTTCTAAGAATTTACATCTTTCTGCTTACATTATTCATCTGTTATTTCATATTGTTAGCAGCAGCGAATCTGTATCGGTCTGCAACGACCTCAATTCTTGCCCCCTAAGAAGAAAGAATTCGGCTGAGGGGCACAAGGCAGAGGCAGAGACTGAGGCAAATTTTAGAGCAGGAGTGAAAGTTTATTAAAAAGTTTTAGAGCAGGAACAAAAGGAAGTAAAGTTGTTATTTTACCTTTACTTAGAAGAGGGCTAAGAGGGTAACTTGAGACATCCAAGGGCACAGTTTGACTTTGACTTGGGGTTTTGTTAGCATGCTTCTGGGTTTTGCATCTCTTCTCCCCTGATTCTTCCCTTGGGGTGGGCTGTCTGCATGCACAGTGGCCTGTCAGCACTTGGAAGGGGCAGTGTATTTACTGAAGTTGCACACATGCTCATTTGAATCATTTTTCCCTTACCCGTCAAGTGTTTCTAGAGGAAGGTCGTATACCAGTTAAACTTTGCCATTTTGCCTCTTAGGGTGCATGCTTGAGCCCAGTTGCCCAACTCCTGAGATATTATCAGGAAGTTGCTGATCCCCAGCTTCAGGTGTTTCCTATCTATTGGGAGACGGCCCTTCCCTGGTGCCGGCTGCAACCAATTACTATTTTAGAGAGACAGTTTAACAACCACCTGACCATCATTGCCTGATATTTCTGGTTGGGGAGGGGCCTCACGGGTCCTGCTCATGTCTGCCTAACTACCTACTCTAACAATATTGTCTCCTTTCTTTTTCAAAACATCCATTAGCATATTAATTACAGTTAATTTTTAAATTTCTTATCTGATAATTCCGACACTCCTGCCACATTTGACTCTGGTTCTGATGCTTGTTCAGTCTCTTCAAACTGTGTTTTTTGTGTTTTGGTGCATCTTGTAATTTTTTGCAGGGAGGCAGATGATGGACTGGGTAAAAGTAACCATGGTAAATAGGCCTTTAGTAATGTAGTGGTTAGGTGTTGGAAGAGGGGAAGCATTCTATAGTTCTATGATCAAGCCTCAGTCTTTTGGTGAGCCTGTGATCCTGGACTGTGAACCTCACAAGTAAGTCTGTTTTGTTTTGTTTTGGTTTCTCCCCCAGCAGATGGGATCGAATGCCTGGAGGGCACTGAAATTAATGCATTTACCTTTGCCTAGGTGAGTCTAGAGAGAGCTGGAGTTGGATATTTCCCTTCCCCTAGGCAGGTTAGACCTGTATATAACCTGGCAGGTTGGGCTCTGGTAAATAATTTCTCCTGAGGACAAGCCTTGTTAGAACAAAATGTTCTAGAGTATTACAAAATAATTCTCTTTGCCCTCTTCCTGCTGGAAGCATGAGAAAAATTTTCTCCATTATTCACTGTGAGGACTCAGTAGAATTTCTGGTGGTAAAACTCACAAAGATCCCCCCATACATGCCCCCGGCTACGGCTGGGTCCTCCTGGAGCTTTTATCTCTCAGGCTTGTCCGTAATCAGCCTTCAGTGATTCATCAATTACAATTTAGGTTTTCCTACCCTGTTACTGGTTTCTACAAAAGTTTCTGTTTCTGGATTTCTGTTTGGGTAAAGTTGTGATTCTCTGCCATTCTCTCTCTCCGGTTTTGGGGGCAGTGACATATTCAGTGACTTCATTTTTCTCATAATCTAAGAAGAGTTATTAATTTTTCAGTTTAACTTTTTACTTGCTGGGATGGAGTAAAGACCTCTAAGCTCCTTACATGTTTGACAAGAAACTGGAAGTGCACCGCTTTTTTTCATAACTGATTTTTATACCCAGAGAAACTTTTATGAAAATAATATTTTTTTGTACCAAAGAAACATTTTCTAAAAATATCAGCAACTTTGGGTTTATTTTACTTTGTGTTGCTGCTGCTAAAGTACAGTTTGTTACTTAAAATAGTTTATAAATATATATCAATAGATATAGATGTATAAAATACATTTTTTTCTTAAAAATGCTCTTCTATTTCTCTGTGTTACATACCTCTGGCTATTTTGGTCAATATATATAAGTAAAATGATGTCTGAAGTTTTGTGTTTTTTTTTTTGTTTGTTTTTTTTTTGAGACGGAGTCTTGCTCTTATTGCCCAGGCTGGAGTGCAATGTTGTGATTTCAGCTCACTGCAACCTCCGCCTCCCAGGTTCAAGCAATTCTCCTGCCTCAGCCTCCCAAGTAGCTGGGATTACAGGTGCCCACCACCACGCCTGGCTAATTTTTTTTTTTTTTTTTTTTTTTAGTAGAGACGGGGTTTCACCACGTTGGCTAGACTGGTCTCCAACTCCTGACCTCATGATCCTCCCCACAAGGCCTCCGAAAGTGCTGGGATTACAGGCGAGAGCCACTGCACCCGGCCTCTGAAGTTATTTTCCTGGATCATTATGTGATGTCATAGGATCTAAGGTAATTATTTTATTATTATTCTACTTTACTGAGTAATAATTAAAATAAAACACCATTAATATTATAGAAATAATATCATTATTTTTATTAAGAAATAAACTTAATCAGTATCTCTGTTGTCCCCTTGAACTAGTCAAGAACTTTAATTTCATATCATGTTTTCTTCCCCCAACTTCCTAACACATCTCTTATTGAAAAGATCTCAGGTTTTACTTTTAAATATGTATTAGTCTTTTCTATAATACACAATTCTTTAGATTCTAAATTGATTGCTGCCTGTGCTCAATATTCCTTGTTCCAGCATCTTTGCTTGTTTCTTCTGAAAGATTTTAAGATTGTTTCTCTTACTCTGGCTTTTGATGCATTTGGATTGGAGACTACATTCTCCATCTTGCTTGATAATCAGTTTACTTTTTTTTCTTTTCTTTTTGTTTCTTTTTCTTTTTTTTGAGATACAGTCTAGCTTTGTCACCCAAGCTGCAGTGCAGTAGCACAAACAGGGCTGGCTTACTGCAGCCTCGACCTCGCAGGCTCAAGCAATTCTCCCACCTCAGGTTTCTGGGTACCTGGGACTATAGGCATGTGCCACCATGCCTGGCTAATTTTTTTTTGTATTTTGTAGAGAGGGAGTTTCACCATGTTCTCCAGTTTCATGATGTTCCCCAGGATGGTACTGAATTTCTAAGCTCAAGCAATTCACCTGCTTTGGCCTCTGAAAGTGCTGAGATTACAGGTGTGAGCCATTGTGCCTGGCCAATAATTGGTAGACTTTTCTTTTTTTATTTTCACATTTTTAAAATTATACTTTAAGTTCTAGGGTACATGTGCACAACATGCAGGTTTGTTACATAGGTATACATGTGCTATGTTGGTGTGCTGCACCCATTAACTCATCATTTACATTAGGTATATCTCCTAATGCTATCCCTTCCCCCTCCCCCTACCCCACAACAGGCCCCCGTGTGTGATGTTCCCCTTCCTGTGTCCAAGTGTTCTCATTGGTAGACTTTTCAATGTAAAGAATGATGTCATCAGTTCTGTGTATTTATGTCATTGGTTGTAGTAGCAATAATAGTATTGTTATTGGGTTATTACCTCTATTACATTATTTTTCTTCCTTTGAAATGAGTATTAAAATTTGGATCAATGTTGTCTTTTAATTTTTCTGATGTACTTTATTTTGTACCTTTCCCCTGCATTTTGGAAAAATTGATCAGATTCATCTTCAGCTGCAGCTATTCTACTATCCCATTCATTTACTGTGATTTTACTTTTGGCAATCATTTTCAAGATCTCTAGTTGGTAATATTTTTTACAACCAAGTTATTGATTCATGAATATATTAAACTCTCTTATTACTCTGAAGATACTAATACATTTCAAAGTATCTTTTTGCACTAGGAACTCTAGTTCCTAGGATGATGTATGTTTATTAAAGTTGGTGATTCTCTCTCTCTCTCTCTCCCATGTTACTTGTTTTCTTCAAGTGTTTGATGAATCCAGCTTGTCTCTTTATCTTTGTATTTAAGAATGATTACCCTTTCTGAGAGTATTATTTTTTTCTTCCTCAGGCTATCTTTAAATTTGTAAAAGAGAAAGAAATGTGATATATGTCAGATTATCCTAACAGCATTGTAAATATGAGTGTTTCTTTATCCTTGTAAATGTAACCAATTATCCAAAGCCCACCCTGTGTCTTCAGGCCTAAGCAGTCAGTTACTGCTTTTTTGTTGGAAAAGAAGCCCATTTTACCTGACGGTTCATTGTCTGACAACAGAGTAAGACATGTGGGGAGAAGATCTCTCTACAAATTACCCTAAAGGTTGTCCTAGGACACTTCCCTGCTTAAGGCTCTATTACTTTTGAACTTGGCAAACACACCTACAGAGTCATTTCTACCTTTTACAACTGTGCTTCCTTTTATAGTTATAATCAGTATAAAATATATTATACTTTTTGAACTTGGCAAACACAGCTACAGAGTCATTTCTACCTTTTACAACTGTGCTTCCTTTTATAATTATAGAGCTACGATCGCAATAATCAAATTCTGTTTTATAATATATGTATATATTATAATCATGATCTATTATAACTTCTACTCAACAGAAGTGAAGTTTCCCTGTTTTTCAGCAGTGTAACTCATTCATATTGATTAAAACTTTATATATGTAAAAAAGATAAGTACCTTATGTATCATATGTTTATAATTTTACATATATGTGTACATACATGTGTACATATATAGCACGATTTCTTTTTTTTTTAATTTTAATTTTTGAGACAGAATCTCTCTGTGTCACCCAGGCTGGAGTGCAGTGGCACAATCTCGGCTCCCTGCATCCTCCGCCTCCTGGGTTCAAGAGATTCTCCTGCCTCAGATTCTCCTGAGTAGCTAGGACTACAGGTGTACACCACCCCTCCCGGCTAATTTTTTGTATGTCTAATAGGGATGGGGTTTCACCATGTTGGCCAGGCTGGTCTCGAACTCTTGACCTCAAGCAATCTGCCTGCCTCTGCCTCCCAAAGTGCTAGGATTACAGGCGTGAGCCACCACGCCCGGCCTATATTGATTTCTAAATGTGTCAAAGGTGAGAAGGAGGTAGATATACATCCTGAGTTCACCATTTGATTTATTCTTACACTCTATCTCTTTAAGCTGAGATTATAATCACTTTCTTGTTTTTTGTAAAAAGTTGCACTTCATATAGGATACACTTAATAGAAAGAAAGACTGTAAGTATCTGCCATTCCAGGAATTCAGAATAGCATATGCCACGTTTGTGTGTGTGTGTGTGTGTGTGAGTTAAAGACCTAAAATAAACCTTCTAAAAGAAATATTATTAATCAGTATTCTTTTCTTGAAAAAAAAAAGTTTTGAAATATATTGCTCACAACATTTTTATCAGTATTAGAATAATTGAAATTAGACTTATGTGCTTTTAATTTGTTTAAGTCCAGTGTTTAATTTTAGAAGTCTAATGCGTTACTGGCATTTCATAAATATTTTATGACATGTACATTAGTAAAGATATAAATAACTAATGTCTTATCACAGTTACATTTTATCATGAAAATATTAAATTGTCTATAATAAACAATGTTCTTGAGCATATTCCATTAACTACTTTTCTGGCTCTCTCTTTAATGGCGGTGTTGTCAATGCTGTGAAATTATCATGAATTTACCCCATAGGCAGCTGTATTTTCCTAGAATTACTGACCTCAGGATTTATAAAGAGAGATAGAAATCCCCTTATCATATGAATTAATTTAGATGGGCTTACTGTTTGCAAAAGAAATGTTCCTAAAAAGAAAAAAGAATTTGTTTAGAAAAGTTATTGATAAAAATGCAATCTTCCTTTGTAACTTAAGATGTAAAAACCTTATCAGTTGATTTTGTTTTATATAAAAGTTAAATTTTATTCATACTTGTTTTTAAATTGTTGCTTGACGGTGGTTAAAAATGAGTTCTGGCCAGGCGCGGTAGCTCACGCCTGTAATCCCAACAGTTTGGGAGGCCAAGGCGGGTGGATCACATGGTCAGGAGTTCAAGACCAGCCTGACCAACATGGGTGAAACCCCATCTCTACTAAAAATACAAATATTAGCTGACGTGATGACACGTGCCTGTTGTACCAGCTACTCGGGAGGCTGAGGCAGGAGAATTGCTTGAACCTGGGAGGCAGAGGTTGCGGTGAGCCTAGATGGCGCCACTGCACTCCAGCCTAGGCGACAAAGCAAGACTCCATCTCAAAAACAAACAAAAACATGAGTTCTGAGTGCAATTCTGGTTTTCATAATTCTGAGAACAGTTCCAGAATAGAGTTAAATGTTGACCTTGACAAAACAACCCAGCCTCTCAGTCCCAATGGTTGTGTGTATCTTATTTTGAAATAAACTACAGCATACAGCACTGACAACGTATTTTTTCAGGGTACCTTATAATCAGTTGAATCAAACACATCACATGGACCCCGGAGAATGAAACTTCTCTGGCTTTGAGCTTCTATCTATTGCATATACTGGCCATAGATATATCTACTCAGGCAACTGAAAATAAACCTACTTGCTTGGAACCTGGAAAAAAAATCATATTTTGTACTAAAAGTAGGTTAAGTATGGACCTAACTGAATCAAATCAGATTTAACAAAACTTTACATTGACCAAGTATAAAAGAATAATAAAATAATTTAAAAAGATAAAAAATGGATACTACAGTACTCCATGAGTTTAAATTTTTTTTTACCATCTTTCTTCTGTTTAATCTTCATTGTCCAGAGGAATATATACAAAATTTTTACATTTAAAAATAATTCATATGTTTAACTGAGGAGCAGATTGAATTTGAACATTTAACTGGAAACTTGTTCACTAGTACCTACTTCTCATCCATGGTTTCACTTTCCATTGTTTCAGTTACTAGTGGTTAACCACAGTCCAAAAGCATTAAATGGAATATTCCAGAAATTCATAAGTTTTTAATTGTGCACCATTCTGAAAAGCATAATGAAATCTTGCTCCATCTTGCTCAGCATGTGAATCATTCCTTTGTCCAGTGTATCCACGCTGTATACATTAGCTGCCCGTCAGTCACTTCGTAGTTGTCTGGGTTATCAGTCAAAAAAAAAAACCCATAGTATATGTGAGCTTTCATACTATCCATGGTTTCAAGCATCCACTGGCGGTCTTAAAACATATCTCCCATGAATAAGGGGCGACTACTGTATTTGGCAGCTGAGTCTTTCTGAATGCATTTTGACAGCCTTTTCAATGGCAGTGTTTATAGCAAAACCAATCATTATACAACACATAATGATCCAACAGCCTGAAAGCTATAGGTCCACTGTCTACCTAGAAGGAAGTAGGTAATTAAATATACAAGTATTATGTGGGAATGTGGTTGTGAAATGTTTTTATCCATGAGATTGAAACAGATACAACAAAAATAATTAGAAATATGCCAGAATCAATGTTTAACCTATTAGATTTAGAATCGGAAAACATAGGTTTCTGCTATTGTTTATTAACTTTGAGGTTTTGGACTTCAGTTTCTTAAGTGAAAAGAGGAGATCATCATAATAATAATAACAATAACAAATTTAATTGAAGGAATGATAACATCAAATGAGTTAATGTACATGAGAGTGTTTTTTAATTAAAAAATTAATAAAAATATTCTCATGTATATTAACTCATTTCTATGTTTAAGAAATAGAAATCCACATTAATTAATTTTTAGTGGTATGATCCAAAATTAATAACAAATGAAAAAGTAAACATTATGAAACCAGTTTCACACATAAAACAGAGGGAATAATTCTCCATCCTTAATTCACAGGCCGTGTGTATTAGTAAAGGATGCGCATTCAAATTTAAAGCTTTGATTTTTCGGGGGGATTTTGTTTTTGCTCTCCGGGATTACCCAAAAGGGAAATTGTCTACCGTGATCATTTGTTTTTAAGTTCTCAACTTATTCCATAGGTTAAACATTTTTGGAGAAAACTCCACATGGCCATCTTTACAGTCTTATGGGCATTGGATTTGGAATCTAAGAGATCTGGGGTCTGTTTACAGGTGTCTCAGTAACTGTGTGGCTTCAGGAAAATCGTTTTAACCCATCTGAGTTGTGCCAAACCCAGAGTTTTTTGAATAATACATTTGAAAATGCTCTGTTGACTGTCAATTTCAATAGCAGCGCAGAGCAGCAGAGTGTCTCTGTCTGGGGTCAGGCAAGTGAGAGATTCTGGTTCTGCACGTGCCTCTCGCTCCCTTTGTGAACCCGAAAAAATCTCAGATCTCTCTGTGTACCTCAGTTACCTTATGTGTAAAATAAAAAGGTTTCACTAATCACCTCTGAGATTCCTTCCAGTATTTACACTGAAGTAATCCATGATTCACATTTAATGATTGTATTTTAAAATGTTTAAGTGGCTAAACATTTTGGGGGAATTGCTAAAGCAGAAGATATATATTTGTTGTTATTGTTAGAGCAGGAAGATAACGTTGGTGAAAGGACAGTAATAGCAGGGACTGCCATGTGTTTTTTAATTATGTTTTTCTCTCCACTATCCCCTTTTCTACTCCTGAGCACCCAGGAGTGTGGTTACAGGAGGCCTCAGGGACTCAGACACAGAAAAGCACCTGCACGCCAACTTTCCCTCACTCTGTTTTTCATTTTCCGCCTCCTGGGTTCAAGCAATTCTCCTGCCTCAGACTCAGGAGAGTAACTGGGACTACAGGCGCCACCACCACGCCCAGCTAATTTTTGTATTTTTAGTAGAGATGGGGTTTCACCATGTTGACCAGGCTGGTCTCAAACTCCTGACCTTAGGTGATCTGCCTCCCAAAGTGTTGGGATTACAGGCGTGAGCCACCACACCTGGCCAGATATCTTTTTATTCCTTAACTTTTCATAGTTTCTAGTCTTTAATGGAACTTCCAAAGTTTTTGGTGCTTGTGTCAGGCAGGCAGGAAGGATCTATGGGACATCAGAGAGGAGAAAAACATAGTCCCACATCTTGGGTGGCATCATGGAAGGGTTTTCTGAAGAAAAGAAATGATAAGAAGACAAAAGACTGCAGGCTGCAAGGTGTCCCTGGGGAATTTGTCCTAGAAAAGATGTTCGGCCCCACAATTTTCAGGTCCCCAGGATCCCATGGTCATGTTCTTCATGGATATTCATCCTCCCTGGTTTCCTGGGCCCTGTCAATCAGGATCTGCAAGTGTCTATCTCCCACTTCGGGAGGGTGAGATTTTTCAAGCATTCCAAATTGAAGCACATTTTCTTATACAAACTTGGTTATATTTGACAGCCAGTTACTGTAATTATTTTTGTAAAGTATTATAGGTACATTATGGGCTGAGTTGCTTTGTGCAGGACAAACTTGGATCCTGAACCAACATATATGCCATGGTTTCCATAAGAAAATGGGACTTCAGTTCCAAACTACTCCTTCTTCTCTAAGTTGAGGAAGCCTTGGAGATAATTTTAAATATTTTCTTCGGAGTTTATAGTATAAAAGGCATTTGAAAAATGAAGATCTGAGCTAATCCTGGTTTGGTGCTTGATATCTCTGGTAGTCTTGGGAGAATGGCTTAATCCCCCTAAGTTTCTGTTTGCTCAGTAGCAAGGTGAAGTGGACCATTTTTACCAGTTAAAAGTGACATGCCAAGCGTCTTGTAATAATCCTTACTTTTGATTCCATTCTCTGGCCATATTGAATTACCCATTTTCCAGAACAACCATGCTTTCTCACACCTCTGACATTATATCCCTTCTGCATCTTTAAAGATTCAGCTCAGACATCACCTCCAGGAAAGCCTTCCTGAACACCACACACATGCACAATACAAACACACCCAATACAGCCTTCTTTGGAGTTTCTACAATGCCTCGTGTTCACCACTGTTACGGCACATATCTCACTGCATAAAATCTGGCTTATTTATTTATTTATTATTATTTTTTGAGACAGAGTCTCCCTCTGTCACCCAGGCTGGAGTGCAATGGCGCAATCTCGGCTCACTGCAACCTCTGTCTCCTGAATTCAAGCAATTCTCCTGCCTCAGCCTCCCGTAAAGCTGGGATTACAGGCGCCCGCCGCCACACCTGGCTAATTTTTGTATTTTGGGTAGAGACGGGGTTTCACCATGTTGGCCAGGCTGGTCTTGAACTCCTGACCTCAGGTGATCCACTCGCCTCAGCCTTCCAAAGTGCTAGGATTACAGGTGTGAGCCACCACGCCTGGCCAAAGCCTGGCTCTTTAGTTGCCATCTCTCATGTTTCACCATAAAATTTTTGAGAATATGGGTCATATTACTTGGTTGTGTAGACTGGAATATTTGTGTAATAAATACCTCTTGCAAAAATGAATAAATGCATGAATAATAAGAAAGCTTTTTCACTCTTTCTGCACTGTCTCCCTGCTAGTTCACTGCTCTGTTTACCTGTGTTAAACATATCCCAAGTTGGCTAAGTAATCAAAGTTGCTCTACGTCCCAGAATCTATTAGCTGGAGCCCTGCAGGATGAGACCATGCTCCTTCCCCCTTACTCAGCCAGTCATGCTGACACAACTTTGGAGGTATGGGGAAGCGCCCAGAGCCCACACCCTTCTTTAAGGCTGTACCTTACCCCTTAGGCATGAAGTGTTCCAAAGTCTGAGTCAGCCATCCCTGTCCATTCACATGCCTGGCTGCAGTCCAATACTCAGATAAGAAACCACCCAGGTGCTTGGCCTCAGAAAGCCAGCAATGAGGTGGTCTTGGCCAATGGAGACCAAATTAAACTAGTGAAGAATAAAGTAGCAAGCAAGCCCTAGATGGGAGTCAGGAAATCTTGCCTGGTTTCTGCATTGATAAAAGCTGTTTAACCTTTGGCAAGTCACTTTTTCTCTGGGCCTACTTTCATCTTCTGGACAGTTAATGGGTTGAGCCAAATGACCTCTAGAGTTTTGTTCAGTTCTCAGGTTCTAGGATCTAAAATCAAAGGCAGGCTAAGCATTTCTCATACCTGAAATGGTAATGATACTTACTTGCCTGTAGCAACCCCATCTTCAGGGGAAGGGGCAGAAGTAACAGCTTAAGTTCACTGACAGTGATGGCTTAAAATGCACACAGGATACTGTCTGAGCCCTCATTTCATTGAGGCTAAGAGCCTAAGAAAGATTAGCCTTGCTGCCTCATAAAGCTTTACGTATTAGCAGAGGGTAATGCTGTACTAGTACAAAGCAAAGGCCATGACCTGGGCTGCACTTATTATTTAAATGAGCAATGTACTACTACACATACATTGTGCAATTGCATCATATCCTTTGCGCAATCTATTCTGCAGAGTCTTCAGCAACCAGGGCGTTTGTGTCCTGTAGACAGGCTAGGATCAAACACCAATTGCTTTGCAATGGATCGATAAGAATAATATTGATAATACCAGTACTTCTACCGAGAGTACCACCTTTTATTTAACATTTAATACATCCAAGACTTGTGCAACACTCATTTTGTTCTTTTAACCACTCTGGTAATGCAATATTTTTATCCCCATAATACAAATGAAGACAGTGAAGTTAACTTTAATATAATTAAGACAAAGTATATAAACTGGCTAAGAAAGCTTGGATGACAATTTTAATCTCTCACATTTGTATAGCATTTTAAGCTTACAAAATATATCTTAAAATATAATTCTATTTAGTTTTTACTATGATGTAGCAGCTGAGTAATGACTGTTTCCAATTTAAGAAATAAAAATTTGAGATGAGGGGAGATGGAAAAATGGTAGTTCAGATCCCTTGATCTTCAGTCCTGGGCCTTCCCAGTAACCCAGCAATCTGTGCTGAGACTCCTCACAGGTAAAGTGTGGCCCAGGTATAAGAAGCTTTCTGAAAAACAGTGCCTTCAAGTCAAACAAAGCCTATACAGCTGAATTCTGGAGCTTGGTTGAAATTGTGGATGAAGCAGAAGATAGGTTGGGGTATGAACAAATGTAGAGAAAGAAGGAAGGGCAAAGATCACATTTTAATAATGTTCTGTACTGTACGTGAATAATGCCAACAGTACACTGTCACATTTGTGTTTAGCTCATTTTCAGCAACAGAGCAAGATCCCAGAGTGTAGCAAGAAGAGAGACCGTTTTGGGTGGAGATATTTCTGTTTCCGCAGGGGCTTTTATGCTCATTCAACTTGAAACTTCTAAAATAACTCATTATGTGTGGAATAGCAGGTGTTCACATTAAACATATTTGCTTGACCTCACTTAATCTATTATATAGTAAATGTTCCTCTTCTTCTCGTTTACCCAATCTTGGGTCATTAGTCAGACAGAATTAATTATTCACAATGTTTAGAAAGAAATTACATATCTGAGTCTTCACGGCAAGGAAAATTGACATATCAGGCTCCGAGTCAAACTAGGATTGTCAGAGTTGACAGTGGTCATTCTGTTACTTGGGGAAAGTCAACGTTTAGAAAATTCAGAGTTGCTCTTATTTTGTTAAAGCGTAATTCACAAAGGAAGTGTAGATAAAACTTTCATTATGAAGCTTCAGTTCCACTTCTCTTATGCTTTGGTATCCCTTAATTTAATTATATCATTCTGCAATTTCAAGGATGATCAAATTAAAGTTATCCTTTAGCAAGACTTTTTGTTCATCAAGCTGCCTCTGCCAAAAATTTCTCAGTGAGCCTCAACTCTCTTCTTCATCAGCCTCTGCACCTCCAAATGTTTGCTAATTTCTATCGATTCTGCCTCTTCAATATCCTTAAATTGTCTTTTTAATCTCAATTTTATGCCCTTAGATTTGGCCCACATCATTTTTTTTCTGTGAAAGGTTGCAATAGCATTTTAATTGTCATCCTGACCCTAACATGGGCTGGATTAGTGATGCAGTACCAATAAATTACCCCAATGTATAAAACCTTCCATGGTTCTGTAACCTCAGGATAAAATTCCAAATCCTGGACATTTTGCCTCCTGAGCCTCATTCCATGTCTGTCTACCATATGTTTCTTTAGCTGTACTAAATTACCTGCCATTCCCTGAACACCCTATGCTCTTCTAAGTCACTATGTTTCTGCTTATGGTGATCCCTTATTCGGAATGCGTTTTCTCTCCTTGCCCTGCTATTGATTTATCACCTTTTCTTCATAACTTTCTTCTCCTTTCAGCCATCTCTGACTGCTCTCTTCCCCAGGCTTCCACGATCCATTTACCCTTTGGCAATTTGTACAATCTTTTCATAGTTCTTGTTTCACTGTAATTTCAGTTACTGGCATATTTATTTGTTTGTTCATTAAACTGTGAACACAATTATCAAATACTATAATTGTGCTTTTATATTTTTCTATTCCTATAGACTCGACAAATACTATTATAATGAATATTGATATTAAATTGGAACAAATGTAGAGAAGGAAGGAAGACAAGTGTTGTAATAGTATCCTGTACGGTATGCAAATCATGCTAACAGTACCCTGTCATATCTGTGTTTAGCTCATTTTCAGCAGCATAGAGCAAGATCCCAGAGTGTAGCAAGAAGAGAGACTGTTTGGGGTGGAGACGGGCAGGTCTTTTTTGGATCATTCAGCAAAAAAGAAAAAAATAAGTACCTTTTCTACTTGCATTGGGAAGAAACAAAAAATATATATTGTTAAATATCCATTCTAATAGTATTCTAATTTAATACAAATAGCTCATGTAACTTCCCAATTTAATATCAATATCTCTGTGAATATCAGGTTACCTTTTCAATTTAATATCTAACAATATCTCAATATCAATTAAGAGCTGATGTTTCATTATAAAGCGACATCTTGCTCTTCATAATATAGATTAAAAATATTTCTTCCCCAAATCTTTGAAAATGATGGAATGACCAATAGTTTGATATGAAGATTAAATGACAATTTAAATGTGGAAATAATATTGAGAGATTCTAGGGCCAGACTGAATCCCAAGTGATTATTCTCGGCAGTTATGCAGTAAAGAGGATAAACACGGACGTTCTGAGACTCCTTTTCATTTCATCAGTATGGGGCCCTGAAATAAAGAAGTTTGAGAAAAAAAGTTATTATTATACAAAGATTATCTTAAATGATAAAAAAATCAATAGGTGAGACTTTTTCAGATAATTCAGCAAAAAGGAAAAAAATAATGTTTCTAGTTGCACCAGGAAAAAAATTAGAATATATTGTTAAATATTCATTCCCCTAACAGGAATCAGGGATCCTTGAATAAATGTCTACCTCCAGGACTTGGGCAGGGAAAGCACAAGATGATCCTGGAACATTCTGTAATGTCAGAAAGTTAAGGAAGTGCTCAAAGAAAGACAGGGACATGTCAAAGCGAAAGAGAGCTCAGCTTGGAGGAGCCCCCCGCTGACCAAATCTGTGGCAATTTAAGCATTCACATAAATAATGATAAGATTGGATTTTATTGCGGTAGAATAATATAACAATCCAAGAATACAAACAGATATAAATAAATGACCAACTGGAAAATTTAATGAGTCACATAAAGTGTACATTTTAAAACAAAGCAAAATATGCTAAGGCAGATAACGAAAGTCCAAATCAAATGCTCTGAAAGATCAGTGTGCAGCAGGAAACAGGCAGCAACTTTATGGCAGTGCAGGGAAAGACCCGGAAGTACGGATAAGAGCCCATAGAAATTATTCCAGGAGGCGGGGCGCGGTGGCTCACCCCTGTAATCCCAACACTTTGGGAGGCCGAGGCGGGTGGATCACGAGGTCAGGAGATCGAGACCATCCAGGCTAACACGGTGAAACCCTGTCTCTACTAAAAATATAAAAAATTAGCCAGGCGAGGTGGTGGGCGCCTGTAGTCCCACCTTCTCGGGAGGATGAGGCAGGAGAATGGCATGAACCCGGGAGGCGGAGCTTGCAGTGAGCTGAGATTGCGCCACTGCACTCCAGCCTGGGCGACAGAGCGAGACTCCGTCTCAAAACAAAAACAAACAAACAAACAAACAAAAAGAAATTATTCCAGGAGGAGAGGACTGCCATCCACCAGAACGTGTTGGATTTTCTTAGTGGCTATTTGCTGTGCTCTTGTTTCTCACTTTAGCTGTTTTGTGGTGCCTGCTCTTTCAAGGTTATCATATTGTGTTTTGGCACCTTCTTATTTCACAGAATCTCCCCGTGACCTCTTCTCAGTAATTGGTTTTTATTTTTACCCCCATTATTGATTTTTCTGTCTTGAAACACATGTTAAATGAGCAGACATCATTTATCACAGTTTTCTTGTTTTGACCCTGTCAATTTCACATTATAATGGGAATACCAGAAGAGAAGGAAAATTATTATGACTATAACGGCCTGTAAAGGCCTCATAGAAAAGACAGCATTTAAATAAGTCGCCCCCAAATTAGTAGGCGTATTTTCTCTCCACATAGAAATACATATTTTTTTTAGTTTTTACCATTTATAATTTCATTAAAATGTTATATATTCATTATGACTCAAGCACTACAGAAAAGTTCAAAGAATAAAGTTTAAAAAGAATCCTTACCACTCAGAAATAACTATTGCTTATACATTATTTACATGTCGTTTCAGGTCTCACTAGATAGATAATTAAAATATATATGTAGATGGACAGAATAATAATAATATTACATCACAATTTTTATAGGGTACTACTTGAGTATAATGAAAGATAAATTTAAGATATTTAAAATGTAAATATTAAATATCAACATAGTATTTGAAATTCAAGGATTTGCTGATATGGGTTTGCTGACATAAATTTCTTTACCACAAACTTTATTAGCGTGTATATTCACAAGATACAATTTTTAAAAATTATTTCTTTGTAGACCTCTATGTGTTTTTCCAGTCTACTTTATTTAAGCTTGCCATTTTAGATAGTGTCTATGCTGGATATTCTTTGTACTTCTCCAAATCCATTCTCCGTCATTCTCCACCCTGTACTGTGACCTAGGAGGCTGACCTCTGAATTTCACTGTCCATGCTCCTATGCTCTCTGTCTTCCAAATGGATTTGCCAATGGGTGGCATCATCAGGAGATCAGAGGGAGAAAATTTGTCCCCCTTAATGCTTTTTTTGGGGCCATGGGTGGACAATGACTTCCCTCTATGGCTACAACTTGTTTCAGCCCCAACTCCTGAGAATGACATTTCTCCATAGATGTATCACGCCAAGTGCTGGTAATTGCCTCTTTCCTCTGCCCCTTGGTAGAATCTGGGTCCTTCATCATCCTTCATTGTTTTACCTAAACATTGTCCACAGCCTTGTAAATTGTTTTTCATTCAACTGTCTTCAACAACAGTGTGCCATCTGTTTTCTGCTCAGATTCCAACTGGCATAATGTCTAATGATTCCCTTCTACGAAAATTATACTTCCTCTCAACATCTACTCACAGATTTATAGATCTTAATTTTTTAATTGCCCTGCTAGATACCTTTATAATTCTACATCATAGACTGTAATTCCTATTTTTTTCATTTATACATTTCAGGTATTCATTGACTTCCCAATAGGAAAGATGAATAATTTAGCAACCCTACTGTGCCTAAGGGAAGAAATTTATCAGCCAGAGAGAAAGAGCTGTGCATGCTTACAATTATTAATAGAAAAACATCATGTTGGAACTGTGTTTGACCTTCAGTCAGTGTATCCTGCATTCCAGCCAGAATTTTATCGCTATTATGTATAAAAATCTATGTCATTTAAAAAATAGTATTTTTGGTATGACTTCTAACACATATCACAAATTTCCTCTTCAAACGTGAAATGCATTCAATAATAAAATAATCAGGAAATGGAAGTATCATATGAAACTGAGTCTATCATTTAGATGATTGTTACTGCCTTTCTGTAGGTAATCTTATTTGGAGGTAAAGAACTAGAAATAGGTTCTTTTGATATTGACATATCTTGAACAGCCACACATAGAAATATGTTGCCATGGAGCCCAGTAAATGGTAATTCAGATTTGCTAGGCCTTGGCTAAAAACTGGATTCATAGAGCTCTGACTCCTTCAAATTCCTAGATTTTCACAGTTCAATGTGCTCAGTGAGCTGGGGCACTGTCTGTTGGAAGAATATGTATCTTAGACCTTTTCCCTCCATCGGCTTTCCCAACTCTATCCTTTCAGTCCCTCAGGCCAAATACCTTGAAGTTATTCCTAATGCCTCTCTTTCTCTTATCTCTACATCCTATCCTTTAAGAAATTATATTTTCTCTTTATTAAAAATTTATATTAGATGACAGGTGAGTAGATATTACTGTTTCATTTTTATTTTTGAGACTGGAGAGACTCAAGCAGGTTAAGTGATTAGATCAAATACGCACAGCTAAGGAATGTATTCTAAAAAAATTAGGAGATGTAAACAGGAAAATAATCAGCCACACAGATGCCTCCTTACCCTACAAATTATTTTTTGTAGTGTCATACCAAAAACATTTGTTATAAAGCATTTGTGCTTCATGCAATGAATTCTTTCTTATTTATTAAAAAATATCCCTTTTTCCTCACTATGAGACAGAACTTATGATCTCGATGAACTGAGTTTACTGTGTTTGAACCTGTTTGTGAGTTTCACTGTTGCTATTTTCACTTATTCTTTTACTGTGCCTTTGCTAAGATACTGATACTGAGAGTTTTGTGTTTTTTCTTTAAGTCTGTTTACATGGATTATAAGTGGGTGAGGTTTCATAAAAGAAAAATCTTTATAAAAATACTCTTTAACATCAGCTTATATTAGCTATTGTTAAGTTGAACATGACTGGACTGAGAAAATATTTCAGTTGTGTCTGTGTTAAAGGCAGTTCTCACTGTCTTTCACATTGTCCTTTACGTTTAACTAGTATTTTTCTGTCTTTGTGATAGGAATTGTTTAGGCAAGATTTCTTTGTTATTCCTGAATCACGCTTGCATTTATTTATTTTTTCAAGTGTTTAAAGGAAGTCATGAGAAAATGTATTTCTCTTTTATTTTAGAAAGAAGTTGACACTCTGCTAAAGCAGCCATTAAAAAAAAATCTGAAATGATCTGAGCAAATAAAAATGAGCAAATGTCAAGAATGTAGAATCATGAGAATTCAACAAAGTATAACAATGGCCTTAATATTTTAAAATAGCACGTTTTAGAAAACATTGGAGATAAGAGAAAGTAACTTATGGAAAAAAAAAGATCCATCAACAAAAAGTTTAAGGCAACCAGATCTGCCTCTTACAATCTATGTTTTGTTGGTGTGAAGTGAGTCTAAAGAGTTCTATAAGGTCATTTATAATACATCTGATGGATGTTATAAGGTGTAGTATGAAGGCAGTAAAAGAGTCTGGATTACTTTGAAGTTTGATGCGTATGTCTCCCAACTCTTATGTTACAAGTAGGGCAGAGAGAGTGACATGACCTAGTCTACATACCTGGATGTTGGAATCCTAAGCCTAGTTCTACAAGGAACTAATTCTGCCACCTTGGAAAAGTAATTTTCCTCTGTAGAGGTCAGGTTTCTTGTATGAAAAAGTATATTGGCTATTGAATCTGTCTTATTCTGTCCTTTTTCAACTGACAAGTATTCTTATTGGGTGAACTGTCCTAACTAAAAATGTCAGTACATTCTAACTGTAAATGTTGCAGTGTTAGAAACTTAAAATTTTGGAAGAAGTGAATAATTGAAATTAAAAGACTTGCCTCTTAAGAGATATACTAGTATCTAGCTAGTAGCTTTTAAGTTTTGAAAGCCTTTACTTCATGGGGCTAAATAAGATTCATGTGCTCAAAGTCACAATATTTATTTATTATAGCATCTAACTAGTATCTTTCATATACAAATTCATGTGACAACCTATAATTACATTTATGATATAGAGTTACAGTATAGCAGCATACCATAAATCACGGCAATGAATTATGGAGCATCTACTTTGTGCCAACTATTTAGATACTTAGATACTTCACATAAGGTTTCATTATAACAAGTCTACAAGTATAATATTACTTTACACTTATATACTAAACACAGATAGCCCTTAGAATGTTTAGTAGTTGTCCGTGGTCACACATTCTAGCAAATGGCAGAATCTATACATTTCAAATTCTAATTAAAAATATTTTCAGATAGGAATTTAAATATGGATTTCATTAACATTAAAGTCTATACTCTTCCTTAAACCAAGTTGAGAAGACATCTATCGTGGGCTCAGAATTCCATTCTTTTCCCTATACTCGTACTTTCTTCTTCTGGATCCTGGTTTTCCTCACTGTAATGGAAGAATTAAACCAGGCGATCTCTACTTATTTCTACAGTCTTAAGATAAACTATGAATACACTTATTTGAGCTCATGTCCCCCTTCTCTCCGTAGTGCATTTACAAGACCTGTCAGATAATATTTTTGAAGCATTAAGGATGAAATTTTACTTCTGTTGTTTTCTCTTTAACTCCTCCTCCATTTAGGCAGGCAGACATTCTTTATGTTGCCTCAAAAAAAAAAAGATAGCAAAAATAAAAAAGAAGGGGAGAGGCAGTCTTTGGCTTTTAAATTTTGAAAGCCTTTATTTACTTCATGGGGCTAAATAGGATTCATGTGCTGAAAGTCACAGATTTGACAGCATATGGGATGGGAGGGGAAAGGGGGTTATTTTCCATGCTAAAAACTTGAAAAGATCCTTCGGATTATGCAGGAAAAAGCCTGTGCTGATGTGATGAATGCAGAGCTCACCAGATCCCAGGAAGAGATGAACTGATCTTGAATGATACAGACAGAAGCAGTGTTAGCAGCTGACACCCCTTCTCCCCTAACTCTCTCTCGCTTGTGCTCACTCTCAAGTTGAGCTATTGCTGGCTAGGGCTTAAAAGCCACATGAGAGTAACATCAGACTCATAGCCACTCACTCAGTTTCCACTGGAATGAGAAAGATAAATAACCTGGAGGGAGGGGTTCGGTTACCTTTCATGATGGCATCTAGCCAACGAGACAGAAGCCAGCAAGTGGCCCCACTGGCTGTCCAGTGGAAGTGCTATTTATCCTGCCCAGTCCCCATCTGACTTGCCTCATGTAAGGACTCATTTTAATATCCCACAATATTGATAAGCCCTCTAGATGGAGAGTTACATCAGGGTAACTAGAGGGATAGAAGCAGTGTGGAAAACAAATTTCCTACCTTTTCCCATTGAACGTCCATGTTTGTATATGGGCAGGACTGAATGTAACCAGCTCTTAATTTCCTACACAAACAAGTTCAGCAATAAAACCCACCTTACAAAAAATAAGTCCTGCTTGTTAATTTAGAACATAGTAAGAATTTCAAATAGAGAAGATTCTCCTTAAGGAATAAAACATAATGTTTTGGGCATATCTTCCCATGAAAAAAATCATTTTAGATTAGAAAACTTTCAAGGCACTGTTGACTATTCCTTGTAGTTACCCCCAAGATTGAAGTTATTTTTTATACTTTTTATTAAGCTTCATGGGATTTCAAAACCCTGAAGTTTATCTACCTCACCTCCAACTCTGCCCTGAACAACGTGTGGCAAAAGGTAGAGTTTATTAATTCCTATTCCCAAAGGAATACACGATCCGATGGGAATGTGGGCCTGAGTCTCATTATTGTACCAATGTTTTAAAAAAGGATACCTCCTGGGTAGCTAGGTCTCACTGGTTTTGCCCAAGTACATTTATTAAACAGTGATATGGTTTGGCTGTGTCCCCAGCCAAATCTCATCTTGCACTGTAGCTCCTATAATTCCCATGTGCTGTGGGAGCAACCCAGTGGGAGATAATTGAATCATGGGGGCGGTTTTCCCCATACTGTTCTCATGGTAGTAAGTATCACGAGGTCTAATGGTTTTATAAGGGATTTCCTCTTTCTCTTGGCTCTCATTCTCTCTTTGCCAGCCACAGTGTAAGACATCCCTTTGCTCTTCGTTCATTTTCCACCATGATTGTGAGGCCTCCCCAGCCATGCGGAACTGTGAGTCAATTAAACCTCTTTTTTTTTTAAATAAATTATACAATCTTGGGTATGTCTTTATCAGCAGCATGAAAACGGGCTACTACAAACAGGCTTTAATGACTTAAGTGTGTTGTGTGTGTGTGTGTGTTTTGGAACATCTCCTATGGTACACTATTCCTAGATAGCATTTGTTAATAGCCTGACATTCCAGGAAAGTGCAGATATGTGCAATTCCAAACACCACGCATAACCAGCACCAAGTATCAGAGAACTTACTATAGTCATAAATGCTTCTTAATTAATGTTTAATTCCTGCTGGTGAGGTAAGGTTAGTGACATTAAATATATATCACATCCTGAAAAGAGCCTGATGAGAGATCTTTGCAAAATAGAAAACTCTCTCTTTACGAACACTATGCAATTAGGATGTTGGCAGCTAAATTTATCTGGACATCAGCTCTCAGTCAATACAATGTATTTTCATTTTATATCACAGTTCGAAGTGGCTAGTTGAGGATTATAACTTTGGCAATAGCCTATGTTAATTTTTATTTGCCAACTTAAGAAACATTATCATTGCATTCTTGTTTCAGCAACCTGTAAACAAGTGGTCTGTACCTTCATCCAAATTACTACCTACTGCTCCATTATTCATCAAACATTCATTAAATATGTATGAGAGTTTTCTTTCTGTGCAAGAATTGGGAGTGGTGCTATGGGACTCTAAGGTGAATAAGACACAGTCACTGAGCTCAAATTACTCTGGGTGTGTGGGAGAGAGACAAGTACTCTAAGAATCACATGAAACATGACCCAACCCAGCCACTGATTTTATGAGCTTGAACTTTTTTGTGATATTGACCATCTTCAATAATTAAATCTTCCATAAATAGTAAACATATATATACATTTATTCAAAAAATGTTTTTAATGATGTGTTTTATATCAAGTATTATGCTAAGTACTGGAGATACAGGCAAAATTAAATATAGACTGGACCTTAATGAGCTAACAGTTGGACAGCAAAGGCAATCACTAATAATGTGCCATAAAGTATGTATATTGTACCACAGACTAGATTTAATGCCCCAAAAGAACCCCAAATACGTTTTGAACAATAGTAGTATTATTAAAATAGTTGTAAACTTCTAAGGGGATTATTTTGAATGGATAAAAATGAATCTGCATTTATTTGGATGCATTGTCTCTGGTCTGGTCTTTAAATGTACCCACACATGCACAGTATAGCATGGTACAAAAGACATTGTACTTGGAATTTTGAGATCTGGCTTCTAGTTCTATACTTTCTACGTTGATCTTGGGTACTCTCTTACTTGCTCTGCTCCTTAATTTTATGTACTGTAAAATTAACATTGACAAGTTAGTCTGTAACACCTGGGGCAATCCAATATTGTACAACTGTACGGAAATTGCAGACTTGACTTCTTCAATTGCAAGGTCAATGGTGAAAAAAACTGACTCTGCTGGTTTGAAATGACAGGACCAACTGTATTAATACCTTCATGAAATGAAATAGAAATGGAACTTAGAAACCACAGGGACTTCCCAGTGAGTTGGTGAAAATCCCTTCTTCTCCAAAGTCTAGTTACTAGCTTCCATTTCAGGTATAAAAGTTTTCATGAAAACAAACCTGCTTAAAATGAAGCTATTTGTGACTGCAAATACTTTCTTTAAGGTCCAGGACACATTAATACCTTGGCCTGAAGTTGTACTTAATACAGAGGATTAGGGTATTTGATGTGAGAGGTGAGACATCCTGAGGTTAGAGTCTGAAGATGATGATATCACTCGCTTGGCTCCTTACTTATGAGACGTCAAGCAAGTTCTATGCCAATGCAAGGGGAAATTTCTCCTTAATTTGTTTGTCACAAGTCCTGAACAAATAACCATTTGTTTACCTAATATTGTCCCTTGAAACACACTGGGCTATTGCCAAAGAAGGAATAGTAAAAGTACCAAAAAAAAAAAAAAAAAAAGAAAGGATGGTGCCATTTCTACCACATTTTTTAGGGGAAGTTATAGTCCTAAAAAGTGAATGTCTTCTCTCTGATCTATCTTACTTTCCAAGTATGCTAAGTCTTCACTTAATGTCATTTATAGGTTCTAACTGTGACATTAAGCAAAAGGACATATAATGCAGCCAGTTTTCTTCCTTATCAATATTATAACAAAACAATGTTGAACAAAATGGCATTATTCAAGGAAATGCCGTATACTGCTTCACTTAAAGTTGCAATATCCAACAACCTGTCATAGACATTAAGTGGGGATTTACTGTTAAGTTGATCTTGGCTAACAATTATTATTAATTTCTTTTATGAACGTAGATTATTGGGTTGAAAGTTTTAATTCCTGATATTTTTCTTTACTGGGCATAAAAAAATTCCATGACTGTTTCAACCAGAACCAGTTTTGTGGACAATTATACCTAGAATGAATAGATGAGGAATTATTTTGTTGTATATGTGCACTGGAGATTATTCTATGATATGTTGATAGGAGACTTTGACAGATGGTTGGTCTGGTGCATTATAGTAATGGGATGGACTCCTGACTATATGGTTCTTGGACACATTAAAAGTGCCTTTTGAGCTTTAGTTCTCTCAATGCAAACTGGAACACATGATATACTTTTCATCTCCCAAAGAGCAGTGGTGACAGAGTGTTCCTTGAATAATCAAAGGTCTAATAAATTATCTTTTAAATTTATTTTTCAAAACAAATATTCTTGCTCATGTGCCACAGGAGACTTTGCACTACAAGAAGGCTTTAGTCATTAGGGAAAGACGTAATCACAAACTCCTTTTATCAAGTCATAGTCCATGGGACAGATGGAAAGGCAAACTAGCCAGCAAATGACATGGTCTCATATCCTGCCAGAAATTGCAGTAGTAAGAGAGCTCCAGTTGATATCTTATATTAAGTTCACTCTCTGGTATTCTAATGGCTACTTACCAGAAAACAGCTCATCCATCCAAACCTGCAGGGATATCTCTACTGAAAAACTGGCAGCCTTAAGGGACCATAAGTTCCATTTGTATTTAAGTAAACACCTGTTAGTATTAGATGTCATAGGTTGTTGGAAGACTGAGCTACTTAATAGGATCATGAAATATAAATAATGTAAAGAATATTTTTGGGTTCCATTAAATACCTTTTAAAGAATCAGAGTCTGGAATGCCAGAGGAGGTATAAAACTTATAGATCATCTAGTCTCCTCCCTCTACTAGCAGATGAAAAGACTGAGTCTTAAGAGAAATTTAGGCCAGGCATAGTGGCTCATACCTATAATACCAGCACTTTGGGAGCCTGAAGAGGGAAGACTGCTTGAGGCCAGGAGTTCAAGTTCAGCCTTGGCAACATAGTGAGATCACCTTCTCAAAAAGAAAATAAAATTAAAATTAAAAAAATTAGCCAGGCATGATGGCATATACCTGTAGTCCTAGCGACTCAGGGGATGAAGCTAGAGGATCCCTTGAGCCCAAGAGTTCAAGGCTGAAGTGAACTATGATCATGCCACTGCCCTTCAGCCTCTGTGGCAGAGTGAAACCTGTCTCTTAAAAAAAAAAAAGGAGGAAAGAGGGAAAGAAAGAGAGAGAGAACTTGCCCAAAGACACACACCTAACTACTTGCTGATGTAGAATTTAGGTCTAGGTCTCCTCACTCCTAGTTAAATGTCCAGTTCACCATCTTCCATTTCACATTTCCTGAATGCCTATTATTTGGTACTTCCAATTAGTGATAGATTACTAAGATTTATCTCTGACTTAAAGGAGCTCATGGTTTAATGGAGGAGGGAGAGATGTGAATTACAAATATTAGGAAGACTATGTAAGTTTCCACAGTGGAGGAATACATAAAGAGTATGTAGAAACAAAAGAGCTAATAGGTGCTCTTTGGATTGCATGCATCCCAAATATATAAAGTAAAAGAGAATTTTCATGAAAGTTCCCTCTCCAAACCTTACATGTCTGGATTCACCAGCCTCATCCATTCCTTCTGTGAATTATTATGAGTTTTTAAAAATATTAAGTGCTATTCAATGAAAAAAGTGTGTAAAAATGTAGATTATCATCTCATTTATATAATAATAAGACATAGGTATAAAAACAAATAAAATAAATATTTTCTGAGGGCTAAAACTATGAATATTTTTGGTCCCTTGAAAATGATATTGATTGCTAATCATAAAGTAATAAAAAATATATATTTTTATTATAAAATTAAAATACAAAACTCAAAACTTTAAAAATTTTAGGAAAAAACATAGGATTATATATTAGTGGAATTAGGAATTAGGAAGGATTTCATAAACAAGTTCCCAATATCATAAACCAAAAAATAATATTATTGAAAATTTTGACTTCATTAAAATTTAAAACTTATTTATGAAAGGACACTGTGAATCTAAAATTAAGTCAAAGAGAGGAAGAAGATTCTTCCTACACAAATTAATAATGAATAATAAAAGTTATGTCTAAAATTTATAATGAACTTCTAAAAATAATGAGAAATTGTCAAATAATCTAATATAAACACATGTTATATACAGGCATTTCAAAGAATGAGAAATCTGAAAGACTGTATATGAAAATATATGAAATCTCAATAACAACCAGATAAATGTTTATTAAAATCACAAAGAAATGCCATTCACATTCATTATATATACAAATTTAAAACTTGGCAAATATCAAGGGCTGTTGAGGATAGAGTCAAAAGGCTCATATACTGCTAGTGGAAGGGTAAATTAGAAAAGTAACTTGGGAGCTCAATTTGACAATATCAGGTAAATTTGAAAATGCCGTATCTTATGATTCAGAAATTTCATTTCCAGGAATATTCCTTATGGGAACTCTCACATATCTACATGAATAAATGTCTATAAGAATGATCATTATGACAGTTTATAAGACTAAAGTTGGGATAATTTATATGTTCTTCAAAGGAAAAAGAATATATAAACACAGTGAAATTCTAGGAAGCAACTAAAATAAACTCGATCTTCATGTATCAAGATAGATAAATTAGATAAATATCAGATCCCATAATGTTGAATGTAAAAATACAATAAAATTGGATGCATAAAGTTTAATGTCATTTAAAATTTGTCAAAATTAGTACAAAATATTATAAATATCAAGTATACAATATAATGGGAAAGATGCATATTAACATTAGGGCACATATGAACTTTGAGGAGGGTAATAGAATTTCAGGGGTGTGCAGGATATCATTAACCTTTTATTTCTCAGTATTATGTCTTTAAAACCATATTTAATTTTTTAATGTACTTTTTATTCTAAAAGAATTTTTTTTTAATTCTGAAGCCAATATAGAATATAGCAGTATTATATAAATCTGAGTGGTATTTATGCATATGTCTATTAATTATTTTTTATATATTTGTATATTTGAAATATTTAATGATAAATATTAACACATCAAAATCAGGACATATTGGATATTTATTTAAACTAACAAATTGTGAATAAATGCATTTATGAATCTATTGGGATACTGAAGAGTAGATATTTGATTATCTGAAATAATTTTTTTTTTAAGGTGATATTTATCTTATACCAAAATATTTACAGATAAAATGACGTCTGAAATTTTCTTCTATATTATCTATAAAGGATGGAAATGGGTAGGAGTATAGATGAAATAAGATTGGTTTTGAATTAATTTTTGAGGCTGGAAGATATATATATATTAATTCATCATACATATTCAGCATACTTGTCTCTACTTTCCCACAATAAAAAGTGGAAAATATATATTGTGTTTTTAGAAAAGCAAGTCATAGAAAAAAAATGACAGTGCAGTTTGAGTTCTCCTTTACCATTTCCATCAACACCATTGGCATTTCCAGACCTCTTCTCTGAAGTTCTGTATGCATTAATACCTGTAGAAATGGAAGTGTATGGTTTTGTACATGCGTGTTATCACATTGGACGTATTCTGTAGCTTCCCTTCCTCATTGCCATAAACAACATTTGTCAGACATCCACTTAAGTCAGCACACTTTTCCTACGTAATTATTTTTAAGGCTGCATTAAACTTCACACAACAATGTCCCATATTCTCTTATTGATTGATAGATGGATATGTTTTTTAATACAATTTGAAACTTTGTGAAACATACTGCATCTAAAATCCTTGTGTAAATGTTGTGGGTCTATTTTTCATTATTTTTAACTATTAAAGATTAAATTTTCTACAATTAACATAATATGTATATTTATAATTGTAAAATACATGCATATAATGATAAGTAACATATGAAAAAGATTCCAATGAAAATCAGCAGTTCTCTGGATTATAATTTTCTGCTGTCCAGCACATTTAACAATTTCTGAATCTAGTTCATCTGCTAGTTTTTCTAAAACTCTAAATCTGTACTTATATCTCTATTTTCTTCAAATTAGTAGATGTTATATGACACCTATTTAGTAGATGTTATATGACACCTATTTCTATCTGTATTTTCTTCAAATTAGTAGCTGTTATATGACACCTATTGGCCCTCCATTTAGCATTATTACACAACTTCCCATTTCTTCCCCAAATTTAAATAGTTTTATTATTATTTGTAGTTCTTTCATTGATTATATTTGTAACTTTAAATATAAGTTATGCTACTGAAGATCATAAAAATATAAGTCCTATACCTCTATTTCTTGTTTCAGCAGCTTCAGACATAGCTCCTTACTATGTAAAATGAGAAAATTGTATTTCTATCCTTATGTTCACACCACTTCCCCCTTCCAACACCCAACTCCTGTCAGCCATACTTTTATACATGAATTAAAGTTGACATTTGCATTATCTTCTGAAACTAAATTTTTTTTACTTTTTATATAAGTTGACCTTAAAAGTTGAATACCAAAAAATATATAATATTACTATGATTTTATAAATCTTGCTCGTTTCAGTCAGGGCTAAGCATGCTAACATTTCTAAGATTAATTTCCTTTTCTAAAGATAGAATGCTATGATTCCTTTGTGTTATTTGGTGGATACTTTTCCTAGAATCTGTGTTAACTGCATTCACTTTTCTTACATTTCATCAACTGCTCAAAATTTTGTTCCATTCTTGTTTCCTTTACATTTATACCATGATTTTTCTATGTATAATAATTTTAAAAATTAACATCCTGTCTAACATCTTGTCATTCTTGAAAACTACGTAACATGACTTCCCCCATTCCCACATTGTTCAGGCTTTTGGTCAGTCAATTGCATGGAATTCCTTCCTTTCCTTTCTTTCCTTCCTTCCTTCCTTCCTACCTTCCTTCCTTCCTTCCTTCCTTCCTTCCTCCCTCCCTCCCTCTTTTCTCTTCTCTTCTCCTCTCTTCTCTTCTTCTGTCCTCTCCTCTCCTCTCCCCTCTCTCCTCTCCTCTCCTCTCCCCTCCCCTCGCCTCCCCTTCTCTTTTCTTTCTTTCTTCTCTTTCTTTCTCTTTCTTTCTTTCTTTCTTTCTTTCTTTCTTTCTTTCTTTCTTTCTTTCTTTCTTTCTTTTTCTTTCTTTCCTTTCTTTTTCTTTTCTTTTCCTTTCTTGTCTTTCTTTTCTTTCTTGAAACCTTCTCTCCCATGTCCTATGATAGTTGAAAATACTTATCTTTTATATCTACTTGCAAGGGTATCATACTGAAGCTTCATTGTGCTCCTAAGTCCAAACCTCTTTTCCTGGATTCCATATTTTCCTTTTTTTGCTTGTTTTTCTGGAGTATGTTATCAATTGACTTGCTCATATAAAGCATATGGGAGACACAATTTGGGGGTTGTTTCTTATCTGAAAATCACTTTATTTTATAGCAACACTGGTCTAACAATTTGGCAGGATATAAAACTCTGTTATATATAATCTTTCCTCACAACTTTGAAGGTGTTTTTCCACTGCCTTCTAACTTACGAAGTTAATATTGAGAAGCCTGCTGTGAGTCTCATGCTCATTCTTCTGTGGATATATTTTTATTTCTTCTCTTTCTGTCTGATTTTGGGATTTTAAGATTTTCCCTTTGTTCTTCATTTTCCCAAGTAAGGAAGGCATAGGTAGTCAATACATTAATTTGTTCATTTTTGCTCTCTATACACTTTAAGAACCTTCTAAATATGAAGACTGGTGTCCACTTTTATCTCTATAAGATATTCTATTGTTGCTTCTCAGCCTTTTGGCTAAGATCCTGTGTAAAAATTCTATTATTGCTTTGATAATTTTTTCCATAAGTTTCTCTTTCTGAAACTTCTTGGTGGATACCATAGTTCCTGACTATTTTGTTGTGTCTCTTTCATTTTGTTCTCATATTTTATATTTCTTTTTATTTACCTCTACATCCTGGGATTTTTTCAAACTTTTCTTCAAAAAGTTTTGTTTGGATTTCATTCCTAAGAATGTATTTTTAATCCCCAATATCTCTTTTGAATTCATTGATTGATCATTTATTTTTACCTTTTTTCAAATTTCATAAACGAACTATCTTCTCAACACCCTCTGACAGTATAATAAAAATTATTCCTATTTCTTATGTCAAGTATCTGTTGCAGGATCCATTATTCTTTACTCATATTTTATTTTGATGGTATTTTTCATTATCTCATGCTGCTGTATTTCTATTCATACAGAAAAATTAGAGGTTCATCTGGCAATTTGGCTGCGTGGATGTGGATCTCTCCTGCTTTTGTACATGTGACATGTGGGCTCTTTTCCTGCTAGACTTCTTTCTGAATGGAAGGCTGACAGGACATTCAATGCACTTAGCAAAACTTATCAATTGCCAGTCTTAACATTTGAGTGGCAGGCCAGAAATGAACCTTTAACCTACGAATTTCCAAATGCAAAATAAAAAGGAATTTTAATTTGGGTTTACTAGCACCCACTTTGAGATCTAGTACCCATCTTGGTCATCTTAGCCATCCCAAGGATCCATCTGATTTAGAAAATTGCTCCCAAATTTTAGCTAAAATTCCAACTCTAAGTAGTTAGTAAGAGAGTTCTAATTTCTGAATTTTCTGACCTTGAAACTTCTAGCTTCTTCCAGGAAAACTGTCTCCCACAAGTATTATGGGCAGAGATTTTGTCTGCTACATTCCACGTAGGTATAAGATTTAACATTACAGAAATTTTTTTAAATCTCTCATACTTCTCTATTCTTTTTGCTATTACTAACTTGTCATTAAATAAAATTCTATACTGTTATTTCAACAGAATCTCCTTCCAGAGAAAGAGAAAAAAATACCTGTGTTCTAGTTACTGTTAAACCGAAAGCTAACTTAAACTACAAGAGATTTTCAAGTTCCTTTGTAATGGTCCTATTTGTAGTGTGGGAGGTGTACAAAAACTGATATCCTTTGTATTGTTTTATATCTTAAAAAAGACCGACTATTGAAAAGGAATTTTTAAATTTACTATTAATATTACCTTTTACTGACAAATCATACGTACCTTTATGGGGTATAATATGATATTTTGATGTATGTATATACATTGTGGAATGATTTAATCAAGCTACTTAACATATCCAGTACCTGGCTTACCAATCATTTTTTATCATGAGCCATTTGAAATTCAGTTATTTTGAAATCAACAATACACTATTGTTGACTGTGGTCATCTTGTTGTGCAGTAGATCTCAAAACCTATTTTTCCTGTCTACCTGAAGTTTTGTATGCTTTGGTCAATAGCCTCCCATTTCCTCCCTCCTTACCTTCCAGCCTATTCTACTTCTGAGTTCAACTTTATTAGATTCCACATATAAGTGAGATTAGGTGGTATTTGTTTTACTGTGCCTTGCTTATTTCACTTAATATAATCTTCTCAAGATTCATCCATGTTGTTGCAAATGACAGGATTTAATTTAAAGCTAAATAGTATTCCATTGTGCATATACACCACATTTTCACTGTTCATTCATCCATTAATGGATATTTAGGTTGATTTCATATTTTGGCTATTGTGAATAATGCTGCAATGAACAGATATCGCTTGATATACGGATTTCAGTTCCTTTGAATATATAATCAGAAGTGGAATTACTAAATCATATGGTAATTCTATTTTGAGTTTTTTGAGGACCCTTCATACCAATTTCCATAGTGGCTATGCTAATTTACATTCCTAGCAACATTTGTTACCTTTCTTATTTTTGATAAAAGCTATTTTAACAGGTGATAAGTGACATTTCATTGCGGTTTTAATTTGCATTGCCCTGATGGTTAGCAATGCTGAGCATTTTCTCATTTTTCATGTACCCTTTGACCACTTGTATGCCTTCTTTTGAAAAATGTCTGTTCTCATCTCTTTTGAGTCATATTCAAAATATTGTTGCCAAGATCAATGTCATGGCACTTTCCTCCTATGTTTTCTTCTAGTAGTTTTACATTTTTAGGTCTATATAAGTCTGTAATCCATTTTGAGTTAATTTTTGTGTATGGTCTAAGATAAGGGTCTAATTTCGTTCTTCTCCACATAGATATTCAGTTTTTTCAACACGATTTATTGAAGAGACTGTCTTTTCCTGATTGTGTTTTCTTGAGACCTTGTCAAAACTTAATTGATAAAAGGAACTGTTTGTTATTTAAATAACTATAGTTTACTTTTTTGTTGTTACATGTAGATTTACTGAGATAGAGCATGCAAATGTGGTTCAGAACATACCATACAAGGACTTTGTTTTTCAAGTTTTGCCAGACACAGCTGAGACCAGTTCATTGTCTTCCTTCTTTATCTTCACAAAGCTCCTTTTTGTGTGTATCTACTACTGCTATTTTGGGTTCATAAGCATTCCTCAGTGATCAACAGACCTAACATAATGCAAATCTCTCCCTTACATTATAAAATTATTTCTGTAAGCAAGAAATTCCTAAATCCAATGTACCTTGGATTTATTCTGTAGCAGATTCTGTAGCAGAACAAAAATATTAGTGGAAAAACTAATAAAATCTAAATAATGTCTGATGTTTAGTTGATAGTAATGAATTAATGTGTTTTTTCTTTAGTTTTGACAAATATGTAAGATATTAATGTTAGGGAAAATCGGGTGAGAGGTACATGGGAACTCTTCATAGTATTTTTGCAACTTTGAAAAATCTAAAATTACTTCAAAATAAAAAATTTGCTAAACACACACACACACACACACACACACACACACACACACACAGTTCTGTTCCTTTTCTTTACTTACTGGCCTTGGTTATTATAACAGGATTTAACACTCCAACTTCTTTGGCAAATCTTTATAAAGCACCTACTACTATGGGTTGGATATGATGGTAGATACTTTGAGGATATAAAGATGAATAAGATTTCAGTTTGCATTTAGAGAATTATTTTTTTAAAGGACATGAATGGCATTTATAATTTTTAGTTTACATCTGCTAATTTAATTGTGCTGTGTCTGTGAAGGTAGGGGCCTTCTATGATTCTTCCTTAAAACCTAGCACAAGTAAGTCCTTGAAGATGCTGGGTGAAAAAAATGAGTTCATGTATTAAGTAATTATGTGCTGTAT
The DNA here is from genome assembly GCF_000001405.40 of Homo sapiens. Classification (NCBI taxonomy): domain Eukaryota; kingdom Metazoa; phylum Chordata; class Mammalia; order Primates; family Hominidae; genus Homo; species Homo sapiens. Next base: position 189,415,017 of record NC_000003.12, read on the forward strand.
GCCCACTATATACCAGGCATAGTGTCCACTTCAAAGAGAATGCCTGAGTCTTCTTATGAAGAGGTAATCTATCCAGCGTAAATGCCGAAGGTAAATGGGTGGCAAGTGTGATAGTATGGATGTAGAGTCCATAAACTCAGGTTGATATTTGCTCTGTCACTTACTGTCTACACCTCTCATCTGTATTGTATAGAGTGGCATTTATAATGCTCACTTCACAGATATTTAAATAAAACAATATTTCCTAAAGTACTTTAGAGATAAGATAATACTAATTAAGTCGGCATTTTAAAGTACATACATCCAAAATAAAGTAAACCCAATTTTGCTGCAAATATTCTCTTTAAACATTTTTTTGAGAAAAACATTAATAAATACCTTTAGAACATATTTTAAGATTTTTTAAAACAAAAATGGAAATAAATTTCCAAGGTTTTCTAACACTGTCTAGGATAGTGAGTCTAAAATAACTAATATTATATCTTCAGGAAAGAGTTAACAAATAATGACTTCATTTCAAAGCAAAAGCAGTTTCTATTTATTTTAATTTCTATTAACTCTGTCATGCATCATTCATTGGCTTCATAATTATTCTCTTCTATGTCTGAGAACATACTTTACATAGCCTCATGGCCTCAAAGTGTGGTGGCCATTCACAGCTCTGTCTCACAAGAGGTTGGGAAGCTAAGGGCTCAACAGACTCTTGTAGCTCGGAAGGTTCAAGGTTGAAAAAGTCCCACCCACCTTTTTCAGTGAAGTTGATATCCCTGGGTGTGTCCTTCTAGTGTGTTTCAGAGTCTTCCTCCCATGGAACATGTAATTTCACCCTTTTCAAGTCATTGTCTTAGTCCTGTGTATTGATTAGGGTCCTTAAATGTAACAAGCTAAGACTGTGTCAAAATCAGTCAATGAATATTTCTTGAGAACCTACTGTGTACAAGGACTCAAGTATACATTTATATAATACTTCGTAACACAATTTAAAACATTATTCAATAAATACTCAGAAAAAATGTTAGACGTTATTAGCCTTTCATAGAAGTAAAGATTTATGTTCAAGGTCTCAGGAGTTTTAACTCATAAGGATTTTAGGCTGGGCGCAGTGGCTCATGCCTGTAATCCCAGCAGTTTGGGAGGCTGAGGCAGGTGGATCACAAGGTCAGGAGTTTGAGACCAGCCTGGCCAACATGGTGAAACCCCGTCTCTACTAAAACTACAAAAATTAGCCAGGTGTGGTGGTGGGCGCCTGTAATCCCAGCTACTTGGGAGGCTGAGGCAGGAGAATTGCTTGAACCCAGGAGGTGGAGCTTGCAGTGAGCCAAGATCGTGCCACTGCACTCCAGCCTGGATGACAGAGCAAGACTCTGTCGCAAATTTTTTTTTTTTTTAAATAAGGATTTGAACGCAAAACTCTTGAGGGTAAGCCCCAATATTCACGGACTACATCACAACTGGTTACCAAGATAGTTGCTGTGGGTGAAGCAGAGATAATGAGTCACAGATTCTACACTTAAGATCTGTGTAGTCTCCAGGAGATAAAATCTTTACCAGAACTATACTCACATAAAGTAGAAATGGAAGGTTATCATAAGACAAGTAAAACAAACAAACAAACAAATAAAATAGAAAAAGCAATTAAAAGAGAGAAGGAAAATATCAGTGAGGTAAGGGGAGACTCTACATTGCAGAAAATATTTGATTTGGGCTTTGAAAAAAAGATGGATTTGGGTGGTATGGATTTGTTTCATTTTTGTGCATATTATTTTATTTCTTTTGCTTGAAATATTATTATACATATAAATACTATATATATTGCTTTTATATTAAGAATAACAATACAATTATTTTTCCTATATCCGTCACATTCCCATCACCTTTGAAGCTCTTCAAGTGCCCTTCATCTTTTAAATTATCTCACTTCCTCACTCCCAAACTAATCACTATCTGGAATGTTAATTATTCTTCATTCTCTTGCAGTTTACCACAGATATGGGTGTCCCTAATCAATATATTGTTTAGTTTTGACTGTTTTGACCTTTATTTAAATGAAACTATAATAGATGTTATCTTTTGTGACTTGTTTTGTATTCAGCACTATGTTTTTAAAATTCATTAATATTGATCCATGTAGCTGTGGTTCATTCATATGTATGCTTGGGATGTTTCTGGTTAATTCATTTCTATTACAAATAGTGCTACTCTAAACATGTTTATCTGTTACTGCAAGTCGCACACACTGAACATTTGCATATTTGCAAGAGCTTGATCTAGCATGGCAATGCTGTGTCCTAGACTATGTAATCACACCTTTAAGAGTAACAACTAATCGAACTGCCTTTTTCAAAGTGGGTTTGCCAATTCATTCTCCCACCAGAAGTGTGTGAAAACTTCAATTACTTCAGTCCTTGAAAGCAAAGACCATCTTATTTATTTATGTGTCCACACAGCACTTGGCACATGGGGAGGATCTATGATATTTTTTGGTCAGATGAAGGAATAAGACGTGATGCTTAAACAAAGCGAGAGAAAGAAGATGCAGGTTCTTTTAGGGACTACTATAAAATAAACTTTGTTTTCCTCCAACGGGAGGAGATAGATGACTTTATTGATAAAGAAGACACTGTTCGAAAAAAATTACATTTTGTTTTTGCACCTAATGGGGTAAGTGCTGAGTCAATTTCCATCTTGGGCTCTGAATCTTGCTACCATCATTTCTTCCTTTTTTCCTGCCTCAGACAACACTCTATCTCTTTTATTATTTTTGTCATGTAAGGAATGCATGTTCATGAGAGATGAATAAGAAGAAGCTATAGTGATGGATAATTTTTTAAAAATTATCATCTGAAATCGTATCATTAAGAAATAACCACTATTGGCGGGGCACGGTGGCTCATGCCTGTAATCCCAGCACTTTGGGAGGCCAAGGTGGGCAGATCACAAGGTCAGGAGTTTGAGACCAGCCTGGCCAACGTGGTGAAACCCTGTCTCTACTAAAAATACAAAAATTAGCCGGGTGTGGTAGCATGTGCCCATAATCCTAGCTACTCAGGAGGCTGAGGCAGGAGAATCACTTAAACCTGGGAGGCAGAGGTTGCAGTGAGCAGAGATTATACCACTGAACTCCAGACTGGGTGACAGAGCAAGACTCCATCTCAGGAAAAAAAGATGAGAGAAGAAATAACCACTATTAGCATTGTATGGGTGCACCATAATCTATTTGTCTCTGAGGTTATTTTGATGTTAGTGACTTCAAGGAAGAAAAAGTGGCTTCTGGGAATGTGCATATTGACACAGAAGGTATATAGAATGAAGTGCCTTTTGATTTTAAATGTAATCAGACATTCAAGAGAGCAGAACATATGGACTCTCAGAACATCAGAGCAAGGAAGGAATTTACATGTGTCTATATAAGCCCTTTATTTTGGAAATAGCCAGAAATATTGATCTCAACTCTGATAATTGTACTCCCTTGGTGTGAAACTTCAGATCATTCCTAGAGATTTGAAAGGCTAGAGTCCTCAGGTGGGCATCCACGGGCATCTCAGTATCAATCTCTGTCCAGTGTACCAGATTCAATATTCAAAGTCAATAAAAAAAATTTTACTTCCCACTAGGTGCCAAACTCTGTCACAGATTTTTTTTTAAATTTAAGCCAAATGACAATAGTGTTGTGTTTATTGCTACCACAATTACCACCTTATTTTACAAATGAGAAAACTGAGGTTGAATATTGAGTTATTTAGACTTTTTGCTAAAGTCTCAGAATAACTTGGTACAGTTCCTAGATAAGCCAAGTGCCCAGATCCCCAAGACACTACATTAAGAAGATTCTATTCTATGGAGTATCAATCACATAATACATTCTACTTTCATTGGTCCAAAAGCAAGTGACACATAGATTTTCCACCTGGCATTATTCTTCCCATTAGGCCTATTTCTTCTCTTCAGTCACTTATGGGTAGCTTTGATTTCTTCCCTTCAGCTTCTCTCCCACCTGGCATGTGGCTGCCACACACGGGGCAGGGAAGGGTCGGGGGAGGGGTGAATGGGCAGTGTGGAATGGGGCTGGAGGAAAGAAGAGTAGATAGCTGGGTGTTGTTTTTGCTCTAATATTATTGTCTAGCCAATATCCAAGATGCTGTCCCTCTCTCGTTGCTGTGTACTCTTTGCTCTTTAACTTAGAAGTGTTTATTATGATAAGCTGTGAGCAGATGGACTGAAGTGAGGAGAGAAATTTGACCCAAGAAGATGTCACTTAAACAGCTGAGGCTAGTATTTCACCAGATGTCCAAGCGGTTAACCCATTGAGAGCTTTATGAAGAGCAGTAGCAATTTTTTCATTTGCTGAACTCTTAATTACTAATTTTTCTAATTAGTTAATGGTAGCAAGTATTTGCAAATTATAAAGCATATTTTATATTTTAAAACATTTATATTTAGTATCCTCTTTGATGCATTCATCAATCCAGAGAGATAATCTGCCTCGGATGATAACTAATAATAACTTATATTATTAGTCCTAGTTTACTGATGAGTAAACTTAGGTGCAACTTGTGAAAAGTCACATGCACACACGGAGGAAGAGCTCAGACCACTAAAAGAGAAGAGAAGTTGGGACAGACTTACAGACTTCAGCAATCACCTAGTCAAATATGTATACTCAAAAAATGAGAAAACCGAGGTGGGTTCTGCTGGGCTGATTTGTTGAAGCTCCCCCAGTGAGTTGTGAGTTCATATGGGACTTGAACCCAGGTCCCCTTCTTGCAGCCCCAGGGTTTCCTCTACCAGATTTTTTGATTCCTGACTATTCAGTGTTGCAACATGCCTGCCTCACTAGCTGGCAAAGGAGCAATCCAGTGTGCTGGCTGAAGATGAAGGGGGAAAAGGGACTGCCATGTTCTATCCAGTCATCCTGTACAATTGTGTCAAGCTTCAAAAGCCCTCATGACTCTTAATAAGTAAATAGGTTACTTGAAAGATTGAAATCAAACCTTCCTAGTAATTTTGAGAATTGCTTAACATTCTGGTTTAAAGAAAAAAAAAAAGGTCATCTCTTTGATTTAATCATGCCACCAATGTTGGAGAGGATGAAGAAAAAAATTCTTATTTTAAATTCTCCTTAAAGAAAAATAGAGAATTGAGAAAGCTAGTGTAGAGTGAAGGAAAAAAATAGTGGATCAGTAGTCAAACAACCAGAGCCTGAATTTAAACTATGTGAATGTTACCTGGATTCTCTGAGTCTCAATTTCTTATGTAAAATGAGAGTAAATACCCTCTTATTTGCCTCCTGTGACTATGGGGAGAATCTATTTTTAATCACTGTGACTGCTGTATGTAAAATTAAAATTATGCTATACTAATATGAGGCAGAATTTAAAATAACACTAATGGGCATCTCTCCCTTGGTCTGGTAAGAGAGGCAGCAAAGCTTAGCAGCTTGGAGAACAGACCAGGGAGTCGTATTGCCTGGATTTGAATTCTAGTTTTATCATGTACTACTTGTGTGATCTTGAGCAAGCTACCTAAGCTCACCACTAAAATGTGGATACTAGAATATCTCTCACTGTTTTGTTATGAAGATTAAGTGAGTTAATGTCTGCAGAATTCTTAGAACAATAACTTTTGCGTAGTAAGTTCTATATAAGTGGCGGTTAAATAAATAATTTTAAAAATATAATGATTACTTCAAGGCAAATATACATCCAGGACAACAGAAATGTTCATTTAAGATTCTGTCTTAGCTGTTTTCCTATTTTGATTTCTAGCCACAGGCCTTTACTTATAGTAAGTTGGAAACATGCTCCGTGATTACATCTTGACATGATTATACATTTTTAATGATTTAAGTTTATAAATAAAGAATGTACAGTATTAGATGCAAATCTAACTTACATTTATCCAAATGACAAACATTATTTACTACTTTATGCATTAATAAAACACTCCATACTTGTGTATGGAGTCTCTCATTGATGGGCATTTGGGTTGGTCCCAGTCTTTGCTATTGTGAACAGTGCTGCAATAAACATACGTGTGCATGTGTCTTTACAGTAGAATGATTTATAAACCTTTGGATATATACCCAGTAATGGGATTGCTAGGTCAAATGGTATTTCTGGTTCTAGATCCTTGAGGAATTGCCACACTGTCTTCCACAATGGTTGAACTAATTTACACTCCCATCAACAGTGTAAAAGTGTTCCTATTTCTCCATATCCTCTCCAGCGTATGTTGTTTCCTGACTTTCTTTCTTTTTTTTTGTTTGTTTGTTTGAGACAGAGTCTTGCTCTGTCGCCCAGGCTAGAGTACAGTGGCGTGATCTCGGCTCACTGCAACCTCCACCTCCCAGGTTCAAGCAATTCTCCTGCCTCAGCCTCCTGAGTAGCTGGGATTATAGGCGCCTGCCACCACGCCCAGCTAATTTTTTTGTATTTTTAGTAGAGACAGGGTTTCACCATGATGGTCAGGCTTGTCTCGAACCCCTGACCTCGTGATCCACCCGCCTTGGCCTCCCAAAGTGCTGGGATTATAGGCATGACCCACCACGCCCAGCCTGTTTCTTGACTTTCTAATGATCACCATTTTAACTGGAGTGAGATGTTATCTCATTGTGGTTTTGATTTGCATTTCTCTAATAACTAGTATGAGCTTTTTTTCATATGTTTGTTGGCCGCATAAATGTCTTCTTTTGAGGAGTGTCTGTTCATATTCTTCACCCACTTTTTGATGGGGTTGTTTGATTTTTTTCTTGTAAATTTGTTTGAGTTCTTTGTAGATTCTGGATATTAGCCCTTTGTCAGATGAGTAGATTGCAAAAATTTCCTCCCATTCTGTAGGTTGCTTGTTCACTCTGATGGTAGTTTCTTTTGCTGTGCAGAAGCTCTTTAGTTTAATTAGATCCCATTTGTCTATTTTGGCTTTTGCTGCCATTGCTTTTGGTGTTTTAGACATGAAGTCCTTGCCCATGCCTATGTCCTGAATGGTATTGTCTAGGTTTTCTTCTAGGGTTTTTATGGTTTTAGGTCTAACATTTAAGTCTTGAATGCATCTTGAGTTAATTTTTGTCTAAGGTGTAAGGAAGGGATCCAGTTTCAGCTTTCTACCTATGGTTAGCCAGTTTTCCCAGCACCATTTATTAAATAGGGAATCCTTTCCCCATTTCTTGTTTTTGTCAGATTTGTCAAAGATCAGATGTCTGAGGGCTCTGTTCTGTTCCCTTGGTCTATATCTCTGTTTTGGTACCAGTACCATGCTGTTTTGGTTACTGTAGGCTTGTATAGTTTGAAGTCAGGTAACATGATGCCTCCAGCTTTGTTCTTTTGGCTCAGGATTGTCTTGGCAATGTGGGCTCTTTTTTATTTCCATATGAACTTTAAAGTAGTTTTTTCCAATTCTGTGAAGAAAGTCATTGGTAGCTTGATGGGGATAGCATTGACTCTATAAATTACCTTGGGCAGTATGGCCATTTTCATGATATTGATTCTTCCTATCCCTGAGCATGGAATGTTCTTCCATTTGTTTGTGTCCTTTTTTATTTCATTGAGCAGTGGTTTATAGTTCTCCATCCTAATACCAAAGCCTGGCAGAGACACAACAAAAAAAGAGAATTTTAGACCAATATCCCTGATGAACATCGATGCAAAAATCCTCAATAAAATACTGACAAACCAAATCCAGCAGCACATCGAAAAGCTTATCCACCATGATCAAGTGGGCTTCACTCCTGGGATGCAAGGCTGGTTTCACATACGCAAATCAATAAACGTAATCCAGCATATAAACAGAACCAAAGACAAAAACTACATGATTATCTTGATAGATGCAGAAAAGGCATTTGACAAAATTCAGTAGCCTTTCATGCTAAAAACTCTCAATAAATTAGTTATTGATGGGATGTATCTCAAAATAATAAGAGCTATTTATGACAAACCCACAGCCAATATCATACTGAATGGGCAAAAACTGGAAGCATTCCCTTTGAAAACTGGCACAAGACAGGGATGCCCTCTGTCACCACTCCTATTCAACATAGTGTTAGAATTTCTGGCCAGGGCAATCAGGTAGGAGAAAGAAATAAAGGGTATTCAATTAGGAAAAGAGGAAGTCAAATTGTCCCTGTTTGCAGATGACATGATTGTATATTTAGAAATCCCCATTGTCTCAGCTCAAAATCTCCTTAAGCTGATAAGCAACTTCAGCAAAGTCTCAGGATACAAAATCAATGTGCAAAAATCACAAGCATTCTTATACACCAATAATAGACAAACAGAGAGCCAAATCATGAGTGAACTCCATTCACAATTGCTTCAAAGAGAATAAAATACCTAGGAATCCAACTTACAAGGGATGTGAACAGTTTTTTAAGTAGCAGAGGAAACAATGGCAATGGAAGACTAACACAGCATTCTAAGTCTATAATAGGGAAAGATGTCAAAGTTAATCACACTATTTAATCAATTAGGTGCCAAATAATTGACTATTAGGCATACCTCTGACTTTGAATACAAGAAAGGAAATGTTTTCTGAAGTCTTCAATGACAATTTATAATAATAATAATAAAAATAAAACTTATAAGAGAATCTATTATATTAAATAAACACGAAGTTATAGCATGCAGAAGTTTTTAAAAATCTCACCTAATTAAATATTGGGTAAAGGAGGCAGAAGCAATTTACAGAAAAAAAACCTAAATAACAATATTTGTGATGTATCCAGAGATATAGATACACTATCTGTGTGTGTGTGCATGTGTGCATGCACATGTGCACATACGTGAGTTTTTTCTTCTAAGTTCTCAGAACAAGGCTTCATTTTCTCTTTTGCTTCAGAATACTTTCATACCAACCACATTAATTTTATTTGCTAGTACTTAGAGTAAAAAATTTTCATTGTTCCTGTGTAAGCAAATGATTAGTTCTAAGTTCAGTATGTACAGATATTCATAATTAGTTGATTTATGAATTAAATATAAATATAAATAGAGAATGAAGAAAATATGTGAATTAAAGAGAATAAGAAATGATACACACCTTTTCAGAAAGGTTTTTGAAAACATTTTAAAAAATTTAAAGCGTGTACATATACAATGAATTGAAAATACTTTGATGTAGTGCCAAGGCCTTTTCTAGGTTCAGTATATTTAAAGAGCAAAAGAAAAAACAAATAGAAGACACCCTGAAGCATCGTGCATGCAGAAGTTAAGGAGTTTTATAGTTCTCTCTCCCACCCCCCATCTCCTAGTCTCGCACTCTTCTCACATGACAGCAAACTCACCCAAAAGCATTTTTTTCCTAAAGCAACACTTCTTATGGGAAACTTCCAAAATATTCTACTTAACTTTCAGAGAAATCCAAAACAAGCCCTCTTATTTATATTTGTAATTTATTGGTTACATAATATTTAATTAACCTACATGTGGAAGAAGAAAATCATAACAAATTTGGGAAGCAAACATATATGATTCTTGATAACCCATTGAAGACAGCTCCATCGTGCTAGTACCCTTGAAAGAAGGGTATCAGAGGTTTGGTCCCTAGTCCGGCAACATCAGCATCACCCTGAGAGCTCATCAGTAGCTCAAACTATAAGCCCCTCCACAGACCTACTGGACTCAGAAATTCTGGGGTAAGACCAGAAGGCTATATTTAATTGGGTGAGCACTTTTACATTTTTATGTCTTTATATTTTGTATTTGTTTCATATGATCTATGTGATTTATGCTTTCTAAAATGTATTGAGCTCATCTTTGTGGCTCAATACATTGTAAATGGTCAATTGAAAGCCTCACAGCCACTTTTGATGAATGCTAAAGGTTGAAAACCACTTGGCCCAGAGTGTCTAGTAGCTGAGAGATCTCAAGTGTGTGGCAGGCAGAAATAAGTCTGTTCTATAGTCCTTAGGAGAGATCTTGCTTTACCTTCACTAACTTTCAATCCCCTTGAAAGCTGGCAGAATCCTCCTTGGGACTGGAGGGCTGGATGCTATCTATGCATATGCTTAGCAGAGTTCTCAACTCCTAGCAGACACTCACAAAATATCAGTTCACATTCTTAATATGAGATACTTTTCCAGGCCTCTACACAAGAAAGGAAGTCTCCTGCTAGGGGTCATTTTTTGCAGAGGAAGTGGATGAGGTTTTAAAGCTAGCAGTTCTGGGTTTCTACATGCTTTTTACAGGATGCCACCCCTACATATGGAATTACAGGGATCAAGTTCCTTCCTTACCCTGTTTCGGTAATGTGTTCTTTTCCTTCTCAGGTTAATAAAGTGTTGCTAGTCTGAAGCGGAGGTTCCCTTCTTCCCCCTGTAGCTGGGCCACTTTAATCGCACCAATAAAGATGAGGAAGAGCCTGTTCTTTCTGCTGAGATACCTCTAACCTTCCTCTGTCATCTGTTAACTAGGTCAGTGTGGAGAGCAAAGCAGTTTGACCTGATGTCCATTTTATTCTATGCTTGTTCTGTGGTCTGGGCTGGGATAATTTGGTTTGAGGCAGTGGTTGTCCACTATGGCTATACATGAGAATCAGTTGAGGAGCTTTTAAAAAATACTAATGTCTTGGTCCATTAAATCAGAGTCTGAGGATGACACCTTGGCAAAGGTCCTTTTTTATTCTTTTTTTAGAGTTTCTACAGTAAAGAGAGACAGTTTGACTCATTTTCCTGTTCAAATGCCCTTTATTTACTTCTTTTGCCTGATTTCTCTGGCTAGGGCTTCCAGTACTATACAGAAAAGGAGTGGTGAAAGTGGAAATCCTAATCTTGTTCCAGTTATCAAGGGAAATGGTTCTAGCTTTTGCCCTTTCAGCATGATATGGGCTGTGGGTTTGTCATAGATGGCTTTTATTATTTTGAGGTTTGTTCCTTCAATGCCTAGTCTGTTGAGAGAGCTTTTATTAATGAAGGGATGTTGGATATTGTTAAAATTTATTTCTGCATCTATTGAGATGATCATATGGTTTTTTCCTTTAATTCTGTTTTTGTGATAAATTATATTTATTGGTTTCTGTGTACTGAACCAGACTTCCATCTTAGGAATAAAGCTTACTTGAGCATGGTGTATTAAGTTTTTGATGTGCTGCTAGACTCAGTTTACTACTATTTTCTTTTCTTTTCTTTTCTTTTTTTTTTTTTTTTGACGGTGTCTTGCTCTGTCACTCAGACTGGGGTACAGTGGCACAGTCTCGACTCACTGCAACCTCTGCCTCCTGGGTTCCAGCGATTCTCCTGCCTCAGCCTCCCAAGTAGCTGGGATTCCAGGCTTGTGCCAACATGCCCGGCTAAATTTTTTTTTTTTTTTGTATTTTTTTTAGTAGAGATGGGGTTTTACCATGTCAGCCAGGTTGGTCTCGAACTCTTGACTTCAGGTGATCCACCTGTCTTGGCCTCCCAAAGTGCTGGGATTACAGGCCTGAGCCACTGAACCCGGCTGGTTCACTACTATTTTCTTGAGGATTTTTGCATCTATGTTCATCAGGGATATTGGCCTAAAGTTTTCTTTTTCCATTATTTCTCTGCAAGATTTTGGTATCAGGCTGGTGCTAGCTTTATAGAATGAGTTAGGGAGGAGCCCCTCCTTCTCAATTTTTAGGAATAGTTTCAATAGGATTGGTACCAGTTCTTCACTGGATATCTGGTGTAATTTGGCTGTGAATCCCTTTGGTCCAGTGCTTTCCTTGTTTGGTACGATGTTTATTACTAATTCAATTTCAGAACTTGTCATTGGTCTGTTCAAGTTTTCACTTTCTTCCTGATTCAATCTTGGGAGTTTTTCAGTTTTCAGGAATTTACCCATTTCCTCTAGTTTTCTTAATTTGTGTACATAGAAAACCCTAAAGCCTCTGTCAAAAGACTGCTAGCACTGACAAATTACTTTAGTAAGGTTTTAGGATACAAAATCAATGTACAAAAATCAGTAGCATTTCTATACACCAACGGCGTTCAAGCTAAGAGTCATTTTATGAATACAATCCCATTTATAATAGCCACAAAAGAAGAGAAATATCTGGGAATACAGCTAACCAAGGAGGTGAAAGATCTCTGTACGGAGAACTACAAGACGCTGCTGAAAGAAATCAGAGACAACACAAATAAAAGGTAAAACATTCCATGCTTATAGATTGGAAAAATCAATATCACTAAAATGACTACACGGCCCAAAGCAATTTATGGATTCAAGGGTAATCCTATCAAACTAGCACTGTAATTTTCCACAGAATTAGAAAAAACTAATTCTATTTCTAAAATTCATATGGAACCAAAAAAGAGCCCCCAAAGCCAAATCAATCCTAAGCAAAAAGAACAAAGCCAAAGGCATCATATTACCTGACTTGAAACTATGCTATAATGCTACAATAACCAAAACAACATAGTACAAGCACAAAAACAGATGTATAGGCCAATGGAACAGAATGGAGAACCCAGAAATAAAGCTTCATTAGCATATACAACAATTACCTCAAGATGGATAAAAATATAAATGTAAGGCCACAAACTGTAAAAACCCTAGTAGAAAACCCAGGGAGAACCCTCCTTGACATCGACCTTGGCAAAGAATTTTTGGCTAAGTCCCCAAAAGCAATTGCAATAAAAATTAAAATTGACAAGTGAGAACTAATTAAACTAAAAAGCTGCTGTACAGCAAAAGAAACTATCAACAGAGTAAACAAACAACCTATAGAATGGGAGAACATATTCACAAACTATGCATCTGATAAAGACCTAATATCCAGAATCCACCATGAACTTAAACATATCAACAAGCAAAAAACAATAACCTTATTAAAAAGTGGGCAAAGGACATGAACAGACACTTCTCAAAAGGAGACATACAAATGACCAATGAATATATGAAAAAATGTGCAATATCACTAATTATCACAGAAATACAAATCAAAACCACAATGAGATATCATCTCACACCATTCAGAATGGCCATTATGAAAATGTCAAATAATAACAGATTTGGAAAACCTGTGGAGAAAAGGGAATGCTGATATGCCGTTGGTGGAAAGTTAAATTAATTCAGCTGCTGTGGAAAGCAGTTTGGAGATTTTTCAAAGAACCTAAGACAGAGCTACCATTTAACCAGGAGGCCCTATTACTGGGTATATACCCAAAAGGAAACAAATCATTCTACCAGAAGGCACATGCACTCATACGTTTATTGCATCATTATTCACAATAGCAAAAACATAAAATCAACCTAGATGCCCATCAAGAGTAGATTGGATAAAGAAAATGTGGTTCATATACACCATGGAATATTACACAGCCCTTAAAACAACAAAATCAGGTCCTTTGAAGCAACATAGATGCAGCTGGAGGCCATCATCCTAAGTGAACTAACTCAGCTACATAAAATCCAATACTGCATGTTCTCACCTATAAGTGGGAGCTAAACATTGAGTACACATGAACATAATGATGAGAATAGACAGTATGTACTACCCAAGCAGGAAAGTATGGGGGGATGTGGGTTAAAAACCTATCTATTACATACCATGCTCACTACCTGGGTGATGAGACCCATACCCCAAACCTCAGCATCATACAATATACCCATGTAACAAACCTGCACATGTTCCCCCTGAATCTAAAATACAAGTTAAAAGTATTTATATAAAAAAACAAAAGCTTCTCAAGGTGATTCTAATGTCTTGCTTGGGCTGTGAACCATTTGTTAAAGGAACACAGTAAGATAATTTCGTTTGAGGCCTGTGTCTCTATATCATGGATGAGCACATTGCAACACAGTGAGGTTCCATCGCCCCAGGAACCAGCAAGTGGCAGGACTGGAATTCAAAGTCCCTCTGAGTAAAATATCATGTTTCCTGCAATCCACAGAAAGCCTCACCAACTAGGAAAGTCACATTCCTGTGAATTAAGATAGATACAATAATCAGCTGTGAAAAAGTGATAGCTGAGCATAGAAAAAGGGTTAATTAATGATACTCATAAAATGTTTAAAGGGAAGCTGGAGTATATAGAGAAGACTAAATATTTTCAATGGAACAAGGTCTCTAATGCATCCTGGGCTTAAAATCTGAAATCCCAAAGACAATGAGAAAGTGATGTTCATGGGCTAATGTTCTTTTATGGGCCCCCAAAATAAAGTCCCTTTTAACTAAGAGCAAGTGCATATTCATGATTCTATGTATTTATTCATTTGTTTCCTGAGAGGAGGCTCTTAGCAAAGAATTACTCTTGCTTTAACTAATTTGCAATTCTTTGCAGAACTGAATCTCTGTATCCTAGCTCAAGAGTATTTTCTTGTAGTTTCTCTTGTCTTCTTTTCCTAATGGAAATTCTGGTTTTTAAGACGACTTATTATTGAAGTAATTATGTCCTCTGCCTCTGTAAGCAGCCTGATTTTCCATAAATCTAAAGTTATCTTCACACCCTCCCAAAAAAAGGGAAAAATACACACTCTCAAAAATGAAGTGTGTGTGTGTGTGTGTGTGTGTGTGTGTTTAAATCTTCCTCTCTCATAAGAACAGTTAGTTCTGAACTTTATGTATTATACTGGAGTTTTTCCAGAAGCCTGTAAATCTTTTGAAGAAATGGCTTTGTTGCCAAAAAGATTTTTTTTTTTTTCCTGAACTGGGGAGGACAAGACATGCAAGAATGGGCATTTCAGTTCAGTTTGCTTAGTGCTCATGGAATCACCTCATTCTCCTGATTAAAACCTGTGATGACTTCCTATTGACCCCAGGCATCTTTGGCATGAAAAGCTTCTGCTTCATCTTCTGTAAACCTCTGAAGCCTAACCTTCTGACACGTTCCTTTCCCTCTCAAACTCCATGCCACTTAAATGAAATCTGTATATCTCCTTGACTTTACAGAAATTTCTCTGCCTTTTGCCTGAGTGCCTTTCACCTCCAAATCTACATAGTTAACTTCTTTCTTTTCTACAACATCCATTCATCTCTCCTTGGATGTCTTACCAGCCTTTTCTAATGCATTTCCTCCTTTCATTCCTGCCAACCAAAACAAACAAACAAACAAAACACATCTATTTGTTTTAGGAGCCACTTCTCTGTGCTTTCAAAATATCTTGTACTGTTTTTGTTTTTGTTTCCAAGATGGCAGATTGAAGGCATTATTAGCATGTCTCTCCCACTTGGAAAGACAAAATAGTGTGTAGAGGCTCAATCTGTGAACTTTTTTCCAAGAAGCAGCACAGGATCTTAACAGGATAACTGAAAGAAACCACAGACCCTTTGAAAGAAGTGGTGGGCTACAACCTACAGCATGAACCAGATGGAAAACTGTGAGTTCCCAGAGTGTGAGAGGGGAGAGATTGCCTCCAGGATATACTCCCCTATTGGCGAACCTGGCAACCCAGGCCACTGGGGATGGCCTTAACTCTACCCAGCATTGGAGCAGATTTAGTGAGCAGTGGGGAGTATATGAGAAGGAGAGGCACTGGGACATGCCTGGTGTGCACTCTTAGACTCCAGCAGTGTTTGGGGGAAGTCATTCCTGATCCTACCTCATAGGGGATCTCGCAGAAGTCTGCAGGATAACTCAAGTATTGGTCACAGGTTGAGAGAAGCTCCCAACTGAGATTTGCAATATACTGTTGGGTCAGGATGACCCCCCTTGGCCAGAACTAAGGGGAGAGGGGGAAGAGTGTAATAGCCATGGGCACAAAAGCTGGGCACCCCTATTTCACAGGCAGGCTGGAAAGGGTGTGGCCTGAAAGCCATAGTTTCTGTCTTGGTGGGAAGGCTCATTGCCTCGGGCAGTTTTGAGTTCTGAGTGCAGATTGCCTGAATCAAGCTAGCTTTTGCTAGTGGAACACTGTGGGTTTGAGACCTGCCTTGCCAAGTGTTTAGGAGCTGAGTGGAGCTTACTGCTGCCTGCCATTCCCCAATCCCTGTGCGGATTTTTCTGTGCTACAAAGGTAGCTGGGCTCTTACCTGGAATGCTACCCCAGTGCTCAGAGAGCTGCCCTCTAATTGCCACTGGGGCTGCTGCTTGCTCCTGCACATGAGGAGCAAGAGTACAGCGTTACCTGACCCAGTCCACATCTGGCTTTGCCCCATCACCCTCCCTGGTATCTTAACTCAAAGGACAGAAACTTTTGGGAGCCCCATGGCTCCATGCATTGCCTGAGACACCAGAGCCCCTCCCCTGGGTAACATAAAGCAAGCATAAATCCCACTGCTACCACCAAAGCTGGTGCTCCTTTGCAAGCATCACCTCCTGGATGGAGACCAACTGACACAGTTCATTATAGCATCTGCAGGCAGAATACACAGTGCCCAGGAAGGAGAAACGTTTTGTATGACATCAGCCGTCACCATTGCCTACATCACCCTGGCTAACCAGAAGGCCTTGAGGATGTCCACATGAACAGTTTATTACTACTGCAACTGGCATTTGAGAAAACGAATACACTAAGGCTATTTCTAACTAAGAAAATATCACAGAGTCCGTATCTCTCCCCTGCCATCCCCATCAGAGCTGTTGTTGGTACCTGCTGCTGGGAGACTTGAGGACAGGTCATATCACTGGATTCCTTACCAACATTCCCCAGTACCAGCCTGGAGTGTGGCTGCTCTACTGGGTAGCCAGACATAGAGGAGCAGCAGGATTCACATTAGTCTGTCCCTCAGGGACTCCTACTCCTAGGGGAAGAGGGAGGGCAGTGTGTCACAAGAGCACTCCGTGGGACAAAAGAATTCAGATGGTGGCCTTGAGTCCCACAACTTGCTGTTGTGGGAAGTTTTTTTCAGCAGAGGCACAGTTGCAGTGCTGGGCTCAGTGGGGAAAGTCTGCAGCTCTATCTCAACAGTCAGACAGCCTTGGAGCTCCTGAAGGGCCTTGGAGCTCGAGAAGGGCCTTGGAGAAGGAGACTTTTTCTTCCCCACATTTACTACTGAAGACAGAGTTGGGCCCTCTCCCATGGGAGCTCAGCATGGGTGCACCTGTCTACAGCCTTTCTGGAACACTTTAGGGTGGCTGCATCCCCACAGGAGGAGTGCCTTTCAAGTCCAGGCTTGCACAAGGGGTACAGTCACAACCCCTCCATACATGGAACGTTAGCATTCCTGCAGATGAAAAGAGGTGCCTTTCCAATGTGAATAGCTGAAACACTGGATCAGGAGTGTGACTGGGAGGAATATCACTCTCATGACCTGGTAGGGGAGCTGAGGTGGCTTCCTCCCTTACCCCTGAACATACCTTAAAGCATTTCACTGAGAGCTCTCCCAGTAGACCTCTCCCAGTGGGACCTCTGCCTGCCATTGAATATTGTACTTACCTACCTGCTTTGGCCACAACCAGTTTTTACCTGTAGAAACCTACTACTGGCCTAAGCCTGAGCTGTTTAACTCAGTTAATAAAATATTGGGGAAAATAAATAAATAAATGTGCACACCACTGGGGAATGAAATAAGCTTCGTGCAACTTTGCAATTCTAACCCCACAGGAGAAGTGAGCCTGCTCACACATGAAGCACATTGCCACTACAACTAGCATCTGAGAAAACCATCATACACGCTCTGTAAAAAAGGAACCCATACGGAGTCTTCACCATCGAAAGCACTCAGAGCTAAATTAGGTTACAATAAACTGTAAGCATTAAAGTTACATCATCAGAGGGGTGGGGGAGGCATAAAATAAAAGTTGAATAAAAAAATAAATTCAAACATAATTAGAAGAAATAGTCTATGCAAATGAGAAGAAACCAGAAAAATTATTCCAGCAATATGAAAAGACAGGGTTATGTAATACCCCATAACATCCTACTAGCTCTCCATCAATGGATCCAAACCAAGACAAAATCTTTGAAATACCAGATAAATAATTCAAAACATTGATTATTAAATTACTCAAGAAGATACAAGAAAAAGGTGAAAACCAACATAAAGAAATTTACAAAAACAAGTGAGAATATGTATAAAATTTTTTCTAAAGAAATACCTGTTTTAAAGAAAAAAAAATCAGAATTCTGGAAATCAAAGTCACATTTAGGGAATTACAAAGTGAAGTGGAAAGTTCTAACAATGGACTAGGCCAAGTAGAAAAAAGAATTTCAGAGCTTGAAGACAAGCCTTTTGCATTAACTCAATCAGACAAAATTAAATAAAAAAGAATTTTTAAAAGAATCAACAAAGTCTCAAAGAAATATGAGATTTTGGAAAATGGCCAAACCTAGGAATCACTGGTATTCCTGAGGGAGAAGGAAAAGCAAAAAAATGCTTAGAAAACTTATTTGAGGGAATAATTGAGGAAAATTTTCTGGCCTTGCTAGAGATTTAGACATCCAAATACAAGAAGCTCAAATAACTCCTGGGAGATTCACTGAAAAAAAGGACATCACCAAGGCATATAGTCATCAGGCTATAAAGTCAATGTGAAGAAAAGAATTGTAAGAGCAGTGAGACGAAAGCCATCAGGTAACCTATACAGCAAAACCTATCAGACTTACAGCAGACTTCTCAGCAGAAGCCTTACAATCCAGTAGAGATTGGGGTCCTATCTTTAGCTGCCTTAAACAGCACAACTGTCAGCCAAGAATTTTGTATCTAGCAAGACTAAGTTTTATAAATGAAGGAGAAATAAAATTTTGTTTTCAGTCAATCAAATGTTGAGGGAGGTTGTCACTACCAAACCAGTCCTAAAAATGTGCTAAAAGAAGTTCTAAATCTTGAAACAAAAGGTTGACATGTACCAGAATAGAATCTCTTGAAAGCATAAAATTCACAGGACCTATAAAAAATAACAAAATGGAGAAAACAAAGTAACTAAGTAACAATCAACACAGTCACTGGAACAGTACCTCATGTCTCAATATTAATGCTGAATATAAATGGTCTAAATGCTCCACTTAAAACATACAGATTTTCAAATGAATTAAGAAATCACAAACAAAATATCTGCTCTCTTCAAGAGACTCACATGAAACGTAAAGATAAAACACTCAAGGTAAAGTGATGGAAAAAGAATTTCCACACAAATGAAAGCCAAAATCCTGCAGGAGTATTTACAATTATATCAAATAAAACAGACTTTAAAGCAACAACAATAAAAAAGACAAAGGCCATTATATGATAATAAAAAGATGAATCCAATAAGTAGATATAACAATCCTAAATATATATGCACCTAAATCTGGAGCTCCTGGACTCATGAAACAATTACAAATAGACCTAAGAAGAGAGATAGCAACACAATAATAGTGGGAGAATTCAGCCTTCCACTGACAGCACTAGAGATATCATTGAAACAGAAAGTCAAGAAGGAAACACTGCACTTAAACTGCACTCTAGAACAAATGGAACTAACAGATATTTATAGAGCATTCTACTCAAGAACTGCAGAATATGCATTCTTCTCATCAGTACATGAAATATAATTAAAGATAGACCATATGACAGGCCACAAAACAAGTCTCAATACTTTCAAAAAACTGCAATTATATCAAATATCTTCTCAGAACACAGCAGAATAAAATGAGAACTCAATTCCAAAAGGGAACCTCAAAACTATACGAATACATGGAAATTAAACATTCTGCTCCTGAATGATTTTTGGGTAAACAATAAAATCAAGATAGAAATTTAAAAATTCTTTGAAATGAATGATAACAGTGACAAAAGTTATAAAAACCTCTGGGATACAGCAAAAGCAGTTCTAAGACAAAAGTTTATAATAGTAAGTACCTACATCAAAAGTCTGAAAGATCACAAATAGACCACTTAACATCACACATCAAGGAACTAGAAAAACAAGAACACAACACACCCAAAGCTAGCAGAAGAAAAGAAATAACAAAGGTCAGAGTAGAATTTAATGAAATTGGAACAAAAAATACAAAAGATCAATGAAATAAAAAGTTGGTTCTTTGAAAAGATAAACAAAATCAATAGATCATTAGCTAGATTAACCAAGAAAATAAAAGATTTAAATAAGCTCAATTAGAAATGAAAATGGAGATGTTACAACTGATGCCACAGATATACCAAAGATTATTTGAGACTACCATGAACACCTCTACACACAAACAAGAACACTTAGATCAAATTGATAAATTCCTGGAAACGTACAACTCTCCTAGCTTTAATCAGGAAGAAATAGAAATCAATAACAAGCAGTAAGATTGAATCAGTAATAAAAAATTTACCAACAACAAAGAAGCCCAGGGTTAGATAGATTCACAGCTGAATTCTACCTGATAAGAATTGGTAAGACAATGATAGTCCACTAAAACTATTCCAAAAGAATAAGAAAGAGGGAATCCTCCCTAACTCATTCTATGAAGCCAGTATCACCCAGATACCAAAGACAAGAAAGGACATAACAAAGAAAATGGTAGACCAATATCCCTGATGAAAATAGATGCAAAATGCCTCAACAAAATACTTGTAAATGGAATCCAATAGCACATCAAAAAGATAACTCAACATAATAAAATGGATTTCATCCCAGTAACGGAGGAATGGTTTAACATATGCAAGTCAGTAAATGTGGCTGCAGAATTAAAAACAAAAAACTATATGATCATCTCAATAGACACAGAAAAAGCATTTGGTAAATCCAGCATCCCTTTATGATAAAAACCTCAACAACCTAGGCATAGAAGGAACATACCTCAAAATGATAAAACCCATATATGAAAAACCCACAGCCTATACTGTGAATGGGGAAAAGTTGAAAGTATTATTCCTACAAACTGAAAAAAGACAAGGACATACACTTTTACCACTTCCATTTAACATAGTACTGGAAGTTATAGCTACAGCAATCAGGTAAGAGAAAGAAATAAAGGTCATCCAAATTCGAAAAGAGGAAGTATAACTATCTCTGTTTGCCAATGATATGATTTGATACCTAGCAAACTCTAAAGAGGCTTCCAAAAGACTCCTAGATTTGGTAAATGAATTCCATAAAGTATCAGATTACAAAATCAGTGCACACAAATCAGTAGCACTGCTGTATACCAACAACCAAGCTGAGAATCAAATCAAGAACTCAATCTCTTTTACAATAGCTGCAAAAGAAATAAAATTCCTAGGAATATACTTAACGAAGGAAGTAAAAGATCTTTCTACAAGAACTACAAAACACTGCTGACGAAAATCATAGATGACACAATTGGAAATACATCCCATTCTCATGGATTGGAATAATCAATATTGTGAAAATTACTATATTGCCCAAAGCAATCTACAGATTCAGTGCAATTCCTATCAAAATGCCAACATCATTTTTCAAAAAATTAGAAAATAACAATCCTAAAATTCATATGGAACCAAAAATGAATCTGATTAGCCAAACCAATCCTACACAAAAAGAGCAAATCTGGAGGCATCACATTACCCAACTTCAAATTATACTATAAGCCTACAATAACAAAAACAGCATGGTACTTGTATAAAAGTAGACACATAGACCAATGGAATAGACTACAGAACCCAAAAATAAAGCCAAATACTTACAACCAGTTGATTTTTGACAAAGTATACAAAAACTTAAATTGGGAAAAAGACACCCTATTCAATAAATGGTGCTGGGAAAATTGGATAGCCACATGTAGAAGAGTGAAACTGGATCCTTTTCTCTCACAATACACAAAAATCAACTCAAGATGAATTAAAGACTTAAATCTGAGACCTGGAACCATAACAATTCTCAGAAAAAACTTAGGAAAAACTCTTCTGGACATTGGTCTAGAAAAAGAAATTGTAACTAAGACCTCAAAAGCAAATGCAACAAAACAAAAAATAATTAAACTAAATTAAAGTAAAAAGCTAATTAAACTAAAAAAGCTTCTGCAGAGGAAAATAAATAATCATCAGAAGAAATTGACAACTCACAAAGTGGGAGAAAATATTTGCAAACTATACATCCAACAAAGAATTAACATCCAGAATCTACAAGGAACTCAAACAAATCAGTAAGAAAAAAATCAAATAATCTAATAAAAAGTGGGCAAGATACACAAATACACATTTCTCAAAAGAAGATACACAGATGGCCAACAAGTATATGAAAAAATTGCTCCCCATTACTTGTCATCAGAAAACTGCAAATTAAAACCACAATGAGATCTACCTTACCCCAGGTATAATGACCATTATTAAAAAGTCTGAGAAACAATAGATGTTGGCATGGATGTGGTGAAAAGGGAATGCTTATACACTGCTGATGAGAATGCAAAGTAGTGTAACCTCTGTGGAAAACTGTATGGAGAATTTCTCAAATAACTAAAAGTAGGTCTACCATTCAATCCAGCAATGCCATTACCGGGTATCTACCCAAGGAAAAAGAAGTCATTATATCAAAAAGACACCTGTACACATATGTTTATCACAGCAAAATTCATAGTTCTAAAGATATGGATCCAAGCTAAGTTCCATGAATAGATGAGTGGATAAAGAATGAAATAATATCCTTTGCAGGCACTTGGATAGAACTGGAGGTCATCATTCTAAGTGAAGTAACTCAGGAATGAAAAACTATACTGCATGTTCTCACTTATAAGTGGGAGCTAAGTTATGGGTACACAAAGGCATACAGAGTGGTATAATGGACATTGGAGACTCAGAAAGGTGGAGAGTGAGAGTGGATGAAGGGTAAAAATCCTATATATTAGATACGATGTATACTACTCTGATGATGGGTGCACTAAAATTTCAGACTTCATCACTGTGTAATTCATCTATGTAACCCAGAACCACTTGTAACCCAAAAAGCTATTGAAATTTTTAAAAAATAAATTTAAAAAACACAAAATACTTTGTACTGTATTTTTTAATTTGTTATCTCTCTCAATCACTCAGTAACTGTAAACTCTGAGAGATGATATCTTCTTTGTTTACATTTCTCTCATAAAGCACCTTGTCTCACTATAAATAGGATCTTTAGACATACAGAAGACTAACATTGCAGAGACGAAGCACAAATTCTCCAAGTCCTCCATCACTGGCAATGATGGTGAAGACACTCTTACATGCTGCAGTTCCTAAACTCTGTGTGTGTGTGTGTGTGTGTGTGTGTGTGTGTGTGTGTGTAATCCTCATGCCATGGTCTGTGGCAAATGGTTTGTCTGCTTTGTTAGAGCCCAGGAAAGAGAAAGATTGTGAGATCAAGACAAGGAAGTCTGGGGCAAAGCTTGTGGAAGGGCATAAGGGAACAAGTAAGAAGTGTAAACATCTTTGTATTACATGTTATGCTTACCAGAGAGCACCTACCAGAGCAGCAGAGTCAGTAAACAACGAAGTGGATCAAATCACCTGGCTGGTTGGTGTCAGCCAGCATCTTTTGCTGACCCTTCTCAGTGCTGTCTAGTGTCACAATGGGTTTATGGGAGGGAAAAAGCTGTGGATGTATGCTTAGAGGGAATGAATGGACCAAAGAGCCTGGGCTCTCACCTACCAAGACTGATCTAACTGCTACAACTGTCTAATGCCAACACTGTCTAATCTCCCTCCAGAAAAGGAGACCAAAGCTGAACCCCAAATATAACTTCATGCCTCAAGTAGACTAAGTCATCACTTGGTAATTTGAAACCAAGTCATCACTTGTTGGAAATTAATTCTATTGTACCCTTCCTATCTTGGAAAAGGCAGAAATTCTTATAGACTGGAAGTGGCACATATTCCAGGCACATGCTTTTCTTTCCTGCCTGTAGAAACCTTGCCAACATTGCTAACCGAGGGCACATCAGTATGCTTGGCCAAGAATCCATCTTTGACAAATGAGGTGTAGTAATAAGCATCTGACCAGTGGTCTTATGACACTACATGACCCAAACACTTCTGGCAGATGGAGTAATAGAATGTTGGGGGTTTTTTTGTTTTGTTTTCTTTTTCTTTCTTTTTTTTTTTTTTTTTTGATACGGAGTCCCTCTCTGTCACCCAAGCTGGAGTACAGTGGCATGATCTCTCAGCTCACTGCAACTTCCACCTCCTGGGTTCAAGCAATTCTTCTGCCTCAACTTCCCGAGTAGCTGGGATTACAAGCACACACCACCATGCCTGGCTAATTTTTTTGTATTTTTAGTGGAGACGGGGTTTCACCATGTTTGCCAGGCTGGTCTTGAAATCCTAAACCTCAGGTGATTTGCCTGCTTCGGCTTCCCAAAGTACTGGGATTACAGGCACGAGCCACCGTGCCCACCCAGAATAGTGTTTTGAAGGCACAGTTGATGTACCAACTTATTGATGATACCCTGTGAGGTTGGGATGGCATCCTGAAGGAAGTGGTGTACAACTAATTGAATGACCATTACATGGTATCATCCCCAGTAGGTAGAATACCTGCGGGCTCCATGTATGAGTGAGGCTTTAGCACAACTGCTTTTCATTTTCAGCTTGCATCCACACATGGAGCCAGCATATCCATTAACTAAGCTCAGGCTTTTCCCTTGTTTATTAGATGATGACAAGAGGATCCTGTACAACCAGTGAGTAGATACCCATGAATTTTGGGTCTGTTGGTGCAGCATTGGTGGATGACATGAGCTTCTGAGCTGTCTGCTTGTGCAGCTTACTTGTGTTTGTTGTTCCTACTTGTGTCTAATCATAGGTGTAAAATCTCGTTGTTACAATGAATTGCTATTGAATCTACCTGTCCATGTGGTTTGATCAGTCTGATGAAACCTAGCTCGCATGGTCGCATGATATCCTATGATTAGTCATTCCATCTTTACCAGGGACCAGAAGCATTATAAAAGCAAGATCTGGAGAAAGTGAAGTATCACAAAGTAAAAAAAAAAAAAAAAATTACAAATCACTAAAACAAAAACATATAAGCCAAGAGTGCAGCAAATGAATGTTTTAAGGTTCTGTATTGTCCAGGAAGAGTAAAGGCATTACTAATTAGGTGTATACTTTGATATGTCGATCATGTAAATTTTAACACCCACTAAATAAAAAAGGGAATGATGCATTACTTCCAAGAGAATAAATAGCAAAAGATAATAACATAAAAACTATTCCAAAAGAAATTTAAAAAGGAGAAAGTACACACAACAATAGGACAAAGAGAAAGGATAAAAGAAGAGATTAAAATGAACTAGTAAAAACATTAAAATGTAAATGGATTAAATTATCCAAGTAAAAACAAATTTGGCATAGTAAATTAGAAAAAGATCTAATTAGTACTATTTAAAGAGTGTGTATATATATATATGTACACACACACACATATGTACTATTAAAAGAGTACATATATACATTAGTACTATTTAAAGAGTATAGATATACACATATATATTTATACTCTTTAAATAGTGCTAATTAATATATATAAATAGTACTAATATATACATATATTCTTTAAATAGTGCTAATTACTATATATGTATATATATTGTATATATATACTATATATAGTATACTATAGTATATATAGTATATACTATATATAGTATATATAGTATATACTATATATAGTATATACTATATATAGTATATAGTATATACTATATATAGTATGTATATACTATAGTATAGTATAGTATATACTATATATAGTATATACTATAGTATAGTATAGTATAGTATATATAGTATACTACACTATAGTATATATAGTATATCTAGTATATATATATGATATATATATACTATATGTGAGATATATATACTATATATGAGATATATATATACTATATATATCAGAAATATACAAATATACAAAAAAAATACAAAAAGGTTGAAACTAAAAGAATGGAAAAAGACATACAGTGATAATACCATCCAAAAGACCATGATATTAATATCAGACAAAGTCTAAGGAAAAAATATTACTAGAGCAAAAGAAAATCATTTAGGATGATAAAAGTTTAAATTTATCAGGAAGTCATAATTCTTATTTATATGCAGCTAATGACATAGCTTTAAAATATGTAAAGCAAAAACTCAACAAGAGTCTAAGGGAAATTTTAAAATCTCACGAGCAAAGTCGGAATTTTGAACATATTTTTTGAGTAACTGGCAGATCAAGCAGACCACAAATCAGTAAGTATAGAACATATTTAAGCAACATTATTACAAATTAGACCTTAAAAATATACAGAACATAGCATCCTGTAACTACATAACACATTCTTTTTGCATACATCTAAATATAGCTGTTATAAAAGTTGACCTTAATTTGGGTACCAAGTTGAAACAATTGTTCAAGGATAAAACATATAGGGCATGTTATCTAAATACAATATAATTAAGCTGGAAATATATACCATAAGATTTTTCTTTATCATATTCATGTTTGAAAGTAAATATCTCTTCTTGGAAAGAAAAAATATTTTTATGTAACCGAAGGAAGAAATTAAATGGAAACTAGAAATATTTTGAACTAAGAAAATGAAAATAAAATAATGCATATCAAAACTTGTTGGATGCAGCTAAAGAAACTTTTGAGTCAAAATATATACATTAGAAATATTTATTAAAAAATACTGAAAATTAATTAACTTTTGTATGTAATTAAGGTAATGATTTCTAATTAATATACTAGATAATATCCAAAGGCTAAGTGACTTAATACAATAAATTTTTACTTATTTGACAGTGCAGTGTGAATATTCTTGATTACGTGTCAATGTATGTGGCATTCAGGTTTCTAGACACCTTTTATTTTACAGCTTGCCCTTCTGTGGGTTTTAAGAGTTTTCTCTACCTAACAAATAGAAAGTGGGAAGAATTGAAGGTCCCCTTGTCATTATTTGATAGGTAAGACTTGGAAGTTGCATGCTACAATTCTTCCCATATTTTATTGACAAGTACTGAGTCACATGTCCACATGTAATTACAAAAAAGAAGCTTGGGGATGGCAGTCTAACATGTGGCCAGGAGAATTCTGCCTCTCACAACTCCCATTCAACATTGTGTTGGGACCTAGTATAATGACCTAAAAAACCAACCTAATAAAAATCAATTGCAAAGCTTTATTTACTAGAAACAAGCAATCAGGCATTAAATATGACATTTATAATATTATAAGATAATATGATGTACCTAGTAATAAAGCTAGCAAAAGACGTGCAAGACTGCTATGGAAAAAACTCTAAAACTTTTTGAATGACACAAAGAAAAATCTCAACAAATGAAAAAAATACACCATACCCTTGGATTAGAAGATGTAATTTTATTATGTAAATTGACCTCAAGTTTTAATGGTGTACAAACATAATCATGTTTGTGTCTGTATGAACTGAAAAGTAGTTTCTGAAATTTATACAGAAGTGAAATGAATACAAATACCTAAGACACTCAAAGAAAAAAGAAAAAAGTGGAACAACTTGTATCAGATATTAAGATTCATAATAAAGTCACAGTAATTAACACTGTATTATATTAATGCTTAATTAGACAAATGACCAATGGAATTGACATTTTAAAAAGTTCCCGGCTGGGCACCGTGGCTCACGCCTATAATCCCAGCACTTTGGGAGGCCATCGGGGGCGGATCACCTGAGGTCGGGACTTCGAGACCAGCCTGACCAACATGCAGAAACCCCGTCTCTACTAAAAATACAAAATCAGCCGGGCGTGGTGGCACATGCCTGTAATCCCAGCTACACAAAGGTGAGCCAAGATTCCAGCCTGGGCAACAAGAGTGAAACTCCATTTCAAAAAAAAAAAAGTTTCCACAAATTTAGGAAAAGATAGATTTTTGTTTGGTTATGATAACAAGTAGTCATCTGAACAAATTTTAAAGCTGTTCAAATAATCAACAACTTGCCTTACAGAACACACTTTTCTTTTTCTTTTCTTTCTTTTTTTTTTTTTTTTTTTAATGTTTCTTTCCTCCTTAATGGAATTCAGGTAACATGTTTGGCCCATTTTTCCATTGGATCGATCCTTCCTTCCTTCCTTCCTTCCTTCCTTCCTTTGTTCCTTCCTTCCTTTCTTTCTTAACTTTATTTACTCTAAAAGGAAAAACAGGATACATGTGCAGAACGTGCAGGTTAGTTACATAGGTATACGTTAGCCATGGTGGTTTGCTGAAACTATTGACCTGTCCTGTAAGTTCCCTCCCCTCACCCACCACCCCCAACAGGCTATGGTGTGTGTTGTTCCCCTCTCTGTGTCCATGAGGAAACACGCTTTTCTAAGCCAAGCAATCGGTGTCTTCCATTTCTTCTGAAAATAAGCCAATCAGGAATGAACTCACTCCAGTAAACCCACCTGTGACTGCCAACCTATCAGTACTAGTAGTATTTGAATCAAATGGATCTCCAAGTTACCTGAATTCATTTACATCTCTGAAAGTACATCATCAATCCCCTAAACTCCATGCTTCCTAAAGACCCTAAATAAGATCAGCTATCTGTTCTCAGAAATTTCTCTATAAGCAGACTTCTCCCTTACTCTAGTAAACAATAAGTACAGCCGTTTATTTTTATTTTATATCGAGTGGTGACCTCATTATCCATTTGAATGAACAGCATGAGGAATTTAGAAACACGTTCAGCCAGGTGCACACCCAGCTCCTAGGGAGGTTGAGGCAGAAGGCAGGGACATGGCTTGAGAGTTCATGGTTGTAGTGTGCTATGATCACACCTGTGACTAGCCAATGCATCCCAGCCTGGGCAACATAGGGAGATCCCGATTTAAAAAAAAAAAAAAAAAAAAGGACTTCTATTTGAATTATAACAAAGGAGGCACTGCTGATCAGTGAGGAATCAATGGGGATAAGACAATTAGCTGACCTTTATTGCATAATGTGTACACAATGAATTCCATGTGGATTGAAATTTTTGACATAAAAGTAAAAGCTTTAAAACTTTTCTAAGATAATATTCTAAAGATAGATAATGTTATATCATGACCTCATTTTAAGAAAAGATTTCTTAAACCGATCGCAAAACATTTTTACTGTAAAGAGAAAATTGATGATTGGACTGCATTAAAATTTTGAACTTACATCCTATAAATCACCACAAAGAAAAGAAAGCCACAGATGATGGAAGAAGATATTTGCATCACGGTGTCTGTAACCAATACCCAGAACAAATAAGGAACTTCTAAAAATAAACTTTAAAGTCTCCCATTATTATTGTATGGGAGTCTAAGTCTCTTTCTAGGTTTCTAAGGACTTGCTTTATGAATCTGGGTGCTCCTGTATTGGGTGCATATATATTTAGGATAGATTGCTCTTCTTGTTGAATTGATCCCTTTACTATTATGTAATGGCCTTCTTTGTCTCTTTTGATCTTTGTTGGTTTAAAGTCTGTTTTATCAGAGACTAGGATTGCAACCCCTGCTTTTTTTTGTTTTCCATTTGCTTGGTAGATATTCCTCCATCCCTTTATTTTGAGTCTATGTGTGTCTCTGCACATGAGATGGGTTTCCTGAATACAGCACACTGATGGGTCTTGACTCTTTATCCAATTTGCCAGTCTGTGTCTTTTAATTGGAGCGTTTAGCCCATTTACATTTAAGGTTAATATTGTTATGTGTGAATTTGGTCCTGTCATTATGATGTTAGCTGGTTATTTTGCTCGTTAGTTGATGCAGTTTCTTCCTAGCCTCAATGGTCTTTACAATTTGGCATGTTTTTGCAGTGGCTGGTACCAGTTGTTCCTTTCCAAGTTTAGTGCTTCCTTCATATGGAACCAAAAAAGAGCCCGCATTGCCAAGTCAATCGTAAGCCAAAAGAACAAAGCTGGAGGCATCATGCTACCTGACTTCAAACTATACTACAAGGCTACAGTAACCAAAACAGCATGGTACTGGTACCAAAACAGATATATAGACCAATGGAACAGAACAGAGCCCTCAGAAATAATGCCGCATATCTACAATCATCTGACCTTTGACAAACCTGACAAAAACAAGATATGGGGAAATGATTCCCTATTTAATAAATGGTGCTGGGAAAACTGGCTAGCCATATGTAGAAAGCTGAAACTGGATCCCTTCCTTACACCTTAGACAAAAATTAATTCAAGATGGATTAAAGACTTACATGTTAGACCTAAAACCATAAAAACCCTAGAAGAAAACCTAGGCAATACCATTCAGGACATAGGCATGGGCAAGGACTTCATGTCTAAAACACCAAAAGCAATGGCAACAAAAGCCAAAATAGACAAATGGGATCTAATTAAACTAAAGAGCTTCTGCATAGCAAAAGAAACTACCATCAGAGTGAACAGACAACCTACAGAATGGGAGAAAATTTTTGCAATCTACTCATCTGACAAAGGGCTAATATCCAGAATCTACAAAGAACTCAAACAAATTTACAAGAAAAAAAACAAACAACCCCATTAAAAAGTGGGAGAAGGATATGAACAGACACTTCTCAAAAGAAGACATTTATGCAGCCAGAAGACACATGAAAAAATGCTTTTCATCACTGGCCATCAGAGAAATGCAAATCAAAACCACAATGAGATACCATCTCACACCAGTTAGAATGGTGATCATTAAAAAGTCAGGAAACAACAGGTGCTGGAGAGGATGTGGAGAAATAGGAACACTTTTACACTGTTGGTGGAACTGTAAACTAGTTCAACCATTGTGGAAGTCAGTGTGGCGATTCCTCAGGGATCTAGAACTAGAAATACCATTTGACCCAGCCATCCCATTACTGGGTATATACCCAAAGGATTATAAATCATGCTGCTATAAAGACACATGCACACGTATGTTTATTGCAGCACTATTCACAATAGCAAAGACTTGGAACCAACCCAAATGTCCAACAATGATAGACTGGATTAAGAAAATGTGGCACATATACACCATGGAATACTATGCAGCCATAAAAAAGGATGAGTTCATGTCCTTTGTAGGGACATGGATGAAACTGGAAACCATCATTCTCACAAACTATCGCAAGGACAAAAAAACCAAACACTGCATGTTCTCACTCATAGGTGGGAATTGAACAATGAGAACACATGGACACAGGAAGGGGAACATCACACACTGGGGCCTGTTGTGGGGTGGGAGGAGGAGGGAAGGATGGCATTAGGAGATATACCTAATGTTAAATGACGAGTTAATGGGTGCAACACACCAGCATGGCACATGTATACATATGTAACTAACCTGCACATTGTGCACATGTACCCTAAAACTTAAAGTATAATTAAAAAAATAAAAATAAACTTTAAAAGGACAATACAAATAAATGGGTAAAATACTTGTACATGCAAGTCAGAATAGAACATAACGTAATGGCCTGTAAACATACAAAATGATGCTCAACTTCTTTATAACAGAGTTATATTAGTAATCAGAAAAATGCAAGCTTAAAATACAATGAGACTATCTTTTAATTGTTTAGCTAAAATTTAAAAATCTGACAATACTAAGTGTTGCAGAGAATGTGGTAAATGGATAATCTCATGTATTTTTAGTGGGAGTATAAACTGATATGGCAGTTTGCAAAAATATTTGATATTATCTAGCAAAATTGAAAGTATGCATATCATAGGAAACAGGAATTTCACTTCTAGGTATATAACCTAGAAAATATTGTGGAGATAGGTAGCAAGGTATCTTTACAAAAATGTGAATGTCAGGATTTTTATTATTTGTCCCAAATAAGAAAAAATCCAAATTTCTACCAAATATACCATGTATAAATAAATGGTGCCATAGTCATACAATGGAATATTATGCAACAATGTAACTGAAAAATATGGAAGGTTTGCACAGCAACATGGATGAATGTCACATAGAAATTGACAAAGAAGCTAGACAAAAAATAATACATAGAGTATTACTCCATTTATATAAAGTTGAAAAGCAGGGAAAGCTAAACTATATTGATGAGGGAAAGCATGGTTGCGGATGAAGCTATAAAGGAAAGCATGGCAACGTTAATGACAAAATTCTGAACAGTGGTTATATCTAGGGGGATAGGGAGAAACTGGGTCCATGATGGGCACACAGGGGGCCTTCAATGATGCTGCCAAAATTTCATTACATAAAATGGTTAGTGATTTGGGTCTTGCTTTATTGTTAAATTTTAAATTGTACTTATAAGTTTTATGCTTTTTCCCATTTGTACATGAAAACAAAAATTAAAATTAAATAAGTAATTGTTAATCTAGTGTAGTGATGGGAGGAGAAGTCTCATTGTAGTGAGTCAAAGAGGGAATGTATGGTGAGTCAGTAGAGTCATTGCTTATAGGCAACTATATCAGCGTGCATAAGGATAAAAACAAACAAACAAACAGAAAAGCCCAAAGCGTAAATAAGGAAATACATTCTCCAACATAGTAGCAGTTAAGTGGCTGAAAGTTCTTAAGTCAGGGCTGTTCTCTGAAGTTCTCTTGTTTCTCTAGATGTAATTTTTGTCATCCCAGGGTTGTAGCAAGAATGCTGAAATGTTTCCAAGTATCACACTGAGATATCATGACAGCACTCAACCAAGAAGAAAAGCAGCCTTTATCTTTGATTTATAAAACTCTAGAATGGACTTCTCCCACACTTTCTCTCACATTGCTTTGGCCAGTTTAGCATAACACGCATATTTGTAAGCCAATCTTTATCAAACAGGAATGGGAATGGGATTATATTAATTTTCTGTAATGGAAGGGATGTTAGTGAACAAGACACATAACTACTTTCAAGGACTGGCTTCTGAGGTTTTACTTGTAAGCTAACAATTTAAATGGCCACAGTTTTATGCATGCTGGTAGAAGACACAGATTATTGGGTCAGAGATGAAGAATAGCTTCTTAAATCCAGAGAAGCATCCAGGGGATCAGCATTTTCATAATATTCTCCTGAGGCCCAATTCTGATGGGGCAGCAAAAATAGGGCCAAGTAACAAACATCTGCACACACAGTGGATTCATTACAGGAGAGGAATCCTGGGCTTAGTGAATCTTAATATTTTATAATAGCTTGTAAGCTTTCCCTCCAATTGCTGAAAGAGAGACACTATCATTATCTACCAAAGCTGTTAACCACATAAACTTTTTTGAAAGTATATTCTGGATCAGATGGTAGTGCCTTTGCTCAGAGGAAGTTCAGATATGTGGGAGAAACCCATGGATAATTGTCTCCCAACAATTACTGCTACTCTTCTATCTTGAAATTGTCTATAAATGAATAGAGTGAATGAGGCAAGTTGGAAATTGCCAATTTGTTTAGAGGCAAGTTTAGAGGCAATCTCTTGCTACTGGAATTCAGAAGCCTGGGTATTTTTCAAACATAGATTTATGAACTTACAGTTGTTAATTTTCTTCAACATTATGTCTCATGTGTTGAGAGATGGTTTGTCCTGAGACAATATTTTTTTAGAGCAGAAAACTAAACCTGGAAAGAAATTGTCCAGTGAATTCGTAAAATATGTAAGTATTCAATATCAAAATATCAAAACACAAAACAAAACAAAAATCATTAGTCACTGTCTTAAATATGCCTGAATTTATAAAATGTCTTTATGACTAATTTTTATTTTCATTGCTTAGTATGTGACTGGAATATGTGCATATGTAATATAGCATAAGACTTAGTATTTTTTCTAGTGAACCTTGGTTTCTTCATCTGTAAAGTGAGAAGATGGGGCCAGGTTTTTTCCAATGCCCCTGTGCTCTGAGCTGATATGACTATGTTATATATTGAAATTTCCCATTCCCAACATTGACTACTCTTTCTCATTTTACTCCCCAAAATATACACCTCCATCAAATATGTGTGTAGTGTTTTTTTTTTTTTAAAGATGGAGTCTCACTCTGTCACCAAGGCTGGAGTGCAGTGGCACGATCTCGGCTCACTGCAACCTCCGCCTCCTGGGTTCAAACTGCAAACTCTGTCTCCTGGATTCAAGCAATTCTCTGTCTCAGCCTCCCGACTAACTGGGATTACAGGCGCCCACAACCACGCCTGGCTAATTTTTGTATTTTTAGTAGAGACGGGTTTTCACCATCTTGGCCAGGCCGGTCTTGGACTCCTGACCTCGTGATCCACCCGCCTTGGCCTCCCAAAGTGCTGGGATTACAGGCGTGAACCACTGCACCTGGTCCCTGTGTAGTTCTTTAAAGACAAGAAGAACTTTAAGTTTTCCCACCTTCCCGTGAGGTAGACAAAAGTCATTATATTTTAACGGAAAAAAAAAAAACTTGCACAGGAAGATGAAGTGAATTGCCTAGGGACATTTTTTTAGATCAGAAATATATTGAATAGGTAATTAGTAGAGGCAGAACTTGACTTAGAGCTTTTGAGTCTGAATCCCTGGACTTGGTATTCTCCTATGCTATTGTTCTCTAATTCCCTTCCTATACACCATTAAAACAATCATCCAGGGCAGTCATCCCTGGTTACCATGACAATCAGAGACGTTAAAGAGCAGAGCTCTACATGAGAAGCCAATTGGCTTCAGAAATGGCCCAGTAATTATGAAACTAAGTGGAAACAGTTTTTGCATGACCATTTACTCAATATTAGCTTTTATAAACCTCTCCCAGTTAGCTTCTCTCCATATGGACAAAGTAACTGTGAATAAAATCCAATGAGAAAATATCATCATTCTTCTTGTGAAAAAAATCACTTCTTTAATTGACAATTATCCTTTTGGCATCTGTCTCTGCTTGTACTTCTCTGCAATCAATTGGCTCATGTATGAAAGGGTGTGTGTGTGTGTGTGTGTGTGTGTGCTACACATGTATTAATAAGGAAAAAGAAAAAATTCATTTTGATTCATAACTGGAAAGTCATTAGAGATCATCACATTGAATTACTGTTGTTGGTTTATGTCTGTCTCCCCCACCAGATGTTGCAATACTTGAAGTAGGGATCATAGTCTCTTCTATCTCTATAATATCTACTCTCAAAATATGAAGGCATATGGTAGGTTCTAAATAATGGTTGCTAAATAACAAAACACATCAATTATCTAGTCCAACCTTCTCATTTCATACATGAGAAAAATGAAGCCCGGGAAGATAACAGGCCTAAATTCATACAACTACTTAAGCATCAAAGCCGTATATAGAATCTAGGTTTTGACTCTTACAGTGCACTTTCTAATAGTCCAGGCTATCTTACCATTTTAAAATTATCCAAGAAGTGTTTCTTCAAAACACTATCTCATATGAGGGTGAAGTTAACTGTACATAGTTAAAGTGTGGGGAAATGCTGAGTACCCCTGGTCTGGAATAATATCCATGTCATCCACAATTAGCTACTGTGAGTGGGATGAAACAGGTTTTGCAAGGCACACCAAAGACAGATTGTACATTACTGTTTACCCTGACACTGAGCTTGAAGCTAAATTGTAGTTTTAATACTGCTTTGAAAGGTAGGTGACTGTATCAAAATAAAATAAAATAAGATAAAATAAAATAAAATAATTAAAAAGCCATACTCAACAGGAGCCACATTGTAAAGGGGATATATTAGACATACTGGCAAAACCTCATATACCTTATACTTTGTATAAATATTTTATGTTTTATATATTTTATTTTTATTTTATTCATTTAATATTGTTTTAGAGACAGGGTCCCATTCTGTTGCCCAGGCTAGAGCGCAGTGGCACAATCATAGCTCAATGTAACCTTGAACTCCTGGGCCTAATTGATCCTCTTGCCTCAGCCTCCAGGGTAGTTGGGACTATAGGTGAGCACCACCACAGCCAGCTAATTTTTAATTTATTTTATTTTACTATTTTATTATATTTTATTTTATTTTTTTGTAGACAAGAGGTCTTGCTTTGTTGTCCAGGCTGGTATCAAACTACTGGGCTTAAGAGGTCCTCTCCCCCCGGCCTCTACAGTGCTGGGATTATAAGCCACTGCACCCAAACTTCTATGCTTTATATTTTGTGCAAGATAGTCTTACTCCCATTTATTAAATGTGGAGTAGGAAGGACAGATGTTACCAACCCTCACTTAAAGGTGATAAACTTAAAATTGGGAAAAATTAGGCAACAGCCTTTTCTTAAATCTTATAAATAAGGTTTAACTTTAGATCTAACTAGATAACTTTCACTAACTTTAGAATCAGATATTTTATCTGAATCTACCACTAACTAGTTTTGTGACTTTGGGTGAGCGAATTCTTAATTCAGACTCAATTTCCTCTCTTTGTGTGTAACGGTGATACTCAACAGTGAAGATTAAAAGATAATTGACTGTTTTGTGTTGGGAATTGACAAAATATCATAGATATCATGTTGTCTTGCTTATGTCCTAAGTACTGTGCAAGGTTATTAATAATAATAATGTTTGTAAGACCCTTTCACATTCACCAGAAGAAAGGTATCATTTTATCAAATGGCAATATTATTTGAGATGAGATTCTCTCCAGTACCTTCTGTTAGGATGATTGTTTTTATTAAAAATAAGTACATCTTGTGGGTGGATATTAGGGACAGGAGGATGGCCCAGATGATGAGACTACACATTTGCATAAGAACAGCTGAAATTAGCTGTGAACTTAAAGCAAACCCATAAGAAAGAAAAATGAAGTTTGTTATAGTAGCAATGGACTTACTGTTCCGTAAAATAGTTGCAAAGCCTAGCTCTGTCAGGCACATAGGCAAAGAGGAGAACAAATGGGATTTGCTAACATTTTATTCTAAATACAGATTAGTCACAGCTACCAACTTCAACAAAACAAGGAAATAATGTCATGTATGCCTCCTTTCCCACCTCCTAAACCTGAGGCAAAAGTCATTCATCTGGACATGTCTGGGTTCTCCCACTTGTCAGATATGTAGTCTTGAGTGATCTTTACATGTTTCTGAGAGCATTTCCTCATTTGTGATATAGGAACTAGTTCTTTAAACCTAGAGGCTCGTTTTGAGAATTAGATGCAGTGAGGTATATAAAAGTGCCCAGGACAGTGAGTGGTATACAGTGATTTCTCCAAAAATGTTTCCTAAAAAGTTGTGGAGCTGCCTGTCCTTACATTTTGTAGCAATTGCCAGATCATTGGCTCTCACAGATCTTGTTCACTTTTTAATATAATATGAAATATCTGTTTATAGTCATTTAATTTCTATCAAACATTAATGAAATGTATTACTAAAAGAAAATGACTCATATTGCACATTATGACAAATCATAGGATACAGGAGATTAAAATATATATAAAGTTATAAAATGTTGGAAAAAATTAAAATAAATGTTTTAATAAACAATTTAATGATACTACATAGGAAATTATGCATAGCTGACTAATGAGCTAAATTCACTCCTTGGCTCTTAGTAAATGTCATAGAAAGCAGACAATTTATTCCCAGATGCTGGGATCTATATTACATAATTGTTGGAATATTGAATTTCTAAAACAAAAAAAGACGCATATCTAAGAAATAATCTGTGAGAATGATCAGTGCAATCACTAAACTGAATAACTCAGAGACCTAAAGTTTACTTCATTTGTATACAACATGCAGGAGCAGTAACTCTATTATAGGGTAAATAAAATTATTTGGAGTCCTGTATAATCTAGGGCAAGTAACAAATCCTAAGACTCGGGGTTTGTCACTGTTGGCTTTTGTTTGGTTTGGTTTGTTTTGTTCTTACGGGTGAGATAGAAATCATATCATGAGTTTGAAGTAATAGGTTTGAAAAGGTTTGCGAACTATAAAGCAGAATATGAGTATGATGTCTGCCTTTCACTGTAACTAAGAAGAGTTCCATGTCGTATGAAACTTTCTATCCCCAAAATTTTACATGTTAGCTGGCTCATAGTGATACTCATCAAACATTTGTGAAGTAAGATCCAGTGGAGTCCAAGTCTATTTTATCTGTCTGTCTATCTATCTATCTATCTATCTATCTATCTATCTATTTATTTTTGAGACAGAGTCTCACTCTGTTGCCCAGGCTAGAGTGCAGTGGCATGATCTCAGCTCAATGCAACCTCCACCTCCTGGATTCAAGTGATTCTTCTGCCTCAGCCTCCTGAGTAGCTGGGATTACAGGCACGCACCACCACGCCCAGCTAATTTTTGTATTTTTTGTATTTTTTAGTAGAGATGGGGCTTCACCATGTTGGTCAGGCTTGTCTCGAACTCCTGACCTCCTGATCCGTTGGCCCCACCCTCCCAAAGTGCTGGGATTACAGGCGTGAGCCACCGCACCTGGCCCAAGTCCATTTTATTAGGTGGAATTAGCTCAAGATCATTACCCTTGCAATGCCTGTTCTATATCTCCTAGCAATTCTACTTGGACTACAAGAAACAAAAAAATCCTTCAAAGTCCAGTTTCCTCCTATTTTTCTTCTTGAAACACTTTCTGACCAACCCTACAAGAAGTGTTCTGTTTGTATTTTAAAATATGTTGATACTTGTTGCTTATATAATTCATTTAATACCCGCTTAATCACCATTTCTTATGAGTCTATCATTTGTCTAACTAAACCATAAATTTCTGGAGGTTAGGCTGAGGTTTCAAATGTGTTTGCATCCCCCTCAGGGCTTTTCTTGTCCATATTTTTTGAATACATTGATGAATGACATTAAAGATCTGATCTGATACTGTACCCTCGACCTTGTAACTAAGAGAGACAAGGGACCAGTATCCAACAATATTTGTCTCCTTGTGATGGAAAACCAGTGCTCTTGTCAAATAGTTTACCATTGACTTGCCTCTTCAACTAGCCTGTAACCTCAATAGTAGAGATTTTCATCTTTAACTTAGATTCCTTATGGGAAGCAGTACAGTTACTGGCTCGTCCAGTTTCAGTAAATATTTGAGGAATAGTTATTGTTATTGTTATTGAATACTTATTGTTCTCCTCTTTGTCTATATTTGCATAACTATTCCTTTAATATTCCTCAATGTGACAGCACAAAAATTATTAACATTAAGTTCCTCACCTTAGTTCACGAAACAGAATCCTCTGCTCTCTTTCCCGTTTTATGCTCTTGTAATGAGGAAAGATCCTTTTTTGCTGAGAAGAGACTCACTTTATCTACATAATAAAGAGCCTAAGACAGTGGTATTAGAGTTGTTATAAAATTAAGGAAAGTAGCTAACGTTTTGTAACTCTTGCTATGGGTTGATTATTTGGACCCTTTTCAAAGTCTGTATGTGGATAATAGTAAAGAATCAAAGTTATTTCACTACTTCTGCCTGTTGAACTATGCTGGTGAATTTGACATGGCTCATGTCCTGATCCACATGGGTTTCTGAGTGCTTTAGAGTTATAATTAAAGAGATGAGTAAATTAAATAAACTATGGCTCAATTAAAGTCTGAGAGAGTCTGAGGGCAGATTGTCTAATAAGCAGGAATTTTGGCAACAGTAAACTGTGGGCTGTAATGAGCAGGAAGAATTGGCAATTGTAGTTTCAGTTCTTTACTTTTTCTCTCTCATTCTTCATAAGCTTCTTAAACATCCTATAGTTCAATCTTTGATCTATTGGCAAAGTTTGAGAGTCCAAATTCAGTGTCATATCTCATGAAGTGGAAAGATAACTTTCTTCTGTTGAATACTCATTTTCTTCTGTTTGGATATGTACAACAGAAGATTTTTTACAAGATCTATATACCGTGTTGTATATAGTAACCTAGAAATGAACCCAAAATGTCCAAAAGCATAGAACTGAATAAATTTTGTTACAGCAATATAATGCGTATTATGTGACCAAATAATTATATTATGTTTGCTAATATGAAAAAAGTTTTCATATATATTTTAACACTTATAAATTGCTTATATCAAATGATCCATTAAATATAGGTATGTTTATATATGTATATATAATATATAATTATATATATTATATATGTTTTATATATATATATTCCTACCATAAGCATTTTCCTACAATAAGCATTTTTTTTGTGTCTAGGGAAATTCCTACAATAAGCATTTTTTTTTTTTTTTGTCTAGGGAAAGAAAAGAGACCACAAACTTTTTTTTAATGGGTAATGATACACTGCATACTTATTTCTGAAGATCTGCTGTTGAGAACTCAGTATTAAAGAAAAGTACATGTTTATTGAAATTAAATCCATAAGCCTTCTCTGTTAACATTTGATTAAAGAAAATCTTTCCTAGGGGCAGGAGAAAGAGGAGAGGTGAAAAGAGGGAAGGAGGAGACCGAAGACCGCTCAGATGTCCTGTTAAATGGAATCTGCCTGAGCATGCTGTGCTTAAGTTGCCAAACATTTTTTCTCAAAGAAATACTGAGGAACTGCTGCTAAGGCAGATGAAATCAACCTGACCAGTTCTTTTTGTCTCTCTTCTCTCTCCTCCACCTCCAGTGCATTGTGCAAGAGAAAGCTTAAACCATCTTCCTGTCAGGTGGAACGAGAGGATAAGCGCCAGGTGGCCATGCCCCTGGTCCTCATGCTCAGGGTGCAGCTGCCTGGGTGGAGGGCCAGGTCTGGCACAGGGCACACATTGTCCCGGTGCTGAGGGCTGGCTGCGCACAGTGTACTCACTTTGTGTCCAAAAGCCTGGGTTTGGGGGTTGAGGAGCCAGATTATTGTGCTATGGGGTTAAACGACTGCTAGGTGTACATAGGGCAAATTAATTCTTTGGCAGGAGGACTTTTATCTGGTAAGGTCAATTTAGAAACACTTTTGTGACTATAGTAAGAGCTAGAACATAGGGAAGAGCTGTGGGACAGTAGAGGTTTTTATCAATTCAATTCACTGATTGAATATTTAATAAGGTAAATCACCTTGAAGGTGCTATGAGAAAAACAGGTGAGTCAAAGGGACTACTTTCTTCAGGATCTTAGAGTTCCTGCCTGGGTGACAGTCATACAAACAGCAAAGTCTTAAGTGATTTCACACTGGTAAAGGGAGACCCTGGAGTGAGCTTTGGAGATCCAATCTGTCACCCATTGTGCCAAAATTAATAATACTTAAACATAGACATGTTGACATTCTGAATTCTTGAGAAGTTAAGTCAGTAAAAAGATGGCTAGAAGAATAATAGTAGATACACTAGATATCAGGATAAATAGTCTCAATCTGGGTTCAGTGGCTGACTGAAATTTATAGCTTGGAATAAGTTAGTTCCTTGCTCTGAATTGTATTTTTCTTAAACCTCCACCCAGTTCTGGAATTTTCTGATTATCATAAAAACAGTCATTCTGTGAAAGTCAGTGAAGGGTAGCTATGTTATAACTGTCATCCTCCCAGCTGAAATCATAGGATAAATCATAGATAAAAGACAACGAAACTCTTAGTTTATTTCTTCTCTTCCTCGCTCCTTTTCTTTTCAATCCCCCACTGGACCCCCACTGAATCTAAACTCTACTGAGCTATTTGCTGTCTTGTGTTCCCCAGTGATGCGTAATGACTTGCAGCCTGGGAGAGCAAATACAACACTGAAACTGTGCTTCCACGTGTACACGAGAGCCTCAGAAACTGGCTTGGCAAAGCTATTTGGCTGCTGATCTTCTGTCCAGTTTCTTTCAGCTTTACTGAAAACCACCCTTGGAGTTCTGCTCGTCCCACTCAATGCAGTCTCATCCACCATGGAGCATACTGATGGGCAAAGTTCAGACCTTGCATTATTTTTACTGAGAGCCTAGCAGAGGAGCAATAACAAATAGGTATACAACTGACCAAATGTTGAGATAGGATACGATCCGTGCCCTTCCTTAGAAGGCAAAAGGCAAAAGGGTTATGGGGTTCAGAAGACAAGGAACATACTTCTGGCCTAAGAGACGTGTAATAAAAAAGAGGTCATTTAAGCTGCACCTTGGAGAATGGAATCATGTTTTAATAAGAAAGGTGTGGAGAAATAGGGCAGGACACACTACTCAAGTTAGCAGTGTTACAAAGGTATCTGCATGGGTGGGGACCATTTTTGGATAATAATGTGCAGTTTCACTTAATGGCGGGACATTCAGTTTAAATGGCTGATTGTGTCAAACTATAGAAAGCCTTGAACACCAGCATTTTAAAAATGGACTACATGGTAAATACTAGAGATCCTTTAGGTGTTTCTGATTAGAGGTGTGGCATGATTAGAAAGGAGCATGTGCACGGTGAAATAGACCAGGGAGCACACTTTAAAAAGTTACGGTATTTGTCCAAGTTAGTGATGATGAGGCCTAAGCATTATAGGGGTGGGTATTGTGAACAGAAATGCTGCTGGACTTGGCCATTGATTAACAAGGGGAGTCCAAGAAAAGAAATCAGAGATGAGCTGGAATTTTTGAGCCAAGTTAACAAGGCAAATGTTGGCAGAGTTGGGAAAGCCAGGGAGGTATGGAGGAAGTATTTTA
Source organism: Homo sapiens (assembly GCF_000001405.40). Lineage (NCBI taxonomy): Eukaryota > Metazoa > Chordata > Mammalia > Primates > Hominidae > Homo > Homo sapiens. The sequence goes on from NC_000003.12 coordinate 189,457,152, forward strand.
TGATGGAAAGTGATTTCATTGGTGTGGGTCAAACTGATCTTCCAGAACACAGCGGGGATGTTGATTAGCTGGTTAGAAAAGGAAGCTACAAACGGAAATCCCAGTTCTGGTTAAAAATTCCTAAGTTGGTGATCATCACCGTTAGGTGGTTACTGAAGCTGTTACGTGTGCATTAGAGGTAGGCAGTGAAGAGTGAGTAAAGAGGAAGGGCTTGTCTGCCTAAAGCCTTCCTGACTCTCTGGTTGGTAGACCTGGCCTGCAAATATAGAAGCACAAATTCGTGGGTTTCTTGGATTCATTAGCACTAGTGAGTAGTCCGTTACAAAGCTCCAACAGTTGGTTTGGATCTGAGTGTGACCACAGGAATCTGATCTAGGCCATAGTAAGTCCCAGAGGTCAACTCCACCGCAGAGAGGGCCTGGAGTGGGGGCCCCCTCAACTTCACTTTGCCCCCTCTTAAATGTAATCAGGTTCTAATTATAAAATTGTAGTGCTGAAAGCATAGTTTCATACATATTTACTAGAGAGTGATGCAACTACCGATGCTTTGTAAGTTATAAATTATTATACCATTATTATTATTGTTGTAGATAGTATAAAGAATAACCATAATGTAGATGACAGGTCACTGAAAACGAAGTCTTGACAATAAATCTATTCAACCCTCCTGCTAGACGGTTGGGGACCTTGGGACTCAGGGAGGGAAACAGCTCGCCCAGATGTTATACGGAGCCCGGAGCAAAGCCCAGACTGCTGGGCTTCCAGTCAAGTGTTCTTTCCTTTTTCATTTAAGTGAATTCCTCGCTTCACCCTACTTTTTTGCAATCAATTTAACATGATATAATATTAGTCAAGATATGTCTCATTTCTTCGGTTTTACTTTTAGCTCTAAGTTTGAGGGCATTTTGGGAAAGTTACCAGCAAGTTGGAAAATGGGAAACTACTTAAAAATAGCAGAAGGTTAAAAATAATACAACTGAAGTTGATTGAGTATTTAATTTTGTAAAGTTTCTGAGACAGAGCTGGATCAGAAGGACTGTGTTCTCTAGCACCTCACAGTTCTTGTTGGGCTTCAGACAAGCAAACAGCTTGGGCAAAGCTGAATTTGATAAGAATTATCCTGGAAAAATAAACAAATATAGCATTTTTGGTTCTGTTCACTTCCTGAATGGATAAAAAACTGTGGACATTCCATGACATGCAAGGAAAGAAAAGAGGGAATCTTTGGCAGGCCGTTTTTCTATAGTACTAGTCATTCTAGGTCAATGTATTTTAAAAATTGTATAATGTATGTTAAGAAGGGAAACAAATCTCTCTGTCTCATCTGTCTTTACACATTCTCAGACTCCAGCAGCCTTCACAGTAGATTCGAGGATAGGTGGATGGAAGCATCCTATGACCCAGCACACCCAGGACAAGAAACTACAGGGTTTTTGGACCACTGCCAAGCTGTGAGATGAACCTGATAGGGTTCCTAAATAACAGCATGCCCTCAGCCTCAGGCCTGACTTCATGCTATTCCAGTCGTGTGACCTGTCTCCTCCAGTGATCTAAGATAACACTTATCGCGGTCTGCCTTGGAATCAAGTTACTTGTGTGTGTGCCTGCTTTTTCCACTAAATGAATGAGCGATGACCATGACTTACTCAACTCTATCCCCCAGAGCACTTGGCACAAGCCCTGGCACTCAGTACGTTCCCAGTAAGTGTGCAGGGTCGGCTGGGATTTTGGCAGGGCTCCTCATTTCTCGTTGGTAAAATCTATGGTTCTTCTTGCCCAATTTGAGAAGGATAAAATGCACATTTTGTTAAAAATCCTGGATCTGATTGCAGAGTCCAGGACTCTAAGAGAAATACGGATCTGTAATTTACTGTCTGTGAAGCTCTGTGCCATTCCTTTTCTCTTGCACACCTGTTTTTCTGTAGGTCATAAATATGTACTGTTAATGCAGTTCTTGCATTTTATGATTCTTTCATTTTGTAAGGTAAATTCACATGTAAAATTCCTTTTGGTTCAATTTCTCTTTATCTCTGCTCATCCTTGACACAATAATATGTAAAATAGTAAGTGGTTGTTCTATATTTAAAAAGATATATTCAAAAGAAAATTAAACAGTGGAATAGAAGAGAAAGAACACAGCACTGTTATTCAATGAGAATAATCATTCATTTATTTGCTGTTACCTTTTAGGTCTGAATGAAAATTTCCTTATATTTGTTTCCTATTACAACCCTGAAGTGAACTTTGCAAATTTCGATGGGCAGATAAGGAAGCAGCTTGAGGAGGTTAAGAAATTCACTGAAATCACAAAACCAGTCAGTAGTAGACTCGGAATTCCAATGCAGACTGACCTTCTACTACACTGCTCTGTACTTTCCAAACACTTCAAGCAAATCACTTAGCACCTCTGGGTCTCACTTTGGCTGTAAAATGGAATTAATAACATTTTATAGCATTCATGGAAAATTAAAATCATATATGTAAAACAGCAACTATTTTGGAAATCTGAAAAAGCTAAGCCAATCTCAAAAATAATTGCATTACTAAATAACTAGGGTAGTAGTCCCAACAACCAAATCCTGCTTTGAAATAAAAGTGAAATTGGAAAACTGTTGATCTCAATAATAATAAGTTGACAGTACTGACTGTGCTTGATACCTTGTGATGTTACATCCCTACATCAGATTCTTATATTGTATTTCTTATGAGTACAAGCTTACTCTCTTGCAGAATTAGAAAGGTTAGGAGAAAAAATAAAATGAAGAAAATCTAAATGTTATTCCTTGATTATCCTTTGATTGGGAAGTTAGTAAACATTTTCAAAATGATAATCCTTACAAGGATTCAGTGAAGCTGGAGCTCTCATATATAATTTGTAGCAATAGAAAATTCTTTTGTAATTTAATTTGTCAATATTATCAGATGACAGTGTTTGTACATGCACACTTCTGAACCACTAATTATTTCTTTAGTAATGTATAGTAAGGTGGGGTAATAATTTTGGAAATATATAAATATGCTTGTCTCTTTTGTGTTTCCATGTATCTGATTTTCATCCAAGTCAGCCTGAAGCATCTATCTACTCTTTCTGAGGATGCAGGGCAGGGAAGTTCAGAGGGAAAATAGAATTGTAATAACATGAAGGCAGAGTGAAAAAGATAGTACTCAGTTTTTGGCAAACAAAATAGGAATTTTATGTGCACAGGAAGATAATTAAATTTAAAGCAAGGCTCATTAAGAGAGAGAAATGTCTTCTAAAATCCCTAATCTCCTCCTTTAACTTGAAAGCCTGTCTAAAATCCCTAATCTCCTCCTTTAACTTGAAAGCCTGAATGACTTGGTCATAACATTTTGTTTAAGGCAAATAATGATCATATAGAAAGAGAGAGAGGAGAAAGCCCATTTCTGCCAGTCCCAGTGATTACGAGAGGAAGAGGAGAAACCAAGATCAGATACCATGCTTCTCTTCTCCATATTGGTGACAAACTATATTGTTGCTTGCAAAGAGATGTAAAGATCACTTTAGAGATACCCAACTAAGCATCAAAGACAATTAGGATGATGGCCTGCACTCATATTCTTGGCATCCTGGAACACAAAGCACTAAAGACTCCAGCCTTTAACCTCGTGCTGTTTCCAAGAGTGTGCAGAAACAATGAGATCAGATGGCCTGTGAAGATAGATGTGTCAGAGGTGATACAAATGCATTTATTATACTCTTGCTTACAATGGAAAAAAAGGCATACATAGCTCACTTGTCTAATGATGTTTAAACAGAGGTATCTTTTTTTTCACAGAAAATTTTGTGAAGATGCTGACATTAAGTATAAAAAATACAGTAGCATGGAAATATGAGCTTTTTATCTTTGCTCTGCTTGTCACTCATTGACTTTTAAAATATTCTGAATTTTGAGACTATTCTTTAAGTAAACCTAAAGTGTCCTTTAAGTAAGTGTCCTACAATGGCATTAAACTTTCATAAATGAGTCCTATACATTGTGCTTGTATTTAATTCAAAATTAGTTGAAAATTTTTAATCTATGTGTTCAGTGAATGAAGTGAAGAAAACTTCAGCACTGAGAATTTTAGAGACGGTATATAGAGCAAGATGGCAGAGTAGGACTCTCCAACAGTTGTCCCCTTGTAGGAACATCAATTTGAACAATAATTCATGCATGAAAATACCTTTGTAAGAGCTGAGGAAACCAGGTGAGAGTTTATAGTATTTGGTTGTAGCACAATAATTAGAAAAGACTCATTGAAGATGGTAGGAAAACAAGTTTACATCACCTGCATTACCTCCAAACCCAGGCAGCACAACATGGAGAGAGATACTGTCAATTTGAAGGAAAGAGAAGAAAGTGAGCAGAGAACTTTGCATTGGACCCAAAAACTGGGCCCACCCAGCACTAGGCAGATCTTCCTGGTCTTATTCCAGGCTGGTACCTATAGACTGGGCCTTTAGGCCTGCCCCAGTGCTAGATGGGACCACACAGCCCCATGCTTAAGGCTTGCTTGGTGAACTCAGTATTTGGTCCACACTACCACTTTGCCAATATCAGTGGACCCAGGCTTCTAGTCTGTCCCAGCTCTGTGCCTACCATAGTGGGCCCCAGGCTTCTGGCAGTGCCACCCCAGCTGCAGCTGCCCCAGATTTCTTGTGTGCCCCCGGGCCACACAGGCTGCACATCTGTCTCAGCTTCTATCCTGCTCCAGTGCCTTACCTGCCACAGCAGGCTCCAGGATTTTGACAGCACTGCACCAGCCACAATTGCCCTGTGTTTCTGGTGGGCCCCGTCACCATGCCAGCCACAGGATTTTCCAAGACAAAGCCAGTCTGTGAAGACAGTAATAATTACCTATTTATTCAAATGTGCAAACACTGATATACAACCACAAGGATCAAGAATAATCAGAAAAACATAATATCACCAAATGGACAAAATAAGGTGCCAGTAACTAATCCTAAGGAAATAAAGATATATTAAATGCCTGACAAAGAATTCAAGATAAACATTTTAAGAAACTCAGCTCACTTCAGGAAAATATAGAGAAACAACTCAATGAAATGAGAAAAACTATACATAACCAGAATTAGAATTTAATAAAAATATTGAAATAATAATTATAGTAATAGTAAGATGAAATCCTACAGCTAAAAACTACAATAAACAAAATTAAAAATATATCAATAGTAGAACTGACTGAGCAGAAGAAGGAATCTGTGAGCTTGAAGTCAAGTTATTTGAAAATATATAATCAGAGGAGAAAAAAGAATTAAAAAAAGAAAGCTTACGTAATTTATGAAACATTATCAAAAAAGAAATTTTTTAATCATAGGAGTTAAGGAGAAGAGAAGATAAAGGGATATAAAGCTTATTTAAAGAAATTGTAACAGCAAACTTTCCAAACCTGAAAAAAGTATGTAAATATCCAGATATAGGAAGGTCTAAGGTCTCCAATCAGATTCAATGTGAAGAAAACTACCCCGAGGCATATTGTAATTAAAGAGTCAAAGAACAAAGACAAAGAAAGGATCCTGGAAACAGCAAGAGAAAAGAAGCAAATAACATGTAATAGAATTCTACTACAGCTAGCAGCAGACTTCTCAGCATAAACCTTACAGGCCAGGAGAGCATGGGATGTCATATTCAAAGTGCTGAAGGAAGAAAACTAACAACCAAGAACACTGACAACCAAAAAGACAGCAAAAGCTGTCTTTTAGAAATGAAGAAGAGATAAAGATTTTACTAGACAATTAAAAAACAAGATAATTCGTAACCACCAGACCTCTTATAAAAGAAATGCTAAAGAGAGTTCTTCAGAATCAAAGAAAAAGACACTACTGAGTAAAACTGAAACATCTGAAAGTGTAAAACTACCTGGAAAAATTAAGTACGCAGGCAAAAGCAGAATGCTCTAATACTTGAATGGTGTTGAGTAAATAACTTATATCTTCAATATAAAGGTTAAAAGACAAAGATATTAGAAATAATGGCTAAAATAATTTGTTTAAAATACACAATATGATTTAAATTCACATCAAAAATTCAAAATGTGTATCAAGAAAGCAATACCATATTAATAGCTACAAAAATACCTGGGAATATATTTACCCAAAGTAGTAAGCAATCTCTAAACTAAAAACTAAGCTACTGATAAAAGAAATTGAAGACACACAGAAAAAATGGAAAGTAGCCCATACTCATGGATCAGAAGAATTAATATTATTAAAATGTTCTTACTACCCAAAGTGATCTACAGATTCAATGCAATCAGTATTAAAATATCAGTGATGGTCTTCACAGAAATTAAAAGAAAAATCCTAAAATATATACAAAACCACAAAAGGGCCTAAATAGTAAAGGCATTACTGAGCAAAAAGAGCAAAGCTCAAGTCATTACACTATCTGACTTAAAAATATACAGCAAAACTATAGTAGCCAAAACAGCATGATATTGGCATAAAAATGAACACATAGAGCAATGGAAAAGAATAGAGAGTCCATTAAGAAATGCAGCCAGGTGATTTTTGTTAAAGGGGCCAAGAACAAACAATGAGGAAAGTACAGTTTCTTCAATAAGTAGTGCTAGGAAAACTGGATATCCATATGTAAAAGAGTTAAATTAGACCCATATCTCTCACCATACTGAAAAATCAACTCAAACTAGATTGCAGTCTTAAATATAGACTCAAAATTATGACGCTACTAGAAGTGTGAAAAAAACTCCTTGACATAGGTCTCAGCAATGACTTTTTGGATATGCCCCCAAAATCACAGGCAATAAAAGCAAAAAAATAGACAAATGGGATAACATCAAACTAAGGAGCCCCTGGAGAAAAGAAACAATCAATAGAGGGAAGAGACAGCCTATAGAATGGGGGAGAATATTTGCAAACTGTATAGTTGTTAAGAAATTTACATCCAAAATACATAAAAAATTCAACAGCAAGAAAACAACTCAGTTGAAAATTGGCAAAGAAACTGAATAGACATTTCTTAAAGGAAGATATACTAATGGGCAACAGGTATATGAAAAAAATTACCAACATCAGTAACGGGGATGCAAATTAACACCACAATGAGAAAATTCTATTGAAGTAGAAAGTAGCATGTTGGTTACCAGGAGCTGAGATGGTTAGGGAGATGTTGATTAAAAGATGCAAAACTTCATTTAGACAGAAGAAATAAGTTCAAGAGAACTATTTTACAGCATGGTGACTGTAGTTAATGAGATATTGTATTCTTGTAAAATGCTGAGAAGAATAGATGTCAAGTTTTCTCACCACGAAATAACTATGTGCCAGATTTAGTCATTCCACAACATATGTGTACTTCAAAATATTATGTTGTACACAGTAAATACATATAATTTTATCTATCAATGAATGAAATAAAATTTAAAAAGAAACTTTTAGACAAGTATTTTTTTAAATAAAGCATACAAATAAAAAGATGTTGAAATGCACCTTTATAAAAGCAAGAGAACAAAACAAATTAAATGGTGAAAGTTAATCTGTGTAAAAGATTAAATATTAAAATTATTTAGTTGTGCTTTGGAATATATAAACTTGTGGAAATAGGCCTACTTACATTAGATAAATGTGCATTCCATTTTAGAATGAAATAGATAACACTTTTTATTTTGTAGTATGTAAATTTGGTGAAACTTGTAAATGAATTTTAAAAAGGGACAAGTTATTTGATGGGTTTTTATTTTTAAAAATATTTGTTGAAGAAAAGTATTTTAAATAGAGGCAAAATACAGTATCTGTGAAGTTATGTGGGCTGAAATAACTATATATTTTATAGGAAATAGAATAGAGAATATCCCCGAGTTAGCGAATTTTTCACTGAGCTTATCACATTTTTCAGCTGCTATAGAGTATTTTCTCAATAATGTCTATAATGACAATTAAATGGAAAATTTCAGATATTTCAAATTAATTGTAGAATGCAACTTTGAAGAAATATTTCAGACAGTTGAAAAAATTAAAATGATAAGATCACAGAAAAAAATACATTCTTCAAAAAAGAATGGCATTCCAGTGCTATGGTATTAAAAATAGATGAAACTAACAAAATTAGTAAAGTTTGTGAACATATTCAAATAGTCATTCAGTTAAGTGATTCACTTCAGATAATTAATATAAAGTTCTTTTCCCCACATATGTATGTGTTTTTATATATATATATATATGCTACTTTAAATTTTAGAATGACTTTTAGTTTTGAAAATATATTTACATCCAAAATATATAAAGAACTCAATAGCAAAAAGAAAGCAATTAAAAAATGGACAAACAACCTGAATAGACATTTCTCAAAAGAAGACATACAAATGAGCAACAGGTATATGAAAAAATTCTGAACATCACTAATCATTGAAAGCTCTATTTTTAGGCACGTCAATACAATATAGCTAATTTATGGTAATTATATAAACATTTCAAAAACATTTATAATTATTTTTAGCTCCCCTTTTACTGATAAAATTGTCCTATATTATTGCAAACACTACATGATCACCCTAGATATAGCATAGGCACTTGTCAGTATTGTTGTTTTGTATCCAGAACAAAGGCTACAGATAAAACACAGTTAGATTTTTTAAAGCATAGGGAAAATACTACAAGGGATATTTTTGAAGTTCCAAAATGGTTATACCAGGTGGTAGAGAACATGAATTTTTTTCCTAGGTTTCATTTATCATGTTATTGAGATCATGTTATTATCACAAGGAACAATTATGCTAGAGAAAAACAAACAAATAATAGGAAGCATTGAACTTCCTGGAGAAAGGACATAGGAGGCAGTATCTTTCATCTGTCAGTGGGGCTCTGAGGGCAGCAAGGGTAAAGATGCACGCACAGCATGCCAGCTACCTCTACATCTGAGCACATGTGCCTCTCCAGCATCTGTCACAGCATCAGCTGGTCAAAATGTTCTTTCCTTCCCCTCCAGACCTAGCCAAGGTAGCACTGACAAATAAGGTCAGATTTGGGGGCTGAGGTGAGTGAAGCATTTTATATTTATATCCATGTACACACGCTCCTGTGTATGTTCCAGTGACTTCAGGGGACTTTCCACAGCCATGGGTGTCATGTCCAGTGTGAGGTAACTCTGTCTGGCCCAGGGAATTCTCTGGACACTAATCACTAGGTTAAGGATTGGGTTCCAGAGTTTATGGATTGATGCTCAATAATACTTCTATCTCTTCTGTGCTATCTGGTCATTATGACAGTCACAAATATGCAGGATTTTTTGGTAAGGTGTTTTGTTTTGTTTCTTCTCTCTCATTGATTGTTGGCTCCAAGTTTGAGGAAGCAATGAATATACTGGTTTAATGACTTCCAGCTTGGGCATTGCTCCTGCTTTTATGGATGATTATTCTGATTAGTTACTACTAGGCAAAATACACATAGAATATAAATAAAACACCTAGAGGACTGCCTGGCACAAAATAACTCATAGATAACTTCTGTACTGGCTTTAACACTTTATGAAACAGCAGACTTCCGCTCTAGACGGAGGAGTTTCAGTGGAGACAAGAGGGAGATCTAATATATGATAAAGAATGGTATGAATTAAGATTTAAACATTTAGAAGGCATGTTGGATGCATATTACATGCAACACTGGTTTAGGCTTCAGGAAAAATATGATGAAGAAAATAGACTAAATTTCTGCCCTCAAATAATTTACAGACAAGAAGATACAATTTACCTGAGTTAAATAAGTGTAATGTTGCACATTTTTTCTTTTTCTTTTTTTTTGAGACGGAGTCTCGCTTTGTCGCCCAGGCTGGAGTGTATGGTGCGATCTCGGCTCACTGCAACCTCTGCCTCCTGGGTTCAAGCGATTCTTCTGCCTCAGCCTCCCGAGTAGCTCGGACTACAGGCACGCACCACCATGCCCAACTAATTTTTGTATTTTTAGTAGAGACGGAGTTTCACCATATTGGCTAGGCTGGTCTCGAACTCCTGACCTCGTGATCCGCCCGCCTCGGCCTCCCGAAGTACTGGGATTATAGGCGTGAGCACAGCGCCCGGCCAATGTTGCACATTTTTATCCAAAATCCTAGCTGTACAAGTATTATATGTGTGTGTGTGTGTGTGTGTGTGTGTGTGTGTGTATATAGCCACATATATATATAAAATACAAATGTATATTATCTACAAATATACACATAAACTGGAGTGTGTTCAAAGGAGCTGAAGAAAGTTGAATGACATTCAAGGAGTTGAGTGAACTGTGAGTGTTCTCTCCTCATTAATGTGTTTAGAGGGCAGCATCTGTAACATAGAGTCCTTATTTTCTGCCTTCACCATGTAGTACAAAGGAAGGGTTTCAATGAAATAGAAGCATATAATGGCTGCTGCTGAAGAGACTGTTAGATTGCCCACTCAGTAATCATTTCCATTTCCTTTCTGTTAACGTAATTTGGTTTGGGTTTGGTTTGAGATAGCAACGTGCTCAGAAAAGGTGGTTGCTCAACCTTCAACAGTCTCAGGGGGTAGACCTTGATTACTTTAAGGCTTAGGCTTATGCTGTGCCTTTCCTTTTTACCCCTGATTGGTGTGAAGTGGCACACAACCCTGCTCTGCCCCATAGAAAATGAGGAGAAAGTATTAGGAAATCTCAAATGAAGGAGCTTGAGCATTAAGCTCCTTAAATTCAAAAATTGATTTGAGATCTAAAAGGAGAAAATAACTTGCTATGTGGCCTTGGGTGTATTGCTTAACTTCTCTAGGTCTCAGCTTCACAGTAACATTATATTAATAATTCTTGTCTTCCCTAATTAGCAGGGTTATTGTTGGTATTACGGACAGTAATGGATGTTAAAGCAATTTCCAGTTTAAATGCATATAATATGTAAATTGTTACTATTAATTTTAATTACTTTGAAATATTTAAATTAAAAAGTGATATAAAATTAAATTAGTAATGCCATAAAAATATATGTTAATATGACAACCCTAGCGAAAAATGCTTCTTCCCTAATAAAACTTAAACATAATTGTATATAAGACTTCCTATGCATTTATTTATGCATACGTATTTCATTTTCCTTTCCTTAATTAATTTTCTTTAAAATCCATATAGAACTTTGGAATTACATATTTAATAAAGTTCAATGAACTAGTGTTTGTAAAAAAACTTGAGACATTCCCTTCTGCTCTTTGAGAGCATAATAACAAAGGCAGTAAGTACAGATTCAGACGCTTTAACAATACATTCATTTTGTTATAAAACAATTTCAAACACATAAAAATAACATAATAATCACAACACCCACTATACATATTTAACAAAGGCTGATTAACATATTTTCTTCAAATGTCTTTTTAGAACAAATAAAATATTACAGATACATTCAAAGTCCCTTTGTACCTATCTTAGTCAGTTTGGTCTACTATAGTAAAGTAGCATAACATGGGTAACTTACAAAAGTAGAAATTTATTTCTCATGTTTCTGGAGGCTGTGGATCTGAGAATAGGGTGCCAGCATGCTCGAGTTCTGGTGAAGGCTCTCTTTGAGGTTGCAGGCTGCAAACTTCCCATGTATCTTCACATAGCAGAAAGAACGCTAGTTAGCTCCCCAGCCTCTTCGTAAAAGACACTAACCTCATTCACGAAAGCTTCATACTCATAAGCTAATTACCTCTGAAAAGCCCCCTCCACCTAGTACCATCACCTTGGGATTAGGGTTTCAACATAGGGGTTTTGGGGAGACACAAACATTCATTACATTGTAGTGCCTTTCTCAATTACACTTTGCAGTGTGTGTATACAGTTTCAGATCATATTTTACACTTTGCTTATGTATCTGTGTATAACATAGGGTATTAACTAAACTTCTCTAACATATACATTAACATTAACAAAACACAATGGCTCAAAGTAAATTTGAGTTTATTTCTTTCTCAAATAACAGTTCATAGGGAGGTAGAAAGTCCAGGGTGGGTAATCTACTTTGACTCATGAGATTCTGTTGTTTTACAATCTCCTAAGGCAGTGGTTTTGTGAATACAATGTGAGAGCTTCGAGGTCCTGTCTGCATCCCCTTCCTTTTTCCAACTATACATCTGTGTGAGGCCAAATTTTCTTCATATCCTTCAACAAAAATAACATTGCTATAGATTGAAGAAACAAATATTAGACTTCACTTGTCTTAAAGTAAGACATTTAAAAATTTGTGAAAATATAAACAATGTCACTATTTCAATAAATTTTTAGTTATTTTTGATAAAATGATATGCTAATATAAAAGTTTATTATAGTTTTAAAAATTAAATAAATACATATTTTAATATCACTATTGTAATGTTGAATACGGTAAATATCAATAGATATTCCAACATTAGTAAAAGGTCTTTGAGGTCCTAAATAGTCAAGATAGGAAAATATATTGTCTACTTGGTGGCCATGTCTAGCTAAAACTCTTTTTGCTCTGTAAAAGGTAGAATGAATTTAGGGAAACAACTAGCAGTTCAATGCAACGTGTGTGTCCATAAACAATATATGATATTTGTGTGCTTTAAAAATTTACCTGAATAGCATCTTTCTCGGTACATCCTCCTATATATCACTTTTTGCTCAAAATTATGTCTTCAAGATATATCCATGCTAACACATTGGTCTAGTTTATTCGTTTTAACTGTTGAATACTATCATACTGTAGGATTATACAACAATTTATTTGAACATTTATTTAATTGGCAGATACAGAAGGTTTCCAGTTATTCACTCATGAGAGCAATGCTGCAATAAACATTATTTTGCATATGTCCTTGTATAAAATGAGAATGTTTCTTTAGGTAATTAAAAGTTACGTTCTGTGGTGTAAGATATACATGACTGTGTTATTAAATGTTATTAACTTGTTCTCCAAAGCAGTTGTGCCAATTTGCAAACCCACACACACAGCATGAGAATCTCTTTGCCCTCTGTTTCTCCTTTTTGGGTTATAATCTTGTCAATAAGATGGTAGGAGAATTGAAAGTTACTGTTGTTTAATTTGAATTTCTCACTCTAGAAATTAGAATAGATAAAAATAGTTATGATGGCAATCAAAAGAACACTTGAAAACAGTGATTACATAATTCAGATTTAGTTTTCTCACATAAGAAGTGTGGAGTTAGATAGGTGCTAGCATTGGTTTTGCAGATCATTAATGTAATCAAGAAAATTAGGCCCAGCTATCTTTCTGCTGAATTATCCTAAGTATATTATCTTTTCCTCCTCTAGCTTATCGTCTAATGGTTGCAACATGACTGCCACTACATTACTTAAATGTTCAATGTAAAAAAAAAAAAGGAAGGAAGATGGTTCTTACATTCTCCTTCTAAATTTGTTCTCTTTTATCAAATTTAGCAAAGAAAAAGTCCCTAATCTCTACCCCAGCAGACTTTTTCAAATGAAGTTTTTCCCGGAACTGTGCTAATTTGCCAATGTTGACACACTGTTCTTGTATCTTTAAATAAATGACATAAAAGACAAGGTATAGCCCTCATATTTATTTTTATATCAAACTTAGCTTTTCAAGAATCTTAATTCTTTAATGTACTTGTATCAACTTATCACATTTTATTTTCAAAATTCATTTGGATTCTTTTATTAGGGTTGCATTTTTTAAACATCTGGGATAAATGTATAGCTTTACAACCTTGTAAACAGCAAGCAATTGGATCTTACTTTTAAAAATCAACCTGACAATCTTTGCTTTTTAATTGAAGCATTTAATCCTTTATATTTAATGTAACTATTGACAGAGCTGTGTTTTAAGTCTACTATCTTGGTCCTCTTTTCTTAATTCTATCTTAATTTTTTCATGCTTTTTTTTTGGTATTTTGTTTGTTTTTCAATATGGCAGTTTTATTTTTTCTTTCTTTCTTTCTTTTTTATTTTTTTGAAACAGGGTCTTACTCTGTAGCCCAGACCAGAGTGCAGTGGTGCAATCTTGGCTCACTGCAACCTCTGCTTCCCAAGCTCTAGTGATCCTCCCACCTCAGACCCTGAGTAGTTGGGACTATAGGCACATGCCACCATGCCCGGCTAAAACAGTATCATTGAAATTCATATTACATACAATTTACCCACCTAAAGTGAATAGTGCAATGGCTTTTAATATAATCACAGAATTGTACAACTATTACCACAATCTATTTTAAAATATTTTTATTACCCCAAAAAGAAATTCATTAGCAGTCACTCCCCAGTTTCCACTTACCCCTCACTCTTATCCCTAAGCAAACATTAAACTGCATTCAGCCTCTATAGATTTGCCTAATCCCAACATTTTACATAAATGGAATTGTAATGCAGTGGCTCACACCTGTAATCTCAGCACTGTGGGAGGTTGAGGCGGGCGGATAACCTGAGGTCGGGAGTTCAAGACTAGCCTGACCAACATGGAGAAATGCCATCTCTACTAAAAATACAAAATTAGCCAGACATGGTGGCGCATGTCTGTAATCCCAGCCACTCGGGAGGCTGAGGCAGGAGAATCGCTTGAACCCAGGAGGCAGAGGTTGCAGTGAGCCAAGATCGCACCATTGCACTCTAGCCTGGGCAACAAGAGTGAAACTCTATCTCAGAAAAAAAAAAAAAAAAAAAAGAAGGAATTGTAAAATATGTGGTCTTTTGTAACTGGGTTATTTAACTTAGCATAATGATTTCAAAGTGCATCTATGTTTTAGCATGTATTTGTACTTTGTTTTTCATAGGTGAATAATAATATTTCATCATATAGCTATACCATATTCTATTTATTAATTCATCAGCTAATAGGCATTTGAGTTGCTTCTACTTTTTGGCTATTATGAATAATGTTACTATGAACATTCAGGTACAAGTTTTATGTAGACATATTTTTTTTTCTCTTGAATATATATACGTAGAAGTGGAATTCCTGGGTCATATGGTAACTCTATGTTTGACCTTTTGAGGAACTGCCAGATTGATTTTCTCAATAGTTGTGTCATTTTATATTCCCACCAGCAGAGTGTAAGGGTTCCAATTTCTCCACATCCTCACCCACACTATTTTTGTCTTTTATATTTTAGCTCTCCTAGTGGATGTGAAATGTCACACCCTCTTTTGAGTAAATAAAGTATATGCAATTAAGTATATAATACATCGTTATTACTATTTTGGCCCTATAAAAAATGATAAAAGTAAATTCTTTCAGGGAAAGGGTAACTATACCAGATGGAAGCCCACACCTTCAGGAAGAAATGAAATGCATCAGAAAGATATATATCTTTTAAAAAATGAAAGATCTGCATTTTTTATTATGTAATCATTTATATCTATATTTGTTCAGATGACTATTGACCATTTAAGGAAATAATAATAATAATAATAATGTACTCTGAGTTTTGCTGCACATATAGAAATAAATTTAAAAACTACAAAGGATGCTTATCTTTATCTATGACAAGATCCTTCACTTTCTGCTACTCTATGAGGCATGGAAATAGGAATGATTCTCTTTTATTCTAGTAAGAATTTTCATTTACTTTATTTTGTTCCTGGTAGATCATAAAAACTATGATTTTGTAGTTTATATGGCTTCTTCTATCTGTTAAAGAGTTTTGAGTTTCAATATTCTAACCAAAAACAGAAACCTATCATTCAATTTTAATACTTTTAAAATTACTATTTGATCCATAACTTACCTTGAAATGTGTTTTTTAGTTTGTTCATATAGGGGGGTCTGATGTTTCTGATATTTATTTTTAAATTTATTGCACTGTATATAATATTATATGAATGTTTAAAAGTGTTTTTTTGTAGTTGACATTACTGAGAAATAGTACGTAGGCCTGGAGCTCCTACGTATTATTGTTTCCACAAAGATATAGTCTGCCTAAAATGAAGCCAACATAGAACTTAAAAGAAAGGAAGGTTTAATTATATTTTCCCCTAAGCCAATCTGCTCCTAATGTCTGACTTAAACTTTTCAGTTGTAAGACTATTATTTCTCATTTTTGTCTTACACTAGTCTGGGTTGAGTTTCTTTTGTTGTGTGCAACCTGACTAACATAGAAAACACGAGGAGTTCACTCTGAGATATATTGAGTTTGTGTTGTGATAGAACACAACCAGAAGATGTAAATTCAGAATAGGGTATCAAGAAAGGGTTCAGAGCCATAGTGACCTGGGGCTTGCTAGCCCTGACCCTGTGTTAAACTAGTGCTAACAGTCTTCATCCTCTGAAGTCAAAAGCCTCCCTTTTGTTATTTTAGACACGTAGAAATTAATCACTCTTCTATCTGCTTTCCTTACTCGGGAACTTTTGTTCCAAGCAAAACCTTACGTAAAATGTCTCTCTAAGCCAATATTCACCTTCGGAAGGCAATGATACATTATTGGCTGCTTGATATAATCAAAAACAAGAGATAGTACTCTGGATTTGGTGGCTATTCTTTCAATTCCCTGGCTATTGCCAATATTTAACAAACAAAATTGGCTTGCCATAGTTACCAGGAAATGAGTGTCTATGCACATTCATTTCAGGTTGCATGGTACCATATACCTGAATATGCATATGCCAAAAGATGCCTTGGTGTTTGCAACCTGCAGCACTTACAGGAACAGCCCCACTATAAATGGTCATTTTTAATTATAGCCTGAATTTCTTTAAAAGACAGCCAGAGAAATGAAAGCTCTCTGCCAGAAGACTTTTTGTTTTCAATACGAATGTAAAGAGAATGAATCCATGAACAGGTCACTTCAGAGAAGTTTAAAATAAGCCAACCTTCCCTTGCAGTGGCCTTTCTGTACACCACCTCTTTTCTGTCCTGTTGGCTGCTGCCCTTTGCTCAGGCCATCATTTCCACTTATACTGTTAGTAGCTAATGTAGTTGCTTCCAGCTAGCATAACAAATCATTCAAACTGAAAAGAGGGTTTTTTCAATAACTCTCACCATTTTGCCAATGGTGAAAGTAAAGATATAAGAGATCAAGTTATTTCCCCTAGATTATATAGATAATTTGTTTCAGGGCTCAGACTTTCCAGTACAGCATTTGATGGTTATATGGTATTTTGACTTTTTAAACACTACTGTTTGAATTCAGCTGAATTAGTCATGCTAGGCTAACTATTCTAATAACAACCCTACATTTCAATGGATTAACAGAATAGAAGTTTATTTCTTCATTATATAAAATTCAAGGATGGTGACTTTTTATGTTGTCATCCAGGAACCTAGGTTCTTTTTATCTTGTATCTCTGCTAGGCTCTATGTCCTCATAATCCACTCCTTTTGGTTAGAAAGGGGGAAAAGGGAGCATAGGATTATCTGTTGGAAGTTTATGAGGTATTCTGAAAGTGGTACACATACTTTTGCCCATTTTCCATTGGGCAGAACGAAATCACACAGCCAAACCAACTTCAAGGGAGGCTGAACAACATGGTCGAGTCATGTGTCTAACAGAAAAAATGGATGTTTCAAACACCTGCATTTGCTCTAGATGCTTTGATTGACCTACTTTGATGTATATATACTTGACTGGCTTAGAAATATTAAAAATATTCACTGTTTTAAAAATGTGCAAGTATATATTAAAATAGATACCCTTAGCCTATACACGATACACAATCCATCTCTGAGTCTTATCTTGAATCAGTTAGAATCAAATTTAACCACAAATAACATGAGCCACAAATAACATTGGCTTAAGCAAGATAGAAATTTATTTCACTCTCTCTTTCTTTTATGTAAAAAGAAGTTAAAATTAAACTTGGAATTGAAGTCAGAGCTGGTAATACTCACCATCGTGGTAATCCAGACTCTTATCATCTTACTTCTAAACTTAGGGTCATTATACTGTAGAATTTAGGGAATAATTAAAAAAAAAAAAAAAAAAAACCCCGAGGTCATCTCATGATCCAAGCTAGTCACTACCATTCCCACCTTCTATTCACATTGCAGGCTGAAAAAAATAAAAGCAAAAAAAAGGAGGGGCTATGTAGATTTCCCAGCTGTCTCTCCTGCTTCCTTTATAGAAACTTTCATGAACTCCCTGTCCACAACTTTACATATATCTCACTGGCTAAACCCTATTCACATTGTTATGGAAACTGAAGTGTTCAGTCTTTCGGCTGAGCACACATTATTGGTCCCAATGATACAGGGATTCTAATAATAAGAAAGTTAAAAATATATTTTCAGTGCATACAGAATTGTAAGTTGACCTTTTTTCTTTCCTTCTTTCACTCAGCACTTAGATACCATTCCTTTGTTCTCTAGTTTCCATTATTTCTGAAGATCAGTCTGTGATAATTCTTATCTTTGTTGCTTTGTATGTAAAGTCTCTTGTCTTCTGGCTGCTTAAAAATTTGTCTTTTTATGCTAGGTTTTTAGCAATTTAATTTTGATGTTTCCTTTGATGGATTTCTTTGCGTTTATTTTGCTTTGGTGCTTATTAAAGGTATTTAATTTGTCTTTACCTATACAACTAACTGTTCCTTTCCTCCCACCAATATTTCAGCTTTATCCCCTTTATGATTATGACACTGAGGGCACATATCAGAGGTGGGATAAGACTGAAGTTTGCGGCAATGATAAATACCTACTCTGGAGTAAAGTAAGGAGTTGAGCATATTATTTGGTAATCAAAGCAATTTGATTTTAATTTTGATAAACGCTGCTTCCCAAGGTTGGTCAAAGGAGCTATGATAACAGGTCCTACTAAAGAACTCATACTACTACAGAAAACTCCTCTCCTTTTTTTTCTTTTCCTTCTTCCTTTAGTATCTATCTATTGAGAACTTACATACCACAAGTTGCACCTGGGAGCTGGTGGTGAGCAAAATCTTCATGGTTCCTTCCTTTATGGACCTCACAGTCCTTGCCTTCCATATATTCAATACCTTTTAACACCATTCCAGAAATAATTATCCTAAAGAGTATAATTGCATACATTTCCCTTAATGAAAAAGATAAGATTTAGAGATAAAGTCTGCATAGTGGTTGAGAACACAGACCTAGATTTGGCTTCTAGCTTCATCATTTACTAGTTGAATGACCTTAAGAAAATTGCTTTTTTGCACCTCAATTTCTTCACCATTAAAATGGGGATGATAATATTTATCTGATAGAGGTATTCTGAATAGAGTTATAAGTGGAACAAAATACCTGGGCTTTATCTCAGCGCGTCACACTGTAGAAAAGCTAGACAACACACCCATCTCACTAAAATAGAAATAACTTAGCATAAATTAATCAAATTATCAAGAATACTGAGTTAAATGCAAAGCTATAATGTGTCTTATATGATTGATAATATTCATCTATGAGACACATGAATGAATGCATTTTGAATACACGTCTCACTTCTTGCTTGCTATGTAGAATTTGTGGTAAGGATTAATGAGCGACAGACAATCCCATGATCCCTGATCTCATTGTTCATACCCTTAGGTAATCCCATCCCCTTGAGTCTGGGCAGGAACAGTGACTTTATTCTAACAAACAGAATATAGCAGAGGTGATCTATGACATGGTTATATTACATTATATAAAACTCCAAGTTTCTAGTGGACTTGCACAACAGACTGTTATTGTAGGTTTAATAAAATAAGCAGCTACGATGATACTATGAACTGTGGGGACCTCTAGGAGCAATGGGCAATCTCCATCCTCTAGCCAACACAAAAAATGGGGTACTCAGCCCTATAAACACAAGGAAATAGATCTGGCCAACTACCTGAGTGAGCTTGGAAGTAAATTGTTTCCTAGTCATGCCTTCACTTGAGAACACTGCCCAGCCAACATCTTGAATCTGGCTTTGTGAAACCGTGAAACCCCAGATAAGCCATGACCAGATTCATGACCTATGGAAACTATGAGATAACATAGGAGATAATGAATGTTTATTGTTTTAAATCACTAAATGTGTGGTAGTTTGCTATGCAGCAATACGTAACTAATGTTTGGCATGGAAAAAGCACGTACAAGAATAATAATTTTAAAAATTATTAAAAACACACAAAGTTCAAATTCTTAGTATGCCATTTAAGATTATTCCACTAGGTTCATTTTCCTAAGTCCTAAGCTTTAAACCTACTGGAATGGGCAGATCACTTGAGTCCAGAAGTTCAAGACCAATCTGGCCAACATGGTGAAACCCCGTCTCTACAACAGATAGAAAAATTAGCCGGGTGTGGTGGCATGCACCTGTAGTCCCAGCTACTAGAGAGGCTGAGGTGGGAGGATCACCTGAGCCTGAGAAGGTCGAGGCTGCAGTGAGCTGTGACTGTGCCACTGCACTCCAGCCTGGGTGACACAGTGAGACCCTGCCTCAAAACAAAACAAAACAAAAACAAAAACAATAACTAGAGCCCACAGATACCCCGGATCCCTGGTATCTGAGCAGTATGACCTTTCTCAGGGTGCCTTTCTCAGGGAAAGAGAGGGTTCTTTGCCCATCTGTCCCTCCCTCCAGAAACACTATCCAATTCCTAGAGTACTTGCCAGAATCGAAGTCATAACCAGGAGGTGGCAGGTTGGGGAGCTGAGCCCAGCCTGTTGTCTAGTAAGGTACTTTGTCTTCATCACCACTTAACTGCTGCCAGATAAGTCAGTGACCAGAAGAGTCCTTGGCCAGCCCCGTCCCATGACCTTGGCCCTGCCGCAGAGAGGGATCCCTAGCACCACCATAGATACAGAGAGGATGCAGCAACTCCCCCTCCCCTCCAGAAGCCCAGGTAGCTGTACACCTACCTGTCCCGTGTTTATCTCAGTTGCTTGTCGGGGGCAGAGTCCTCATCTGCCATGTGGACATCTGAGACCAGCTTTCTGAGTACCTCAGCCAGTCCCACAGGCCTGCAGGCCCCAGGTGCAGAAAGCCAGCTAGCCCACAGCTCTCACATCCCATAGGGGTTATGGGGTTTTTACACTTAGAGAAACAAACCCCTTTCTCCTTTGAGCCTCCTTTTCCTCTGAGCTGTGGATAGTTTTGACCCTGTAAATATGGTCAAGCTCTTCTGACACTGAGATGATTTTATCAATTGTCTGTCCCCTTACCTGTAATATATACCTGTAATATAAACATAAAATTCTCCGTGAGTGGTTTCCAGATTCAGGCTCCAATGGACCACATAAAAGTATTTTGTTTTGAAAAACAAAAACAAACAACAACAACAAAATACAGAAAGCCATACTGAATTATTTGCTATTTCTGAAATATTTCCAGATATCTTGACTTTGTCCATGGCTGTTTTATTTACCTGAAATGCTTCACTCTCTTTTTTTCTTGAGATGGAGTTTCACTCTTGTTGACCAGGCTGGAGTGCAATAGCACAATCTTGGTTCACTGCAACCTCCACCTCCCGGGTTCAAGCGATTCTCCTGCCTCAGCCTCCCAAGTAGCTGGGACTACAGGCATGTGCCACCATGCCTGGCTAATTTTTTGTATTTTTAGTAGCAATGGGGTTTCACCATGTTGGCCAGGCTGGTCTTGAACTCCTGACCTCAGGTGATCCACCTGCCTCAGCCTCCCAAAGTGTTGGGATTACAGGTGTGAGCCACCACACCTGGTCTTCACTCTCTTTTTCTTTAGCTGAAATTCCTTTCAATTCTTCAAATTCTATTTTAGGTTCTATCGACTTCATGGATATTTTCTAAGTATACTGGCTGTAATTAATTTTTTTTTCTGTGTTCGCATAGTATCTAGTTTTCACTGTTACCATAACTCATCACATTGTCATATCATGAGTTGAATTACACTTACTGTAGTTTATATTTAACTACTTTTAAAAATAAAATATTATTTCAATTATATATGACATAGTTTTAAACAGATTTAGTAACTTAAGGATTCTCTGAAGATAACTAAGTCTCTCCTTGAAGGACTAAGGTTTAAGCTCAGTTTTTCAGATTTCTGATCAAACACTCCTGCTCTGGCTTCTCTCTAAAATTACATTTGGATGTATGGCAAGGAAAAAGAAGTAGCTTTAGTAATATAATGACTATAAGAGCGGCACGACTCAATGTAATATACCATGTATTCATGCTGATGTGATCAGTGAAGCAAAATGGCCTGTGCTTCTCTTTGCACTGGTGATAATTAAAGTATGACTGGTCCTGTCTGTTTTTGACGAGGAAATATGCTGGTCTCTGAAGATTGCCTCTTCCCATTTAATTTCTTCCTGATAACCTCTAGAACCCCTTCCCAAAGTAGGTAGATTCTTCCTACAGAAGTTAAAGAAGTAGGAGTGTTGCTTAGGATATTTTTTGTTTACACTGTTGGACACCATCTCCTTGTCATTGCTCCTGTGCCAATCACTACAATACTGACGGTGGTGCTCAGCTGAAGGCTTCAGTTTTTCTAGGGGCTTTTGTCTCCTCCATGATCTTTACAAGTTATATCCCAGAAGCTCTTCTGTTCTTAGGCTCCACCATACAGTGGGGTGTTTCTAAAACCTCTAGTAATTGCCACTAAGTTTCAGATTCCAATAGTTAAGTGGAAAAATAAGAACACTGATATCTCACATTGTACCCCTTCTGCTATCTCACTTCTTTTTCTCAAAGTACCTTTGGTTAAAAGATTTTCTCCTTCATCTACTATCTTTCTTCTAAGTAGAGCACTGAGCTTCACCCCATAGGCAAATAGCTAACTTTCTCAGTACTAGAAAATGAAATCCTCTGAGCCTGGTGTTTGTGAGAGTAAATTGAATTTTGAAAGTTTAGATTTATTTTCAAGGAAAACATTTACCTCAAAATTCTGTTTTGGAGAATTTTTCTTCCAGGTCCAAAGAAATAACTAGTATGATATTTGCCCTTCTACCATACACAACTATAAACTAGAGAAAATGCATGAAGAAAATATTTTCAGATATTAAACCTCAGACAGCACAGGAGTATGACCCCGAGAGAAAGGAAAACAATTTGGTGAGCCTACAATATGCCCCACATTTATGCCTATGGGCACTTTCTTGACCATGGTTTAGGGAAAGAAGATCCAATCAGAGAACAGTCTTTCTGAATTAAGGAGACAGAAATTGGAATTCTGGAAAATTGAGGTATCTACAATTTGTGGAGCAGATTACTTGAGGTGTTAGAACAAGGCAGAAAATCCTTCAAGAAATATTCAGGAGGATTCCCTCAAGTCTGTGCTTTACATTTGTAGGTGCAACTCCATGAAGCTTGAAAAACAATGACTGCAAAAACTCACAGAGGTCAAGGATAAGTTCAGCTTCTACCTGACCAAAGCAGAGAATTTGCTGAACACATTGGCCATTCGTTAGAGACTGCAGAAAGTCATGCCTTAGTAGTAAGGCTAAAGTAGTACTAGAAAAAAGCTCCTTACAATTTTCCTAACAAGGTTTTAAAACAATTATTGAAAAGTTCAAGCTGATTCATAAGTAACTTAACTGCATGTCAAACCAAACTTTAAACTCTTTAAAGTTTTAAGAAGTTCAATCAGCCCACCTAGCACTCCGATCTTGATTTCTAAATAACTTTCTCCACTTTCTGTTTTAGTTCCAGCATGTAAAGAGCTTGGAAGTCACCGTTCTATCCTTAAAAAGGAGAAAGCTACATAAATGGAAAATCAGTGACTTTCCTTGGGCCCTTCAGAGAACTGAGATTACAGACAAACCACCACCCTGATATGTGGGAAGATAGGTAGGTACATACATACATGAAGACATAGCTGAGATCTGCTTATCTGGAACAGAAATCCCTGGAGCCAAAAACCTTTAGAAACACTTAAATAGCAATTTTAATCAACTGTCGAAGGCTGACTGTAGACTAGCATGAAAGTAAGAAACTCCGGAGTCTTGCAGTCTTATGGAGACCCAAAGACTTTTGTGGGCTTTACATCCAGGAAGCCAAACAGATCCTCATAGTAAAGGTCCAAAAATAAGTCTGTCTGGGGTAGAAATTGTATTAGTTTCTTAGGGTGTAGTAATTGTGTTAGTGTCTTAGGGTATCATTAAAAAGTACCACAAATTGTGTGGCTCAAAACAACAGAAATTTATTCTCTCATATTTCTGAAGTCTGGAAGTCTGAAATCAAGGTGTCAGCAAGACCATTCCTTCCTGAAACCCATAAGGGAGAATCCTTCCTTGATTCATCTTATCTTCTGGTGGTGGCCATCTGCCTTTGGTGTTCCTTAGCTTGTGGCTAATCTTTCCAATTTGTGCCTCTCCATCACATGGCATGGGACTAAGGCCCACCTTAATTACCTCATCTTAACTTGAGTAAATCTGCAAGGATCCTGTTTCCAAATAGGTAATTCTAGTTAGAAACTCAATATATCTTTTTAAGGGGGACATAATTCAATTCATAACAACAATCATTGAGAAATACATTCAGAACCTTAATAACAAATGCACTATTTAGGAGAAAGGATGTTTCCAGGGTCTTATCCCAGCCCTGGTAAATAAATTCCTTCCACTCCAGTGCCTTCCAGCCTTCTTGTCTTACCTAAGAGTAAAAAATAATAAAGTATATCCAACAGGAGTTAGGGCTTTGAGACAGTAGGTTGGAAATGTTGCAGCCAGAGAAAAGAGTATGAAGTAAGGTGAAAAAAAGCTATACTCGTGGAGTAACATTTGTGCAGGTGAAAGTCTTGAGACACCGGCTGACTAAAAGACTAAGATTTAATCAGAGGATTACAGAACCCTTCCCCTCCCACACACCTTACTTCCATGTCAACAGGGCCCCATCCAGTATAACAGTGGTTTACAACTGAAAAAACTGCAAGACACAGATACTCTTTGAAGAGGAGTAGTTGGAAACTCACAGTCAGGAGGGGAGACAAAAATGAGGACAGTAAAGAAACTGGAATCTTCTGGAACTTACAGAACAGCAACTATTAAACACAGCCCAACTTCTAGCCAGCTTAACACAAACCCTCACACTAATGGTCTAACTATCTCAGACTCCATCACTCAATAAAATATATCCAGCTTTCAGAGCATGCCAAAAGGCAAGGCAAAAAATACAGTCTGAAGAAACAAATTATCCCCAGTATGACACATATATCAAAATTATTACATAAAGGACATTAAGAAGCTTTGATTAATATGTTAAGGACTCTAAGGAAAAAGCAGATAATGTGCAAGAATAGATGGATAATGTAAGCAGAGAAATGAAAACACTATGAATCAAAGGGAATTTCTGGAAATAAAAAACACTGCAGCAGAAATAAAGGATGCCTTTGATGGGTCATCAGAAAAACTTGACATTTCACAAGAATCAGTGAGCTTCAAGATAGGCAAATAGAAACTTTCCAAACTAAAATTTAAAAGGAAAAAGAGCAAGAAAGCAAAGCAAAGAAAAGAAAGATCAAATGAACATGTAAGAATTATTAGACATTCTCTGGAACACCAGAAGGATAAGAGAAAACAAAATATTTGTAGTAATAATGGCTGAGAACTTTCCTAAATTAATCACAGGTCCACCAAAGCACAGGAACATCAGAGAATACCAAACAGGAAAAATAAACAAACAAACAAAAATACATCTATAAACACACTAAAAATATTGTATGTAAGCTTCACAAACCAAAAAACAGGGAAAATCTTGAAAGAAACTTGAACAAAAAAGTTCCTATATAAAGGAACAAGAATAATCATTTTAGTAAACTTGCTATTGGAAACCATGCAAGCAAGAAGAGAGTGGAATAATATTTTTAGTATTGAAAAAATACCAGGCCAGAATTCTATATATGGAAAAATTATACTTTAAATATGAGAGAGAAATAAAGACTTTTGCAGACAAACAAAAACTGAGAATTTATCACCACCATATCTTCCCTGAAAGGAATATTAAAAGAAATTCTTTAGGCCATGGGAAAATGGTATAAGTCATTGTATCTTGGATCTACATTAAAAAGGTGCAGTGGCTCCTTAGTGAATTGCTCATTCTGGGTCTGAGAAGGGTAAACACAAAGTGAACATGGTGCATCTTGTAGTGCCGGGAAGTGAGGAGGTGCTCCTAATACAGACAAACAACAACCACAAAAAATGGGGCGCGTCAAAGAAACACAGGAGCCAGCCTCAAAGAGCACCCCCCACCCACCGCCATGGTCAAACCTGGAGGAATTTGAACAACAGAACAGACAATGTAGCATTAGATTATTACTGAAAATATAAAATAAATATGATGAGTCCATACTGGTATGTAAAAATAACGAAATCAACAGAAAATGGGAGAGAAGGAACAAATCTTCTTTACAGAGGTATTCCATATACTCTATGTATATACTTCTCTTTCCAGGAACTGGAGCTTAATTTCCCCTCTTCTTGAGTGTGAGCTGGACTTAGGAATTTGCTTTCAAATAATGAAGTATATAAAAAAAATGGTAACTTTATGTATTTCACACCTAACAGACACTAACTTAAGCAAGTGACTAAAATCAACATCATCAATAATAAGTTATGTTGTTATTATTTACCTCTGATACAATATAATCAGAAGCATACGTCACCTCTGTGGCATTCTTCCCAAAACTTTTAAAATGTATAACCATTTTTAAAAAAGACAAATCCCTATTGATGGACATTTTGAAAAATATTTCACCAATACTCTTTTAAAACTGTCAAGATCATGAAAAGCAACGTAGCGTGAGACAGTCTCAGTTACCAGAAGGGACAAAAGGGACATGATCAATAAATGCAAGTTAATGTCCTGGGTTGAATTCTGAAAAAATAATTGGTAAAATCTGAATAAAATCTGGAGTTTAGTTAATAGTAATGTGACAATGACAGTTTTTAAATTTTGACAAATGCGACACAGTTATGTAAGATGTGAATGTTAGGGGGAAGCAGGTGAAAGGTGTGTAGCAACATTTTTAAACTACTTTTATAATGTCAAAAAAATTATTTACAAAAATAAAAGGATGAAAACAAGATACACAACAAAAAGGTCATAAAAAATTTTATGTGACTATATTAATATTCAATATATTGAAGTTAAGAGAATGTTCACTGAGATAAAGTGGTGAAAATGCAATACATGAAAGAGATATAAAAATCTGAATATATAGTCACCCAATAACAGAGTAACAGAGCTTCAACACAAGGAGCAAAAATGAATAGAACTAATACAAAAAGAAAGTACTACTAGTAGTTAGTAGAAAGTTCATTTTCTTACACAAGTCCACAATGACATCAGGTAATTTCGACTTCCTGTATTAATGACTAATAATAAATTCATGAGCATATCGTATTGAATGACAATACTGTAAATCTACTTGACCTAATTTGTATCATTAAACACTTTTCCCAACAATATAATAAATTTTCTCCCTACCTCACATGGAACACTCATCATGTTATGTTGGACCGTAAACTAAATCTCAATAAATATAAAAGGATTACAACTATATAGGCCACATGCCATGGCTCATGCCTGTAAGCCCAGCAGTTTGGGAGGCCGAGGCGGGAAGATCAGGAGGTCAAGAGATCGAGACCATCCTGGCCAACGTGGTGAAACCCCGTCTCTACTAAAAATACAAAAATAAGCTGGGTGTGGTGGCGTGTGCCTATATAGTCCCAGCTACTCAGGAGGCTGAGGCAGGAGAATCACTTGAACCCAGGAGGCGGAGGTTGCAGTGAGCCGAGATTATACCACTGCACTCCAGCCTGGTGACAGAGCAAGACTCCATCTAAAAAACAAACGAGCAAAGAAACAAACAACTATATGAAGTATTTTTTCTGACTACAATATAACTAAATTAGAAATCAATAACAAAAAAGGATATCTTGACTATCTGCAAATGTTTGGAAATTAAATAACATCTATAAATAAATCATTTATCAAAAGGAAATCAATGGAATTTTAGAAAATATTTTAAACTGCATGAAAATGAAAACACAGAATAACAATATGTATGGGATTTAACCACAATGCACTTACAGGAAAATTTCCAGATTAAAGCACTTAAGTTGTAAAGGAAGCAAACTCTAAAGACAATATCTAAGTTTGCACAAGAAATTGAAAATATAATAATGATAAAACCATAATTAAGTAGTTGGAAGAAAATAATACAAATTTGAAAATAGTGACATAGAAAACAAACAATAGGAAAAAGCCAATGAAAGCATGAGCTCTTCAAAAGAGTTAATAAAATTGATCACCCTGTAGCACTACTGATCAATAGAAGGAAAAGTCACAGATTATAAATATAAAGATAAAATAGAGTACAATACGGAGGATGATAAAAGTATAAGAGGAGAATATAGTGAAAAACTTTAGTTCAGTAAGTGTAACAGGTTAGATGAAATGCAGAAATTCCAGTTAAAAAGACTGACAATAGAAGGTGTTGGTGAAGATTTGGAATAAGTGGAATTGTTTTATATGTTTTGCTGGTGAGAATGCACAATGGTATAGCCACTTTTAAGATACACCATGGTAGTATCTTACGAAGTGAACACTCATTCCCCTGGGTGTTAAGAGTGTTGTCAGCTAACTGCTCTCAGCTCAGTTCCTCTCCTGGGACTGCCTGGGGGCTAAAGAGAGCAGCCTCACCACCCTCCCTCCTCTTTCTTAGAATAAAGACACATGCACACATATGTTTATTGCGGCACTGTTTACAATAGCAAAGACTTGGAACCAACCCAAATGCCTATCAATGATAGACTGAATAAAGAAAATGTGGCACATATACACCATGGAATACTATCGTTCATGTCCTTTGCAGGGACATGGATGAAGCTGGACACCATCATTTTCAGCAAACTATCACAAGAACAGAAAACCAAACACCACATGTTCTCACTCATAAGTGGGAGTTAAACAATGAGACACATGGACACAGGGAGGGCCTGTTGGTGGGTGGAGAACTAGGGGAGGGATAGCATTAGGAGAAATACCTAATGTAGATGATGGGTTGACGGGTGCAGCACACCACCATGGCACATGTATACCTATGTAACAAGCCTGCACGTTCTGCACATGTACCTCAGAACTTAAAGTATAATGATTTTTTAAAAAAGTGAATGTAAAGATGTAAACCCTTAAAAAAACAAACAAACAAACAAACAAACAACAACAAAAAAGAAAGAGACCTCATCAAATGACTTCAAAGTCGAGGTATAAGTGTTTAGCCCGCTCACACTAATTTAGGACACCTCTGAAGTATCAACAAGTTCCAAGCCTTCTGTAAGATTGACTGAAGCCTTTGTTATGGCTACATTGCATTTTACCCCTCTTCTGCGCAATCAGGTTTTCTTTGCTCCCCCACAGGGGCTGTTCCCAGAAAAACTTCCCATTTGGCTTTCTTTTATAAATCTTCATCTCATTGAAAAACACATCTCCACTTAAAAAAATTCTATCTCAGACTATTTTGTTGGGAACTTCAATTTTGAAAGTGGCTCAAACTTGTTTATTTACACTACTCCTGCTTAGTTGATCTCTCGTAGGAAACTAGTATGCCCAAAGTCTGTATATGTTCCTCCACTCTGCCCCATTACAATTGTAGCCTCACATATGGTTACAGTTCTCTTACATGCGGCACTTAATTCTTTTTTTTTTAACTTTTATTTTAGGTTTGGGTGTATATGTGCAGGTTTGACAAATATAGGTACACATGTGTCACGGGGTTGTTGTACATATTATGTCATCACCCAGGTATTAAGCCAAGTACCCAACAGTCATCTGTCCTGATCTTCTACCTCCTCCCACCCTCCACCCTCAAGTAGACTTCAATGTCTATTGTTTCCTTCTTTGTGTTCATAAGACACCAAAAGCAATCACAACAAAAGCAAAAGTTGACAAGTGGGATCTAATTAATGACTAAATCCATTGACTGTCTATTCACATGTTTATTAGACTTGTAGATATTATCTTCTTGAAGTGCCTATTCTAATATTTTACCCATTTTTCTATAAGATGTTCTGTCTTTTTCTTATTTAGCTGCAAGAGTTCTTTACATATCTTGGACACAAGTCCTTTGTCAAATTATTTAATTGTAATATTTTATCTCACTTGTGAGTTGCCACCTCATTCTCCTGGTGGTAGCTTTTGGTGAAGAAATGTTCTTAACTTTCACAGTCTAAATTGATACAACTACTTTGGAAAAGTCAAACATATGTATACTTCTAGGAATATATTCAAGTAAAATGCATCCATAGAATGTTTATAGCTGGACTACTGGTAATAGTAAAAATCTTAAAAACTAAAAATTCTATCATCAATAGGCTGTATAAATAAATTGTGGTATAGTCCCACAGTGAAGTATTATGCATCAATGAGAAAGAATATTCTAATATTACACTTAAAAATGTAGATGAATCTCACAAACAAGCTGTGGAGCAGAAGAAGCTACAGAAAAGGGCATATTTATTATTCAACTCAATTATGAACAAAAACAGGCAATATTGACCTATGCTGTTGGATGTCAGGATACTGGTCATCCTTGGGTTATGGGGCTAGTGACTGGAGGGGGCCCAAGGAGGCTTCAGGAAACTGAATCTGGCAATACTTTGCCCATTCTGGCAATACTCTGTTTCTTGATTTGGATGCTGGATGTTCATTTTATTATAATAATTGAGTATTGTTATGTGTTGTATCTATCAGTATGCATGCATTATACTACAATAATACATGTAAAAAACATGCTTCCAAACACCGGATTTCATTTGAGCCTCATAACAACCTTTGAAGCTGCTGATGCAGGGGACATTATCATCCTTTTAAAGACTAAAAATATGAAGCTTTGAAAATTCAATTCAATCTAACAGTTTTTTTTAAGACACCTAATATATACCAAGAAAAGAGAGCACACCAGGTAATAATATGTAAATGGCCCTGACACTTCAAAAAATGAAATAATTTACTCCTTGAGCACATAGCTAAAAGGATGGTAGCACTTTGGAGACAGAAGGGATCTGAGACATGACCAC
This sequence comes from Homo sapiens, assembly GCF_000001405.40. Lineage (NCBI taxonomy): Eukaryota > Metazoa > Chordata > Mammalia > Primates > Hominidae > Homo > Homo sapiens. The sequence continues at coordinate 189,488,021 of NC_000003.12, forward strand.
CACTATCATTTTCTAGATGAGGGTGAGGCCGAGAGCTTGGGCTTTGCAGGGACAATGATTCAGGCTGGATTTCTAGTTTAAACACTTGATCACTGAGTGACTCTAGACAAGTTACCTAGCCTCTCTGTGTCTCTGTTCCATCATCTGAAATATAGTGTTAAAATATCTACCTCAAAGCATGGCACAAAGGGTAAATTTTAAGAGTCTTGGAGCATACCCTAGCACTCCATCCAACAACTAGTAGTTACCATATAAATTCATATCCCTTCCCTTCGGGTGATTCAGGGTGAATGACTCAAGGTCCAGCACCCTCTTGCGCATGCCTTTCTGATTTTCTATGTACAAACATGATGTAAAGTGTTAGGTACACTGGAGGTGTGAGGGACACGCTGCACAAGCCCTGTCCGCTTTCCAGGGAATCTGCCTGTGGAGTTCCTGTGTTTCATAACCCATGGGTCTGGAGATCCTCTGGCCCAGCAGGGTAGCAGAAGCTCTCCCCGGTGTTGACGGCATGGCTGTGAGAGCACAGATGAGTAATCCTTTCTGGGAGGAAAGCAGATACAACAGCCTGGAAAGCACACATTCAGGGAGGCTGAGTAGGGCAATGAGCTTAGATGAGCAAGGACCACCATCCTGGGTATGTGATGCAAAGCCTCAGGAATGTGTCCGAATTCAATCCAGCGGTCGTCCTTATGCTCTGCAGCCCTCTGAGCCCTGGCAGCTGTCCTTGTGACTGAGGCATGACACTCAGACCTTTGCTGACACTGTCCTTCCTTCTTGTCTTTCACCCACGGCTGATCCTGTTTTCCACATACACACTCATGGCACGTAAGTCTATGGAACTGCTTGGGGGGAAATCTTCTCCTCCAGGATCCTCGTCTCAGGACTGCAATCTCCCACTTGTTCAGGAGATTGATAGGAACGCTTAATCAGGGAAGCACTGCCTGCTTCTCTGCAGGGGTCCTTCCCTGCACCAGCCATTTTCCCATACTTTAAAGGAGGGCTAGATGCTTCAGAACATATTCTCCACTAATGAGAAAGCTCTTTATATCTTATAAAGCACATCCATATTCAGCACTTAATTTGTTCCTCAAGATGACCCTCTGGAGGAGGCAAGAAATGATATTATTTTCTTTTCACTGATTAGGAAAATGACGTTCACAGTGGTCTGCATTGTCCAAGGCTATGTGACAAAGTAAGTGGCTGTCAAAATAACTCAAGCTTACTGAAAATGAGCATGTTGCCTTTCACTATGCTGGTTCCCTACTCCACAGGTGACTTCTATGGCTACTACTACTTAGCAATCTCTTCTTCCCTAATTAGCAAAAAGAACTCTTTTCTGTACTTACTCTATTCTATGAAATTGAAGAGAGGGAGTACACAAGTCAAATGAACAATCTGACATAGCTTTGAGAATCAGTTTCAGTGTCATCTCTGGGAAGCTACATCTAGTATCCTCAACCCAAAACTCCCCCTCTGCTTTTTGTTTCCGTAGCATCCTGTGTATACATTTACATTGTATGTAAATAATCTATTTGTGCATTTGTCCTTTTCCCTTAGATGTAAGGCCATTGAGTTCAAGGACCATGTCTTACTCATTCTTGTATTTTCTGGTACCTGAACATGGTAAACACAAGTGTTTGATCGAATGGCTGATTGAATAAGCAATGCAGTCAACAGTATTAAGAGTAAAGTGGTATCTAAAGGCAATGCACATTGATTGTCATTTTACTGAGGAGAACTCTGATCTTACAGAGTGAAGAGGACATATTTAAGGTCAGAAAAAATAAGACCCAGGAGCAGAATTACTCAAGTTCTCTGTCCTTCCAAATTACCCTGTTCTGTAACCTGTAAACATAATAAAGCATGTCCCAAACTACATTGCTGCAGGAGATCTACTCCTCCAGAAGTACTTCCGAACATTTCTTGGAAATGTTTACAGGTTCTGATTATCCAGACTATGAGTAAAGTCTGCTTTTTGGTCCACCTTCTGTGGTTCCATGGCCACTTTGATCAGCTACTTGTTCTCTCCCCTTAGGGATTCCTCTAATCATGGACGTGGCCCTTCTGCCATTCCCCAAATGTTGAACACAAGGTTCAAAAACATTTACCAAGTACAAGAAGATAGCAAAAGAAAATTGGAAAGCCAGAATGGGAAAACTGAATATTGGATATTAGACAACAATGCTTCCTGGAGCCCACCTGCAAATCACATCAGGAGAGGGTTAGGGCTGCCTGTGTCTCTCTGCGGCTCCTGCCTTCCCACACTGTTAGTGCCTGCTCTTCAGAGGCACACCTGTCAGATCTTTTCCCTGAGGATTAGCCTGATACCCCCAACTCTGATCTTCAGTACTGCAAGCAGAGACCTAAAAGAAACTTTTAATATAGAAAGGGAAAATCTTAGGAAGGTGGATTTCACTCCCCACTTGCATGACTCATTAAGCAAAATCTGTCAAGGCAGGTCTGGGGACTTTGCATTGACATTTCTTCACCAGTATTGGCTCCCCAAAGGTCAAAGAGTAGGTGCTTACCTGTGCATAGCCAGAACATTCCAAAGAGTGAACTCGCCCAGAAGTGAGAGTGGTATGCCTCAAAGAAAAATTCTTACTTCCTTATTTAACTACAGGGAAAAAAAAAATCACAGTAAGCTTAGAACATACCCATTTTGTTCCAGTTTCAGTAAATCAAATATTCAAATATTCAGCCTTAGAGCAGTTTTTTCAAAACTTGGGGACTACCTGACTAAGTACAGATAGCCAATGGCAAATATTTGTCATCTGTGTGTATTATTAATAATAATTAATATTTATTGAGTGAGTACTATATGCCAGTGACGGTGCTTAGCACTTTACATGCATTCTCTTCTTTAATCCTCAGAAAAGTTTATGGAAAGGCACAATGACGCATTCAGGGTGTGGTTTAGGGTGCGGCTGGCTTGGCACCCAAATCCTACCATTTATTTTTCCTCTTCTCTGGAGTTCCCAGCCAAAAAGCATATTCACCAAAGAATCAGCAGCCATATGGGTAAGTAAGTGCTGATGTTTTTAATGTCTCTTATGAAATAGGATTAGAGAAGAATGCTGAAGTTTAGGAGAGTGAAGTCTTTGTAGGAGAAGCAGACCTGGTGCTACCCCCGCCTCAGCCTTCAGCTTGACTAGAGGCTGGAACAAATCACAGTGTTGTCTGCTTCCTAAAGTGGAACCAATAATGGGGGAAAGGGTCTTGAAATGTGACTTTAAGATATTGCCACTATGCCCAGTGAACTCAGGTTCTGGCTAATAGATGAACCTAGGAAGGATCCAGTGAGGTAGGATGGACAGAGGAGTATGACATAAGGAAGGAAGTGAAGTGAAGTTGTTGCTCCCTATGGGTCAAAGAAAATTAGTGAATACAGAGGCACACAAGCATTGCCTTTTCCATTTTACAAGGGAGATAATAAAAGCCTAATGAAGTTAAATACTTTTCCCACTGTCACAAGGCTAGAAACTGGTCTTCAAAGGCAAGCTCTCAGGCTTCAAATACTTAACTCTTAACAGTTGCCTAATAACACCACCTCTAATCCTTCACTCTTGCTATACCCTAATATACAGAAATTCAACTTTTTCAACATTCTCCCCCATTATTTTAAGAAAACTCCAAAGGATATCTCTCATTTGTGTTCATGAACTTGGCTTGCCTTCATCACATCACGCCTGTCACTGCTTTGCTTTTCTGCTCCAGCGGGTTTTGGGGTCTTATTACTGGTGAAGCTGCTAAAATATTCCTTTCAGCAGTCTCTGGAGACCTATTGGGCTACACCTCACGCCTCCAGGGATCCAAGGAGTCTCAGAATCTGGAGTCGTCTTGTACTGCATTCATGCTGGCTTCGATGCAGAGATAGGGAGAAGTCTATCTCTTACTATTTCTTTAACATGGACGCCCAGGAAAGTGCCATGGTGTCCTTGAGCATTTTAGATAAATCTGTTCCTTCAGTTTCTGCTTGCAGAATCAGATGCTGCCTGCAGGACCGGTCAAGATGACCATGACTAAGCAGTGAGCTATTCAGCCATCCCCTTCCATTTTGGTTTGTGATGTCCTGTATCAAATGCCCTTGTAATTTATTTCTTGTGCCTACCCCCAAATTTCTAAGATTTTCTAGGATGTTCTTGAATCCCAGGGACAGATCAGCTTTAATTGAACCATGGAAACTTTGAAGTATTAAAAATTGTTTCATTAATCTTTCACACAGAGCTAACACATCCCTCAGTATTAGTATGCAAGAAAGGGGAAAATATATGCGCAGGGACCACATTGTCATGGTCTACAAGTGCTGCCAGCTTTCCTATACACCACACCATGGGAACACCTAAAAGGAACCCCTGGAATAGACTTGGATATTTACTGAGAATTGGACTTCTGACTTACCAGATTCTCCTGCTGCTCATTTCTCTCTGCTCTTTAATCACCTGGCTTTGTCCTCTGTCCTCATACTGCCAACTTGTTCAGGTTGCCTTACTGGGTAGATATCCCTGTATCCCAAACACACACAGCCAACTCTCACCTCTGTTGTTACACATACTTCTGAATTAGAGACCCTTTCCATCAGGTTTGGGTTCATGGAATAGAATTAACCCCTCAGTTCTCAAGCAGAGAAAATAATATCATACACTTCTGGTATCTGCATATCCAAGTTTCTAGCTGTATGCCCATCTAAAAACAAACATACATGGAGTAATATTCAGCCATAAAAATAAAAGAAATAATGGCATTCGTAGCAACCTGGATGGAATTGGAGACCATTATTCTAGTGAATTAACTCCAGAATGAAAAACCAAACATCATATATTCTCACTCATAAGTGGGAGCTAAGCTATGAGGATGCAAAAGCATAAGAATGATACAATAGACTTTGGGGAGGGGGAGTGCGAGGGAGATGAGGGATGGAAGAATAGAAATTGGGTACAGTGTATACTGCTTGGGTGACGGGTGCACTAAAATCTCACAAATCACCACTAAAGAACTTATTCATGTAACCAAGCACCCACTGTTCCCCAATAACCTATGGACATTTTAAAAAGAATTAAGTTAAAAAATAAAGACAAACAAAAACAACCAACAATCAAAAAACAAAATCAACGATTAGGTTTCTAGGATATCATAGCATCATGACTTAAAGCCTTATTGAATAATTCTTTTCAAACCTATCTTGCTAAACACCTGAGCTATACAAGCTCTCGCCATGGAGGTGATTGTGAGCCCATAGAGCTGGATAAGACCCAGTACTTTGAAGAGAACTAATGGGAAAATACAAAATGCATGTAGAGAATTCTCCTAAAAATGATTTATTTTGATACTTCATATGTAACAATAATGTGAATAATTATAATTGAAGGCAGTATGATATAAGGGCCATTAAAAGATATGGGCAAGTTGTTATTCCAGCTGAGGCAATAAGGAAGCATCTGGGAAATTTTGATTACATTTTGATATATGACAAGTGAAGAATGGTTTCGTTACAAAGGGAAAAACGGTAGGACTCAAGTCTTTGCAAGTGGCAAGTTGAATTTGATGTTGTTTGACCTGAATGTCAAACATAGGCACACATTCAGGGGATACAAATAGTGAGCCTGGTTGCTCACGTCAAAAATTTCAAACTATTTCATAGGCAGTGAAAAATTTTTGAAGAGTTCTGATTCCGGGAGCACTGTGATTAGAAAGTGACTTAAGAACCTATCAGCAATATAAATGATTGAACTGGAGACAGGCAAGAAAAGAGACAAGGAAGGCAGCTGGAATTCTCTTTGACCAGCCTAGAGGCGAGGTGGGCATGTACAATCCTTGGGGCCTACGTCTTTATAATTAGTAGTATCTATTTCTTGTTTACTTCTTATACAATTCATTGTATCTTATTGCAGAAAGTTGGAAAAATACTGAAGAAAAAAATTAATCCACAATTCTTTATTTAGGAACACAGTGGTTTATTTTTTTTCTATTTACATTCTTGCTTTTTTCTGTATAATTTTGTGTGTGAATTCATATTTTTGCAGAGTTGAGATCATAATGCACATTTAGTAGTGGGGTTTTTTTGTTTTGTTTTGTTTTGTGTTGTGTTGTGTTGTTTTTGAGATGGAGTCTCTCGCTGTGTCACCCAGGCTGGAGTGCAGTGGCGCCGTCTCGGCTCACTGCAAGCTCCGCCTCCTGGGTTCACGCCATTCTCCTGCCTCAGCCTCCCGAGTAGCTGGGACTGGAGGCGCCCGCCACCACGCCCGGCTAATGTTTTGTATTTTTAGTAGAGACAGGGTTTCACCGTGTTAGCTAGGATGGTCTTGATCTCTTGACCTCGTGATCCACCCATCTCGACCTCCCAGAGTGCTGGGATTCCAGGCGTGAGCCACCGCGCCTGGCCAGTAGTGGGTTTTAGACCATGTCATATCACATGCATTTTCCATGCATGCTAATAAATCGCTTTAATCTTTCAGAAAAATGATAGAAAATTGAATATAAACCTTTATTTTTTCTTAAAATTTAAAAAATATTATTTTTTCTTATAATAGTAAATTATGTTTTCTAAAATTGAAAATATTAAGGCACAAGGAAGGAAACAAAATTAGGCTATAAGGCCATAATTTGGAGATAAACACTGATGAGTATCCTTCAAGCATATTTTATACATAAAAATACATTTAGAAATTAGAATAACATGGTATAACATGGTTTAAAACCTTTTCGTTTCTGCTTAACAACTAATTGGGAAGTGTTTCTTTTTTTTGCTTGTGATAAAAATCATTTAAAAGTATATTAAGTGTTGCATAATATTACATCATATAGATATGTCATCAGTCATTCATGCCTGACTATAATTATTTATTCATGCTTCAAAGCCAAGACTACACTCAAAGACAGCTTATTAATGCTTTCATTACAAATCAAGAAAGAAAGTAACCAAGCCTGGAAATGAGTTAGAAAGACACCAATAAAATGAACTTGAGAAGAGTAGGAAGAAGGATTCAATAAAGATAAAACCAAATAGCAATGAATTGAGAAATGGAAAAATGATAAATAAATGTATTTGATGAATAAATGGAGTTGATAACACTGTTATTTGAAACTGCAATAAATTTTGATCTTCAGCCTTGGACTATGTGGATTCTTCTTCCAGCTCCACTAACAGCAGTCCTGAGAGAACATACCAGTTGGGCCTAATTTTTGGCCTCACTTTCTTCACTCCAACTCAGTGACTTTTTTTTTTTATAAAGAATCCATAAATATGCAATTCATTTAATGGAGTTTAAATAAGTATAAGGAGCTTTTGTAAAATTAGGAGGTTATTATTTTGACTCAAAATATTTTAGCCTAGATTAAAATACTTCTTGGATAAGTCAGATCTCACATATATGAGAGATATATCTCAAAATCCCAAGGACAGGTTTCAAAGTCATAAGCTCTTGTAGAGATTTTGAATTTGGGGAGAGGTCTAAAGCCTCCTTCTTAGATTGTTCTTACAAAGCTTAAAGAAAACAGATGAATATTCTTGCTCTACAGAGGAGGCAGCTGAAAGACTGGCTTAGTCAAGATATCATAATGCAAGTTTAATGCCAAATCCCTGCTTTCATATTGCTTCTCCACTAGTCACTCACTCACTCCATAGACTTAATTGTGTTCATCTCTGTACCTTGGATTTTCTACTGTAACCCTGAGGATGCCGTGCTTCCCAAACACTCTGAGAGATGAGAAAAGAAATGACCATTTTGAAGAACAGCAACCATTTTTTATGATTTCACTATCAAAAAGTTTATCTGACTTCAAATTCTGTTTTTCAGTTCTTTGAAAGCCTAGCCAGCTGAATTTATAAGACTAGCTTTGGATAGGACACCAGAAACCAGCAGAATATAGCACACATTTGAAGACATGAAGGTTGCCCATTGGTGTGATATAATTTCTTATCTCTTAATAATTGAAGCTTCATTATATTTCGCCACAACCTAACTTCAATCTTCCTTACTGATATTATTATTTGAGGTCAGAAACTTTTCTCTGAGGAAAAGCAGTTATGTCCAAGTCTTTCTTATATTTAGTTGCAAAAAAAAAAAAAAGGTAATTTGTTCTTCGTTCACTCATTCATTAATTTATTCAGTAAATGTAACCACTTGCTTGATCAGGCACTCCATTAGATGCTTTGCAGGATACAAAAACAAAAAAGACATAGTTTCTGCCCTTCGGGCTTTAACAATTTTATAAGCAAAGAACTTAATACAAAACAACAACAACAAAAAGAGATAGAGCTATTCAGAGATGGGATTTGTCTGAATTGGGCCTGGGATGCTTTAGAAAAGTGACAACTCAATTGTACCCTGAAGAATGTGGGATTGTGGGATGGGGAAGGACTCCAATCTGTGGTGAAGCCGACCTTGTCAGCCTTGTTCTACTATCCTAGGGGATGGAGTGTTTTACATTCATGTCAAAACTTACAACACCATACAGCCTGTGTTGCAAAAATATTATTTTGGCTCCCAAGTGAGAGATATGAGGCAGAGACATTATAGAAGCACTTCTGTCTCCACAAAGCAGAAGTGGAAAGGGCTGAGAGAGGACTGATGCTGTGGAGGGGGCGCTGAGAGAGGAGTGATGTTGTGGAGGGGAACTGATAGTCTCTGTGTTTAACAATCACTACCAAAAGGAAGCTTTCCTTTCATTCATATCATTTTAGAGATGCGAAGCACAGTTTACTGGCATTAATTTGTCTTTATTCATCTTCTCTAAAATAGCTAGCAGGTTCTGTACAAATGATATCTTCTTGGCATGTTAGATGGCAGTGATGCTTTCCACAAAAGCCTTAAATTGGGCCGTGCACTTGTATCTCTGTAATAGCCATCCTTGTTGTTATAAACTAAAAATGTGGCACTCATTCCGGAACATGCTCAACCCTCTGCTTAGCTGTGAGCTCATGCAGGAAAACATCACCACCTATCCACACAGAAGGATTGGAAGTTTATGTTGCTCCAAAACTAGAAGCAAATGAATGTTTGAGCAATTTAGACAAAATGGTTATTTTTAACTTTGGTATCATTTGAAATTTTTTGAGTCATTTACAGGAAAATTGTTGCAGTTTATTTTAGGAGTAATCAGCTTTATCACGACTAGGATAACATTTCTGAGTGCAAATTAGTTATTTTTGACATTTGAGCTATGCTCTTTTGTGAGTTTTCTTTTTGTGCCAACCCTAGTACTGTGTAGTAGTTTGTGATTGAATTGTCTATATATCTGTGATAACCAAATTTTAAAATTAGGTTAATAAAGATAAACTAGAAATGTTTTATTTATGTAATTTGTTTATTCCAACAATAAATGATTATCCGCTCTATTCCAGGCACTGTACTAAATAACAGATTTAGGGTTGGCATGGCCTTTGCCCTTCTGGAACTTACGTTCTTACAGGAGTCTAAGACAGATACACAAGTATCTCTACTACAGTTCATAATGTTATGGGTGTCTCTAAGCAAAATACTGGAGCACAAAAGATAAAATATTAATTTCATTAGAAGAATACAAAAAATAAATCAAATGATATAACATTTTAGACAGACTTAAGGAATGAGTGCTGGGATTCAAACAAGTAGAAATCAAAGAACATTCCAGAATGAAGAAACAACATGTGTAAAGAAGTGAAAGCGTAAAGTGTCTCTGGAAAGGCAGCATAATCAAGTAGAAAGAGCCTGGGGACATACACACATATCTGTGCCCTACTCAACCCTCTTACAGGTGACTCTCTTGTAGGCAAGTTACTCAACTTCTCTTGAAAACTGAGATTATGTCTATCTTGATGTGCTATTTTTTTTACTAAATAAGATAATGAATGTAAAAGCATCTGGCACCTTGAGAAGGCTCAATCAATATAGCCTAACATTATTCTAGAGAAACATGTTTCCTTGAGGTAGAGTATGGGGTGTGTAAATGGGAGTGTGGAGGGAGCTGAGGTCAGATAAGATTGTACCGAATCATGTGAAAGCAAAGCTAAATCATTAAGAATTTATTCTGAAACTAATCAGGAGCTCTTGACTCTTTAAGCAGGTCTGGGACATGGTTAGATTTAGGTTCTAGAGAGATCAACCTGGAACTAGGAGGAGAGCAGATTGCAGAAGAGTGAAACTAAGCATGGATGGGAAGGCTGTTGTAGTGATCCAGTTTAGAGGGGTTGAAGATTTGAACTCTGCATTGGATTTGAGCTAGAAGGAGGGAGTGTATCCACAAGAAATGTAGTGCAAATGCATTAAGCGAGTTGGCAGGGTCTGGGGACTACTAGAATATGCCACTGGAAAATCCTAAATTATCTCCCCATGGAACACTGCTGGCTGAAGTACACACAACTTGTATTTTCTTCTGCAGTAGCACAGATGCATCTGCCTATTTGCCCAGCTGCTTGCAGTTGGAAGAAGCTAAGTCTACATCGAGAGAAACACGGCTATTTTCTGCAGCTAAGTCATTTACAGGCACAAGGGAGTGGAGAAGGAATTTAATTGTGCTATTGTCTAAATGTTTTGGTGCTAATTGACAGACCTTCTTGGGGAGAAATTGGAATAATCTAGTAGATTCTATACTTATTTTGCAGATCAAGAAACTGAACCCAGAAATAGGCAAGTGATCTATCTAACAATCAGAGTGTGCAAAGCACTGGATCCGGGACTCAAACTCAGGTTTTTACACTCTCCGCCAATTTCGCTCTAGTGTTACTCTCTTTGATAAAATGCCTTCCTGAAGAATGTAAGCAGACGTCACTAACAGCTAAGGAATGAGTATGAATTTTGTCTATCTTCATCAACACAGAGATAAATACACTATTTAATTTCCCATTTGATGATTAAATGCCAGTTGAAGGTCAATCAAATAGAGCTAAAATATCCTAAAATTCATATGCAAATCAATAGTAAAAATATTAGTTGATTTATGAGAGTCTACATCCACAGACCTACAGAAGCACATTGCCGTAGTAAAGTCAGGCAAAATGATTTTGTTTTCTTAATTTTGATTATAAATTCATGGGGACTTGTTCAAAAAATGATGAGGGTACAAATTAGAATTAGCCCAGGGGTGATTCTACACGAATAGAAAATGTTAATTCTCCAAAATTTAAGCTATAAGTAGCAACACAAATGTTACTAAAACACTTTAAGATTAAAATCCTCTACCCTTTCCAGTGACTCAGCACTTATCGTTTTTGCTTGGGAACCAAATATTACACAGACTATAATTCTAAATTATTGATACCTATCTTTCTAAAGGCCATTTGAAAATCGTCTGGATGTTACTTATTGTTCACATTTTACTGACATCTTTAAAGCACATTTAGAAACTATTTTAGAATATCTTGATTGAAATCATTATTATGAATATAATGTCACAGATATTAGACCTGGACATGTTCCTAAATATGATGTACTATTTGTGATTCCCAATGTGATGAAATACATATAACGAGGTTATGAGAACTTCTAGTAGGATGGGAAGAATGAATGCAAACCTACTGAGGCCTCTAGTGTAAAGATAGAGTTATTTATCTTATCCTCAGGGGGCAAAGAATATTTAATGTAGAAGGAAGTTTTACAAATGGGCCAACTTCTAGAAGCAGAGAGTAGAACTGTGGTTGTCAGAGACTGGGGGATGGAGAAAATGGAGGGGGGGGATGTTGGTCAGAGGGTACAAACTTTCACTTACCAAATGAACAACTTCTGGGGATCTCATGTGCAGGTAATGAATATGTTAATTTGATTATCATAATTATTGCATAATATATAGATATATAAAATCATGTTGTACATCTTGAATGTATTTAACCTTTGTATTCCAATTAAATATTTTATAATGTTAAAAAGCATTTTTAAATTGTTAAATGGGCCAAATGCAAGGTGCAATAACATTGCTGTCTGGGTAAAGGAAGAAAGCAATGAACTGGAATAAAAGGATCTGAGTTCAAATTCTGGTTCTATCACTGCCCTGGGTTAAGTCTCTCAGTCTGTTGCCATTTTTCTCTGTTTGCTTCAGTCACCTAACTTGTAAGCAGGCGACCATTCTGAATGTTCCTTTAGGGTCTGACCTATGATTACATGATTCTTCCATTGTCAAGTGTGTTACTGTAAGCAGAGATCGGAGCAGGCAGAGAGATAAGAAGCCCAATTTAACTCAGAAATATAGAACATTAAAATGCACTTTCATCTAAACTAGTATTTTATTTTAAAAAGTGACATTTAATGAGCACTACTAAGTACCAGAGATTGTGCAAAGCATATTAAATGTTTTCACTCATTAAATCTTTCGACTCTATGAAGTAGGTACTATTTGGTCTTAGCAACTTCTTCACATCATAGGATATTTTTGTCATGTATCTAACAGGAAATTTAAGCAGCCTTGCTAGTGTTACTGTAAGCAGGATGTGAATCCAAGACAGCTATCTGAAAACATTACCAGAGCATCTCTTTTGACTAGAGAGAGCTCATTGGCCATGCATGTGTCTGTCATGACCAATGACGTGCCCTCCTGCCCAGAGTTACCAGTATCGCTAGGCTGGCAACAAGTCTTAGGAAGTTTACGTCATCTCTATATTTTTGAAGTTACTAAATGTGAAAAATATCATGACCTCAGTGTTCCCTTGCTGAGCCAGATTCATAGCATTACCACCACCTGCTCTTCCAAAGGTTTCCATTTAATGCAGGTTTAAAAATAAGGACTCTGAACTCTCTCTTGCTTTCTTTAGAGGAAAGGTGTAAGTCTGGTTGGAGTGTTTAAGAAATTCCAGGGTGATGCAGTGGAAAAAAACATGTCTCAGCTTTGCCACATGACCCTGCGCAAGTCAACTGCACAGGCCTTCAATTTCTCCATCTCTGTAACAGAGTGATTAAATAAGACAATTTGTTTGTAGGAAAAAGGACATGGATTGGGTTATGTGTCAGTTTATCTTTAAAATCCATTTAAAGCTTGAAAATGAAATTGTGCAATACTTGGTAAACACGTATTGGCTAACAAACTGCTTAAAATAGGTAGTTTAGAACCTTTTAACCCTTCCTTCCTTCCTTCACTTCCTTCCTTCCTTCCTGCACTTCCTTCCTTCCTTCACTTCCTTCCTTCCTTCCTTCACTTCCTTCCTTCCTTCCTTCACTTCCTTCCTTCCTTCCTTCACTTCCTTCACTTCCTTCCTTCCTTCCTTCACTTCCTTCCTTCCTTCCTTCCTTCCTTCCTTCCTTCCTTCCTTGTTTTCCCATCCAGACACCACTTTAAGTGCTAGAAATGCAGTTCTGAATAAAATAGACAAGGCCTCTCTTTTCTTGGAACACACATTCTGGTGGTATAAGTGGAGGACATGAAAAGAATACAATGACAAAATAGGTTTTAAAGTGATTGAATGCAAGTAGGGCTTTTATATTTCATAAAGGGCTATTAAAATAGGTTTCTCTGAGGGGGAAACATTTTGCTGAGATCCCAATGTTGAACTGGGGCCGGTGTTGTTCTGAGGGGAGACTATCACAGACGGAAGACCCAGAAAGTGCAAATGGGCTGAGGAAAGCTTGAGCATGGCCTGTCCACACAACAGAAAGAAGGCTCCATGTCTGGAGCCTGGGGTACATGGAGGAGAGTGGAAGAAATGGAATTAGAAAGGTAGCGCCAGCCAGGCCATGTACTGCATGTTAAGAGCTCTGATTTGTATTTAAAAGTCACTGAAGTGTTTTCAGTATAGTTTGATGCATTTCACATTTTTAAATTATTACTCTAACTGCAATGATTTTAGGAGGTAAGAATAGAAGCAGAAAAATGCATTAGCAAAATAAAAAGTGTACCAGGATCCAGAAAAGTGGAGTAACCAGAAGGATTATTGGAAAAAGTAGAAATTGAACGAAAATCGAATTTGAATGCCTCCAGTACCAGGCAACCCATTATCTTTTAAGGCAGATGAATCTATTTTTAAACAACTTCATCTCTCAGAAAGTACATGCCACAATTTATCACAGTATACAATATGTGCTCAGTAAGTGTTATTTCTCCCATCCTTGCACTGTAGTGTTCACACATCAGTCCTGGATTCATCCCTTGGGATCACACAAAATGATTTTAACAACTTAATTAAAATCCACTCAGTAAGCAGAGGCTAAGCATTCTGATTTCCATTTATTAGTCTAATTGTGGACAGCTTCATATTCAGTGACAGATCAACACCATTATTTCTTTCTTTCCCATAGGTCTACAGTTCTTATTAGACACAAGCTAGAATTGTGCTATGATGAAAACATTATTCTTCTTTGACTATATATACATGGTGAAAAGAGGTTGGGTGTTGAGGGACTTAGGCTGGTTCAACTTTTTATCAATTTTCAAGTCCTGCTAGTCTCTCGAGGAAGACGTATGTTCCTTAAGTGAAACCAAGTGGGTTGGCCTTAAACAGCTTTAGTCTCAGTGACCAGAAGACAGCTTGTGAAAGGTGAAAGAAGGCATGGTTCTGACCGTAAGGGCTGACTGAGCTCTGGAAAGCAAGGGAGCCAGGCAAGAGGTATATAAAGTTGTCCTGGGGCCATACAGCTGAAATTAAGACAGCTTGGGAGACCAGGTGTACAATGGCTCGGACCTACAATTTTGGAGATAATTAACTAATAGAGTGTTAGAATTATTATAGAATATTGGAATCGATTTATTCCCATATTCATACTATGTAAGCTAGGCACTTTTCTGCTTATTATCATTTGTTCTCTTCAATTCACATTTATGTTCATAAAGTAATTTTGAACAATTCTATCTTATCTCAGCTGTTTTCAAGGAAACCAAGATATGGGGTACAAAACCACATTTGACCTAGAACATCAAAGGGAAAGCACCTTATCTCTGTGTTGTGGCACTGTGGGGGAAGAATCAGCAAAATTCTTAAAGGGCATGGTTGGACTCAAGCAGAGAGAATTTAGTGATCCTTTCCTCTTTTCTTTTCCAGTTAAATGTTCTGCTTTGATTCTTACACCCCACACGTTTTGTTTTAAATAAATGAAGACATTTTCCTTGCATCATCACCACCTTGATCCCTCCTCTAAACAGATGCTCGGATTCAGTTGTTTTCAAAATGTGGTCACCAGGCCAGAGGCATCAGCAACATCTTGGAACTGCTAGAAAGGCACATTCTTAGACCCCAGACAGACTTAAATGTGGCATACTTGGGATAGGTCTGAGCAATTTCTGTTTAACAGTCCCCTTCAGATGATTCTGATGCATATAAAAGTTAAAAAATCTCTGATCAAATTGTTCTTAAAATGAATAACTGAGAGAATCCCCACAATTTACCTGTGAGGTAGAGCAGTAATTCCTGCTGCCTGCAGTGAGCTGGAGGTGGACCTTGGATTAGAAATCAGTTCTCTTGAATTCCAGGCCATGGCTCTTTCCATTGCATATGCCCTCAACCTCAGAGCTTATAAAGAACTACAATCTAAAGGTTACTTGGAATATTATCATTCTTTTAGTTTTGTAGGTTTACCAAGCTGCAAAAAAAAAAAAAGAGTAATTTTATATTTAGAATTATGAATTAAGAGGGTAAGCAGAGATGTGCACAGCCATATGGATATGTAGATATTTATTGAAATATCATTTATGACAGAATTTTTTAAAATAAAAAACTGAGAAGTTAAATGATCAACAGATAAAATGAATAATTTTATAATATATCCAAATATTCTGATACTACAGAGCCATTAAAAATAATGTTTTCAAATGATACGTGGTTATACAGAAAAAAATATACTTGGTACGAAATTACAAGAGCATAACATAAAACTGTATATGTCTAAAAATCCTTATATTTTAAACAAATGTGCCTAGAGATTGTATTTGTAGAAAATATAAGTATTAAAAATGGAAAAGAATGTACCAACATTGTAAAGATAATTATCACTGAGTAATAGTTTAATGGTGACTTTTTCTTCTTGCTTGTCTTTCTTATTCAACATTTCTTTAATTAATTTTTTGAACTTCATTATCCACGAGTTTTCATCAAGCATACCCATGCCAGTTTCTTATTTCAATTATAGCGCTCAGCTTCTGGATAAACCAACTTCTTGTGTCCTTTATTCTCATCTGGGCCATCAATCCATGAGTGCGAAGTGAACTATAAGTGTAAAGAACTCTGATAATATTAAGAACCATTATTAAATATGATTACCAACTATGAAGTTTCTCATTTTGTGTCATATGTCTCAGCAATATTAAATACCACAAGGGAGGAAGTTGGAACTTTATTTTTCACAGAAGAAACCTCAAGTTGCTGTGTTTTTGCATATTTATTCTTCATTTAGACAACAGTGACAGGCAACTATTTTAGGGATTATCAAGAGCTTTCCTCTTATTATCCCCTAATCTATCCTCTTTTCTTTCAACATGGCTTAGCCAGAGTTAAGAGAAATGTTTTGCTTTTATGACTTGCAAGAAATACTATGTAAAAACTTGTTAAACATTAAATAATAAGAATTAGAATGATAATAAATGTTTTTGTCAGGGTAAATGCTAATGTCTCTAGGTACACCTCATCTACGCACTTATATTCTTCACTAAAGGGAGACAGAAAAAGGGAACAAGAGAAAGATAACTGTAGTTTATTGGGAATAAATGTGTTAATTCCAAAAATATTTACTGAGTGCATATTCTGTGTGAGGCACTGTGCTGAGCATTACTGTGAAAGCACATCATGAAGTTCATAGTTTAATGGAGCTCATGAAACATTATTAGACATAGACATCAGAACTCAAATTAAAGTTAAAAAAGAGAGTAGACCAGAAGAGACGTAAAAGGTCAATAGTGATGAGCATTCAGAAGAGGAATGTGTATTTCCACTGAAACTAGAAGTTTGTTTGGAAGTGTTGAGGAGATGACGAATAGGAGATCCTTCCAAAGGAAGCATAAGCAGGAACTTTAGGGTGGCAAATGATGGCATAGACATGAAAACACAAGTAGTGTTCTTTCCCTAGAGCATATATCCCTACTGACATGCTATTTTGAAGTTTGTTCACCTAGAACAGCAAACAGGAAGCCCTCAGTAAATGGTAACTCATGATATCACACTTGGAGTAAATTGATTTGGGGAAGAAGAGGAATGAATATAGCCTGGCTACCCTGAGGACTGCTTCTGCCCAAACACACATTTCCCAAAACTCCAAACTGACTAACCGAACAAAAATTCCAACTCAAGAAATCTTGAACATGATGTGTTTTTAGAGTAAGTTACCTCGAAGGGGCCATAGATGGTTGTCTATCATACACTAAATATGCCCATTCTACACTAAACTTCTCAGAAATTTTCTTGCTCTTCATCTTTTTCCTTCACTTTCCCCTTCTTCTTGTGATGTGGCTCATCCTTTCCAGAAGAGTGAGTATGGAATGCAGTTGACTTTCCCCTTTGGAGCAGGGATTTCTCGCCAGGAAATATTCCCAGGACACCTTGGTAAATAAAAGTATTTGTCTTCTGTAGGAAAGAAGCAGAAGCAGAGGTAGAAAAGGGAAATGGAAACCTTACCCAACATCAAGAAGCTGTGAAATGATAGAGGTAAGATTTTATTCAGCCACGCGCTGTGGCATAGGCAATATTCTGTACTACCTGATACTAATGTGCCTACCTGATTTTGGGAACCCTTCAGGGCACACCTGGAGGTCAGTATTTATTTCATTAGGAAATCTTGCCAACTTATTTTAATGGCAAAGCAGACACCTTAGCTATGGTTGTTGTGAAGTACACAACAAAAGCTTCTCCTAAGATGTGTTAGGCAGGGACTCAAGGACTTAACATTTTGTGAGCCATGGGAAGAATTAAGCCTTTCTGAGGAGTGGTCCCAGCTTTGTCTGTAAATTAGAATCACTTGGGGAAATTTAAAAAACACAAATGCCCAGCTCTACCTCAAATTTTCTGGTGATAGATTTGAGGTGAAACCTCAGTAGTGGTAGCTTCAGTAGTTTGCTAAAACTCCCAGGTGATTCTAATGTACAGTCAGACTTGAGAATCCTGCTCTAAAGGGATTGAAGAATCAAAGGAAAGTGGAAATGATCATGAAAGAGCCAAATATAAATGAGCAAAATAACCAGTAATTGTCTTGTCTTTGCGGGAAATTTTATATATAGCAAATATACATATGTAAACCAAAAATACTCATTTTTAATTTCTATTTCAGTAGTATTCCTGATGTTAAAATTTGCTTAAAAGAGAATGTAACAAAACAGCAGATGCTTTTGGGTAACTGTGTACAGATGAAGTGTTTTTTTCTATTCCTTCATATGTTTGTTTTTTTCAAAAACAGACTTTGAATGTGCTAATTCTATAATCAGACAATACAAATAAGACCCAAAGCAAAATCCACATGTTGAATCATTATATATATAATATAGAAATACATACCTATAATTACATGATAATTTGAGAGTTGTTCACATAAGAAAAGATCATTTAAACATAGTCACTGTTCAGACTTTTAAAATTAATTATTGACTTTAAATATCACTCACCTTATCAAATAAAAAGTTCATTCACATGGTCACCAAATGCTAGTGGCCACTGCACAATTTTTAATTATTTTTTTAACTCACTACAATGCCTGGAGGCAGGTGCTTTCATCAACTCCCTCTTGTAAGTGAGGAAATAAAGGTAAAGAGGGCTTAATTAACTTGCCCAAGATCAGGAGGCTGTGAAATGGCAGAGGGGAGATTTTATTCAGTCTTGCACTACGGCATAGACAATATTCTATACTCTCTGATATTAATGTGCCTACTTGATTTTGGAACTCTTCAGAGAACACATGGAGGTCAGTACTCATTTCATCTGGAAATCTTGCCTACTTAATGTTAAGGCAGGCACCTAAGCTGTATTTGATGCCAAGTACACAGCAAAACTTCTACCTGAAAGAATGAATAATAAAAGAAATTCAACAGCCACTGTGGAGAACAGTATGGAGGCTCCTCAAAAAACTGAAAATAAAGCTCCTGTATCATCCAGCAATTCCACTGCTAGGTATTTACCCCAAAGAAAGGAAATCAGTACACTGAAGAGATATACTCCCATGTTTATTGCAGCACTATTCACAATAGCCAAGATTTGGAATCAAGTGTCCATCAACAGATGAATGAATAAAGAAAATGTGGTACATAAACACAATGGGATATTATCCAGCCATAAAATATAAAATCCGGACATTTGCAACAACACAGATGGAAATGTAGGGCATTATGTTAAGTGGAATAAGCCAGGCACAGAAAGACAAATTTTGCCTGTACTCGCTCATGTGGGAGCTAAATTTTAAACAATTGAACTCACAGAGATAAAGGGCAAAATGACGGTTACCAGAGGCTGGGAAGGTTAGTGAGCAGGGAGGGGAAAGTGGGGATTGTAAATGGGTGCAAAAATATGGCCAGATAGAATGACTAAGATCTAGTGTTTGATAGCTCAATGAGGTGACTACGGTCCACGATCATTTATTCTATATTTTAAAACAACTAAGAGTCGAATTGGAATGTTCTCAACACATAGAAATTATAAATGCTTGAGATAATGGATATGTCAATTACCCTGATGTCATTATTATACATTGTATGCGTGTATCAAAATATCACATGTACCCAATAAATACATACATGTAACATGTACCCATTACATTTTTTAAAAATCAATGGCAGGTTTCTTATCACAGTGACATGAGTTACTTTAATAAACTCAGTAAAAAGTTTTAAAAAGAACCTCAAATCTACAATAGTTGCTGAATCTTAAACTTGTCACACGTTGAATATTAAGTGCAGAGAGTTAAGAGCTATTTTCCACTTAAATAACAACAATTGGAGGAAGTGGTGGTTATCAGTCATCTTTAGCCCTCACTTTAGTTTAATAGCCATTAGTAAAAAACAGAGATAAATTTTATAGGTGCTAATTGACCCTGCAAGAAGCCTTTGAACCTCTCCCACTAGCTTAGGACTTTTTCTTTGAAGCCTTGTTTTAACTAAAGTGTCCCAGCAAAAACCTGGGAAAAATATATGTTAGAGAAAAAGATGCAGGTACAAAACCTTTGCACTATATGAATAATTGTAAAACTATGGTTTAGTGACTGTGAGCAAAACAAACCTGACCAGTACTTGACCACAAAGGACTCCCCCAGTTACTCTAAAAGTTTTTTGAGGAAGTACTTTAGAAGATTTTGAATGTGTTATCACTCTATTCTGTTAATATTAGGAAGAGAGGAGAAAACAGCCTACATATTTACAGCACTATACAGCTTTCATAACTCATTTGATCCACATAAAAACCTTGTACGATCTGAAGATCAAATAGGTAAAATAACTCACCCAAGGTCACCCTGCCAATGAATAGAAAAATTGGAATTCAATTAAGAGAACTAGAGCAAGCTTCCTTTCACTGCACCGTAGCTGCCTTGCACATTCACTGTATCGTTGAGTTAGAGAAGTTGAATTAGAACAAGTAAGGAGATGAGGCACAAGTCTAGTCACGGAAGACCTAAGAAGAAAGTGAAGAGATTTTTTATAAGTACACTAGTCCTAAGCATTTACATTCTAGTTAAGCTCCCTGTTGACTAATATCCAAGAAAAAGCCAGGCATAATGAGAACAAAATAAAATCATACGCAAGAATCTTTATTTTGACCCAGGAATTATTCCAAGCTTGTTTCCCACCCATTTGCTTCTACCTTCTTTCTTCACTAGCTGTCCATGGTCTTCACATCATTTAGAAAGTGTGAATTTGGGAGATGGCAGAAAAAACAAAAAACAAAAAAAAGCAGTCTTCTAGAGAAAAACAGTGGGCTGGTTAGAAGATGACACCTTGGAATGGTGCAGAATTGACTTTGCCAAGGAGAAGGAGAGAAATGACTGCATTTCATCATAACTATGCTTGAAAGAATGGAGTAGATGACCCCTTACGGCCACTTCCACTTGCCAGATTTCATATGCAAACTTACTCCTTTTTTATCCCTCAGAACACTGGAAAGGTTTCAAAAGACAAGTAATCTTAGCACACTCTGTCCTTGGAGAATTGTGGATGAAAGGGGCACATAAATACCTGTTATTAGTTTCATGCAGCAATTTTAGTTGGATTTTCTTGACCCATCTCCCCTTTTGTAATATTTCTCAGGGAGTATGCATATATGTGAGAGTGTGTGTGTGTGTGTCTGTGTGTGTCTGTGTGTGTGTGTGTGTTTAAGTGGTTTTGACCTTAGGGTTCTCTTTGATTTATAGGCAGCTCTGTAAGTTATGCTGGGATGGTTTCAGAGCCTGTTTGTTCTGGCATCCCAGTAAAGCTTTGCTTCCCATGGCAACTCCAGCCTACGAAGAAAGGCCTCAGGGAAAATACAGCTTTCATTGCCAGAATGAGGCAATAGCACTTTTGGGGTGCTATTTTGTTGGGTGGTGTATTAATTCTTAAGCAACTCCACTCATGGAAAACTAAAAAAGCGTTACAGTCTGAATATTACCACAGACAGCAGCAATCTCAGTTTCTCTCAAAAAAGTTAATTGATTCCATGAGACTTTATTTAATTTGGGGTTTTTCAGGCACTGTCTGCACAGTAGCAAGATTGTGGGGCATGACCTTAATGAGTGGTTCTAACATATGCATGTTCCCTTCTAAACAGCCTTCCCATTTATAGTCTCAACTTCACAGTTTAACCTTAAGGTCAATTTTTGACTTTCACTGATGCTCTTCCCTGCTTGTATTCAAAAGGAACCTGTGCTTCTCAGTCTTGGCGTGTACATCAGAATTAACCAGGGAGCTTCCAATAAATGCCAATGCCCAGACCCTACCATTAGAGATTCTAATAGTGGTGGCATGGGGCAGGGTTTGGGTATCAATAGTTTTCAAAGGTCCCCAAGATATTTTAATGTGCAGCCAGTGTTAAGCACCGTTGATCTGGTCCATTTCCTTTGAGGTCCTGAGAAGGGAAATAATTTCCTTAAGGTCATTAAGCAAATAGGTTTATTTTTGACCACACATGTTGACTCGTGGTTGATTAAAATGCCTATGCGTAGTTAATTGTTCTCTGTTATTATCTACATAACGGTCATGCTATTTACATTGTAAATCAGGTAGTCTGTGGTAGTTGAGTCCCAAAATACAAGGTGTTGACTTCCATTGCATGTCATACCCACCAGAATCTGCCAGTTGCCATTAGGAGTGTGACTATGGCTAGGAGAGGAGAAAAAATGGTGCCAAGGTAGCAGACCTACTGCATTTCCTGACAAAATGTTTTCTGTATTGGAAAGGTGACTTATTTCCGTGGTAAAGAGTGCTCCTGGGTATTTAATGAAATTATTCTCAGTATGGCCTGGTGATGAAGATGCTCTAGTGGGCTCTGTATACTCCTGACCTTACTTCTGTATTGTTCAGCTAGGTCTAAGTGTGCCACAGAGTGTGAGACTTTGTCAGCTTTGGAAGCCAACTAGTTTATGATTATGCCAATCTTGTGCCAAGAGCTCTCAGCTTATCGGTATGTTTGTGGTTGAAGTCCCAACATAAGTACACATTTTATTTTCTGTTGTGGCTTCTGTGTGATATTTCCTAAGAGATAAAATCATTTTTGGTAATAATTTTTTCCTAACTTTTTAATGTATTTTTAACAATTTTCTATTAAAAGGCTTATTTCAACACCATAACACAAAGTCTAAATGTATGTTCTTATTTGTTTACCTTTGATTTTTTCTTTTACTGAAAAAATTAATAAATCATTTAGCTAAAATTACTGTTAATGTAATATGAATAAATTTAACTTACATAAATTTGGTTTAAATTAAGAATGTATAAGATTGATTTTATAAACCTACACACACACACACACACACACACTCACACACATGAATAAGAATGTAGCTTTCTGGAACTATAATTGTGTTCATATGAAGAATGCTACTTATAGCTGCCCAGGGACTCTACTTCTAAAGGGAAACAGATTCAGAAGCAGAAGTCTCAAAAAGAGAGAATTTACATTAACACTTGGCTTCTTATTGCCTCCATCAATACTGTTTCCCTTCCCCAAAAAACAGACAACTTCACCAAAAAGGAGGGAACTCCCTAGAACTTCTACCCTTCTACCCAGTGCCTCCAATTCTCTTTGCCCCAATCTTTTGCCTTCTGTGTCCAAATGACCTGCGTATTTCCACATACAAAGACACAAACATTTAGAGAGTTAATGCCAGATTTCTCTCACTGAATGGAAAAGCTAGAAGGTCTCTTAGAGAAAATGTAGTGCAAGATCTCTGGGCCGGGTGCGGTGGCTTACGCTTGTAATCCCAGCACTTTGGGAGACTGAGGAGGGCAGATCACCTGAGGTCAGGAGTTCAAGACCAGCCTGACCAACATGGTGAAACCCTGTCTCTACTATAAATACAAAAATTAGCCAGGTGTGGTGGCGGACGCCTGTCATCCCAGCTACTCAGGAGGCTGAGGCAGGAGAATCACCTGAACCCAGGAGGCGGGGGTTGCAGTGAGATGAGACCATACCATTGCACTGCAGCCTGGGCAACAAGAGTGAAACCCTGTCTCAAAAAAAAAAAAAAAAAATCTATGTACTTGGCCTACCCTTCCCTACCCTACCATCTGCTCTCATTTCACAGATGAAATGTCTGAGGCTCAGGGAAGTTAAGTGACTTGCCCATACTCTAGCTTGGTGAAAACCTAGGACTCAAATATTCTCAGGAGTTCTATTTCTCTTGCTTTATAAAATGAAATTATTATAATATAAAATTAGCTAAATGTTAACACAATAGCTCCAATATGCTCTTCAGGATTGTTTTATGTGCATAATACATGTACATTAATCCTGTGTACAGAATTCACTTGTTTAACTCTTGGTTATCCATACTCATAGAAGCAACACTCGTTTTGATAAGCATCAGTTGTTGAGTAGAACACCAAAGATCATTGGAGCTTGAAGACACGTTTGGTATCACTACTCCAACACACCTATTAGCAGGGAAACATAGACCTGAAGAAGGCATGCAAATTCTCAAAATCACTTAGTTGTTAAGGAAGCTTCTAGAATATGAGCAATTAATTTTGTTTTATCTTAGGCTTAATATTTTCAGAATTCCATGATAAATAGTGTGAAAATTGTGACTACCAAGTATCTCACAAGAGAAAAAGAGAAAGCTTATAACGAAAGTCCAGAAGTGTGACTTGAGCTCTCTTAGTGATCTCAGATAAACATCTCTAGGCTTGTCAACTCCACCAACTGTCAAATGGGGGCAATAGAGTAGAAGACCTTTACAGTTCTGCTTTTTTCTGAAAACCTTTCTTTTCAATGAAACTGGCAGCTTTGAGAACCAGTCAGTTGACTATGATTTTACTGAATGATTGGAGAGAAAACTCTATATTAAGCCATGCTCCACTGCAGAGGTATTTTTTCCAGGTTGAGAACAGCTATGGAACAATGCAATTGGAGCACTGATGTAATTACTCATGTCCATGGAAGTGTGCAGGCTTTCCTCTTTGGTTCTCTAGATAGAGGATATGTGAGTCTCAAGAGTACAAAAAGGGGAAGCTGGGCACAGTGGCTTATGCCTGTAATTCCAGCACTTTGGGAGGCTAAGGCAGGAGAATTGCTTGAACCTGGGAAGCAGAGGTTGCAGTGAGCCCTGATCATGCCACTGCACTCCAGCCTGGGAGACAAGAGTGAAACTGTCTCAAAAAAAAAAAGGCACAAGAAGGGGAAAAAAAGAACAAGAGAAGCTCTTGAGGTTAAAGCATCTTACACTTCATACACATAATTCTTTTTTGGTGAATATTTTGTTTTCCTAAAAAGTAAGGGCATCTTAGAAGAGGCCTCTCTGTGAATAGTCTCTTTGGAGGAAATGGGGTAAATAAAAGCACAAAGTCTCCAAATTACAAATAATCTGGAGACCATGCTCTCACAAGCTCAATTTATCAAGAGCAATGAGGAAATACTTCCTAATCTTCATCCCAGGGTGATTTAGGCCCAGAGCTCTTGAGAAAGTAAGGTGGGTGTAACCTAGTCTAAGTGACTGGTTCTTCATGGGGTTTAAAATGGCTCAGGGGAGAAAGTGCAGATGATAGCAACATCACCTGTGGTGACTTTGCTCTCTCAGAGCTTACACATTCTAATGAATGCTCTGGAAGGAAAGGGCACCAGGTGATCTGCAGAGTAGCTTTTAGGGTCAAAATGTTCCTACCATGCTGCTGGTTATTCTTTCTGGCACAGACAAAAGTGCACTTATAACACCGAATGCAAATAGCATACCCTTGCATCGGGTCCCTTTCATCAGAGCCAGTGGTCCTATCAATTCGAGGAATTTCATTTTTGGTATCCTGAATAGTGAGGATAAAAAAAATATAGGTGTTTTTTGCTCCCAAGGGCTGGAAGAGTTTTTCACTCAAGAGCCAAATTTGTCTTTCTATTGTAGATGAGAGGGTGAGTGTAGGTGTTTGTTTTACATCAGGATGACAAGCTGTGCATACCTTTCTGAGGCGAGGTCTGGGTGTACTGGGGTGTGTCCCAGAGGAAGTCAATGTTCAGAGCTTTATTTTGTGTGTGTGAGCTATTCAGTTTAATTATACCCATGCTGCCAACTTGCTTTTTATTATTACTCTTATTCACTTTAATATTCCCTTCCCTTGGCTAAGCATAAAGAGAAGGTTCGTTATTATTTGAACAGCTTTACATTTATGATGCCCCGTTAGTTTGCAAAGCTGGAGACTTCACTGTGAAAGCGCTGTAATAATACTCAGGGAAGATGAGCTCTAATCCTACTTCTAGCTTGGCGCACAGGAGCTTCGGAATTGCTCAGAATTTAAAGGCGCTTCACTGACATGAGGGAGGAAAGGGATAAAACAGGGCAGAAGGGAGGAACTGGGGATCATAGGAATGAGACTGACAGTACATATGTCTCTGTTCAGTTTTAAATTTTGGTAAGTAGAATAACAGATTATACATTGACATCTTGAGAACAGCAGCTGTCAAAACTGTCAGTCAAAAGGAGATTGATTCCATTCAATTATTTGTTAAACCAAGAAGTTTAAAGATAGGAAAGAACTATGAGGCCATGCAACTCATTTAAAGTCCCTCTGCTTCGCAAATTTATTTAAGATCAGCATCTGAGGGCAAAATAAAAGTTTATTATTATTTCATGTTAACGTAATAGCAAAGATAAGGAAGAACAATATTGTATTAGGCCATTCTCTCATCTCTCTAAAGAAATACCTGAGGCTGGGTAATTTATTTAAAAAAAAGGGGGGAGTGTTTAATTGGCTGATGGTTCTGAAGGCTGAACAGGAAGCATAGCACCATCTACTTCTGGGGGAAGACTTAGGAAGCTTCCAGTCATGGTGGAAGGGGAAGGGAGAGTAGAGTAGGCATGTTGCGTGGCCAGAGCAGGAGCAAGAGAGAGCAAGCAGGGAGGTACTACACACTTTTATATTACTAGATCTTATGAGAACTCAATCGCTATCACAAGGACAGTACCAAGGGGAATGGTGCTAAACCATTCATGAGAAATTCACCTCCATGGTCCACTCACCTCCCACTAGGCCCTAACTCCATCATTGGGGATTACAATTCAATATGAGATTTGGGCAGGCACACACAGGATCTATGTTCTGATGATACATAGATGTGATAAGTGCTAAACACTGGTGATTCAGAATTGGTAAAACTCAATTCGTGTCCTCAAGGAGTGCACCATCTTTTATGGTAGTCAGCTGTGAGCCAATAATGCAAATGTCCTGTGATGGGTGAAGTCACTCAAAAGGTGTGTACCAGCGACTGAAGTGGAAACCAGTAGCTAATATTATGCTTACATTTGACCTGCAGGCTGCAAGGCACAAATAGGTACTCTCTTGCCAAGTTCATTAAATAAACGGGATAGCCCTGAGTTCCACGTCTGCGGATTTCTTTGCTTTTGTTGACTGTGTTTTCAAAATGTGAGTTGCAAAATGAAAATATAAGTGCCTTCTATTTTGGGGAAGAGAGAGATTACACTACACTGTTTCACATATTGATTCCTATAGTTTTGTAGCCTGTACCTCAACTTTTGTGCCACTAAAATAGAGAATACTAATACTGACTTTCTTCACAAAGCATGAAGATGAACTAACATATCTTTAAAATTATCTGAAAAGATGTAATTTATCTTTTTTTTTTTTTTGAGATGGAGTCTTGCTCTGTTGCCCAAGCAGGAGTGCAATGGCATGATCTCGGCTCACTGCAACCTCTGCCTCCTGGGCTCAAGAGATTCTCCTGCCTCAGACTCCTGAGTAGCTGGGACTACAGGCATGCACCACCACACCTGGCTAATATTTGTATTTTTAGTAGAGACGGGGTTTCACCATGTTGGCCAGGCTGGTCTCGAACTCATGACCTCAAGTGATCTGTTCACCTTGGCCTCCCAAAGTGCTGGGATTACAGGTGTGAGCCACCGTGCGCAGCCTGAAAAGATACAGTTTATCATATTAATAACATGATGGATTCAGAATTGTAGAGCTGGAAGGCCTTTAGAGAACTTTTAGTCCAACTTTAGTCCTCAAATTTTAGCATGCTTCAGAATCACCTGAAGGGTGTCAAGAGCAGATTTCATGGCCCATCCCCAGCATTTCTGATTCAGTAATTAAATGGTGGGGCATGGGAATTTGCATTTCTAACAAGTTTCCAGGTGATGCTGATGCTGCTGGTCTGAAAACCATACTTTGAGAACTACTGATCTTGTCCATCCCCTTTAGTGTAAAGATGAGATCACTGAGCACACACTGCCTTTCCTGCCAACCCACCCCAAATAAACACACGATCTAATTAAAGACTGTAGTTTTGTTACACAAAAAATGGCTTTAAGACAAATCTCCTGACTGTTCTTTTAACCAAATCTCAAACAAAAATGCCCTTCTAAAGAGAAGAAATTGGAGTCCATATAATTTTATTTTTCAACTTTAATAAAATAACTTGTGTGGCTTATTTAATTCACTCCTTCCCAATGGCAGATGTCTGAAAACTGATTGGAAACTTTGAGAAATTCCTTTAATATCTCTGTGTTTTTATTCTTTCCATCTGTAAAACGGGGTCAGCTGTATTGTGCCTCATGTGTAAATCTGTGTGCGGTGAGGTTTAGCGGGTAAGTGACTGCAAAACATGTTGCAGATGGATGTGTTATGGGGGAATGCTTAATATCAAAGTGAGATGTCATTTTCTTTCACTCTGCATCTGTAGTTTGTAAAACAAATGCTTCTAAATTCACAGTATTTTTCTCACATGTACTATTTTTTCCAGGGTGATATTTTCTCAAAGACTCATGCTGACTTAAGCTTCTGGAACCTTGTGGGTGGATGTGCTAAATTAAAGACTTGTATTTAAATTTTCTGCATAACACTTGTGGGCTGAATGCATCACAGTGACTGAGGAAAGTAGAGAGTTTTCTAGTCCTGAGAGGCATGAGTAGAACTGTGTTGGTCAGAGGACTATGAATCCAGCAAAGTTTTAAGCCATTACTTTTCCAAAATGAATAAACAGATGCATCCTTGGTTAAAAAAATCTCAAACCCTGGAAAAAAATTCTCAGACACAGTAAAATATAAAGCTAGCTTGCTAGCTAGATAATGGATGGATAGCTAGATGGATGATTAGATAGATAGATAGGGATAGAGAAACAGATGAACAGTATAAAGATATACATATGAATATATAGATTATCAAGAGCACAGTATTTTTTGAAAGAAATTACAAGGAGAGGGAGCAAGATGGCTGACTAGATGCAGGTGGCATGTGCCTTCTCCATGGAGAGGAACCAGAAAAGGGAGTAGATACTTTTTGAACAGATTGTCTAGGAGAGAACACTAGGATTCACCACAGAACAGATGGGAAGACCAGAAGTAAGTAGAGATTGAGGCAACATGACTAGGCAGGGACTGACCAAGAGTCGGAATAGAAAACAACAGTAAGAATGAAAGCCCCAGGTCTCTGAAATGGGCTTTTATGAGCTTGGATATGGGAGAAAACCTTGACCCACTAGGGCCTCAGGACTTATACACAGAGCTGCTGAAAGATTGCACAGAAACGTTGCTTCCAGAAGAGGAGCCCACATGGATTCCCACAGGCATCCAAGCCTAGAAAAGCCTCAGCTAGGCACCACCTTGAAAGCCTAGATATGGGGTATCCACAAATGGCTGCTGTCATTGTGCCACTCCATGGAGGGAGGAGGGAGACCAGGAGCTCACATGCACCCCCGGGAGGGGCTCTACCACCCTGTTGTCGAATGTTGTTGAGCCTGAGACATGAGCCCACTTCACTCCCCATAGCTTCTTGCCCATGCCGTTTTCCTGGGAGGGACCCTACCCTC
This sequence comes from Homo sapiens, assembly GCF_000001405.40. Lineage (NCBI taxonomy): Eukaryota > Metazoa > Chordata > Mammalia > Primates > Hominidae > Homo > Homo sapiens. The sequence continues at coordinate 189,517,326 of NC_000003.12, forward strand.
TCTGGTCCCAGGGTCACTATGACGTTTTGAGAATTTAACATTGGGCTGTGCCCCACCGTCAGATTGAGTTTGGGCTGACACAGCTGCAGCTACCACCTAGCCAATGAGGAACAGGGAAACAAGGCTGTCCTTTGCACATCTGGGACAATATCCACTGCCCTATAACAGGCTGCTGTGAAACAGACACAAGCAGACTATCCACTATCCTCTGCCCAGCTTCTTGCCTATGCTGCTTGCATGAGTGGTGCTACTCCCTGCTGGTCTCAGGTCTAAGACACCATTTTGGGAATTTAATGCTGAGCTGTGCCCCACCCACAGGCCGAATTCAAGTGGATGTGGCTGCAGCCACCAGCCACGGAGGAACAGGGAAAGCAGGCTCTTCTATGTACCACTAGGACAATACTCACTGCCTTACAACAGGCTGCTGTGAGACTGCTATGCGAGCAGATTACACTCCCCACAATTTCTTGCCCATGATGCTTGCCTGAGAGGGGCTCCACCCTCTCTAGTCACAAGCCCACAGCTGGCACGATTTTGAGATATTAACACTGGGCTGTGCCCATACTTGAGTTGAGTTTGAGGCAACATGGCTGCAGCTGTCACCCAGCCAGAGGAGGAAAAGGGGAAACAAACCTCTCCAAAGCACACTTAGGACAATACCCATTACCCTCCTACAAGTAGCTGTGGGATTGGGCACTAGCCTGCCCAACCCATCACAGCTTCTAACAACACCAACACAGACTTCCTGGGTTTTAGTGGGTTGCTCCATCACTACTGCTATCACTCACACCACAACAGCTGCCCAGGAACTTGAGAACCTATTAAAACACCTGGCCTGTGGATTCCACTGCTAGCTTCTGAGCAAGCCACTAGGAGGCCCAAGAATCAACCCTTAGGACCCACTAACATTAGAACCAGGGTGAGCTGCTACGGGACTTAAAAATGGGCACATCTGGCTGGGTTGGAATTGAAGTCCCCAGCTAAACTTCATTACAACATCAATTTATAACTGGACCCTAAGTCACCAAGAAAATCAGATACCACTTGCCCTGTATAATGTTGAAGAAGTAATACAAATATCACACTACTATGGGCACCCAAAATGAAAGCTAAAATATCTTAATCAACCACATACATATATCTTTTGCAATTTCAAAAAGTTGGAACAAGTGACCGCTACCCAGGTAAACAGATATCAATGGAAGTGCACAGAAAATATTAAAAAATGGGGAAATATGACACCACCAAAGGACCACGACAATTGTTCACCAACAGGTCCCAATCAAAAAGAATTTCTAAAAATGCCAGATAAAGAATTCAAAATATTGATTTTAAAGAAGCTTAATGAGATTCAACAAAAACATGAAAACAAATACAAAGAAATCATAAAATCAACTCAGTATATGAATAAAAAATTATCCAAGGAGAGAAATATCTTTAAAAAAAAAAGAAGCAGAAATTCTGGAAGTGAAAAATTTATTGGAAGAAATACAAAATACATTTGAAATCTTCAATAATAAACTAGACTGAGCAGAAGAATCTCAAACCTTAGAGACACTGTTTTTGAAATAAACCAGTGAGACAAAAATAAGGAAAAAATAATAATAAAGAACGAACAAAGTATTTGAGACGTCTGGAACTACATAAAGTGATTGAACTTATGAATTACCAATATTCACAAGGAGGAAGAGAGAGGAAAAGTTTAGAAAAACTATTTAAGGGAATAATCAATGAAAACTTCCCAAGTCTACCAAGAGAGTTAGACATTCATATACAGGAGGCCTATTGATCCCTAGGCAAACACATTGCAAAAAGACTTCACTACAGCATATCATATTCAGAATATCCAAAGCAAAAGTAAAGGAAAGAATTTTAAAATTAGCAAGAGAAAAGCATCTAGTTTCCTATAAAGGAAATCCCCTTGGACTAATGGTGGACTTTTCAGTAGAAATTTTACAGGCCAGAAAAGAATGGAATAGCATTTTCAAAGTGAAGGAAAAAAAACCTGTCAGTCTTGAATTTTTATCCTGCCAGAATAAGCTTCATAAATGAAGGGGAAATAAAAGTATTTCCCAGATAAGAAAACGCTGAGAGAATTTGTCAACAGACTGGAACTATAGGAAATGCTAAAAGGGGTCTTACACATGGAAATGCAAGATTGATATTCACCATAATAAACACACATGGAAATATAAGTGCATTAGTCCATTTTTACACTGCTATAAAGAAATGCCCAAAACTAGGTAATTTATAAGGAAAGAGGTTTGATTGACTCACAGTTTTGCATGACTGGAGAGGCCTCAGGAAACTTACAATCATAGTGAAAGGGGAAGCAGTCACCTTCTTCACAAGGTGGCAGGAGAGAGAAGAGTGAGCAAAAGAAGAAAAGCCCCTTTTGAAACCAACAGATCTTGCAAGAACTAACTATCACAAGAAGAGCATGAGGGAAACCATCCCTGTGATCCAATCACCTCCCACTAGGTCTCTCCCTAGACACATGGGGATTCCAATTCAAGATGAGATTTGACTGGGGACACAAAGTCTCAATAAAACTCACAATTCTCATGCCTGTGTCCCTAATGGTAATGCCTAGGTTTTCTTCTAGGGTTTTCAGGACATAGGCATGGGCAAGGACTTCATGTCTAAAACACCAAAAGCAATGGCAACAAAAGCCAAAATTGACGAATGGGATCTAATTAAACTAAAGAGCTTCTGCACAGCAAAAGAAACTACCATCAGAGTGAACAGGCAACCTACAAAATGGGAGAAAATTTTCGCAACCTACTCATCTGACAAAGGGCTAATATCCAGAATCTACAATGAACTCAAACAAATTTACAAGAAAAAACAAACAACCCCATCAAAAAGTGGGCGAAGGACATGAACAGACACTTCTCAAAAGAAGACATTTATGCAGCCAAAAAACACATGAAAAAATGCCCACCATCACTGGCCATCAGAGAAATGCAAATCAAAACCACAATGAGATACCATCTCACACCAGTTAGAATGGCAATCATTAAAAAGTCAGGAAACAACAGGTGCTGGAGAGGATGTGGAGAAATAGGAACACTTTTACACCGTTGGTGGGACTGTAAACTAGTTCAACCATTGTGGAAGTCAGTGTGGCGATTCCTCAAGGATCTAGAACTAGAAATACCATTTGACCCAGCCATCCCATTACTGGGTATATACCCAAAGGACTATAAATCATGCTGCTATAAAGACACATGCACACGTATGTTTATTGTGGCATTATTCACAATAGCAAAGACTTGGAACCAACCCAAATGTCCAACAATGATAGACTGGATTAAGAAAATGCGGCACATATACACCATGGAATACTATGCAGCCATAAAAATGATGAGTTCACGTCCTTTGTAGGGACATGGATGAAATCGGAAATCATCATTCTCAGTAAACTATCGCAAGAACAAAAAACCAAACACCGCATATTCTCACTCATAGGTGGGAATTGAACAATGAGAACACATGGACACAGGAAGGGGAACATCACACTCTGGGGACTGTTGTGGGGTGGGGGGAGGGGGGAGGGATAGCATTGGGAGATATACCTAATGCTAGATGACGAGTTAGTGGGTGCAGCGCACCAGCATGACACATGTACACATATGTAACTAACCTGCACATTGTGCACATGTACCCTAAAACTTAAAGTATAATAATAAAAAAATAAAAAGAAAAAAGAGAAAACAAAAACAAAAAAACTCACAATTCTCATAGAACATCCACACAAAGGAGGAAGAAAAAAGAATCACATGGCAACATGACAGAATTTCATCAAACCACAAAGACAAAAAGACACAGAAAAAGAAAGCAACAAAAAATTTATAAAACAACTTGAGAAGAATTAACGTTATGGCAGGAAGAAAAGCCTTGCATATCAATATTAACCTTAAATGTAAATTGATTAAATATTCCACTTAAAGTATACAGATTGGCAGAATGGATTTAAAAACACCATCCAACAATATGCTGCCTATAACAAACTCACTTTACTTGTAAAGACACATGTACACAGAAAGTAAAGGAATGGAAAAAAATATTCCATAGGAACAGAAACAAAAGGCAGGCAGCAATACTTCCATCAAATCAAAAACAGTTTTTTTAATTAAATTTTTTTTAAAGTACATCAAATCAAAATAGTTTTAAAAAGACAAAGAAGGCCATTATACAATAATAAATGACATATATAATATATATAATCATAAAAGACAAAGAAGGTCATTATATAATCATAAAAAGATCAATTCAGTGAGAGGATATAACAATCCTAAACATATATGTACCTATATAGAAGAACCCAAATTGAAAAACAAATATTACCAGATCTAAATAAAGACAGACAGCAATACAGTAATAGTGGGAGGACATTCACCCCAAACTCACAGCACTAGATAGGTCACTGAGATGGAAAATTAACAATGAAAATTAAACTTTAGAACAAATGGACCTAAAAGATGTTTATGGAACATTCTACCTAACAACTACAGGATATACATTATTTTTATCAGAACTTGGAATATTCTCCAATATAAACCATGTTAGGCAACAAAACAAGTCTTAACTCATTTTTAAAAGTAATCAAAATCATATCAAGTATCTTCTCAGTCCACAGTTGGATAAAGCTAGAAATCAATACAAAGAGGAACACTAGAAATTATACAAATACATGGGAATTAAACAGAATGCTCCTGAATAATCACTGGGTCAAGGAAGAATTAATTTCTCCATTCATTAATTAATGTATCCATTCTAGTGATAAAAATTTAAAATTGTTTTTGAAATGGATAAAAATGAAAACACAACATACCAAAATCTGTGGGATACAGCAAAAGCAGTGCTAAGAGGGAAGTTCATAGCATTAAATGCCTACATCAAATAAGTAGAAAGATCACAAATTAGCAAATTTATGTTGCACCTCAAGGAACTACAAAAACAAGAGCAAACCAAACCCAAAGTTAGCAGAAGAAAAGAAATAAAAAAATCAGAGCAGAACTAAATAAAATAAAGACAAAAAATTACAAAGGATCATCAAAGTGAAAAGCTCATTCTTCAAAAACATAAAGAAAATTGATAAATGACATTAGATTAATGAAGAAAAGAATAGAGAAAATCCAAATAAACACAATCAGAAGTGAAAAAGGAGATATTACAACTGATACCACAGAAATTCAAGATGTCATCAGAGACCATTATAAACAACTCTGTGGTCACAAACCAGAAAATCTAGAGAAAATAGATAAATTCCTGATAACATACAACCTCCTGAGATTGAACCAGGAAGAATTAGAATTCCTGAACTGTAATGTAGGAAGATTGAATCAGTAATTAAAAAAAAAAAAAACAAAAAAAACTCTCCCAACAATCACACCACCACAAAGCCCAGGGCTAGATGGATGAACAACCAAGTTCCACTACCCTACAAAGAATAACTAATACCAATCCTCCTAAAACTATTCCAGAACATCAAGGAGGAGGGGAGCCTTCCTAACTCATTCAATGAGACCAGTATAACTATGACACCAAAACTAGACAAGGACACAGCAACACCAAAAAAGAAAACTGCAAATAAAAACTCCTGATGATCATAGATGTAAAAATCCTTACAAAAATATTAACAAATACAATGCTACAGCACATCGAAATGAAAATACAACATGATCAGTTGGGATTTATCCCAGGGATGTGAGGATGATTCAACATACACAAGTCAATAAACATAATTATTAAGGACAAAAACCATATAATCATCTCAATAAACACACTTAAAAAATTGATAAAATTCAACAGCCCTTTATGATAAAAGTTTGCAACAAACAAGGCATAGAAGGAACATATCTCAACATAATAAAGGCTATATATGAAAAATACACAAACAACAACATTCTTACAGTGGAAAAGTTAAAGGCATTCCCTCTAAGAACTGGAACAAGACAAGAATGCCTACTTTTCACCATTCTCATTCAACATAGTGCTGAAAGTCCTCTTCAGAGCAATCAGGGAAGAGAAAAAATAAAAGACATCTGAATTAAAAAATAAGAAATCAAATTATCCCTATTTGCTAATGATATGATCTTATATCTAGAAAACTCTAAATGCTCCATCAAAAACCTCTTAGATTTAATAAATGGATTCAGTAAAGTTTCAGGATACAAAATTTATATACAGATAGCAGCATTCCTATACGCCAATAATGTTCAAGCTGAGAGCCAAATCAAACAGACAAGAAGATCAATGGAAATGAAGAGAGAACCCAGAAGTAGAGACACATACCTACAACCAACTGATCTTTGTCAAAGTCAACAAAAATATACACTCAAGAAATTACCCTCTATTCAATAAATGGTGCTAGGAAAATTGGATAGCTATACGCAGAATAATGAACTTGGACCTCTCATTATATACAAAAATTAACTCAAGTTGGATTAATGACCTAAATGTAAGACTGAAAACTATAAAAGTTTTGAATGAAAAGCTAGGAGAAACTCCTCTGGATATTGGTCTGGGCAAAGATTTCATGACTAAGAACCTAAATGCAGCAAACCCAACAGAAACAAAAATAGAAAGATGAGATTTAATTAAAAGCTTTCTACACAGCTAAAGAAACAACTGACAGAGTAAACAGACAACTCGCATAATGGGAAAAAATATTTGCAAACCATGCACTGACAAAAGGCTAATATCCAGAATCTGCAAGGAACTCAAATAACTCAACCAGAGAAAAACAATTACCGTTTAAAAAATGGGCAAACAAGGCAATTTACAGATTCAACACTATTCCTATTAAACTACCAATGTAATTTTTCACAGAATTGGGAAAAACTCTTCTAAAATTTCTATGGAACCAAAAAGAGTCTGTATAACCAAAGCAACCCTAAGCAAAAAGAACGAAACTGGAGGCATCACACTACCTGACTTCAAACTATACTACAAGGCTAAAGTAATTAAAATGGCATGGGACCAGTACAAAAACAACACATAGACCAATGGAATAAAATAGAGAACCCAGAAATAAAGCTACACACCTACAGCCATCTGATCTTTGACAAAATTGACAAAAAATTGCAATGGGGAAAGGACTCCCTACTTAATCAATGGTGCTGGAATAGCTAGCAATATGCAGAAGAAGGAAACTGGACCCCTACTGATCACTATATAAAATAAAATTAACTCAATATAAGATTAAAGACTTAAATGTAAGATGTCAACCTATAAAAATCCTGGAAGAAAATCTAGAAAATACCCTTCTTGATATCAATTTTGGCAAACAATTTATGGCTAAGTCCTTAAAAGCAATTGCAACAAAACTAAGTATTGATGAGTGGGACCTAAATAAACCAAAGGGATTATGCACAGTAAGATAAATTACAAAAGAAGTAAACAGACAATATGCAAAATGGGAGAAAATATTCACAAACTATGTGTCTGGCAAAGGTTCAATATCCAGAATCTATAAGGAACTTAAATAATTCAACAAGCAAAAAACAAATAATCCCATTAAAAAGTGGGCAAAGGTCATAAATAAACAATTCCAAAAAGACATGCAAGTGGCCAAAAAGCATATGAAAAAATGCTCATCATCACTAATCATCAGAGAAATGCAAATCAAAACCACAGTGGATACCATCTCAAACCAGTCAGAATGGTTATTAAAATGTCAAAAAATAACAGATGTTGATGAGGCTGTGGAGAAAAGGGGACACTTACACAATGTTTGTGGAAATGTACATTAGTCCAACCATTGTGGAGAGCAGTTGGAGATTTCTCAAAGAACTATGTGTTGAACCACCATTTGAACCAGGAATTCCATTACTGGGAATATGCCCCCAAAAAAGTAAGTCAGTCTACCAAAAGGACATATGCACCTGCATGTTCTTTGCATCACTATTCACCGTAACAAAAACATGGAATCAACCTAGACGCCCATCAACAGTAGAGGAGATTATATATATATATGCACATATATATTTTATATATATATTATATAAATATGTGTGTATATATATCTATAGACACACACACACACACACACACACACACACATATATATGGGGCTGTGCCTGGTAGATCATGCCTGTAATCCCAGCACTTTTGGAGGCCAAGGCAGGAGGATTGTTTGAGTCCAGAAGTTTGAGTTTGAGACAAGCTTGGGCAACAGGCTTGCCTGTGTTTACAAAAAAAAATTTTAAATTAGTGGGGCCTTTTGGAGCAAGCCTGTAGTCATAGATACTCTGGAGACTGAGGTGGGTGGATTGCTTGAGCCAGGAGGTCAAGGCTGCAATGAGCTGTGACCATACCACTGCACTCTAGCCTGGGTGACAGAATGAGACCCTGTCTCAAAAATAAATAAAATAAAATGGAGTACACATACACCACAGTATACTATGCAACCATAAGAAAGAATGCAATCATATCCTTTGCAACAACATGGATGTAGCTGGAGGCCATTATCCTAAGCAAACTAATGCAGAAACAAAAAATTAAATACTGCATGTAAGTGGGAGCTTAACATTACTTGTAAGTGGGAACTAAACATTGGGTACACATGGACATAAATACGGAAAAATAGACACTGGGGACTACTGTGTCAGGGGAGAAAGGGATAGGGGAAAGGGCTGAAAAACTACCTACTGGATACTATGCTCACTACCTGGGTGGTGGGTTCAATTATGCCACAAACCTCAGTACCATGCAATATACCTTTATAACAAAACTGCACCCCCTGATTCTAAAATAAAAGTTGAAAAAGAACAAAAAAATGGGCAAAGAACATGAACAGACACTTTTCAAAAGAAGACATATGAGTGACCAACAGACATATGACAAAATACTCAACATTACTAATCATCAGTAAAATGCAAATTAAAACTACTACTGGATACCATCTTACACCGTTCTGAATGTCTGTTATTAAAGTCTAAAGCCAATAGATGTTGATGAGGATGCAGGGAAAGGGGAACAATTTATTCTGTTGAGGGAATTAAATTAGTACAACCTTTGTGGAAAACAGTATGGAGATTTCGCCCAAATCAAAAAAGGTAACTACCATTTGCTCCAGCAATCCCATTACTGGGTATATCCCCAAAGGGAATTAAATTACTATATCAAAAAACACCTGCACTCATATGTTTATCACACTATTCACAATAGCAAAGACATGGAATCCACCTAAATGTCCATGAACAGAGGACACATATGTGTGTGTGTGTGTGTGTGTATACACACTCAGCCATAAAAAAGAATGAATACTATTCAGCCATAAAAAAGATAAAATTATGTCTTTTGTAGCAACATGGATGGAGCTAGAGGTCATTATCCTAAGTGAAATAACTCAGAAACAGAAAGTCAAATGTCGTATATTCTCACTTGTAAGTAGGAGCTAAACAATGAGCACACATGGACATACAGAGTGGAAAAATAGACATTGGAGACTATAAAATGTGGGAAGGTGAGAGGGGTGTGAGGGTTGAAAAATTACCTATTGGGTACAATGGTTATTATTGGGGTTATGGGTACGCTAAAAGCCCAGACTTCACCACTATACAATATGTACATGTAAGAAATCTGCACTTGTACACCATAAATATAAAAAATTAAAACAGGCCAGGCATGGTGGCTCAGGCCTGTAATCCCAGCACTTTGGGAGGCCGAGGCAGTGGTTCGCCTGAGGTCAGGAGTTCAAGACCAGCCTGGCCAACATGACGAAATCCCGTCTCTATTAAAAATATAAAAATTAGCCCAACATGGTGGCAAGCTCCTGTAATCCTAGCTACTCAGGGGGCTGAGGCGGGAGAATTGCTAGATTTTTTCCTCAGCAAGGTTTGGGTAACAAGAAAGGAAAGGACAAATCAAACACACTGATTGAACAATAAACAAATACATTAAGTAACTTTTCTCTACCCAGTATTTTAATATTCATCAATAAGTCACTATACCTCACAGGGGCCTGAGACTCGTAATACATTTAAAAAAATCAAATTGTTTATATAGACAGTGACCCATAATATTATTTGACTAAAGCCCTGCACAGGTTAGGAGTATCCCTGGTCATAACTGTCCCCCACAAAAAATAATGACAATTGTGCACCAACCTCCTAACTTATTATTATTCTTTGCTGTGGTTCATGAAATCACAAAGTCTTAGAATTATTGCATTAAGGTACTGCCACACTTAGTCCATTCAGAATGCCTAGACTCCCATACTGGTGCTATCATTGGCCTCAGAAGGCATATAAAATGAAACTCAGCCTAACCGAAGAAAAGAAAGTGGAACTCCCTGGCCTAAACTCTTCAGCCCACCTCATTATGCATCTGCCTTAGGTATCTACCTTATGTTTCTTGAGTCAAGAAATTGATTTGCCTTAAGTAACATTTTAGAATAGCACTACTAATTTTTTAAAGCTGTAGAATCCTTTATACAAAATAAATCTTTGGAAAAATTCCTGTATATCAAAAGTTAGAAATGGAGGTGATGTGTTCTATAGTGGGGGGCCAGGGTCTTCAGAGTAGATCTCTTCCAGCCTCTGAGTCTAGGCAAGCACACATAGGAAGAGGCTGGTTTACTGGGCATAGCTGAAGATATTGTAAGCAAATAAAATGACTCTGGGAACTCCTGAAGATGTTGTATCTCAACCCCTTCTTGAATTAGCTGAATCCATGGATGGAGAAAATTGTAATTTTATTATAGGGACATTGAGAAATTTTCATGAAACCATGTATGCATCTTGACCTGGGAGTTTTCATGAGACTTAGCAAATCAATATGTTTCAAAGCATTTTGATGACCAAGCCTGTATTTCTTCCCCCAGTCCCATTTTAAAAAGTGACTTTCTGGTCCTCTGTAACTCTTTTTTTTTTTTTCCCCAAGACAGACTCTTGCCCTGTTGCCCAGGCTGCAGTGCAGTGGTGCAGTCTCGGCTCACTGCAACCTCCACCTTCCAGGTTCTCCTGCCTCAGCCTCCCAAGTAGCTGGGATTACAGGCGCCTGCCACTGCACCTGGCTAATTTTTGTATTTTTAGTAGAGACAGGGTTTGACCATGCTGGCCAAGCTGGTCTCAAACTCCTGACGTCAGGTGATCCGCCCGCCTCAGCCTCCCAAAGTGCCTTTGTAACTCTTTTAAGGATATACCTGTTTTCCAAATTCTGCATAGTAAGAACTTTCCTCTGCTCCAAGAGTTGTCTGGTGAGCCTGGTGACAGTAGCTGAGCTGTGACTTAGATCCTGAACTAACTGCCTTTGCCAGTCTAGCTCCTTATTCATAGCTCTGCCCATTCCTCCTTTCTCCTCTCTGCACACCCTCTACTTTTTGTGTTTCCATTGTTGAATGGGGAAAGACACGTTTATCTATGTATATTTTTATTTGAGAAAAAATTGTAGGGCCTGCAAAATCTCACCAATCTCTGTTTTGGTGAGTATTTGTATTGGGAGTAATTCAACAACTTAACTTTAAAGTCGATAGCAAAATAACATTTTGTGTCATGTCCCTTTCTTTTGACAGACCTCTTTGCCAAAAGTGAAATCACTCAGTCTTACAAACACTGCATTTACAATCTTTTCGTCCACTTCTGTCTTCTTTGGGGCCTATGCTGTTAACAGAAGCAGAAACACACACAATTCATTAAATAATGTTTAACTAATTAACATTTTTAAGTCGAATACAGTACTTTCTTGTGGTTTCCTGTATTTCGCTCCTTCAGAAAAAGAATATATCTATTCCTAATGATAGCATACTGCATTATACACAGTAAATTAAAGGATTCTTAGATCTTCTTAGATCTTATTAGAAAATATTTACAACTATTTATATATTTCTATCCTATTGAAAAATATTTATAACTATTTATACATCTGTCTATAATATTTATAACTATTTATATAGCTGTCCAGCCACCAATTGGTTGGATGAAATCCTTTGATTTCTGACTTTTTTCCAAGGCTCTAGGCAACTACCATCATTTCCTATTTAGTGAATGAAAGAAGCTTGTACTTGAAGATATAAAGTTAATTTAATGTGATCTTATTAATAATCATTAGAGCTGCTCACTGAATATTCTAGGCATATAGCAAAATTGCATTGTCTTGTCCTCTTGAAATAAGACGTATCTTAGTGACTAACTTTGGCCAATATAATGTGATCCTATTGAGGCATAATATGTCATTTCCAGGCAAGAGCCTTTAGAAACTGACACCTGATTCATCATTTTCCTTTCTGTTTGCCATAGTAATTGCTAATGCTCCAGGGGTTGAAGTTTCTGTCAGCTTACATACCTGAGTCAGAATAACGTAGAAAAGAACCTCTTGTCAATCCACAATAGACTTGCATTATGAGTGGGAAATAACCCTCTTCTGTTTTAAGTCACTGAAATTGAACTCATTTGTACAGCAGCACAACCTAACTTATCCTGGTATTGGAATCACTAGAGTTAGCCATGCTATGATATCAGTAGAGCTATTCACTTGTTACCAAATTTATTGAACTCAAAACAGATCCTGTGCCCTGTGGGGCTTACAGAGAAGGTAGAACATAGCAAAAGCTATGAAACAAGGCAGTACCAATTAAGGGCCCTAAGGCAGGGAGGGAAAAAATGCTAAGAAATTTTGAATAGGTAATGATTACTTCCTGTTGCAGTGTCATAGAAGCTTCTAAGAGGACGTGACCATAGAACAAGTCTTAAGGATGAGTAAGATTTGGATGTGCAGAGATGGTTGTGATGGAGTCCCTAAAATACGGTGCTGGGTGAACAGTCCCAGACCAAGAAAATACAGTGCATACTCCAGAAGGGTGAAAGCGAATGCCCAGTCTGGTGACAGTAATGTATATATTAACACCTTAGAGCTGGATTATCAGGTGGATAGGCGTCAACCTCACCTTTGGTATAAGGATGGCTGCTTCTTGAAACAAATCATGTGCCTCTTGGTTTCTGAATATGAAAACATTGTGTCTGTGAGTCTATCTTCCTCTTGTGGGAGGGTAAGTCATTTTTTCCAGTGGGACACAGAGCCAAGACAACACATTTCAAACCTAGCGCCTGCAAACACATTTATTTTAAGAACTGCACCCAAGCTCAGTTTTCTTTTCATTAGTTTGGTATTTCTAATACAAAATTATTTTAAATATCTCAGTATAAATTCCCTGACATTTCCCTTTCTAAAGAAAGAAGTAAGCACCTTTATTTGCCCTCCTATTCTTCCTTATTTTCTCTTTCCCTTCCTTCCCGCTTCCTTCTTCCTTCTTTTCTCCTTCCTTCCTTTTCTTCCTTTCTTAAGCTTTTTTCTATGTAATTTTCTCTATTTTTGCTGCACTTAACAGTTTCTACTTTGTGTCATGCCTAGGCTAGAGAATACTTTTCATATCTTATTTATATTTTATTTCCGTTCTATTTATTAATCCTGCTCAACCTGGCAATTTCTAACGTGTGCCACATGTTTTGCAGAATAAATAATTTTTCCTCTTTTCTTTGGCTTTTCTTTTTTGTTCAGACATGGAACTCCCATTGTATCTGTCCAAAGGCGGATTTGACCACATTTAACCACAATGGGCACCCATCCATTAGAGTTTCCTTCCTTCCCTGTGCTAACTGGGAGCCCCAGCCATCCTATTTTATCTGTGTAAACTAAGAGTCGCATCACAAGGCCTCCAGGATATTTGTGGTTAAACCACTCGACCACCTTGGGATTGTGCTAACTCTGTGTTTTGGTTTGAGGGAGTGTGTGTGGGTTGGAGATTGATTTGACTTAGACTTTTTTTTTTCAAGTGCTGTAACAGCATAGCATGCCTCAGGTTCACGTTGGTGAAATAAAGCCAGCAGCTTTGAGAATTGGTTTTGTTTGATTTCTACCAATGTCTGTTATAAAACTGGTGCCCAAGCAAGGCAGGGGTCCATGGAGGCAGTCTACTTGAAGAGGAGGCAACTTCATCCCTGCCACTCAGGTTGAATATAGTCTGAAAAGTCCTGGAAGTAATCAATGATGAGAAGGGGTGGGGAGCCAGCCCTTTTTTAAATTTCATATTTGCTCTTTAGGATGTGAAGATTTCTTGTTAGAAGCCGCTCTGGTGGAAAGAGTACGGTGGCCACATAAAAGGTTTTTCTGGAATTCAGCTACAGTCAATAGGTACTGATTCATCAATAAAGCTTTTAATCTCTTGGGCTTAAACTTGTTGACTCAGTCTAATTATAGAACACAAGTCTCTGTGTCTTACTGTCTTTGACACTGTCTTCTTTTAATTAAAAAAATGGTCAAAGATATGTGCATACTATTCTTTAAACAGGAGGCTCCTGTCCTACCATTGATGGTATATTCTGGGACTATGAATAGATGCACATTTAACCATGTACAAGTTTTTATTTTGCAAAATAAAGGACTGTATTTAGGCATGAAATAAGCCTAATGGAATAGAGCAAGCATATAGCAAATTCTAGAAATTTTAAAGCTGGAAAGGGCTGTGGAGGTCATGATGTCCAACCCTGCTACAAACAATGAAAATGACATGCAAATGAACAAATTAAGACAACACAGCTATTTGATGACACAATCAAGAGTCATAGATGGAGCTGCACTCGATTTTCAAGAGTGTCAAGGTTAGGAGAGTCAAAGAAAGACTGAAGAACTGTTATAGATTGAAAAAAATAAAAGACAAATGACAACTAAAGGCAACATGTTATCATATATCAGATTTTTGTGAAACAAAAAAATATTATTGGAACGATTAAATGAAAGGTAAATGGGGTCTGAGGATTAGATTGTAGTAATGGATCAACATTCATTTTCTGATTTTGATAACTGTATTATTGTGACATAAGAGATGATTTTTGTCAGAATTGCATGCTAAAGTTCTCAGGGCCTAAGTGTTGCCTTGTGTCAGCAACATCCTCTCTAATAGTTCAGGGAAAAAATTCCTTGCACCATTTTTACAACTTTTAAGTTTGAAATTATTTTTATGAAACAACAAGAAGAAAGAAATGCTTTTTTTAAAGATAAGCTGCTCGGATAAATCTCTTTGAACATTAAAGATGTGATCAAAGACACCTTGGGATTACCCACCATATCCCAGACTTTTGGTATTCCCCTACTTGCACTTTCCATCAGCAGCAGTTGAAGAATCAACATGTCCCTCCCTCAGATAACAGTCTTGGCCTGGGAACTTTCCTTTTTTATTCTCTTTGGCTCCCTTCATCCACAATAGAAAAATAGCACATTAAAATGTACATTTACACAGTATTTTGAGGTAAAAATCTATTTTGTGACAATGTGACAATGCATTTGGTTGTTACGACTCTTTCAGTCTCGTGTAATTTCTCCTTCTCACCTTTTGATTTCTACCCCATTTATTTGGCTTAAATCCTGGTTGAATTTACTATGGAATGTTCCTTATTCTGGATGTGTTTGTCTGATTCCACATGATGTCCCTAAACATACTTATCTATCTGCCACGTTGCCTGTGAAGGAATGAGTGATATGATGCCTGTCTGTTATGGTGCAAATCTTACTTAGTAAATTCAGCTTGGTTTAGTAATTCAGTGATCAGGCATTTTTAAGTTCTATCTTGGTTCTAGCTTAGGACAGCTGACTTCCACAATATAATTTGAAGGAAGTGTAGGAATATTTCTTCAGAATTTCTTAGCTCTCTTAAGCCACTTAAAATTAATGTCTTATAGTGGGAAGATAGTGATGATAGCATAGTTTTTTAATATCATAAATCCCCCACATAGAAACGGAGCAACTAGAGAGCAAGAGCAAAATACACAGTGAAAACATGAAAACCCATGAACAACATATACCATTAAATTAGGTAACAAAAAACCGCTAAAGCCAAAATACACCATTGGTCAGCATGATATCAACGTCTGAGTGATTGAACAAAGAGGGAATCTATCTGATAGACAGGAAAAGATAAAAAACTTAAAATAGATAATGGGTATTAACTGTAAATCAAAGAATTTCAATTTTAGAATAGCACTGCAACTAGGAGGATTTGCCACTCCCAAGTGAGTGCAAGGAGCCCGTGGTAAGAAAGGCCAGAAGAGGCTATAAAGCCACTATAAATTCATGAAATCAACTAGCCAGGATTCCTTTCCAGGGCCCTTCCACAGAGGAGAAATGACAACCAAAATTGAACAAGGTAGGCACAATATACACAAAGAAAAGAGAAGAGTCAAATACTTGTGAAGAGGGAATCAGAACTAGAAAGTCTCAGAAAGCAAGCCAATCATATTTTCTGAGCACTACGAGAAAGCAACGGAAAATCTGAACAACATCAAACTTTTGGCAGCAATGCTTTATGCCAAAAGAAAATTCGGTGTCATATTTATGATACTTAAGACATGTAAGCCAAGGGTTTTGTATTCAGAAAGACTGACTTTCATATATAAAAGGCAAACACAAAGCAATCAATATGTAAGAACTCAGGGAGTATTTTTCCTGTGAGCTCATTCTAAAGAATTGTTAGAGAACAAGTTTCAGAAAGGCAAAATGATTAAAGGGTTACTATCATAAGGTCCGGCTATGAACAGTTACTAGAAAAATTAAGACTAAATGAGAGTTAAAAGGAAAAGCCTAGTAAATAATGGCCGTGTGTTTAAGCATGAGATATAGCACAACCATTAAAAATGGAAAGAAACGACAAGAACTTAAGAAAAACCTATTTACCTGTCTTCAGAAATTATATTGGTTGTGGCGGTTTTAGTATTGTTATTCTGAGACTGTTGCATGTGTATTAAGGGATAAAGAAAATAAATAATGTGGGATATGTTATTTCCATCAGCTCCTATGTCATTGAGACCCAAGATTCTCTTTTTCAAAGAAAGGAAATACAAACATAACACAGAAGAGGATAAGAAAAAGTCTCTGTAGTCTGAAATTGAATTAGAAGCATCAGTAAAATCTTATGAGATAATTTGCTTTAAATACATATATGTTTCTTAGTTCTTTCCATTCAAAACACCTAGAAACAATGCCCAGTAAAGTAGCATTGAACATTGGTAGTGCCCAGATTGTGATGCTGAAATAGAATCTCCGAAGAAAAGACCACAGATTTTTTGAGAAATGAGTTATTCCAGAACTGCCACAAGAAATGTACAAGATGAGCCTGGAACAATTTTTTCATAATAAAAAAGCCATGTCATCCCAGAACCAGGGCTAGAATTTTGTTCTAATGGAGTTCTACTAACTCCAGTTCTCTGAGCATCTTCCATGCACCATATGTAGTCACTACATTGGGACCAAAAGCTCCCTTCACGGGGCTCGCTCAGATTAGTCTATGTTTAGTGGCTCTTTCAGACTCTAACTTCTCTGGTTCATAGTTATGGCTGATTTTATGACAAGGGCACCTGTTCCTTGGGATCTAAACCCTAATCCATTACTAGATCCCTTCATATTGGCAGCAGTAACTTCCATCCCCTATCTACTTGGGATGGATTCAAACAGGTGTCTTAGAGGCAAAAATCCCCTTATCACATTACAAAATGCCTTGCCATGTGGTAATGTCCATTAATGAAATCCTTCTTGAACTGGTGCATGATAGATGCCAAGAGAAGATTTCTTTCAATAGGAGATTTGAAAAATTAGTCTTGTTTCTTTTGGCTATGTCTATTAATCAATTAGTTAGTTAATTTACCAAACTCGAGTTAGCACTTACCATGAGCCAGACACTGTGCTGGGTTCCAAAGAGGGAGCAAAATCCAAGACTTATTTGAACTCAGCTCTGAGAAGTTGGCAATCTGTTCATCCCTGACCATCATAGGGAAACTCATAAGGCTTTATCCAGGCTTACAACATACAGTGCGGGGCAAGGTCTTTCATGAATCTCAGGAGAAAATAATTCCAAAGGTGGAACTGCAGACCAGCAATTATTTCCATGAGACACGTAAAAGGATGTTCTTTTCTACAGGATTATGACCCCTATTCCAACACACATGCATACACAAAAATCAAAAATAAAATGCATGGAGTAAACAACATAGAAGGGAACCAGTGGCTCTTTTTATACATTTTTAAAAAATTCTTCCATTGTGTTTAAAGATACATTAGACAAAATTACTATATTTAGCACAATGTATGTATATAAACTTCTTGTAAATGTAGTCATATTTGAACAGGCTTTTAAACAACCACCATGGCCATTCCACATTGATGCCTTTGTTCCAGCTGAATCCCTAGTCTGCAGTCACCCCTTCCTCTACTTGTCCCAGTTACAGAGTTCTTACAGAGTAAGCTCTAACAGTTTTTCACTCTCTCTTGGATCTGATGTTTCACATATTTTAATTTTGTCTCTTCAATTAAATGTGAGGACATAAAGTATACATGTATCCATGGATCTGGACAGAAAATAACCAAAAGTTGTTTCGTGAGTAATGTTCAGTGCATTAAGGAAGACTTTTTAAAAAGTAATCTTACTTTAGGTCATTCTACAAAACAAAGTACAAATAATCTCTTTTATTAGTTAAACTTTTAATTTTATGTCATATTTGCTTAAAAGGAAGAGCACCAATTCCTTCATGAAAATTGTAAGCACAAAACTTACTATCCACTTAGCCTGCCTTTACATTTTGTTAAACCACGTAAAAGATGTAGAAATATTGTTCATGTGAAAGACTCCTTCCTGCTTTCCTTTGTTTTCTTTCATGATAAAGCAAGTGTCTTGTTTATCTCTCAATTGACAACTATAATTTTTATTTTTAAATTTAATCTGAGGTCTGTATCTTTTCTTTATTTACATGGCTCCTGATCTTCACACAAAATTTATCTATATTCTTTAGGAATTGATGGCCAAGCATCTCATTTTTTGTTGTCACAAAAGATTACTGATTATTTTAATATCAACCAGTCAGCCTTCATTTCAGTACCCAGTGTAGAACTTTTCATAATAGCATTTTAAAAAGGGAAAACTTCTTTGTTGAATAAAATATACAACTGTATCAATGAGTGTTTGTAATACCTTAAATCCAGGTAAGGCAAGGTTATCTTGTTCCATGTTTGTGTTGTTTTAAATCGTAGCAGCTTGTAGAAAATAAAAGAGAACTGAAATATAGTGAATGTCTTGTGTTTGTCTCACCAACACCTCCCCACCACTTCTAAAAATGCCTATGTGTGTGGTTTCTTGTAAGATACAATTATATTTTCTTTTTCTCCTTAGTATAAAACTTTGATGTAATTAAAAAGCATTATAATTTCTTCAGATCTCTCTCCCTCCCCTTCTTTCTTTCTCTTCTTCCCCACTCTTCCTTCACTTTTTTCCTTCATTTTCCTTCTTTCTTTTCCTTCTTTTTTTCTAACTAAAACTTTAAAGATTTCTCTTTAAAAACTTTTTCCCCATCCCTTTTCTGTTTTTAAATATGATTTCAATTTTTATTTTAGTTCTTGGGATATATGTGGAGGTTTGTTACATGAGCATATCGTGTGATGCTGAGGTTTGTGGTACGATTGATCCTATCACCTGGGTAGTGAGCATTGTACGCAATAGTTAGTTCTTCAGCCCTGGCTCCGATCCCTCCCTCACCCCTGTAGTAGATCCCTGTTTCTATTGTTGCCAACTTAATGTCCACAAATACCCAATGTTTAGTTCCCACTTACAGTATTTTGTTTTCTCCTCCTGCATTAATTTACTTAGAATAAATGGCCTCCAGCAACATCCATTTTGCTGCAAAAGAAATGATTTTATTATTTTTCTGGCTGTGTAGGATTTCATTGTGTATGTTCACCACATTATCCTTATGCAATCCACTGTTGATGGGCACCAAGGTTGATTCTATGTCTTTGATGTTATGAAGAGTGCTGTGATGAATGTATAAGTGCATATGTCTTTTTGGTAGAATGATTTATTTTCCATTGGGTATATACCCAGTAATGAGGTTAGTGGGTCAAGTAGTAGTCTGTTTTTAAGTTCTTTGAGAAATCTATAAACTTCTTCCTACAGTTGCTGAACTAATTTACATTCCCACCAATAGTATAAGTATTTGCCCTTCTCCACTGCCTCACCGGCATGTTTTTTGACTTTTTAATAATAACCATTCTGACTGGCATGAGATAGTATCTCATTGTGGTTTTGATTTGCATTTCTCTGATGACAAGTGATGTTGAGCATTTTTCCATGTTGGTTGGCTGCTTGTATGTCTCCTTTGGAGAAGTATCTGTTCATGTCTTTTGCTTACTTTTTAATGTCTTTATTTGTTTTTTGCTTGTTCAGTTGTTTAAGTTCCTTATAGATTCTGGATATTAGACATTTGTCAGATGGATAGCACACAAATATTTTCTCCCATTGTGTACGTTGTCTGTTTACTCTGTTGACAGTTTCTTTCTTTCCTTCTTTCTTTCTTTCTTTCTTCCTTTCTTTCTTTCTTTCTTTCTTTCTTTTTTTTTTTTAATTGAGAGAGTCTCACTCTGTTGCCCAGGCTGGAGTGCAGTGGCATGATCTCGGCTCACTGCAACCTCCGCCCCATGGAGTCAAGCAGTTCTTGTGCCTCAGCCTCCCAAGTAGTTGGGATTACATTCACGTGCCAACACGCCTGGCTAATTTTTGTATATTTTGTAGAGACAGGCTTTTGACATGTTGCCCAGGATGGTCTCAAACTCCTAAGCTCAAGCAATCCTCCCGCCTTGGCCTCCCAAAGTTCTGGGATTATAGGTATGAGCCACCGTGCCCAGTCTTGACAGTTTCTTTAGCTGTGCAGAAGCTCTTTAGTTTAATTAGGTCCCACTTATCAATATTTGTTTTTGTTGTAATTGCATTTGAGGACTTAGCCATAAATTATTTGCCAAGGCCAAGGTCTAGAATGGTGTTTCCTAGGTTTTCTTCTATAATTCTTATAGTTTGAGGTCCTTACATTCAAATTTTCACTCAAGTTTGTGTTAATATTTGTGTATGGTGATAGGTAGGAGTCTAGTTTCATTCTTCTGCATATTGCTAGCCAGCTATCCCAGCACCATTGGTTGGAGGTCCTTTCCCCATGCTTCTTTTTGCTGACTTTGTCAAAGATCACATGGCTATAGGTATATGGCTTTATTTCTGGGTTATCTGTTCTATTCCATTGTTCTATATATCTGTTTTTCACCAGTACCATACTGTTTTGGTTACTGTAGCCCTGTAGTATAGCTTGAAGTCGGGTAATGTGATATATCTGGTCTTGTTCTTTTTGCTTAGGATTGCTTTGGCTATTCAGGCTCTTTTTGGGTTTCATATGAATTTAAGAATTTTTTTTTCTAGTTCTATGAAAAATGACATCAATAGTTTGATAAGAATAGTGTTTTATCTGTAGATTGCTTTGGGCAGTATTGCCATTTTAACAGAATTGATTCTTCTGATCCATAAACATGGAATGTTTTTCCGTTTGTGTCATCTGTGATTTATTTCAGCAGTGTTCTGTAGTTTTTCTTGTAGTGATATTTCTTCTCCTTGGTTAGATGTATTCCCAGGTATCTTTCTATTTTCATGGCTATTGTAAATGGGATTGTGTTTTTGATTGGGCTCTCAGCTTGAACGTTATTTGTGTGTAGAAATGCTACTGATTTTTGTGCATTGATTTTGTATCCTGAAACTGTATTAAAGTCACTTATCCGTTCCAGGAGCCTTCTAGCAGAGTCTTTAGAGTTTCCTAGGTATACAGTAATATCATCATAGAAGAGAGAGAGTTTGACTTCTTCTTCACCTATTTGGATGCCTTGTATTTCTTTCTCTTGCCTGATTATTCTGGGTAGTACTTTCAGTACAATGTTGAATAGAGGTGCTGAGAATGGACATCCTTGTCTTGTTCCAGCTTTCAGGGGACATACTTCCAACTTTTGCCTGTGCAGTATGCTTACATTCCTTCTGTATCTCTCTTCCCAAAGGAAATCACTGTCTGAATGTGGCATGCATCATTTTTATACATATTTTTCTATTTTTACTACATATATCTATACATAAAATGAGAAAAGTATTATTTCATGTATTTAAAGTTTATACAGTCGATGTCTATTTTCGTTTCCTTTTTCAATGTATTATCTCACCCAACATTATAATTAGTTGTGTTTTTATAGCAAACACTTCAACAATACACCACATCCCTTTCTCAATACTCAAGCTGAGGCAATAATGGAATTCTCCTTTTCTTCCTTGGGGTGATTATTCCATAATTGGAGTGGCCAATGAGGATCAAGTGTTTTAATTTGAGACCAGAAAAATACTCTCAGTCCCTCTACAGTAGTAAAGCAGGAAGGGCCAGTCAGATTTGTCAGAAGCCATATTTCTAACAGGGTAGAAAGGAGATGTGAACGGAGTAAATAGGGAAGCTATCAAAAAGAAGCAGAGAGGAGAGATAGGGAGAGAGCTAGCTGCGTTCCTTGGTTCTAATATTCTGTGAGGCTGCCTGCCCCTCCCACAGCTTGATTGTTTGAGAATTTCAGGCTTCTTTTTATTCTATTTGGCTTGTGTTAGGTTTCTGTCACTACAGCCAAGTTTCTTGACTGATTAACAACATTTTTTTTTCCTTTTATTGAGAGAGACAGAGAGAAATAGCATTTGTTGAAAGCCCACTATGGGTTGATCTTTGTTCAAAGCACTATATGCATTGTCTCACTTAATCCTTATAGCACTAGGAGATAAAATATTATTATTTATAATTAAGGGATTTATAGCTCAGAAGCTGAGACACAGAGAATATAAATAATGTGCATAAGCCAAACAGCTCAATGACAAAGTCAGACTTCAAATCCAAGTTTTTCCTACTTTGAAATCTATGCTGCTTTGCTGTTCCCCATTATATTATGCTACGCAGTAAATAAGCCAATATCAAATGACAATTCCTGAGCAAAGCAATAGGAAACTCACCATTTGATCAGGAAGTTAAGTCTCAGCTCCCTCCCTTACATGACTATGTGACACTGAACAAGCCAAAGCCCTTTTTGGTTATCTTTCTTCATCTATACAATTTTATCTTATGCAAAGAATGTGTTATTGAGCACCAATTTTATTACTATAAACTTCTAATTTCCCAAAGATGGTATGGATTTCCTGAGAGCTTCCCACAATCTCCAGAGCTTTCCAGCTCTGCCTCCAGGGCCAAGTAGTTTCACAACAATAGAAAAGGGTTAATGTTTTTATCTGTCTGCAGCAAAGAACAAAGACAAGCTAAACAACCTATTTGGGAATTAAGCCTCCAAAATCAAAACTGATAGAGGATACAATTCCTAATCATTAAAAATACATAGAAAATGAAGTGGTTTGGATCTGTGTCCCTCCTCAAATCTCCTGTCAAATTGTAATCTCTAATGTTGAAGGTGGAGTGAGGTGGGAGGTGATTGGATTATGGTGATGATTTCTTCTGGTTTAGCACCATCCCACTTGGTACTGTCCTCATGATAGTGAGTTCTCATGAGACCTGGTTGTTTAAAAGTGCGTAGCACCTTCCCCCCTCACCTTGCTCCTGCACCTGCCATGTGAGATACCTCAATCCCTTTGCCTTCCTCCATGACATGATTGGAGGCATCCTGAGGCCTCCCCAGAGGCAGATGCCACTATGCTTCCTGTACTTTCTGCAGAGCCATGATCCAATTAACCTCTTTCCTTTATAAATTATCCAGTCCGAGATATTTCTTCATAGCGATGCAAGAATGAACTAATACATAAGATATTAGCCATAATTTAGCAGTAGATTTTCATAACCCATTGCTTTCTATTGTTTTCAAAAGTTCTTTTGATCTTAAAAAAAATATCAATAACTCTTTATTTTAGCTTATATCACAAGTAATATGGTGATGTTCCATTATGAAATTATATGATATTATTTTGTTTGTATGTTACAGGTTAAAATACAGTTTCTAAAACATAGCCTCCTGTCTTAGATTCTGAGGCAAAGTTTACCTACAGTCAAGGATCTTTCCATATTCAATAACATAAGAAATAAGTCTCAAAGTATGTTTAACTGTCAAAAAGAAGAAAAAAAAAGTTACCCTAACTGAGAAAAAAATGTTTTTCAAAGAATTGCTGTTTATCTGAGTACTTTGTAGTTGTAGTAGGGCTTTTCACACATCCCATATTCACCTACAATTTAAGAGTGAATATTAATTTTTTCCTTTTTTCTACTATAAATACTGTGCTTTGAGATTTTGAATTGGTTGATCTTTTGTAGTTTGCTTTTTAATCCATTTCAATATTTTGTTCCTGTCAAGTTTTCTTCTACTGACATAACTGTGTTGACACATATAAGCCTGTACGAAGAATGCATGAAGGTGTTTAAATTAAGTCAAACAACTGGCTAGTTGCTTATTATGAAAACTGATGTATTGGTTGAACTTTAAAATTTAACTTTCCACTCTTCAGATTTGTGACAAAAATTAAGATTATGTTATAGGCCTATCACTTTCATTAAAACAATCCTTTATGTCACTATTGATACTGTCCTCTCCCTTATTCGCAAAAATCAGAAGAATCTCACAGCCTAGGACATACGTCTCTTATATTCTAGGGCCACACAGAAAAATAAACCTGTGGTATTTTTAATTTACAAGACATTTTCTTCCATATCTATATGAATTCTAGTTTTTACTAGAGAGTTTTGTGCTATTCTAAATTCAGACTCCTGCTTAGAAAAGCTCATCAATGCTTTGGATAAAACATTTCTGCTCTATACTCTCCTGTTAGTGCCTTTTTATTTGTTCTTATTTTCCATTTTTGATGTTGTCAAAAGAGCAAATCTATAAGAGATGATACGAGAGTGATCATGGCTGATTAAAGTTTGAGGGGGCAAAAGAAACTATAACCTGAATTTTCCATCATCTTTTATTCCGTGGTCCTAAAAATGATACTTCTAAGATTTCTCTCTAGATACAACTTTCTTTCAAAATAGATGGTGATTTGTTCACTTGAAATTTGTTTTTGTTGTAAGCCTTCAAAGGGAGACTGTATCGCTGGAATGGAGAAATTTCTGGGTCACTGTTGTATGCCTATAAGCACTCCAGCCCTCACACGTCCCTTGTTGTGTAGCTCTCATACTGTTCTCAGTCTCCCGGGATGTCTTCTACTTTTCCTCCACTTGCTTTTTAAAATCTTCTCAAAGATTCGGAATGCAGCCCTTTTCTCAGTCTACACACACATTCATTCTTTTCTGAAATTACCTTGTGTTCTTAACACTCATAGCTCTATTTTGGGGAATCAAGTTTTTCTTAAGTCCACACCCATATAACCAAATGATCCCTGAAAATTTCTCCTTTAGGGACCTCAAACTTGACATGTCTGAAAACTGATTTATTCTCTCTCCAGAAGTAGATGTACATTGGGGTAACAGCCTAGCCTGTGATATTTCCTTCTGCCTAAGTGGACAAAATTGACAGACTCAGGTTGGGCTGATCCCATTCTTTTTACCAGAAACTAGGAAACTGGATGGAGAAACTGGAAAATGTAAGTAGTTAGAAGGTAGCCATTTTTATGGCAATTCTAAGAAAACAATTCTCCCCAAACTCCTGTTGCCAGGCTGAGTCTCCAGATGTATCCCAGTTTCTGCCAGAATGTTTCTGTTACATATTCATACACCATTAAAATATTCTTCTCTTCATGTTTTCCTTATCTTTAATAACTGTACCATTATTTACCTACTATTCAAGCCAGAAACCAGAAATCCTAAGACTGATCTTTCTCTCCACATTCAGTTAGTTACTTGGGATAGAGATAGGGTACCTCAGGCAAGGATTATATTCTAAACTCTGAAATCATCTACAGTCAAAATGTATCCTTTAAAGATGAGCTTTCTGTCTCTCAGTAGATTCAATGCATTCAATTTTTCATCCAGGGCTTGAATAGATTGCTGTTTCATCAATTGAATAGCAGATGAAGTAATTAATTTGCATTTAGCACTAAATATCTACAAACTTTAAAATATGAGCTTCATATACAGCCCAATGAGATGATCATGGAACCAAGGGAATTCAGGAGCTGAGGCTGACTAAAGAATGGCAGGGATGCAGTATTCCCACTGCATGTTCATTAAATGAACTCTCTTACTCTCTCTGTGTATCTTCTCAAATTAAATGAGTCTATTATGGGACTCTACTGCATCTCCTACCTATCTCAACCTCTCCATCCCTATATTAGTTAATTTTATTCAACATAACCGTCTTTTGATATAGGAATTATTTTCCTCATTTATAGGTAAAATATTAGAGGCTCAAAATTGTCAGATTGATTGAAATAGCATACATAGAGAAAGATCTGAGCTTCAACTCCAGAAATGTTGTGCCATTTACAGTGCATGACGTGGAATGGCATGAAATATAGGGGAGGATTTTTATGGCTGAGATAACCCAACATGGTATGATACAGAAAATGACATCTAAACTGACTCTTGAGAAATGGAGACATGGGCAAGCAGACATGGAGAAACAAGATTCTAAGTTAAGGGAAGGCATGAGCTAAAGCCAAGATATACAAATTCACAACATATTTGGGGAAAGGTGAGACTAGTCCAGGAGTTTTTAGTATAGCATATATGCAAGGAATTAGGAGAAAACAAGTCTGAAAATTGAAACTGAGAACAGGAATTGGATGTCATCAATGAACAAATGAAATAATGGGAAGAGAGGGAAACAGAATGAAAGAGAAAGTAAAAAAGAAAGGGAGGGAAAGAGAAAGAAAAGAAAGGAGAGAGATAAGGGAAAATGAAATAAATTATTTTGTTCATAATATTTAACATGATTGCTAATTATGTCCTGGGCTGCTTGCGGTGACATGGAACCGCAAAAATCATACAATAGGATGCCATTTATATAAAATTTAAATACATAAAAGAACACTAAAATGACTGTGGTGGAAGTTCATATCAAGGAACTATTTCCTTCATTAGAGCCTTTACTTCAGTAGCTTTCTCACTCCTAATAGGATAGGCCTCAACACAGCCTATAAAGTTCTGGTCAGTTGTTGTGTCTAGACCTCAAAAGGAAGGTGATATAAAGAGGTGTCTGATCTCCCATCAGATCATGACTGGGAACTCAGTTTTCAGGGTTTTTTCTGAGGTCCCCTTTGCCACAAAAGGGATCTGGTCAGTTAGGAGAGAGGCTGTATTAGTCTATTTTGACACTGCTGTAAAGACATACCTGAGACTGGGTAATTTGTAAAGAAGAGGTTTAATTGATTCACAGCTCTGCATGGCTGGGGACGCCTCAGGAAACTTACAATCACGGTGGATGAGGAAGCAGGCATGTCTTACATGGTGGCAAGCTAGAGAGAGTGAGCAAGAGCAGCAAGAGCGGGGAAAACTGCCTTGTAAAACTATCAGATCTTGTGAGAACTCACTCACTATCATGAGAACAGCATGGGGGAAATGGCCCCCATGATCCAATCACCTCCCACCAGGTCACTCCCTTAAAACCTGTGGATTACAATTAAAGGTGAGATTTCGGTGGGAACACCGAGCCAACCATATCATAGGCTTACGATTATATTTTAGTTTACATTCCCGCTTCTTGGCCAAGATTTGCCAGAAGCAGTATTGATTACTAAATTTTATTTTGTCCCATATCATTGCTGGGGTCATGTGGCTACCTGCCCCAGGTCCATCCTGTTCCTCAGTGAGATCTCTATGGTTAAGGGACTTACAGTCAAAAAACTTATAGCCAATTAAACATTCTAGAAACATTTATCCAGGTACTGATTGAGGTGAGAAGGCACTCATTAACCCTTAAAATCTTTTAAGCAACATAAAAGCCAAAAAACCAAAGGCCAAAAAGTGAGGTTGCATAATTTAATTCTGGTCTTAGACACTAACTTGTAGCAATTAGCCATACAAAACATAAGCATTTTGTTAAACCCATTTGAGTTAAGAAATTTAGAGAGGCAAAAAATCCTCAATTTGTCAGATGTTTAGGTATCTGCGTGCCCATCCTTGATCTGGAGAGTCTGAAGTAATTTTATTCCTCAAAATCGGCCTTTACAACTCATGCACCCACCTCTTCTGTGATAGTCTCTGGACCTAGAGGGATTGAATAGTTTTAATTTCTGGCCATGTGCCTCACAAAAGCAGTTCATTTTGATTTTCACCTTCTCTTGGACCTAAAGATGAAGCTTTTACTGGCATTAATGCTCAAGTTTTAGTAGGAGTTGGTGCCTTTTTCAGACCCGGGAGTCAAAGCCTTGTAACTTAACAGCACAAAGATTAGTTAATAGCGTGTTTATCAAGGATGTTAAAAGGCTCAAAATATTTGATCAAAACAAAACTACAAGTTATTATAAAATAATAGTTATTCATTTAACCAAAGTGATAATCAAAAGACTTTAAAAGCAATACAGAAATAAAGTTATATTAAAGGAACATTCTACCTGTGATATGCAGATAGACTACTTTCCTGTAACATGTTTTTATCTATAATATAAATGATAAATTATAGTATATGCATTTATGCTAAGAACAGAAGCCAATGTTTAATGAAATGTTTAGAAACACAAGAAAGAACATTTAGAAATCAGTGATTCAGTTTATTAACACTGCAGAAAGTCCCATTATTCTTTCTAACATGTCAAAAATGAAAATATTGTGATTTGGTGTCTAGGAGTTACTGTCTGCAGCACTTCAAGCCATTGTATTAAAGTGGTTAGGTTACTCCTCGCATATGCCTAGTAGTTAGCATTCTAGCATTCTAGTGACAAAATTATGACAAAATGTATAAAAAATATGATAGCTCCTATGCCATCCTTATTAAAGTAAGACAATTAACTTTTCTCTCAATATTTAAACAATGGTAAATGCAAATATCAGTTGTGGAAATTCAGTATTAGCATAAATAATCTCTTTCGCTTAACTATTAGAAAACAAAACCACAGAAACAATAAGCACACAATAATTTCTTTTTAGCTATTTTTAAAGATTGACATCACTCATTTACAAGACTGACTTTTAGATATAGTACTGACAAATGATTAGGTAGCTTTCACAACTAGAATTTTCAAATCAACGCAATACTTGTACATATTTTGTTTTCAAGCATACACAATAAGACCCAAGAGTAGTAAAAGATTTGGGATCAAAAATCACTAGAAAATCTCACTTTTTAAAATTGTTGCTTAGTTCAAAGAGTAGTAAAAGATTTGGGATCAAAAATCACTAGAAAATCTCACTTTTTAAAATTGTTGCTTAGTTCAAGGAAATGTCACTTAAATTTAACAATGGTAAACACATATAAAGTAGTTTGAGAGAAATTACAGTCATAATTTTTTTAAAGACAAGGCCAATCATTTTTGAACATTAAAACTTTGTACCCATATCACATTTCCTCATTACCTAAAGAAAAAAGCTCCTAAACCAACTTAAATTATTGATTCAATTGAATTATCTATTAATTAAATAAATATATTAACTAAAATTATTATTCTTATTAATCTTAAATTTTGGTGAAAACCAGGAAGCAAAAAATCCAGATCAATCAAATATTAGTATTTTATACCTGAGAACATTCCACAATTTTTAAAAACATGCTTTTCCATATTATAACTATTTCTTAATTAGAAATGATCCAGGCACTCAATGAGCATTAGAAATAATTTAAAAATTTTAAATTACACAAAAAGTTCACTGACAAGCATTTATCCCATTTACCTTTACTCAGTTCTTTTGTTTTTAGCAGTTTATCTACATTCCTTCTGAAAACTGAGATATTTAACAGAGCTAGTTATCATTTCAGGTTATTTCCTTAGTAACCATCATTTTATAGCCTGTGAATATGAATATTAGGGGTTAACTTAAGAACCTTAAAGTTAAACACATGGGCGTTTTGCCAAAAACTCAGAAAATTCAGCTGTTTTTATTAAACCAATGACATTTAATTAGTCATAATTGTCAAAAAAATTACATAAAGATTATTTTGTTTTGGCTGGGTTTATAGTTTTATAACCTTCCATGTCAAACCTTGAGACCCTAAAATATCTGACACAGACAAATATAAAAACCAGAAAAATATGTCCTGACAATTCCAAAGACATCCCTAGTAAATTCCTTTTATTTTACCAATAATTTTAAAGCTTATTTATTAAGGATTTACTTAAGTCATGTGAACTTGAAAAATATTTGGACTTGTTTACTTATTTTATGAGTGCAGTTTTTATTTATAAGCCAATTCAGGAGACACAACATAAAACATAATAAATGTACATATACCAAAACAAATCTAAACTTGTATACACACATATAGGCAAAGATCTAATAGCTTTTACCTTAGAACTCCATGAGTTAGCAATACAAAGCCATGAGATAGCAATACAAATTCACCAGTTTAGAAACATGTTCACATGATTAAACTTTGTTTGCTTTGATAAGTAATCCAGAGAAGGCTGTGAACCCAAATTCTGGGTAAAGAAGTTTCCATGAGAATTTGAATTTAAAGGCCAAACCTCCCCAGACTCTAAAGAACACTAGGACCAAATAGCACCACAGAGGAATATCACATACTAAGCAGGCCCTACCCTGCTTAGAACAGCAGCACAGAAGCCTAGATGCAAGGAACTCCATCCTAATTTCCTGTTTGAGGGGAAAATAAATCCAATGTTAACTTACCACTGTAATTCAAAGATTTTCTGAGATCAGACAAGATCAGGCACATTCAGAGTAATATAACAGACTTTCCCCCACTCCATCAGCCCACAACTACATTCAGACCAACTTTGAAAAATTTTTCTCAGTGGGCTGCACCCTGTGATTGAACCCTGACCTCCTATCAACACATACACAACCAAACAATCAACAAACTAGAATCCAAATGAAGCAGCAACCCACAAGCCAAGCCCCAAGAGTGTCCAAACTGAAAAAGCCAGGGTGCATTCTCTCTCAGTAGGTTGTACTTTTTCAACCTGCAAACAGAAATTCCTTTAGGATTTCCCAAATTGAGAGGAAAAGTTCCTGCTTTCTGGACTCACAAAGGACAGTCACCTGTCCTGAAGCAGGTGCCAAATTTCAAAGGCTGTTTTTCCTGGGCAATTAGGAATCTGGCTGGGGATGGCAGTAGCTGGGCCAAATAGAGAAATAAACCAAAACCTACCTTCAGCTGAAAATGATCAGGTAGCTACTAGGAGGGCTTCCAAAAATTGTATTCCATGTCAGCTGAGCCACAAGCAACACATTTGTTACCAAAATGCCAGGGGTTCAGTCTAGGTTTCATGGCTCGGTTTCATGGCTCACCACATAGAAAGTCAATCAGAGACAATGAGTATTGCTAGGGAAGAAAGGCTATATTCCGGTGATGTCAGCCAAAGGACAGGAGATAAGTCCCAAATCAGTCTCCCCCAACTGACTAAAATTGAGATTTATATAGAGGGGAAACACTGTAGCTACATGTGGGGAAAATAGGAATTAGGGAGGGGAAAGAAAAAGGCATTGGTCAACAGGAAGAGGTTGGCTGGTTAGGTAATCATGACTGATGAAGGGTCTAGCATCTCACTGTCTAGATGCAGTGATCTGGTAAGTTTCAGTTTCTTGATATTATCTGGGATTTCCTGTTGGTCAGTTTTCTGGAAAGGTACTCAGATAAGACAAATGTCAAGTGTAAGTTTCAAGTTTTATGACCAGGAGGGTCAACTTTATGCTTATCTAATCAACTGTAAACATCAGTTCTATGGGGAAATTGATCTTTCAAGTAGAACAAGATCAAGCACACCAGAACTTATAGATGTATGGAAGAAGGTAATAATTGAAATATTAACAAATAAGGTCTACTGGGCCTCTTGAACTTCATTGAGAGTAATCTGAACCCTATGTGATAGAAAACGTTAGATAACATTAACTAAGCAAGAGATCAACAAAAAAATTTCTCTATTCTTTCCTTTAAGAAATTTACTATTAGGGGAAGTAAATTCAAGATGTTCAGAAACAAATTCACAAAGAGATGAAGACCATTGGCAAGTATGGTATAAGTAATTCAAGAAAGTTTTTACAATATAAAGCCTATGCAAATGAACAGAAAATGAATACATTACCTATGTATTGCACTACTGCAATCCTGCACTGAAATTCTCTCAAGGAAGTAAGCTAGGGTAATTAGAGGGCTCCCCCTTCCTGCGTCTCAGGGATCATTGTCTTTCATTTCCCCATGTCCAGTGTCTTCAGTGCCACTGTTTCTATATATTTTGACTGTTTTTGTTGTTGTTGTTTCAGGTGTGATACACTAAACACACTAAATACATTACCGTACTCTAAGATTTGCTATGATCTAAATGTTTGTATCCTTTATAATCCATACATTGAAACCTAATCCCCAATATGGTATTTAGAGGTGAGACCTTCAGAAGGTGATTATGTCATAGAGATGGAGCTCTCATGAGTGGCATTAATTCCTTTATAAAAGAGGCCTGAGACAGCTTGACCTTCAACCATATGAGAATGAAGCAAGAAGGTGTCATCTAGGAGAACAGGCCCTTGCTAGACACTGAATCTGCCAGCACCTTAACCTTGGACTTCACAGCCTCCAGAAATGTGAGAAATAAATTTCTGGTTTTTATAAGCAACACAGTTTATGATATTTTGTTACAGCAGCCTCAACAGACTAAGACATGATTCTAAACTTAAATATTTAATGCATACCAAATAATATCAATAATAGAAAAAAAAACCAATGAAGCAACCTAGGAATTCTAAAACCAGATATTTACATATCAGAACCTGGTATGTGACAGAAATGTCTTTGCATATCACTGAGGAAATTAGTCTTCATTCAACAGAGGTTACTAAGTTTACTGTGAGAGAAAATGTTAAAAACTGATTTTGAGTTCCTACTTTATATTATATATAAAATATTTCCTAGGCCAATTAATAACTTAAATTTTAATGGTAGCACTTTAAAATATGTAGAACAAAATAAGGAAGAAATATGAAATAAGACAAAAAGTATAAAGTAATATATTGATATATTTTATGACACTAAAATTATTTCTAGGTTTTTGCATCTGGTGAAAGTGGAATGACAAGGTCTGGACTTCCTATCACACCTGAAATAACAACAAAAAAACAGTCAAAATACGTATAAACAGTGGTACTGAAGACATTGGACATAGGGAAATGAAAGACAATGATCCCTAAGAGACAGGAAATAGAAGAGGGAGCCCTATAATTGCCCTAGCTTACTTCCTTGAAAGAATTTCAAGGCTGGATTGCAGGAAAGGTGAATCCAATCAGAGCTCAGAGGTCTCCCTGAGTTGAGCAGATGAAACTGGGAATCTGGGGAAGCCAATGAAGCTCAAGTTCACAGGGCAGAATACCAGAGAGAAAGAGGGCTACATGGAGAGAACTATGGATATGTTCAGGTGGTTCCCCTCAAGCATTCATCAGAGCACTGACTAGCCCATGCATGTAAAGAAACTTCTTGAAGTGGGGGATGAGGGACCTAAAAGTATTTGAGAGAAAAGTAATTATTGCTTACACAGTGTTAGTATATGTTATCAGCAGACAGAAAGGAAATCCTCATAATTCAGAGGGATATCAGACAACCAAGAATAGTCTTGTCTCTTTAGTGGAAAATAATTAACCTTAGACTAACTGCTGTGTTGGTCTCACCTAACGAAGCTTAATAGTAAAAATCCAAGGGGATGAAATTGCATTCTAGTAACCTAACTGTACACCAGAACAAAGCCAAGGTATTCAAAACTATCCAGTACCCATAAGGTAAAATTTATAATTAAAAATTACCAGAAAATTAAAGATGCAGGAAAATACAGCTTATCATAAGGAGGAAAATCAATCAATCAAAACTGACGGAGAAATGGCACAGATAATAGAATTATCACACAAAAATATTAAAATAATTATTGCTCCATTCGATATGTTTTAAAAGCTAGAGGAAATGTAGAACATGTTAATAGAAATATGAATGATATAAAATGATGCAATCTGAACTTCTAGAAATGAAAAATGCAATGTCTAAAATGAAAACTACACTAGATAGGATGAAGAGTAGATTATACATTTCAGGAAAAAAAATTAGGGAACTTGAAGAAATTGCAATAAAAATTATACAAGAGGAAATACAGGGTAAAAAAAGACTAAAAGGAAAAAAATATATCCTCACAATCCCAAGAAGTTCAATAAACTCAAAGTACAAGATATGTGAACAGAAACAGACCGAAGCACATCATAATCACATTACTTACAACTAGTGATTAATAGGAAAATGTTTAAATAGAACAATCAGAGAAAAAAGGCATATTATGGAGTAGGAAAAAAATATGGATAACAACAGATTTCTTATTAGAAATGATGCAAGTTGAAAACACTGGAGAAATGCCTCTAAAGTAATAAAAAGAAGGAAATCCCCTGGTATCTCATAATTCTTTATCCATAGAAAATATTTTTTGAAAAAA
This sequence comes from Homo sapiens, assembly GCF_000001405.40. Classification (NCBI taxonomy): domain Eukaryota; kingdom Metazoa; phylum Chordata; class Mammalia; order Primates; family Hominidae; genus Homo; species Homo sapiens. The sequence continues at coordinate 189,551,650 of NC_000003.12, forward strand.
AATGAAAAACAAAGACGATTTCACAGCTGTAAAATCTGAAAGCATTCATCACCAGATACCTAAACTATAAGAAATGTTGAAGGAAAACAATGTAACACATGAAACCTACATTTATAAAAATAAGTGAAGCATATCAGCAATAGTAACCAAGTAGGTAAACAAAAATTATTATATCTTATTTTAATATGTTTAAAAGATAAACTATTTAAGGCAAAATTAGTTAAAAATGTATTGTGAAGCTGATAATATATAGAAGTATTAATAAAATGCATGAAAACATTAGCCCAGAAGAGGGATTTTCACAATAGCACAGATAGAACACTTTTGTGAGGTTTTATATTATAAGTCAAGTAGTATAATATCACTTGAAGGTAAAAAAATAGTAAGTTAAAGGAGCCATTAACAGAACACAGCACATAATTGTAGCTGGTAAGCAAAAGAAAAAAAAGTGAGAGAGAAAAAATAGACAATCCAAAAGAGGAGAGAAAAAAGAACAAAGAACCGCTATGGAAAAATAACAACTAGCAAGTTTAGTAGATTTAAGCCTACCCGTATCGATAAGTACATTAATTTAATTAAACACTGATTTTAAGTCAGTGATTATAATATTGAATATTAAGCAAGATACAACTATATGCTGCCTACTCAAAACTGAATTTAAGACACTAATTTAGGCATAAGTGTAGGAAAAGATATACAATACTAAAACTATTCAAAAGACAACTGGTATCACTATTTTAGTATCAGACTAAGTACATTTCTGACCAATGAATATTACCTAGGACAAAGAAAGCCATTCATAATGATAACAGAGTAAACCAAGAGGATGTTACAATCCTAAATGTCTATGCACCTAATATCAAACCTTCAAAAAAGATGAAGCAAAACCCAATCGTACTACAAAGAGACTAGACAAATTAAGAACTAAAGTAAAATATTTCAATATCCTTCTCTCAATAATTAATACAAGGAGATATATAATTAATAGAGATATAGAATCTTTGAACAATAACACTATCAACAAACTTGATTTAAATTACCTTTCTAGAACACTCCACACAACAGCAGAAGACATTTCTTTTCAAGCATTCATGCAGCATTTACCCAGATAAATGTTATAGTCCTTTGCTGCTACTCTAAGATAATACCTGAAACTGGGTATTTATAAACACTAGACATTTGTTTCTCACAGTTCTTGAGACTGAAAATCTAAGATCAAGATGCAGACATTTTGTGTGTAGTAGGAGCTGCATCCTCCAAAAAAGGAGAAACACTGTATCTTCACAGTGTAGAAAATGGGAAGACAAGAGGGGATCAACTCTTTCAAACCCCTTTATGGGGACACCTAATTCCATTCACCAGGTGAGAATGCCTTAGACCTAATCTCTTCTTAAAGGCCCCACATCTTAATGCCATCAAACTGGCCATTGAGTTCAAACACCTAAATTTTGGAAGAGACACATTCAAGCAATAGCTATCAAACATATTCTGAGCTATAAAATAAAGATCAATAAATTTAAATACTTTAAGTCACATAAAGTGTTCTCTTTGATCATACGGAAATCAGTTATAAATCAATAACAGAAGGAACTTTGGAAAACACCAAAATATATGAAAACTAAATAACACACTTCTAAATAACCCATGGGTTAAAGAAGAAATCAAAAGAAAAATTACAAGATATTTTGACTGAATAAAATGGAATTACGACATATCAAAATATGTAGGATGCCACTAAACGTATCTTAGGGTGGTGGTGGTGGTAGACTTATAGCATAAATGCCTATGAAAAAAAGGAAGGTATCAAATCACTGACTTCAGCCATAACTTAAAGGAACTTTAAAGAGAAGAATAAATTAAACTGAAAGTAAGAAAGGAGGAGTTAATAAAGATCAGAGCAGAAAGCAATGAAACAAAAATCAGAAAAACAAGGGAGAAATTAATGAAACTAAAAGCTGGTTCTTAGAGAAGATCAGTGAAATTGATAAATCTCTAGCTAGACTGACAAAAAAACCCAACCAAACAAAGAACAAACACAAATTTCCAATATCAGAAATGAGAGTGATAACATCACTACACATTTGGCAAATAGACACTAAAACGATAATAATAAAATATACGAACAACTTATGCCAATAAATTCAACTCTTTAGAATGGACAAATTTCTTGAAAAACATAAACTTCTAAAGCTCACTCAAGAAGAAATACATAATCTAAATATATATGTGAAATTGAATTTCTAGTGAAAAATTGTAAGCAATATTTTTCCAGTCATACTCAACACCATAGAAGGAAAATTCACTGTGACCAAGTGGGATTTACATTGCAGAAAGAAAAGTTCTGTTTATTATTCACGTATCAACTAACATAATTCAACATATTAACAAACTAAAAGAGAAAAGCTAAATGATCATCTTAATAGATGCAGAGAAAGCAAGCCAACACTGATTACTGATTAAAACTACTCAGCGTTTTAGGAATAGAAGAGAAACCGAAAAAGGACATCTGTGAAAAACTTGTAGCTAATATCACATTTAATAATGAAGAACTGAGTGGTTTCCCTCTAATATTAAGAAGAAGGCAAGGATCTCTGCTTTCACCACTTCTGTTACAGCATCTTTGGGGTGTCGTTTTTCTGGTCAGAAACATCTGTGGCTTCTGGCACCTTTGTCCGAGCTCTTGTCCTGCATCCAGGAAGAATGTGGTATGCAGACAAGTGGAGGATGAGCAAGATAAAGAGAAGCTTTATTTAGTGTTAGAACAGCTCAGAGGAGACCCACAGGTCTCCCCTCAAATGTCATCCTCTCAAGTGTTCAGCTTTCAGCAGAGAGGAGGCCCTGGAGTGTGTGGATCTTCAATCCTCAACATGTCCTCCCATCCTCTTGTTGTCTCTGCAACTCTCAGCAGAGAGCAGGCCCGGGAGAGGGTGGCTCCTCTCTGCAGTCAGGTTGTTCTGACATCTCTGCAGGTCTCTGAAGCTCTCAGCAGAGAGGGTAGCTCCTCTCTGTAGCTGGTTCTCTGATTGTCTCCTGCTATCAGCAGAGAGGGTAGCTCCTCTCTACAGCTGGCCATCCTCTCTCCATCCTGTGCCCTGTTCTGGCTGAGCCTGGGGCTTTTACAGACTTCAGAGGGGAGGAAGTGCCTACTGATTGGTCCATGGGCAGCCCGGAAAAAGGCACCATAAGTCCCCATTCTGGTCCATGGGTCTGGCATCCCAGCTATCAGCCTTCAGGGCTGCCTGGCCTGAAGGTTTGGCTTCCTTGGGGACCTGCTCCCTTCTGCCCAGGAGCCTGTCTGCTTCCCGCAGCCATCCATGGCAGCAGGCTTCTGGCACCAAGGGGCACCTGCAAGCCCGTGCCCAACTGCCCTCAGCCCCCCTTCAGTTTCTCCTCTGGCACTCCTTGGTGCCCAAAGATCAGAGGAGGCCAAGGCGGCAGAGGGCTGGCATATCAGCACTACCCTGAGCTTGCATACATGGTCTGGGTTGTGACAGTGCTAGAGGCCTGCCCCAACCCCACTCGGAGATCAAAAAGGGAACTAGGAACAAAGAGAGGCCAGGCAGTGGGAGCAGGCACCTCTGAGCCTGCAAGGTCAAGGGGGCCATTCCTAGGCCCCCAAAGAGTGCAGGGATGCCTGGGTGTGCAGCCCTGGTTTGGGCAGCTGCATCTGTGGGGGATGGGGGGACTCCTACCTGCTTAGGATCTGCAGCCATGACTCCACTGGCTGCAGCCCTGTACAGGAGGGCAGGGCTCCTGCCTACTCCCAGCTCCCAAGAGCAGAGGGGTGCCCGGGTTGCAGCCGCAGCTTGGGCAGCTGCAGTTGCACCTGGGGCATCTGAAATTGCACCGGGGGAGCTCCCACCTTGACAACGTGGAAGAGGCAGGGCTTCCACTTTTCCCTGGTTTCTGGTGGCTCCATGGAGCATGGCACCCTGCCATGCCCCCTTGCAGCCTGGGGCACTCCAGGTCCTTGCTAGGCCTGGGCCAGCATCCAGAGCAGGCCTGACATTCTCCTGAGCTTTCCCTATGGCTCCTCCCCTCAGGGGCAGATCAGAGCTCCATGGGACTGGCTGGGCCCCATCGGGGGAGCCTCCAGGGTTGCAGGCTGTGGAAGTTGGTGGGGAGGTTTTCCACCTTCTCCCAGTACCCTGCTTGCAGCTGCCAGCAATAGGGCAGCTGCCACACCAGACTGCCTGCCACTGCCATCACTTCTGTTCAACATTGCACTGAAAGTTCTGGCCAGTGCATTCAGGCAATCAATCAATCAATAAATCAATAAGATAAAATCATCCAGATGGGAAAAAAAGAAGTAAAACTATCTTTATTGAGAAAATTTTATGAAATCCACCAAAAGCTACTAGAATTAATGTGTTTAACCATATTGCAGGATACATAATTATAGAGAAATCTGTACATACATACATATACATATATACTAATAGTAGACAAATACATTGAAAATAAGAAAATTATAGCTTAAAAATTATAAAATACTTAATATTGTTAATATATATTTGGACAGTTCTGCTCAGATTGATCTATGGATTCCAATCACAAGCCTAACAAGAATTTTTGTACAAATTGAAAAATACATTCTAAAATTTATGTACAAGTTTATAGGACTTAGAATATGCAAAATTGCTTTGTAAAAGAACAAAGTTGGAAGACTAACACCATTTCATATCAAGAGTTATTATAATGCTATTGCAATTAAAAGCATGTGGCATTAACAGAAAATAGATTACTAGATTGTGAAACTTCCAGTTGCCAAGATGGTCAATTAGAAGAATGAGCCAAACTTAGGCCAGGCATGGTGGCTCAAGCCTGTCATCCAAGCACTTTAGGAGGCTGATGTGGGCAGATCACATGAAGCTAGGAGTTCAAGACCAGCCTGGACAACATGGCTAAACCCCATCTCTACTAAAAATACAAAAATTAGCCAGGTATGGTGGCACACTCCTGTAATCCCAGCTACTCGGAAGTCTGAGGGATGAGAATTGCTTGAGCTTGAGAGGCAGAGGTTGCAGTGCAGTGAGCCAAGATTGTACTCCAGCCTGGGTGACAAAGACTCCATCTTGGAAAAAAAAAAAAAAAGAAGAACAATGAGCCAAACTTAAAGTAGCAAATTTGCAATCAAGCTTTTATTCACTTTCCAGGACAAAGTAAAAGAGACATGTGCTAAGTCCTAGTGTTTTATTTTTCCTCACAGAATGGTATTGACAAGAGTGAGAGGATGTACAACACAAATGAGAGAAATTTTCTCACTGCTGAAGAGTCTAAACAAAAGGCTCCTGCTTTTTGTGAACCTGGACTACTAAGATTGGATGACGAGGAGAGATTGGAGTGGGAAAGTGATGAGCAGAGTGAGAAGCAGTCCCTCAGCTCGGACAGCCATATAAAGTAGGTTTTCATGAAGTAGAGTAGAAAGTGCTTCAGCTTTGTCCTGATAAAGAAGCCTCTAAATGGAGGTGCCAGGAATAATGTCGATATGCACATGAACATGACAGGCCCAGAAGGGCCTATGTCTTTGACTGAAATTCCGTTCAGACTGGAATAAAGTTCCTGTGCACTAAGTCTGGTGAGGGGAGGACAAGTTCGCCCATAAGGCCTGCCAGTCAAAGCCTTGTAATTGCCTATGACTGGGCCTAAGGGCTCACACACAGAATTTTGGCCTGGAGCTGGACTCCTCATAAATCAATGGAATATAACAGATTCCAGTAATAGAACCATATGTATACAGGCAACTGATTTTTGACAAAGATGCAAAAGTAATATAGTTACAAAAGAATAGTCTTTTCAAGAAAAGCTGTAGGAAGAACTGGATATCCATATACAAAAATGAATGTAGAGCCATACCTCACACCATATATAAAAATTAACTCAAAATGGATCACAGAGCTAACCATAAAACCTAAACAACTATATCAATCAATATGTATCTATATGCTAACAATAACAAACATTGAAATCTCTTTAGGTAAAATTTAAACCTATAAAGCTAGAAGAAAGCACATGAGGAAATCTTTATTATCTTGGGTAAGGCAAAGATTTCTTAGTTATCACACCAAAAGTACAATCCATAAAACAATAACAACAACAATAAATTAGACTTAAGGACTTCTACTTTCTGAAAGACATAGATAAGGAAGTAGAAAAACAAGAATCAGACTGTGAGAAGATAGTTTCAAATTGCATATCTGATACCAAACTTGTATCTAGAATATATATAGTAGTTCCCATTTTCCATGGGGGATATGTTTCAGCACCCCCAGTGGATGCCTAAAATAGGAGATAGTACCGAACCTAATATATACTATGGTTTTTCTATCTGATAACCAAGACTTCTACTAAATGACTAAGTGCGTGTAGTTTTACACAGTGAATATGCTGGACAAAGGGATGATTCACATGCCATGTGGGACAGAGCAGAACATGCTGCTCAGAATGGTGCACAATTGAAAACCTACAAATTGTTTATTTCTGGAGTTTTCTACTTAATATTTCAGACCACAGTTGACGGCAGGTAACTGAAACCATGGAAAGGGGACTACTGTATTCCTAAAAGTAAAAACTATATAAACAAAGACAAAAATGGGGGAAATACTTGAACAGATAACTCAGAGAAGATGTATGATTGGCAAATAAGCACAGAAAAGGAAACTTACCCTTGTTAGACATAAGAAAAATGTAGATCCAGATGAAAATGCAGCACCACTACATACCTATTACAACAGCTAAAATTAAAACGATTGACCATACTAACGTTGACAAGGATGTGGAACAACTGAAACTTTCATACACTGCTGATGGGACTGTAAAATTGTCAAACTTTTTTGGAAAATAGTTTTCAGTTTCTTAAACGTTAAATAGTTAAATGTAGACCTATAGCCTAACTCGGACATTCCACTGCTAGGTATTTATTCACCTAAGCAAAATGTAAGTGTATCTTCACTAAGCATTTGTCATCAAACTTCATCTCAGCTTTATTTGTAATATGAAAGTTGGAATCACCCCAAATGTTCATCAATAGGTAAATGGGTAAACAATAATTGTGTTATGTCTATACTATTTGAAATACTATTCCAAAAAATAAAGCTATTGATGTATGTATGTGGCAAAATAGATGAATTTCAAAATAAATATGCTGAGTAAAAGACTGACACAAAAGAGTACATAATGTGTAATCTTATTTATGCAAAATTCTAGAAAATGCAAACTGATCTATATTGTCAGAAAATAGATCAGTGTTTGTCTAAGGATGGGGGCTGGCAAATATGGAAGGGGCAGGAGGGTGGAATTCCAAAGGAGTTTGAAGAGACTTTGGGGATTGATGGAAATGGTCATTATGTTGACTGTGGTGATAGTTAATGGATGTACACATATCTCAAAACTCAACAAATTGTACACTTTATTTTATATATATATATATTTATTATACTTTAAGTTCTAGGGTACATGTGCACAACGTGCAGGTTTGTTACATATGTATACATGTGCCATGTTTGTGTGCTGCACCCATTAACTTGTCATTTACATTAGGTATATTTCCTAATGCTATCCCTCCCTCCTCCCCCCACCCCACAACAGGCCCCAGTGTGTGATGTTCCCCTTCCTGTGTCCAAGTGTTCTCATTGTTCAATTCCCACCTATGAGTGAAAACATGCAGTGTTTGGTTTTTTGTCCTTGCAATAGTTTGCTGAGAACGATGGTTTCCAGCTTCATCCGTGTCTCTACAAAGGACATGAACTCATCCTTTTTTATGGCTGCATAGTATTCCATGGTGTATATGTGCCACATTTTCTTAATCCAGTCTATCATTGTTGGACATTTGGGTGGGTTCCAAGTCTTTGCTATTGTGAATAGTGCCGCAATAAACATACGTGTGCATGTGTCTTTATAGCAGCATGATTTATAATCCTTTGGGTATATACCCAGTAATGGGATGGCTGGGTCAAATGGTATTTCTAGTTCTAGATCCTTGAGGAATCGCCACACTGTCTTCCACAATGGTTGAACTAGTTTGCAGTCCCACCAACAGTGTAAAAGTGTTCCTATTTCTCCACATCCTCTCCAGCACCTGTTGTTTCCTGACTTTTTAATGATCACCATTCTAACTGGTGTGAGATGGTATCTCATTGTGGTTTTGATTTGCATTTCTCTGATGGCCAGTGATGATGAGCATTTTTTCCTGTGTCTGTTGGCTGCATAAATGTCTTCTTTTGAGGAGTGTCTGTTCATATCCTTCACCCACTTGTTGATGGGGTTGTTTTTTCTTGTAAATTTGTTTGAGATCTTTGTAGATTCTGGATATTAGCCCTTTGTCAGATAAGTAGATTGCAGAAATTTTCTCCCATTCTGTAGGTTGCCTGTTCACTCTGATGGTAGTGTCTTTTGCTGTGCAGAAGCTCTTTAGTTTAATTAGATCCCATTTGTCAATTTTGGCTTTTGTTGCCATTGCTTTTGGTGTTTTAGACATGAAGTCCTTGCCCATGCCTATGTCCTGAATGGTATTGCCTAGGTTTTCTTCTAGGGCTTTTATGGTTTTAGGTCTAACATTTAAGTCTTTAATCCACCGTGAATTAATTTTTGTATAAGGTGTAAGGAAGGGATCCAGTTTCAGCTTTCTACAGATGTCTAGCCAGTTTTCCCAGCACCATTTGTTAAATAGGGAATCCTTTCCCCATTTCTTGTTTTTGTCAAGTTTGTCAAAGATCAGATGGTTGTAGATGTGTGGTATTATTTCTGAGGGCTCTGTTCTGTTCCACTGGTCTGTATCTCTGTTCTGGTACCAGTACCATGCTGTTTTGGTTACTGTAGCCTTGTAGTATAGTTTGAAGTAAGGTAGCGTGATGCCTCCAGCTTTGTTCTTTTGGCTTAGGATTGACTTGGCAATGTGGGCTCTTTTTTATATCTCAAAATAATAAGAACTATTTATGACAAACCCATAGCCAATATCATACTGAATGGGCAAAAACAGGAAACATTCCCTTTGAAAACTAGCACAAGACATGGATGCCCTCTCTCACCACTCCTATTCAACATAGTGTTGGAAGTTCTGGCCAGGGCAATTCAGCAGGAGAAGGAAATAAAAGGTATTCAATTAGGAAAAGAGGAAGTCAAATTGTCCCTGTTTGCAGATGACATGATTGCATAGCTAGAAAACCCCATCATCTCAGTCCAAAGTCTCCTTATGCTGATAAGCAACTTCAGCAAAGTCTCAGGATACAAAATAAATGTGCAAAAATCACAAGCATTCTTATACACCAATAACAGACAAACAGAGAGCCAAATCATGAGTGAACTCCCATTCACAATTGCTTCAAAGAGAATAAAATACCTAGGAATCCAACTTACAAGGGATGTGAAGGACCTCTTCAAGGAGAACTACAAACCACTGCTCAACTAAATAAAAGAGGACACAAACAAATGGAAGAACATTCGATGCTCATGGATAGGAAGAATCAATATCGTGAAAATGGCCATACTGCCCAAGGTAATTTATAGATTCAATGCCATCTGCATCAAGCTACCAATGACTTTCTTCACAGAATTGGAAAAAACTACTTTGAAGTTCATATGGAACCAAAAAACAAATTGTACACTTTAAACATGTGCAGTTTATTGTATGTAAATGATGCCTCAATAAAGTTATTTAAAGTTATGAGTTTCTGTTCATGGAAATACATATTTCCTTTTTAAAGTCAAATTCTCGGGGAAGGGTCCTAAGCTTCATTTGCTGTTGGATAGCAGGGAAAGCAAGCTCATTACAGGCTATCATGGGTATTTCCTGGGAATGATTATGCAATCCATAAATCTGAGCTCACTTCCTCATGGGGTCTTGCTCCACAGTCCTACTCTCTTTTTCAGGAGGTCACCTCTTGATGTCTCTAAATTAGCAACTTTAGGGAGCTATTGCATACACTCTATTACTGAACTCCAAGCTCGATCACAGAATCTTCCCTCAGTTCTCTTTAGTAACAATGTAACTTTTCTGAAGGCTTCAGGACTAACAAAGTTGGAGAAAAAATTGTTTTACATTAATTGTGAAACAAAAATCTTGAAATTGAACATGGAGTTTCCATGTGTGGGATGCTGCAACTGACGTCTATGGCCTATAAAAGCCAATTATTAGATATTCAGCAATCTTTCAAGCTAGTGGTCAAGCATAGCTGTTATTAAAAATTAAAGTACATACATTTAGAACTAAATGATATTAAAATCAGAGACAATGGATATTCTAAACTCATCACTTCTTACATCCACTATGATCTATGCTCTTGGGGTTTGCATCTCTTACAAACTCACATTCCATGACAGCAGGTTGGCATCTTGAAATCAGCCATTGTGGGAATATTTACACCGCAGAAATGAGCTAATAGTACAAATAGAGGCTTAATTTATTGCTTTGTTGACGAGGAAGTGATGGAGAAAGTGTTTATAATGCAGATTAAAACTGCATTGTGTCTCTGGTCATTGTATTGTGAATAGCACCAAAAATTGAGAAACTATTATTTCAGTATTTGAAAACTATTATTTGATTCAATGCCTAAGTGGCTTGGGTAATTGACAAACCAAAGTTCTGAGGAATATTTTTGTTGTTTCACTTTTGTCTTACTCACTAAACAATACCAATCAATATTCATACTGGAGTTATATTCACCCATCAGTTGCAACCACAGGTTGGCTATACAAGAGTTTAACAAAAACTGATAACAGAATTCTATTGTATATTCTGTTATTATTTATAATTTTGTGCTATGTAAACATTATGTCAATAAAATTTATAATAAGCTTATATACATAAAAATATGCATCCATTTTTCACAAAAAAGCCAGCAGCTAAACATTTAGAAGTATACTATTAGGCTGCTTTCACAGTTTATAAGCCCAGATGCTATGCAGAGATTTTCTTCTTGAGTATTTTTGTCTTGGCAACTTCCTGTCACTTGGTTGCACTTACCAGTTTACTTCCCTGTAATAGGACTTGCTTGGCCCTGAACTGTAAACAGTGAAGAATATTTTAGTCGCATTTCCATAGCTAGTCACTACCTAGGAGAGTCTCTTCAAATAAGGCAATACCTGACTTTGAAAATGGTGGTTTTTCTAGCTTTAGTTTTTCAGTTGCAGCAGGAACTCTGTTACCTAAGTTAAAATACCAAAGGCAGAAACTATGTGAATAAAATTGATAGATTTGCCACGTTAAAAAGCGGTGCTTCTATAGTACGGAAAACATCATTAACGAAGTTTAAAAACTAAAGATTAATAGGAAAACATGTTCAATAACTATTTCAAAGGATTGTTGGCTTTAAAGTATAATTTTTACACTTCTGTAAGAAAACAATAATACCATGAAGAATAAACAGGCCAAAGTCATGAACAGAAATTTCACAAGGAAATTCAAATGGCAAAAAAAAATACAATAATAACCTCACCAGTAATCAAAACAATTAAAATTAAAATAAGATACATTCACTTTTAAATTTAAAGATTTTTAAATGATTATCTGGGAGAATGTATTGTGGGGAAATACAGGGACTCTCAAATAATTCGATAGGAGTGAACTTGCACCCACTTTCTGGAGGACTTTTTGGCAGGACCCTTCTTGTCTCTTGACCTCACAGTTCTACTTTAATAATTCATTTAAAGGTAATATTTAAATACATGTGGAAAGATGTAGCTAAAAAAATATTTATCACAGCTTTGTTTATAATAAATTTTTAAAAATAACTTACATGTCTAATAAGAATGAATCAGTTATTTACACAGATACAGAATCCTAAGCAACTGTAACAATTATTTAATGAAATATTATTAACTGTCATGGAATGACTTTAATGATATATAATTGTGGAATGAAAACAGCAGATGTAAAACTATGTATAACATGATCTCACACTTGATATAAATATGATTTTATATATACAATTATTTGTGTATATGTTACATACATACATATACACATAATGCATAAGATCTTAAAGGATATACACCAAAATGTTAATTGAGCTTTTGTTTCAGGTGGTTTTATTTTCTTCTTCGATTCTTTTCTTATTTGTATTTAATTGTTCTACATTGAGCATACGTTACTCGTACAATAGAATTTAAAAACCCATCCCTACACTATCTCAGCACTTTATGAGTTTCATAATCAGGTGATTCAAGGACTTGTTAGTACTCAGATTCTTGGGAATTGCAGCTGTCCTGCCTAGAGATGCAATTGGACGTAGCTCAGCAGGATAAGTACAACCTACAAGGGCACTCCTGGAAGGAGGAGAATTCCCTGTGTTTGCATTTTTTTCTGGCTACACAAATGCTGTGCTGACTTAACAGCCCACAGGTGGCTGTTCTCTTCTGCCTCGGTGTGGAAATGGAAAGAGAGACTGACTAATTTTACTGAATCATTTTACTAGTTATGTGACTGTGGGTTTGGTTACCCACAGGCATTTCTGCTGCAATTGGTTAGCCTGGGGGAAGTTTTATTTTAACATGTTCACAGAGGCTTTTCCTGTCCAAGTGAATGGTTGTGAATGACAGCGAGGGAGACTACACCCTCTCACGTATATCCATATACAAGGATTGGGACAGCCTGACCTTCTGGGATTATATCCTTTTTTTGGCATCTCTGGGTAAAAGGCCTTAGGCTTCTAACTTCAATGTTGGAATTTTGACTACAGGGCAATGTCTCATATTTCAAGCATCTCTGTAGCCTACCCTTTACAACTATCCTGAAGAGACCTCTATCCATCTGCCACAAAAAAGACCTAACACCGAGGTTGCTTCTGGAGTTAAGAGCCTGGAGTTTGCTGCCTAAGACTATGGGAAGGCTACTTCCGCACTTAAATGTGAAGTGACCCTTGGTAGGATCTGTGTTCAGTATCCCCATCATTTCTTCAGTTGAATCTATTGACAAAGGCATCATTAAAAGCAATCAACTTACATTTCATTTTGATGACCTTGTAAACAAAAAATAAAATCCTAAGCCCCCACCATCTGAACAGGCCCCCTCTTGGCCAAGGGATTCCAGAAAAACCTAAAAACTGAGTTTCCAGCCATGACCCATGATGGGACAGGAGGTCAAACATACTCTGTTAACCCCTCTCCTTTTTGCAGTTTAGACATAACTGACCAGCATTAATGTTAAAATAGAGACCACAAGACTGACAGAACAGACTCTTTATGACAATAGACTATCAAATTATAAACAGGACCTAAGGCCATGCCATGCAAGAGTTAAGTCACATGCCTGCACTAAAGAATAAACTGTGTTCTAACCATGCCACAAGGCTTTTCTTTAGCATCTAAACAAGCACTGGTCTTGAAAGAAGCAATATTAAGACAATTTTCAGCTCACCACCATACACTCACTGACCTCACTGTTTTACCTGCCATAATTATAGCTTTGATTGGACAAGTGACTGATTTCAGTAACTTTCTTCTGATAAGAAGACCACTGACCATGGACTGGCTCTGGTTGGTTTACAGAGGCTGTGCACTGACTGGAATTCCTTGTGTCCTGAAAAGACCTTTAGATGGATAGGGACTAATTATAATACATTTAAATATTGTCCCTACTCCAAGGTGAACTTTCTTCTTTCTTTCTTTCTTTCTCTTTCTTTCTCTTTTCTTTCTTTCTTTCTTTTTCTGTCTTTCTCTCTTTCTTCTTTCTCTCCCTCCCTCCCTCCCTCCTTCCTTTCTTCCTTCCTTCCTTCCTTCCTTCTTTCTTTCTCTTTCTTTCTTTGTTCTATATATGAACGTGGGTCATATGTAACATGCATGTTTGTTCAATACACATGCGTCCGGACCACCTTCATGAATATTCACCTCCTCTCGTAACCTGTTGAATATGTATGTTTAGCCAATGCACTCAGCATAAAGCTCCTACCCAATCTCGTTTGAAGGGCCTGTGCTTCTCAGCCTGCAGGATGACCACTTTGAAGGATGTAACCTTTTTATTAAAAAATAAAGTTTCCTATTCTAAATTTATAATTTTATAATTTTTTTTCAAAGTTAGCAACCTATACTGGACTTCAAAAATATGCCAAGAGCGGTGCTAGATGCTGAGAATAGAAAAATAAGTTAGACAAAGCCCTGAACTCTAGTGATATACAGTCCACAAGAGAATTTGCATGAAAAAATATGGCTTGTCCATAAAGTCTGGAAACATAAGCATATATGCCTAATAATATATGCATGTCAAGAATGTCGCCAATATATAAAACTGATAAGGTAATATCATGTATGTCCCCAGACTTTATAGATAGCCTGTTGAACATAAAATAATAAGTAATATGGTGACTATAGTCAGATCTTAGATTCCAGTGAATAATTAATTCTTCCAGGTAAAGGTAGTTTTAAAGAGGAACAGACCCTCATCCTGTTTGAGGATAGAGGTCACAAGAACTTCTCAAGAAGTGAAGATGCAGTGTATTGTTTTCTGGGATTGGCTGGGGTACTGAAAACTAAACAAAGAGATAGTGGCAAAAGTTTTCTTCCATTCATGACCATTCTTTCAGCAGCCAGATGTTTGACAACCATCATATTGATACTGGTAGAAACACATATTCAGAGAGTGGGCAGGGCAGTTAACAGGGGTGGTAGCTTGTCATTTTGTCATATCAGAGATGTGGCTGCTTGATAGTCTGTAGTGACTTCCTACAATTTTCCAATGCTACAAAATTAATCATAAACTTCTCAACCTACAGGGTCTCACACAGTACCTTAAATAGTCCCCTGCAGGTCTGGGCTAGGTGGGAGGGTTTCCGTAGTCAATATTCTTGACCCTGAGATTTGAAGGCTTGGTGCAGTCAAAGTTAATGAGGATCAAAGCCCACGTAGAGTCCAGGGGTAGAAACTGGGAGAGAAGCCTCACTCACCTGGCATCACCTAGAAGCTTGTTAGAAATGCAGACTCTTTGCCCCACCCCATGCCTAATGAATCCAAATCTGCACTGTAACAAGATCCCCAGATGATTTATGTAATACTGGTCTGCAGACCGGACTTTGAGTAGCAAAGATTTAAACTGCTATTTCTCTAACTTGGATGTATATTGAAATTAACTGGGGAGTTTTAGGAAACACTGATCTCTGATCTCTGCTGCATATTTGCAGATATTCTTGTCCAAAAACCAAAGGGCAGAAGATAGGAGACGTGACCAGGAAAAACTGTTACCAAGAAATATGTTCTCAGTGTCAGAACTCAATGGGCATGTAGATTGGATGGACCAATGATGGGCCAACAGGCAGACTGGTAAGTAAATAGATGGATAAGAAGAGGCTAAAGGACTTTGAAATGAAGATTTTTAATTTTGTAAGTAACTTTGGGTTATGCTTTCTCTTGATAAGCTTGGGCCAGTGTTTCACACAGCTTATCTGTAGAATTACTGTAAAGGAATACACATTTTAAAATGTAGATTCTGGGCCACACCTTCAGATACTGAATCAGCATTTTCAGAGAGGAGACCAAGTAATCTGCATTTTCTATACATGCTTCAGGAGAACATTCTATATACTAAAGTATAATAAGGACTTCTTTAGACAGTGTCCTGGCTAACTGTTAGAGGAACAATCTAAATTGAAGTGTTTCTCCATGAGAGGGATTTTGGTATATACTTGGGCAAGACAATTTTTCATTGTACAATATTGACCGATACTTAAATGTTTAGAATCCCTGCCTCCAACTACTAAATTCTACAGCATGACCCCGTCATTGTGACAACCAAAATGCTCTCTGTTATATTTCTAAATGGTGCCTCCAAGCTACAAAGCACTAGCTCAAACTCCCAAGTTCCCTGACAGAATCATGTGAAAGACTATAAGTGTACAGAGAGTTGCCTATGTATGACAGCTGACTACATCAGAGATTGAGTTCAGACAAGTGAAATCATACTTCTTGAAGCTATGAATATGTATAAGTGAGGAGGTTTGAGGTAGAGTGCAAAGAATCCTGAACCTGAAATCAGTCTGCTTGAATTTGAGGCCACTCGCTAGCTGTGCAAATGAGATAACATTAAGTCACCATTTCTTTTGCCTGGGTCTATTTCCTTGTTTATAAAATGGAAAGAAAAATAACTGGTTCAGTTATCTTACAGGACTGTTGGGAGATGATGAATACACTATGTTTTAGAAGGTCTTCTGTAGCCCTGATAGTGCAGCCAGCAAGTTTTCCCAATGGTTGAAATATGGGTAACAAGTTGCTCAAATAAAAATAAACTACAGCTGCAACTTTAAATGTTGTTTTTGACTCTAGCCCCTGCAACCTAAAGCCTCTTAGAATTCCCCTACACATATTCAAGAGCAGATGGTCAATGGGAAATTCCCATAAGTTCCTCCATATAGCATTTTTTACGCTTGACTTAGAGTTATATTCCGTTCTCTCACTTTCTTTTTTGCTATCTTTTCCTGTGTCTTTTTCTTGCTTTTGTGTATTAAAATATATATTGAGAAATAGTAATGTGTGCATTTGTGCCAGATATCATCTATTTCCTCTTCCATACTCACACACCACTGGCTTTTTGTCCCAGGAGCATAACTCCATGGACTGTGTCAACATGCCTTCTACTTTCCAGTTGGGTTCAGTTAGTGGTCAGCCCCAGTGAGAGGTCAGACGTTGGGAGGAAACAGAAGTGAGGCTCTTGATCTCTCTGGTCCCCAACTCCTGTGAAGTTTCAGGCTGGCTGTGCCCCTTCACAGAGGGCAACCTGCTCTTTTTCAGCAGCCCTTTCTGTGGGTGTCTCTTTTTGTAGATTTATTTCTTTCATTTCTTGCTTCACTGGGCCTTGGGATGGGGCACTGTCACTGCTAGACTCAGTTTAAATACCATCTCTTTTTCTTCCCCTACAATTCACTTACACACTTATATTTATTCTTTTTGAAAATAAACCCACCTATTCAGAGTGGGACATCCGTGTCCTGTTGGGATCTTTACTGATTTAGTGGCATAAATCAAAAAACACTGGACATTAAGGATGTGGGCAAAGGTCATCATGTTTCCACCAATAATTTGCCATGAGACATTCTCTAGTAAGGCTTTGGTCTTCTCCACTTATAATAGAATGAAGCTTTTGGGCTGTGTGATCTTGAAGGTTACCGTCCCTAGCCACCAACTAAAGGGTTTGCAATAAGATAAAGTAAGAAAAATTACTGCACAGGCATGTGGTTTGGCTATGGTTATCATTAGCAGAATCTGCATTCACATATTCTCTGTATGTCATTTCATCAACTGGGACTTGTGGAATCTGGGCAGGTGAAAAAGCAGCTTTCTGATGTTTGAAATATCTTGACACTTATCAATGTATGTGATTCCTGGTGGGTGGTGATTTTGATCATTGTTTGCTTATTTGAAAATGTTATGCTCATTAAATTTATAAATGTATGATTCTTGGCCTACGTTGTCCAAATTTGAATGGTTTCAAAAAGGAAACAGCTTTCTGTTCTTTTAGACAACATTCATCATCGTCCATCAATCAATCAACCAGCTGTCTTGGAATACTTACTGTCAATCACATTGATGCCAGCTTCTCAGTTACCATTGTTTTGACTCTGGGGAGGCAAAGAAAAGCGCCACGAGAAAAGGAAATGACAAGGAGTGCTTGTCCATGGCAGCCATTCATTTGGAGCCAGCAATGATGTTGTTGGCTTCCTCTAAAGCAGGGCTGCTGTTTTGTCATGTTATAATTCCTAAGTAAATCCCCCTTGAAGAGATCTAAATTAGAAAACTTGTAGTTTACCGTTTCCGGCTATACAGAATCTATTGAGCTGACAGGGTGACCTGTCAAAATTCATTCAAGACTAAAAAAACACTTTCATTTCAGTCAAACCTAGTGTTCTATTGCTCAGTTTTCCTTTTCTATCTAAGTATTTCTATTGCTTTCTAAATAAAAAATTAAATAAGCCATACGGGTTATAAATATTCATATTATTTGCATAGTACACAACAGTTTAGACAGTTTACTCTCTGGCATCTTATTTTGTCCTCACTATTATCTAGTGAACTTTGGCTTGGTGACATTTGGTAAACAGTGGCGCCAACACACAAAGTCAAATTTCCCAATACAAGACCAAAGCTGTATTCCACTATGCTGTGCAAGTGTTTCTGTCCTCCGAGGAGTGTAACATGCCCACAGTACAGGCTTTTACTATTTTTCCTAGCATCGCAGGACAGAAGGAGCACACAAAGCTGCCCAGGTGAGACAGAGTCAGAAATAAAGAAAGTCACCTGAAATAGTGTGAGAATCACTCCTCAGCTCCATATCAAGTAAAGCTCTTCATGCCAAGATGGTGACTTTAAATGTAATTCACTTTCATTCAATTCAACCATCTTTATACATCCTTCACATGGGGCTCTCCCACATCTTTTCCACAACCAGTGCCTGTATATCCTAACCACACAGTGCCAGCTACATTCGGTTTCTTCTTTCTACTGAAACATCACCCACTGTCTAGGTCCTTATCAACCCTCTCCTTGACTTTGCATCAAAGGAGGTCCCACATGGCACCCATATCAATCTGCACATTGTTGTTAGATCAGCCTTCCTGTGGCCGGAATAGATGCTCACCAAAGGTTTGCTTGAGTGACCTGTGCTGGAGAAGCTGATTACAGAATATAATAAAAACAGCAAAGAAATATTACAGAAATACCATAAGTTGAGCCAGAAATAAATATTTTTGCAGAAGATCTAAGAAAGCATTCCAAAGTAATTTCACATGTAACAGATTATGTTAATGCTATGCTCCCACTTCATACTCAATATTTAAGTTAAGATGTTTTGTTTTGGGGGAACAGGGTTATTAATTTGAAGCCTTATAGCATGAAAACTAACTGTTGATGAGATAGCCTCGCCATCATCAGTTCTTGCAAACTGTGCTTAAGGTGCCTCTCATCCCTTTGCACATTACTGCTTTCAGGAATGGGAGGAATATTTATAAAGTCAATCTTTTGGGATCATCCCCCAAAGGATGGGGTGAAAAGCTCTTCCCCAAAGGATAATGAGAAACAGCAAGGCTCGAGGCTTTTCTCTGTTTCTGGTAGTTACTTTCTAGCCTTTGTTTATTTCACCAGTTCTGTCTCCAGTTTAACTGTTGTTCTTCATTAGCTAACATTCAAGGCCCTCACCTTGAAAATGCAAACATCCCCTATTCCTGAGTAGGAAGATGAGCCTGTGTTATTCAATCTGGTCATTTCCTAAGAGAGCCCCAGGTCTGGTACAATTCAATGGAAAATTGGAACTAGAGTGAGGGGAATTTGAAACTAGGCTTTATTACTGCCTGTGTGGCACTAGGCAATATACTCCTGGAAAATAATTCTCCACTCTGAAATAAGGACAATAATGTTTTCTTTGCCTACCTTTCTATAGGTTTTTGTAAGGATAAAATGAGGTAATGTACAATAAGGTGACATAAATTGAAAAGTGATGTATAAATGTTAGTTGTGACTATTGTTATGAATAAAGAAGAAGTAGTTATTTACTTCAAAATCATGTAGAGTCCTATGTCAGTGAGATGTAGAAAGTGAAACCAACAAATGCCTTAGTCTCTAAGTAATCTTCAAACTGGAGTCTTGATCACCCCTTGAGGTACACAGAGCAGCATAAGGGACACAAAGGAATGATACAAAATTTTAAGCAAAATAATTTCTAGATCTTCAGTATATACATATCTTCTTTTTCCATAAGAAAAATCCAGGAGTTGAGGACTTCACACAGTTCTTACAATCTGACTCTCTCACTGTGACATCACTTTCACTAACAACTACAGGGAATCTGTCTCTTATCTTCCTTGGTCTCAAGACCTGAGGTATAAAATTTCTGAGGGATCCCAACAAAGTAGTCGTTAAGAATATTGATATCAGAAAGTCTACTTTAATCAGTTGCTTTAATTATTTTTAATAATAATCATTATAATAGCCTAATCCAGAAGTAATATTTTAGCACTTGTGTCTTATGGTCACAGGTCATTAAAAATAGGCTTAAATTTATATGTGTGCTTTATTACAGACAAGTAGAGATAAGTAATCATATTAAAATTTTTATAGATAAAAGTATACTACAAGAGAATAAAATAATACAAGGGCAATGGGATGAATGTATGATTGAAAGGAGAAAATAGAATGACATATTTCCAAATGGTATTAAGAATGAGCTTTCTCATGTATTTTTTAAAAGATGAGTTTATGGATTAAATCACTGTGGTATTTATATTCTATTAGAATCATTTAGAAGTTTTATTTAAAAACTAATAGTCTTTATTTAAAATGTCAATATTTATAGTACTTTGAAAATTATTAACTTTGCGGCTATTTCAATTTATGATGAAAAATTTAAAATATCAACTTAAAAATGTAAAGAAAGGTACATACATTTTCAAAATTATATTGAGACATGCTAACAAATTCTTTGAAGGTCAATGCTTTAGAGCAGTGGTTTTCAAAAGTTTGGTCCCCAGAGTAGCAACATCAACCTGAAATGTGTTTGAAATACAAATTTTGGGTTCCTGTCCCAGACTCTGAATCAGAAACTCTGGAGGTGGGACCTAGCAACCTGCATTTCAGCAAGCCTGAAAAGTGATTCTGGAGCATGCTAAATTTTGAGAAATATTTTTAAAGTCTTACAGAACTCATTCTTAGGATATTTGTCATTTCTCTCCCTTTGTCTTTCTCAATTCCTGTTTCCCATAGAAAATGACAAAGTTAATAAGCAATGCAGAGTTTAGAAATCTGTATGATTTACAAAGTACTTGACTGGTAAGAACTGGTCATAGTTGTAGGCTGAGGTGATAAAGGGTCTAGACTCTAGACTAAAGAGCAAATGATTCATCACTCTTTTGATTCTTGTCGTACGGTTGAAGCTGGTTTGAAAGACCTAGTGTTTACACCTTTGGTTACCTGGATAAGTTGACTGTCTGGAATTATTTCCTACTTGTCCCTGTGAATCATGACAATGCATTATCTGATTCCTCTAGCATCTGATCAGAGCCTAAAAAGACTCCTAGACACACACTAATGTAAATAGCTGTTAGGGTAAATGAGAGGTTACAATGAAGGGTGAGAAAGCTGGCTGGGGCCTGCCTGTTAAAGGGTACAGGGACATATGAGGACAGTTTACTAAGCTTCTGATGAGGGAATAATTTAATAACTTTGTGGACAAGATTACTAGTTATCTGATGGATTGGAGTTCTCACTGCTGTATCATAACTCCTCCACAGTCTAATTATTCAGCAAAATGACCAAACCTTAATTGGAAGAAGGAGGAGATATTTATATAATTAAGAGTATTGAAGGGATCAGACAACAGCAGATTCCATCAGAAGGTATACTTACAGTGTCTAGTATTCATCATAAGAAGTGGATTAACAATAACTTTTGTACTATCTTCCCTACAATGTTCTAAACACTGTACTTTTTATAGTAACTCTGTGAGATGAACACTATTATTCTAGTAGTCAGTTCTTATTACTCTTCTGCTTAAAAACCTACATATAGCTCCCATTCTTACTCAGAGTGAAAGAATAAATCTTTACAGTGGCTTATAAGGCCTGATGCAGTCCCATTTCCTCTTTGCTCTCCTGTTGTTCTTGACTTCTGGTCTTTCTGCACATTCTTTTGCTTCACTGGGCTCTGGTCACACTGGCATTCTTGTTGTTCTGTCAACACCCCAGGCCAACTTCAGCCACAAGGCCCTTACATTTACTGTTCTTTTTGCCTGGAGCACTCTTTCCCAGCATATCCACATGGCTTCTTCCATCACCTGCTTCACTCTTGATTCAAATGTCATGTTTTCACTTACACCCATAGGGATCATATTATTTAAAAATTTTCCTCCTTCCACATCACAGCAATTTCCATCTTCCTCCCCTACTTTATTTTCCATAGTACTTGCTTGCTACCCTCTAACATGGTATAATTTTTTTTTTTTTTTTTAATGGAGTCTCACTCTGTCACCCAGGCTGGAGTGCAATGGTGAGATCTCAGTTCACTGCAACCTCGGCTTTTCAGGTTCAGATGATTCTCCTGTCTCAGCCTCCTGAGTAGCTGGGACTACAGGTTCCCGCCACCAGGCCCAGTTAATTTTTGTATTTTTAGTAGAGACGGGGTTTCACCACATTCGCCAGGCTGGTCTCGAACTCCTGACTTCGTGATCTGCCCACCTCAGCCTCCCAAAGTGCTGGGATTACAGGCGTGAGTCACGGCACCTGGCCAGTATAAAATTTACTTATACATTTTGTTTACTGGAATAGTTGTTTGTCTATTGGCTTGCTGCTCCTTCTCTGCCTTCCGTGTTCCTCTAAATGACAGAAGGCTAGAAGCTTCTAAGCTACATTTCCCAGATATCCTTACTACTTATCTTCTGGATAGATTCTGTCATTGAGAGGATCTGTGAGGAGACTGACAGGAGGAAAAAGAGAAGTCATTTTATTTTGTTTCTATCCCTATCTTGGATCACACCAATAGCTCTGGCAATCACTGAGGGCTCCAGGGTACCATCCTAGTCTGTGGGATTCCAACAGAAGCAGCAGCAGGGGCTCCTGAAGTCTTGATGGCCTAACACTCTTGGAATTTAGCTTGGGGTAACAGTGGTAATAGACTTTGGACTTGGGGCACCTACAGTGCCAGTAGGAGTAGAGGCTTCTAGCTTCCTGTAAAGCAGCAGTGGTAAAGATTTCAATAGGAGCAGAAGCAGCAGCGTGTGCTCCTGCAGTCTCATAGACATGGCTAAGATGGATGGTACCTTTATTCTGGTGACAAACATTTCCTTTTTTGCCCTTCTAGTTATTGGGATGGCAATTCCTACTTCTCGATAATTTCCTGTTTCTCTTTTCACCTTTCAGCTATTTCAACATTTTAAATAACTGAATCCTTACAATAAATGTTCTCTGTTGGAAATGTCTAAGTGGCTCCTATTTTTCCTAAATGGGTCTTTGTTGATATGGTACATTAGAGTCTGCTGCCTGGTGGTGAATCTGGAAACCCTTGTTGCCATTACTATTGTCACTGTCTGAGGCACCTCCAAAAACAGAGCAAAAAACCTTTTCCTGTCTTCTGCTTTTCAGTCTTCCACAAATGCCCTTTTTTTGTAGAACTTACAGAGATGCCAGCTGACCAGTGAGTTAGAGAAATGTAGGCTTCTAGTCCCCTATGTTACTGAGATGAGGGGTAGGGATGGAGCGGCGACAATAAATAGCACATTTATGACTTCCTTGACACAAAAGTAAATTCTACAAATGAAGTGATTTTGATAGTTTTGTTCACTGTTGTGTTCTTACCATGAAAACTGAGCCTAGTCGTTAGCATTCACTCAGTCAATACTAGATCTCACCATTTGTATATGAGGAAATTAATTTACTAAAAGATTAAAGAAGTTCCTGAGTAACAAGCCAAAAACGGCAGAATTAAACTCAGGTCTCATTGATATCAAACTGTATACATTTTCATTTGTGCAGGAGAACTAACATACCAAAATTCTACTGTTGGTAAGGCCTGGAGGCAGAAGAGTGAGCAGGAAAAGGGTCCGTGGATAAGAGTCAAGAAACCTAAGTTCTAGATTGAGCTCTGGCTTTCTTGACCATGTGACCTTACTTCACCTTTTTGGGTCTTGATAATTGAATCAACAAACATTTACTTAATGCCTTCTTTCTATCATACCATATAGCTATGATAACATTTAGCAAAAGTTA
The DNA here is from genome assembly GCF_000001405.40 of Homo sapiens. Lineage (NCBI taxonomy): Eukaryota > Metazoa > Chordata > Mammalia > Primates > Hominidae > Homo > Homo sapiens. The sequence goes on from NC_000003.12 coordinate 189,575,316, forward strand.
TCTTTTCCAATGATTCGTCAAGCCGTGATGATGCAAGAATGTCTCAAATATTTCCATGACTCTCCATCTCCTCTGCCACGACACTAGTCTCACCTAAGTTCTCACTTTGTTTGTATTTTGCCTGTTTCCAACAGACTCCACAAATTAGCCAGAGTAGGAGATCATATTTAGTGAAAATGAGAGTACTCTCATGCATTCCCGTCCTTAATATGATCTTCAGATCTTGCCTGATCTGTTCCCAGTCTAACTCACTAAACCCATTTTATGCTACTTTTCTCCTCACCCTGGCACAGTGTACTTGGTTACTAGAAAGCAATTAATTCTTTTTTTGTCTCACGACTTTCCCATATGTTATTATGCCGTCTTCCTAGGGTACTCTTACTCCTCTCCTTTGTCTAGGATACCTCTATTAATCATTTAGACTGTAGCTTAAATGAAAGGTGCTCCCTGCCTGCCAATCTGAATCATGGCGCACCCTTTTATACAACCCTTCTGTTTTCCTTTGTAGCACTTTTCAAAGTTTATAACTATTTTAAAATAATTTTTAAATACTTTTATTCATGTCAGAATGAAAGCTCCACAAGAAAAGGAAAAGCATGCTTTATTCAGCACTAAATCTTCACTATACACCCCACATGCTATTTCTACAACCCAGATGCTAGATAAGCGTCTGTTGAGTGAATGAATGACTAAGAAACCATTGAAAGATTTTAAAGAGAGACGTGACTGGATCTTATGTATAATTTTTTAGGTCACTCTGCATTTTAATTTCCCCAGTGTGAAATGAGGATTAGAAGATATATATGGTACCTACCATTCTCACATTTCATAATTTTGTTTTCTTACACCTGTGGCAGAATTCTTAAAATTCCTCTGATGTTTGGCTTATTCCTCTCTTGTGACACACGTAAAAGACTGGTCTTAGAGCTCGCTTGCTACATAAGAGAGAAAGACAGGTGAATTTGCTTAGTAGCTCATGGCAAACATGATAAAGTCTGTATCACCAAACAAGAATATGTGTGTAAAGTCAAAGATACATGAACACGATCTTGCTAATTTCCAAACTGGACTTTTTGTTTTCTCTTTTGAGATTCCTTTGAGTCAGAATAATTAACAAGCTTGGAGAGACATCTCAAACCCTTCAACAATGCCCTTGAATGTGGGCCTACACATGCTTGATTTAGATCACTAAAACTCTACATTTTTATTTAATCTCATCAGCATGGGAATATGCAGAATTCGTGATTTGTAGAGGTCTAGAGATAAATTTAACTCCCTGGATTAGCTGCCATTTTCAGAGAATATTTGATTTGGAAGAAAACTGGCAACCATTGAACCAAAAGCTATCATGCAGTTATGCATTTGCTGACTCAGCAAACCTTATAGTTTGCCATGCATCAGACCTGTGCTAGGTGCTGTGGACACAAGCATATTCTACATGTGGGAAAACTGAGGACAACATGGGAAAAATAACCTTCCCAGAGTAACAATAGGTTAATTAGAAGAGTTAAACACAGGAATCATGAGCCTCAATTCTTGGTTCCTTTCCACTATAACAAGAGCAGACAAACTATGGCCCCTTGGGCTAAATATTGTCAGCCTCCTATTTTTTGGAACACACTCTTGTCTATTTACTTACATATTGTCTAGAGCTGCTTTCATTCTATACTGGGAGAGTTGAGTATTTGCAACAGAGACCATATGGACTGTAAAGCTGAAATTATTTACTATCTGACTCTTTATAGAAAAAGTATTCTGAATCCTATTCTGTAGCCCAGACCATTCATGGAAAGTTTCTAGAAATGATTTTCAGGTGACACATGTGAAAGTAGTGAAAAATACCACCCTGCCTTTTTCGATCAAAATTTCCATAAAGCATTTCCTTTACTTGTCTACAAATGATGCAACAGCTAATAGAATTGAGTAAGATGTAGAGATTGGTTGAAACAAGCCTAGGGGATTTGGCAGATCCCTCCACTAATATAGGAATAATTCCTGCTTGAGTGGGTACTTGCAGTCACAGGGTGCTAACGTGACTTGGTGTCCAATTCTAAACTCAATTTGAGCCAACAGAACAATAAGAGGCAGTTTTTATTTCTAATTTCTGACTGTAGTGAGCATAGTTTACCTGGGCTTTAGCTGTGTGCTCTGATACTCGTTACAGCATTTCCACTAGGGCTACACTTCCCACAAGTGCTCCCAGCCAAAGACTGAGCATTGCAGGGACGTTAAAGTAGGCCCATTTCCAGACAGTGAGGGCTCCTTGAGGAGTAACTTTTGTCCAAGGATTTCTGACACCCTTGTTGAACTTTCCTTACAATTCACACTTTCAATTTTCCCTCCTTCCCTCCCTTCCCTCCTTCCTTCCTTCTTTTCCTTCCTTCCTTCTTTTCCTTCCTTCCTTCATTCCTTCCTTTCTTCCTTCTTTCTTTTCCTTCCTTCCTTCTTTCTTTTCCTTCCTTCCTTCTTTTCCTTCCTTCCTTCCTTTTACCTCCTTCCTTCCCTCCTTCCTTCCTTCCCTCCTTCCTTCCTTCTTTTCCTTCCTTCCTTCCTTCTTTTCCTTCCTTCCTTCCGTCCTTCTTTTCCTTCCTTCCTTCCTTCCTTTTCCTTCCTTCCTTCTTTTCCTTCCTTCCTTCCTTCCTTCCTTTCCTTCCTTCTTTCCTTCTTTCTTTTCCTTCCTTCCTTCCTTCTTTCTTTTCCTTCCTTCCTTCCTTCTTTCTTTTTCTTCCTTCCTCCTACTTTCCCTTCAGGTGTCCCTATCTTCTTCATTTCATGTTGGGTAAAATTATGCACAACATTCCCTCCAAAGTAAAAAAAAATTGTTTCATCTTACACCCCACAAAGAAGTAAGCGTAGCACTTGGTGAGCTTTTTTGGGTTGTGGAGACAAAACATTACATGCTTAGGTATACTACACGGGAATACTACTCTGTCCTATATCCTGAGTGACATGAATGGCTTTCAGCCTTGAGTGGGGGCTGGAGCAGGAAAGGATTTTGTAGCATATCCAGTCCACAGAACAATTTGTTTTGTCACTTGAGCCAAATAATCTGGTAGACTCTATGATGTCACAGGTGTCACTGGTAGGAAAAACTACAGTATGGAGATTATGGAAAGCTCCAGGTAGAGAATTATAGCACAAGCCCATGTGATCCTGGAGCGAGACTATCTATGCCTTCAGCAGTAGAGCATTATTTATCTTTTGAAAAATAGCTATTGGCAGGCTAGTGGTCCCCGGTAGAGTAAGATGTTTGACCATGGAATATCAGGTAATTATTAGTCTGGAGCTATCCATCATGAACTGGATTCTGAGACACCAATCAAATAATAAAGGCAGGTATGCTGAGCACTAGTTAATTTTAAGTTGGAAATAATATATCTAGGATTGAGCCTGAGAAGGACCAGTGGGCATAATAAACTGAAGGAATATATAATCCAAATCTCTATGTCACCCACCATAGTTGTACCAGTGACCTTTCCCTGGCCTGCACCTATGAGCATACAAGGGACCTTGAAAGAGGAGGAAAAAACTCAAGCTTGGGTTACAATTGGTCAGCTTGATTTTTGAGCGCAAACCAAAAACAGAATGTGCTGCATTTAATGATATCCCGGAAAAAGAGTTGAGAAGAACAATGTTTCCAATGCATGGAATTGAGCAACAAATCTGGTTACACCTTATATGTGGAAGGAGATGTGATTGAAAGAATATATATATATATATATATATATATATATTTCTGGGTAGTGGCCAATGGTCTAGATGTCTGGTCAAGAAAACTGGGGAAAAAATATGGGATAATGGCATTTAGGTGGATATATAGGGGTAGGCACAATGTGAGAATATGTTTGTATCACAAATTAATGCTCACCAGAAATCATCCACCAATAAAAAAGCACTGAATAACTATATACACAAAGTTGACTGGTTGAAGTTAGGCAGCCTTTGTCATTGACCACTCCAGAACTGGCACAAAGGGAATATGAATGGAGTGGCCATGGTGGCAGAGATAAACTCTATGCCCAGGCTCAACAGCATGGATTATGACTTACTGGGACTGACTTAGCTATTGCTGCCTCTGAATATCCACAGTGTCAGCAAAAGGGACCTGCACTGATCCCTTGATATGGCACCATTTCTCCTGGAAACCAAATAGCCACTTTTGGCAAGCTGACTACTTCAGACCCCTTCCACACCGTGGAAGGGCCAGCAGTTTGCCATACAGAGGAAGATACTTATTTAAAGCATGGATTTATTTTTCTGCACATTTAGACCCTCAGCTAGCTCCACTGTTCCTGAACCCCTTGTAAAATTTCATGCCTTAAGTGTGTCCCTCCTTGATGCTCCCACTGCTCCTTTTGTATACCCAAATTACATATAGTGTATGTTATGATTATTTACACAAATAATCATTTATAATTAATAATTGTTCCAAATCTTATTCCATTTAATTCTCTAAAGAAATCTCTCAGATAATTTCTTACTGTATCTTTATTTCAGAGCTGAGGAAATTGAAGTTGTAAGAAGCTAAAAACAATTTTCATCAGCTAAGGAATGCTGCAGCAGTAATTTCAGTCCTGGTAGTTTGACTTAGAGCCCATGTAGTTAACCATTTTGGCAACTATCTCTATTGTACTTACCCATATTTTTCACTTTTCTTCCATATGAGGCTGTAACCTCATTGGCACTACCTAGTGCAATGTGTGGCACATGGTACTCTCAGAAGGTTTATTGAACTTATAAAGGCAGAAAACAAACAGGCACAGACTTGGGCAATGGCAGTTGACTTGTGGACTTCTTAATAATAGGGAATAGATAAGAAGCCATGACTTGTAAATTTCAGGTTATAATTTCACTGAAGAAAAAATAGCATATTACAAAATATTATAGTTACTCCCTTTCTTGCTTCTTTATAATTTGGTGTCCCACTAATCTCTTGCTGAATAACAAATTACCCCAAAGCCAGGTGAGTTAAAACAAAAACTATTTTGTTATATCTCCTGATTTTGTGGGTCAAGACTTCTGGATGGGCTCAGTTGAGCAATATTTCTGCTCTACATGGCATTGACTGAAGTTGCTCAATAGTATTTAACTGGAGATAGCCGGTCTAGAGTATCTTAGACAGTTTCATTCACATGTCTTTTGCTTTGGCAATGATGACTGGAAGATTGAAATTAGTTGAGCCTGACAATAGTACTTATCTGTGTGGTCTTACAGGCATGTAAATCTCAGGTAGTTGATCTTACATGGCAACTGAGGGTTTCCAGAGAATCACGTTCCAGGAGTCCCACTTGCAAGGCCTCTTACGTTCTAACCTTGCAAGTCCCAGGATATCACTTCTGCCACATTCTGTTGAACAGACAAATCATGACGGCCAGTCCAGTTGCAAGGGAGAAAGAATTAGTCGCCATCTTTCAAGGGAGAAGTAGCAAATGTTTTGTAGTTATTGTTAGTTGGCCATATTTGACTTATTATTGGCTGTTTCAGATCTCACTATCAGACAATCATTGACTGCTTATGTGGAGAGACAAAAAAAAAGCGCTTCTATGTATAGCCTTAAAATTCCATGATCCTTAGGGGACTTCCCTCAGGAAGGAAGAACAGGATTTTCCATTTTTTCCTTTCAATAGTTGTCAAGTTACTACTAACTCCACAGCAGTGTCTAGAGGCAACCAGCTAGAGGAAGAACTAGATCTGTGGTGTCGGGCAATCCACTTGAACTCCTTGAGCTTCAGCTTTCTTATCTTTAAATAAAGGACTTTCCAAAGTTCAAAAGTTCTCATGAGGCTTGTCTTTGTCTGTTCATGCTGCCATAACAAGACTTCACTTAATATACTTGTTTCTCACAATTCTGGGGTCTGAGAAGTCCAAGATTAAAGCATTGGCGTATTTGGTGCCCTGTGAGGACATGTTTCCTGTTCACAGATGGCACCCATTTGCTGTGTCTTCACATGGTGGGAAGGGTGAACAAGCCTATTTGGGACCTATTTTATAAGGGGACTAATTCCATTCCTGAGAGCTCTATCTTTATGACCTGATCACTTCCACAAAGACCCCATCTCCCGATACCATCATGTTGGGAATTAGAATGTCAACATATAAATTTTTGAGAGACACAAACACCCAGACCATAGAAGCCCCTGAAGTATTAATGCATGGGAAAATTACAAATTATAAATTTCATTTTTTAAAAAAGAAGCCTTTATGAATACAGTCATGCCTCTTTTAACAACAAGGATTTGTTCTGAAAAATGTGTTTTTAGGTGATTTTGTCATTGTGTGAACTTCATAGAGTATACTTACACATACCTACACACTATATCCTGCTATACCACACACCTAGGCTATATGGTATAGCCTATTGCTCCTAGGCTACAAACCTATGCAATGTGTTAATGTACTGAGAAATGTAGGTAATTGAAACACAGTGATAAGCATTTGTGTATCCAAACAGAAATGGTACAGAAAAATATGGTATTATAATCTTATGGAACCACCATTGCATATGTGGTCCATTGTCGACCAAAATGCCATTATATGACACATGACTGTATAGCTATTAAATCAAGAATATAAGACAGAATCAAAAAGGTATATAACACAATTAGACATGAAAATAAAATTTAACATGGGATATAGTGGCTGCCTTACACTAACATAAATCAAATCCATATTGTTTCAAAGGAAAGATTGAATCTGGTTGCAACAGCAGGGAAATCTTTCTTATTATAATTTAATGACTCCACTATCTCAACTCTGCAGGAATCTAATGGGTGATATCGTACTAAGTTTAGAGAAGTCAAATAGCCTCTTCAGTCCAGCCATAACTCGAGTTTTCTGGAAGAACGCTGCACCAAGCAAATGTGGCTTGGCTTCTGAAAATGGGCCTGAAAAGCTAAATACTGTTATTAGATTTTTCTCAGTGTTTTTAATGCTAATAGTAAAACATGCAAATTAATCTGATGAAGAAAGCTAAGGTATGCACGATTTCATCAGAGAAGGTTGCACCCATGGCCTCTGGGAATTTTTGTCCTGTATTCAGAGCCCTGAGTGCCTATCTGGAAATCAGTAAAGCCAACATCTCAGTCATCGACCCAGCTCCACAAGGCAAAGGAGCATGTTTCCTGCATTAACTACACCTTGCTGCAGCAAATTGACTCAGATGTGGTATTTTAATTGGCGTTAAACAGAATTATTATTTAATTAAAGCAGAGACTAGTTAATTTTCTGACTCATTGTTTGAGCAAAAGATGCTAAATTCCAGTCAAAACCAACTTAATTGAATAACATCAAATAACCAATTTGGTGCCTTCAGGAGGTCTATTTTGTTTCTTTTATTTTCTTATCTAAAGGAATACTTCTATTAGAAATAATTTAGACAGAATATTTAAATTCATTAAATGTCACAGTAGAAAGGGGCATTAGATAAATCTTCCAGATTGTTCATTTTATAGATGGGAAAACTGAAACTCAGAAACTGAAAAACAATTATCCAAGATCACACACGTAGCATCGGGTCAGTCCTAGGATCACTGGCTCCTGACTCTCATTTTAGTGCTCATTCCACTATACCTAGAAACATGGGTTATCTGAGAGAGGACATATAGCGTGCCAGCATCAGAAGCAACCTCACAGATTATCCTTTGAAACCTCCCCTGCCTTAATTGTTGGGGAAACTGAAGACTAGTGAAGACAAAGAACTTGCCAGGGTCACACAGCTGGGCCAGAATGAAAGACCCAGCTTGCATTCTATAATCTGCCTACCTTAGTCTCTAAAGTATTAGAGAGTAGATGAGTCTGTTGTGTTGAGAAGTTAGGCTGTGTCCCGCACACCATCTCTGTGATTTCACACGTTCTAAAATAAAGACTTTGGAAAGAAATCTCTCTTTGCTGTGGAGAAAAGACAGTTGAATGATGCATAAGGCTGACCCTTAATCTTCTTCAGGCCCAGCTCTCTGCCCTGCACAGGCTCCGCTCTTTCAGAAACCAGTATTTCAGTGAAGACTTCGTGGGAGCCATAATCATCCCTCCCTCACTGAATGTCCCCCTGGTCCAGTCTGCTATCTCGCTGTACAATTCCAAACCTCCTTATGAATTTGCTGCATGTATTTCTCTGTAGTTAGTTTTGAAATTTTCCAAGGAGAGGATCTCAGCTGCTTTTTAATTTTATTATACCCTCTCAAGTACTGGATATGTGGATGGCACTAAATACATGCTCAGTATAAATTCACTACGAGGACTTTCAAAGGACCTGGAATGCAACAGATTAGCAAGGACTAGAAATCTAGATGCAATGGCTACTTATTCTACATGGAATAGATGATGAAGCTCTGTGGTCAGAGGGCGCAAGTTTTGAAGCCCAACTCCCACTTACCCACTTTTGGGTATTCGGAGGCTGAATTCCGTCATCTGAAAATTGTCATTACAATATCTACTTCACTATGCTATCATAACAATCAAACAAAGCAAATGTGTAAACCACTTGCATAAGGTCTGACAAATAGTAGAAACCCAGGAAATAAATCCGCATTTCCATATTGTCTGAAGCGTAGAGGTAAAAATACTTCACAACCTCCCCTTTTGTTAGAGGGCAATGGCCCCAACACTCCTGATAATCTTCTAGTTTTTGCAACTTAGCTGAGAATATTGGACAGGCAGGAAAAAATCATGCTTGATGCTAGTTCTGCCATGCTCTTTGCCTGAAATTTTCTTATTACTGTGCAGTTATCAGAGCTTTTCAACGAGGGGGTGACTCTGGAAAAATCTATGCTTTTGTCTCAATACTAATTTACAAGGGCGTTTTTTTTTTTCATGATAAAACAAAAACAAGGAAAAAGCTAATGGTGACCAGCTGTCTAAAGCTCCTAGGCATATTTCTATCTATCACACAGAGGAAGGAAGGTCAGTGAGCTCCTGGTAAGGCCAGCATGAAGCCAGCAGTCTTGAACCCTGGATCCTCATGCTAAAAGCCTAATAGCTCTACTGACTGAGCTACTCAGGCTCATTCATGTCCTTTGTAGGGACATGGATGAAGCTGGAAACCATCATTCTGAGCAAACTATCGCAAGGACAGAAAACCAAACACCGCATGTTCTCACTCATAGGTGGGAATTAAACAATGAGAACACTTGGACACAGGATGGGGAACATCACACACCGAGGCCTGTCGTGGGGTGGGGGGAGAGGGGAGGGATAGCATTAGGAGATATACCTAATGTAAATGATGAGTTAATGGGTGCAGCAAACAAACATGGCACATGTATACATATGTAACAAACCTGCACGTTGTGCACATGTACCCTAGAACTTAAAGTATAATTAAAAAAAAAAAAAAAAGCCAGCAGTCTGTTCTTATGTCATGAATTCAGCCTGAGTGAAGAAACCAGCCCTACCTGAAATGGTTGTCTTCATACAATGCACCCTTAGTGGTGAGTTATCTGTTGAACATAATCCCCAGCCATGCCCTAGGGAATGGAGAGCTGGTGCCAAATTCTCCCTTCAGAAGCACGTGTGTGACTCTGAACTGCATATTAGGGTGAGTTGTGGATAGTTGGGTGTGTAGAGAAGGAAGGTAGGTGAAATCTGTCAGCAACCATTGCATCAGAAGTTTTATGGGTTTTCCTATACTCAGACTTCCCATATTTGGGATTGCTGAATTGCTTCAGCTTATTTCAATGATCAGGCTAGATCTGTGGGTCTCAGCCAAAAGCATAGGGGACATCATCACTGCAGTGCCAGGAGAAACAGACTTTAATGAACTTCAGGGACAACCCCACGAGGAAGCATGACTCTTCCTCAAAAGGCCTTAGGGTGTTTGCAAAATCCAAAAATAAGGGGGCGGACAATGAGCTGTGGATCATTCTAAAGACAAGCAAGGGCAAAGTTGAAAAAAATGTTAAAATTCCCTTGCAAGAGAGTTTAACACCCCAGACACAGGCTGCGACAATGAGCAAGGAAGATGGTTATTCCTGTGGGATAAGGCTATACATTTTAGTGTTCCAGAGCAGCTCTAGAAGGAAGAGTTCCCACAGGTGAGGGAAGACCAGGTGAAACTGTTCCTGTAAGGACAAGGCAGACCTAGCTGCTCTTTGCCCTCTCTGATCTAGAGTGAAATCTCACCTCCTCTTCCCCAGACTCACACTGAAAGGAAGCGTTAAGACTTTCCCAAGGGCAGAAACCAAGAAGGATCCACTTAAACAACAACATAGAACACAAAAATCTTGAGTTTCAAAATAAAGACAGAGCAATTTTGAGTCTTAGTTTCTCTCCAGCTAGTGAAGTGACTTTGGGCAAGTCACTGAATCCTTAGTCTCCATTTTCTCAGCTGTAAGAGAGAGTAATATCTTCCACAAGATGTTGTTGTGAGGATCAAATTAGATCAGATATGTAAACACACACTCTTTAAAGTGTTCCTAATGAAAAAAAAATGCTCTTTCCTTCTTACTTAGCCAATCTTTTTTCCTATTTTAGTGTTTATAAATACTGAATGAGGACTGGATCAAGGGAAGAAAGGCAGTAGCGACAACCAAGTCACAAAAATCGAGAGCTTCCCCTAAGAAGTGTTTGAATTGCCTTTCCTTTGGGGCAAAGGAAAGAATGGATAAAATTATTAACTCATGAAACTCCCTCTGTACCAGGCATTTAGCATACATTATCTCATTTGATCTTCCCTCAAACCCCTTTTAATTGGCATACATACCCATTATTATTTTACAAATGAGGAAACTGAGGCTCAAAGAAGGTAAGTCATTTTCTCAGGATCACACAGTTAGCAAGTGGAGAAGTTATGATTCCTAACCAACCCCAAGCATGTTTCAATATGCTGTCACAAGCAACTCAGAGTTCCTTTGAGATGACAAGGCAAACTTATAATGCGATGTTCCAAGATATTGCCAAGGAGTGGAAAGTGGGGTCCAATTTGGGATCATATGGTAGTTTTATTTTTAATGTTTTTGAGGAACCTCCATACTGCTTTCCATAGTGGCTGTACTAATTTATATTCCCACCAACAGTGTATTCCTTAATTAATTTATTTTAATTATTTATGCTTCCGGGTAATATTTTAAGTTTGAAAATCAATGATCTAAGTACATATCCCTGCCTTTTGTAGAAGAAAAGCCAAGCCCAGGGAGGAAAAGAAATTGCTTAAAGTTACAAAACTGTTTAGCCTAGAGCACAAACTAAAAGTTGTGTCTCTAGTCTAGGGTCATTCTCCTAGTTAGATGAGACTTGTCTTAAGACTACAGCAAATCCAAGTCTCAAGGTGTTATCTTGTTCTGAAGTAAAGTTTTATATTTTAAGGACCTACTGAGCCGGAATGTTAATCAGATGCCTAAATTTCCCCTAAAGCAGGATCCGTAGCAATGGACCTAGCCTCAATTTCTCTACTATTTGAGCTGACCTATCGTATTGTTAGATAGTTCTGTTTAGAAAGCGCTTCCTTATATTGAACCTTATTTTGCCTTCCTGAAATTTTCTCCCCCTTTATTACCTCTAATTCGTCCTTTCCAGAAGAATCATTCAAGTTTTTCCATGAGCTCTTTCTGATCCAAGATGAATATTTACAAAAGCCTTCATTCCTCTTTGTAAAGGTATAGTTTTGTTACTTCTCCAACCTAGTCAAATTACTCCAAAAATGTTCCAGGATGTTTGCTTTTCTTGAAAGCCATGGCAGCTAGAACTGTACCCTTGGTATGGTTTCTTGGTTTGGAACACGATACTCCTCTGTTTGGAAACACCCTGTCATGAACGTAGCCTACATTTGTACTATTCATTTCAAATAGCCACACTACTTGACGACGACAACAACAACAACAAAAGTCCTATGTCTTTAACTTGTGCCTCTGCTAATCACATCACCCTTACTTTGTGCTTTTTCACTTCTATGTATGGTCCTAATGCAGAGCAGTTTAGTTTTCCCTTTTCAGTTTTGCAATATTTGATGTGGTTCGCTTTCCAATCTAGAAAATGATCCTTTGCACCCTCAGTGTGTCATCCTCTGTGTCAACCTCTGTGTATCTCTGAGATTATTTTTAGTAACTTTACCAATTTATCTCTCTCTTCTCTTTCTAGTCATTAGTAAGCAGCAAAACTTTCATTTTAGATAATTAGCAACACAGGGAGAGGAGATAGGCATAAAATAGTGGATGTGAAATTGAGCTTTCCTCCTGCCAAAATAGAGCTCTCACCAACTGCTTTTTTGTTCTTGCTGCTTTGATGAATCGACTGATTCATTAACTTATTTAAGATATGAGGAATTGAACCTTTCACTTTTTTCCTGCTACCTAATTTTCACTTCATCTGCATTAATAATAATAACTGCGTTGTGACCACCTGGAAATAATTGTACATCCAAATAATTGTCATCTCCTCTCTAGCCAATTTTGTAATTCAAGTTCCTTCTCTGGGAGAATTCAAGGAACTTCATTTCAGAGACTGTGCTGTCTTTAAATATTTTAAGGAATATCAAGGGTAAGAGGAATTAACATGAGGCCCCAAGAGGGAGAATTAAACATTTCATTGGGTAGAAATTGTAGTGAGTCATATTTTACTTTAATGTAGAGAGAAGAACTCTGTTAGAATCAATGCCATTTGGAAATAGAACTGGCCATCTTGTGAGGAAATGAGTTCCCTATCAAAGACAATGTTCAGGCAAAAGTTAGATATTACTTCAAGGGGCTGTGGAAGACTGCATCAGACAGAACATTTGATAACCTTTCTTATAAGATCCTCATCAGTCTGAGATTTCAGTACTCTGTAAAGACAGAACAACTGGAGAGGGTAAGAGAGAATACCTTTAAATATTTTAGCACCAGGGAAACATGCCTTTCTACCTTTTTAAGTTTCTTATATTTGTGGTAGTAAAATTCTAAGCTCAGAGTCTGTGCCTGATAAATTCTCTCTGAAGAGTTACAGGCAAAATGCCCAGTTTTGCCTTACAAGCCATGTAAATCCAGTAATAGGAAATTATGTACATTGAATTCCCCTTCCACCTTCCAAATGCCTAGGGCTGGTAAAAGGGCAGTAGAAACTAAGTGGGAGGAAGCTGGGTTTTACAACTTAAGATACGTTAGGTTGGTTGGTTGGATTTTTAGTAGTTTGAAGCTACTAATTTTTTTTCACACTCAGTATGTGTCCAGAGTTAACAAGAGAGATATTCTTATCACTGAAACTCAAGAAAAAAGGCTGATGAAGGCTGCATTTGGATACATGATTCCATGATTGCAGAAGAAAAAAGAACACTGTGAATCACGTCCTGACTCTTGAAACTTCTATCCAGATTCTGGGAAGATAGTAGTGGTGTCATGCCACTTGGTTTTGTAATTCTCTGCCTTTTTCCCTAAGGGGTTATTACTAAGCACCCTAGTGATAATTCCTTTTATATTTCAAGAGAAATATTTTCAAAAAAATTTCTTCTGTGACTCAGCATGATAAAACAACATCAGCCGGCACTATGCATTTTCAGTTCTCCCGAATCTTGGAATTGAGAGAGAAACAGCTAATTCTCTCCATAGGTTTTCGGTTATGAATTCTGTATCCAAGAAAGCTAGATCTGGAAAGATCCTTAGAGATCATCGATCCTCTCATTTTGTAAATGTGGAAACAAGGTCAGCAAAAAGGACTGGCAGTTCAATAGCATGTGGTGATTCAGCAATACAGCCTTCAATGACATAGATCATACAATGCTCTTTTTCAGTGATCTTTCTAAACCATGTGTTATCCCTTCCCAGAACTATTGGCAGGTGTGGTTTTATAATGTGCACTGCCTGGTATATAAATATGTATTACCTCAGAATTAGCTGAAATCAATCAGGCAAGTCACCAGTATGAAAAGCTATCCACAAGACCTCTTTTTATTTTGATAGGGTGGGGATTAGAAGCTAAAGAACAGAAGGACATCAGACACTTGAGTGGAAGGAGATATAGCCATTAATGTTGAAAAGAGATCAGAAAAAAGAAAGCCAAGAGGAGAGAACAAGTTGAACAGGAATATAGTATCAGTTCTATTGATTGTGGGTGCCAGTGGCAGCTATGCACAATGGTATCTGCCAAGTGCAGACATGCGGCTTCACTGGAATACTGACACAGAGCAGAGTGACACATGGTAGCATGCTTTGCAAGTTTATGAGTTATTGTCAATGCTTCCAACTTGATTATAAGGGACCTTTGTTCCAAAGGTTGTGTTAATTGAGGTATCACTGTAATGTTACACATGGCTTATATAAGATGTTGATAAAATTAGAAAGTAGGGTACTGAGATGTCTGGTTCCTCACCCACCTAGCCCTCCAAATCCCGCAGGTGGGCTCATTGAACTCTCTCTGGAGGTGAACACTATCGTAAAGTCTGCATCCAAAATCCATTCACTTTTTCATTTATTCATACATTCGTTTTCATTCAACAAACACAAGGATACCTGTGTTAGCAAGCCAGTTGCATCCACTAACACATAAAAGTCTTACAACAGCATGCAATAAGTTTGACCAGACCTCTTATATATGATCTTTTTATTAGCAATATTGAGGCCAGTCTATCAACAAACATGTTTCTAGATTTATCAGGTTAGTGTTTTTATATATATATATGTATCTAAAACACATTTCCATGATGCCTAAATGCCTTCATATATTGTTGTTAAAATTAAATGCATAACAAAATAAATATGCATTTCAAATGATTATATTTTATTGATTTTGCAAAGCTATAAGAATGAAAATACGACTCAAGGAAAACATAGCAGAGAGGAAAGTAACATCAGCAATATGGTGGTATAAGAGTCTCCAGCATATATCCTTTCAAAGAAAAATGAATTTAAAAACCATCCAGTCATAAAAATAACTTCACAACAGATAAGGACTCCAGATGAGAGATTGCGGTGCCTAGGTGGAGCACAGAAATGATAAAAGATACATTGAAGAGGTTATAAAGGACAGTTTCACACTACCCATGTCAGCCTCCTGCAAGCTCCTGGAGTGCACTGTGGAGAGAGATACCTTCAAGGTAGAGGAAGGAGAGTAAAGTCAACATTTGGTTTTGCCATGGACATACTCCATTAACTCTAGTGCCAGACTGGCTCCTGCAAACCGCAGCTCCAGGCCCGCCCTAGTGCCAGGCCATCCTCACTGGAACAAAGCACCAGCCAAGCCCTTGTGAACCCAGAAACCAGGTTTGCCTGCCAACTGACCCAGGATTCAGGTCAGCCCACCTGAGGACTGAAACAGCATGTCTACCCACAGACCCAACGAGCTGCTCACACAAAATTAAGCCAGCTGACTGGTAAAGGGCTTTCCTTACCAAAATCAGTCTGTAAAGATTAGAAGAGGTGCTTACTTCTTAAAATACACAGACACCAATGAAAGATATCCAAAAAAATCTAGAGAAAGGAATCAAAGCAAACCACTACAAAAAAAAAAAAGATCATCAACACACACCAAAAAAAGAAAAAAGAGAACTACTGAGTATATAGAAAATGATTAACCAAATGACAATAGTAATTCCTTCCTGTCAATAATACTTTAAACATAAATGGGTTTAATTCTCCAATCAAAGACATGGAATGGCAAACGTGACTAAAAAAAGAGAGAGAGAGAGAGAGATATCAAAATGTATGCTTCCTACAAGAGACTCACTTTAGCTTTAAAGACACACATAGGTTGAAAGTGAAGAGATGGGAAAAGATATGCCACATAAATGGTAACTACAAGAGAGCAGGGGTGACTATACTTACACAGACTTTAAGTCAAAAACTGTCACAAGAGGCAAAGAAGGTCATTATATAATGATAAAAGAATCAGTTCATCATGAGGATATAACAATTGTAAATATGCATGAACCCAATATTGGGGTACCTAAATATACTGAGCAAATATTACAGAAATGAAGAGAAAAGTAAACAGCAACAGAGTAATAGTAGAGGACTTATATAACCCCACTTTAAACAATGGATATGTCATCCAGACCGAAAACCAAAAATGATACAGCAGAATTAAACAACACTGTGACCAAATGAACCTGATAGACATATGCATAACACTTCAGCTAACAGCAGCAAAACATACATTTTTTCAAGAACATATGAAGCATTCTTCAGAATTCTTTATATATTAGCCCACAAAATAAGTCTTGACAAATTTGAGAAGATTAAAATCATCTCAAATACCTTTTCCCTACCACAATGGTATGAAACCCAAAGAAATACTAGGAAAAAAACAGAAAAAAGTCACAAATATGTAGAAATTGGGCATCCTATTCTTGAACAACCAATGGGGAAAAGGGAAATCAAAATATATCTTGAGACAAATGAAAGAAAAAAATATACCAAAATTCACTGGCTACAGCAAAAATATTTCTAAGTAAGAAGTTTATAGCAATAAATGCCTACTTGAAGAAAGAAGAAAAATCTCAAATCAACAACCCAATTTTACACTTCAAGGATCTAGGAAAAGGAGAACAAAGAAAGCCCAAACATAGTAGAAGGAAAGAAATAACACAAATAAAAGCAGAAATAACAGCAGAGACTAAGAAAACCCTATAGAAGAGATCAATGAAAGTAAGAGTTAGTTTTGCAAAGATAAACAAAATTGACAAACATTTACCCAGACTAAGAAAAAATGAGAGGGCTCAAATAAAATTATAAATGAAAAAGAGGACATTACAATTGATATGACAGAAATACAAAGGATCACTAAAGACTTTTATGAACCATCATATGCCAACAAATTGGGCAACCTAGAAAAAAATGGATAAGTTTCTAAAAATACACAACTTAACAATACTAAGTTATGAAGAAATAGGAAATCTGAATAGGCCAACAATGAGTAAAGAGATTTAATCAGTAAACTAAAACCTCCTAGCAAAGAAAATCCTATGACCTAATGCCTTCACTGGTGAATTCTAACAAACATTTATAAAGAATTAACACCATTTCTTGTCAAACTCTTCTAAAAAAATTAAAGAGGAGGGAACACTTCCAAAGGTATTTTATGAGGCCAGCATTACCTTGATAGCAAAGTCAGACAAGCATAATAAAAGAAAGGAAATTAGCCAATATTCCTAATTTACATATATACAAAAACCCTTCACAAACTACTAGCAGACAAAATTCAATAGAACATTAAAAGGTCCATACAGCACAATCAAGATTTTTTCCAGGAATGCAAAGATGGCTCAAAACATGCAAATCAATAAATGTGATATATCACATTAACAGAATGAAGGATAAAATTACGTGATCATCTCCATAGATCCAGAAAAAGCATTTGACAATATACAACATCATTTAATGGTAAACATTTCAACAAATCAGATATAGAAAGAATGTAGCTCACACAATGAAGGCCATATACAATAAGCCATAGCTAACATCATACTCAGTGGTGAAAAGCTGAAAGCTTTTCTTCCCAGATTAGCAAAGAAGAATGCTGACTCTCACCATTTATATTTAATATAATTCTGGAACTCCTAGCCACAGCAATTAGCCAAGAAAAATAAATTGGCATCCGAATCAGAAAGGAAGAGATGCAATGTTGTCTGTTTGCAGATACATTATGTATATTAAAAAAAAAACACTAAAGACACTACCAAAAAAAAACCCGTTAGAATTAATAAATTCAGTAAAGTTGTAAGATACAAAATCCATCTACATTAATTAGTTAAGTTTCTATATACTAACAACGAACTATCAAAAAGCAAATTAAGAAAACAATTCTACTTAGCCTAAAAAAATACTGAAGAATGAATTTAGTCAATATGGTAGAAGACCTGAAAACTGAAAACAAAAAATTGATTTTAAAATGAAAGAAGACACAAATACATGAAAAGACTTACTGTATGCATGGATTCAAAGAACTAATATTGTTTAAATGCCCACACTACTCAAAGCAACATACAGAGTCAATGCAATCTCTAACAAAATTCCAATGCCATCTTTTACAGAAATAAGAAAAAAAAATTTAAAATCATATGGAACCACAAAGCACCAAATAACCAGCAACCTTGAGCAGAATAAACAAAGCTAGAGGTGTCATAATACCTGATCTCAAAATATATCAGAAAGCTACTTTAATAAAAACAGCATGGTACTGGCATAAACACTGACATTATAGACCAATGGAACAAAATAGAAAGCTTTGAAATAAATCCAGGTATTTATGGTTTATTGGCCTTCCATAAAGGTACTAAGAAATACAATGAGTAACAGATAGTCCTTTTAATAAATGCTACAAGGAAAAATAAATATCCACACGCAGAAAAATAAAATTGGACCCTTGTCTACCACAATACACAAAAATCAACTCAAAATGGATTAGAGACTTAAACATAAGGCCTGAAGCTGTAAAACTACTGGAGGAAAACATAGAGAAAAAGCTTCTTGACATTGGTGTGGGAAATTATATTTTGGATATAACTCCTAAAGTTCAGCCAACAAAAGCAAAATAGACAAGTGGGATTGCATCACACTAGAAAACTATTGCACAGTAAAGGAAACAATCAACACAGTGAAAAGATAATCTACATAATAGGAGGAAATACTTTCAAACCATTTATCTGATAAGGGGTTTTATGCAAAATATATAAAGAACTGAAACAAGTCAATAGCAACAAAACAAATAACCTGATTTAAAAATGGGCAAAGGACCTGAATAGAAGACATACAAATGATCAGTAGTTATAAGAAAAAATGCTCAACATCACTAATCCTCAGGGAAATGCAAAGCGAAACCACAATAAGATTATCTCACAGCTGATAAAATAGTTATTATCAAAAATACAATAGATAATAAGTGTCAGGGAGGATGTCAAGAAAAGGTAACCCTTGTACACTGTTGGTGGAAATGTCAATTTGGATAGCCATTATGGAAAACAGTATAAAGGTTCATACAAAAATAAAAAATATAACTACTGTATGTCCAGCAACTCCACTACTGTATATATATCCAAAAAAAAAATTAGTAACTTGAAGAGGTATTTGCACTCCTATGTTCATTGTAGCATTATTCACAATAGCCAAGGTATGGAATAAAGTGTCCATCAACAAATGAATGGATAAAGATTATGTGGTATACACACACAGTGGACTTTAAAAAGGAAAAAAAATGCTATCATTTGTGGCAACATGGATGATCCTAGAGGAAATTATGCTAAGTGAAATAAGCCAGGCACAGAAAGACAAATACTGCACAATCTCACTTAAATGTGGAATTTTTAAAAGTTGAATTCATAGAAGCAGAGAGTACAATGGTGATTGCCAGGGTCTGGTGGTGGGGAGCAGGGGTGGAGAATGAGAGATGTGGCTCAAAGGGTACAAAATTTCAGTTATGCAGGATGAATAAATCCTGGAGATCTATATAGCACGGTGACTATAGTTAACAATAATACTTGAAGTGTGCTAAAAGAGTAGATCTTAAATGTTCTCAACACACAAACATATACAATGTTGTGTTGTTGGATTTGAGTTGATGGATATATTAATTAGCTTGATTGTGGTAATCATTTCACAGTATATATGCATATTAAAACATCATGTTGTATGCCTTAAATACACACAACTTGTATTTGCCAGTTACATCTTAATAAAGAGAAAAAAAGAGAAAAGCAGAAGCTTATATTATACTTTATGTTTCATTAAATGTTTGACTATCGTCAGCTGGTGTTAATGCAAACTAATATTATGTGTATATTACCGTTATTATGTAATGATATCACTCTAACTTTTAATATATAAGAAATTACTTCAGCATTTTAGATAAAACCTCTAGAGAAAGTCTCATGTAAAATATTTTCATTTAAAATCTCATTGTATGAAAAGGTATCTTTCTGTGTAACTGGCATATACTCTTTCCTTTTTGATAACAAAGTTTATCTATTGGATCGTATTTCCTATTGTGCCTAGACTGCCTAGAAACTCAGATTTAAACTGAAGTTCAGTCACAGAACCATATGGTTTGTATGGTTTGCTTAGTTCTCTTTTGCTTAATATCGAATGTTTAATTTCTTTTTGGTAAACAAATCTCACAAACAGCCCTTTTTATTAGCTGCCTCAATCTACTTTATTAAAATGGAAAATATGTTAAGTCATATATAGATTATAAATAAATTATATGTAGATTATTAAATCAACATTTATTTACATATTTAAACTTACCTAATCAACTTTGAATTTCAGCCATGAGAGAATAGTTTTTATTGTAGTAACCTTCCTGCTGAAGACAATTATAACTATTAAAACTATGTCTATAAAGCAAGTATTTAAAGGCCTATAAGAGCAAATAATGTAGGCCTGATTTGAGAACTATGAACTTGGAAATAATAAAAGTACAAATACTGAGCTCCAAATTTACCCTGGCATTTTACCTGGAAGAATTTTCCAGTTTTCATAGTACAGTATCTGAAAGTGGATGGTAAAGTACCCAAGTAGAAAGCACATTACTAGGTAGAGAAGACAGAGGTTGGAGGTTGTGGTTGCCCAAGTGGCTAGGGCACAAGGTACGAGATCCCAGAGAAGTCAAAACTTCCCAAATAAACTCCAACATCTTTGTAAATATTTCTTAGAGTCACTGTCCAGTGCCAGTTTGGGCATATCCAGGACTAGAAATCCATAAGAAAACAGTAGATTGGAAACTGAAAACACTATTGAGAGGTGACAGCGTGCTGGCAGTCCTCACAGCCCTCGCTCGCTCTGGGCGCCTCCTCTGCCTGGGCTCCCACTTTGGTGGCACTTGAGGAGCCCTTCAGCCCACTGCTGCACTGTGGGAGCCTCTTCTGGGCTGGCCAAGGCCGGAGCCCGCTCCCTCAGCTTGCAGGGAGGTGTGGAAAGAGAGGTGGGAGCGGGAACTGGGGCTGCGCGCGGCGCTTCCGGGCCAGCTGGAGTTCCGGGTGGGCGTGGGCTTGGCGGGCTCTGCACTCGGAACAGCCGGCCGGCCCCGCCGGCCCCAGGCAATGAGGGGCTTAGCACCCGGGCCAGCAGCTGTGGAGGGTGTACTGGGTCCCCCAGCAGTGCCAGCCCACCAGCGCTGCGCTCGATTTCTCACCGGGCCTTAGCTGCCTTCCCGTGGGGCAGGGCTCGGGACCTGCAGCCCGCCATGCCTGAGCCTCCCACCCGCTCTGTGGGCTCCTGTGTGGCCGGAGCCTCCTCGACAAGCGCCACCCCCTGCTCCACGGCGCCCAGTCCCATCGACCACCCAAGGGCTGAAGAGTGCAGGCGCATGGCGCGGGACTGGCAGGCAGCTCCATCTGCAGCCCCGGTGGGAGATCCACTGGGCGAAGCCAGCTGGCCTCCTGAGTCTGGTGGGGACGTGGAGAATCTTTATGTCTAGCTCAGGGATTGTAAATACACCAATCAGTGCCCTGTCAAAACAGACCACTCGGCTCTACCAATCAGCAGGAAGTGGGTGGGGCCAGATAAGAGAATAAAAGCAGGCTGCCCCAGCCAGCAGTGGCAACCCGCTGGGGTCACCTTCCACACTGTGGAAGCTTTGTTCTTTTGCTCTTTGCAGTAAATCTTGCTACTGCTCACTCTTTGGGTGCACACTGCTTTTATGAGCTGTAACACTCACCGTGAAGGTCTGCAGCTTCACTCCTGAAGCCAGCGAGACCAGGAGTCCACTGGGAGGAACGAACAACTCCAGACGCACCGCCTTAAGAACTTCAACACTCACTGCGAAGGTCTGCAGCTTCACTCCTGAGCCAGCGAGACCACGAACCCACCGTAAGGAAGAAACTCCGAACACATCCGAACATCAGAAGGAACAAACTCCAGACGCGCCACCTTAAGAGCTGTAACACTCACCGCCAGGGTCCGCGGCTTCATTCTTGAAGTCAGAGAGACCAAGAACCCACCAATTCCGGACACCCTATCAGAGATTTTGAAAACTATGAAGTGCTGGGAACAGAGAGACTGGACAGCCTTCACAAAGGTGGGGAAACCTTGGTAAGTACTCAGTTTTCAGTTGAAACCCAAGAAGATAAAAATCTAAAGGACCATGCATTAAGAGTAAGGACTATGCCTCCAAAATATGGGTAAAGCTGAAATAAATATGACTTAATATTAATAGGACTTACACATAGTCCAAAACCAGTACCTGACAGGTTTAAAGAGATATGCTCAAACTCTCTCTACCAGAGGAAATTTTAATCCTTTTAGGAGGAAGATAATATTATGTAGAATCTCAAAGATGTTTTGTCCAAAACTTCTAAAATCAAATTTAAAATGACAAAATGTGGTAAAAATAGAATCAAATGATCAAAACCTTAGAGAAATAGGTAGATAATTGAAACAGATTCATAGGTGGTTTAGATAATGTAGTTATGAGAAACTTAAAAATAGCTAGAATTGGCCTGGTGCGGTGGCTCATGCTTGTAATTCCAGAACTTTGCGAGGCCAGGCTGGGTGAATTGCTTGAGTTCAGGAGTTCAAGACCAGCCTAGGCAACATGGTGAAACCCCGTCTATACTAAAGAAAAGCAAGAAGTTAGCTGGATGGGGTGGCTCACACTTGTAGTCCCAGCTACTCTGCAGGCTGAGTTAGGAGGATCACCTAAACCCAGGAGGTCAAGGGCTGCAGTGAGCCATGATTGTACCACTATACTTCAGCTTAGGCAATAGAGTGAGACCCTGCCTCAAAAAAAAAAAAAAAGTTAGAATTAATATTTTGAAAAATAGAAGGAGATGTAAATAATTTTACCAGAGACTTAAAATTTACAAAAAGTCAGATGGAAGTTATAGAACTGTAAAATACTGAAATGAACTTATAAATTCAATACACTGTTGAGAAGAAGCAAAATAACAGACTAGTGAACTGAATGACAGGTCAGCATAAAATATCTACACTGAAGCAGTAAAAAGAAAAAATGAAAAATAAGAAAAGATTTTAAGAAACATACGAAACACAATAAATAAAACAAATCTAGCATGCATATAATTGGAGTAGAGATGGAGAGGAGAGGAGGGGAGAGGAAGGGAGAGTAGAGGAGGGGAGGAAAGGGACAGCAGGAGAGGGGAGGGAACGGAATGGGAGAGGAGAGAAGGGGAGGGGAGAGGAAAATAGGGAAGGAAAGGCGAGGCAAGAGAAGAAGTAGGGGAGAGAAAGAGAGTGAAAGATAAAGCAATATAGAAAGAAATTGTGGCCATTTTTGAAAACACGTAATAAAACATGAAACCACAGATTCAATAAGCTCCCTGAACTTCAAGCAGGCTAAAGTCAAAGAAAAATATTTAATCAAAGAAAAATATTTAATCACCAAAAAAGGCACAAACAAATATACATACAAGCTTATTTCAACATTATGAAACCATACATAGCACCTTTGAGATCCGGATATCAGCCCGATAACAGAAGTAAACCACTATCTCCAGCTGAATACTGTCCAGTGAGAACCAGAGGGCTGGGACTAAACTAGAATTCCAGAGCCAGCAGAGTGTTGGCGCAGCCTGGCCTGCAGTCCAGGATATGCAAGGTCAAAGGAAATCTGAATGACCATAGTCACAGGTAAGGCATTCATCTGAATAGTCTGTGTAGAGACAGAAATCAGAATCATAGAGTTTCTTGGATCTATGGGCAGAATCTAGAGGCCCCAGAGAGTCAGCTTTTGGAGAATAGCAAGTGGAAGGCATATCTTAGAGGGATTTCCCAAGGATTGGAGGCGTAACTGCGAAGGCTTTTTGCAGGGTACCCTAACCTTGCCCACAGCAAAGCAGAGGCTGAAGGAGGAAGCAGGTTTGGATAATGTCCAAGCTCACTTCAGAGTCCTTCCTCTTCTCAGACCTTTTTTTCATGTTTTCACTCTTAAAGTTTGTAACTTGCTTCAACATTATATTTACCTCCTTAGATATCAGTTTCCCTTCATCCACCTTTAATTCAAACTTTACGTTTATAATTACCTCATTGTTCTGTTTCTGTTTTCCTACTCTTTGTTCTTAGAATCTGCTTGCAAATTTCTTTAGCTTTTGGCCAATTTCTTGTTACAACCAGCCACTTTGCTTTCTCAACCTCATCCTTGTATTCAACTGGGCCTGGAAGGGTCATCAATAGTCTTGGGTGTCAGCTTCTTTGAAATTTGTGGACCCATCAATTCCCATAATGTATCATGGCTTTGGACTTGTAACCACAGCCTGATTTCTCAGAGACTCTTTCTGTTTTTGCCAGCCATCATCCTCATTTTGAAACTGGAGTGCTTCAATAAAATAATGAATTAATAATATTCTTTCTTACAAGAGTGGGAGAATACCCAAAGTGAATAGTGATGGGAAGCCCAATCAGCAACAGGATAGTAGCAGTGACGGCGATCATGGCAGTCATGATTAATGAGGTCTACCAGTTTCTTCTATGAGCAGTTGTCAGATTTGAAGATTAGGGAGTTTACCAAAGAAAAACCATTAGTAGATTCTGTATTAGTAACCCATATTTTTTTCAAGAGAGTTTCCTATCTCTAGGGATACAGAGAACACCCTCATATCAGTTTCTTTGACAACTTACTTTGACATTGCTTGGATAAAACACTAGATTTGAAAATTGTTTGTTCACCAAACTTTGCACTCCATTTGATCTTTCCTCAGCTTTATATTTTAAATGTACTATATTTATTTTCCTCAACGAGTCAAACACTTTTATATCATTTGTATGCATATGCTCTGTGGGATCTTTTCAGTTATTATTGTTGCTGTTACAAGAATAAATTTTTGTATTTCAAAAATGGATACTATACCATTTCAAAATCACGTAATTGAGAAATAATATGTCGAAGAGGCAAAAACATTTATTTTACTGAGAGTCAAAGATCTTGTCTGATAATTAAACCAATAATTTACTTTTATATTAGACAAGTCCTTTTGAGCATCACCAACCCCCAGAAGAGTTTGACAAAACTTGTTGAATTTAATAAATGCAAATAACCTACTCATCACTGTTGGGAGAGGGGGTGGATCAATAGAAATGGATCATGGATTCTAATCCTAATTCTGTCTCTAGTTTGCCATGTGAATTTGTATAATGTGTTTAACCTCTCTGGGCTTTAGGTTTTTTTATCTTATAAAATGAGGATATTGATTGTACTGTAGGTTAAACATGAATTGTACACATGCTATATGTCAGAAACAATTCTAAGTGCTTTACATGTATAATTCTTTAATTATTGCAATGGCCTTAAGAGAAGTGCAGTACTGTTTTGTACCTATGTAGCAGATAGAAAAACCAAAGCACTAAGGTTTAGGTAATTTCTCTAAGGTGTGACAACTAGTAAGTATCAGAGGTGAAAGTCACATCAGGTAGCCAAGCTTCCAAATTCATTCTCTTTGTTATTAAACTCTACTGCCTCTTTATACTGTTTCTCCCTGCTTTAGATGCTCTCTGAAGCCCTTATTCTAATTAATGTTCGATCTAGGTCTACTAAAACTCCTTACTACCAGGCCAGTACTCTATTAATTGAATAAACTTTTAGGGATTTTACAAAAGTAGGTTCAATAAGAGTTGCAAAAAGGCATCTAAAGAACCTTGTGATTATATATTTATACTCAATTTTCCTATTAGCCTTGACTACATACTTTGGAGGTCACCACAAATAAATTTCTTGA
The DNA here is from genome assembly GCF_000001405.40 of Homo sapiens. Taxonomy (NCBI): domain Eukaryota; kingdom Metazoa; phylum Chordata; class Mammalia; order Primates; family Hominidae; genus Homo; species Homo sapiens. The sequence goes on from NC_000003.12 coordinate 189,600,877, forward strand.
GATCAGCACATATATAAATTCAGATGTCCATTAAAGAGCATACATACCATCTGATACAGCTGTCTTTGCTATATAGAGAAACTAATTGAATCTCTAATCAGTACAACATGTGTTGAATTTTAGTGTTGTGCTTCTATTACCTTGTGATTTGGTATTTGCACAACATGTTTGGTAAAAAGCTTACACTTCATTTTCTTTCTAGAAAGTCATTGCTTATTTTTAATCCCATAGTTGATGTTTTAAAGCCTTCTTCAGTTCAGGTTGGATGTGTTCTTTTGTATGACTGTTCTTGGACTTGAGCTGCAATCTTGTGCATAGCTAGAATTTATGTTTTTGGAAAGTCTGAGAATTTCGCGGGGAGAGGGAACTTTAAAGCTTCTAAATTGTTTCCCTTTTAACACCCATGAAAAATGAGCACATGTGCTCATTTACTCTCCTTCAGAAATGTCCACATCTAGCGTTCAGAGAGGCATTTCCTCATATGCCAGTGTCTGGTTGAAGTAAACTTGGATGCGGAAGACCAGGTGTCATTTTGGAGCCTCCTGCTTTGGGACTACTGTACATCATCCTGAACCTCCCTGGAACCCTAAATTTCTAACTTGCAGATTGCTTTGGAAACCAGAGAGACTTTTACAGCCAAAGGGTTCATTAGAAAATTCTGAATTTACCATCTGCAGAAAGAATCCTCATTTTCTTGGATTACTATTTTTATCCTTAGAACATTGAAGTGATACTTGTTTGGTTAAATTGCTTAGCTTTTCCTCATTCATGAGTAGTACTCATATTCACATTATTCAACTTCAGAGGTGAAGAGGGTATTATGCTCTAAATATGTGACTTTCCTGAGAGCATATAGATCCATTTCCCACATTCAGTAGCATTCTACTGAATGTTAAATTATTAACAGCTCTCTCCTGAGGAAGCAATGTGAGCTTTTATAGTATGTGTCCATCTCACACTACCAACGTAGCCAACTTCCAGCTTCCAATAAGAAGTCACTGAAGATGGGATTGGAAAGAGATGCCCACGGTATGCTCTTCTGAGGCAGTGTGAGCTGGCTCCAGCACACTTCTGCTATCTTGATGGAAATTTAAACAACACTCTCAAATGATGCCTGATAGTAGTGAGTGTGAAAGAGTGGGAATAAATATCTCTAGGTGTGTGTGGCTTCTAGCTTACTTCTGCCACTGATCAACTGTGTGGCCTTAAATAATACCTTTAAACTCTCTACATCTCTCCTCTCTTCTCCACTGAAAAATGAGGACAATAACAGCTTTCTCAGACGCTTCACAGAAAAAGCTAGGAGATACTTGAAGTGATAGTGCTGGAAATAAAATAAAAGGCTAATTCAAAAATAATAGGAGGGAGAGCGTGTAGAAAATTACATGTGAACAGGAAGTCATGTGTGACCATGGCTTAGAAAGGGCTGGCCACAGTGTGTATAATAACATGTAGAAGAGAGATATTAATGGATGGAACAGTGTCAGAAAGCCCAGACTTTCTGGGGTGATCAGTGCATCACAAACATTTTCTTGGTCTTCTCATATGTGTTGAAGAAAGAGTGCAGAGGCTAAGAAAGGAGGGAGGAGGGAGGAGCAAGCCTGCTATGAAATCCCTTAGATCTTTTTTACAGGTGGGATTTGTGAAATGCATTTTACATCTATAATTAGGGAATGAAGTGGAGCAGATGGCTACAGTGCAGTTATAATTAAAGTATAATACACAGTAAAATCACCTTGTGCAGCCAGTCGTGCATCCGAGCCAGCAAGTATTAATTCTCTTTGCACTCTGAAGCCTCTTCTTTGGGCTGCAGGGAATGGTTGTTGCATCATGACACTGATTTCATACACTCTTTTTGTACCAGAAGTTCCGTTCACAAATTCTGGATTGTGCTGTATTAAATTATATCGTTCGTAGAGTCTGCTGTTTAATAATGAACACTCTATTTTAAAATAGAGGCACAGGCATCACTTTAATGGCATAGAGCTAGTGTTCTATGTTTAATGGCATAGAGCTAGTGTTCTATGTTTAATGGCATAGAGCTAGTAGTAGGTAACTTCCCAGGTTAAGAATTCATTTATAAACTTTTAGACTTATAAATTCATTTATAAACTTTTAAATTCATTTTGAAACTTTATAAACTTCTCAGCTGCACTGCTATATAAACTCTGAATGAGAGAACGTCTAATGCAAAAGAATGGAGGCTCTTTTACCCAGGACTCAGTTATTAGGATTATAAGAAGGTTGAAAACCAGTTATATAGTGGGACAGGCAAACGTGCTGATTCTCAAAATGCTACATGTCCATTTATCTTATCCTCTATATAAATACTAATGCAGCAGTGGAACCAGCAATGGGCTCAAAGTGGATAGCTGTATCCTAGTCCCAACTCCTTATATGTGCCCAGGCCAGTCCCTGCCACTTTCTGGGCCTCTCTCTTCTCATCTATAAGGTGAAGAAATTGGACTACCTCATTCCTGTGGTTTTTTGGGTTCTGTTTTCTTCTTCTCCTTATCCTTCTGAGTTTATCAGAAGACCTATTTCCTTCATAGTAGTTATACTATTACTAATTCTACTTAGTGTTAATAAGAGCATGGGAAGCAGAAAGATTTCTTCCTCTGAGAGGGTATTTTGTTTTATCACAGGAGTTGAGAGAACAGTGGCTCAAACTAAGTTCTGCTTTTCCCTTGCCAGGAACTACCGGACACCCCATGTAAACATCAAGCAGTCACTTTTTGGAGTTTTATTCTATCTCAGTGGTTTTTGCCTTCATTAAAAAAAAAAAAAAAAAAAAAAAAAAGAAGCACAGTCCTGGAGTTACAGATTTTTTTTCCTACCCTCTGACTTATTTCAGCATTTCACCTATATAGTTTTACCTTTAAGTATTAAACTACTTTACTGTAAGAAAAGTATATACATCCCTCAAGTCCCAAGCTTTTAGCCCTCATTGGAAAATAAAATGTTTGCCTTTTCATGTTTCCATTATAGAAACAAAACCAACAAAAAGAAAAGAAGAGAAAAGGTAAATCGAAAAAATTTTCTTTTCCTAAGATTAGCCCCCAAAAGTTAACACTCCAGCCAAGTTTCTATTGATAATTTTAATGAGACAATCTGCTAATGAATAAATGGGTAAATAGAACACTTGAAAAATATATATATATTCACAAAAAAAGAATTAGTAGAAAAGACAAAATTATTTTACCATCAGGGAAGTAGTGTGCAAAGAACATGGTCGTTGAAGTCAGACAATTCTGAGCCTGAATCTTAGATCTGCTACCTCCTTGCGTGTCCATTCCATACTCCCACCTCGGAACCTTTAAGAAATTGTTTCACTTCTCTTGGTTTTAACGTCCTCATCAGTGAAATAAATAATTAAACCTAGATTGCAGGGTATGTGGAAGAATTAGAACAAATAAATGTAGTATGTCTGGCAGAGAGGTGCTCATTAAATTCTACCTACTATTTAGCTCTCATTCATTAAATGGGTAGATTTGTAAAATATGACCTTACTCTTCTTCACCACCATCTCCCACCCAAATCTCTACCATCTAGCTAAATTCAGACACTTCTCAGTAAAAAATAGAGATAGATGTGAGGCCTGGAAATTTTCCACACAAATTCAGATGAGTAAAGGATAAATCTAGGCCTCTGTAGATTTTCTTTCTTGGATATTTACCTGGAGATAATCTCTAGGAAGATATAAACAAGGTCTTGGTTAAAAGTATTGTGGAACCCGACCCCTAGACAACCAGATATCTAAAATTTAACCATGAGTTTGCAAGGTTTAGGTTGCCGGGAGAGGGGAAAGAAGTTGAGATTGAGTTTAGAAAATGAGCCATTTAATGCAACTATATCTTATTTTGTTACTTCTTAGGCAAAAATATTAACAAAATTGGAAAACCACCTTTACAGTTTGTAAAGCTGTTTGTAAAACTTTCATATAAATTATTTGATTCTTTAAAAGTCTTGGGAAATAAACAGATTGACTTTCACTTTACATGGTTTATTTACCTAAGGACCAAAGAGAATTTTCCTAAGCCACCCAGGAAAGAAGTGGCAGGGCTTTCTTCAAACTGACATCTCAACATCCTATTTCCCTTTCTCCTGAATTGTGCCAATGACAAGGTTCTGGTGTTGTATTCTTTACCCAGTGACTCCCACTGAGGGTCTCAGAGCTCTCTTGTGGCTTGGTTTTCTTCTAGTGGTATCTCTTCTCGCTGAGACCACACACTGAGGAGAAGGAAAAAAGGCCTGTGTCCTTCTTGGGGCATAATTTCCTACAAATACAATAAAAAACAAAATGCCTGCCTTGTCTACTGAAAATATTAGTCAAGAAGGAAACTCAGGCTTATAATTTCAGGCCACTGATTATGCCAACTCAATAGACTGTTTTATTTATCTTTAACAAGAAGTTTCACATTATTAGTAAAAATTTTATCAGAAGTATGCTTTTGTCAAGGATCTCTGTATAAGTCATTGCTATTTGGAGAAGAGGCAAGAATATCTCAGTTATTCCCCAAAATGTGAAAGTCAGATATATACCATGGTGTCTTTTGGCTGATTTCTTTGTGCCTTTCTTTGTGCCTCCAGAGTCATATGTTTGCTTAACTGTGGAATTTACATTGCATTATATTACAATTTCCAGAATTGTTAAAAGGTGAGCTGCTTGATGATACAAGAGTATCTGATTTTCTAAGCCGCAATATAGATTCTGGTACCTGCTATGTGATCACTAAATATTTGTTAAATAAAATGAACCATTAGAGACCCTCGATGTTTCTATTTCTGGTAAAATGATGGGACAGGAAACCAGATCGAATCTCATTGCAAACAACTAAATTCTTAGTAAAATAATGTGTTTAAAATTTTTTTTAGTTTAGATCCATTAATGGCTAGAAAAAAAAATAAGAAGTCTTTCAGACAAAGCAGTAAGCGAAGATAAGCACTAAGAGATATGATGGAATATCAAAGGCAAATTTTACACTGAGTGTGTTTATTTACTTGGGTAAATTTGAGCTTTGGTGTTCATAGTTTCAAAGGGCAGAAAGAATAGGAGACAAAATACTGACCCAATGTAAGACAACTACCGGGATATCTTCCTGCCATAACACTGTGGTTCCAAAGACCATACACAATAGAAAATTTAAAACAAAAATAAACTTCTTCCCTGTCATCCAAGAGACATTAAAGGAAATTAAATATCACAAACCTAACCACATGGTAGAGGAAAGAAACATTGCTATTCATAATTTACAATCTCAAGCTAACTCTGATGCAGTTTCCAGTCTAAATTCACTCTACTTTATTGATCCAAACACCTCAAGATGAAAATTTAATTGCATACTAATTGATAATTTTCATAGGCACCTGGTAGAAGGAAACAAAACCTTCCCAAGAGAAATTCACTTCCATTCCAGGCCTCAGGAAAAAAAAATCCACAAATACAACATTAAAATCAACAGTTCATGGCTGGAAATAACAAAACACACAAGGAAACAAGGTACCATGAGTGTGAAGCAATAAAAACACCAGAGCAGAGCTAGGCCTACATAAATTTCAAATATTGGAATTACAATGCATGGCCCATAAAATAGCTATGTAATTGATAGACAGCCTTCTAAGATGGCCATTTTTTTTTTTTTTTTTTTTTTTTTTGAGACAGAGTCTTGCTCTGTCACCTAGGCTGGAGGGCAGTGGCGCACTCTTGGTTCACTGCAACCTCTGCCTCCCAGGTTGAAGCAATTATCGTGCCTCAGCCTCCGTTGCACCACCACAGCTGGCTAATTTTTGTAATTTTAGTACAAAATGAGTAGGCACAGGGCTTTGTCATGTTGCCCAGGCTGGTCTCCAACTCCTACTCCTGGCCTCAAGTGATCTGCCTGACTCGGCCTCCCAAAGTGCTAGGATTACAGTTGTGCACCACCGCGACGGGCCAACCCCGCAATGATCTCTTAATATACTTGTGTAATTATATCTCCTTCATTGGGAGGGCTGGGTGTGGTGATTCACTCTAATAAATGGCACCCATATAAATGTGATGGAATGTCACCACCATGATTATGACTATGACTTCTGTCATGCCAGTACTTTCTCTTTCATGCTTCCCTGACTTGCTTGCTTTGATGAAGTGAGCTGTTATGTTGGAGAGGCCCATGTGGTGAAGAAATGACTGTGACCTAGAACCAGGTGCCAGTGAGAAATGGTATTTCTACAAAATACCTGAGAAGGGTTCTTCAAAATTTCAATATCATGAAATGTAAGGAAAGTCTGAGGCTCTGTCATTGGGGAATTGACAGAGCAGAGCCAACTGAGAAGGCGTGAAGACTTAATGCAATGTGATATCCTCAATTAGATCCTAGAGCAGGAAAAAGAACATTAGTAGCAAAACTGATGAATCTGTTTAGAGTCTATAGTTTAGTTACTGTTAATTTTTAAAATATTGACAAGCGTGTCATAGAAGCTGAATGAAGAAAATGCAGGAACTTTTGTGCTATCTTTGCAACTTTTCTGTAAATCAATATTCATTTCAAAATAAAAAGTTTATTTTTAAAAACTTAATAGAAAAAGGTTATTTGTGAGAAGGTATTCATTGCAGTTATTTATTATTACAAATAATTTTTCCTAGTTGTGAAATTTTTTAAAAAATAATTTTTATTAGAGTAAAATGGATAAGTAAGATGAAGCATTTTGTCAATAAAAATGAAACAGTTTAAAATGGTAATTATGACTATAGTGAGTATATAAATTTGTTTCTATTATAAGATTAAATGAAAAATTAGAATATATAATAATAGTGTATGTCATTATGAATATTACATATATATTTAAAATTATCGTACATATAAAAATGTATACTTTTAAGCCAAACCCAGGAGGAAATGCCAAAACATAGAACAGTGGATAGGTATTCTAGGATTATAATGTTTATCACTTTAATGTATTTATATAGTTTTAAGATGAGCACAAAATATTTTTGAATATCACATACATTCTTTCAAAACTCATGACTCTAATATTCTAATATTCATTGGTAAAGTTAATGAAAGGCAAACATAACTCAACAGTATATCTAACTCAAAGAAAGTGTACTAGACTTGAGAGGTTCAGCCCTTACAAACAGAGCAAAGGGTTCTTAAGTTGTTTAAGATATGAAGATCTCTGATAACAACTAATTCATAGGTTATAAGTTCATTAATTACAATAACCTGGCTTTAAAAAATAAAGTAATTTATGGAGGTAATCAAATTTCAGTTCCTAATTAAAACAGATAAAAAAAGTTGTGTGTACTGTGTGTGCATGTATGTGTTGGGGTAGATGGTGTGAGCACTCTTGAAAACTCCTTGGAAATCTTGGGGAGGGGTATTTATTTAGTATAACATCAGACTGAGTAAAGAGGACTTTTGTAAGGAATTAGAGCATTGGATAATGTCTGTGTAAAAACTTCAGTTCATTAACTCCCATCCTCCTAGCTCATCTGTCATCAGAGTTCTAGAATTGAGTTTTCTTGTGATTAATTCTTCAGCTCATGCACCAGAATTATTGGACACATGATAAACTGGGATTTCTGAGGCTACGATATCTCTCAGAGTCATAAACACAGAGAGATAAGGCAATGGTAAGGGCATTAGATAACAACAGATCAAAATTTCAGAGGACAGGTGATGCAAAAATTTGTGTAAGTTTTATTTTCTTTGGCTGTTTTGTGAACTTGACTTTTATACTTTGTATCTCATTTCCAAACAAATTTAAGGCAGAATATGACTTAAATATATTATCAGCTATTTACATAAATTGTTTCTGAAGTTATTTTACCCTAGGTTTCATTTTCAACTTGTAGCTAGAGCTCTATTCAGCAATATCATAATTTATTACCCAAACACTAAGCCCCCATTTATTTTCTCAGGATTACAATTAATAATATTTTAATATCTTTCCAAAGAAACCCACATTCACAGCACTTCAATATTAAAATCAAGAGTACATTTTAAAAGCTTCACAAACCCCCTGCCTCTCGGTAACATGTAAGAGTATTCCTTCCAAGATTTGGAGCACCACGTACAAATTTAATGCATGGGTACAAGTAGTTTCAATCTTAGGATTCAGGAGGAAAACACTGTAGTTTCATACAATGAATTTTTTTCTTGACCTTCTCTTGCTGTCTAATTGAGATACCTCCAGACTGATTGTACCATTGTGTTCTTATATTCTCTGAATTCACAACCGCTGTGGGCAAGTTTCTGATGAAAAATACACACCATAAATAAGAAATCACTTGAGTATAATTTTTTATTATCTCTTTGAATCTCCTTTTAGACATCTTTCCATGTATGGGTGATGGATGAGTTTCATGTAACATAGACAAATTGTCAGCCAAGTTTATCTGATTGAATGCTTTCCCTTTTTCTCCTGAAAAACGGTAATATTCAATGTGTTGATACAATTAATAGTGCATAAATAAGAATCAAACCATGATGCTATCAATGAAATGGGTATGTTACTATCACCCATTGACTTTTTTTTAACTTTTATTTTTTGGTTTGAGGGTACATGTGAAGGTTTGCTACGTATATAAACACATGTCATGGGGGGTTGTTGTACATATTATTTCATAAGCCCAGTACCCAATAGTTATCTTTTCTTATCCTCTCCTTCCTCCGACCCTCCCCCTTGAAGTATCCCCCAGTGTCTGTTGTTTCCTTCTTTGTGTATATAAGTTCTTATCATTTAGCTCCCCTTATAAGTGAGAACATGCAGTATTTGTTTTTCTGTTCCTGCATTAGTTTACTAAGGATAATACCTCCACCTCCATTCATGTTCATGCAAAAGACTTGATCATGTTCTTCTTTATGGCTGCGTAATATTCCATGGTGTATATGTACCACATTTTCTTTATCCAACCTCTCATTGATGGGCATTTAGGTTGATTCCATGTCTTTGCTATTGTGAATAGTGCTGCAATGAATGTTTGCATGCATATGTCTTTATAGTACAATGATTTATATTCCTCTTTGTATATACCCAGTAATGGGATTCCTGGGTAGAATGGTAGTTCTGCTTTTAGCTCTTTGAGGAATCCCCATACTGCTTTCCATGACAGTTGAACTAATTTACACTCCCACCAACGGAGTATGTGTTCCCTTTTCTCAGCAATCTCACTAGCATTTGTTATTTTCTGACTTTAGTAATAGCCATTCTGACTGGTGTGAGATGGTACCTAATTGTGAATGATTTGCATTTCTCTAATGATCAGTGATATTGAGCTTTTTTTCAAATGCTTGTTGACTGCATGTATGTCTACTTTTGAGAAGTGTCTGTTCATGCAATTTACCCACTTTTTAATGGGGTTGTTTGTTTTTCTCTTGTAAATTTTTTTAAGTTTCTTATAGATGTTGGATATTAGACCTTTGTCAGATGCATAGTTTGCAAAAATGTTCTCTGCTTTCCTTATAAAACTGAATGCCTTTAAGAGAACACAAGTCACCTCTTGAATGCTTTGCTGCTTAGAAATTTCTTCTGCCAAATACCCTAAATCATCTCTCTCAAGTTCAAAGTTCCACAAATCTCTAGGGCAGGGGCAAAATTCTGCCAGTCTCCTTACTAAAACGTAGCAAGAGTCACCTTTGCTTCAGTTCCCAACAAGTTCCTCATTTCCATCTGAGACCACCTCAGCATGGACCTTATTGTCCATGTCGTTATCAGCATGTTGTGCAAAGCCATTCATCAAGTCTCTAGGAAGTTCCAAACTTTCCCACATTTTCCTATCTTCTTCTGAGCCCTCCAAACTGTTCCAACTTCTGCCTGTTGCCCGGTTCCAAAGTTACTTCCACATTTTCAGATATCTTTTCAGCAGTGCCCCACTCTACTGGTACCAATTTACTGTTTTAATCCATTTTCATGCTGCTGATAAAGACATACCCTAGGCTGTGAAGAAAAAGATGTTTCATGGACTTACTGTTCCACATGGCTGGGGAGGCCTCACCATCATGGCAGAAGGCAAGGAGGAGCAATTAACATCTTACATGAATGGCAGCAGGCAAAAAGAGAGCGCTTGTGCAGGAAAACTCCCCCTTATAGCACTGTCAGATCTCCTGAGACTTATTTGCTGTCATAATAACAGCATGGGAAGGACCTGCCCCCATCATTCAATTACCTCCAATTGGATCCCTCCCATAACATGTGGGAATATAAGATGAGATTTGGATGGGGACACAGCCAAGCCATATCAACTCTATTGATAGTTTCTTTTGCTGTGCCAAAGCTCTTAAGTTTAATTAGATCTCATTTGTCAATTTTTGCTTTTGTTGGAATTGCTTTTGGTGTCTTTGTCATGAAACCTTTGCTCATTCCTATGTCCAGGATGGTATTGCCTAGGTTGTCTTCCAGGGTTTTTATAGTTTTGGGTTTTACATTGAAGCCTTTAATCCATCTTGAGTTGGTTTTCGTATATGGTTTAAGGAAGGAGTTCAGTTGCAATATTCTCCATATGGCTAGCCAGTTATCCTAGCACCATTTTTTGAGTAGGTTGTCTTTTCCCCATTGTTTGTTTTTGTCAGCTTTGTGAAAGATCAGATGGTCATAGATGTGAGGCCTTATTGCTGAGCCCTGTATTTTGTTCCATTGGTCTATGTGTCTGTTTATGTACCATGCTGTTTTGGTTACTGTAGCCTTGTAGTATAGTTTGAAGTCAGGTAACATGATGCCTCCAGCTTTGTTCTTTTTCTTAGAGTTGGCTTAGCTATTTGGGCTCTTGTTTGAATTTTAAAATAGTTTTTTCTACTTTGATGAAGAATGTCATTGGTTGTTTGATAGGAATAGCATTGTATCTTTAAGTTGCTTTAGGCAGTATAGCTATTTTAATGATATTGATTCTTTCTATTTATCACCATGGGATGTTTTTCCATTTGTTTCTGTCATCTCTGATTTCTTTGAGCATTGTTTTGTAATTCTCATTGTAGAGATCTTTCACCTCCCTGGTTAGCTGTATTCTTAGGTATTTTATTCCTTTTATGGCAGTTGTGAATGGGATTGCCTTTCTGATCTGGCTCTTGGTTTGGTTGTTGGTGGTGTATAGGAATACTAGTGATTTTTGTACATTGATTTTGTATCCTGAGACTTTGCTGAAGTTGTTTATTAGCTGGAGGAGCTTTTGGGCTGAGCATATAGGATTTTCTAGATATAGAATCATGTCATCTGCAATCAAAGATCGTTTGCCTTGTTCTCTTTCTATATGGATGTGCTTTATTTCTTTTTCGTGCCTAACGGACTGTATCCAGGGTTCAGAAATTCTCTTGAGGACTGTGTTCCTTTGGGAAGTGCTGCTGATATAGTTTGGCTGTGACACCATTCAAATTTCAGCTTGAGTTGTATCTCTCAGAATTCCCACATGTTGTGGGAAGCACCGAGAAGAAGGTTACTGAATCATGGAGACCAGTCTTTCCTGTGCTATTCTCATGATAGTGAATAAGTTTCATAAAATCTGATGGCTTTATCAGGGGTTTCCACTTTTCTTCTTTCTCATTTTTCTCTTGCTGCTGCCATGTAAGAAGTGCTTTTCACCTCCCACCATGATTCTGAGGCCTTCCCAGCCATGTGGAACTGTAGGTTCAATTAAACCTCCTTTCTTTGTAAATTGCCCAGTCTTGAGTATGTCTATCAGCAGCGTGAAAATGAACTAATACAATAAATTGGTACTCTAGAGTGGGCCACTACTGAAAAGATATTCGAAAATGTGGAAGTGACTTTGGAACTGGGTAAGAGGCAGAGGTTGGAAGAGTTTGGAGGGCTCAGAAGAAGACAGGAAAATGTGGGAAAGTTTGGAACTTCCTAGAGACTTGTTGAATGGTTTTGCCCAAAATCCTGATAGCAATATAGACAATAAAGTCCACGCTGAGGTGGTTTCAAATGGAAATGAGGAACTTGTTGGGAACTGGAGTAAAGGTGACTCCTGTTACGTTTTAGCAAAGAGACTGGTGGCATTTTGCCCTTGCCCTAGACATCTGGGGAACTTTGAACTTGAGAAAAACAATTTAGGGTATTTGGCAGAAGAAATTTCTAAGCAGCAAAGCATTCAAGAGGTGACTTGGGTTCTGTTAAAGGCATTCAGTTTTATAAGGCAAGTGGAGCATACAACTTTGGAAAATTTGCTTCCTGACTATGTGATAGAAAATAAACTCATTTTCTGGGGAGAAATTCAAGCCGGCTGTAGAAATTTGCTTAAGTAGCAAGGAACCTAATGTTAATCCCCAAGAGCAAGGGGATAATGTCTCCAGGCCATGTCAGAGGCCTTTATGGCAGCTCCCCCAATCACAGGCCCAGAGACCCAGGAGGAAAAAGTGGTTTCCTGGCCTGGGCCCAGGGTCCCTGCACTGTGTGCAGCCTAGGGACTTGGTGCCTTCTGTCCCAGCTGCTCCAGCCATGGCTGAAAGGGGCCAACACACACCTTGGGCTGTGGCTTCAGAGGATGGAAGCCCCAAGCCTTGGCAGCTTCCATGTGGTGTTGAGCCTGCCAGTGCAGAGAAGTAAAGAATTGAGATTTGGGAACCTCCACCTAGAGTTCAGAAGATATATGAAAATGCCTGGATGCCCAGGAAGAAGTTTGCTGCATGAGCAGGGCCCTCATGGAGAACCTCGGCTTGGGCAGTGCAGAAGGGAAATTTGGGGTCAGATCCCCCACACAGAGTCCCTACTAGGGCACTGCCTAGTGGACCTGTGAGAAGAGGGCCACAGTCCTCCAGACCCCAGAATGGTAGATTCACTGACAGCTTGCATAGTGCACCTGGAAAAGTGGCAGACACTCATGAAAGCAGCTGGGAGGGAGAGTGTACCCTGCAAAACCACAGGGGTGGAGCTGCCCAAGACCATGGGAACCTACCTCTTGTATCAGTGTGGCCTGGATGTAAGACCTGGAGTCAAAGGAGATCATTTTGGACCTTTAAAATTTGACTGCCCTGCTGGATTTTGGACTTGCATGGGCCCTGTAACCCCTTTGTTTTGGCAAACTGTCTCTTATTTGGAACAGCTGTATTTTCTCAATATCTTACTCCCATTGCATCTAGGAAGTAACTAGCTTGTTTTTGATTCTACAGGCTCATAGGCAGAAGGGGCTTGCCTTGTCTCAAATGAGACTTTGGACTGTGGACTTTTTGGTTAGGGCTGAAATGAGTTAAGACTTTGTAGGACTCTTGGGAAGGCATGATTGGTTTTAAAATATGAGGACAGGAGATTTGGAGGGTCTGGGGCAGTATGATATGGTTTGGCTGTGTCCCCATTCAAATCTCAACTTGAATTGCATCTCCCAGAATTCCCACCTGTTGTGGGAGGGACCTAGAGGGAGGTTATTGAATCATGGGGACCAGTCTTTCCTGTGCTATTCTCTTGATAGTGAGTAAGTCTCACGAGATCTGATGGATTTGTCAAGGGTTTTTGCTTTTGCTTCTTCCTCATTTTTCTCTTGCTGCCACCATGTAAGAAGTGCTTTTTGCCTCCTGCCATGATTCTGAGACCCTCTCAGCCACGTGGAATTCTAAGTCCAATTAAACCTCCTCCTTTTGTAAATTGCCTAGTCTTGGGTATGTCTTTATCAGCAGCATGAAAATGGACTAATATAGCTGCCCTGTATTGACAGCACCCCAGGCAACTTTGCTAGCTTAATAGGACTAAGTGGGAACTTCTTTATTTCTTTTCTTCTGGCATTCATTCCCTTGTAAGACGTCCTATGTATACAGTAATATGTGTACACACACATTTAATTTCCTTCATTATTTTGTATCTCTTGCTTTACTTCAATACTGGATTCGGGACAGAGGCTCATGTGGAGTACATTTAATCTGAAATTGACTGTACAAATTTACTTTCAAAATATAAGATGTGGGGGCAGATATTTGAAAGCATGTGGCATGGGGGTAATCTCCTAATATTAACGTGGTACTTATCCTGCTGAACTATATGTATATCATACCACATGTACTTTGGGAACCGAACTGGACACTGGAAAGTCAGCTATAAAAGAAAGGCTGTGCCATCCACCTACACAGCTACTTCCCACTCAAGGACAGACAATGGAATGCATTCACAAAGTAGGGTGAGGTCCTGGCTCAATTTGGACTGTTATTAATCCACAGGATGATTGTAGTAGCTTCCTAACAAATCTCTGTGTTCCACTCTTGTCCCACAGTCAGACCAGAGTAATATTTTTAAAACATGAATTTGGGTTATACCACATCCTGGGTAATTTCAAAAGTTTTCCATTACTCTTAGAATAAAACCTAAACTCCCTTTCTGGCCTCGTATAACCTGGCTTCTGAATATGTAAGACTCGTGTGCCATCTCCCTCTCACTCACTCTAGCCCATGTGCACCGTCTTCTTCAGTCTCTTGAATATTCCTGGCCTTCCCCTACCTGACTGCAGGAATGTGCTGCTCCATCCACCTGGCATGTTCCTCCCTCACCTTTCACATCAGCCTTCAGATCACCTCTTCAGAAAGGTCTTTCTCAACTATTTAATGTCACGTAGGCTTACCACTATCACTGTCGCCTCTCCCTCTCATTATTTATAATTGCTGCTTCTTTTCAGGTTTCTTTAATGGCACGCATCACATTAACATAATTTTGTGTGTTTGGTCTCTTTTCCTGCTTTGGCACATACCACATTAACATAATTTTATGTGTTTGGTCTTTTTTCCTGAGTTCTAATGAAAGTTAATGTGTGATACAAAATGTTCATACTCAGTTTCCACTCCCATATGTCCATATATTTGCTCCAGGCTTCCTTGTCTCCAATCTCCCCATTCCTTTTATTCTAGGCCCTTGACAAGATAGCCAGGCCATTGGTCTTGACTCAAGCATCTATTTATGTCGTTACCTCAGGCCATTTCTCCTTCCTCATGAAGTAGATGCCCACGCTCCTAAGTCACAACTCCACACTTTAGGAAGATTTCTTCTCTATTGACTTCCAATGCTGTCCTCAGATGTTCTTGAAGGCTGCCACTGTCATTTTTGGCCTTCAACCACTTACCAAGTTAACCTATCTGTAAAGTAAGCCTGGCCTTGGGAAGGAGAAAAGCAGGGCTTGACTGTTAAGACCCGATCTGGCACTATTAGCTGAGCCTGGCGTTGCTGAAGCTGGCCTAGAACTCACAGTTAGATTTTGGTGTCTTCTTACTGAACATACAACTACTTAATGAAATCAGCATCAGACAAGGTCTCTTCATGAGTGTCATGGATCAAGACAAAAATAAGAGCATTCTGTAATCAGTTATAAACACATTTAAAAAAACTGTTCAAACCACAAAAATATCCACATATCCTCTCATCCTAGCTAATTTGCATTACTGCTGCTTCTTTACCTAATTATAACTAGCTTCATTTCCTGCATCCTGCCTTATAAGATTTATTATGATATCCAGTCATGGAATTGTCCCACTTTCTGACAGCATTGAGTAGACAGCAAAGCCCTAATTCCTTGAACCCTCTCCACAACAAGCTAACACTAACCTAAATCCTATATTAAGTTCTTTCTAACACCCTCTTATTGAGATGTTCCATGGATCCTCATGGTATATATTCTTCCTTGCTACAACAAATAATGAGTCCAACAGATACAGCTGGTTGTCTTTGGCTGGAGAGCACTTTCAGACCTTTTCTACCTCCTTCATCCAGTCTTAGAAGTGAAGTAGGGAAACATTGCTCATATAACTGCAGTGGGTAATAGGGATATTCGGGTTACTGCTCATGCAGCTAAGTTCTGGTCCTGCTTGGGCTCAATCTGGGCACATCATTTTCGTCTTTTGGTTGACTTATGCTTGGTTGATTTTATGACTTAGAAGAACTGAAATAATCCAGCTCATGATGTGCAGTTCCAGACATATGGTCATGTAGAGCCTCACGGTCAAGTTTTCATTGCTTCCATGAGCTGTTTAACCAAAAAATGTATTATTTTCTCTGCTGTAGATGGCATTGTCCTACTCCTGAATATCAGAGCTTGCATTGTGAGTCTCCACTGGGGCTTAGCATAAGTTTCATGCTACATCTTTTTCCACCAGATACCTGAAACCTTCCCTGTCACTCAGATTATGGACCAGAGCATTAGGCATAGAATATGTTGCCTCCAGAACCCAAAAATAACTATCAGGCTTTCTGCTTCCTTCTTTGTGGTATGGGACTGCAAAATATATATTCTGGCAAACTCCTGACCATTGGATCTGTAAAGGCTTCACTGAAGTGTCAGGAATCTAAATCTTCATGGGGATTATCCCCCACCCTCTGGAATGCATGTATTAAATGTCTTATCAAGGCCTCCTGTATACTAGCCATCTATTGTTTGCCCTGCCTGATCAGCATGATCTTATTGATGTAACGCATACAGTGCAACGTTCTGTGGGTTGACCAAGCAGCCCAGTTATCTTCAGTCTACAATATGACAAAGAGCAGAAGAGTTAACATGGCCCTGAGGAAAAACTATAAATGGGTATTTTTGTATATCCCACATGAATGTGAACTGTTTCTGATCCTCTTTTATCATGAGAATAAACAAAAATATATTCATCCAAATCTATGGCTACCTGTCCTGTACCTGAGGTCTTTTTATCTGCTCTAGCAAAGATGTCACCCTCCCATAATAGTTACAATCAGGCTATTACATTATTGAGGTTGCAAAAGTCTACACTCCAGGATTTTTCTGAGTTTTTTAGGGGTCATATTGAGTCAATAAAGAGAGATATAATAAGGATACTCTACTTACCCCGTTCAACATTCTTTGGCTGTTTAATGATGGCATTAACATCTACCATCTTCCTAGAATGTAATATTACCCTTTATTTACTCCCTTGGCATAGTGAGTAGAGGGCAGATACAGAGGTTTCCACTTGACCTTTCTGACTCTGATAGTTCTTACTCCAAAGGCCAGGACACAATGTGGGCATCACTCTGGCTGCCAAGTATGTCATTTCCAACAAAATTCTTGTGGACTGAAAAAGTGACAACTAAGTGGGTCTTCAAACACAGTAAGCTTCCTATGAGTTGGATTGTAATAATAAATTTATTTATTATTTAGCCATGTGAGCTTCCACAGGTCCATGATTACTCTTAAGGTCCCTGGATAGCAACATTAACTCAAACTGTCTGTACCCAATATACAGTTACTCAAGTCAACAGCAGTAGGCTGCATAATGTGCAGCATCCAGTACAAATAAAAATGTGGGATCCTTTGTTTAAAGAATTTCAAGATGGTAACAGTAAAACACTAAACCAAGTGAGGGGCCCTTCTAAGAGCAGAGTTCAGTATATGTTTCTGACGTGCCTGGCTATAGGTCTGTTTAGAGAAGCCTAATGGAATTGCCACACTATATATACTTACAGGTTTCTTTCACTGAGAAACCCAGCTACCTCTTCAGTCAACAAATTCTGTATCTCAAAATGGGCTCAGGTCAAAGAATCTAATGAGAAAGTCTTTCTTTGTATTGGGATGAACATCCTCAGCCTCCTACTGACCCATTCTTTCCTTTTCTTAGCTGTTAAGCAGCACTCTTGTTGGCTGCCACCTTATTCTTCCTCTAGGAATGCCATATTCTATCAACCATTCCCAGAACTCACTGCAGGTCAAGCCCCCTGGCTGTGACTCTGACCTTGCTGGTCATAATGGTAAATATGGCCTCCTAGCATGTGGTAGGTAAGTGCCACCCTTGGCCTCTGTTCTTGAGGGTAGAGGGGCATCATTTACATGGATATTAACAGTCCCAGGTCTATGACCACCTCTCCTACCCCCAGCTCTGAGACACAGAGGAGAGCCAGGATTGAACTTAGTGATCCTGTTACCCTTCCAACTAGCAAATTCCTGATGTCCTTAGTGAATCTTGATGACCTTCGAGTGTCCACTTGGCTCCCTCATCTAACATAGTCTTCTGGTGAATTTTCTGGCTTCATATTATATATCCATTCTAGCCATGTCCTCTTCCCTCAGCCTCTTTATTTCTTATCTACCGTCTTGTAGGGAAACCCATGAAATTTCTCTTCATTTAGCATTGATCATCACTTTTTCCAGACTTTTTCAAGCCACCCTAGCTGTGAGCTTGCCCTATGCACGGTGGTTCTTAACAGGGTGTTAAAGCCCACGTCATAAGAAAATGCCCCCAAGTCAATAAACTGTTTCCTATGTGGACTTATTTTTTAGTCCCCTCAATCAAGTACCTGCAAAAATCAATTTCTAGGGATGTCCATGGCTTCTGCTGATACATGCTAGCTAATTCTGGCAACTCTTTGGTATATTATTCATGCTTTACTTTATCATGACCAGTACGTCTTCAGCTGAGCTCTGCTGGAAATTAGCACTGTCTGGGACCTGGCAGCCCAAAAAGGAAGTAAAAGCATTTGAGAGGGGGGATATATGTTGCTTTATGAAGTAATGCCTCTGCGATGTCTTTCAGTGTGAGGGAAGCACTAGCTCTTACTAGGAAAGGGTGGTCCATCTCCATAATCTCTGAGGATTTAGGAGAGTCTGCAAAACCAACTTATCAGGGGTATCCACTTAATGCCCCTATCTATATTTCCAGGTCTCAGGTGTTTCCAACCAGCCTTAGCTAAACATTCAAATGTCTCTAGAGCTCTCTGACTCTAACTACCACATTTTCAGTGGGCTGCTTAGCTTTGTTTTTGCAAAGAGGGCCTTGTCTTTTTGTAAGACACCAAAGATGTCCTCTGACTCTCACACTTAGCCTTTAACTGCTTGTTAAGAGCCCTAAGTTTTTCAATATCCCTCTTCAAGGTATCAGTACAACTTAGCAGTAACCATAAAGCTCTGCTATCCTTGTAGGTGCTGTTAAGAACCATATCTGTAGGCACTGTTCCCACCATAACTGCCAAAAGCCCGAATCTGAGGACCTACAAGCATCTCTCCCTCCAATAGATGTTTTTCCAGATCAACCTCAGTAAATTGTATAGCAATCATGCCTTCTCCTTCAGCCCCAAACTGTCCAAAGTCCACGTACTTCAGGAAGCCATCCTATTTGCTTGATAAGGGAGTGGGCCAGTCCCAAAACCCCCATTTCGTTCTCCACTCTTGGACCTCTCTCAGGACCACTTGCGTCACTTTGTGTACTCAAAGAAGCAGAGCTAAAGAAGGGATTGGGTTTACAAAAGATGCACTAGTGAGAATGCCTGTGGAGGATAATGAAAAAAAGAGCGGAAGAAGGGGGGCACTTCAGAGTGTAAGAAAAACTCTTGGCTGGGTGTGGTGGCTCATGCCTGTAATCCCAGCACTTTGGGAGGCCGAGGCGGGCAGACCACGAGGTCAAGAGATCGAGACCATCCTGATCAACATGGTGAAACCCCATCTCTACTAAAAATACAAAACTTAGCTGAGCATGGTAGTGTGTGCCGGGCGTGGTGGCTCACGCCTGTAATCCCAGCACTTTGGGAGGCCAAGGCGGGCAGACCATGAGGTCAAGAGATCGAGACCATCCTGAACAACATGGTGAAACCCCATCTCTACTAAAAATACAAAATTTAGCTGAGCATGGTAGTCCCAGCTTCTCGGGAGGCTGAGGCAGGAGAATCGCTTGAACCTGGGAGGCGGAGGTTGCAGTGAGGTGACATTGCACCACTGCACTCCAGTGTGGCGACAGAGCAAGACTCCATCAAAAAAAAAACAAAAAAAAAAAACCTCTCTCTGACAGCCATGAGGTAGAGGAGAAAAGAAGAGAATTCAATAGAAATAGTTTCAGATTGAAAGCCATTTCAAGGAAGATTTGTCCAGGCTAATGAGGCATTCTTGAGTCAAAAATCACGCATCAAAGATGTCCCATGTGCTGCCAGCACGGGCCTTGTTTGTAGCCCTACTAGGTTCAGTCCTTGGTTGGAAGCAGCCCAGAAGTGTGGCCTCAATAAATGTGACAGCAGAGTGAATCCAAGGAGCAGTGCATGAGGCTGCCATCAACTGTGCATTCCACTCTCTTAGCTCCCACACTCCGTACCACACATCTTTCATGATGGCCATTTTTTTTCTTGAACCAGAGGTTGTCCACAAGACAGTTCATCAGGAAATTGAGACACATTCTCTTAGCTTTCATTCATCTTGGCATAATATTTTTCACTCATCTATTACGCACACCTTTGAAAGAAAATGGCTTTCACCTGTATAGTTTTTATAGGGTAGAACCATCTAAGACACTTTCTTTCATGTACATTTATCCCATGACTAAAGCTTCTCCAGGAAAGTATTTGTAATGGTTATTTCTTGTAGGTTAATACAAAAATGATGCCCATTGACTGTGCAAAATTTGAAAACTACAGAAAAGTATAAAGAAGAAAATATTCTTTTCACTCCATAATTCAGAAATAATTACAATTAGGAGCTTATGAATTTTCTTTCTTTTCCTTTGCCTTTGTGATATGGAAAATCTACATTTTCCATACCATGGAAATACACTGCATAGATTGCTTTGCTTCTTCTATTAGATGATTTATTTTTGGTTTTAAAAATAATTTTTTACCTTGATTATGTAGAAGACATTAGTAAGAAAAGAAGAAAATTAGAGAATAAACTTGACCAATAAATATTCTCTGTATATACATACATATATATACACACATACACACATGCATACTTATATACATATTTATTATACATGTTACACTATAGTATATTTTATATATAGAGAGAAATATACACATATGAATATAAGTAAATATGTACATTATGTGCAATATATACATATACACATATACACATAAATGTGCATATATGCATACATATCTATATAAATATTATCACTCTATATTTATTCTCTCTCTTCTCATATTTCCCTCTCTATGTATACTCAGGGTCTTGATCTGGAAAAGAAGGATTTTTTTTTACTTTGAAAATATTTGTTGCAATTATTATAACAATACTAATGGTAATTCAGTTCCATGGGGAAAATTATTTATACTATTCAGAAGTAGAATATAAGAGATAACTGAAGAAGAATTCAGATGGATTAAATAAATCAGTAGCAGAGCAACAGAATAATGTACTAACTAACCAAAGACAGTGAAGGTTAGTTGTGTTTTCAGACTGAGGCTATTCCTGCAAGGTAGCACTTTAAATTTACCTCGTAGAAACTTGACACAGAGATGTTGCTGTAAACAAGACCTACTCAGGGGTCACCCCGTGGGGATTCCCCTGTAAAGATGCCCTGAGAATCATGTCCATCCCACAGAAGCATTTGATCAGTGCATCCACCCCCACATGCTTAAACGGTGCGCACGCCCCAGATTTCAAAATAAGCAGAGTTAACATTCTTGACTCCTGGCCCAAATGTGGATGCCCGCCATGAGCTCATGCCTTCCTTTGTGGGCTGGCATTCGCAGGGCTTATGTTATCCTGCTAACTGGACCAGGAAAGAGACACTGAGGGACATGTGCTGGAAACCATGCATACGTAGGACTCTGAGATTTTTGACTGCGCACAAATGTATTATGAATCTTTTTGAGAGTCAAAAGCAAAAATGTGGTCATAAATGTCAGGGAAATGGGTTAATTTGAGATCAGATCCTGGCTCTACCACTATCTGGCTGAATGATTAATGCAGAGTCACCAACTATCTCTTCCTGTGTGAAATGCAGTTAACCTAACTTGGCTATTTCCTAGGGTTTTTAGTAGTTATCTAAATAGGTAATGGACATAAAATATTTAGTAAGTGGCAAGCTGTATAAAAATTCTGGTTTTGAAGATGCAATATAAAGAGGAGAGATCTTTGTTTTATTTATCTTTATTTTCCTAAATCCCGTCTCAACACCAGGCATACCATAGGCATTTAATTAATGTTATTTCATTGAGTGGATGAATTGGGTTTGGGAGTTAGAGCTGGGTCCATTACAGGCCACAGCGGCTGATGGTTATTTCATCGTGTGATTGTAAGTTTGTTTCTTAAGCCGTCTGAGTCTTAGCTTCCTCACACATGAAATGGAGGTAATGACACCACTTGTTCTAGCCATCTACTTCGCATGACAGTTGAGATGTTGCAATGAGATACTGTCTGTGAAAGTGTTCTGTACGATAAACCACGATACAAAGCCTTGTTATTTTTAAGTCATTCTGATTTCTAAGATTTTTTTTCTAAGTAAATGATCTCTAAATTTCTTTTTAACTTTCAGTATGGCTAATTTTCAAAAAGAGAAATTGATAAATGTCTCTCTAGCCCCTCTTTTGTGAGCTGTGTTCCCTAGGTAAACACTATATTTCAAGAAGCTACACCCCCAAAAGAAATCATTTTGCCATAGGCTTTGAAATATACACATTGGGCTTTTGTTTCCTTGTCTCAATTGCATCTCCTTGCCTTCCAGAAATTGTGGCTTTTATGACTTCCTGATGATCAGTACCAAATCAACAAGGCACAAATTTGTGAATCTATGTCTGAAAGAGAGGTTCAGCAACAGCTGTCTTATGGGCTCAAACTAACCAAGGGAAGGTAAATAAGAATGCTTCATTTTATTATCTCCCACCTACACACATGCTTCATGAATACTGTAAACATATTCTTATTGCATCAGTCTTCATCAGGTTACCAGATATTTCAAACCAAAAGCCCAGTAGGCAAACTGATCATTACTAACTTGGGGTCACAGCCATGCCATAGTTATCCTTTTGTCTATGAAGTTGAAGATGATAAAAGGAAAAGAAGATCATTCTTGATTCTACTGGGATCTATTTGAGCATAGGAAATGGATTTTGTTGATCAACTTGTTACCAATGGCCCCTAGCACACTGATGGGGACACAGAGGAGGTCCTAAAAGAATATTCATGTTGAATCCATTAATCAGCTATCAAATCAATGAGTGCTATGTAGTCTTGTGAGAGAATCACACTGAAACCCCACTAGGAATTTAGGTCCCATCACAACATCATTCACTGTAATGTATTTGCAATAAGCAATCAACCAAATGCATTATAATCAGAGACCAGACACACTAAAGGTCAATTTATTTGGAAGACTCAGTATGTATTATGTTTCCTTTTATTCGTTCAAAACCTAGAGTGTGCTATGTATAACAACAGTCAAAGCTATTATTGTGGGTAAAAAATAAATAAATAAATATAAGTCCTCTTACACTGGCTGTTTAGAAGTTCACAGATAAATTCATGGCGCTTTAGCACAAGTATGGAACTTCACATTATACAGTTTGTGAATAAACACTATCTTTGATTTTTGTCTTATTTTACTTACCATTGATGTTTATGCTGAGTATTAATTTCCTCATATACCTACATATGTTTTTGAAATTATTTAGAAATCCATAGTTATGGTAAAAAGCATATATTAATGCCATGTACCATATTAACTGCTTTTAAGTGTACAGTTTCATAGTGGTAAATATATTTACATTCTTTTGCAGCAGATCACGTAAATTTTTCATCTTGCAAAACTGAAACTCTATACTCATTAAGCTACCTCATTACCCTGTCACCCCCACCCCCATAACTTTACATATGTGTGGTTTTTAATGTTATAAGTATTTCACAAGCTAACTCAAATCATTTTAGAACAAAGTGATTTTATGTAGATAGAATAATAGATGAATCATATGTCAATATAGCCTTTAAGAAGTTTATACTCATAAAATCATAGACTCTTGGGGTTGAACAGAATCTTTAATATAATATATAACAGCCTTTCCTCCTGCAGCCCCAATCTAAGGCTTGATAGACATACTTGCTGTTTGCAGCACTACCCCATTTATTTTCCTACAGACACAAGAATAGTGATAAATTCTATTTCATGCATTCTCATCATAAATAAGCATATAATATGTGGTGCATTTATAATTGCATATGCTGAATAGAGAGGGGGTTTTGATTAAATATTGATGATATTAATTTCTCCACTCACATTTTTCATGGTTGGTAAAAAGGGAAAAGCATTCACATACTTCCCATGCCAATTACTGTAGGACATATTCATATTTTGATGTAGTCTCCAGCCATTGTTGAACCAACACACATGGGCAGGAGGTGTGCTCTTGGAAGCCATTCTACACCAGGATGAGTAGCAATAATTTAGCTATACATAAATGTAACTGCAAAACACATTAGTGTATCCTCTCAAACCCAAACTAAAAGTATTCCCTATTCAACTTCCTCTTAGTTGGACCCTAAAAAATCCCACAGCCACTCCATCACAACTCTCTTGAGGTAAAAGGTGATGAAAGGAGTATTGGAGTAGAGATGGATAATAATATTAAAATATTGCAGATACAGTATTTCACATTTGTCTATGTTACAATTTATGACAATGTAAACATATTGCTAAGGTACTTCCCTGGACCTTGGAAGGAACTCTGCAAATCTTGACATTTAAATGTTTTAGGTTCACAGTAAATCTGAAAGAAGGCCTGGGGAAAACCTGTTGGTAGGCGTTAAAAAGAGAGCAATTCCTGATATGATGCACTGAGATGGACACGGCATCACTTTTGTGATATTTCTGCCAAAAGTGCATTCAAACTAAACTAAGGTATTATCTACAAACAACTGGCCTGTGCTTTACAAAAATATCTGTGTTACGAAACACAAAGAAGACTGGGAAACTGTTCCTAATTAAAAGATACTAAAAAAAAAAGGACAACTGAATGCAACATATCATCCAAGATTTTTCCTTGGTGTAAAGGACATTATTAAGACAATTGTCAAATCTGAATAAGCAGCGTAGAATAGATGATATTTTATGGATATAATTTTTTAATTTCAATAATTGAACTGAGATCATGTAAGGTATTTCCTCATTTTAGGAAATACACACTGAGACATTTAGAGTAAAGGTGCAACATATCTGCAACTGACAAATGGTTCAGGGAAAAAAAAATCTGGGGAATGCCAAATAAGGACTTCCTGTGTTTCTTTCTTTATCTCTCACTCACGTGAGCTTTGAGCAAAGGAGGGGTGGGAGTGAGGAGCAGCCCCCACACAGCTGTTCAGGGATGTCTGGAAAAGAAGCCCACCCACATTGCTTCTGGACACTGGGTGTGACTTTGGAGGGTATCAGGTTTGTCTGTTAAAGAAACTGCCAACCTCTTCCTGCCCCAATTGGCCTCTGTTCCCTTGCATGCCCTCTTTCCTTCGGACACTCCCTTAAGGCATCTTCTTGACATTAACTTAACTATAAATGTTTATTTGATGAATTTCAGTGACCTGAAGAGAGATGGAGGTCAAATCAGAAGAAGCACATGGCTAAGGTTGCAATGCACTTGCTTTTTCATTGAATTAAAGTCATTCGAATACCATTCAGTTTACTTAAGTTCTAGGCCCAGCTTTACTCCTAATCGATGTCAGACTGTAGCAAATATTAGGTCCAAAGTTGGAAGAGTTAGCAGGATCCTCCCCATGACAGAACTTTGGCTTCCACTTTACTAAAATAGAGATTGTGTGGTTGAGCTGCAGCTATGTACAGAAAAGTGTCATACAATTAAAAATCACCAAACTCAGTCTCTTCAATTTGAGCAATAGTTGGTGAATTTACTCCACCACCTCCTCTCCTTGAAGGTTCTTTCCTGCTCTCCTCACTATAAATGCAGGATGACCTGGAAAGGCTAGGACCTGAGGTTCAGTTACCCTGACACAAAGGAATTCAGTTTCTCTGATCTCATAGTCACAGGCTGCCAGAGCTCTACGGAACATGCAAGATCATCTGCTTTAAGCCTCTTGTGGTGGCATCTGTTGTTTTCCACTGCCCTGTACCTATTGCTCTTTCCTTGGTTAACAGAACCTTTATTTTCTTCTGAAAACTCTCTGCTCAGTCATGGTAGGGCCATCAGTCCAGATGATCAGGCCTCTCCTGGCCAAACATGGCATCTTTCTTTTGGGAATTTGAATCTTAAGCTGAATAGCTGAAGTTCAAAAAAAGCTGTTGAATCTGACTTACGCCTACAGTGGCTTTGCAAAGTGACTGTCCATTCCTATTTCTTAAGTCCCTGAATTTATAATTTATCCTGGTTACAGCCCTTTCTGAGATGTGTGGTTTTTTTTCCAACTGTCTCTTATAGTCTGTGAATTTTCATATTTCTTTTCATACATTTTCATGTTTTGTTTGTTTGTTTGTTTGTGTGTTTTTTGGCTTTAGGTAGGCAGAATCAGTTTCTGTTGTTTATACCCAAGGAATCCTGATTGATACATCCTTCCCCTTTAAAAATAAAGTATCTAAGGCTCAAAGAGAGTAGGCTACCTGCTTGAGGTCTGGGAGTAAGTTAGTACCAGAGCTCGTACTAACCCCAGGTTAGCCAACTGCTTTACACAACATTTGCTCTCTCCTTCAGAGTTATAGCAGTCTTGGAAGAAAGAAGCTACTATTTTGCCAAAGACCTCAGGAGGACCAAGAACAAGTTCTGGGATATGTGATGATTGAACTCTTAAAAAGTTTGTTGGACTTCTGGCCATAATTGTGTATCTAAGACCAGATTTCATTCTTAATAGCTAAACAAACAAACGAGAGATCCACAGGTTCAGCAGCTATAATAAGAGTGAATTACTGATACAGTTGACAACATGAATATATCTCAGAAACCATGGCATCAATGAGCAAAAAAAATCCAGACACAGAAGAATACGTACCATATGCCTGCATTTATGTGATATTCTAGCATTGTATTGTCCAACATAGTAGCCAGTAGCCTCACATGGCTATTCAAATTTAAGTTGATTAAAATTAAGTAAGAATAAAAATTTAGCTCTTCAGTAGCGTTAGCCACATGTAACTAGTGGCTACCACATCAGACGGTGCAAATATAGAATATTTCCTTTATAACAGAAAGTTCTATTGGAAAACAATGTTCTAGAAAATATACACATAATCTATAAAAACAAAAAGCAAGTCAGTGATTGTCTAAGGCCAGGGGTGAGGGGAGATCGATTGCAAAGTGGTATGAGGAAAGTTTTGGGGTAATAGGGTTGTTGGAATCTTGATTGCGATGAAGGCTACTCGGTGTCTAATGTGTCACCTCCTCAGACTGAACACTTGGAATTGGCGAATTTCATTGTATGTAAATTATACCTCATAAAGTAACTCTAAGAGGTCAAGTGTTTTGTGGAAATTATTTTTAATCAGTTGCAATACTTATTATGAGATGATTTTTGCAAATACATAAACATGTTATTCATCCATTAGGTGCAATATTTTTGCTAGCTCCTGAAAACACAGAGATGAATTAGAATAGCAAGCCTGCCCTCAAGCTGTTCACAATCCAGTACAGGAGATGAGTCTATTCAAAAATAGCTAGACTCCAGGAAGAAAGTTATAGGTGACCTTACACAAAAAAGTGCAGATATAATTATGTAGGACAGTAGAAGTGGGGAAGGTTTCTTTTATGTGGAAAAAAGAGGGAGAATTTTTGGTCTTTGAAGGATGAGCAAGATGTGAATATGCGCAGATGGAGTTTTAAAACATTCCTGGTGGAGGGCAGAATATGATCCAAGGCACAAGAGCAACCAGAAAAATATGCAACCTAGAGGAAAGTGCATGAAGGGGAGCAGTTGTAAAATAATTTTCATGAATGTAAGTGAGAAGAATTTGTATCATAGACACCTGAGTTTGGCAGAGTGCATGTTCTTGGCTCCTAGGAGTCAAGAAGAACAAAGTGTCCCTTTCTCCTACGTTATGCTCAGTGGTCCAAGTCCAAAACACCTTTCCTTCCTTAAGTACTTTCTTCTCCCCTCCATACAAATCTAAAGTCTTCACAAACATCATTTAAACAGGCAGGTCATGGTCAGAAAGGCAATTGCTTTTCCTAGACTTCTATGTACGTTATTATATTACAATTTCTGCCTAAAAGACTCTAAAGTCTTGGAAAAGTTTCCACCTTGCACATCAAAGATATAATTCATGCATTTGTATAGTAACCTTAGTCCCCTAAGAGAATAAGGATGAACTATAAATATAAGAAGCAATTATGGTAATTATAATATGATTGCCACTTATTTTTCACTTGATCGTGTATGGTTGCATGCTACTGGTGTTCTGTTGAATTCTAGAGAGTTTGCCTCTTTTTCCTGGGTCAACTCTCGCCATTTATTTCCATAATGCAATAGGAGCCAATCTTTTTCATAATTACTTATTTAAAATTTGTTGCCATTTAATTTCTGTTCCTCTTAGCTTAGTAACTTTAGGATTTTTAAATAACAACTATTGAAATCATGACATACGTTTAAATGATATTATTTAAATACGTTAGGCTATAAACCTTTTAAATTTTTTAAAAAAATAGATGAGTGTGGTGGCTCATGCCTGTAATCCCAACACTTTGGGAAGCCGGGTCGGGAGGATAGCTTGAGTCCAGCAGTTTGAGACCAGTCAGGGCAACACAGCAAGACCCCATATCTAAAAAAACAAAACAAAACAAAATTACCTGGGTATGGTTGTGCTCACCTGTAGTCCAAGCTACACAGGAAGCTGAGGCAGAAGGATCACTTGAGCCCAGGAGGTTGAGGCTGCAGTGATCCATGAACGCGCTGCTACACTCAGTCTGGGTGACAGTGCAAGAAGCTGTCTCAAAAATAATAAATAAATAAAAATAACTTTTAAAAAACAAAAATTAATTAAATTTTAAAGACACAACACACTAGAGATGTTTGCAAATTGATTATTTGGGAGTCTATATCCCTGGAAGTTAATTTAAAATATTTAGAAGAGTTCTTCCTCATTTCCTAGAGACGTCGAATTGTAAATATCAGAGCTAGAAGGAACACTAGGGCTCGCCACTCCAAAGTGTGGTCCAAGGACCAGCAGCATCAAGTAACCTGGGAACGTGTTAGAAATGCAGAGTCTTAGGCCTCACCCCAGACCTACTGAACCAGAATCTGCATTAACAAGATTTCTAGGTGCCTCACGGGCACATTAAAACTTGAGAAGCTCTGCACTAGAAATCTTCACTCCACCTTTCATTATAAATGGAATCACTTGGCTGTGGTCACAGGAAATTGATTATTTTTAATTTCAGAACCTTCTATTTAGGTCATCTATATTTGCTAATAGCAGGGAAGAAAGCCAAACTCTTTAACTGCAATTAACAAATCTATAATTAATTAGTTAAGCAATCTTCCCTTTAAGTTTTACATTTTGTGGAGCAAGCTGTTTGATTTGGCTGGGGCTCAGGCTGGCCTGTTTGTGAATTTCACAATTCACAGATGTTAGCCGCTCTCGGGCTAAGTAAAGGAAGAGAATGTCAAGTTTTAAATAGCTTCTCCCTTCCATCCTGGCTGAAGCAACAAATAAAATATTTTTATGAAACACATTTTGAGTTAGATTTACTTACAGGGAAATGTCAAATTTCTCTGAAAGGGCTTTAGATTGTCTCACAACTTTGACATCTACTGATGTCACCTATTTACAGGTGTGTCCTGTGACTAGGGGGTGAAGGGAAGATGTGAACTCACCATGTTAGTGACCGTTAGATACACAGAGTGGTTTTTTTTCCCCCTGTTGGAGTCTATCCTAACTGAGCTTCTGAATCATATTTCATTCAATTTCCAAATCCACAAAACCAGGATAAGTTTACAGCCCATATTCAGAAAGGAAATAAATTATTTTGTGTGTAGACTTTCCTGATATTACACTGATTTGGGAATATATGAACAATTTTATGGTTTCCTTTCGAAGTAGGTCAAGTCAAAGCAAAACCAAAAACAGCAAAAACTGTAAGACATAAAGAATAGAGTGGAGCCGACTGAGAGATTAAAATAAACTAGAATATTTTTATTAACAGGCAATTTGAAATAATTTGTGCACTTCAGAATATTCTACAATAATATATTATTTCCAATTTTAATATCTTTAAGAAAATTACTATATTATATGTAAGTACATGTGCATGTGTTTGAGGTAGGATATTTAACTCAATAAAGGTTATTTTCTTTTATTCGGGTCAGGCAAAGCTTCTAAGGGGATGTGAAAGGGATATCTCTTTCTCTTAGCTGAGAGGAAGAGTGAGTTCTAAGTTAAATATAATCAAGGAATTTCCCTGTCTTTGCTATTTGAGATTGTGACCACAACAGGCGGTTGGCTGAAAGGGAAACTGAAGGGCGGGGAGGGAGGGAAATAGATGAAAAAACAAAACAAAACAAAACTTCCCTAAGCAGCTCTACAAAACATTTTAGCCCCAGAAATAGTCACAGAAATCCTCAAATCAAACCAGTATCCAGATACAAGGAAGTGTTATGTAGCTGGAGCAGGGTGGACACTCATCAGCTCAGTTCAGTTACAAAAGTCCAGGCTGCTGAAATTAAACTCTGATGCCATTCATGCCAGCATCCAATCACGACAGAGATCAGAAGTTCAGAGATGCCTCCAGCTCCAAATTGCCAACAACAAGTGTGGCTACTATACGTCAAGGACTCTGAAGCCGTGAGAGAGGGGGAAGAACAACAGTAGAGAGGATGCCCAGCTGGTAAGAATCGAGTGTTTATGAAGTTTTAGTCAATTGATGAATCTCATTGGCTAAAATCAAGAAACGCTCCGCCTCTTTGCAAATATGTATGAAGGAGAGAAGTGCCTAAACTTCTATGTCTGATAGCATTTGACCCTATTGCTTTTAGCCTCCCGGCTTTATATCTATATATACACAGGTATATGTGTATATTTTATATAATTGTTCTCCGTTCGTTGATATCAAAGACAGTTGAAGGAAATGAATTTTGAAACTTCACGGTGTGCCACCCTACAGTACTGCCCTGACCCTTACATCCAGCGGTGAGTTTGAATGTGACATAACTTCTCTCAAAACTTAATTGAAGTGCCTTGTGTATTATGAATGTGTCAGCTGTGTACAAAGAACAATTCCTCCTTGTTTAGTCAGCACAGTGATATTATTTTGGACTTTCTGTGGACTTAAAGTGGTCTGTGGACATATTTTCTGAATGTCTTTTTTGGTTGATATTTGGATCTACAAAGTGAAAAAATTTGAAGCGAATCTTCCCATTTAAAAAAAATTATCACGCCATTTAAGAATGTTTAAAATATATTATTTGCCTTGTTCAGCACCTACTCACTCAATAAGAAATTTCACTGGGCAGGGATATAATAATGTATGGATAATCTTCAAGTCAAAATAAACACCAAATAATTTTGATTTATACATTAAGAAATAGATAACTAGCCATTGTTGTACCAAACAGATTGTGGCTTGTCATTGCATTTTATAAGGAATATTTTTTGGTATGTTTGATAATGAAAATCTTTTGACAAATCTGACTTTTAAAGCTTGTGATTGTAGTAAATTTTATTTAGAAACATTTGCCTAGTACTAAGAGAGAATATTAGTGAGGGTGCACAATTGTGTATGTGCTTCAAATTAGACTTTGCTATTTTTAAACTGGTAAATGAAATCTGAACAGTGTTTTTCCAGTCATAAAGTTATGGGAGATATTCAAGTCATATGTAGCAATGTGATGTTAGTTTAACAGCATGAGATTTCGTACTTTATTTTATAAGACTAATGAGAGAGGTCCTTTGCGTGTTGAAAATGGTGAGGTTACAAAGGGTTAACTTGCCATTTACCACCTGTGTCTGTTGGAGCTTGATACTAGAAGCAGATTCTGCTCTCTCTGGGCAGGACTCACTTACTGTAGACTAGTAGAGTGTGAAAGATTTGTGATCTTCCTTTAACGTGATTTGCTACAACGTAGAACACTAATGTGAGCTATGTAGATTGTTTCTCTTCCTGTGAGGTTTCTGGTGGGTTGTGCGAAAAGGCAGAAGAGAAAGAGCAAGGCAGAAAGATAAATAGAATAAAGGAGATAAAAAGAAAAGGGTGAAAAAAGAGAGAGGGGAAGCAAGTTTGGGGTCTCCAAGGTTTCAGTGGAATTTGTTGGTGGTGGCTTGATTCGTGTCTTGCTGTTTACCACAAACAACAATATTAGCACAAATAAATGGCTCTAGGATTTATGTTCTTGTATAATGTGAAAATTAGATCTAGCTGCAGTTGAGGATTGGGTTGATTAAAAAGAAAAACACCAAAGATTTTCTGGTTCTCAAAATTGTTTCTAATCTCAAAATTATCTATTCCATTAAACATCTTTGGAAATAATAGTTCTAAGAAGATAATTGTGATGAAATAGTAACTGTGTAATGCTACTCTTGAGGGCATCTCTCCTAAACTAGGTACTTGGAACCAGGGAAGCTTTAGAAGAAACTTCCTTCTATTGACTAATAACCCACACTTCAATCCTGCATACATACCTCTCTAGAAGCATTTCTAATGATAAGAGAGGCCTATAAATATAAAGAAATAGAGAAACTACTTTTTATATTACCTTGACGATCTATTAGTTCATGAAGCAAATGTCATCTCAGTTTTTGACATACTGTAATATTCTAAGCAATCATAGTATTTTTGGTTTTTTTTTAACCTTTATTTTAAGTTCAGGGGTACAAGTGCAAGTTTGTTATACAGGTAAACTTGTGTCATGGGGGTTTGTTGTACAGATTATTTCATCACTCAGGTACTAAGCCTAGTACCCATTAGTTATTTTTCCTGATCCTATCCCTCCTCCCACCTTCCACCCTCTGAAAGGCCCCAGCGTGTGTTGTTCCCCTCTATGTGTCCATGCGTTGTCATCATTTAACTCCCACTTAACACGTGAGAACATACAGTATTTGGTTTTCTGCTCCTGTGTTAGTTTGCTAAGGATAATGGCCTCCGGCTCCATCCAAGTCCCTGCAAAGGACATGATCTCATTCTTTTTTATGGCTACATAGTATTTTTAAGTAGTTTTAAATTTTCCTAGAATGCCCTGGGCTTTAATCATGGTGCCTGATACTTTTGGGGAAGGCAGGGGAGGGCATGTTGAGAAGCTGTGAGACTATGGTTCAGAATGGCCAGGGAGCAATTATTTGCCTAATAAATAATTTTAGGCAAGAATATGTACTTCTCATTTGTAATGCAAGCTTAACCAGCAAAAACATTAAGGTGATGAAACATAGCTCTTACTCAGCATCTGCTCTGCGGAAGACATTGCAAATACAAAAACCAATTAGATGTGACTGTTACATTCATTTATTTAATGTTGCAGTACTTACATATTTAATCTAAAATATATTTTCCTCAAGTATTTTAACTGTTTGTCATGTGTTTTAAGGACTGAATTATTACTATTTTCCAACCTTTATTACTTAGTGAATAAACAAGTGAATAAATGAAATATCACTGAAGGAATTAGTATGATAATGTATATGGTCAAAGCAAGGATCAAACAATATGTTCTTTGATACCTCATGAGTAAATGGGTTTGAGCTGGTTTTTGTAAGCAGACAACCGTTGTAGTTCTCGGTTTACAAAAAGCTATTTTAAGAAAGACCAAATTTAATCATTCCATAATCATAGTCATCTACATAGTTAAATTTGTCTTTACTGACCTTGTGTTTAGAAAGAAGTCATGAAAGATAATTTTTTAAAGAAAGAACAGGATATCTTGATATTTTTAACTCCAAGCTACCTTAATTTATGAATTCCCTTACAGAATAGAAAAAAAAATGACAGATGTTATCTTTTATTACTAAATGTTAATGCCATTCCAAAAAAGTGTTTAAATACATGTTTCAAAGGATGATGGTAATCATTCTCTAAGTTAAAATTGGGACTTCATCCTCTGTTTTTTTTCCTTTCCACTTAAACATATTACCATATTGAGCATTTAGTTGTGCCCTGATGTTAATGCTAATTTACTTTAGTCTTTGCAAAAACTTTTCTGAAAACCAAAAAGGCAGTTAACACCTTAGAGCTTATTAAGTTCCCCTTTTGATAATATTAACAATACAAAGAGGAAAAAAGTTGGATAAAATCACATTACCATTTGAATACTAACTTAATTTTTAAAATATTGAACTATAGATGAAATTATAAAAGTTCAATAAATAAGTCAGTGGGTTCGTTACCATTAATTTATGAATAGAAACTTGTACACAATAAATTCTGTTTGTTGTTTATTTTGTATTAGGTGAATATTGGAAATGAATCTAAAATTTAACACTTCAGAAGATACATCCTTGTTAATTTATTGTTTGGGCTAAAACTTGGGCAATTTTCCATTCTTTCATTTCTAGAATTTCCATCTAGTTTGCAAAATTTATTTTTTAACAAAGTACTTTTAATAGATTAAATTCTTTCAAAGTATTTTTTTCAAAAAATAAACCAGTTAAAATGATAAACATGAATCAAAATTAAATTTTGAAATTATGTGATCACTGAGGGCTAAGAATTAGAGAAAAGTAAACATCATTTCAATTTGAACCACCAGTAAAATATTTTGTATTGTTTCTTCTTAGTCATCCTGTATTCCAAAGAAGCATCGAACTATTAAAATACTATATGGATAATATGAAGTGTGTTTTTTGTGTGTGAATTACATATTTGTTATGATTTTTATTCTTTACTGGCGTAAAGGTCAACTTTATTAGCTGTACTTTCTAAATATATCCCAAAAGGAAGAGTGATGACAATGAAGTTACAGTGGAAGATCATTTCATTTGTAAGTTAAAATCACCTAAAGGCAGATGCAGCTCTGTGTTGGGCGTCCTTCACTTGCTCCTCCACATCTGCTCTTTTTCTTTCTCATTCTTTGCCTCAAGAAGCTGCCTCCTGATAATTGCTTTAACAGGTCTTTTCTTCTCTGGTTTCCTGTTGAATTCAACCAGCAGCAATCTCCTGCAGGAGAGTGAAGTTGGAATATTGGTTTCCCTGGCTGACTCCCTGTTGGTTTTTGGCTAAAGGCTGCAGATCCTCTCAGAGGCCCTTGCTGCAGGTCCGAGTCCCCTGACTTTGAGTAGTTACTCCCTCCCCTTCCTTTTCTTCAAGCTTAGGAGGAGTAACCATTTCCCGCCATTGCTAATTCTAGGGATCCACATCATATTCCTTACCCCCTCATTAAACTTTCCTCAATATCTTTTTTCTTGCCAGTATCATGCTCTTTTTCCTGCCAGGATCATGACAACTACACACATTAAAAAAGTATGCCATGATGTTGTTTATGCACATAAGAAGACTTCCAAAATAATTGATATAGTAATTAATAATATAATTTTTGATATGAGGTAAATGATGAATCCATCCATTTCAATGAGCACACTGGCTTTTAGCCATCTCCGTAATCACTAAGTTTCTCTGACTGAAAGGAATGAGCCAACATGCTACAGTCTGCATATGTTGTTTATACACAGTTGTTTATACACACTTTTAAAGAAATATTAAGTTACAGTTTATCTTCAGCATCTAATATATCCATCAGTTGTAATCAAAAAAAAATTTTTCAGTCTCTAATGAATAAGCTTCAAAATATATTTATGACCAACCGTGGTTAGCCAAAAGCACAATGCCGCTCTATTACCATGCGCTGCGTCTGAGCGGTGAGTGCATTTAAATAGCAGAGAGTCATCTTAGCAGAGTGCACAAAGGATTTGCAAAAGATCTCAATTGTAGTAAGTAAACTCCACCACTAAGTGATTATGTGACCTTCATGAAATCACTTAAGCTATCTAAATCAAAGTTCCTCATGAGTTAAGTAGGGATAAAAACCTCTCATTTACTGTTCACAACTAGAACTTTGAGAAATAAACTCAACTCAACTCTGAAATACACCCCTTTAGTGTACGGTAAGTTCTCACTTAACATTACTGATAGGTTCTTGGAGATTGTGATTTTAAGCAAAACCGTATGTAACTAACGAAACCAATTTTACCATAGGCTAATTGATATAAACAACAGTTAAGTTTCTATGGCATATTTCGGGTCACAAAACCGCCACCAATCTTCTAAATATAGACCCACAAGATTTCTAATATTAAACATTGAGATAAATGTGAGCTACACATGTATTTAAGAAAGATTAATACAAGGAAGTAAGATAATTATTTGCCCAATTTTTGGTGAATCAGTGAGTGATGGTCATAGTGGTAGTACGTTAAATCAAGGAATAAATCTTTGCAAAGCAAAAATTGTAAGGAGCACCTCTTACCACCACACAGTTCAAAATCAAATGAAAATATAGCAGGCTTACTGAGCACTTTTTGACTGCATCGTTTATCATCATGTATTTTATGATTATCATAGACTTTGTGAATTTTTATTTTACAATAATGTATATTCATTCCTTTAATTATTTTCCAACCTGCTTATTCCAGTTCAGGGTCTCAGGGCCAGAGCCTATCTCAGCAGCTCAGGGTGGAAGGTAGAAACCAACCCTGGACTGGATGCTATTGCACTGCAGGACACACACACACACACTCACAATGGGGCAATTTAGACACACCAATGAACCTAATGTGCATATCTTTGAAATGTGGGAGGAAATAGGAATACCTGGAACATCCATGTAGACCTGGAGAGAACACAAAAACTCCACATAGACAGTGACCTCAGCTGGGAACTGAATTTTTTTTTTCTCATCAGCGTTATATGGAAAAGACGTTAAACAAAACATTTTTCATGACCTGCTGTATTGTTCAGTTCTACTATTATATTACGTGTATAGTGTGCCAGTGGACTGGAGCTGCCTTCCAACAATTGTGTCTTCATGTAAGCATACCTCAAGTTCCACTTTATATCAACTTTCGGAAGAAAGATCATTATGGGTCTTGACATCATCTTGGCTTGTCCACCTCAGTTCTTATACTTTAGAATTAAGGAATCTGAATCCCAGAGTGGTTAAGTGTATTGTCAAAGATCACACAGCAAAATAGTAACAGAACCAGGATGAGAATTCAAGTCCCTTGACTACCAGTTCAAAGCTCTCTTTAACACAAAACATAGCATTTTATTAGATGTGTATAAAATTTTACAGTTGACAAAATGTTTCCCAATGCATTGCACATGTGACCTACCTGGGAGGTAGGCAGATATGGTAGGCAGAATAATAGTCTCGAAAGATAGCCACATCCTAATCCTCAGAACCTGTGAATATGTTATGTTACACAGCAAAGCAGAATTAAGGTTGTAGATGGAATTAAGGCTGCTAATCAACTGACTTTAAAGTAGGTGGAATAACTCGTATTATCCCTATGGGCACCATGTAATCACAAGAAAGCGGAAGGTAGAAGAGTGAAAGTGACATGTTGTAAAAAAAGACTTGACAGGCTATTGCTGGTTTTGAAAGTGGAAGTGGGTCAGGAGCCAAGGAAGCTGGAAAGGGCAAGGAAACCGATTTTCTCCTACAGTCTCCAAAAGCAATGAGGTCCTGCCAACACCTTGATCTCAGCTCTGGGAGACCCACATCAGTTTTCTGATCTGCAGAACGGCAAGATACTAACTTTGTGCTAGTTTAAGCCACTAAATTTGTGGTAACTTGTCATGGCAGCAATAGGAAACTAATCCACCAAGGTAAGAATTGTTATCCCCAAATTGTAGATATGGACACTAGAAAACTGCGTTTTGTTTTGATGCGTTTAACTAAACCTTCCCATGAATTTATTATTTTTTTATGGTGCCAAGTGGGGAAGGTAGAATATATGAGTGAAATACAATCCTAGACCTCAGGGAATCCAAGGTAAAAGTACTTGTATAGAAATAATACAAGGTACAAGGTGGGGCTGAAAAACACTGGACAAGCTAGCCCGGGGACTGCAGATGCAAGCATCTGCTCTTGAGGCAGTAAATTGAAACAGTGATTCTTATTACTAGTTTCTGTTAAAGTTCCTCAAACTCTTTTACACAGAGATATATCTGACTCTTAGATGGCAGCTCTAAAATTTTGAAGGCCAAATTTAGATCCAGGAAACACAGGAATGCACATACTCACTTCTGATGTTGTCAGATATTGAGAGGGCTTGGGTGGAGCCTTGGAAATGCACTGTAAACTGTAAGACAATTTTGATTCGGGTGGTTATCAGACCACACTTGGAGAAATAATTCTAGACTTTTTGGTGTTGGAAGGTTCTCAGTTAATTTGGGTTTGAGATTACATCGATGCCTCTCTCTGAGAAATTGGGAGCCAAGGGAATGAATGCAAGTTCAGCATTTTTATCAGACACTCCAGATGATTCGTTGGTTTGCACACCCAGTTTTGAAAATCACTACCTACAGTGAGGCAAGCTTAGACCCAATGCCCCAATACATGCTCATAAAAAGGTAACTAGAGATAATGAAAAACAGAGATGCATGCTCCCAAAGAAAGACTTCACATTCTCACTTTATTTCAAAGCCAAATGGATTGTAAGATTAAAGTGACAATTTTCAATCTCTGTTTGAGGACAAGAGAGCCAAGTTTCTGATTAGCTATTTTGAAGCTCAAATTTGTCTGGACAGGGTTTCTATCTCCTTTAAAGAATTCACCATGAAAAAGTCCTCAAGCAACAAGTGATGGGTAGATAAAATACTGTAATTACGATCAAAGTGCAAAGACTCTGTCTATGTAATTACACACTTCCCAACCTCTGCAAGCCACTTTGTTCCATTAAAATAGAATGAGAAATGGACATGGGTGATGTGTACTTATTGGTTAGTCAAGGTTTTGGAAATGACAGTTATTAACATGTGTGTTTTACCATAAACCATAATATTTGGGGGATAACTTAGATTGTGGGAATTAATTCTTGCTCCATCCTTATTTTTATTGTTCGCCTTCCATTCTCTACTTAATCTGACTATCTTATGGTGAATTAGATTATTTGAAGTTCAGAATGAATTCATTAAGCTTAGAAGAATAAATGTAAGGGCTCAAAATCTCTTGCCACTTTCAAATTTCCAGTTCTTTTTTCTTTCGTTTCAAATGAGTAAACCTAATCTGTTAGGTTGAACAGCAAACACCCATTCTCAAATTCCATTAACTCAGGCAGATTTTTCATAATTGAGGGCAAAACCAGCATCATCATAATGTTAAGACTGAGAAAGCATTTTGAGTCAAGAAATACAAAACCGAAGCTAGCGTGATTATTTAGTCAGCCATATGGCCGGCTAGAAAAGGTGTTTAATCTTTTTAAACAGATGTTGATTTATCATGGGAATAAATAATAGAACATATACAGGTTTATAATAGTGGACTATGGGAACTCTTTCTTTTAAAGTCAAGTATATTATGCCTTAAGACTGTTGATTGCATTTAATTTAACCCTCCATCAAATGCTGACATTTTATCAATGTGTTCAATTTTTACAGCTTCCTTAAAAACATCAAACTTTAAATATTTTATTTGAAATTCATCATTAGCTTTTCTTTCTTCTTTATTATTTTCTGGCTCAAAGAAACTTCTGTCTTTGCACTTGAATTTAGTAGTGTCATTTACTTCTTAACTACATAAATAATGAATATATTATTCATTAAAGCTTTCAATGAGGAAATATGCTTTCTTACAACTTTTCCATGACACTGCAACT
Source organism: Homo sapiens (assembly GCF_000001405.40). Classification (NCBI taxonomy): domain Eukaryota; kingdom Metazoa; phylum Chordata; class Mammalia; order Primates; family Hominidae; genus Homo; species Homo sapiens. Next base: position 189,640,188 of record NC_000003.12, read on the forward strand.
GCCTCTATAAAAAAAATTTTCATAAGATGTATTTTTCTATTTTACTTTTTTCCTTTTAACCCTTTTGTTATCTCAGGCAATAAATGAGACAAAATTTTTCAAACTAAATGATGAACAATCAAAACTGACGGGTTTTCTTTCAGCATCTTAATTGATACTGTCTAATATGATAAATCTTTGTACCTTCATAAGCTCATTTTTTAGTACCCTATAGAGGCTGATGTGGCTGTAATTGAGAATTCTGCAACAAAATGTGAAATATTAATGCACGATTTATCTTCAAGTTAGTACTGCTGCAAATGTGGTCCATTGTAAATGTTGCAGTCACACTGACACACTTTTTACAGTCAGATGTTCAATCATTTTTTTCTTGCTGAACAAAAGGCTTCAGTGATGCTCTATAAATGCACTACCGAACCTCTTGTATGATATGCAAGGTGCCAGCCTATGTTCCTACATAAAATGTACATACAATTTTACCTCTGTGTCTTAAATGCTTTAAAGCAGTGAAGTGGAAAGCTTGTTTTTCCCTTCAGCTTTTGACCTCCCTTCTTTTCTTTTGCTCTTTCTCTCTTTCATAGAAGCTCTGCATTCTTTGCTGCTTGTTAGTACAGAATATGCCTGAAAAAGCTAAAAATATTATAGAACACTTTTTTAAAACAAGTCCAAGCTTTGCTTTGCAAAAGTAAAATTGGGCTATTGTGTAAACTAAACTAAGACACTGAAACAGAAACATATCAAAAATATAAACACATAAATAAAACTGGCAAAACATATGCCTTTTGGATTTTATACGATAATTGTTTTTAATACCTAGCCTCTCTGAATTAAGTACATTTAAGAAGATTTGTAAATAGCTGATCTTTAAATAAATTCATAAATTCTATTTGGTTGGGGGGACAAGGAACAATAGGAGAAGGGAAATAGTTCACTTTCATTGTAAACTTAGTAGTTGAGTTTGTAGTTTGAAAGCTACAAAACTACTTAATATTGTTCTGCACATATTTATTAAATACTTGATACTGGATATATGATAAGAAATTTACAACTTCAACATTTTTATGTATTTGTTTTTACTGTAGCAAATTTGGTTCTGAAATAATCTTAATTAAGTGTGAGGTAAAGGAAGATCTTCGAAGCTCAGGTAGAAATATAAATGTCAGAGCATTTTAGATATTCTCAGGTAAAACATACTCAGATAAAAGTAATTGTGACTTGCTACTACTTATATTTCAATAAGTATTTATTACACAAATGAAGTGTTTCTAATAATCATGATGCCAACAAAGAAAAATTTAGTAAAACAATTGTTTTCCATGCCATCTTCTAGGTTCATAATTTTTTTACAAACAAGTTATAATCATAAATAGTTTCAATGTCTTATTCATTAATAAATAATCTAATGAGCACTTTCCAGTTATTATGTAAGTGACTGCATCAGTATCTCATCATATCTATGTAATTTACTACATTTATTATTTCCCTTATTTTTGAACATTTGGTTTGGTTATAATTTTTGTTATTAATTAAGAATGTTATACAACCACCTTTCTTTTGAATTATTTCCTTGGGATAGTTCAATGGTCCAAATATTTAAGGAAAGCAAACTTATACATGTTCAATCTAAACAAGGTATGTAATTTACCTGAATTATCTCATATAACACAGTTCTTAAGTAATATTCCCAGTTTGCAGATGAGAAAAATGATGCTTGGAGATAGCTAACTTAACCAAGGGTGACCTAACTAGTAAGTGGAAAAACCTGTTTGTACTATCATTCTCACCTGAGTCAGGGCTATCTGACCCAAAGATTTTACTGCTTCCCCCACAACATCCTGCCACCTAAGAAGCAAGAGGGCTGGGTAGTAAATGAGTGTATACTTTTTCAAGTTTCTGGAAAACATTACTATTTAAACAGTATGCCAATGTATTTTGCTAAACAGTTGCAGCTTTGAATAGTATTATTTTTAAATTTCATTAAGTTAATAGATGTAAGATGATATGTGGTTTTGATTAGCACTTTTTATTAACTAGGACTTCCGTATTAACTACGGAAACCACAATTACTAATTTTAAAAGACCTCAACGTTTGATTTTGTATTTTTACAAAATGAAAATGAGATATGAACAGCGAAATATGTAGTATTTATTGAATTTTAACTATGTTCCAGGAACTGTTCCAAGCACTTTACACATTTAACTCTCAAACCACCTTTAAAGGTAGTTACTAGTATTATTTCTTTCTAACCAACAGACAATAGTATAACGTTTAAGAGACTGGATTCGGGGGCCAATGCGCATAGGTTCAAAAATCTCACTCTGGCAAATGTTATACCTCCTAACTTAATCTATATGTCTATTTTTTTTTTCATGTATAAAGAAGAGTGATAATAGTAGTACCTACCTGATTGGATTGCCTTAAAAATTAAATGAGTTAATTGTACAAATGACTTAAGACAGAGTCTGGCACACAGTAAGTACTACAGGATGATAGGTCTTATTATTTATATTTTATATGAAGAAATCGAAGCAGAGAGAGGCTGTGTAACCTGTCCTGGGTAAAAGAGCTGGTAGTTATGGGTAGGATTCTGATTTCTATCACATGTTCTTTAATAGTAAGTGCCTTAACTTTCAGTAAATTCTATATAGAAATGATTTTAAAGCATAAATAAAACATGACAGAAAACTGCAAAAACTAATAATTTAACATTCTAGAAAAATGGTCTGAGTCTAAAGAGGAAATATATTTCCAAGTATCACTCACACCCTTAACTTAATTCCAGACAGCCAAATTTATTTATTTATTTATTTATTTATTTATTTATTCATTTTAGATGGAGTTTTGTTCTTGTCGCCCAGGGTGGAGTACAATGGCGCAATCTCAGCTCACTGCAACTTCTGCCTCCCGGGTTCAGGCAATTCTCCTGCCTCAGCCTCCCAAGTAGCTGGGATTACAGGCACATGCCGCTATGCCCAGCTAATTTTGTATTTTTAGTAGAGATGGGGTTTTGCCATGTTGGCCAGGCTGGTCTCGAACTCCTGACCCCAGGTGATCTGCCCGCCTCAGCCTCTCAAAGTGCTGAGACTACAGGCGTGAGCCACTGCACCCGGCCCCAGACAGCCAAGTTTGAGGACAGTCTATTCTCCCTCTGGAAATAAATGTTTCCATTAGAACCCTTACAGACAGGGGCTTAACTTTGAAAACTTAGAGTTGCCCAGTTTGGAAACTTGGAGTCACTTACTTCAAAAGCTATCCTTTAAACTGATTAAAAAAAAAAAACCCTCAATGCTTTTGCTCCCCTATTTCTGTTGATAACTCAGAAATCTCTCATTTACCAATTTCTGTTACTGAAATTTGGTGATGTGGATCAAGCCCTCCTCCATGAACTCTTGACACAATCAGATTAATTAATTTCCACTCTATCAATGTGACTGTTTTTTCCCTAATGTGGTACTTCAGCTCACCATCATTTCTTTCCATCTCTGTTCTTTTTATCTTTTATGCTTTTGCTAGCTTGTCTTAACTGAAGGCTTTTCTTTCTCTGAAAACATCTACATCGCCCATGGTTCTTTAGTAGAAGCAATGCCTTCTGCACAAACTCCTTTTCATTGCGGTGGACAGGAGAAGAAACTATCATATTTTTTAGACAACACTGCTGTTTTGGGATCATAGTTGACCCATGGTTACTCAATAATTTCACGTTTTCTGAAATCTCAACCATCAAAGTGATTTACTGACCTTTATGACAATACACTGATCTTCAGAAAGCTCTCCTCTGTTACATGGCTCCATTTTCCTCTTTACTGTGGCATCTCATCTGCCAGTTCTTTGGGAACTCTATTCCCTTTTGATTGCCTTCCCACAATGTTGTCTTACAGTCCCTCTGCCTTTTCAGCTCAAGAAGCTCCCATTTCCACTTCAGGTACCAATCCACACAAATGCCCTGGGTTGTTCATCATTACCTGAAATTATCAGGCCCAAATCACACAATCTTACACTTTCCTTTCTGGCCACTATCTCCTCTCTCATACCCCCAGCTTGCACCAAGTCCCTTCCCCTCTCTCATACCCCCAGCTTGCACCAAGTCCCTTCCCCTCTCTCATACCCCCAGCTTGCACCAAGCCTGTTCCTTCTGCACACCCTCACAATCTTCCCTGTGAAAATTTATTCCCTTCTTCAAAGTTTGTCTTAATTTCTATTTATTTCATAATGTATTTTGTGCATATTCACTTATGAGTTTCTGTTCACCTACTAGACCCTACTACTTAAAGTGAAATGCATAGAATAATACAAAATGTGGGGCCCACATCAGTCCTACTAAATGAGAATCTGCATTTTATTTATTTTTATTGTTTCAATAGTTTTGGGGGAACGTGGTTTTTGGTTACATGGATACGTTTTTTAATGCTGATTTCTGGGATTCTGGTGCACCCATCACCTAAGCAGTCCACACTGTAACCCAAAAGTGAGTAGTCTTTTATCTCTCACTTCCCAACCACTCTTCCCCTTGAGTGTCCAAAGTCCATATATCATTCTTATGCCTTTGAGTCCACATAGCTTAGCTCCCACTTACAAGTAAGAATATACCATATTTGATTTTCCATTCCTGAGTTATTTCTCTTAAAATAATGGTCTCCAATTCTACCCAGGTTGCTGCAAATGCCATTATTTCTTTCCTTTTTATGGCTGAGTAGTATCCCATTGTGTATATACACCACATTTTCTTTTTTTTTTTTTTATGGTGAAATGGTACTTTTATATTGGACCCTACCTTTTCCCACCCAATTCAGTTTGAGACAGAGCAACAGAGGCACTGTAAGGGACTATGGCTGTCTTCCTCGATATTCAGACATCCTAGTTTCCAATAATTTGTTATGTACCTGTTACCCATGAATCGATATAAACCTATTCATATTTAGGGATTAGTTTCCACAAGTACTAAGTTGAATTTCCTTTTATTTGTCCTAAAATGCTTACTTTCAAACTTGAAGGGACTTCAATTATTCCATGTAGTTTTCAATAATATTCTTTTATCTTTTCAGACCAGAGTCAAAATATTCGTACAGTATTCATACTGCAGCACCTTCCACACACCCTTTGGTCTCTTGAACTGCCCTTCTTTGGTTCCTTTTCCACTTTCAGATCTTTCTTGAAGTCTAGTAAGCAGAACTGTACTGGGTATTCCAGCTGCAGTTTGGTCTGTCATTGTTGGAATGACTTCTGCTACTCCATGGTCTTCCAGCTGGTCTATTTCTAGGATTATATGATCTTCTTTTTTAAATTTTTTTTTATTTTTTATTGTGTTTTTTAATTTTTTTATTATTTATTTTATTATACTTTAAGTTCTAGGGTACATGTGCACAACGTGCAGGTTTGTTACATATGTATACATGTGACATGTTGGTGTGCTGCACCCATTAACTTGTCATTTAGCGTTAGGTATATCTCCTAATGCTATCCCTCCCCACTCCCCCACCCCACGACAGGCTCCAGTGTGTGATGTTCCCTGCCCTGTGTCCATGTGTTCTCATTGTTCAATTCCCACCTATGAGTGAGAACATGCAGTGTTTGGTTTTCTGTCCTTGTGATAGTTTGCTCAGAATGATGGTTTCCAGCTTCATCCATGTCCCTACAAAGGACATGAACTCATCCTTTTTTATGGCTGCATAGTATTCCATGGAATATACACCACATTATCCACTATGTTGGTTGATGGGCACATAAGCTGATTCCATATTTTTGCATTTGTGAATTGTGTTACTATAAACATATGTATACAAGTGTCTTTTTCATATAATGACTTCTTTTCCTTTGGGTAAGAATCTGTATTTTAACAAGAACTCAAGGTGATTTGTGAACACATTCAATTTGAGAAGCATGGATCTAATCCAGTGGTTCCCAAGGTGTGATCCCAAGAGTACAACTGTAGCACCTGGGAATAGTATTAGAAATGCAAATTCTCAGGTCCACATGTGTACTATTGAATTTAAAAACTTGAAGTTGTAGTTCAACAATCTGTATCTTAACACAGTTAACAGGGAATTCTGATGCACATGGAAGTTTGAAAACCTGACCATACAACTGACAAGGGGAGGGGTTGTCTTGTTAATTTTGGTCTTCTCTGTAGGTGTAGGGTATGCGTTTTACAAATGCATAGGAAGTGACCGAGCAAATGGATGAATGAATGAGTGAAGGACGCTCTTGCTTATCTCACAGATAATATGTATTGTTTTCTTCTCTGATACAACTTTATACTTCACATATGGTATTTACATTTACTTACTTCAATGACTAAACTTTTAATTATTTCTGGATATACATTATAGCTAACATTGAGTCATGTATATTATAAATATTCAATAAATGTCTAATTTGATTGAAATAATTCTATTATACATTCTTCTACTTTTGGTCCCACCCCCACCACCATACACCTTTCCCTTTCACGACACATTGCTTCAGGCCAAGTGAAGGAACAAACACAAGATATAAGGCAGGTGGGAATCTGACCTATAGAGATTTGTCTTCTCATAATAACAAAAATACATCTTAAAAACAAAGTCGAAAATAAAAGTGAGAAAAGCAAATAAATCTGGTTTGAGGCTACACGTAGTTGCTGGCCACACCCATAATTTATTCTTTTATAAAATGCCTTTGGTTGCCATGTTGAATCATGTGAGAACATGTGGAGTGCAAACACTGTTGGAAACAAAGGGAGCTTGGGTCTGAAATAGGCTTTTCCAGTCATAAGAGAATGCCACGATTTTCATTGCTCAAAGCATGCTGCTTAGTTTCAACCAGTGAAATGAAATCGTCAGGCTGGGTAACTAATGGTGACTCTTGGCAGCAGTGTTTTGTGGATCCTTTTCATTGAACAGGGACAGACTATAAATAATAGCATTTGTTTAGCACTTGGTCGCTTCCAAGAACTCCAACAGCCTTAACAAATAGACATCAGTGTTCTTTGCCAGCTCACAGGTGGTTAGTTTTTAATACCCGGTAAGGAGGGTTGCTATAAGTAGATAGCAACACGAATGCTGATGAGGTCCTTCAGTTTAAGACCTTAGGCTAACAGTGACTATTTTGTCATTCTAGGCTTTTCTTAATTAGTCATACCCTAAACCAGTAGGTCTTCCCTGGGGCACTAAAAATGTCCAAAAGTATGAATATCTGCGTTAAGGCAATGATTGATTAATATATCTAAGTTTCGTGATGAACAGTTGACCAAAGTCACTAAATATGACTCATATTTCAGCAACCTACCTCTAAGATGGTCCAACTCAACAGGTCCTCCTCTGGTGCCTTCTTCAGTCATACACAATGATCCAGAGGGTTGACAGAGGATCCGTTGATTATATTTATCTGGAAAGCCATTGCAAGCTCTACGTGGATTGTTTTTAGGGAGATGGGGGGATATCTCTCAGGAAACCTGACATCCCTTTTTTCAGTTACGTCATGCTATAAGATACGCAAGCTGTCTGGTCATTGTGTATGCAGCCCTTGTAGGAAGACCGAAGCCAAATTATCAAAGAACATTGTCTTAAAGAAAAAAAAAGTAAAACAAACCTCTACCCTGCCTTCTCCCATCCATCGCTATAGATGTTTCCATGAATAGAAAATTTAGTAATAAAAATCATGAGATTCAAAACAAGTGACTAAAAAGTATGCGTACATTTTAAAGATAATGTTATTTATTTCACTTGCAATGGAAATGTTGCTTCTTTTGAAAGCAATCACTATTAAGAGAGCCTATGATATAGACTGTATTTCGTAACTAAGATTAAAGATTTCACATAGAAAGATTAAATAAACGAATTTCAAAAGATTTTACAGTAATGTTTTTTAAAGATATGTTATTACAACTGGTTACTCCAGTAGAAGTATGTAGGCTCTGTAATTTTAAGAAAGCATATTTATAATATAGTTTTAAACATTTAAAGAAACCAAAAATAAAGAACAAGAAGTAATGGAAGAGGAGGAAAGTCTTTAAATGGTAGTGTGTGTTCGAATGCCATGGCCCCATATTTATTGCAACCTGACCCCCTTCCCTTCACACATTCTCAATTCCTAGTTTCTTATTTATGTTATTTTGTCCATATAACACACATCACCTTTGAAAATACAATTTAGTTTACTTTTTTATTATGCTTATTGTTTCTTATCTGTCTCTTCACTTTGGAAAGTAAGCTCCATGGAGGACAGACATTTGTCTACTTTGTGCCCCAATTCATCCCAAGCACCTAGGCCACAGGCTGGCACACAGAGGTGCTCAGTCAATAACTACTGACTGAATGAATTACGGAGAAATCATTAATAAATAATTCTTGGTACATTTACTTATATTGCTTTTCCTGACCACTGGGATACAATTTCTTTTAAATGAGTGAAAAACAAGCTTATTGAAAAAAAGAAACTTTTCTCTCTCATTAGGATAAATGAATCTTAACAGGATTGAGTAATTAACTCCAAATCACAAAGCTGGTTAGTGGGAGAACCAAGACTTAATAGCCAGAATGTCACACTCAGAATTCAGTGTTCTTCCTAAATCTTACCATTATCCTGTTTATACGTCTAGATATCTTGTTTGCTCAAATCCCTCATAGTCGTTTAGGACTTTGTCATGTAAAACCATTTCACATATAGTATTTGAGCCATAGAACTATTATTAGTTTCATTTTATAGATAAAGAAACTGAAGGTTAGAGTGTTAATGACTTGCTGAAGATCACATAGATGCCTAATTAATGGCAAAGGCAGGATTAAATTCCTGGAATCTAATCAAATAGCCTTGTTGTTATTACATAGTTCTCTCTAGTTACTGTTCATTTTAAAAATGTACTAAGCACCATCTATGGGCTAAGCCTTATACCAGGCACTAGTTAGCAAAAAGTTATTCATGCTATTATGGAAGTGTATCTTCAGTCCATAAATGAACACATGATATATTGGGTGGTGGTAAGTCTCTGCATAAAAATGAGGAAAATAACAGATATATACAGAGAAAATGAAAGGGTTGAAAACGATGCTATTCACAATAGCAAAGAAATGGAATCAACATAAATGCCCATCAATGGTAGACTGGACACCATGGAACACTATGCAGCGTGAAAAAGAATGAGATCATGTCGTTTGCAGGAACATGGATAGAACTGGAGGCTATTATTCTTAGCAAACTGATGCAGGAATAGAAAACCAAATAGCATTATGTTTCACTCATAAGTGGAAACTAAATGATGAGAACGCGTGGACACAGAAATGGAAACAACAGACACTGGGACCAATTGAAGGATAGAGGGTGAGAGGAAGGAGAGGATCAAAAAATAATAATTAATGAGTGCTAGGCTTAATACCTGGATGATGAAATAATATTTACAGCAGAGCCCTGTGACATGAGTCTACCTATACAACCAACTTGCACATGTACCCCCAAACTTAAAAGTTAAAAAGAAAGGAAAACAGTGCTATATTAACTGGGATGGTCATCTAATAAGGCCTGTCAGATTAAGAGACTCAATGAATTCAACTGCATTTTAGAGATCTGAGCGACATGGATCTGAGGGGAATGAGGATGGAACTTGGTAGAGAAAGAGCATTCCAGACAAGGAGTGTAAGATCAGAGTGGCTGGAACAGAGTGAATAAGAACAGGGAAATAGGAGAAGAGAGCAACTGATGAGGAACAGGGATGTGACGTGTAGGTAAAAGTAATGATTAACTTTTTTTCAAAGGATTTTATTGTCTCATATTTTAAAGAATGACTTTGACTCTATGCTGTGTAGGAAATAAATGTATAGACCAAGTTTAGGGGCTATTGTTCTATATGAGAATTTATGGTGCTATGTACTAAGGTGGGGAAGCATGGTAGCATCAAGCACACATTTCAAAAGTTGACCAATGGAATAGTTGACGTTTACAGAGATTGACCTCACTTAATTCTTGGGTGTCATCCATAGGAGGGCATCTGGTTTTCACAGCATGGCATTACCTTACCTGAGTGAATATATGTCAATCCAAAGCTGGTTCTCAGCTTAGAGAACTTGGAAGCCTGATATGTCCGCAAAAGATCAATTTCTTGTTTAACAAAACACTCAAAGATTGATATATGAGAAGGAGAAAACCAATCAATGCATTACCTCTTACAATAAGAAATGTAATTTATCTTGAATAAGCTTCTGTTGATTGATGAGTGATATGGTTTGGCTGTGTCCCCCGCCCCAAATCTCATCTTGAATTGTAGTTCCCATAATCCCCATCTGTTATGAGATGAACCAGGTGGAGAAGATTGAATCATGGGGGCAGTTTCCCCCATCCTGTTCTCATGATAGTGAGTTCTTATGAGATCTGATGGTTTTATAAGGGGCTTCCCACTTCACTGGACACTCTTTCTTCTCCTTCCTGCCACCATGTGAAGAAGGATGCATTTGCTTCCCATTCTGCCATGATTGTAAGAGTCCAAAGGCCTCCCCAGCCATGCTGAACTGTGAGTCAATTAAAACTATTTCCTTTATAAATTAACCAAATCTCAGGTATGTCTTTATTAGCAATGTGAGAATAGACAAGTACACTAAATTGAAACCAGAAGTGGGGTGCTGCTATTAGGATAGCCAAAAATGTGGAAGCGACTTTGGAGCTGGGTAACAGGCAGAGGCTGGAACAGTTTGGAGGACTCAGACGAAGACAGGAAAATGGGAGAAAGTTTGGAACTTCCTAGAGATCCGGAGGGCTCAGAAGACAGGAAGATGTGGGAAGGTTTGGAACTTTCTGGAGACTTGTTGAATGGCTTTGACCAAAATGCTGATAGTGATATGGACAGTGAAGTCCAGGCTGAGGTGGTCTTAGATAGAGATGAGGAACTTGTTAGGAACTGTAATAGAAGTGACTCTTGCTTTGCTTTAGCAAAGAGACTGGCAGCATTTTGCCCTGCCCTAGAGATCTGTGTGACATTGAACTTGAGAGAGATTATTTAGGGTATCTAGCAGAAGAAATTTCTAACTGGCAAAGTGTCCAAGAGGAAGCAGAACATAAAAGTTTAGAAAATTTGCAGCCTGGTGATGTAATAGAAAAGAAAAACCTGGCAGAGCCAGGTGCAGTGGCTCACACCTGTAATCCCAGCACTTTGGGAGGCCAAGGCAGGTGGATAACTTGAGGTCAGGAGTTCAAGACCAGCCTGGCCAACATGGTGAAATCCAATCTCTTCTAAAAATACGAAAATTAGCTGGGCATGGTGGCAGAAGCTTGTAATCTCAGCTACTTAGGAGGCTGAATCAGGAGAATCGGTTGAACCCAGGAGGCAGAGGTTGCAGTGAGCTGAGATTATTCCACTGCATTTCAGCCTGGGCAACAGAGTGAGATTCCATATCAAAAAAAAAAAAAAAAGTAAAGCAAAGAAAAACCCATTTTGGGGGGAGAAATTCAGGCCCAAGCTGGCTGCAGAAATTTGCATAAGTAACGAGGAGCCGAATGTTAATCACTGAAACAATGGGGAAAATGTCTCCAGGGCACATCAGAGACATTCACAGCAGCCCCTTGCATCATGGGCTGGGAGGCCTAGGAGGGAAAAAATGGTTTCCTGGGCTGAGTCCAGGGCCCCCTGCTCTGTGCAGCCTCGGGACATGGTGCTCTGCGTCCCAGATGCTTCAGCTCCAGCTGTGGCTAAAAGGGGAAAAGGTACAGCTAAGGCTATTGCTTCAGAGGGTGCAAGCTCCAAGCTTTGGCAGCTTCCACATGTTGTTGGTCCTGTTGGTGCTCATAAGACAAGAATTAGGGTTTGGGAACCTCCACCTAGATTTAAGAGGACGTGTGGAAACGCCTGGATGTCCGAGCAGAAGTTTGCTGCAGGAGTAGAGCCTCATGGAGAACCTCTGGCAGAGTGGAAGGGAAATGTGGGGTTGGAGCTCCCACACAACATCTTCACTGGGCCACTGCCTAGTGGAGCTGTGAGAGGAGGACCCAAAATGGTAGATCTACTTACAGCTTGCATAGTGCACCTAGATAAACCACAGACACTCAACCCCAACCATGAAGGCAGCCAGGAGGGGGGCTGTACCCTGCAAAGCCACAAGGTGGAGCTGTCCAAATCCATGGGAGCCCACCTCTTGTATCAGCGTGTCCTGGATGTGAGACATAAAGTCAAGGAGATCATTTTGGAACTTTCAGATTTAAGGACTGCCCTGTTGGATTTCAACCTTGCATGGGGCCTATAGCTCCATTGTTTTGGCCAATTTCTCCCATTTGAAATGGGTGTATTTACCCAATGCCTGTACCCTTATTGTATCTAGGAAGTAACTAGCTTGCTTTTAATTTTACAGGCTCATAGGCAGAAGGGACTTGCCTTGTCTCAGATGAGACTTTGGGCTTGGACTTTTGGGTTAATGCTAGAATGAGTTAAGACTTTGGAGGACTGTTGAAAAGTCATGATTGTGTTTTGAATTGTAAGAACATGAGATTTTGGAGGGGCACAGTGCAGAATGATATGGTTTGGCTGTGTCCCTACTCAAATGTCATCTTGAATTTTAGTTCCCATAATCCCCACGTGTCATGGGAGGGATCAGGTGGAGATAATTGAATCATGGGAGCAGTTTCCCCCATCCTGTTCTCATGATAGTGAGTTTGTTTTCATGAGATCTGATGGTTTTATAAAGGGTTTGCCACTTTGCTGGGCGCTCATTCTTCTCCTTCCTGTCACCATGTGAAGAAAGATATGTTTGCTTCTCCTACTGCCATGACTGTAAGTTTCCTGAGGACTCCCAGCCATGTGGAACTGAGTCAATTAAACCTCTTTCCTTTATAAATTATTCAGTCTCAGGCATGTCTTTATTAACAGTGTGATAATGGACTAATATAATCAGCATGTTCTTTTTCTATAGATATAGAGGACAGAAAATTAGGTCCAGAATGTTGCCAGATAAGTATGGCATCGCAGAAAATAGGAAATAAATGGAGAATTTAATAGCATGATTCATCCATCTACCTATAGCTAATTCCATAAAGATATACCTATTAAAAGGACCATATAGTTACTCATGTTCTTGGTCCAGAACATACATATGCCAGGACAGAGTGGGAGAACCTAGAGTCAGGATATCTCTTTCTCTCTTGTGGTTTCTCGACACTGACCAAAGACCAAAACATCCTTCAACAGCCTGACTAGCACATTTGTACTTTAGATATGTTAATATATTTGATAGGTTTCATTCTATTTTTAACCTGAAATTAATCCATCTGTTTGATGACTTTGTCAATCAGATCCAGTGTTTATATATTTTTCACTCATGAGGACAATCAATCTTATTTCTCAGTTTCTATGTTGTAACCATTATATGTCACAATTATAAACTATGTTATGTAATTTTCCTAGATTTCTACTAAGTAGACTTATCTGCTAATTTCAGCTGGTTGTACCAAAACAAGTGCAGTCTCTTTTCAAATTTTAGTACCTGCTTTTGCTTTTTGTTTTAAATTACTCTACTTAAACTAATTTTCCTCATGTGTCAGTTGAGTCAACCTAAAACTAGACCTTTGTGAATATATGGCACTCAATCTTTCATAAACTGCAATTGTTAACCAAAGATTCAGTCAGTATTTAATTTTCTTAAAGCTTTTCTCACAAACCATATTTAACTTATAATAAAGGTGCTTGTCTAGTTTTCCATAATCTTTATATGTTTAAGGGATTAAATCTAAACAGATTTCTTACTGTTTGTTATCTTAGCACCAAACCAGTGTTAGAGAGAAGCATCTTGAGTGTTTCATGGGGTCCTAAGTGCTTAGGGGAGAAATAATTGAATTTCAATTCATCTTCCACTATGGCTGAAGAGATTTAAAGATTCAAATAATGACTAGAACCTCTCTCTTCATGCATTTATGTTATTCTCAGTAAATACTGTATACCTAGTCTCCCATTTATTTGTGAGACAAGTTTGTACTTATTAGCCTAAGCTGAGAAAACATGTATCTCATTTGCCAGTAAAATGTCTTAAAGACAAAACCAGTTGAAGTATCCCACTAAACATTTGAAACAAACATTTAAGTAAAAGAATGTTAATACCAAGCCTTTTGTAAAAAAAAAAAAGAAAAATTGCAATCATTACAAATAATCAAAATGGCAGGACTCATGGCAGAATGAAAAAAATATATAGATTATTAAACTGAAATGTATGTGAAAAAATCCATTTTCTTCCACAGGCTATAGGACAAGAAAACCAGTCTGGCTTTAGATTAACTAATTATTTTGTTTACTGGCTTTGATATTAGAACTAAAGAAGCTCATGTTACTATTTAGGAATTTTACTAAGGAGTAAAAAATAAACACATTTTTGATGTTATACTTTTATTATTGCATTAATTAATTTTAAGAAGTACTTTTCAATGGAATCTTTGTGGTAGAGATGTATTACCAATGTTTACCTTGGGATAGCCTGGGGTTTTCAGATATGCTAAAGTTATAATGGCTTTTTACAAAAATATATTTAAAAACCCTAAAAAATGATTAATGGAATATGCAAGCTGAAAAAAATCTATTAATTACAAAGCCCTTTTACATATGTATGAATGACCCAGTTATGTAGAAATTTTTGTGTGTGCTGAGTTTCACTCAGATTTCAACATAAAATCTCCTGGCTCAACTATTTTGCCATGTCATTTTATTTTCCATTGTAACATGCCCTCAATGTAATGTCTTGTTCAATGTGTTGAGCTGGAAGGGATTTTAATTAGGTTAGAGGAGAGAAGCCAAATTTTAGGTTTTGCATTCCACTGAGAACACCTGGATGGAAATATCACGGAACAGTTCTTGAACTATATAGGACTCTGCAGTGACTACTGCAGTGCTGTTAAGTCTTGATCATCGGTTAGAAAGAAACGCCATAATTAATCTCTTTATGGACTCACAGAATTTGGGAGAATAAAAGGAAGACTGGAGATCATTTTTGTTTATTTTTAGTCTATTGGAACACAATGTAAATGAAAATTGAGATCTCTGCTTCTATAAAAGTTTTAAAAAATTATTTTAGGAGACTTCTTGGTTAGCCCTAAAATGCAAGGAGCTTGGAGGTTGTCACTCCTCTTACGACAAGAAAAAGCTGGACAAATCAATAACTTTTTTTGAACCCACCAGAAAACAGAGACTGTAGGATGAATGGCCACAAACAAATCTGGAGAGTGGGCGTGGTGGCTCACATCCCTAATCTCAGCACTTTGGGAGGCCGAGGCGGGTGCATCACCTGAGGTCAAGAGTTCGAGGCCAGGCTGGCCAACATGGCAAAACCCCATCTCTACTAAAAATACAAAAATTAGCTGGGCATGGCACATGCCTGTAGTCCCAGCTACTTGGGAGGCTGAGGAAAGAGAATTGCTTGAACCCAGGAGGTGGAGGTTGCAGTGAGGTGAGCTCATGTCACTGGACTCCAGCCTGGGCGACAGAGTGAGACTCTGTCTCAAAAAAAAAGAAAAAATAAAATAAATCTGGAGAGACAGATGCACATAGAGAAACTGCTTAGCTAGAACAGAAGCCATAAAGTGGTAAGAACACTTAGTTGGTAAATGTGATAAATTGTTTGAGGCTGTGTAGACTATCTATCTTAACAGTGAGAAACCCCTTGACACTTCAGTCTTAGAAAAAACCCACACATTGTTGGGCTTTTCTGTCATTAACCCATCAGGTTCTCACTGTAGGGATCTGAGTACAAGAGAAGAGGAAGTGGAACTTTTGTGAAATATACACAGAATTTTTTCATAACCCCACAAATGACCTATTATCCATAAGAAAAGACATTGACAGGGACTCATTGCTTTTGGGAGAAGGAAATTCTTCCTGACTCTTGCCTTATCCAGGTTTAATGCCTTAGTAAGAAAGAAAAATAACATAATCAACAAGATTGTATAATAATTGAGAATAAACAAACATAAAATATTTACTTTTTTTATCCTTAATTGGCCTGAAAGAAAACTGTTTAAAACAATAGTAAATAACAATGTATTAAATGATTAAAGTGTATAGCAGGGTGAAATGAATTACATCAATATCACATGGGATGAGAGAAGAATTGGGAGTTCTCTATTATAAGAGAACATGTACTACCCATAAGATAGTGTAGTGTTATTTGGAGACAGACTTAGATTAGTTAAAAGTGCATATTTCAACTCTAAATCACTAAAAGAATGTTTAATTGCAATTTTTACATAAATAGAGGAGGCAAAATGGTCTTATATAATATGCTTAGTTAAAACCAAAGAAGGCATAAGGGTATGTATGGGAGATGGGGAACAAAGAACATAAGCAATGAATAAAAAGAGTTTCAAACAAGGTAAGTACAAATGTACCTCAACCAATCATCACATTAAATGTGAATGGTTTAAACATACCAAGTAAAAGACAGAGATTGTCAGGATAGAATAATAAAAAACAAAAGCTCAAATATAAGTTGTCTGTAAAAAACTCACTTTAAATACAAGGACAGAGATATTTTAAGGGTAAAGAGATATAAAATATATGCCATGCTAACACTAATATAGAACAGCTATATTCATAAGGGACAAAAAACAGATTTCCAAAGCCTGAGGACCACATGGTAACAACAAGGTTAATTCTCTAAGAATACATAGCAACACTAAATGTGTATGCACCTAACAACATATCACCAAAATGTATGTCTCCAAAACAGAAAGAAGTGAAGGGGAAAATAGACAACTTTATTATTAGGGTTTGAAATTTTAACACCAAAAATTGGAAGCAACCAAGATGTTCTTCAACAAGTGAGTGAATAAACTGCAGTGCATCCCATTCATACAATGAAATATTACTCAGCAAAAAAAAGAAAAAATATTATGAAGCATGCAAAAAAAAAAAAAGACAACAAGAATCTCAAATGCATATTGCTAAGGGGAAGAAGCCAATCTGAAAAGTCTTCATACTGTATGATTGTGATTTTGTGACATGCTGTAAAAGGTAAAACTATAGAGCTAAGAAAAAGATTACATGTTGCCAGGGGTTTGGGGTAAAGGGAAAAATATTTAATAGAAGGTACATAGGAGATTTATTTTTGGGCAGTGAAACTATTCTGTATAATACTGCAGTGATGCATACATGATATTATGAATTTGTCAAAACCAAGAGACCATTACGGCATAAAAAATGAACCTCAATGTATATAAATTTTGTGAAAATTTGGAGATCAAGCATTCTCCAGTGGAAGGCAGAATGGGGTAAAACAGTTTTACAATATTACAGATTAGTGAAACAACCTCACTGAAGGAGATGAAAAAGGTGCTGACCTAAGTAACTTTAGAAATAAATAGAGACTATAAAATGAAGACAAAAGAACTAGACATAAAAATTGCACTCTCTTTGATGAAGCTTTTACCTGTGGAGATACAATTTAACAATATTGCAACAACAAATGTATACTGGAATTGAACAATTAAACAAATGGATGGTACATGGTAAGAACCATATTTATCTATTGGAGTAGGAGATTACAACAGATAAGCAATGAAAGAAAATGAGAGTGATTCATGTGGTAATGGATTAGAGTTACAGACATCAGTGTGAATTTATTTATGTTTACCTTGTATTAGATATGGATGGTTATATATAGAAATATCAATATGCATATGTTCAAGTGTTTGTATACTTTCATATTTCCTTGCTCTACCAACTGATGGCCTCGGAGGAGTGATGTCCCAGGAGCAAAGGGCATATTCCTTGATTCTAGGACTGGTACAGAAGCAAGGACACCTAAGTAGTTACAAGCACACTTTCATCCAGAATTTGATTTCTAATACTAGCTTCTTATATCTGTTCCTACTACCAGAGCTTCTTGGAAAAGTGGCAATTCTCAAACTAGGGTAAGACATATACAAGATAAAACTGATGCATCCTGTGTTTTCAAAAAGTAAAGCGTTTCTAACAACAGAAACAATCCACAAAACATAATAACGGGGATATGTCAGTGGTACAAAGGCACCAACTGAAGAGCTCCCAACCCACAAAAAGGGAATGATTTCAGTAACAAAATTAATAAAGTAGTATTGGGTTGTAATACAAAATATTAAATGAATATTCATGATTCCACACTAATATGAATAAATTATTGGATAAGCAAATTAATATAGGAGAATAGAAATACTTGAAGAAAGGGATTTCAAATAATTTTTGTAGATATTCTGCCCTCAAGCAGGTGAAGCCCTCACTCCTTAAGTACGGGCTGCATGTAGTACTTCCAACCAAAAATACAGCATAGAAAGGGGAAAAAAAAGAAGAACTTAAAAGTGAGAAACTTTGCAAACACTCCTCAGACAGGTGATCAAGAAAAATATCAACAGTGACAATTCAAGTAGATAGTATGTAGCCTTAACAAGATGTAGTAAAAATGGCTTTGATCCCCCTTGGTTTTCTTTTAAAAATCCATAACGCTAATTCTAATCATGAGAAAACATTAGACAAATTTCAGTTAAGGGGCATTCTACAAAATGTGTGACTAGTGCTCCTCAAAATTTTAAATGTCATCAAAACATGGAAAATTTGAAAAACTGTTGTAACTAAGAGCCAAATGAGATATGATGAATAAACATAATGTGGTATCCTGTATGGAATTTAGGAGAAGAAAAAGGAGATAAGCAAAACTAAGGAAATATGAATAAATTATGGGACTTTAGCCTATCTAACTCAGTTGGTAGAGAATGAGACTCTTCAGTTATGGACTTTGATAATAATGTATCGGTATTGGTTCATTAATTGTGACAAACGTACATACTAATATATGATGTTAATAATAGGGAAACTGAGTCAGGGTAAAGGGAAACTGTCCTATCTTTCAATTGTTCTGAAATATAACGCTATTCTAAAATAAAAGTTTATTAACTTATTTATTCATTTATTTTTAATTATTTCAACTTTTATTTTAGATTCATGGGGTACATGTGCAGTTGTGTTGTATGAATATATTGCATGATGCTGAAGTCTGGATTATGATTGATTCCATCACCCAGTACCCAATAGTTCATTTTTCAACCCTTGCCCCATCTCTCATTCCCCACTCTAGTAGTCACCAGTGTCTACTGTTGCCATCTTTATGTCCCCGTATACCCAATGATTAGCTCCCACTTATACATGAGAGCATGCAGTATTTGGTTTTCTGTTCTGCATAATTCACTTAGGATAATGGCCTCCAGCTGCATCTGTGTTGCTGCAAAGAAGATGATTTCATTCTCTTTTATGGCTGTGTAGTATTCCATGTTGTCTATGTACCATATTTTCTTTATCTAATCCACTATAATGGGAACCCCAAATGGGCACCTTGATTAATTCTGTGCCTTTACTGTTGTGAAGAATGCTGAGAGGCACATATGAGTGCATTTTTAATAAAATATTTTTTTCTTTTGTGTATGTACTCAGTAATGGAATTGCTGGGTCGAATGGTAGTTCTGTTTTAAGTTCTTTGAGAAATCTCCTAATTGCTTTGCACAGTGGCTGAACTAATTTACATTCCCACCAACAGTGTATAAGCATTCCTTTTACTAGGCAGCATTTGTTACTTTTTGAGTTTTTAGTAATAGAAATTCTAAATGGTATGAGATGGCATCTCATTGTGGTTTTGACTTGCATTTTCCTGATGGTTAGTGAAGTTAAGCATGTTTTTTCATGTGTTTGTTGGCCACTTGTATGTCTTCTTTTGAGAAGTTTCTGTTTACATCTTTTGACCATTTTTAATGGATTAGTTGGTTTTGGTTTTTCCAATTGTTTAAGTTCCTTTAGATTCTAGATACTAGACCATTGCCATATATATAGTCTGTGAATATTTTCTCCCATTATGTAGGTTTTCTGATTACTCTGTTGATAATTCCTTTTGCTTCACAGAATCTCTTTAGTGTAATTAGGTTCCACTTGTCAATTTTTGTTTTTGTTGCAATTGCTTTTGAGGACTTCATCATAAATACTTTCCTAAGGCTGATGTCCAGAAAGATGTATCTAAGTTTTCTTCCAGGATTCTTATAGTTTGCAATCTTAAATTTAAATCTTTAATCCGTTTTAATATTTGTTTATGATGAAAGGTAGGGGGTCCAGTTTCATCTTCTGCATATTGGTTAGCCAGCTATCCCAGCACCATTGATTGACTATGGAGTCCTTTCCGCATGCTTATTTTTGTTGATTTTGTCAAAGATCATATGGCTATAGGTGTATGGCTGTCTGTCTGGGTTCTCTATTCTGTTCCATGAATGTATGTGTCTGTTTTGGTACCAGTACCATGCTGTTTTTGTTACTGTAGCATGCTGTTTTGGTCACTCTAGCCTATAGTTTAAAGTTGGGTAATGTGATGTCTCCAGCTTTGTTCTTTTGCTTAGGATTGCTTTGAATTTTCAGGCTCTTTTTTTGCTCCATATGAATTTTAGAATAGTTTTTTCTAGTTCTGTGAAAAATGACTTTGGTAGTTTGATAAGGATAATGTTGAATCTGTAGATTGATTTGGGCATTATGGCTATTACAACAATATTGATTCTTCCAATCCATGAGCATGGAATGTTTTTTTTCATTTGTTTGTGTCATCTATGAATTCCTTCAACCGTGTTTTGTAGTTCTCCTTGTAGAGATCTTTCACCTTCGATGTTAGATGTAGTCCTAGGTATTTTTGTGTGTGTTCCTATTGTAAATGGGATTGCATTCTTGATTTGCTCTCAGCTTCAACATTATTGGTGTATAGAAATGCTACTGATAGCATTTCTATCAGTGTAACTATACATTTATTTTGTATCCTGAAACTTTACTGATGTCATTTATCAGTTCTCAAAGCCTTTTGGTGGAGTCTTTCGGGTTTTCTAGGTGTAAAATCATATCAGCAAAGAGAGACTTTGACTTCTTCCTTTTCTATTTGGGTGTCTTTCATTTCTCTCTTGCCTGATTGCTCTTGCTGGGACTGCCAGTATTAGGTTGAATAGAAGTAGTGAGAGTAAGCATCCTTGTCTTCTTCTAGTTCTCCAGGAAAATGTTTCCAATTTGTGCACACTCAGTATGATGTTGGCTGTAGGTTTGCCGTAGATCACTCTTATTATTTTGAGGTATATTCCTTTGATGCCTAGTTTCTTGAGGGATTTTATCATGATGGGGTGTTGGATTTTATCTAAATCTTTCTCCACATCTTTTGAGATGATCATGGGGTTTTTGTTTTGAATTCTGTTTATGTGTTAAATCACATTTAATTGATTTGTATATGTTGAACCCAGCGTGCATCCCAGAAATGAAGCCTACTTGATCATGGTGAATTAACTTTTTGATGCGCTGCTGGATTCAATATGTTGGTATTTTGTTGAGGATTTTTGTGTCTATGTTCATCAGAGATATTAGCCTTTAGTTTTCTTTTTTCATTTTGCCTTTGCGAGCTTTTGGTATCAGGGTGATGCTGGCTTCATAGAATTAGTTAGGGACGAGTCCCTCATGCTTGATTTTTTTGAAATAGTTTTGATAGAATTGGTACCTTGCCCTCTTTGTATGTCTGGTAGAATTTGGCTGTGAATTATGTAGTCAGGCTTTTTTGGTTGGTAGAATTTTTAATGCCAATTCCATTTCAGAACTCAATATTGGCCACTTCAGAGTTTCAATTTCTTCCTGCTTCAATCCTGAGAGGTTGTGTTTCTAGAAATTTATCCATTTCCTCTAGATTTTCCAGTTTGTGTGAATAGATATGTTTATAATAGTCTTTGAGAAACTTTTGTATGTCTCTGGATTGGTTGTAATGCCACCATTGTATTTTTGATTGCGCTTATTTGGATCTTCTCTCTTTTTTCTTTGTTAATCTAGCTAGAGTCTATCAATATTGTTTATCCTTTCAAAAAATAATTTTTGGTTTTGTTGATTCTGTGGGTGAATTTTGGGGTCTCAAGTTTCCTAAGCTCTGCTCTGATTTTAGTCATTTCTTTTCTTGTGCTAATTTTGGGGTTAGTTTGTTTTTGTTTTTATAGTTCCTTTAGGTGTGATGTTAGATCATTAATTTGAGGTCTTTCTAACTTTTCGAGGTAAGTGTTTAGCACTATAAACATTCATCTTAATCCTGCTTTTGCTGCATCCCAACGATTTTGGTATGCAGTGTTTCTGTTTTTATTTATTTCAAAAAAACTTTTGACTTCTGCCTTAATTTAGTTGTTTACCCAGAAGTCATTCAGTAGCAAGTTGTTTAATTTCCATGTAAATTGCCTAGTTTTGAGAGATCTTCTTGGTATTGATTTCTACTTTTATTCCACTGTGATCTGAGAGTATCGTTGGTATTATTTCAGTTTTTTTTAATTTATTGAGACTTGCTATATGGTTAAGTATGTGTACATTCCTCTAATCTGCACACAGAATAAAAGTTTATTTTTAAACAAATAGGCTTCTTTCTACACTTGAGTGGAAGATCTTCTGAATAAACATCTAGTGTTTATGTTCTTCATAATATGTAGAATTTATTTAAAAAACAAATTATTAGGTTAGCTCTGTGTTTCAAATATATAGTACAGTATTTCAATTCCTTAAATAGGCTGATTGTTTATCTTAGTCATTGAAAGAAAAAATATAAATAAATATATGACTTCACATCTCTACTTTCAATTTGTCTTTTATGGGGATGAAGAGAACATGTTCTTTCCTCTATTTTAGTTTCTTAAACATTTGTGGATATATGTTACAGTTTATGAAGCATACCAAAGATAAGGAAACTGTTGGAATTCTAATTTGATCACTAATTATTTATATAAGATTAAGAGAGTCTTTCTGGGACTTATTTTTGTTTCTATGTATATAAAGTGGTCTGAATAGATTAAGTGATTTTAACTTATTATGTGGCTTTCATAAGTGCTCTGAATTTTTTTTTGCAAATTTAACTATTGCAAAATAAACATTTTAGAGTTTTGATCATATTTTTAAAATTATCAGTTACCCACAAAGTGGTTAAGATCCTCCGGTCTTACTGATGTTTGTAGCTGGGGTATTAATTCTGTAGAGACCTTGAAGATGGTGCTCTGACTACTGTTGACAAATATCAGTAAGTATCAAAATACTTTTACGACATTGAGTTCTGTACAATAGTGATTATAGTTAAAAATATAAGATAGGTTCTGGAAGGACTTCAGAGTTATCAAGAACCATGGAGTCCTTACCATTTAAGTTCTTTTTCATCAATGAAAGAAATTAAGACCCAGAGGAAAAGATTTATAGAAACATCATCTTAAAGCATCTTATAGAATCATTTAAAGTGGTTATGCTATCCTTTGCTGTCCACAAAGATGAGCTGCTATAATTTCAGTACAATTTCAGGCAAGATGAACTAAAACACCTAATTCATAATTTAAGTGGCTTATTTCATTCATTCTTTTTTTTTTTTTTTTTTTTTTTTGAGACAGTGTCTCACTCTGTCACCCAGGCTGGAGTTCGGCAGTACAATCTCAGCTCACTGCAACATCCATCTCCTAGATTAAAGAGATCCTCCTGCCTCAGCCTCCTGAGTAACTGGGATTACAGGCACATGCCGCTATTTTCAGCTAATTTTTGTATTTTTAGTAGAGACAGGATTTCACCATCTTGGCCAGGCTGGTGTTGAACTCCTGACCTCAAGTGATCCTCCCACCTCAGACTCCCAAAATGCTGGGATTGCAGGCATGAGCCACTGCACCTGACCTGAGCCACCGCACCCAGCCATTTCATTCTTTCATTTTTATTCTTAAATTCACTTACGCATTTAGCAAATAATAATGTTGTAATATATGTTAAGCTTAGTGTTAGGTGCCTTGGACACAGAAACAAATATATATCTATTATTTCTTGAGTGTCTACTAAGTGCTTTAGCGTAATTAACTTCCAAAACATTTTAAATATCTAAAAACATGGAGACTGGGAAAAAGTACATTACTTATCCAAACCTCTACAGAGAGTAAGCTGCAGATTAGAACTTAAAACTTAGGTCTGACTTCCCCCTAAACTATATTTTTGTCATCTTTCCTATCCCCCCAAGCCCTGCCTTTAAAGGGTTTAAGAGCTTTTTGGTAAAAATAGGCACTTGGACATGTGAACAGCAACAGGAATATCACAATACCCAGCAAAGAAATTTAACATAAATCTGACATAATTTATTGCATGCCTATCTCGTTACTAAAATCTTTTGTAAATTTTAAATATGAAGGGCAGTACTATGCTCAAAATTACATAGAAATATTTTTTCAAAAACATTCAAAATGACAAACTTTAAAGCTAGAGATGGTCGGTCTTTGGTACTGCCATCCTATTTCCTAACTGAGGAAGATAATGCTCTGTGATGCAACATGCATTGCAGCATGCCACATTGCATAGACATCTGAATCCCACAGGAACCAGAGCCTGAGTTAAAAAAGAAAACAGTGACTCAGAATTCAAGACTTCTGGCCTTAGTTGATTCAAGATGTCATTTTTTCAGTTTTTATTTTTTTTCCTCCAGATCAAATTTCAGTAAAATGTGACAGTAAGACTTTATTGTATGTGCCTCTTATTTCTCCTTTAGTTTATAAAATATTTTGGTGTTCTCTGACTATTGCTGAATTGTATGCTTGGATATTAAACATAATAAAGTTCCATCTACTTTCATAATGAATGAAATAGTAGTATTTGTTTTTATGTAATGTTTAAGAGAATCCATAGCCTTTTATGTGTGTAGATGGTAGAAAGCTATAATTTCACTAAAAGCAGAAGAGATCTAGCTGGTGGGGAGACAGTGTTGTATCGGAGCTAGCTTGTACCTGCTCATACCATCTGGTTATTAAATATTCAGGAATTTTACAAACCAATTGTGAAATATAGCCATTATTAAAAAATAAACTGTATAGACTTATAACTAAGTAAAAATATTAGAATGAAAGCATAAATAACCAAACTCATCACTTCTTAATTCTTTTACTACATCTTACTATTACCTGTGTTCTCATTATTTTACACTTACTGCCTTTGCATGGTAAAACGACTCCTTATGAGAGTGTACTACCACCCGTGGTTTTCTTCACTCTGTGTTCAGTGACATAATTTTTGTAGCTTAAAATTGGCCATGTTGGGAGTATTTATGCTGTAGAAATTGACTTATGCTACGGTTCAGGGATTTTTATCTCAGATATCCAGTTGTTAAACATGTGTCAGCATGCCACTGAGAATAGAGGAATATCACAAATATTGATCAGCTTCTGCTATTCACAAATTCAACCCTACTTCAACATTATAATCTCGTGTTCAAACCTGATAAGCTACTTTTTGTCAGGATCAGGTCCTAGTTTGGTATGTTTTGAGTAAAATTCCCAAATAGATTAGAGTATATGTAGTTTGAGGATGAAGTGAATGTAATATTTGATGTTATTGATATTTGCAACTATGAGGGGATATATCTGAAGGCAAAACCTAACATGCAGAGGATGGCTGAGCAGGAAGAAGAGTGAATCCTTGATGATGATATTGAATCACAACACTAATTAATTCTGGAGTCACACTTCAGCCACCTTGTCATGTGAAAAATATATTCTTTAAAGCCACTTTTAATTGTGGTGTGTATTATATGCAGCAGAAAGTAACCTAACTAATACACCAATTACCCATTTTATAGATAAAAGTCAGCTAATTCCTACAGCCACGACATTTAGGAAAGTTCATGTAAGGTCTTATTAGCACTTCTATTTTAAAGGCTTGTCTTTTTTGTTTTTTAATTTTAAGCATAACTTTAATTATAGCTTCCAGTATATAAAAGCATTATTTGAACCTGGGTCAACATGAAATGCAACCAGAAACTTTAAAAAAGTGTAAGCACTGCAAATATATATTTGTATAATAATGGGTACTGATGACTACGATGGATATCTAATATCTAACTGAAAATAAATATAGTTTTCCTTAGGAAAGGAAAAGACATCAGAACCCAGTTATTCAAATACTTACTTAGGCCTTTCTTAAGTAGGGGAGGTTGTTTATAGCCATAAGATACTTATCAAACGTAATAAATAAGCACATTTCCAATTATAAACTAATGAGTAGATTTTATTAAACATTATTCTTACAATTCCTTGAAAACTCTAGTAGTTATAGAAAGAGCACAAAGTATTCTGATTTTATGCTTTTAAAAATGTGACCCTTTAACAGAGAAACTCCACTTAGGTTTAATAAGACATATTTGACATTCTACTATCATTCAAAACCCCTGAGATTGGTTACACAAAAGTTATATCAACTAATACAAAAATAATGATTATATGAAGTTATTTATTCTGTGTAATGAACAAATACTAATTAATGAAATAGACTTATACTGTAATTATGACTTTTTATATTCTAGCAAAAACAATGAAATTGGGAGGTTTTAAATTCAACCTATAGTCTGAAATCCAATATTATTCTAGCAAAAGGAGAGAAAGAGAATGAAATAGAGAAGAGACAGATGAATATTAAGAAATGATTTAGAATAGGTAAACAGTAAAATAGTAATAAATAATACAA
Source organism: Homo sapiens (assembly GCF_000001405.40). NCBI lineage: Eukaryota > Metazoa > Chordata > Mammalia > Primates > Hominidae > Homo > Homo sapiens. The sequence continues at coordinate 189,666,650 of NC_000003.12, forward strand.
CATTGGTTAATATGGCAGTTGATTTACCTTGTGAGGTGTCAAAAATCTGAAAGGTAGCTGAAGAAACTTTTGGCAGTTTCTTGGAAGAAGTGAGTAATTCATTCTCCTAAATTCAAGCTTAGTGTATATGGGTAGTTCTCAAGTAACATGAAATGAGTATAATACTATCACTGGCTTAATATCTACTAAAAGGGAAATTGTGTGTATGTATGTAAATGGGTTTACATGCATTTACAAAAGAATGGATTGGATATTTTTAAATGACAGTAGAGGAACTTATACTTGTGACCATATATAAACACACTGATATTGGACAAAATATATAAGAAAACTTTTCAGGCCTTGAACAAAAGACAGCACAGGCTTACAGTTTTTGAAAAAAAAAAAAAAAACTCATAAAAGTGTGTCTCATGATTGAACCTACTCTCTGCCTGAGAACAATTTCCTAAACTGTGAAAGAAGGAGCTGACACACAAGCATAGCACGACAGTCCCACTGAAGCTAAGGCAGAAGTTAGAATTTTTTTTTTTTTTTTTTTTTGAGACGGAGTCTTGCTCTGTCACCCAGGCGAGAGTAGTACAGTGGTGCAATCTCTACTCACTGCGACCTCTGCCTCCTGGATTCAAGAGATTCTCCTGCCTCAGCCTCCCGAGTAGCTGGGATTATAGGCACCCGCCACCACGCCTGGCCAATTTTTGTATTTTTAGTAGAGACAGGGTTTCACCATCTTGACCAGGCTGTTCTCAAGTTCCTGACCTCTTGGTCTACTCGCCTCTACCTCCCAAAGTGCTGGGATTAGAGGTGCGAGAAAGTAGATTTAAGAGTTGCTGAAGGAGGTAGAATCTGTGGACTAGGGCACCAGAGAGCAGGGAGCTAATTTGAGTAGGAACCCCAGAGTTTGTGTGGGAGCTCTTGTAGGGTGTCTGGCTATGGGATAATCTTTACAAGCTCAGGAAGAGACTATGGGAGGCTGCAAAGCAAATAAGTACTAAAGACTTGAGAGTAGAACAGAAGCTGAAGATTGCATGGTTATGGAAGAACCCAATGCCCCAACTCAGCTAGAGTGCAAAAATCTTATTAATATCCTGAGTATTCAACTGAGACATCAAGAAGTTCATTCCTTAAGTATAGACCATGTTCTACAGCAAGAGACAGCAAATGTTTTCTGACCCTGGTCCCTATAATCTCTGTTCCAACTTCTTAACCTTGCTTTTGAGATGTGAAAGCATCTATAGAAAATACATAAATAAATAGGTGTGGCCATGTTCCACTACAGCTTTAATCATAAAATTAACAGGTATCAGTCGAGATTTGACCCACAGACCATAGTTTGCTGACCCTACCCAAGAGTAAGGCCTATACAACACCTCCTTATTAAAGCGTAAAACTCAGCTTTGACAATATCCACAGGAAGACAGAGTTTAGAAATTAAGCCGTAGCAAGTTACAGGGGCTTGAGAAAAAAAATTAGGCATTGCACAGATATGTTCAACAAAGCATAAAACTAAGCGAATACAAGTTTAAGGTAAATAGGCTATGATAGAGCTACTTATTTGAACAAAAATCAGCAATTTTCTGGAAAAAAAAATCCAAAATCCAGTTTATCTAAATTACATCATCCAAGATGTCCAGTATAAAATTGAAAAAATTAAATAAATAAAAACAGATTTTAAAGTCATCCTGAGGTTTAATTTATCAAATAAAAACTTAAAGGAAACTATTGTTCATTTCAAGGAATAAAATGAAAATATGCTTTTAATGTTATATAGATGAGGTATCTAAACAGAGACATGAAAAATATAAAAGCAAATGAAATAGAAAATCTACAACAAAAATGCAGTAACTAAAATCTTAAATCCATATGAGCTTTACAGATGACTGAAGGTAGAAAAAGAAAGTGTCAATGGATTTCAACCAAATAAATAGAAGTTATCCAATGTTAAGAAATAAAAATATTGAAGAAAATATAATAGCAACTCAAGCATACAGGACAATATCAAAGGATCTTAGCAAATGTTTAACTAATATCCTAGAAAGACAAGTGAGAAAGGGGTGAAAAAAGTATTTAAAGAAGTAATAGCTGGCTAGACGTGGTGGCTCACATCTGTAATCCCAGAACTTTGGGAAGTCAAGGCGGGAGGATTGCCAGAGGCTAAGAGTTCAAGACCAGCCCAAGCAACACAAGGAGACCTTATCTCTAAAAACAAAAATACATAAGTAAATAATAACTGAGATTTCCCCCAGATTTCATGAAAAACATTTATTTACAAATCCTTAAGGAACTCAGAAAAAAAGCAAACAGAAAAATACAAAGAAAGTCACACCTAGGCATATCATAAATTCATTTCTTTAAAGCTAAAGATGAAAGAAACCAAAAAAAAAACCTTAAAATCCACCAGAGAAAGCAGAAAAAACAATTATTCAGGGAATAAATAATATAAATCATGACTGACTTCTCATCAGAAAAATGGACACCAAAAGATAATGGAATAGCGTCTTTTAAATAGCAAAGGAATGTGGTGGCAGTTAGGTCAGTTGGTTGGTGTGGTGCTAGTATATAGCAAAAGAAAAAAACAATACTAACAACCAAAAAACCTGTAAAACTTGATTCTATGTCTAGTAAAAATAGTTTTGAAAAACAATAGCAGAATGAAGACATTTATGGTAAACAAACTGAGGATAATTTGTAGTTAGCAGGTGTGTACTACAAAAAAAAAAAAGAAAAATGTTAAATAATTTTCTTCAAGCTAAAAGGAAATTATACCAGACAAAAACTCAAACCTACAGGAAATAATAGGGGACATAAGAAATGATAAATAATTGGGCAAATAGAAAATGTTTTTTGTTTCTCGAATTTTCCTGAGGAAACAACTGTTTGTATGAAGTAAAAATAATCACACTGTAAAGTGGGTTTATAAAATCTGTAAGTAAAACCTGTGACAATAGTGAAAGGGAAGACAAGGAAAATAGAACTATACCCCATAAGCTTATTACATTTCTGAATGTTTTGGAAAATGGGCTCTGAGGCTTAAATCTGAAGTGATAATATATGGGCTCTAGGTAGACATTAATAAGTTAGAGATACAGAATATTAGTCCTAGAGCTATTATCATAAAGTAAATAAAAAGAGATATAGTAAAGCAAGCCAATAGAGAAATAAAATAAAACAAAAGTATATGACTCACCCAAAAGTGGCAAGAAAGGAATAAGAAAGCAGCAAAAACAGAAGGGACCAGTGGAAAACAAATAGCAAAATGGTAGGTTTAAACATGGCTATATCAATGTTTGCATTAAGTGTTAAACATTCCTATTAAACAGTAGAGTTTGTCCTATTGAATTAACAAAAAAGGGGCCAAATATACCATATAAACTATATTAATAAGAAAGCTGAAATGAACAAAGTATAAACCAACAAGAAGAATAATATTAGAAATAAAAATAGATACTTGATAATTGTAAAGAGACAATCAGGAAGAAATAACAAGCCTGAATGTGTATGTGCTTAATAATAGAGATTTTTAAAAAGAAGAATTGAAGACTGACACATCCAAAGAAGAAATAGACTCATAAACAGATATAGTTGGTTATTTTCATCTTTTCACAGTAATTGATAGAAAAATTGAGTTCAGAACAGGTACAGAAGATCCAAACAACATTACCAACCAACTTGAACCAATCGATATTTGTAGCACACAATACATGACAACTGCAGAATGTACATTCTTTTTACCTACCAAGATAGAGCACATGTTGAGCCATAAAATCTCTCAATGTATTTCAAAATATGGAAATCATGCAAATTGTGTTCTTGGAGTCTAATGTTATAAATTATAAATCAATACAAAAATAAGATTTTAAAACTCATAAAATATCTGGAAATTAAATAAGAATCTTCTAAATGACTCATGAGTGAAAGAAGAAATCATAAAAGAAAATATATTGAACAGAAATAAAAACAGGACACATAAAAGATTGTAGGATGCACATACTACCCAACTTCAAAATATGCTACAAAGCATTAGTAACCAAAACAGTCTGGTGTTGGTATAAAACAGACAAATATACCGGTGGGACAGAACAGAGAACCCAGAAATAAATCTATGTGTTTGCAGCCAGTTGATTTTTGACCCAAGGTGCCAGGGACATACATTGGGAAAATGACACCCTCTTCAATAAATAGTACTGGGAAAGCCATCAAACTAGAAACCTTTCCCTGGTCATATATGAAAATCAACTCAAAATGAATGAAAACTTAAATGTAAGATACAAAATGATAAATCTACCAGAAGAAAACATGATAAATGCTTTAGGACATTGGTCTAGGCAAAGATTTCATAGGTGAGACTTCAAAAGCACAGGCAACAAAAACAAAAAGACAAATGAGAATATCTCAAACTAAAAAACTTGTGCACAGCAAAGGAAACGATCAGCAGAGTGAAGAGACAACCTGTAGAAAGAGAGAAAATGTTTGGAAAGTATACATCCGATAAATGATTAATATCCAGAATATACGAAAAATTCAAACAACTCAAAAGCAAAACAAACCCCAAAAATATGATTTTAATAATGGGCAAGGGATTTGGATAAACATTTCTCAAAAGAAGACATACAAACTTACAAAAAATATAAGAAAAAATGGTCAACATCACTAATCATCAGGGAAATGCAAATCAAAACCACAATGAGATATTATCTCACTCCGGTTAGAAATGTTATTATCAAAAAGCAAAAAGAAATCACAAATGCTGGTGAGGATGTGAAGGAAAGGGAACTCTTACACATTCTTGGTTGGAAGATAAATTAGTACAGCCATTATGGAAAAGAGTATGGAGGTTTCTCAAAAGATTAAAAACAAAACTATCATATGATCTAGTAATTCTACTACAGGGTATTTATTCAAAGGAAAGAAAATACATATATTGAAGAGATACCTGCACCTTTATATTTATTGCAGATCTATTTAAAATAGCCAAAATATGGAATCAACCTAAATGTCCATCAATGGATGAATGAATAAAGAACTTATGATACATATACACAATGGAATACTATTCAGCAATAAAAAAGAATGAAATATGGTCATTCACAGCAACATGGATGAGCCTGGGAGGACATTATTTTAAGTGAAATAAGTCAGAGACAGAAAGACAAATACTACATGTTCTCACTCATATGTGGGGGCTAAAAATATTGAGTTAATAGAAGTAGTGAGTAGAACTGTGGTTATCAGAGGCTGGGAAGGGTAGCAAGGAGGGAAAGATAGGAAAAAGCTGGTTAAGGTATACAAAGTTACAGCTGAGTAGGAAGAATAAGTTCTATGTTCTGCAGCACTATAGGGTGAATATAGCTAATGATAATGTAGTGTATATTTTCAAAAAGCTAGAAGAGAAGATTTTTGAATGTTCACAACACAAAGAAATGATAAATGTTTCAAGTGATAAATATATTAGTTATTCTTATTTGATCATTACACATTGTAGATAAGAATGCAAAGATCACTCTGTATCCCATAAATATGTACAATTATTACCTGTAAACTAAACATAAAAGGAAAAAAATAGGTTGCAGCCAAAGCTGTGCAGAGGCAAATTTACAGCTTTAAATATCCATATTAGGAAAAAAAGTTTTAAAATAAATTATGTAAGCTCCTACATTAAAATATTTGAAAAAGGCTGGGTGCAGTGGCTGCCACCTGTAATCCCAGCAGTTTGGGAGGTCGAGGTAGGAAGATCACTTGAGTTCCGGAGTTGGAGACCAGCCTGGACAACATAGAGAGACTTTGTCTCTACAAAAGATGAACAAAATTAGCTGATCATAGTGGCACATGACTGTAGTCCCAGCTACTAGGGGAGCTGAGATGGGAGGATTACTTGAACCTGGCAGGGGAAGGCTACAGTGAGCCGAGATCATGCCACTGTACTACAGCCTGGGTGACAGAGCAAGAACCTGTCACAAATAAAGATAGAAAGAAAAAAGGAAGGAAGGAAGGGAGGGAGGGAGGGAGGAAGGAAGGAAAGAAGGAAGGAAGGAAGGAAGGAAGGAAGGAAGGAAGGAAGGAAAGAAGGAAGGCAGGCAGGCAGGTAAAAAGAAGAAGAGATTAAGACCTAAGATAAACATAAAAATAAAGTATGAGCAGAATTCAACCATAGAGAATTAAACAAAGCCAACAATTGGTTTTTTTAACATAATTAATACAAACAGTTAAACCTCTAGCAAGATTAATCAAAAAAAGAGGAAAAAGCAAAAGAATACCACGATCTTGGCTTACTGCAACCTCTGCCTTCCACGTTCAAGCAATTCTTGTGCCTCAGCCTCCCGAGTAGCTGGAATTGCAGACTCCTGCCACCACGCCTGGCTAATTTTTGTATTTTTAGTAGGGACAGGGTTTCACCATGTTGGCCAGGCTTGTCTTGAACTCCTGACTTCAGGTGATCCACCCTCCTCAGCCTCCCAAAGTGCAGATTACCGGCATGAGCCATAGCACCCAGCCTATCAGAATTTAATAAATAACAATCATCTGAATAGATGCAGCAAATTTTTTCACAGAACTGAACATTCTTCCATAATAATAACTCTAGGAACTAGGAAAGAAGGGAATCTTCCTCAGTCTGATAAAACTGATCTGTAAAAAACCTCCAGCTAACATTCTACTTAATGATTGAAGAAATCTTTCTTAAGATTAGAGAAAAGGGAAAGTTTATTCTTGGCAATTATCTTCAATATTATTCTAGAGGCTCCAGTTAGGACAATAAACCTAAATAAATAAACATGCAAAGTAGAACATAAAGATTGGAAATATATAAAGTAAACAAAAAAACTGTAAAAATTACAAAAATAAATCTATCAGATAAGATAACTTAGCAAAGTCACATCATATAAATACAAACAAATGAATTTTATTTTTGTGTATAGGTCGTTAACAACTGAAAAACAATAATCTTTACCATAGCATTAAAATAACACCACAAAACAGGAAGAAATTTAACAAAAAGATAGGCAGGACATTTATACTGAAACATTGATGAGATAAATTTAAGCACATATTTTCGTTTCTGTTATACCTTGTGTAGAGGGGTGGGAATCACAACTCAATTCAATTATTTGCAGCTGTTTCACTTCTGCAATTTACTTAGCTTAAACTCAGTTTCTAATTCTTTGTCATCATTCATAAAATTCATTTTCTGGATAGGTCATTAATAGAATTGGAAATATGTGAAGTAATTGGCATAAACCCTGAACTTAATAGAAGTACAGCAAATTGAAATAGTTTTATTATTGTTATTATGAATAATGCGTTATAAAGTGAGATACTTATATTTATTACTTTAGCAATAAAGAAACCATAGGCAAGACTTTGAATAAAGAAAACAACATATGATTGATAGCGTAAGTGAAGATTAATTTTCATAATGGTGAGAAATCCAGGCTTATTTAGCCTTTTATTTACTAATAAATTCTGAAGATAAGTCATAAAACAATGTACGGATAGTAGATACACCAGTGTACATAATGTCAGGTCTTTGCAGAAGTGGCAAGTAGCTCAAAAGTAGGTTAATATGAGAAATTTCTTTTTCAAACAAAATGAGATAGCATTGTTCCAGGACTTCTTATTGGGACCTATTCAATCCTGAACCACTCCATCTAAGTCTGCATATCTCCAAAACCACAGTCGTCATTCTTGTTTGGGATGATGTTCTTAAATGTCTTATTTCTGGTTCCCTCAAAAACAGAAACCCAGACAGGAACTTTGGTCCTGGTAATTTATTCAGGCGATGATCCAGGAAGCAAGAAAGGGGAGCAAACAAAGTAAGACAGGGACACAGAAGCGTCAATATAGAATGATTTATCGAGGTTACACTGTGGGCAATGAGGGATTTTTTTCCAAAACCTGAGAAACATACAGAAAGTTTCCCAAAATTTTCCCTTAGCCAGACAGAAATCTGCAATATTTATCCACAAGCTCCATGAATTGAAAATTACATGAAGGCATTAACTCCCCTAACTCTCTGCCTATCCAGGCTGCGTGTGTACCAGGCTGAGTAGATTCCCAAAGTGTCAGAGAAGGCACTGAAGCAGAGTACAGATATACACATAAAATGAGCTTTAGATGGGACTCTATCAATGTGTGGCAGATCTGAACTAGCACAGAACTGCCCTCTGCAGCTAAGGCTGAAATCAGAAATGAGCTAAGGTGATAATGATATTAACTAGAAGACCCTATGTAGCACATCAAGTGTAAAAACGGGTTAGGTTTTCTTCACTCTACTAATGCTGAGGCACTCCTCAGCATTGACAAAATCATGTATTTTGTCAAGTGTCTTAGTCTTTTCAGGCTGTGATAACAAATACCATCAACTAGTTAGCTTATAGACAACAGGAATTTCTCTCTCATAGTTCTGGAGAATGGGAAGTCCAAGGCACTAGCACGTTTGGTGTCCAGTGGGGAATCATTTCCTTATTCATAGATGATACCTTCATACTATTCCTTCACATGATAGAAGGGACTAACTGGCTCTCTGGAGTCTTTTAATGAGGGCACAAGTCCCAGTCATGAGAGCTCTGCCTTCATTCATAACTCAGTCATCTCCCAAAGACCTCACCTCCTCCATTGCCTTAGGGGTTAGGATTTCAACATGGAATTTGAGGAGATACAAACATTAAGATCATAGCAAGAAGACTGTCATCAGAAGATAATTATTGAATTTTAATATTTAATCATGATACAAAATAGAAAAAAATTACTGTCTATAGGTCATTTTAAAAGATTATAAAAATATAAGGAGGTCAAAAAATTTAGATTGCATTTAGAATATAACCTAAACATCATAATTTGATAAAGTCTAGATTGGCAGTGCTATTTGTACCAGGTCACATATTAGACATATATAAGTCACATATAAATTTAGAGGTCATAAATATTCCCCATATTCCCAACCCATAGATTTTTTCGCTAGTCTACTCAGTCTTTATCCACATCACCTGCTTTGATGCCTGAATCAATGTTGACTCATAAATAGATTGACATGAACGAGTACTGTGGCACGGTTATGTCTCCTGCTCCCCCTCACCCACCACTGTGCTGGGTGAGCTGCATCAAATAAATGAAACCAGCTACAGCCTGGAAGTATGGTGTCACTTATGTCTGCTGTTCTCCTAAATGTTATCCCATTTAAGAGGCTACAGACAGAGGCTTAATTCTTATGGAAAATGTTCTTCTGGTGTGTTAATTAGCTCTTCTGAGGAACAGAATAAGCATGTGCTCCCACAAGTCCTTTTTTTTCCAGTAGAGCCAGAAACACACACATTCATTAAAAAGAACCGTGAACCCTTTGAAAAACCATTAGTAAAGATTTTATTTTGTTCAGCTTTATTGTGATATAATTGAAATATAAAAATTATATAGATTTATATTGTATAACATTATGTTTTGATGTATGCGTACATTGTTAACTGAGTACCAAAAGCAAGCTAATTAAAATGTCCATCTCCTCATATACTTACCATTTTTGTGTGTGTGATGAGGACACTTAAGTTCTACTCTCTTAGCAAGTTTCAAGTATACAATATAAAATTATTAACTATACTCATTATGCTGTACATTAAGTCTCTGGAATTTATTCATCCTGCATAACTGAAACATTGTGCCCTTTCACCAATATCCTCCCATTTTTCGTACTCCCAAACTCTTGGCAACACCAAGCTACTCTCTGTTCCTATTATTTGACATTTTTTAGATTCCATATGTAAGTGGGATCATGCAGTATTTGTCTGTCTGTGCCTGGTTTACTTCACTTAGCTTTATGTCCTTCAGTTATATCATGTTGCAAATAACAGGATCTTCCTTTTTAAGGCTGAATAATATTTCAATATGTATTTGTATTATATAGAATATATCGTGTGTGTGTGCATGTGTGTATGTGTGTGTGTGTATCCCGTATGTTCCTTTAAAAAAAAATAGACTTAGGGAGTACACGTGGTACAGTTGTGTTACATGGATACATTGGATAGTAGTGAAGTGTGGGCTTTTAGTCTAGCCATCACCCGAATAGTGTACGTCAGGAATCCCCAGCCCCCTGCCCACAGACTGGTACCCATCTGTGGCCTGTTAGGAACTGGACCACATAGCAGAGAGATCTAGTTTTAATGCTTTTCATGAGAATCTAACTAATTCCTGACGATCTGAGGTGGAACAGTTTCATCCTGAAACCACCCACCCCCCAACATCAGTGGAAAAATTGTCTTCCACGAAACTGGTCCCTGGTGCCAAAAAGGTTTGGACTCCTGGTATACATTGTACACATTAAGCAATTTCTCATCCCTCACTCTCTTCCAACCCTCCCACCCTCCCAAATCTCCAGTGTCTATTATTCTGCTCTCTATGTCCACGTACAGGGTATTTAGCTCCCATTTATAAGTGAGAACACATGGTATTTGGCTTTCTGTTTCTGAGTTATTTTACTTAAGATAATGGCCTCTAGGTTCATCCATGTTACTGGAAAAAACATAATTTCATTCTTTTTATGGTTGAATAGTATTCCATGGTGTGTGTTTGTGTGTGTGTGTGTGTATACATATTGCATGTTTATATATGTACATATAATGTGTACATATAGATATACACACACACACAGTGGAATACTACTATATAAATGTTTTATATATATTCTATATACACACACATATTTATATATATAAATATATATAAATAATTATATATTTATATGTAAATAATTATATATAAATATGTGTGTATATATATACATATATACACGTATACATATATACATATATATATACACACATATATATACACATATATATATGGCATTTTCTTTATCTAACCATGAGTTGATGCACACTTAGGTTGATTCCAGATCTCTGCTATTGTGAATAGTGCCACAGTCAATGTACAAATGCAGGCATCTTTTTGGTATAATGATTTCTTTTCCTTTGGGTCAGTATCCAGTAGTGGGGTTACTGGATTTAATGGTAGTTCTATGTTTTCTTCTTTGAGAAATATCCATATTGTTTGCCATAAAGGTTGCACTAATTTATATTCCCACCAACAGTGTATAAGCATTTCTTTTTCTCCCCAGCCTCATCAACATCTGTTATTTTTCGACTTTTTAAAAATAGCCATTCTGACTGGTGTAAGATGGTATCTCATTGTGGTTTTCATTTGCATTTCTCTGATGATTAGTGATGTTGAGTATTTTTTCGCATATGTTTTGGACATCTGTGTATCTTCTGAAACGTGTCTGTTCATGTACTTTGCCCGTTTTTTCAATTGTGATTATTTCTTGTTGTTTTTGTTATGATGTTGGAGTTACTTGTAGATTTTGGATATTATTCCTTTGTAGGATGCATGGTTTGCAAATATTTTCTCCTGTTCTGCAGATTGTCTGTTCACTCTATATTTCTTTTGCTGTGCAGAAGGTTTTTATTTTAACTGAGTCCCATTTGTCTATTTTGGATTTTTTTCTATTTGCTTTTAAGGTCTTAGTCATAAATTATTTGTCAAGGCACTGTCCCAAGTGTTTTTTCTAGATTTTCTTCTAGTATTTCTACAGTTTAAGGTTTTACATTTAAGTATTTAATCCATCTTGAGTTAATTTTTGCATATAGTAAAAGATGGAGAAGCAGTTTCATTCCTCTGCATATGGCTATACAATTTTCTCAGCACCATTTATTGAATAGGATGCCCTTGCCCTAGTATATGTTTTTGTTGAAGATAAGTTGGTTGTAGATATGTGGCTTTATTCCTGGGTTCTCTATTCTGTTACATTGATCTATGTATCTATTTTTATACCAGTACCATGCTGTTTTGTTTACTAAAAACCTTCTAGTATAATTTTAAGTAATATAACATGAAATCTCCGGCTTTGTTCTTTTTGCTAAGGATTGCTTTGGCTATATAGGCTCTTTTTCAGTTTCATATAAATTTCGGGTTTGTTTTTTCTAATTCTGTGAAAAATGACATTGGTATTTTGATAGGAATTGCATTCAATCTGTAGATTGTTTTGGGCCGTATGGTCATATCAATGATATTGATTCTTCTAATCCATGAGCATGTGACATTTTTCCATGTGTTTGTGTCATCCAAAACACAAACATTTCATTAAACACATTTCATTTGTCAGTGTTTTGTAGTTTTCCTTGTAGAGACCTTTCACCTCCTTGGTTAAATGTATTCCTCAATATTATTTTTTTAGCTATTGTAAATGAGGTTTACTTCTTGATTTGTTTCTTAGTTTGGTTGTTATTGATGTATATAAACGCTACTGATTATTGTAAGTTGGTTTTGTACCCTGATTTTAAAATGAGCAAAGACCCCAAATTTACTGAAGTTACTTATCAAATCTAGGAGTCTTTTCTTAATTCATTCATGTTTAGATGAACAGAGGTTGATTCCGTATCTGAGCTATTGTGATTATGCTTCAGTGAACATGGGGGTGCAGATAGCTCTTCAAGTTACTGATTTCATTTATTCTGTATGTGCATTGAAAAGTAGGATTACTGGACCATGAGGTAGTTTTATTTTTAATTTTCCGAGAAACTTTTATACTGGTTTTCATAATGGTTGTACCAATTTACATTCCCACCAACAATAGGTTTGCTTTTCTCCACATCCTCACCAGCACTTGCTTTTTTTTGTATTTTTTATAATAGCTATTCTATCAGCTGTGAGGTGACATCTTACAATGGTTTTGTTTTGCATTTCCTTGATGATTAGTAATGTTTGCCATTTTTTTCATATACCTAGTCATCATTTGTAAGACTGTTTTTGAGAAATGTCTTTTCAGGTTCTTTGCCCATTTTTAAATTAGATTATTTGTTTTCTTGCAATTGAGTTGTTTAAACTCCTTATATATTTAGAATATTAACCCTCTATCAGATGTCTGATTTGCAAATATTTTCACTCATTTCGTAGGTGACCTCTTCATTCTGTTGATTGTTTTTTTACTGTACAAAAGTTTTTTTGTTTGATACGACTTCATATGTCTACTCTGGCTTTTGTTGCCTTTGCTTTTGGTGTCACATTCAAAAAATCATTGCCCAGACTAATATAAAGAAGACTTTCTCCTGTGTTTTCTTTCAGCAGTTCTACAGCTCCAGGTTTTATGTAAAGTATTCAATTGGTATTTATATTTGGCATAAAATAAGTATCCAGTTTTAATTCTTGACGTGGATATTCAATTTTTTTCAACATTTATTGAAGAAGCTATCTGTTCCCTATTGTATGTTCTTGGCACTTTGTGGAAAAAACAATTAACCACAAATGCATAGATTTATTTCTAAGCTCTCTATTCTGTTCCATTTGGTATACATGTTAGTTTTTATGACAGTACCACACTGTCTTAATTTTGAAACCAGGTAATGTGATGTCTCCAGCTTTGTTTTTCTTGCTCAAAATCACTTTGGCTATTTGGGCTCTTTTGTGGTTTCAAATTAATTTTATGTTTTTTTTCTCTATGTCACTGAAAACTGCCATTGGAATTCTGGTAGGGATTGCATTAAATCTGTAGATATCTTTTGGGTGTTTGGATATTTAAATATTAATTATTCCAATTCATGAACATGGGATATATTTTCATTTATATGTGTCTTCTGCAATTTCTTTCATCAATATTTTGTAGTTTTAAGTGTATGGATCTTCAGCCTCCTTGGTCAAATATGTTCTTAAGTATTTTATTTTTATACTATTTTAAATAATTAAATAATTAATGCCCATCCTTTTCAGACTCTTCCAAAAAATTGAAAAGGAGAGACCACCACCAAACTCATTTTAGGAGACCAGCATTCCACTGATACTAAATCCGCCTAAATAAAGAAACAAATAACAGATCATCAATATCCCTGGTGAACACAGACATAAAAATTCTCAACAAAATACAAGCAAACCAAATTCAACAACACATTAAAAGCATCATACACCATGATCAAATGGGACTTACCACAAGAATCACAAGGATTGTTCAACACATGCAAATCAATATATGTGACATATCACATTAACAGGTCCACAAGGACAGGCCTGTATCTTGGTTCTATGGTGGCTGGCATGGAGTCAGGGTCCACTGGAGTGAGCCTGGTGACTGGGTATGCTGACATGGACCTGGAGCCTGTGTCTATGGAGGCTGTCCTGAAGCCTAGGTACAAGGGGTCCATCCTAAAGCTGGGGTGGTTCTTGAGCCTGAGTTTACATTAGCTAGCCTGATGTTGAGGCAAGTTTGGAGCCAGCAACAACAGAGATGAGCCTGGAGTCTGGGTCTGCAAGGGCTGGCTGGCCTGGTGCCAGGGTACACTGGTGAAGGCCTGGTGTTTGGGTCCACAGTAAAGTCAGGTGCTTCCTTCACTTTTATCTCATCACACAGCCAGTATGTCTTTCCATGAGGCACTGCTTAGGTGTGAGGAAGGGGTGACATGGGGAATTGTAAAAATGTCCTTCCAGTTCTGCTAAATGTATCTTTTCTTACTTCTGTGCTCCTATAATCTTTCACCTGGTTTTCTCAGCTCCTGGTAATATATTTTCATAAGTGAATAGTCACTTATGTATCTTTTCTTACTTCTGTGCTCCTATAATCTTTCACCTGGTTTTCTCAGCTCCTGGTAATATATTTTCATAAGTGAATAGTCACCCAAATTGTAAGTGAACAAGAGCTGGAACCTCCTATTTCACTATTTTGCTGATGTCACTTCCATTAGCATACATTTTAAAATTTGTAATTAGGAAGGTTAAAAATAACTTGAAGCCAAGTTTATTAAAATGTCTAACATATCCTAAATTACAAGACGTATTTCCTATTTACTTTACCTCCTTTGCTACCAAGCTTGCATCTTAGCATGATTTCTTTCTCATGAACTTAAATCCAACTAGCTAAAAGTGGCAATCTTTTTGATCACTGAAGCCAGGCTCTATATTTCAGCTCACGTGCTCCATAAATTATATGCAATATTTGACCCTGTTAATAACTCTTCTTCTTGCCATTCCTTTGGCTTCCTTGACTTTGAACTCTACTGGTTCTCTTCTTCCTCCTCCTCCTTTTTTTCTACTCTCTCGCTGACTGCCTCTAAAAGTAAATATTTTCCAAAAAATAGGGTACAATATATGGATACTTCCTCAGGTTCTCTCCTCAGGTCCCTCCTCTTACTTCTGACTCTCCTCATCAAGAAATGACCTCTATCCCCACAGGCTGGAATCCCTCATTTGTTACCTAGGGAACCAGGCAATCACCTTTTACACACTAAGTGAACCAACCAGACCAAAATAGCAATGCAAAGGCTTTGAAAACTATATTGTCAGCTGAGCACGGTGGCTCATGCCTGTAATCTTAGCACTTTGGGAGGCCAAGGTGGGAGGATCACCTGAGAACAGGAGTCCGAGACCAGCCTGGCCAACATGGTGAAACCCGGTCTCTACTAAAAATACAAAAATTAGCTAGGTGTGGTGGTACACACCTGTAGTCCCAGCTACTCAAGAAAATATTCTAATATATGGCAGAGTGATGACATTCTTAATATCTATATTCATATATCAGTGCAACACAGAAGACCTCAAATAAAAATTAATGAAGAGCATTAATAATTTCCCAAAGAAAGACCACAAATGACCAATGCATATATGAAAAATTCTCAACTTTGCCATAAATCAAAGAGAGGAAAATTAATAATAAACTTCCATTTTCTGTTGAATAAATCAGCACCTTTTTTTTTTTTTAATTACTACTTAGTGTTGAGAAGTTTCTAGGAGGGGGGTACCTTTCTTACACTGCTACCTTAAAAGTGTTACATTATCCTGGAAAAAAATAGGACGATATTTTGCAAAAGCCTCAAGAATGCTGATTGTTTAACCCAGCAGTTTCATTCCTGGGACTTGGTCCTAAGGGGAAAAAAAAAAAAAAAAAATATATATATATATATATATATATATATATATATATATATATCCTATTCACAAGGTTGTTTATTGAAGTATTATTTATAATTGCAAAAAACACAAGGAAATATAACTTTTAGCTAATTTATTTCACTTAGGAGGTCTTTCACCATTATTCTGCACTGAACATTTCTACTCAAAAGTAATACAGGTATCACTCCTGCCTCTGTGATCTAATGGCCTTTTCTATATAGTGCCAGGGTTCCCTTTACCTCATTGACCCCAAACCATAATTTTACTTCCTAAAATTTACTTCTAGACTAGAACTCTTGGGGAGAGTGAATCATTGGATCTCTGGAGTCTCCATTTCTGAATTATGCAAGAATGGTTTATAAATGATACTAATGAGCGCTTACATCCATCAAAAATCATGATAGGGACTTCATTTAATATGCTATTTAATTTAATGATTACAAAATCTTATGCTTCAGATGCTTTTATTATTTCCATTATACAGATGAGGAAACTCAGGATTAGCAGATAATTAGCCTGTCAGTTTCATGCACCTATTAAGTGGCAAGGTTGAGATATAAGCCCTGGATCACCTTATTTTGTGGCTCAAACTCTTAATAATTATAAAGACATTGCCTAAAGGATTCATCATATCTAATGAATATTAGATAACTATGTGCAAGGTACTGTAGTAAGTGCTTTATATGTATCTGTTCATTTAGGCTTCACAGCTCTGAGATAAATATCATTATTATCTCCATTGTACAGATGAGAAAATATGCACAGCACAAAACATATGTTGCCCAAGGCTTATGTCAGTATGTGGCAGAGCTAAAATAAAGCCACATGCATTTCACTTTGCTGCCTTGTGAAGCTCCTACCATCTACATAATGTTTTGATAATAATTTATAACATATGCTTAATTCATTCACTTTCTTTTAGAAACAAATCTTTCTTTGACAACTCAGTTGCTAAAATACAAGATGCTGGAGCAGCAGACACAGGAAACAGGAAAAATGCCACTTCTAAAACATGAAGAGCTATATTTCTTCCTCAACAGCCAGTGAATCAGTTCCATCCCCTATCATATTTAGCATATTGAATGTCCCACTATATAGTTGGACAATTGCAGTTCCCAAACATGGCCAAGATGATTTCATCCTCTGCTCTTTTGTCGGAAACTCGGTCTCCTCTTTATACTTGAACATGAAGTCATTGCAGTAGCCTGCCAATCCTACCCTCTCCTCACTACTTCAGAATTTATAGAATCTCTGTCTTGCATGACCTGGAATAACAACAACTCAGCACCTGCTCTCAAAGTGTTAAAGTGCCCAATGTTCTCACCAGAAGGAAATTTGCAGCATTCAGACATGTCACCTAGGATGAAAAATAGATTCAGTAAGGTTTTACATTCAAAGTTCAAAACTAACAAGGTTTGATTACACCCTGGACATCTGCAGCTTCAGCAACTGCAGGAAAGCAGTTGGTAAAATATCATTATGACGGTAATACAAGGTGTGAGTGGGTAAGAGAAAACCCACAGCATGATGTGGATTTTCTGTACAAATATAACAACACCTTAAGATTACAGAGATTACTCAAAAGAAATACTTTCCTTTCATTCTTTATTCTTTAATTCAGTAATTCAACATTTATTTGGTACCTATGGTATGTAAGACACTTTTCTAGGTACCAGAAATATGAAGCTGAATAAGATACATTCTTCAAAACCTAGTTCTTTAAAACCTAACATCCTATAGGGAAGAGTGATAGTTAATCATCATACACATTATAAATGCTGTGGTGGACATCTGAACAGAGAGTTTTGAGGGTTAAAGAATTCAAATAGTGATCAACTCCACTTTACAAAGTCAAAAAAGATAACAGAGGGAATTTCAGAACAGGAGAATTGCATGTAAGTATGCGTAAAAGTATGAATAAGACTGTGTTCTGAGAATTTTGAGTAGTTTAGTGTACCTGAAGGTTAAGGGCAGGAAGTGAGAGTAGATTAGAGCAAAAGAGAAATATGATGCCTATTAGTGATGTCAAGGGATATAGAATTGATCTATGCATTTCTTATGTTTTCTTTCTTTCTTTTTTTTTTTTTTTTGAGATGAATTTCACTCTTGTTGCTCAGCCTGGAGGGCAGTGGTGCAATCTCGGCTCACTGCAACCTCCGCCTCCCGAGTTCAAGCGATTCTCATGCCTCAGCCTCCCGAGTAGCTGAGATTACAGGCATACGTTACCAAGCCCAGCTAATTTTTTATATTTTTAGTAGAAATGGGGTTTCTCCATGTTGGTCAGGCTGGTCTTGGACTCCTGACCTCAGATGATCCACCCGCCTTAGCCTCCCAGAGTGTTGGGATTACAGGTGTGAACTACCGTGCCTGGCCAAGGATATACTTATATATTATTTGTGTAATAGATATAATCAAACAAATACATATAGAGTAGAATAGTTTAGAAAAGAAGTGAAAGAGCAAAAGGAAGACTACAAAGTATGGCAGACCCTAGACAAACCATAAATGAGAATAGACAAATAGAATGTGGTGGAAATTCTGACTTTTTCTAAACGAATATGAGAGTATTCTAAATGTAACCAAAGACAGAAATCAGTGAGTAGATTACCATAATACCAAAAGTACTTCAAAAAGGAGGAGATTGCAAGGTGGTGGCAGGAGATGGCATGGGGAGGATGCTAAGGGGCTTGGTTGGGTTAGAGTTGATAAAGGCAGAGTCAAATGGACTGGAGAGGTTTTTGTCTCTTCTTAGGTTGATGTTTCTCCCTTTGCCCTGCATTGCAGGTTGTTTCTTCCTCTGCCTCACTTAGTTTTGGATAAGTCCAGTATTTTCCTTTTTTCATCCTCAGTGTTACTCTTCTTTCACTTCTCCTGCCTTTATTCTTTTCACCCTAGCTTCTTTTGTTCTCTAAGGCCCAGTCAAGATGAAGCTTCCCGCAGCCAGCTTCTGTAGCACTTACTTTAAACCTCTCTCATAACATATGGTTTCCTGTGAACTCCATCAAGGCATAAAAGGTTTTAACTCTATATTTCCCAAACTGGTTTGTGTAGCAAGTCTTCAATACATGTGTGTTCAATGGAAGAAAGGAGGAAGAATAGGAAAAAGAAAAGAAAGCTTTTTCTCTCACAGCTGATTTTTCTATAGAATTAGAAATTTGATAGCAATATTGATATTAAATTTGAAAGCATTATTTTATAGCAATAACGCAATTGTATCTTTCCAGTCATCTTACCCCAGACATGTAGGATGTGAATCAGAGGTAATATATTTCTCCTTCTTAAAACAACAACTCCGAGACAATATGAGCTTTTTAAAAGAAGGGAACTATCTGAGAAACAAATGAACAAAGAGAAGGGGGATAAAATGGTGAGAAGAGTACTGCTTTGCTCTGGGAATCAGAAAACCCTACATTTCTGCCTTGACTTTGCACTAAGTAGCTGTCTTGAGTACTGCACTTCATATTTCTGAGTCACAGTTTCTTCTCTTGTAAAATGAGGAGTTTGGCTCAAAGTTCTCCAAATTGTTTGATTATGTGGCAGAAAGTAAAGAAGAAGAGAGTGCAGAGCTGTGACTCGTCATTTCCGGAGGGAAAGGAAAGCACAGAGGAATGTGTACTCTTGGTGTCCAGGTTCAGGCCTCCATCCTGATCACTAATTTTTGAGTTTGTCCCTTGAACTTTTACCTGTTTTCTTTTTATGAGACAAAACTTATATTTTAGATTCTGTCTTTGCAGTTTCTCCTCCTTCATACTGAAGCTGGCAATAGAAGACAGTGAGTGAGTAAGAAGTGTCTTAAACAAGAATGGCTGGAAACAGAGCTCTCTCCCAGGCAGGGTGGTAATGCCAGCAATTCAAAGAAACTAAGATGTGGCATCACAGGATGTCTCCAGTTTTTGGGGATCATGGACCCTCATATCTTGGCTTTCAAAAAGTGAATGGTAGGTGGCTGTTGACTGAGGCTTTCTTAGAAACATAATTTCATGAACTACTGGAAAGAGACAGGAACTTAGAGTCTACCCAGTGGAAAAAGAATAAATAAATAAATAAATAAATAATGCCCAAGAGCTTAAAAAAATGATAGCAAAGTTTACAAACTTGCCAGATAAGGGAACATACCACCAGTAAAATAATTCACTGAGAACTTTACTCAGGGGGTGGGGGGCAGGGGCAGGGTTTTTTTTTTTTTTTTTGAGACAGAGTCTTACTCTGTCAGCCATGCTGGAGTGCAGTGGCACAATCTCAGCTCACTGCAACCTCTGCCACCCAGGTTCAAGCGATTCTCCTGCCTCAGCCTCCCGAGTAGCTGGGATGACAGGCACCTGCCACCACGCCCAGCTAATTTTTGTATTTTTAGTAGAGACGGGGTTTCTCCATATTGGTCAGGCTGGTCTTGAACTCCTGACCTTGTGATCTACCTGTCTCAGCCTCCCCAAGTACTGGGATTACAGGTGTGAGCCACCGCGCCTGGCCAAGGGTCAGGGTTTTTAATGCTAGGAAGAGGAGGTCCTTGGTGGTTGGGTGAATGAAGGATTGAAAATTAGCACTCTAGATAAGGGAGAAGTGGTCTACAGATCTGTACACAGTTGGGCAAAATGAGCTCCATTGTCTTCAGTTAGGTTCAATAGAGTCTGGAGTACCCAGATCATTCAAGTCCATGGTCAAATCAGCTCCACTTGATTTGACTCAGTTATGATGAAACGGTACATAGTTTTGCTATTTTCTAGGTGAGTTTTCACATAAATGCAAAGTTTTCTTTTAATACAATCCAATCCCATCATTTTAGAGATGGGAAAACCAAGACAAGAAATGGAAAAACACTTGCCTAGTTTGAATGATTCCACATTTGTGTCAGAAATCAGCATTATTTTATCTTTGATGCTTGCCTGTTACTTGAGCTTGATAACTTTACAGCCCTGCCTCAGTTGAAGTCTTACCTCCTTTGTAAAAGGGGAACCTAGTTTGTAGTCTCCTTTTGTAATTTCAAGGGAATATAGAATTGCAAATAAAAATGAAGTGGGCTGCTACAAAAAACAGTGAGACTCCGAATTATCTAGGTTACTTAAAGAATAGCAAGACAACCACGTAGTAGGGCCACTAGAGGGAAATATCAAGCTTCAAATGGGCGACTGGACAATGTGCCCTTTAAAGTGACTTCTAATTCTAATGTACAATGGTAGAGGAACCATGAGTATTGTATCGTTACCCTCACTGTCTTCTCTTCTACCATAAACATCTTGAGAGAAGAAATAATGTCTTATTTACAGTTCCCTGAAATGTAGCAGGTGTCCAATAATACCTGTTAAATAACAGAATGAACATAAAAACTGTGAAGCAAACAGTTGGAGATCCTTTGGAAGGACATCTGTCAAGACTAGACTATGTTATGGCTCTTTATTTCCCTTTCATTTCAAAGAAGCTCTCAAAGTAATGTGATCTGAAAGAAAAAAAAAAAACAGCTAGCAACTTGCTCATCTATTACAGCTTTGTAATTCTGTTAGAGGAGAAGTGAAGCAATGGTTATATTAAAAAGCCCAGAAATAAGCTTCAATACTTGGCTCCTTCAAAGGATTTTGGGGTTGGGGGATTGAGTTTAAAGAAATTGGTTCTGAGGAAAATGCACTAAAATTAAAATCTTCAAGTTATAAAATGCCTTAGAGATAATATTGTCTTCCTCCATTTTAGAAATGAATAACTCGAGATGTCCAGGTGAAATACAATTTAACTAAAGTCTCCACATTTCTAGGTCTTACAAATTCAGAAATGTTAGCAGTGAATATGAGTACAGGATATAATCCTTCCTAAGATAAGAAAGATTTATACCCTTCTTTAGTGCCTGGGGAAAGCTCCTTGATTATAAACAGACAGTTGGTTGCTGAAGAGGATGCAGTTCACACACACTTCTGACACTGAGCTTATTCACTACAATACCTCTGTGTCCTAGAAACAGCTGTTTCATCTCCTCTGGCTCTGAGGCTACTTCCTGACCTATCGTCTCTCAAAATCCACCTGAGTTCTTATCACTGTACCCTTTTGCTAGTAAAGATGTGGCTACTGATAGGGGTCAATGCTGCAGGGGTTTATGGCCAGAAAGATTGGTAAGGGAGCTGATAAAAAACCTGATATCCACTGTGACAGTATCTGGCTTCACCAGTCACACTCTAGGACCTAGCCAAAAGCAAATACGTTGTTGTTTATGTAAATGGTTGCTGAAGAGGTCCTGGCAGGATTTTTGTTTATAGCAGGTGAATCTATCTCCACATGCTTATTAGGGAGTTAAAGCTGTTTCCTGTACCACCTTATTCTTTCCTGAATTAAGAATCTCAAAACACTAGACCCACAAGATGATTTACAGGTCATCTTGTATTCATTCCTCACTTTACAATGGCAGCGACTAAGTCCCAGAGAGGGGAAGTAAACTGCTTGATTCACAACATGAAGCAGTGACAGATGGGATTTTGGGACTCCTGGAATATCTTCCACCATACTCTTCTAATTTCATCAACACATAGAATGACAGAGTGGCCAGCATTCAAATCTACCTTTTTCTTTTTTTTTTTTTTTTTTTTTTTTTTTTTTGAGACGGAGTCTCACTCTGTCGCCCAGGCTGGAGTGCAATGGCATGAACTGGTTCACTGCAACCTCCGTTTCCCAGGTTCAAGCGATTCTCCTGCCTCAGCCTCCTGAGTAGCTGGGATTACAGGCACGTGCCACACTGCCCAGCTAATTTTTGTATTTTTAGTAGAGATGGGGTTGCATCATGTTGGTCAGGCTAGTCTCAAACTCCTGACCTCTGGTGATCTGCCTACCTTGGCCTCCCAAAGTGCTAGAATTACAGATGTGAGCCACCATGCCCAGCCCAAATCTACCTTCTTATAGGTGGAGAAACTGAGACCCTGAGGTTCATTTCACATGTATAAGGCAATACACATACTTAGTTGTAGAATTTGTTCTACAACAAAAATTCTTCACCTAAAGAATTTGGGGTCCATTGTTGAGCTACTGGGGATTTCTTGAATCGTGTATTGGGAGTGTGCCAAAATTGTGTGCAAATATGTTCATTTTTCTGAGTATATAAATTGTATTAGGTATTCAAAAGGGTCATGCCTCAAAAAAAGGATAGGTAACATTGGTCTATGTCCTAGATTACTGCTCATTGTGGCAGTTATGATGTATATTTTTAATTGTCTTAAGGCCATACATAAGAGGAGTTTCTGTCTTGACTTGTTGGGAAACTAGCAGTTCATCTCTTTGCTAAAGTAGTGTTTATACTGAATGGTCCACTTGAAATATCATTAGTCACTTTATAGGACAGGTAATGGCAGGAGAGGAGGGTGAATATTGAGAACAATGAGGCAGATTTTTGAACTTTTATATATTGTGTCTTAACAGGGAAAGTCCTTGGGGTTTTAACCTCCAAGGTAATGGATATCTTTGCCTCCTTCCCTCTACCTCTCTGCTCCTCCTGCCACACTGAAGGTCCCAAACAATTAAATTTTTGGACTTTGAATAAGATGACATGGGTTTAAACTCATACTCAGCTACTTGCTAGTTTTGTGGCCTTGGGAAAAATCGCTTTTTCTTTTCAGACTTCCAATCTCCTGGTAAACCTTTTCAGTAGAATGTAATATCATGCTTTCTACTAGGTGGGAAAAATCATCTACAAATGAAGAACCCAACAAACAATCTGTAGAGTAAGTAGAACATGGACTTATTTAATCTGCACATCTCCATCTCTTCTCAGGCTGATGGGGTCCAGGCTCTTTAGGAATCCAGGATCCTGGCCCTGATAGTAACTTGGTGTTTGGCACTCAGCCAGACACTCTCCTACTCCCCCCAACTCAGGACGTCTATTTCTTTATCTGAAACTTGAGCTGGTTAAAACAAGTAATTCCTTCTTTCTTTCTAGCTCTAAAATTCTGTGGTCTCTCCAGCTGTCACTGAGGTCTCATGTGGATCTGCTGAAATCATTGTCATTCTATGATTGCCCCACAGCTACATTTTGAAGAACTTCCTATAGACACATTTATTTGAATTGGTCCTGGGTGATACCTGGCAGCTCAAGAACTGAGTGGCTCAAGAAGGAAAACCCAAACCCCGGTAGAATAAGGAGAAATGAGGAATGATGATTTTGGCCTGTTATTTACATGCTTAGCTGTTTTGTTCCTCATTCAATGTGGGTATCACTCATTTTTATAGAATCCTTCTATTAATGCAATTTCTGATCATTACTGGATTATTTTAGAGGCACATTACCTTCTTTGTGACCTTTGCCTTTTCAGTTAGACTTGGAACATATTTCCACATGTTTGGAGTTTGTCCTGAAGATGCTTTTTTGACTGGACTCCTGAACCCAATGTGTTACATAATAGAAAACTGGAGTTGTCACTCTCAGGAACTGCTCCACCAGAACAAGCACGATATAGAGTGATTTAAATTATTCACAGTATATTTAACCTTCTTCACTACTGCCAGAGATTTAGAAAGGTAATTGATTGTGGCTCGGTGCAGTGGCTCACACCTGTAATCCCAGCACTTTGCAAAGGCTGAGGCTGGTTGATCACCTGAGATCAGGGAGTTTGAGACCATCCTGGCCAACATGGTGAAACCCTGTCTCTATTAAAAATACAAAAATTAGCCGGGCGTGGTGGTGCACGCCTGTAATCCCAGCTACTCGGGAGGCTGACACAGGAGAATCTCTTCAACCCGGGAGGTGGAGGTTACAGTGAGCTGAGATCATGCCACTGCACTCCAGCCTGGGTGATAGAATGAGACTCCATCTCAAAAAAAAAAAAAAAAAAAAAAGAAAAAGAAAAAGAAAAGAAGAAAGGTAATTGACTGTGTATGGCAACTCAGGATTTCTCAACCTGGGCAATTGACATTTTGAACTGAACAATATTTTGTTGTGGGAAGTTGTCATATGCATTTGTAAGGTGTTTAGGAACATCTCTGGCCTCTTTCCATTAGATGCCAATATGACACTTCTGCTTCCCAAGCTGTGTCAACCACATATGTCTCAAGATATTTCCAAATGTTTCTTGGGGGCCAAAATTGCCTCTGGTTAAGAAACGCTGCTTTAAATAATCAGTTTTCCTGTTTAAGCTTCAGGGTTCCTATCTGTAAAAGGAAAGCATGTTTCTCACACTAGCTGTGTAAGAGTCTATACTACAGTCCTCTGGTATCTACAGCACTAGATGTTTCCTTCTAAAGACCATTCTCTTTTGTTTTTCTGTTGTTGTCCTTTGGGTTTCTGTTGTTATTTACTATAGAAATAGGCCAGTTAAAAAAACTAAGTGACTAATAGAAACATAGAATATCGTACCTAGAACCATTCAAATAGATCATCTTGCCCAAGTCAATTATGTTCAAGGCAAGTGTGCTTTTCAAGATCAAGCTTGTTAATGTCAGGACTGAAATACAGATTTCTTCATCATTTCTTTCTGACACAATTCAATGCTTTTCTTTTATTGCTACGGGTTGTCATCTTCGGAAGCACCTATAATCTTACCTTAATAACATTATTTCTAGCACTCTCTATTATTTTATTGATAAACAGCAACTGTGAGGTAACACTGATGTGACTGAATATGTAACAAACTTACCTGAGTTTACCTCTACACACCAGTATTCTCTTCTTAAAAGTTATTTCCATATGGACTTGACATTCACTTGAACAAATACAAAATACTTTTGAAACAGCTTTAGATTTTGTGTTAGAATATGTGCCTCTTGTTTTCCTTCTTTTTTCTTTTATTTTCTCCTCTTTCCCTCTGTTCTCTATTTCTTTCTTCTTTTCATCCCTTCTTTATTTCTTTTACCTTTTTATTTCCATCTCGTCTTCTTTCCTTTTTTCTTCTTCCTCTCTTCTCCTTTTCATCCTTCCCCTTCCTCCCTCCCCACTTTTATTTACTATGTGTTACACCTCATTACAAAAGGAATGTGGCATAACTTACAATTAATAGGCTAAAAATAGGCAGTAATCACAGTGAAAAAATATAGCTTTTCCTCATTCCACAAATGAAAAGAAATTCTACATTATTTAATAACTATAAAAATTATATATAAATGCATTTTATTTTTGGACTTGGGAGAGAAGAAAAGACTCTATGAACAACTGAGCAATAGGGGGAAACAGGATGGTCATCACAGAATCATTGATTCAGAGACAATCCAGAACTGTGAAAAGTGAAGATACGGAGATGTTGCGAGCAATGACCTGTCAAAAGCTGCTCACAGCTATGAGTGGCCAATCTGTTTACTGAACTCCTTCTCAAAACGTGTCTTTTCTCTCTCCTTCAGGCAGATCTAGCATGGATTAAATCACTGTGGAGCCAGCCAGTAGCAAGTGTATTCAAATCTATTTAATATGGTCTTAATACCCGTACAAGAGAGTCATGTCCTGTAAATGGACGAGTATTATGAAAATCTTTAGAAAAGGGTACATCTGAACCTTTCCTGCCAGCACCCCCTCAAACAAAAATCAGTGTTTTCAGGAGAATAACTATGTTACAGGTGCTTGTTACCTACAACCTTTGGCTTATATCTTATCTCAAGCATCTACTCCGTTATGTGGCTTCATCAATAAAATAATTGAAATAGATAGGATGACTGTTTCTTTGACTCCAGAATTTCATATCTTATACTATTTAAGGAAAGGTGATTAATGAAAACAAAGTGATTTATAAAGTATATACATTTTAGAATTTAAACTAATTCTTCCAATTGCTTGCACTAATCCATTGAAGGTTAGCTACTCTTCCCTACGTTCGTATTCTGCAGAATGATTTCAGATTGAGGAACAGACACCCAAGAAAATGTTTTCCCCCAAATACACATTAATTAAAACCAAGGGAGAAGAGAACAAGGTGTGACAGCTTTTCTGTGTGAATTAAGCTGGGTAAAATACCTGAACCATGAATCTTTATTTGTGGAATGATAATAGCTAAATCCAAATAGGGTTTTGCACCAACAAATTATTCTACAAATCATGGAGTGCTTCGTATACTAAAAAAAGGAGTTATTGAACGGAATTTGGATGGGGACGATTATTCTGAATTTGTGCTACTCTAAAAGGTAAGAAAATTATGGTAGATATTAGGCCTTATGTTTTGCCTATTTGAATATATACGGCTATAGTAAAATGGAAAGCAGTAGAGGTAGAGGTAAATAAAACAATCTGGACTTAGGGTAAATGATAGCTCTCTGATCATTAGATGTGCATTTGGAGCAGATTAACTCACGGTGCCTGGTGTTCTCATTTCTAAAATGTAGGTGGTGATAACAAAGATAATATATGCCTACCTCACAAGGTCGTTGTGAAGGTTCAGTGAGTGAATAGATGAAGATGATTTTAAAAAGTTTCTGACACCTCAACAACACCGTTTTAGTGTTATCTTTTATTACATGGCCATATTGTTTTATGCATTCAAAAGATGTACATGAAATTATCTAAACTATCTGAGGTTTAAGAGGTATAGCTCAGAGTGCCATGGACTATAATAAAGTATGTTGGTGTTATTTCTTCCAGACTATTAAACAGCGGAACAGAAATGTGACTAAGATCAACCCAATAGTATATCCTTCACTTCCTTTGAATATAGTTTTCTCATTTTACATAAGCTTTTAATCTTAGAACAGTATACAATTTACAGAAAATTTGGAATGATAGTCAAAGGAGTTTCCACATAACCCACACCCAGTTTTTCCTATCACTAACATCATACATTATTATGGTATATTTGCCACAACGAATGAACTAATAGTGATACATTATTTTTAACTAAAGTTCATGCTTTATTCAATTTTTCTTTGTTTCACCTAAGTGTATTTTGCTGTTCCAAGACCTTATTCAGAATACCACGCTGTATTTAGCCATCATGTTGCCTTAGGTTCCCCTTGGCTGTGATATTTTCTCATACTTTTCTTGGTTTTGGTAACCTTGACTGTCTTAAGGCATGCTGTTCAGAAATTTAATAGAATGCCCCTTAATTAGACTTTGCATTTTTTAATGATAAACCTGGGTTTATGTTCTTTGGGGAGGAAGACCATGCAGGTAAAGTGCCATTTTCAACACATTATATTAAGGGTACATACTATCAACATGAATTTTCACTGTTGATGGTAATACTGATCACCTGGCTGAGTCATGTTTGTTAGGTTTTTTCACTTTGAGGTTAACTCTTTTTTCCTCTTTTTCCATGCCATACTCTTTGAAAGGAGGCCAGTATTTACAGCCTTTTTTTTTTTTTTTTTTTTTTTTTTTTTTTTTGAGACAGAGTCTCGCTCTGTCTCCTAGCCTGGAGTGCAGTGGCGTGATCTTGGCTCACTGCAACCTCCAACTCCTGGTTTCAAGTGATTCTCCTGCCTCAGCCTCCTGAGTAGCTGGGATTACACACGCCCGCCACCACACCTGGCTAAGTTTTGTATTTTTAGTAGAGATGGGGTTTCACCATGTTGGACCAGGCTGGTCTTGAACTCCTCAGGTGACCTGCCCACCTTGACAGCCTATTCTTTAAGAGTGGAGAGTTATTTTCTATCTTCTTGAGGGTAGAATATCTACCTAAATTATTTGGAATTTTTCTGCATGGGAGACGTCTTTTTTCTCACTTTTGTTAATGTATCTGAATATTTATTTATATCATTATAAACTCATGGATAGTTATGTTATACATTGGAATATAATTAAATACTACTTTATTTCCTCGCTCCATTGCTCCAGTTTTGGCCATTGAAAGCTCTTTCAGTTAGTTCCTGTGTCCCTTTGATATACTCATATTATTTTGAGCATGGTTTTAAATTTTTTGTTTGTTTGTTTGTTTTTCTTTAATTTGTGGTGCTACAAGATGTTTCAGGCTCATCTTATATATGTCCTGCTTCAGTCATAGAAGCAGCTACTTATCCAAGGATCTCTGGTTTCTTTTACTGGAGGATAGTTTTAGAAACCAAGAACTGGGCATTAGGTTTTCTCATTGCTGCTGGGTGTTGTTGCTTCTAGGCTGTCTCAGCTGACAGAGCAAGGAAATATATGGATATATACTGACCCATGTATATGCACATATCTATAAATATTTCTATGTGGAACTAGCTGTACCTATGCTGATTTCTCCAACTTTTATTCAACCACATGGATCATTCTAGCCTTTTTGCCTTGTTTTTCTGTATCCTCCCACACTAAAGTGAAAAACCTCGCTCTCATACACGCATCATCCATTTACTTAATTGTTTTATCACAGTGTACATATATAGTGGTTTCAGAATTGTTAAAATGTAGCCTGTGGAAAATAATTTTATCAAGTAAAGTACAGTGCTTATATATCGTTCATTCGGTTCATTTTACGTTAAATTTTATAGATTCGCTAACTTCAGAGTTACTTAAGTTAGTGTCTCCTCCCTTCCACTTCTTTAGTGAGGTTGTTTCATATATTTGTAATATAGTGAGAATATTTTATCACACTCTACATTCCATCCCAAGATTTCCTGACCTCCTTTGTATTTTATTTTGTTTTTAATTTGCACACATTAAGGTTCATTACTTGTGCTATAAAGTTCTATGGGTCTTGATAAACCCATAATGTCATGTATCCACCATGAATATACCATACAGAAGATTTTCACTGCCCTAGGTTCCTGTACTCATCTATTCATCCTTTCCCTGCCACCAACTCCAAGTTCCAGACAACCACTAATCACTTTATCTTATTTATAATTTTGCCTTTTACAGAATGTCATATACTTGGAATCATATGGTATGTAGCCTTTTCAGACTGGCTTTTTCACTTAGCAGTATACCTGTAAGATTAATCCTCATCTTTTCATGGCTTGATAGCTCATTTACTATTATTGCTGAAAATATTCCATAGTATGGATATACCACAACGTATTCATTCACCAACTGAAAGACATCTTGCTTGCTTCCAATTCTTGGTAATTATGAATAAAACTGCTATAAACATTCCAATGTGTGTTTTTGCGTAGATGTAAGTTTTAAATCAGTTGGGTAAATATCCAGAAACATAATTGGTGAATCTTCTATAGTAAGGGCATTTTTGGCTCTGTAAGAAACTGTCAAACTGCTTTCCAAAGTACACATACAATTTTGCATTCTCACCAGCAATGAATTAGAGTCCTTCTGGCCCCACATCTTCACCAGCAATTGCTTGGCAGTCGTTTATACTTTAGCCATTATAATAAGTATATTGAGATGTCTCATTGTTTTACTTTTATTTTCCTATGACAAATTATGTTGAAAATGTCTTCATATGCCTATTTGCCTTCTTGATATGTACTTTGTTGAGGTGTCTGTTACAATCTTTTGCCCATTTTAAAATGTTTTCTAATTGTTGAATTTTAAGAGTTCATTGTATATTTTGGATGTAAGCCCTTTATCAGATATGTGTTTTGCAAATACTTTTCCCCAGCCTGAAGCTTGTCTTTTTAGTCTCTTAATAGTTTCCTTTATAAAACAAAAGGTTTTAATTTTAGTAAAGTCTAAGTTACCAATTATTTTATTTCTGAGATTATACATTTTATCTAAAAATTTATTATCAAACTCAGTGGTCCAGATTTTTCCCATATTTTCTTCCAGACATTCTTTATATTTTTAAAATTTTTACATTGAGTTCTATGATCCATTTTAAGTTAATTTTTGTGAAAGATGTAAGGTGTATGTCTAGGTTCAGTTTTTTTTTTTTTTTTGCATATGGACACTCGATTGTTTCAGCACCATTTGTTTGAAAAAAAAGTCTATTATTTCTCCATTGAATTGCTTTTTCTTCTTTGCCCAAGATCAGTTGACGGTATTTGTATGGGTCTGTATATATATCTGAACCTTCCATTCTGTTTCATTGATCTATAAGTATATTCTTTTGTCAATACCAAATGTCTTGATTACTGCACTTTACAGTATGTCTTGAAACCAGGTAGAATGAATCCTCCAATTTTTTTCTTTTTCAGTATTGTGTTGGATATTCCAGATCATTTGTCTCTCCACATAAACTTCAGAGTGAGTTTGCCAATATCTCAAAAAAAAATAAATAACCTTCCAGGATTTTAATTTGGAATGTTTTGAATGTATACATCAAGTTGGGAGGAGCTAACATCTAGACAGTATTGAGTCTCCTCTCCCATCAATGCAAAACATATCTCTATTTATTTAGATCTTGCTTGAATTTTTGTCAGTTTTATACTTTTCTGCATATAGATCCTGTATTTATTTTATTGGATTTATAGCCAAATATTTCTCTTTTTTCAGTTCTGTTATAAATTTCTATAAATTTTCATTTTTATTTGTTGCTGACACATAGGAAAGCAATTTCTGTATATTACCCTTGTATTTTGTGACTTTGTTATAGTTGCTTATTAGTTTCAAGAGGTACCTGAAGACCCATGGATTTTCTATATAGACAATCATGTCATCTGTGAATAAAACCAGTTTTATATATTTCTTCTCAATTTGTGTATTTTAATATGATTTTGTTATTTTACTTCACTATTTAGGGCTTCCAGGACAATGTTGAATAGGACTGGTGATAAAAGACATCCTTGGTTTGTTCTCATTCTTAACATTTTAAGAAGCATCCAGTTTCGTACCATTACACATCAGGTTTAGGTTTTTTGTAGGTGTTCTATGTCAAGTTGAGGAATTTCTCCTATACTCCCAATGTCCTGAGACTTTTTGGTCATAAATGGATATCGGATGTTGTCAAATGATTTTTTTTCTCCATCAATTAATAAGATCCTATTTATCTTCTTTAGTCTGTTTATGTGAGTGAATAATTTTTAAAAGTTTACATTGAAATGTCACTAGAAATTCAATAATTACTCATTTACTCCTTCCTTTCTCTTATTTTTCTCAGTTTCTTCCATCTCAATTAGAGGTGGCAATCATTCCTTTATTTAAGGCAAGCTATGTGTTATTTCTCGAAGGGGGAATAGAGAATGTAATGATACCTTTCTAAAGCCAGAATGCCTGTGTTAACTGTCCAGCTTTACATTTTAATTATCCATGAGATGCTATATAGATTACTCCTTTACATTGCCTATCTGTAAAATAGGCTAATAGTAAGATCTGTCTTGTGAGGATTAAATATGCTTATACATGTATGTTCTTAGAAGAATATCTGCATGTAGTAAATTACGTAAATAATTTATTACATCCTAGAACTCATATTCTTTAGCTCATTGTTGTTCACATTGTAAATAAGAGCCTATTGATCATATCTAAACTATATAATATTTAAGTTACAGGTCAAGATAATATTTTACACAATATTTGAAAAATTGATATTGCTTTTTTGAATACAGAGCTATAATATTGTGGAAATTACAGTGTATGACAGGAAGAATAGTATCTATTATATTTGTCTCACAGAAATTCTATTGGTATAAAACAGAATAACAGACATGAATGCAAGTATATTGAGTTAAGCTAGTATTGAATGCCTGCCAAGTGCTGACCACGGTTAGCTCCCAGGCACATAGTGATGAGATGGCCAACATGGTTCCTCCATTCACAAAGCTTACAATCAAGTAGGAAAGAAAGATCAATTTTCCTGTAAATTATTTCCTTCATACAATACAGTGAGCATTTCCTCTGTCCAAAGTGTTCCACGCTTACTGCCTCATTTTAACACTCACAGTAACCCTCTGAAGTTGCTCTTAATACCCTTATTTTACTCATGGAGAAACTAAAACAGAGAGAAGTTGAGGTTTGCCTCAGGTCCCAAGACTAATGTGACTTAAATTCACTTATTTCTCCTGACTCAAAGTTATTGCTCTTTACGTGCAAGTTTCCACATTCTACAAGCTAGCATGATGTCCAAAAGGTATTTTATTCACTTGTCCCATGAAATTGGAACAATAAGAAATTAAAAGTTTGGACATATTTTTCCTATTTTGTCTTGGAGTCGGAGAGGAACTTAGAGAATGCATTAAATGATTCTAAAACATTGAGCCTGAATGCAAGTACCATCAGCCCATCATCCAGTTGTCTGTAGTTTTATCCACAACAATGATATAAGAAATTCAGAATGACTAAATACTAGGAAAGTAGGATCTACCTGCCCTTCATTAACATAGGTTAATATCTGGTAAAAATGGCACTAGCATATTTGTTTTAAAAAAAAATCCTAGCATTTATGAAACTATAAATCTAGATATCTTGACATAGCTTTATGGATACCATCACTGATTTGATTAATGTCACTTCTGTTATTATAGATAATTTAAATTTTTTGCTTGTTCTCAAAGAAAAAAAGGAAAAGAAACTATTCTTCATATTTTAAATTTCAACATTAAATAGTTAATGAAGCTTGAGTTATGATTCCTTACACAAATATTTACCAACATGAATTTTAACTGCTGAAGAAATGTATTTTAATTTATCTCAGCTTTGGCAGTATCTTGTTTTAGAAACAAAAGAGTTATGTGCGCTGATGCTGTTTGGTGACTGGGGAACACTGGTCTGACTGCAGTGCTGAGTGGGTAAATCCCCTTGTGCCTTTAAGAAGTCTTAGTTGCTTAATCTTCATGGACATTTGAAGTGTCTGGAGTGAGCTTTGATAAAAGGTGGATCAACAGGTTGTGCAATAACTTGAGGTTAAATGCCTTCCCAGAGGCTCCTAAAGATGATCATTTTGATTTTTCCAATTGAGGTTTTTAAACAGCAGCTGTAGGGCAGCATTGTGATGAGAGGAAAAGCCAGCAGGATGGTTTTCTGGTACAGCTCCATCTTAAGTAATACAGGCATTATGAAAAAAATGGTGCCATCATTCATAGATTTCAGTTTCAACAAACACTTACTGAATGCCTTACTCTAGGTCAGTCCCAGTGTTTGCTGTTTCCATGTACTCCATCTCATTTGTTTCTCACTATAGCACTACTGCTCAAGTACTTATTAATATCCCAAAATTGCGTATGAGAAATGGAAGCCCCACATGAAGAAGGGAAATAAAGTACATGGTAATTTCCTAGTTGCAGATGCTGGAGCTCTAATATGAGGTAGGTAGGTAGATGGGTATCATGGCTAGAATGTGGCATCACCATTCAGGATCAGAGATTAATGGGAATTACTGCTGGGTAGCTATAACACAATAACATATCCTTATGTCCCTTGATGTGGGCGGGGTAAACTTTCCATTTTGATCTTAATTGCGATGTGCTCCAATGAGCAGCTGGTACATAGAGAATTGGAAACAGGAGTGTCTAGTAGCACTGACTTCCCCACTTCTGAAGTTAAGATAATGAGTTCTTTTACATCCTCTGAATATTCCAGGGATATTTTAGGAATATGTTTGGGATGGGATGGTAATAATCACAACATACCAAGCTAGGAACATAAAAAGGTATGGATCATATTAATATCACCCAAATCTCTTTTAAAGTAAATGTATTACAAAAATAATGTTAATGAATCCTGGTTAAAAGCGCTACCAAGGCCCATCC
The DNA here is from genome assembly GCF_000001405.40 of Homo sapiens. Taxonomy (NCBI): domain Eukaryota; kingdom Metazoa; phylum Chordata; class Mammalia; order Primates; family Hominidae; genus Homo; species Homo sapiens. Next base: position 189,700,997 of record NC_000003.12, read on the forward strand.
AAACCAGAAAATCTGTGATATGTGATTTTAGAAAGGATCATTTAATATTTTCAAATTTTCTAAAATGAGAGATAGGCTTTGAAACTGAAGATTGTTCCTCCTTCAACTTCCAACATGATTGTGATGCCTCCCCAGCCACATGGAGCTGTGAGTCCATTAAACCTCTTTTTCTTTATAAATTGCCCAGTCTCAGATATGTCTTTAATAGCAGCGTGAGAATGGACTAATAGAACTCCAGTACGTGCTCCTCAAGAATTATCTCTAATGAAAGGGAATTAAGAATTAGTCTGTTTCTGTGAAGATGTGAAAGCTATGAAAATTCATTTCTCCGTATGTCTGAGTATCACAGTAAATGAAGGAGTGAGTCTTCCAGAGAAGGGATTACAGTAGTTATTTAAGGGAGGCATCTAAACATGAACAAGAAATCAAGGCAAAGTCCAACTGAATATGAGAAGCCACCTTTCAGGAAGCTGGAGATAAGGGTGTATGAGAACTGATTTTCAGTAATGTGAGGAGATATATATACATATATATATATATATATATATATGTAATTTTATATATATGTTATATATATGTGTAATTTTTAAGTTCAGCAGGAAATGTGGGAGGAATACAAAAGAGTACCTATTTGGATCATATTTATTCCAACAGAAAATGGAGGGGAAAGTTCAAAAATTCACATGGTCCAATGCAAAGAGGCCTAGAGTTAAATGTTCTGATAAGGCGCTCCATTCCTTTTCTATCATTTACTAGATAAGTGACCTGGGATTGATTCCTCACTGTCTCTGTACTTTCCTATTTTTTGAAGCAGAGGTGATAATACCTGGCCCACGGTCATGTTCAGTACAATTAGTTGAGTGTATTCTTCAAATCTGAAGGACCTCTGTTTGTTTCTAATCTTTTCTTTCTTTTTCTTCTTTTTCCATGTAGGTGAACACCACATACACAATTTACCTTAATAAATTAAATAAATGTGTAACTTGTCTGCAAGTTGGAAATTCCTGAGGGCAAATGCATTATCTTAGGGAGCCTGCAACATGCCTAGTATTACTGAGTTGGCCAGAGAATTCTTAACACTAGCCCTGGAGGCCTGTACCAGAGTCTGGGTCCTGCTGAATTGGCCCTTGGGGTTTTTCTGGTTCTGGAGCTGCTTTGGTGGGTTAGTTACTGAGCTTCTCTAGTGGGCCTCTTGTTGTTTTAGTAGCTTCCCTGAGGGAATTAAAGGTTTTAACTGAATGTGAAACATCAGACAGAAACTGCAGGGAAGATTTATTGACAATGAATCTCAACTTTCCAAAGGTTCATTTGAAACTAACTTCCTTCTAAGCCAAAATGATTCAAATTTGAAACCCTCCAGGGGCTTCTCTGGGATTTAGGGTATTAGGGAGCTTTTTCCTTGCTGTCGTAGATTATCTCACCATTGTTTCTTGACTTGTAGAAGAGGAGGTTTGATTGGTAAATCACCTCTTCCCTACAGCTTTAAATTCTTTACTCATTCAGAAGATAAGCAGGACTCTGGCTGTGGTGCATTCCAAATGTTTCCTCTCCTGCCTGGGTCCCAAGGAAACCAGCCTGGGCCCTGCCAAGGGTATAATGAGCAGGGCACATGCCACAGGAAAGAGCCAGAGGGAAAAGTTGAGGTTGAGCATCGCAGAAGGTTACCATGGATGCTACACTGTTTTTAAAAAGGTAAATATTCAGGATTGAGCAGAGCAAAAAGTACAGACATGAATTTGAGTTTTACCTCTGTCACATGAAATGTGATCTCAGGAAACATAAACTTCTTTCATGCTCCTTTTCTGCTTCTGTAAAGTGGCTGAAATAAGTTTTATCTTACAGCACCATTGATATGATTGGAAATAATATATGTATAAAGAATAGCAAGAAATTAATAAATCACATCATTAACAACAGGTTTTAGGCACTGGCTCAGGCAATGTGTGCCAGGCATTGTGCAATGTACCTCATATGTATTATCACATTTAATCCTCTTGAATCTGCAAGGTAGGTGCCATTGTCATTTCCATTTTGCAGATCAGAAAAACTAGGCTAGGTTTAAGGAACTTGCTCCCAGCCAGCTGATGAGTGGTGCAATCAGAACTGGGATCAGGGTTAACTACAAAGGCCACTCCATGTTCACAAACTTCTCTCAGGCCGGGCACGGTGTCTCACGCCTGTAATCCCAGCACTTTGGGAGGCCAAGGCCAGCGGATTTGTTGAGCTCAGGGATTTGGGACCAGCCTGAGCAAAACAGTGAAACCCCATCTCTACTATAAATAGAAAAATTAGCTGGTCGTGGGGGCATGCGCCTGTAGTCCCAGCTACTCAGGAGGCTGAGGCAGGAGGAGACTGGGAGGTGGAGATTGTAGTGAGCCAAGATCGTGCCACTGCACTCCAGCTTGGGTGACAGAGTAAGACCCTGTCTAAAATAGATAGATAGATAGATAGATAGATAGATAGATAGATACTCTCCCTGATGCTATTTTCTAGGGACCCAATCCGTAGGTCTTCCTATTGAAAAAGAAAAGAAAAGGCAGGTGGCTGCCAGTTTGAGTAGGGTGTGCATAAGATGATATTGAAAGAAAAGGTAGAGGGCAGAGTCATTAGAACTTTAAATAAAAGCAGTTTTCTAAATCCAGATCCTTACATACTATACTAATACAGAGAAAAGCCAGAAAGTGCACTAACACCCCATATTTTGGTCACAGCATTGTCAATATTCTATAGGAAAATTTAGAGCAATTTCATTTGTATCTTTTTCTCTAAAGACAAGGAAATAGAAACTAAGAAAGTGATCATGACTTATTCAGAGTTATACAGTGAGTTGTTGGGAAAACAGAGGCCAAAACACAGTTCTCTACCACACCAGACCACCACACTCTACACAACCTCAACCTGGCCTCTGATGGAGAGTCTACAGTCAGTGAGATAGCCTCAAGTTCTCTAATAAACATTCACTTACTAGAAAGGACTCTATAGTTATCACTTACACTTCAGTGTGAATTAAGGACACTTTGTTGTTCCCTGTCCCAGAGAACATTTCTTTGGGTTCACATTTGGACAACTAGGCCATACATATCCTGTTTCCACTTACTAACCAGATACTACCTACACTTCAGGCTAGCCCTGCGCAATAGGCTAGATGATAAGAGCTACAATGGTGGGAGAAAAGTATGATTGCCTGTAGGCAATAGTGTGTGTGTATATGTGTGTGGCTGTCCTGCTCCAACCTAAAAGGTTAAGTAGTAAGGTGATGTTGGTTTGTGCTATTTTTCTTTCCAGAATGTTCTTTTTCTGGTTCTCTACGTGGTAATACTGAATTAACATTTCAAGTCTCAGTTTTCATTACTTCCCTTGTGAAGCCACCCATAGCTTACATAGTAGTTTCTCCAGCTTTTTAGACAGCCCACCATTTAAATAATATCTACCTATTGTTCAGATTTCACTTTAAATGCCAGGATCTCAGGGAAACATACCTTCATACCAGGCTTAGACTCCCCTAATACCTGCTTTCATTGTACCCTCTGTTTTCTTCTTCATCCAATTGTCAAAGTTGTATGAGAGCAGTTACTGTGCTTGGTTAATGTCTGTCTCGTGACTAGGCTATAAATTTAAGGAAGGACAAGGTTCTTTTATTCACAGCTTTATTTCCTCAGGGCCTAGCACAGTGCTCAGCACAGAATAGGCTCTCAATAAATATTCCTCGACAGAATAGGTTACCTGCATTCTTTTAAATTGTATATAATTTTTCACAATTCGGACACTCTCACTGAATTTTGTTTCCTTAGAGCTTGGCACAGAGTGTTGGCCACTAGAAAATGCTTTTAAAAAGATTTGAAAGAAAAACATGAATAAAATAGGCTAAAATCTCTCATCCATGAAAATTTTCTAAATTCCTGTAAATCCAGCTAGCCAGCTAGAATAATTCCTATAGGTGGTTTATCACTTCCTTTCTCCTTGAGAAGCATTAAAATCACAGAAACCTAGTGTTCCAAATATTTGTAAAATGCTATGATTTTTAAATTTACATTCACCTAGATGTATGATTTTCTTCAATATTTTTTACCTATGTATAATATTTGTATAAATAACATGTCATCATTAAAAATCCAATTTAGCAACTAACAACCCAGGTTTCTCAATGCTCAAGCTATCTGAGAAGCTGTATAGTGCAGACTCAAGAGCTTAGATGTTTTATCAGAATGAGTATGACCTCAGCTCTTCTTACTGGATGTGTCCTACAGGCAAATTGCCTAACCATTCTGAGCCTCAGTTTCCTCATATGTAAAATGGGGATAGTAATAGGACCTACCCTATAGGATTAGTATAAGGTCTAAATGAGATAATGCCCAGTATTTAGCATATAGTAAGTAATGAGTAACTTTGAGTTTTTTCTTCATTTCAACGCTTTTCATTCTTATTCTTTTTTCATTCTTATTCATTTCTTTCTTTTCTTTTTCTTTTCATTCTTATTCAATTCTTTTCATTATGATTATTTAGCCTGTGGTTGGTAATACCTAAAACACATCCTTATGGTGCCTGAAGTTGCTCCTGAGTGCGAAGCAGCCTTCTCACCTAGACGGTGCACACCTCCCATCCCAGATCAGAACCTCTAGTCAATGGGAGAGCATATGGAGTTTTAAAGAACATATTTATTATAATATATACTTTTATATTTAGAAAATTTAAAAGGAATCTGTTGTTTTCAAGAACCTTGATAAAGAAAAATATTCTCAAGGGGGGTACACTGAATTCTCCAGGTGTGTTTAAGATTTTTTGTATGTCAAAAGGTAGAAAGGAACACTGGCCTAGACCTGAAAGGAGATCATTTGCCACCTTAAATTGCTTATTATATGAGGGAGAAAGTATCAGTCTACTGTGAATTCACAATGCCAGCAGCCATTTAACAGTAACTGTGATACTTCAGGGACTGGGATATCCATAAAGAAGCCTAATGTTGACCTGATTTACAAATTAAGGAAAAATTTATTAATTCTGTAGTGCCCATGCATATACTATGTCTAATAAAGTGTGGAATTCTCCCACTCTGCTTTGAATTGTGCATTTTAAATATGGAGAAAATCTTTATATCACATCGTATTAATCTATAATCGCCCCCTGGTTTCAGCTCCACCAGCCCACCCTCCCCTACAAATACAAACAGTTGTTACACAGTATAACAATTATGACAAACATTATTTTAGAAAAAAAGAGAAATCAGCTTGCCATTGTGAACTTACTTCTTTTTTTTATTTTATTTTATTTTTTATTTTTTGAGACGGAGTCTTCCTCTGTCACCCAGGCTGGAGTACAGTGGCACAATCTCAGCTCACTGCAACCTCCGCCTCCTGGGTTCAAGTGATTCTCCTGCCTCAGCCTCCCAAGTAGTGGGATTACAGGCACCCACCACCATGCCTGGCTCATTTTTGTATTTTTAGTAGAGATGGGGTTTCACCATGTTGGCCAGGCTGGTCTCGAACACCTGACCTTGTGGTCCGCTGGCCTCGGCCTCCCAGAGTGCTGGGATTACAGGTGTGAGCCACCGTGCCCGGCCGTGAATTTACTTCTTAATTCTGTTTTTTCCCTTGGAGACTCTTCCCATCTTCTGCCGTGGGCTCTCTGCATCTTGTGACATCCAGCAATACATCTCAAGCAGGGAAACTTTTTTTCCAACCAGTACCAATAAATCAGACTCAGAATTTGCTATATCCTATGTATCAGCCAGGCGAATTTAAAACTCTAAGACCAAGGGACACAGGTTATCACCAGCTTTGTTAGATAGATAAGGGAGGATCACAGAGACGACTTGTAACATTGCCTAAGGCAATAGTAGTTCTGACTCTAGATCTCTGATACTTCAATGGAGAGTCCAAATAGACAATCCAAATCCAGGAGAAACAATCTTCAGCATTTTATACAATTTCTCCTACACGCTGAAAGATCCCCATGCTGTGTAACAGGTCTTGATTTATTCTGTTATGGTTCCTTAAAAGTGTTCTTTTGCTAGCTCACTTTCTTAAGATTTTAGCAGTGTATATACAGATGAAGCATTTTAGCTTTGCTAATTGTTGTCAACACAGGTTGTATCTTAGAACCATACTAAGACATGATCATTTTTAATAGTACAGTTTTATGATAATACTATCTAAAAAAGGAATTTTTTAAAAACCATCTACTATTTTATCACTTCAGCAAATTAAACATTTCTATTTTTCTGTTCCTTTTCAAAATCTTGCTAAATGCTTGCATAGTATTTGCATATCTGTAATCACAGCACTGATAAAATTATATTACTTAAATGGATTGTATATTCATTTTTCTGAATTTGCCACAGAGTAATCATTTTAATTACTGTATGTAATATTGTACTATGTAGATTTGCCAGAATATTATAAACCCAAACTTTTATGTTGAATTGTAGGTGAATTATATACTCTTTTTGCTATTATTAACAAATCTATAGTCGTCATCTATATACATTTGTACATTTTTGTTGTTTTACAAATTTTCTTTTGGAGATATTCCCAGACATGTTTGCTGTGTCAGAGGATAAGGATATATTTATGTCTATAGCATAATCAAATTTTTGCTCTTTTACATATGTCATAGTAAAACCTTCCTGAGCAGAATGCTGCTAATTTAAAATTTAGATTATTATCCTAGAAAATGATTACTTTAAAAAACAATATTATTCTAAATGTTAATACTAACATCATAACCATTATAACCACAAATAGAATAAATTAAACATCAATAAGGCAAATTTATTGCCTAAATTTAGAACTTAAGAAAGTTACTTATGTATACTTCTTGTTAATTTAAAATAGACCTTACCTATTTTTTAGAGTGGCTTTCCAATATTTTTGACCACTAGCTATAATAAAAGTACTATTTATGTGGCATTGTACATTGCGTACATACATATACAAAGACATGCAAGTATCTATAAGGTGAATCCTAAAATTTCATAAAACAATACTTGTTCATATTACATGCAGTGAAATCTGATATATTCCATGTCGTTCCATTGCCTTTTATTCTATTTCAGAGTCATCTATGTTTTTTTCGTTCCTTCTTTATTTTCTTAAGCTGGCTGTAGCCCACTAAATTGTTTTCATGATCTCAATCAGCAGAGTGAAAAATCATCTTTTAAAGCAGCCTTGACAATACCTAAGCTTAAAAATGGTTTACTAACATTGAATTCAATTTGTACAATCTTTTAACTTCGAACTTGGAACCAGTTTCAGCAAACAATGTCTCTGCCAGTAGTAGCAGTCATGAGAAATACACGGACTTAAGGAAATCAACCTGTTGTTTCGTGAACAACAGTTTCAAAGAAACCACAATCTATCTTTGTTTTCTCGTTTGTTTGTTAGCTACAGCCTGATTTTTGGTTCAGTCATTTATACAAGTTGTGCCAAAACCTAAACTGTATGATTGGCATACAGCAGTATTTAATTTGGTGGATTAATTTCTTCTCTGGAATGGATGCATCTAATTTCTGAGGAAAACCTCAAATGACATGTCCTTACTGAGAGATGGCATGCCAAAGTGGCTTGTGGTACCTGACATAAATAGAGCTGTGAAGCATGTTTGCTGACCACGAATGAACAGGTTGTAAAGGGAAGCACGTGCAAGGGTGCTTTTAAGAGTAGACTGGGCAGGGTCTTGAACCCCTAAACCCACCTGGAACTCAAAGACACAGATTTCATTCATTAATTCTGTCACTATCCACTATTCTACTAGAATCTATAATGAACATCGCCTAAACTGCTAAAAAAAATAATATGCGAAGGAAGACTTTCATTTTTTATAATACTTAAAATAGGATTACTCCTCTTAGACTTCTTTATACCCATACATTGCTTCACGGCTCAGAGACATTGCTGGAACACGAGAGTTAAGAGCCTTTACGTTGTGTTCAAGAAATTTTAGAGTGTCAGTTTGTTTTTTCACAGTTTCCACCAAAAGCAATCCTCTTACATACCTAGAATATATTTTACTGTGGTATATCTCAGTATTATCCCCATATAGTTAGTTAGATTCATCCTTGTTTGCTGTTTTATTTCATCATCTCACTTTTAATCCATTATCTTATGGTACATTATTTTTCTTGTACATCATGAAAATGTACACTGCAGCTGAAATATGAATTTTTGTATGTAATTATTGCTCAGCTTTTTTGAGAACAAGGAAGATACAATATGAAATAAATTACTACTTTTCCCTTTTGGTATGATTTTAAATTTGCTTTTAGAACAAATTATTATGATGGTTTTCTATTCTGAATCTAAATAGCCTTTTTTTCCATAAGAGTTGAATTAATAAATTTGTTATAGCTTTGCTTCATGGAACTTTAACAAACATCAAGGTTATATTTCTGTCTAATCCCTTCATCATTCTGTTGTCCTATTTATGATTTTTTTCTTTTATTTTTCCACTATGGAGCCCACAGTCTGAAACCGAAGCATACTATTACAACTTTGTCTTCATTTTTATTTTAAATTTGTCTTATTTAAGACAGCTTTATGTTATTTATTCTTAATGGAAAATGCACTGAGGAGAACTTTTTTTATTTGCTTTTTTAAAGAATTACAATTGTGCCACTGTACTCCAGCCTGGGCAACAGAGCAAGACTCCGTCTCAAAAAATAATAATAATAAAAAAGAATTACAGGTGCTTTTTACATTTATGCTGTCCTCAATAAATGTTCTTCAGATCATTTGTCCTGTTCTCTGATTTATAATTCCTAAGAGGACACTTTAGGAGGCATACATGGGAGGCAATGTAATATGGATAAGCTACAGTTAGGGATGATATAACTCAGGATTGTAGTTTTCCTTTGAAGGTGGGTCATACAACTTAACCTTTGCTCACTTTTTCTCCATCCATAAGATGGACATGCATTACCTTGTTTATACTTTTTAGGAATATTTTATAAATGAATAAACATATTTATCAATAAATGCTTTGAGTTATTTAAAGACACTGTAACCATATCATTTACTTAGTAATAGCAAAAATAGGGGGTTGTGTAATGTCAAGTACTTATTTGAATTTGTTATGTTTTCAAAAATGGTCCATGTTTCACTAGACTTAGACTATACTATTAAATCATAGAAGTCTGTGTATATGTTAGGGAAAGGCGTGGGGAGAGAAAAGGAAAAGAGAAAACATACCTTCACTGTGTCCCTTGTAAGTATAGTTTGTCAGGTAACCCTCCTAACAGGCCTAGGGGATAGATATTATTACCTCCCTGTTGTAGAGGAGAAAAATATAGCTGAAAGAGGCAAAATAACTTGCCTGAACTTATAATCAATATGTGACTGAGCTAGGATTTGAACTCAGCTACAAAACTCAGCTTTACAGGTCACCACTCAGTTTCTCAGCTTTCAGATTCCTGCTTTGGAAACATGTTAGCAATTAAAATAGAAAAGGGCAGGGATAATTTAATTAAAATACTTAATTTATAATGTTAGCCAAATAGATTTTTTTTTTAGCTTCCCTCAATATTTCCATTACTGCTTTAGTTGCAGTTTTGGATTATTTCTTATTTTATCTTGCTGATTTGTCCAACTCTAGTTCCTGGACTCACAAAAATATACTTGCTAAAGATGCGTTAAAGTGCATGACCTATACTGCAATTTCTCTACATAGTTATTTATGTGCTTAAAATGGCCATCTTGGAGAGTGCCTGAAGGTTGAGCTAGAGGAGGGTGATGGAAGGAGGGGTGATTCAACAGAGTCAGGGAAATTCCAGATGACATGGGTTGCCAGATTTCCTGCTGGCCTTTCACTGCCAAACTCCACCTCCTGCTCTTCTTACACAGCTGTGTGCTTCATTAAATAGTGATGTCTACAAATCACAGCAGTGTTAAAAAATGCAGAGCAGGGGGAATTCCTGTGCACTGACTGCTGCCAAGTTCCTAGAGTTTTAACAGCACACTCATCAAACTGCCTCTCTCTTCTCCAAAAACTATAAATAAGTTCAATATCAAGAGTGTTTTCATCAATTATAATGCCTCTCTGTTCTCTTGGAGAGTTGGGAATAGTATATAGACACATTGGTTACAGTGCCCATGTCTAAGGCAATATGGTAGGGGTCATCTGTTGTCAGAGATAAGACTTTTGACCTTGATGTTGCCACTGTTCTTCCAGTTGAGCCAGGAACCATTACTTAATCATTTACAGCATAGATTTTCCCATCTACAATTTGCTTTTCAGAAACCAGCCTTGTGGAATTTAGGCCAAGAACCTGGTTGCTACTGCTCAGAGTAGGTATAGGAGAGGTATGCATTTAATTCAACAATTCCTCTTGAGGGTTTCTGTGTACAAGGTCCTGTGCTGGGTGAGGTTCTACCTCATCTTTAGCAAGTATATTTTTGTGTTTACAATGACAACATTAGTAAGACAAGGCTGCTAATACATTCATAGTACCCGTGTGAGGTGAGTGCTGATGAGTGGTCCACTAGAGTTGTTAAAAAGTGCCACAGGAACGTGGGGAAAAAAATAGAAATTTTACCTGGAGGATTGGAGACATTTCAAGGAGGAAGTAACATTGGCTCCAGGCTTTAAAGAAGAGAGGGGTTTAATAGATAAATCTGGAAGTACTCCAGATAGAGGGAAGAATGCAAACAAACGGGTAGAGAACGGAGAAATTCAGTGAATTGTCAGAATAGTGTCTTGCCTTGTGTTGTAGCAGTACCATAATGACTGACAGCCTACAGTACTCTGACAATTTAAAAAATATAACCTGTTTTCTTTCATGTGGGTATAATGTCTCCAGTTAGGCCTATCCACTTTTTATGATCTTATACCAGCTGGATCCTTACACTGATGTATGGGCTTGAGCAAAGAATATAAGGCGGAGATAGGTAGGCTGATGGAACTTCCGTGATAGGAAGCTGTCATGTTGGTTTGGTGGATGGACAGAGGAAGAGCAAAAGCATGAAGGAGAAAAGTGGAAGAAGTGTGGAGGCCACTTGAAGAAAAGTAGTAGCTAAATGGTAGGCAGGACTCGAGTCAACTTTCTTCTGGAAAGTTTCAGGACTGAATCTGGAAAAGGAAAACACAGAACAATTAAAATTGATGTGCATTTATTGAGCACATACCTTGCACAAACACTACAATAGGCACCGTGGTAGACACTGAGATACAATAATGCATTTCCCTGTCCTCACTTACGAGGACAGGAAACAGACACGTAAACAACTAACTACTGCACAAGGTAGAATTCAGTCACAGAGGTCAGTTTGTCACAGAAATATGGAAGAAGACATTTTTGATTGGAGAGGAATAAGAAAGTTTTCTGAAATATTCTGAGGTAAGAAGTGAAGATTAGCTAGGTTATTAATAAGTCTTAGTCCACTAGGAGTGCTGTAACAAAATACCATAAACTGGGTAACTTACAAACAATAGAAATTCTCATGGTCCTGGAGGCTGGAAAGTCTTAGATCAAGGCACTGGTGGATTCCGTCTGATGAGCACCAGCTTTTTCATAGGTGGCACCTTCTTGTTTTGTCCTCACATGGTGGAAAGGGCACACAGCAGCTCTTTGAGGCCTTTTTTACAAGAGCACTAATCCCATTCATGAGGAGAGGCAGTAATGATTTAATCACCTCCTCAAAACCCCACCTCTTACTATCATTACCTTGGGGGTTAGGTTTCAACATATAGATTTGGTGGGGTGAGGGTGGGGACACAATTATTCAGATCACAGCAATAAGAAGACAAATATGGAAAGGTGTTTCAGATTGAAAGACAGAGTAGGCAAAGAGAAAGGTTATAAAATGCAAGGACTATTTCAGAAATGAAGGTAGGATTATGAATTATGTTTTATTATGAGATGAGTTTAAGCTCAGATCATTAGGTGTCTTCAGAACCATGCCATTGAGTTTGGGCTTTGATCTTGAGAGGGAGCCATTGAAAATATCTGAGATGTCAAGTGACATGGGGACATCTGTTTTTGGACTTAGGGGTGCTGGGAAATTCCACTATTGCCACATCTTAAACCTCTAAGAAAGAGCTAGGTTTGCCTGGGAATTCTCCCAGACCACCACAGCACAGACAGAGAGGTCAGATTGGATTTCCTGATTATTTGGCTTATGGTCAGATAGATTGAGATGCAAAAACCTCAAAATAGGCTTTATGGCCACTTCATCTCCATTTGTACCCCTGCCTTTGGGCTTTATAGCATTCTGTTTATTCTGTGTATTTCTGACACTTAACACACTGCCTGGCAAGTAACTACTCAGTAAATGTTTACTGAATGAATGGACAAACTACTAACTTGTTTCAACAGTGGGGAAGAGGCCAATTATCAGAGCTTGAGTAAACAATCTACACATGAGCATCTGGTTTTGAGCTGACAGACAACTAGCCTTTGATACCATCCTCTGGTCCTTGAGTTTTTGGATAAATACTTCATTTTCCTGAGCTGAGTTCTTTTCATTTGAAACGAGTTCATCTTATTCCAAACGTTTAGGGGGTAATCTCAAATGTACTTCATCTCCAATGAACTGATCCAGTTTTAACTTCAGAAAGTCAAGCTTCACATCTCCCAAATTTATTTGATTTTTGAATTTTGAAAAGATTAGAGACTGAAGCCTGCATAAAATAACAAAAGTAATTCAAAAAAGTGTTATATATACCATAGTTGAACAATTAAATTACAAGTTCAAGTCTAATCCAACTTTTTAACTTATAACATTATATTAGGTGTATATTCTGTGAATAACTTTATATCCCTCTTCATAATTATAATTGATGCTTTTATAAATTTTATAATTGATGCTTTTATAACTTTTATAATTGAATATTATTTCAATAAATAAGTCCATAATAATATAATAAAATAAGTAGCAAATCAATTTCTAAGTCTGAGAGGCTTTACAAATCACTAATTAGAAAATATATGATCAAGTGAAAAATTTTTTGTTCAGTATGGAAAGAGTGATTAAAACCTGGTCTTCATTCTCTCCAAAGTACGGTTTTAATAGTTTCTGTTGATCCTTAACACATCTGAAACCTAAAAGCAATTTAGACAAAGTTGGATTTTCCAACTCTTCATTTTATATGTGGTATTCACAGATCCTCAGTGCCAAATGATTATCTGTAGATGAATTAAAGACACCCCGTAAGTGGAATTGTGTGTATGTGTATGTATGTGTGTGTGATGCAAAGCGTCACAGGACCCTCATAAGGTGGACTTTGGGAAAGGTACTATTAAACCTCTAAGAGTTCTGCCTTCAAGTTCTATTATTCTCTGCCATGACTTTTGGGAAAGTGATCATGTTCCCGGTGTTCTGAAAGTTTAAAGAGACGTATGCAAAGAGATGAGGTTTTAGCAATCGCTCCAGAAATTATCCCATCACATAGTGTAGGCTCATTGCCTAAGAACAGAATATAACCGAGAATAATACAGAAATATCAATATCCAAGGACAAGTACCGAAAAACAAATCTTGTTTTGACAGAGGTCTGTTAAAGTGTATGTTCGTACACCAATTATGCGGAAATTTTGAGAAGTTTCTTTTCTGTCCATCCTAGTAATGTTTGAGTGACTTGGTTGTGACTTAGAGGCCTCCTTTTCAAGACTGTATCTCTCACTGATGTACACCACAGTTTCTGATAGGTTTTCCTTGGCTGGAGATTATCCTTACATCTTTCCAAAATTCTCTCAAATATGAGAGGCCTGGTTTCTCAGGAGGGAGTATTGAAGAAGGGCATACATAAATGACAAAGAGTTAATTCAGCTTGCTTCTCAGAGTTAGAGTCATTGAACGTAAACACACACAGACATACATGTACACATTCATATAAAAAGCATCTCTTTTTTTTAAAGTGCTGTCTAAAAAGCAAAATAGAACAAAAATCCAAGAACTCAAAAATTCTACACAACCAGAGAAGCACTGGGAGAGAAACAGTACTGTACGTTCAGCAAACTGTTTTATTTTCCTCTTGCACGTAGTTAGCTATATTTTTCCAACCTCCCTTAAAGTTAGGCATGGGCATGTGACTTGGTTCTAACTAGTGCAATACAGGCAGGGTGCTTCATGCTGCTTCCAGATGTGGCCCTAAAATTACCATCTGACCCTTCACTTGCCCTCGTTTCCTCCCTTTCTCCTCCCTTCTCCTCTCCTCTCTTTATCATAGGCTGAATAGAGAGGACCCAGAAGAAATCTTTGAGGCCCTAGAGGACTGCTAAGCCACTAGATGGAAGGATTCTAGACCTCTTAGTCACCCTGAGTAGGAAAGTCACACAAGAGAGCTGCCAGAAGGGAAATATCTGTGTAAGATTTTGTGTGAGAAGGCTGATTATAGCATTTGTTTTGAAATTACGGCATTTGTTTTTTCCTGTGGTTATCTTTTAATCTAAAACAGGAAGCATTGAGGGTATGTTCTGATCACTTAGAAGAAGATAAGGTATAACATCCAGATTTGATCTCTCTAAGAATGTGCTACCTTTGCTATTCTAGGGAATATTCCTTGATATAAACATTAAGACCTATTAGGTATATACATTTCAGCAAAAGATGATTGTAATTACAAACTGACATTGATGGTAAATTACTCTATACCCTTAATAAGGTCACGGGTTGTGAGTCTGAAACCGTCTCTCTGGTGGTTTGGGACATAGCCACCATGGTATGTAAATCTGATGCTAAAAATTGGAGCAGCTAGCCATGTGAAGAATTTGGATACTGTACATAAACCACAATGAATCTTATTGTGGAATAGTAAAGATTTATCACTGTATAAATTTCTGTGCACTGATTTGGTCTGTTTGTTTTTCTTTTGTTAGAAAAATCAAGAGACCATGAAATTGTTTGAGAAATAATTCTAAGTCTACGTGAGCACTGAGGCTTCAGGAACTGAACCATGCTCTTCTGTGCCCATCCCTTAGCTCATTATTCTCAGAGGGATGTGGATTTCACTTTCAACCACTTTAGCTTAGATAGTGATAACAATTACCTACCATTTATTCAGTACTCACTACGTACTATACTAAAAACTATATACATCTCATTTACTCATACAGCGATATAGCACATTAAATATTTTTATTCCTGTTCCACATATGAGGAAACTGAGGCTTAGAAAGTTTAAGCAACTTGGTTCAAGTCAAACATCTGTAATGTGGCAAAACCACATTTCTAAAAGTCATGTTCCTAATCAGTGCTCAATGCATCCGTTACTGACCTTTGTATTCTTTATCTGTAATTGTATTAGATACCTCCCTTTTATGTATAATGTCCAATTTTATAAAATATATTTTTATTTACTCTTGAGTGAGATCAAACCCCAGGGGATAGCATATTTGTTCAGGGCCATTTTGTTTTAATGATTTTACACCATAAAATTTGTTTAGATTCTTAGTCACTGGACTTTGTGGAAAGAATGTCATAATTTCTGTGCTGAATTTAATTTTAAAAAGCCCTGGAAATGCTACTTCCATGATCCCTTCCCTTTTAAAGAGAGAGAATTTGCCAATCATCTTTCTCACTCAGTCCCAACATTGGAATGGTGTCATTAGGAAAGGAAATTTTCAGCTTTCACATCAGTAAACACAGTGGAGATGCAAGAAATCCATAGTTCTTACTCGGAAAGGACTGCGGAATTTTATGATATTCTGAATTTTATAGCCCAACATTTTTAAAGGAACCAAAATAAACAAACAGTTCCTCAGTTGCATTCTTTTTCCCCTTTGGCACTAGTCTATCTTATCTGAAATTTTTTCAGTTCATCTACTTCATGATAAGCACTTTTCTTCTCCTAGGAAGAGCTATCAGAATCTCTTAGTATCTTTTTTTTTTTTAGATGGAGTCTTGCTCTGTCTCACCCAGGCTGTAGTGCAGTGGCGCAATCTCGGCTCATTGCAGCCTCCACCTCTCAGCTTCAAGTGATTCTCCTGTCTCAGCCTCCCAAGTAGCTGGGACTACAGGCGATTGCCACCGCACCCAGCTAATTTTGTATTTTCAGTAGAGACTGGGTTTCACCATGTTGACCAGGCTGGTCTAGAACTCCCAACCTCAGGTGATCTGCCCGCCTTGGGCTCCCAAAGTGCTGGGATTACAGGAGTGAGTCACTGCACCCAGCCTCTTAGTAACTTTCTATCTAATTCACACTATCAATTGCAACAACTGAAATATCAACATACACGTATACGAACTAAACAAATATGTACACACACACACACACAGTGTTTGCTGTCCTAAAGCTGCTCCCATGTTTCAACATCTCTGAAATTAAAGAGTTATTATCACTATTTAATAACCTTTCCAACATGCAAACACATGCTTCATCTGGATCAATCACAGATAATTTCATAATAAATAATGTACTAAATATCATCTTCCACACTGATCAAGAGACCAGCTTGAGAGAGTGTGTCATGTAACTTTTGACAAACACAATAACTTTGAATAATAATTTGCTTATTAGCTAAGATTTGGGAAGCTGACTGCTTCCAGAAGCATCTGGATGGGATAAGAAATGAGAACAGCTATACTGTTTTCATATAGCTATACTGAATTTGAATTTCTTTAAACTCAATACACTAAAAATATGACCTCACAAGCCTGTAGGTCACAGATAAAATCTGAAATTAGGATTGTAGACATCCTGATTAAATGAAGTTGGTCTCATTAACCAAAAGTAATCATGCTTGTTCAGTCCCTAAGCTGCTTAATGCTTCTGCAAAATCTGGGAATTAGGCTTGAGGATATCTCTTCTGTGCTGCATAAGCCCTTTCCTTTAAAGCAGTTTTCTTTGTGTTCTTTTTTTCTTTTAGCTTGAAATTGGACCCAGCCTCCAAAAGTCAGTCTTTACCCTGAGCTTAGAAAGGGAAGACATAGAGTTAGTAGTAACAGGAAACATATTAAATGCAAGGGATAGAATTAAAGAATGTGTTAATGTGGAAAAATGAGAAACCTTGCTATATAATCCACTATTTCTGTCAGACTCCAAGAATCTAAAATGGAAAATTATTCAAGAAAGATAACAACATAAGAGAATGCGCTGATGGAGGAAGGTCTATATTGGAAAAACAAAAACAAATGCCAATCTTTACAGAGGGTAACCTACAAGGATATATCACAAGCATCTACAAGTGATGGATTTTGATTCCCAAGTGTGTGGAGAAAACTCCTAGGGACAACTTTGCAGTGACCAGAAAGCCATGATTGAATAAGGGGACACATGTTCCTGGGATAGGAGTGATCTTGTGTTTATTTTGGAAAGAATTATTTAAAGGGAAAAATAAACCTGATGTATTAGTTTGTTTTCACAGTGCTATAAAGGACTACCTGAGACTGGGAATTTACAAACAAAAGAGGTTTGATTGACTCAGACAGAGTTTCACAAGACTGGGAAGACCTCAGGAAACTGACAACCATGACAGAAGGCAAAGGGGAAGGAAGGCGTGTTTTGCAGGGTGGCACGATGGGGGAACTACCAAACACTTTTAAACCATCAGATCTTGTGAGCGGTCACTCACTGTCATGAGAATGGCATGGGGGAAACTGTCACCGTGATCCAATCACCTCCCATCAGATCCCTCCCCTGACATGTGAGGACAAGATTTGGGTGGGGAGAGAGAGCCAAACCATATCACCTGAAAATACTGCATAAATAACATTTAGCAGGCTAAGTGTAAAGACCTTTATCACATCATTTAGAAATTCAATGTTTCAATTGTTAAAGAAACATGTAAACATATAATATTGTTAAGTTAGCCAACTAATATAAGTGATTCAGTTTTCCTTGGGGGTAGAGAACCTATACATGTAAGATGGGATTGTCATTTTTGGGAAAGGTGGAAAAAGATGGAAATTACTTTTGAGCTTTACTTTGAATCATTTATCTAAAAAAACAAAAACAAAAAAACAATGTAGCCTATACTTTTGGAGAGGGGTATATTTAACAGAAATAAGAATATAAAGAATATGTGAAGAACATAAAGAATACTTCGGAATATGAATGTCTCTAGCTCTTTGTGAGGAGCTCTGACATCTCTCAGACATAACTGAATGAAAAAGCACAAATTTCTCGGTTGCCGTAATTGAAGTGTAGGGTAAGAGGAAAATAGCAGCAAGAACAAAACTCACAGATGCAGACAAGGACAAAAGCCATAGACGCACGAAGGAAAAACCTGCCCACAGAAAAACGGTGTTCTCGGTTTGGTAAAAGTGAGAGAACTTGTTCTTTGGGAAGCCAGGCAGCTCCTAGCAATCACAACTTTCTTTTGTACATACTCAGATCATTTATTTTAAAACGAATCGGTAGCCTTTTTTGAAAATACTCAAACTTGTCCTTAGTTATAAGCTTCCTAATCTGCGCTTGCAGAGTCCATGATGCTCAGTTGGCTCTCCTTGATTATGTGCCCATATTCACTCTTTCATATCTATTCTTTTTGCATCCGATGTATCAGAAATCTGTTTATTCCTCCAGATTTCTTTTGTAAAGTTCTACCTGACCAATCAACACATCTAGTCCCTCCATTTTATGGCATTATCATGCCATAAAATGTTATCTTCGAGTCTAGTCCAGCAAAGTTTTTCTGTAAAAAAATCAGATTGAATATTTTCAGCTTTGCAGGCCATGCGGTCTCTGTCACAGCTACTCAGCTCTGCCGTCGCAGGTTGAAAGCAGTCATAGACTACACCTAAACAAATGAGCATGGCTTAAACACGCTGCAAAAACAGATGAGAGTATGTGGGTAGCAGTTTGTAGATCCCTATTTCAGAGAGTCTTCTGTTTTTCTTGAGCCAGATCTCCTTCGTGAGCGCTTTTCTTTGGAATTATGCTCCTCTTTTTCTCTATGAACTTTAAAAAGCAAATTTCTTTCTTGAAATGTAGATAAAGCCTGGGTTTGTCCTCTAAGTACTGCATTTGAGAAGCATTGAACAATCACATAAACCTTAAAAGGATTTTTATTCATTTAATCTCATTTATTCTGTTTCTAAAAGGATATTAAAGAAGATCCAGTTAGTAATCTTCAGTAGCAGTTTTCACTGTTTACTCTTCTCTCCTGCCTTCACAAGCTACAATCTATTCATTTTTCCTCTGCCAAACCCTGTCTCAAATTCTTGCCCCCAGCAAGCTCGGCCCACAAGGTTTTCATTTTTTCCACGCCACCTCTGTCTCAGAGCTCTTTGTTTTGTAGGTAGACTAAAGCATCATTGCTAAATTTGTTCATCTGTCTTCTCCCTCCATCATTCTCAGATACAGAAATCAAAGAACCAGGCCAAGGAGGAAGAATCATTGAAGGGAAGATCAAAGCTTGTGAACACTCCTGATTTTAAATGTTTATCCTGTTAAATATTATTTTTATTATCATTATTGGCTTAAGTATATTTCATTTACTTGTGAAAAAACTTCTCATACATTGTACATAGAATGTTCTCATTAGACAAGGCCTTAAAGACCATCCTGTCTCCAATAACTTTAGATAGTGCATCTCTTCCATTAAAGAAGACTGAATCCCAGCACTTTGGGAGGCTGAGGCGGGCAGATCACCTGAGGTCAGGAGTTCAAGACCAGCCTGGTCAACATGGAGAAACCCCGTCTCTACGAAAAATACAAAATTAGCCGGGCGTGGTGGCACATGCCTGTAATCCCAGCTACTCAGGAGGCTGAGGCAGGATAATCACTTGAACCCAGGAGGTGAAGGTTGCAGTGAGCTGAGACTATGCCATTGCACTCCAGCCTGGGCAACAAGAGTGAAACTCCGTCTCAGAAAAAAAAAAAAAAAAAAAAAGAAGAAGACTGGAGGCTGGCAGGGAGCAGATAGGGAGATAGGGAGAGACTCTGCTACACATTCATTATCCAGCATCTCCTAACAGACTCAGCCATCTCACACTAAGAGACAGCAAACAAAGAGAAGGCTCCCAGCAGCCACATGGCAATCACACTGGAATTACCTTCTGTGCACCACTGGACAGCTGGAGGGGTGAGGCCAGAGGGCCTATTCGTAAACAAGTCTCTCCCAGTCATGTCCATAAAGGCATTTGCCTGTAGGAGGTGATTGGCTTCCGATGAAGTTGCTATAAGAGGACACTGACAGGGAAGATCTTTGCAGAGATTTAGAGGCCTGATCTGCAATTTAGGCAGAGAGTTTTTGGTGCAGTAGGAAGTTTGAAGAAGTCTTTGCAGCAGTAGTTATTGGTTTACAGTGGACCGTCTTTACCAGAAGTCGTGAATAGATTTTCTCAGATGAATTGCCTGTCATCAGCTGAATGTTGAAAGAACTAGGGCTACTTGTGTAACAGAGAGAGGAACAATAGGTTGTGGGCCTTCCAATAATAGAATAATAAAGTAGGAAGGATGCTTAGTGATTTTCTAGTATTTTCTAGTAATACAATAACCTTCTATTACACATGGGGGAAATGAAAACTAGAGAGAGAAAGGGATTCCCCCGTAGTTACCTGGCTAGTTAGGGCAGACAGTGAAAAATATATGGATCTATCAGGTGCTTTTTTTTTTTTCTCTGCATTGCCCGTTGTGATTGGAAATATTAACTGGGTGGCAAGACACAACAAGAATCCTTGGGTTGCTCTGCTGAAGTGGGCGGCAGGAAAGTATAATGATCCATCTTGCTTTGGAGGTTCAGCTAGAACTTTGTTTCATAAAGGGACTTCTTCAAACCACCTGGGAGGCTCTCGCTTGTTTCACATGCCCAGACTTACCTCCCTGGGCGTAAGGAGTATCCAGCTGCCCAGGTGATTTCGATTTGCTTATCCTCGCCACTTGAGACTCCTTAAGTCTAGACAGCAATGGTTCTGAACCTCACCAAGCATTACAATCTCTTGTGGAATTTCTAGACTTTTAAGTAATATTCCAGCTCAGATTTAAGTCTGGGAAATTCTGATTTAATTGAACTGGGGTAGTGCCCAGGCATCTGTATTTTAAGCATCCCAGATATTCTAATGTGTAGCCAGCTTTGAGAAATACAGGGCTAAAGGAAGCCTGAAGGTTTAAGCCTGGAATTAAACAACAGCAAGAAAGTAGAGAAGTAGGAAGGATGGATTGGAGAGATCTTACTGAGGATGAATTAGGTCAGAAGAATGTCATTGCTTAAGAGGAGAGTAGGAAAGGAGAGACAAGAAACTGGTGAGCCTTCCTAGGAGAGTAATGAGGTTCAAACAGGCTCAGGTGGAAGCTCTCTGGGGGCCAGATTAAACAAAGACAGCAGGGCTTGGAAAGAATTCCGTGAAGACGCTGATCTACCCTCTCTAGACTGAAGTATATGTGGTTTCCTCAGCATAAAGGAATGACAGAGGACAAATAACTCAGCAGGAAGTGTTTGGAATTGGCAGGTAAGGAAAAATAATAAGGGAGCAGCCTTAGAAGGATAAGCGCGTCTTTAGTGTCAGCAATCCTTGGGCTGTAGTTCATCTGATAACAAGGTCAAAAGTCTCCTGTAAAATGCACGATAGAATCTTTGGACCAGAGGGCCTTAGAGCTCAGGGGAATCAACCCCTTCACTTCACAGAGGAGGAACTTGAATCCCAAACAGGGGCAGGGACTTGCCCAAGATCCCAGCCAGTGAACGCATTGGGCCTGTAAGGCAGGGCTCTGAACTCTGTTCACTCCTAGGAGAGTCCGCACAGTGCACAGTGTGATAGTTAAGAACTACTCCAGGCGCAGAAAGCTCATGTACCTTCCCCAAAGTTATACACCTAGTAAACGTGGGTGTGTATAAAACACCAACTTTCTCATGTTTTGTTGGGAGGATTAAATATTCGTAAGGCACTTAGATCAATGCCCAGCATGCAGTATGTGTTATATTAATTATAATTATTACATCATACTATTTTGTTCAAGTATTAAAGTGACATCACAGTGAATAAGACTGAAATCTTGTCTATTTGAGGACAGATATTTAGAGAAAATGCAGACTTATTAAAGTGCTCTGTCTTTAATAAAACTCTAAACATTAGAATTTAGGTGAATACTGAAGCCATGTGTTTTCAAGTGCAGTTTGTTTAAAGTGCAGATTTGTAAGCCTCAGTCCAGATCATTTGAAACAGAATCTCTTGGAGGAAGGGACAAGGAACTGGCATTTTCCAGATGTACTCCCAAGTATTTCTGTTGAACTGTAAAGTGTGACACCTACCGCTCCTTACTGGGGAAGTGGAGTAACCTAAGGTAAAGAGTCAAGACCTTTTTTTCCTTCAGTGATATAGTTACTACTGGATTCTCCTTCTCACCATTACAGATATGGAAATTGAAGGTTAGAGAGGTTGCATAGCTCGCCCAAAGTTATTAACCTTGTGAATGACAGACTAGGGACTCTGAAGCCATATCCTTAGGAACCCAGAGTTACCATTCTCCCGGTTACCATGTGAGTTTGAGCATTTTTCTTATCTATTAAATGGGTTCATGTTGGTATCTAATTCAAGGGATGTTGTGAAAATTAAACAATGCCTGTCAGGCATATTGCAGATACTTTGCTCATGGAAACAATCAAATGATAGCTATCGATTCTCTTATTGATGTTAGCATTGTTACTTGTCCTTTTCAAATATTTTATTCAACAAACATTTGTTTGACACCCCCTCTGTGCCATATACTGTGCTAATCTGTGAACCCACAAAGGCCAGAAACTAAAATTTGGTTTTTCTCTCCATGAACCAACCAGTCAGGTAGGAACTGTAAATAAAGATCTGTACCATAGACAAAATGTAATTCTGATCAGAGAGGAACAAAATGTGCCCTGATGATTTAGTAAAAACAAAACTTATCTACCAGGTATCCTTAAGAAATACATTATTCTGGGTAGCTGAGTTTTCTATAATAGTTGAACATATACTTGTTAGATAGCATTTTATGTTTCTTTTTGTATTGGAAGATAGACATTTCTGAATATAATACATACTTACTTTTTAAGCCAAAAATAGTGTGCACCCTCAGGATTACCATGGGGAACTTTATTTTCTGGGTTGTGTTATCACACCAAAATCCTCAGGGGCTTTTGCAAGTACTTTTTTGTTTTTGTGCCTGGCTTTCATTTTTTTTTTTTTTTTTTTGTCTCATTGTTGCAAATATCCACTCCACTCCTCACAGAGGTCATTGCAATATACCAGAAAGAATAAAGACTTAGGAGTTATCCAACCTATATTTTTATACTAACCCTTTCAGGCTGTATAAATTAAGCCATTCATCCATTCAACAAATGTTTATGAATGCCCAGTTGTTATATTAGGAATTCTGTTATGTGTAGGGATGCGAGATATAAATGTATCTTCAAGGTTCTATAGTGTTAAAGTTTCCCTAATTGTTCATTACTTTTTTGTGGTATGTAATTTATATTATATTTAATTCTTAATAATGATTTATTTTCATAGGTTATTGGGGAACAGGTAGTGTTTGGTTACATAAGTAAGTTTTTTAGAGGTGATTTGTGAGATTCTGCTGCGCTCATCCCCCAAGTAGTATACACTGAACCCGATTTGTAGTCTTTTATCCCTCACCCTCTTCCCACCCTTTCCCCGGCTCCCCAAAGTCCATTGTGTCATTCTTCTGCCTTTGCATCCGCATGGCTTAGCTCCCACTTATGAGTGAGAACATATGCTGTTTGTTTTTCCATTCCTGGGTTACTTCACTTAGAATGACATTCTCTAATAATTTCTTTGCATCTCTACAGTGGAGCTGGGGCAATAACTAACAGAGATGTTTTGCAAGAGTGGAAGACAAATACAATTAAATGCACCTGGGATTCAAATCCCCTCCATCTCCTCTGTTCACATTCTGTATTCACAAGCATTATGGTTATGGAACACCTTCGTGCTGAGCACTGTTCCAGGCCTTGGGGGATGCATCCGGGAACGGGGCAATCAGCTCATGTTAAGCTTACATTCTTCAGGCAGTGGGGTGGATGGGGGTACGGGAGAGACTAACAATCAACATGTAAATATATAACACAGTCTCGGATAATTGATATTTAAAAAATATGGGGCAAGGATAAACCAGCAATCGATTTCTTTTTCTCCCTTACTTCTCACCATGATTTGCACAAATGTGTTGCTTAATAAATAAATCCTTATGATTTGTATCAGACTTTACTGCTAGATACTATTTTTTCAAGGTGTTATACCTCATTGTGAAAAAAAGTCTAAAGGTTGTGATTTATATAAACCACATTTCCTGTCTTTAGTCAATTTTGTGTATTTAATTTACTAAAAATGAAATTTACCAGGACAAATAATTAAAACAGACATAGTATATATAATTATTACTTTGAATGTTAAGGAATTAGGTAAACATGGTAATGTGAAGTTTATACACAAGACAGACCCTGTAAAGTCCACTTTCAAATAGGGTTAAAGCATAATCGACAGAAAATTTAAAAAATAAAACATAGGACTTATCGGGACTAGGAATATAAATATGTAAAAATTAATATATAAAAGGAAATTGTTCCTGAATGGCAAGATGACTAATTTTAAAGTTTAAAACTTCTATTTTTATGCCACCAAAACTTAATAATACGTATCCCGTTGTGATAAAGTACATTTTAAAGACTCTGATTTAAGCTATTTTACTACCAAGAGTTGGAACAAATAAAGTCAGGACAGGTGAAAATATATATTTCCTTCACTTTGAAGGGAACCACACGAGGGAATTTAGCAATATGGGGGCAGATGGTGGGGGAGGAAATCCTGCTTCGGAATGTGAGTGTGTGAATTCTCAGCTTTCTGCCATGGTTCTTTGTTACTACTGATTCTTCAGTGCAACACATACATAGCCAATACAAATGTAAAATTATTTTGCAGGCCGGGTGTGGTGGCTCACACCTGTAATCCCAGCACTTGGAGAGGCTGAGGTGGGCAGATCATGAGATCAGGAGCTGGAGATCAACCTGACCAACATGGTGAAACCCCATCTCTACTAAAAAATACAAAAATCAGCTGGGCGTGCTGGCACGCACCTGTAATCCCAGCTACTTGAGAGGCTGGGGCAGGAGAATTGCTTGAACCCAAGAGCCGGAGGTTGCAGTGAGCCGAGATCATGCCATTGCACTCCAGCCTAGGCAACAGAGCGAGAGTTTATTTTGGGTGGGGCGGGGGGGAATATTTTGTCATCATTGCTAGTGAATGTTTGGAATAAAACATGTACAGATTAGGCAAATTTATATTTAAGAAAAATCCATAAACACGTATCTTGTTCCTCCATATGAACGTCACTCGGTCTTACTCTCTGGGTGGGCCGATCGTCTTATCACTGAGTAGCGGCAGTCCAAAGAATGAGGCTCAACACCTTGGTCTGCTGCTATTGATGGAATATGTGATCTTGACAAGTATTTTAATGTTATTCAGCTGTAGAATATTGACAATAATATTCATTCTATGACATCGAACCATATGAACTTGGTAGCATTCCACCATTAACCTACAAAACAGGAAGTTCCTAAGGTTCAATATGATACATAATTCATCATATGACTATCAAATGGAGTATGTGTGAAAGTGATTTTGTACTGAAGTATTCCAGGTTTGAATCATTATGTAGCAATAGACTATTGAATCATATCTTTGTGATATATCATGCTTTATGAATTGGGTCACCATCCCATATTTAAAGTGCTAAAATATTAATGAGGATGGTAAGAAAAATACATGAACAGTTACAATAAAAAAAATCAGGTGTGAACCGAGGATCCTGCCTCATTGGTCCAGGGTCACTTCTTATTTCCAGGTCCACATCTGATTGCTTGTAATTCCCTGGGATGACAAATATTAGCCCAGTGATCTCCCACCTTTATTTTGTACTCCACATATAATGGTCCAAGAGAAAGTTTCTACAACTTCACAAGTATTAACTCAAACTGCAATTTATTTTAAAATCTTTAAAGGTCTTTTATGTACATCAGGTGTTAGCAAACTTTTTCTACACAGGGCCAGAAAATATTTTTGACTTTGCAGGTCACATGGTTGCTATTGCAACTCCTGAATTCTGCTGTTGTAGCTCAAAAGCAGCCATATACCAACACCTAAATAAATATGGCAGTGTCCTTAAAGACTTTACCTAGAAAAACAGGTGGTGGGATAGATTTTGCCTGTGAGTAGTAGTTTGTCAACACCTAATCCAGATGAAAGATTATGGTGCAGATTCTTCACTAAGCTTTCAGCTATGGGACTTGGATTAGGAAAGTGGATTAAGGTCTATAAAATCTTTGAAAATCAAACCCAATCACTTACATGTATGTCAGTATGTATACTTCATTTTTACTTTTTTTTGTTTATTGTGTAAGATTGTTCAGAACTGTCATCAGATTCCCATAATAGATTCTATAATTGAGAAAAGGTTGAAGGCCACTGCAATTGGATTATTTTCTGCATGAATCAGACCAGTATCTGGAGGTTTTAGGGCAGTAAACCTTTCCTCAATTTTTAAATCACTCATTCAGCAATCTGAGTTGTCTGACAAAGAGTGAGCAGCCTTATGTGGTACAGATGCTCGGCTGAGGTTGCAAGATCACTGTTAATAAGTTAAGAGTTTGGACTAGATGACTTAAGGTACTTCCAACCATTAGGCCTTATAATTTTTTCCAAGAAGTTCTACTTTTTCTTTTTCCATATTTTCTTTTCTTTTTTGTCTAAATTCAATTTATCACATTCTTTAAACCTAAGAAACCTCCTCTACAGGTTTCTATTTCCCCATAGTCCTTCCTGAGCTCCATTTTCATGTATCTGGGTCGTGGATGTTACATGCATTTTTCTTCAAGTGTTCACAGTTGTGTAAAACCCTAATGTATTCCAAACCTGATGTCATGGTGATTACACTTATTCAAATGTCTCCTAAATTCTAATTTGGGGGCAGTTTGTCAAAAAGTACCCTGTTTGTAAGCATGCATGTTACTGTGTTTGCATGCTATAATGCTAAAATGACATTTTAAACAAGATACTCAAGTATTCCTTATCTTTGTCTTCTACCAAATGCCAGATTCTAGACTGAAATGGCTCGGAATATTAACTGATGAATTTAGTATAGTAGAGCGAAGTTTGAGAACATGTTTTATGTTTGTGGAGTTAGTACAGTTTGCAAAAGTGTTGACTGTACACTTTATGTCTGAAGAGCTTTGCCTAAGGATCCAGGATGGCTAGGCTCCAGAACTAGATACTTGTGGACTTCCTGTGGGATATGAGTAAAATCCCTATGAGTTTCGTTTATAAAAAAAAAAAAAAGGAGTAGAGATGATGAGAAATAAAGCCCTTTCTAGTTTTTCCCTTCTACGGATCTGTCCAAAAAATAAAAAACAAGGAAAATAATGTTTTTTAAGTGTCAGTATCTTATTAGTTGAGGCAACAGACCTACATACACAAAATGGAAATGCCATTTCAATGTGGGTAAATTTGTGGGTAAATTATGATAGAATGAACTAAGGACAAGAATACTTAAAGCATGCCAGGTTGAGGGTGTGAACCCAAACAAGATATATAAATATTGTATCCTTTCTAGGTGAGCTCAGTGTTGGCAAATGCAAAGAATATGACTTGGGGGAAGATGGTGGATTATGTAAAAGGTCAATCTGTAAGGGCTCAAGGATGAAAACAACCTGTAGGATACAGCTGATGTAATAGTTTGCTTTCATGCTGCTATGAAGAGATACCTGAGACTGGGTAATTTATAAAGACAAGAGATTTAATACACTCACAGTTGTGCATGGCTGGGGGAGGCCTCAGGAAACTTACAAAATGGCAGAAGGCACCTCTTCACAGGGTGGCAGAAGACAGAATGAGTGGAAGCAGGGAAATGCCAGATACTTATAAAACCATCAGATCTCATGAGACTCACGCATTTTCAGGAGAACAGCACAGGTGGCGGAGAACCTCCCCCATGATCCAATTACTTCCTCCTGGTCCTGCCCTTGACACATGGGGATTATTACAATTCAAGGTGAGATTTGTGTGGGGATACAGAGCCAAACCATATCAGCTAGCTAAACAATTTGTAAGGAGGGTTTGCTCAAAAGAATGAGAGACAAAGGTGATTAGATTTTTGTCAAGGATGCAGGGTTAATGACTGTAAATTCTCTGTCACAAAAGGAGTAACCTAATGAAAATTCTGCTTTTGAAGGCTGATCATTACATAGTCCTTTAAGTTAGAAAATGCTGACTAATGAAAAAGGCAAGAGGTTTAGTGGGATGGGGAGCATGAGTGAAGGGCATTGTATTCAGAGAAATCATTACCTTTAAGGAAGAAATTGGTTAGGATAAAGAATGGGCCACAAAACATAAGACGTCAGAGAATTTCATAATTGAGAGAGAAAAAGGACACTCCCTCAGAATTAATGACTGCCAAGTTTGGGCTAAATATGTAGAACTTTAATGGGAGAAATTCGCGGTTGGACTGCACAGTAAAAGGTCATGGAAGAAGCAAGCCGTGAAGCTGTGGGCAATCAGATCTTAAGACAGGTCATGGTCAGTCAGGAGAGAAAAGATTTCTGAAGATGAAAAGAAGCCAGTAACTAGGAGAAATGAGTGTTGAAATATGCAAAATAGAGTTTTTTAAGAATATTGGTTCAGTAATATATAAAAATAAATTCCTTGATAAGAATTTTTGTTCAAATTGTGGCAAATTGAGATATTAAGGCATACACAATGCTCTAAATGAATTTTATTTTTTGAAGTTGTGTTTTCTGAGAGTTAAGCTGACATGGATTTGAGTTGGGATGAGTAGAGAGATAAGGAACTTCATATTTTTCCATTTGAGGTTGAAAAGGAAAGATTTCCATCTAAGGAAAAAAAAAGATGCTAATGGGCTTAATTTAGAGTTTGCAAGTGAGTTTTGGAGGCAAATTTATCTCAAGTTTATGAATAAATTTAGTCCTCCAGGGTCCTTGGGCACTGTTAGGTACAATAAAAAGGCAATACACTAAAAGGCATCAAGGTATTCTTTGGCATCCTCAAAACTAAGTATGATGATTAATGATGGAATAGTTATAGTAATGGCAGGGTAAATTCTAAGTATTGGAATGTTTTCTGAACTAAAAATGTAAAAGGAATTGTGTGGTCAGGAATGCTTCTGAAGCTAACCCGAAGACTCATTTTGCAAAAGATCTAGGGAGGTGGATAATGAAGGCTTAAGCAATAATTGGATGGATTGATAAATTGGATGGATGGATAGGTGGAAGAAGTCATGTTTAGAGTTTTGAATCACTTTTATCTAAGGGTTGAGGATACTTCCAGAGTCTTTGAGGGCTCAAGTTTCCTTGAGCAATAGTAATCCTAACTGTCTTTTCTTATATTACCTTTGAGAGTCAGTTCCTTCTGGCAACATTGAGAATCTGCAGAAGGGCAAGCATTCTGTAAATATCATTCACCTATCATTACCCATTTTCTTATGCCAATTTTCTGGTCATATCGTGGAAAAAGGCTGACTATTTTGATGAGACAGAATTAGTAAAATATTTAGTTATTTCATAGAAAAAAGAAATATTCCTCTTAACTATGAAAACTTCATATTGCCCAAGTTTTGTGGTGAATGAAAATAAGGAGCCACATATGTAATTTAGCAAAGCACGAATTTGAAACAATATAAATTTAAATCTCAGATTTATTACCAACACCTGAGTAACAACTTCCCTATCCTTGCTGAACGTAAAGATCATCATGTATAAATGCTGACATTTTGTGAGGTCCTCAAAGGTTTATACCTATTTGTGATCCCATCCTCCCAATGAGGATATCCCAGTTTGATCACAGTTGGTGAGGAGGAGGTCCCTCCAGGCCTGCTCTATTGGAGATTTCTCCTGCAACATTCTCTCTTACAACTGCTGACACCCTGTCAAGGAGGCCTTTGAGCCAGGAGATCTAGTAGCATCAATGAGCTTCTGGTCTGCATCACTACTAAGTGCTATTTTATTTTGTTAAATGAGTTTATATTGATGTTTCTATACAATCAAGTCTATTTGTAGTTTTATAGCTTTAAGTTTGCATGCTCCAATGGGGAGTAAGTGTGGAAACTGTTAAAAGAAGTCAAGGGTTAGACAATTCATGACAAGAATTTGTTTCTGATGCACAATTTTTTTTCTTATTGGACTATAGATAAAGACTTAGCACCAGGCGCTCTGGCTCACGCCTGTAATCCCAGCGCTCTGGGAAGCTGAGGCAGGTGGACCACCTGAGGTCAGGAGTTTTGAGACCAGCCTGGCCAACATGGTGAAACCCCATCTCTACGAAAAATACAAAAATTAGCCGAGCACAGTGGTGCATGCCTGTAATCCCAGCTGCTCAGGAGGCTGAGGCAGGAGAATCGCTTGAACCCAGGAGGCAGAGGTTGCAGTGAACCAAGATGGTGCCACAAGACTCCAGGCTGAGCAAGAGAGAAAGCCTTCATCTCAAAAAAAAAGAAAAAAAAAGAACACTTAGGTTTTCATGAAATATATCTGGTGTGAACCAGTGAACCAGTTCTTCTTAGATTTCAGCTTTTCTGTCTGTTAAATTAGAAAAACTAAGCTAGACGACCTCTCAGGTCTATTATTTCTAAAACCCATCTATGCAGCTAAGGTTGTTTGGAATCTGAAATTTTAGAGATGTGGAGATTTTCAAGCACACTGACAGAAAATAAAGGTGCAACAGACTAAAATGACAACATTTAGGGAAGAACAGGCAAAGCAAGAGGGAGTGCAGACCATTGGCAGAAACCTCTTGATGTTTTCAGTTCACTTCTGTAAAGTTCTTTCTTCCTGAATTAATGCAGAGTGTAAGACAGTTAATCCAAGAAAAACAACTTGAAAAGAAAAAAAAAATTGACTTCGGGCTTTCTATCTTTAGGTGTGACTGACTTGACAAAAACCTTTGAACAGAATGATTGTTCTATGAGTAAATTGATACTGAGAGTCACCCAAAGGTAAAGACTTGGAAGATAGGTAGGATTTGCTTCACTCTTCTTGCCCTATGGCACCAGCTAATCTTTTTCCTCTTTTTCTCTCAATAATGTTTCAACATATTTATCTATAAAATGGAAATTAATACTGAGCATGAAAAGAAAAGGCCATGAAAATCCCCTAACATAGACCGTTAATTTTTCTTTCCTTTTTATTTTTAAGAAACAGACACTTTCTTTAACTGGACTTTTGTTCAGAACCCTAATATACCTTAGACAAGAAAAAGCTGAACTTCATGGTGTTAAGGAGGTGTGTATCAAGTCCCACCGACAATGGCTGTTTCTTTACCTCTGGTGAACACACTGAGTCACCAGGAAACTGAGGATATCTGGAAACACAAGCTGAAAATGACTGATCTATTCCAACTCCCCTCCACCACCCCTGTCTTTTGTAATAAAGCCCCCTTGAAGCCCTGAGAGGAGTAAAGTTGCCTCATTTAATGTAGCCAGTCTAAGACAAAAATGATCTAGAAGAAAATGAGTGGTGATGAGGGTATTGTTTTGACCCAAGGTTACAGATGGAAGGGAGGGATAGGTTTCATATAATTACTTTATTTTTATGTGACACTTTAAAAACTCAAACAGACCATTCAAACACACTATCTAATCAGTTTAATTCAGCAAGTATGTCCTGGATGCAAACGATGTAGCGCGTTTTGTGGTAGAACCAATGCATTGACTACCAGGCGCTGTATGACAATTATGTTGCACATTTAAAGAAAGCCTCTCAACCACCTTCTGAGGGAAGCATAGTTGAAGAAACTAAGGTTCAAAGGCATTGAGTAACTTGGCCATGGCCTCAAAGCATGTCATTAGCAGAACTGAGATTGAACCTAGGTCAGCCCCATTCCAAAACTTGCAATTCTTCAACTCTATCCTCAAGGAGCTGTAAAACCACAAGAAATACAGAGCTGAGAGAGAGATGTTTCACCCACAAATTACCTAAAATCCTCTGCAGCAGGTTAATTGTTGAACAAGCAAAGTAGGACAGAGTAGCATTGATGAGATGAAATAAAAGAACAAAATTCAAAGGAGAAAAATTATACTTAAATTAGGAACTAGGAAGTACTAAGTAAGGAAGAGAGCACTGAGGGTTGGGTAGGCATGGGAAAGGCAGTGGGGTGGAGATCCTGGTCTCCATGCTGTCACGTGCAAGGAAGCTGAAGTTTGAGGAGTCTGGAGGCTTGTTCAAGTTTTCACAGCTGATTATGGTGACATTAGAAATACAGGGAAATGACTTTTAGGAGTAAGAACCTAGGGATAAAAGCAAAACAAAAAAAATAACAAAGTAATTACAGACAGGAACCAGAACTTACTATGTGGAAATAAGGGAAATTATAGAAATAGATGATGAGTATGGAACCAGTGCTGTTTTTCTCTCTTCTGCCTTAGAGATGATGTCTTCCTTCTATGTAACACTCTTTTCTGAATCTGCCTTGGTCTTTATTATTGAAGATGTTGGTCACATTATCTATCAGTCTCTTTAGAAACTAAATCTACATTTCTGCCAACTTAAAAACTCATACTTTTTCGAATCTCACACACTAATATCATTATTGTTGAGAGCCTATTTGTGTGGTGATGTTTACCTTCTAGTGCTCACCTGGCTTTCGAGCTATCAGGCATCCCGTTTGGATCTTTGGATGTTGGGGATGTCCTTATGGGTCCGTGTATATGACCACTCATATGGGAGTTTATCTGCATTTTGGTTTTGGAATAATTCATGCCTTTGTTCATTTCTGTTTTTGACATTTGCTATGATTGCATTTACTTTTATTTTTTCCTATATTTCAGTTTTATCTGAAGACAAATTTTAGTGTAAATCAAACATATTCAAAAGTGTCATCTTGAGAGTATTTATAAGTTTCACTTCAACGTTAAATCTATCAACTTTTACTTCTTCTCTACTTACTATTTGGCAGTAAATAAACCAAGTCAGCCACAATCTCAAAAGAGAAGTGAAGAAAATTAATATACCCTTTTAATTTAAAGATACAGGATTATCAGATGGTCTTCTAATTATAGGGACCTCCTTAATTCTCATACCCCACTCTCCCATTTCTACCAATTTAACTTTGTTAATTCCTTCCCTATATAACTCTGTTTTGACCTCATAGAGACATAGTTTTCTTCCTTTCTTTCTTTTCTTTCTTTTTCTTTCTCTCTTTCTTTTTCTTTCTTTTCTTTCTTTCTCTCTTTCTTTACTTTCTCTTTCTTTCTCTCTCTCTCTTTCTCTCTTTCCCTCCCTCCCTCCCTCCGTCCCTCCCTCCCTCCCTCCCTTCTTTTTTTTTTTTTTTTTGAGACAGAATTTCACTCTTGTCGCCCAGGCTGGCATGCAGTGGCTCAATCTTGGCACACTGCCACCTCTGCCTCTTGGGTTCAAGCGATTCTCCTGCCTCAGCCTCTCGAATAGCTGGGATTACAGGCACCGGCCGCCAAGCCCAGCTAATTTTTGTATTTTTGGAAGAGACAGGGTTTCCTTGCCCTGGACCCTCTTCCTGCCCTCTCCAGTCTGAATCCAAAGCTAGTCTTTACAATTCCCTTAATTCTCTGATGTAACCTATTCAGTGAAACAACAGTAGTATTGTTTTTATCTATTTTGTTTGTTCCCTTCCCCAGTGGTATAAGCTGGAGATAATCACTTAACTGTGTAGGTTGGGAGATGACAAATTCATGTTTTCTAAACTGATTCACATTTCTAAACCCTCACCCTTTTTTCCCAGATAGTCACTTAATGTCTGACCCACTCAATTTTCAGCAGATGGCCTTGTCTTCCTCCTGCTTCATCAAGAAAATCGAAGTCATCAGCCTTGACTTCTATTTATCTTCTATGAAAACCTTTATATCTGTACTTAATTTTGCCATCTACTTCATCCTAGAGTGAGGGATTAAGGGGTTTTAGTTCAAGACAGTCCTCTCTACCTATGCCTTGACCTTTTCCAACCTGCCTATTCCAGGATTTCTTACCATGCCATTCCCTTTCTTTCCAGGATCTTGAAATTTTCTCTCTCCACACTAGCTCCTTCCTCTTTAGGCATAATTCAGGTTCTTCTAATCCAATTGTATCCAAAAAAACATTTCTTTTGCACACCCCCATTTACTCCTCAAAACACTAAAATATTTTGAGGGTGTCATTAATCTACAGAAGGTTCTAATGTCAAGGTTGCGAATGACCTCCTTATGTCAAATCTAGTAGGTATTTTTGAGGTCTTATCTTCCTAGATCCCATTGCCATTGAGTACTGTTGATTACTTTTCATTTTGTTTTTACCTTGGCTTCTAAAATACCATAAACTTCTCAGGGTCTGTTAGTTCTCAGGTTTTCTAAGTGGAGCCCCACGTGCCTTTTCTCATTGCACCTATTCTGCACAGGTCGTTTTATCCACGCTCACAGATTCATTTTTCCCCTATGAGGAAGATTTCTGTTTCTAAACTTTTGGTCTATTTTTCTTCCTAGAGTTTAAGGCTTATTTAAGTTGGTTTCACTTTTTTCATATCCCTAGGTACTTAAAACTCAGCATGCTAAAATGCAGTTTATCATCTCTCTTTCTTCAAGCCAGATCCTCCAACTATACTTACTGATGTAGTTAGTGGAATCATCAACCACACGGTTCAATCAAGCTGGAAACTTAAAGTCATCTTTCACTCTTCATTCTCCCTTCATTAGTAACACAACCAATATCTGATTTAGCCTTTTTACTAATAATTGACTTTGTCCCTATCATCTCCATTCCCATTGATTTTGCCCTTTTGTTGTCTTACCTTAACTGATGCAGGAACATTCTAAATAGCCGCTTTACCCATAAACTGACATGCTGTAAATTCTTCCATCACACAACTTCCAGATTTACCAATATAAAGCATAGTCTGACTGTGTCTGTCTCATGAATACTGACTGTGGTGATAGATACACTACTCCACACGTGTGATAAAATTGTATAAAATGAAATACACACACATATATATATACCCACATTCGAATAAGTACAATAGAACTGAGGATTTATGGGTCAGGTCACTGGATTTTATCAATGTCACTATCCCAGTTTTGATATTATATGGTAGTTTTACAAGATGTTGCTATCAAGGGAACTGGGTAAAGGGTACATGGGATCTCTCTGTATTATTCATTACAACTGCATGTAAATCTACAATTTCCTCAATTTAAAATTTATTTAAAATATTTTGAGATATATATTATTTAAAATATACATATCATTTATGAATATTTTAAATGATATATATTTATATCATTTAAATATATAAATATATCTATATTATTTAATATATTTTGATATATGTAAATATACACACACACTCTTTCTCTGTCTCTCTCACCATAAGTACAGACATAGGCTTTTTAAAAACATAGCATATAAGTTTCTTCTTACCTCTCTGGCTTAATCTCCCAGCATTCTCTGCCCCAAATTTTTCAAAATATTAACACAGAGATGCTTGTGATTTTCTCACACATACCAGGCTATTTTCCATTATAGTGTTTTGTTTATGCTGTTGTCATAGAGTGCCCACTGTGTACCATTAGCTCTTACCTGACCTTCCTAATTTTCATCAGCAAAGGCTCTTTCCTTGATTCTTCAAATAAAATTACATTGTTCATCTTTGTGTTTT
The DNA here is from genome assembly GCF_000001405.40 of Homo sapiens. NCBI lineage: Eukaryota > Metazoa > Chordata > Mammalia > Primates > Hominidae > Homo > Homo sapiens. The sequence continues at coordinate 189,736,518 of NC_000003.12, forward strand.
CGTAGTGCTGTCTATACTGCTAACACATTTACTGTAGGTTTGTTTTCCTGTCTTTCCTTCTATACCATCAATTCCTAGAAGATGAGACAGTATTATACACTTTTTATTTCCAGTTTCCATTATGCTTCCTGGCAAATAAGTCCTCTATGCATGTTTAACTTGAGCAAATGAATGTGCTATTGCAGGTAGCTTGGAAATCAGCATTCATAAATCTAATAGTATTATCTTCTACTGTATTACTAGACCAGAACACATATTTGAAATTTTAAGAAGATGATTGACTATCCTCATACAGTATTTTTCTAATTCTTTATAACAGGAACAGTAACACTTAAGAACTTAACTAATTTTATCCTGGGATAAAATTAGTCTACTGATTATCACAACAAATCACATATTAAGATGATCTGCCCGGATAATATTTAGACTTGGAGAACGCATCATCTGAGAAAGCTGATGTTTTCCTCCAAATATATAGGAATAAATGTTTGGAAAAAATAAGTAAAGCAAACTTCAGGGCTCAGCAGCAAAATGAAGCAAACAGAAATAGGATTCATTTGCAAAGTGTTCAGATGTTTGCTTATTATTAAGTCTAACATGCAATTCTACACTTTAATTAAGAACCACCCACACATCAAGGTAAGCAACTGGCAATAAAAAATTAAAAAATATTAGGTCCACAGGTTTGAGTTTATTGTCCCTGAGTGTGATTCTAAGATTGCGGTTATGGGAGGGATGACTAATCTGAGGAAAAAATTTAAATTTTCTGAGTTCATTTCTGTTTCCTGGTTCTATTTCTTACATGCTGGTGGCAGAATGGGCAGATAATCAGTTGAGACTATTATAAAATGGGTTTAATGATAGGTCAGGCTTGCTATCAAATTTAATGAGGAAATGTTTATTTTCTTTTCAAAATCTACAGAACACAGATGTCGGATAGTGGAGGTATAGAGCATAATAATATTATTAGTTAGGAAAGGAGAGCTTTGATAGAAGACAAGATTGTCTAGCATTGGAGGTCTGCCTCACTTTGTGGCAAAATTGGATTCATTACACTACCTGAAGAAATGCCAATTGTGCAACTTGTAACATGTGCTACATATATACCTGCATGGTTTTATAGATTCACTTGATGTTTTCATGATAGAGTATGCTTTAATTTAAATATTCAGTGTCATAAATACAGAAAGTATAATACTAGTTTCATTTTTGTCCTTTTAAGTTTCGTAGAAACCCCAGCTCATTTCTCTTGGAAAGAAAGTTATTACCGATCCACCATGTCCCAGAGCACACAGACAAATGAATTCCTCAGTCCAGAGGTTTTCCAGCATATCTGGGATTTTCTGGAACAGTAAGTATAAAACAAGCAAGAAATGTTTTGCTTGAGCTAAATAGGTAAATGTGGGTGGTCAAAATATTGCTTACTAGGGCATGTTTTTTCTAGAATCAGTAGAAGTTATTTAGGAAAAGTTAATGACTCCAATGCCATCTCTTTGTTCAAATTCAGTGGTGATTTTTTTCCATTTCTAACACCAAAAGATCCTTGCTAATCCAAGGTGATGTAATTTTGGAGGGCCTAAGGCCTCCTGCACCAAATTCACTTCCCCAATGTTTCTCTGATACTCAGAATCCATTCCTTTGGCTTGAAGACTTATCTACTTTTATAATGCAGGTACTCACTGAGAAGATAAAACACTAAATTTTGTTGTTTATTTATACCTTGCTGTGAAACGTATTATTATTTCTTTATTAAAACAGGTTTGGATAAGTGAGTAAATTAAGAAAAGGTGAAAAGAGAATTTCAGCACACTGGAGACCCTTAGGAATCGAGTATAAAATACTCTATCACAGATACATCCGTTATTTCCTGCATCCTACCCAGTAATTATCTGAGGAGGGCAGAGGTCATGATCCTCATTTAACAAGTGGGGGTTGGATTTGAACTGCTTGAAATTACACATTTGATAAGTGATTGAGCCAGGACTCAAACCTAGAGTTTCTAACTCCAAGAAACCAATGAGCCTTGCTGACTTTGAAGCAGAAAATGCTTGTTGTTAACAACAGCATGAGTATATTTTAGTCCCTTTCCATGCCTAACTCACTTTTTTCTTTCCTATGTGTTAGGCCTATATGTTCAGTTCAGCCCATTGACTTGAACTTTGTGGATGAACCATCAGAAGATGGTGCGACAAACAAGATTGAGATTAGCATGGACTGTATCCGCATGCAGGACTCGGACCTGAGTGACCCCATGTGGGTGAGTGGCACAGGCTTTCTCTTCAGTCTTTGGGCCATGCTATCTATAGCTCTGTTAAACCTGTCTTTTCAGTCATGTGTGAAAAGGCAGGTGGCTCTGAATGGCCAAGGCCTTTGGGAAGAGAGTCTATGTTGTTAGCTGAGAGAAGATTTGGTGTGGATTATGCATTCTGGGTCTGCCGCAAATATCTATAATATATGTGTTTCCATCCGTGTGGGGAGGGAGATTCTTTACATCTTTTATCTTGATTGTTCCTCATGTCAACCCCAATTTAGAAAAGATGGTACCAGCTCAAGGCTTTCTAGCTGGTAGGGACAGCAAAAGAATCAGAAATTTATTTTATTTATATATTTATTTATTTGACAGAATCTTACTCTGTCACCCAGGCTGGAGTGCAGTGGCAGGATCTCAGCTCATTGCAACCTCTGCTTCCCTGATTCAAGTGATTTTGCTGACTCAGTCTCCCAATTAGCTGGGATTACAGACATGCACCACCACACCTGGCTAATTTTTGTATTTTTAGGAGAGGCAGGGTTTCGCCATGTTGGCCAAGCTGGTCTCGAACTCTTGCCTTCCTGTGATCTGCCCACCTCAGCCTCCCAAAGTGCTGGGATTACAGGTGTGAGCCACTGTGGCTGGCAAAGAATCAGATTTTTAGATCTGAATCCTATCCAGGGCACTTCCTACTATGACAAACAACTTCTCTATCCTTCTTTAATGCAGGAGGAATTTATGCACATGAATTCTATGTGCATATGCAGGTTTAAGTACCTGGTAACAGAATAAGAGGGAGGAAAAAAACTAATACATGAAACAGGCTTTTCTTGGCTATACCACTGAGTCACTCGTGATCTTAGGCCCCAGTTCCTCATTTATAAAGTGGTGAGATCATAGGTGTTACATACTTCCCAGGTAAGCTAAGGAGTTTAATGGGTTAATGATATTAAAACACCTTCCTGAGATGTTTAGATTTCCTGTGTTTGTGCAGTTTCATAATGCTGGTGGGTTTTCTTTTTTTTTTTTTTTTAATCATTTATTTACGGCACAAGTCCTGCTATCTTTTCTATCAAAAATTTCTAGAAAACTAGTGGGGGGAAGCTAGACAGCGGGGTGTCATAGAGTATCTGTTGACGAGATTAAGGGGAATGATTTTAAAATGCCTTACCTTGTTTGATATGTTTTACTGGAATTTTTGCTATGTACTTTTTGGATATAGAATGTACTGCTTAATATTGGGAGAAAGTCAATGGGAGAAAGTCAATTGGAGAAAGGCAAGAGGAAACAAAAACAGAAAGTTATAACTCTGCAGATACATAGATGCTTTGTCACTAATTTGATTAGAGAAAAATACACTTTTTCATTGACTCTTTTCATTCCAATACAGATATAGTTCTCAATCCTTGAGCCAATGAAATGAAACTATCAAATAATTCCAAGGGGCAGGTCATTCAAGGCCTTGGACTATATCATAATTCAACATAAATATGTGTAAACTCTGATTTGACAGTTACTTAAAAATTAGGACATTCCCAATTTTCATAAAAATATCATCTCTTAAGTTGATGGATAGGATCTGCCTAGGAAAACCTGTTATTGTATTCTCTCCAGGGATTTTCTGTTCTCAGTCTTGGACTCATAAAAGTTGGCAAAAAGTTAAAGAAGTTAAAAAATGAAGAATTTTCTCTTACACACTGAAGCACGTAGTTTTTTATTGTTGTTTGTTTTTTGATTTTTGTTTTTTTATGAGCAGGGTCTCCCTCTGTCGCCCAGGTTGGAGTGCAGTGGCGCAATCTAGGCTCACTGCAACCTCCGCCTCCTGGGTTCAAGCGATTCTCCTGCCTCAGCCTCCTGAGTAGCTGGGATTACAGGCATGTGCCACCACACCCGGCTGATTTTTGTATTTTTAGTAGAGACGGGGTTTCACCATGTTGGCCAGGCTGGTCTCGAACTCCTGACCTCAGGTGATCCACTCGCCTTTGCCTCTGAAAGTGCTGGGATTACAGGCATGAGCCACCACACCTGTTTTTAGCATGTATTGTCTTAATGTGCCATGTTGTTTCTTACTTCCTTGTATTCTTGGAAATGTTCTCCTTGAGGATACCATTCACATTTTTTCTCCTCTCTGGATAATTCTTATTTGTCCCTTAATGCCTAGTAATTACTTCTTACACAGTGTCATAGTTGTTTATTTTTCTCTAAAGTAGAACAGGGCTGTACTTGCCATGTCCAGTGCTTGAAGGTACATAGTAGGTCCCCATAGTAGGAGATTCGGAGAGAGCTAAAAGACAAAATGAAAACAAATGAGGTTTTGCCAGTGAGGTAAATGAAATAGGGCACTTGGAGGCATCTGTATTGAAAGGAAAATAAAGGTAGAGTGAGAAAGAATTTAACTGAATAAACTTGCCTATCTGTGGCTGCTCTGTCTGTGGAAAAAAAAAAAAAACCCTGAGATATTCCTAACAACGTAGAAATCCTGGGGCTTCTCTTGCCTTATGACTATTCCAACATTTTTATATTCTCATATATGTCCATGTGGAAGGACACAAAAATGGAGTTGGATAACAAGAATGGAAAAATGGTAAACTTACCCAGGATGTTAATAGCTAGTGTTCTGGTTTAGAAAGTAGGGAGTAGGATCCTTTTAGATTCTTAGTCTTTCTGAACTGCTACAACGGGTGTGAGAGTCTTTTTTCCCATTACTTGGTAGCATATTTTCTTTTCTCTTTTCCACGTATAGGTTAATAGCTAAATAATTCCTAAAGTCTGCAAATAAACTACTTTCCTCTTAAATATAATATTCATTAAGTAAGGATTGTAGCCAAGCATTCTCTCACCATACAAGAAATATGAACTTATAGACATGAAAAAACATGTCATATTCTTAGGGATAGAAATCTCGAAATTGAGAAATTTAACCCAGTTTTACTGATTTTTTGATACAACCTAAACATTTATAACTAGCCATTAAATGGAATCACCATGTTTTGCTCTGATTGTTAGCAAAGGATATTTGAATTGCAGAGAATGTGTGCCTTCTTAATTTGAATTGTTTTAGTATCAATGAAAAATGAACTCCATTGGGTTAGTAAGTAAAGGTGAGTGGAGGCTCTCCAAAAAATTTGACATTTTAGTCTGTTTTCAAGGAACTTCTAGGTTCTTGATTCTGTTGTCAAGTATATTACTTTAGGCCAGGTGCATTGGCTCAGGCCTGTAATCTCAGCACTTTGGGAGGCCGAGGTGTGTGGATCACCTGAGGTCAGGAGTTCAAGACCAGCCCGGCCAACATGGTGGATACCCGTCTCTACTAAAAATACAAAAATTAGCTGAGCATGGTGGCGGGTGCCTGTAGTCCCAGCTACTCAGGAGGCTGAGGCAGGAGAATCGCTTGAGCCTGGGAGGTGGAGGTTGCAGTGAGCTAAGATTGTGCCATTGTACTCCAGCCTGGGCAACAAGAGCAAAACTCCATCCCAAAAAAAAAAAAAAAAAAAAAAAAAAAGTTACTTTATATCCCATCTTTGTATTATTCATAGACTGTGTAAGCATGCCTGTCATGTCTTCATGAGGTAGATAATAATATTAACACTTAAAAGTTCTCCCAGATTGATTGATGCTAACTACATAACTCTTACTTTCGCAATTTTTTTTTTTTTATTCCTTGTAAACTTTGAACCCTTTTAACCTGTATTGGATTTTTCCCTGGGGAGTTGGTGGTAATTATTTAAAACTATTCCTTTTTGTAAATACTTGTTGAATCATCCCAGATATATGTGAAGAGGCTTCAGCTCTAAGTATCAAAAGACCAATATCTATGTAGCTTATTTGTGTCTGGAAAGGCTTAGGCAACAGCCCTTAGCGTAGTGCCCTACATCTTATATAATCCAAGATTCATATATATTTCAAGCACATACAGTAGGTCTAGCCATAACAATTTTGCACCTATGATCTTTGTGACACAGACCATGATATCCTTGAGAAGACGATAACACAGCAGAAAAGGCAAATGTGTGTAAAATTATCTATGAAAAGTAGTTAGATATATGTGTTTATGTGTTTTTATAAAGCACAGAAAAAGGAATGATTTAGTGTGCCTGAGATTGGCAACACATTGCAGAGAAGGTAATTTTTTTATTTAGGCCTTAAAATATGAGTCAAATTGATCAAAACAGGGAAAGGAAAAATAATCAGGTTTGGGTAACTGTTATAAAAATAATTGATTATAAAAACATAATGTGATGCTCATAAGTATTAAAAGACTAAAAAAATTGACTAAAGTTTATATTAAAAAGACATAAACTTTAAAAATTATAATTCATAACAAAAGCTTAATAACCCCAATAAACTAAATATTCAAAATTTAATAAGAGAGATAAATTTCCCCAATTGGAAAAAGATATAGGTAATTCACAAATGATTAATGTACAAATGTTTAACAGATTCAAAGTGTTCAAATTCTCCACTAATAAAAAATTAGGGAATTGAAATAATGAGATTAATTATATCTTTCTGATCAGCAAAAAATTTAATGATAATAACCAATGCTAGTGAGATTGTTGAGAAACAGGCAATCTTTTCATTTCTTATGAGAGTAGAAATCGAAATAATACATTGGAAGGCAATTTGTCCATTCTAATTTATTTAATTTTAAAGACACTTTCCCTTTGGCCTGTAAGTTCCAGTTTTAGATATTCCACAAAACTATTCAAATATAAATAAGTACCTACAAACACAAACACACACACACACACACAAACATACACACACACAGAAATGAAGGCTTCATTGCAGCATTGTTTATAATAACTAAAATGGTAAGTCCAGGTAAAATTTTATAGCCTTTAAAGTTTTAGAAAGGAGTCTTCAAAATGGTTGACTGGATTCATCATAGGCACCTACTCCATGGAGAGGAGCCAAAATGGCAAGTAGATTGTCACATTTTGAATAGATTATCTAAGGGAAAAAACCGGAATTCAACAGAGAAGTGACAGGAAGCATCAAAAACAAGAAACGGATGTGAGGGATCAGCTGGTAGCCTGGAGAGGCTCCCTAATGTTGGGCAAGGGTAAGTGGGAGACCCCTCACGGTCCACATTACCACCACAGACTCCTATTGTCCTAGCCAAAGGAGAGCCCTTTGACCATCATGGGCCCTGAGACTAACATAAGGAGCTGAAGACTACTCAACAGTATTGCTCCAGAGAGGGAGCTCATGCTGAATCCCACAAACCTCTAAGTCCTAAGCAGCTGCAGCATGACACCATTTCAAAAACCCAGCCTCCACCAGACTGCATCCTACCCTGGTGCCCAACGGCCCATGCATCTCCACATCCTTGAAGCACCATTGACATTCCCTGCCTGGAATGGCTGCCACCAAGGCTGAGGCAAGAGCCACAGTCAGTGACCCCTTCACCCCCCAACAGAGTAGCAGTGACACATTTTCATGTGCCTCAGGACAAATCTCACTGCCCGCAGCTGCTGTCACTGTGGTGGGGCTGAGATGCAAGCAAAGAACACACTCTCAAAGCAGCTATTTCCTTCCCAGTAGAAGAGCTATGGTGTAGCTGCTGTGGCCCTTACCTGAACATTGTTCTGGCCTCCCGGGGGATCACCCTGCTTCTGCTTACCACAACCAGTGCCCGCACACACCAGCAGGGGGCCTAAGGACAGGTTCGCCCAACTTGGCCCTACCCCTCAGTGCCCAGGAACACCATCCAGGGGCCTGAAAATTGCCCATTTCAGTGTGCCACCATTGGCAGCTGAGCATTCCTTCTGGTCACGCCCACCCAACCACTGCTGCTACCACCATAACTGCCACCAACTTACACACATCACCTGCAGGCCTGGGGTCTGGCCCACCCAGGCTGTCACAGCTACTGTCAATACCAGTGTGGAACATTTGGGTCCCAGAGGGTTGTCTTGCCACTGCTAATGCCATCACCCATGACATGCCAGCTGCCCAGGGGCTCAAGAACCTGCCTACCCACCTACCTTTCCACTGCCATTCCAACCACCTGAGCAAGCCACCTGGGACTTCCAAAATTGGCTTGCCTGGACTCACTAACAATGGTACCAGTGTACACTGCCCTAGGGTCCAAGGACAGGCACACTCAGCCCACTACTGCTACTGCAGGAGTCCAAAGGCTGGCCTACCGGGTGTCTAAAACCCAGCAAAATTCACTACAGCCTCCACTAACAACCACACCCTAAGCCACAAGGGAAATCATAGACACCGCTGATGCTGTTTACAACTGAAGATATTATACAGAGGCTACAGGACAGTATATACTGAGAATAAAAGCCAAAATTGCCTACCCATCTAATTTCATAGATAATGTCTTCAGGAAATTGTCCTCTTCTATGAAAGCAAATTCAAAAAAAATTGTAAGAAATGACTATTCTACCAGATGTGCAGATATCAATATAAAGACACAGGAAGCATGAAAAAGCAGGAAAATATGACACCATCAAAGGAACACAATAATTCTCCAGCAATAGATCCCAGTAAAAATTATTAAATTCTTAAATTCAAAATATTGATACTGAGAAGCTCAGTGAGATATAGGAGAATACCAAAAAGCAATAGAAGTCAGAAAGATAATTCAGGATATAAATGAGACATTTACCAAAGAGATAGATATCATTAATAGAACCAAACAGGCTGGGCATGGTGGCTCATGCCTGTAATCCCAGAACTTCGGGAGGCTGAGGCGGGCAGATCACAAGGTCAACAGATTGAGACCATCCTGATCAACATAGTGAAACCCCATCTCTCCTAAAAATACAAAAATTAGCTGGGCGTGATGGCGCATGCCTGTAATCCCAGCTACTCGGGAGGCTGAGATAGGAGAATCGCTTGAACCCAGGAGGCGGAGGTTGCAGTGAGCCAAGATTGCACCATTGCACTCCAGCCTGGGTGACAAGAGCAGAAACTCCATCTCAAAAAAAAAAAAAAAAAAAAAAAGCCAAACAGAAATTCTGAAACTGATGAATTTACTAAGTGAAATCCAAAATACATTTGAAAGCTTCAGCAATAGACTAGATCAAGCAGAAGAAAGGATCTCAGAAATTGAAGACAGGTTTTTAAAAAATAACACAGTTAGATAAAAATGAAAACAGAAGAATTAAAAAAAATCAAAGCATACATAACATATAAGATACCTCAAAGGGACAAAACATTAGAATTTTTGGTGTTTCCAAATCAAATAAAAGGATTAGAAAATCTATTTAACAAAATAATTCATAAAAATATCCCAAGTCTAGCAAGATATTTATATATCCAGATATGAGTTTCGGAACTCTCCAAATAGACACAGTTCAGAAAGGTTTTCTCTACAGCACATTACAGTCAAACTTTCAAAAGGCAAAGAATTCTAAAAGCAGCAAAAATAAATAAATAAATAAAAGTTTTGTCACTTATAAAGAGACCCCCATCAGACAAAGAGTGGGTTACTCAGCAGAAACCCACAGGCCAGGAGTAAATAGAATGATATATTCTAAGTGCTGAAAGAAAAAAAAAATGTCAGTCAAGGATATTATACTCAGCAAAGTTATCCTTCATTAATGAAGAAGATATAATATTTCCCTATAAGCCAAAGGTGAGAGAATTTATTGCTACTAGATGGGCCTACAAGAAATGCTTAAGAGAATCCTATACCCCAGAAGCAAAGGAAGGATATTTACCGTCAAGAAAACACATAAAAATATAAACAACACTGATACAACAAACATAAAAACAAAGAAAAGTCTCAAATGTTAACACTACAGAAAACAACCAAATCACAATTATGAAAAAAATAAAAAAGAATAATCAAAGCACATATAACATATAAGATAACATAAAGTGACCAACTGTTAAATAAGGGAACAAAGACTACACAAAAGTACCAGCAATTAATAAAATGGCAGGTGTAAGTCCTCATATATTAATAACAACCTTCAATCTAAATGGAATATACTTTCCACTCAAAAGACATAGACTGAATAGATTTTTAAAAAGACCCAACTATAATATCTATTAATATATAAATATATATTTCAATATATTTTATATACACACACACACACATATGAAACTCATCTCGCCTGGAAAGACATACATAGATTGAAAGATGGAAGAAAAAATGGAAGAAAAGGAATGAAAAAAGGCATTTCATGCATATGGAAACCAAACACTAGCAGGACTAGCTATACTTCCGTCAGATAAAACAGATTTTAAGGGAAAAAAAAAAAGAAACAAAGGTCATTATGTAATAATAAAGTAATCAATTTAGCAAGGGGATATAACAATTCTAAATATTTATGTACTCAACAGCAGAGCACCCATGTATATAAAGCATATATTATTAGATCTAAAGGGAGAGAAAGACTTCAGTACAGTAATAGTTGGGAACTTCAACACTGCACTCACAGCATTAGAGAGATCATCTAGAAAGTTAAGAAAGAAACACTGGATTTGAACTGCACATTAGACCAAATTGACCTAATGGACATTTACAGAACATGTTATCCAACAGCTACGGAATACAGATTCTTCTTATCAGCACAAGGAACATTCTTAAGGATAGATCATATATTAGGACACAAAATAAGTCTCAAAAATTTTTTAAAAATTGAAATTACATCAAGTTTCTTCATAGACAACAATGGGATAAAACTAGAAAAACAATAGCAAGAGGAACTTTGTAAATTGTACAGATATATGCAAATAACATGTTTCTGACCATTGGGTCAAGAAAGAGGAAATTAAAAAATTTCTTGAAACAAATGAAAATTGAAACACAATGTATCAAAAATCTATGGGATACAACAAAAGCAGTGTTAACAGGGAAGTTTATAGTAATAAATGCCTACACCAATAAGGTAAAAAGATTTCACATAAACAATCCAACAATGCACCTTAAGGAAATGGAAACACAAGAACAAACCAGATAGAAAATTAGCAGAAGGAAAGAATAGTAAAAATCAGAGCAGAACTAAACAAAATATAGACTAAAAAAATTGGAAAGGACCAGTAAAACCAAAAGTTGGCTTTTTGAAAAGATACACCAAATTGATAAACCACTTACTAGACTAACCCAGATAAAAATAGAGAAGACTCAAAATCAGAAATGAAAAATATATCACCGACAAAAGATCATCAGAGATTATTATGAACAACTGTATACTAACAAGCTGGAAAACTGACAAGAAATTGACACGTTCCTGGACATATTGCAACCTACTAAGGTTGAATAAGGAATAAATAGAAGACCTGAACAGACCAATATAGAAACATGCCTCTACATAATGATGGCTATATATGACTAATCCACAGCTAACATCACACTGAATGGGGAGAAGCTAAAAGCCTTTCCTCTAAGAACTGGAACAAGAAAAGGCCACTTCTAGTTCTCCTATTTAACATCGTACTGAAAAGTCCTAGTCAGAGTAATCAAGCAAGAGAAAGAAATAAAAGGCATGCAGACTGGAAAAGAGGAAGTCAAATTGTTTGTCTTTGCTGATGATGTATCTAAGAAAACCTACGCTCTTCCTGAAAACTCTTAGATCTGATAAATGAATTCAATATAGTTGCAGGATACAAAAATCAAAATACAAAAATCAGTAGCATTTCTATACATCAGTAACAAACTAGCTGAGAAAGAAATCAAGAAGGCAATTTCATTTACAATGGCCACAAAAGTAAAACACCTGGGAGTAAATTTAACCAAGAAGGCAAAATATCTCTACAAGGAAAACTACAAAAAAAAAAAAAAAAAAAAAAAAAGGCGGGGGACAGAAAAAAAATGAAAGACATTCTATGCTCATGGATTGGAAGAATGAAAATTGTTAAAATGACCATGCTGCCCAAAGCAATCTATAGATTCAAAGCAATTCCTATCAAAGTGCCAATATTATTTTTCACAGAAAAAAAAAATCCTAAAAATCATATGGAATAAAAAAGAGCCCAAATATCCAAAGCATTCTAGAGCAAAAAGAGCAAAACTGGAGGCATCTCACTACCTGGCTTTAAAATATGTTAGAAGCCTAAAGTAACCAACAGAGCATGATATTGGTATAAAAACAGATACATAGGTCAATGAGACATAATAGGAAATCCAAAATTAAATTCAATATTTCCAGCTAACTGATTTTCAACAAGGGCACAAATAACATACATTGGGGAAAGGACACACTCTTCAATAAGTGGTACTGGGAAAATTGGATATTCATATGCAGAAGAATGAAACTAGATCCCCAACTCTCATCACATACAAAAATCAACACAGATAAAATACTTAAATGTAAGGCCTTAAAACTATAAACTACTAGAAGAAAACATAGAACACTTCAGAACATTGGTCTAGGCAGAGATTTTTATGGCTAAGCCCACAAAAGAACAGACAAAAAAAAATAGACAAATGGGACTATTTAAACTAAAAATGGGGCTATTAAACTAAAAAGCTTCTGCACAGCAAAGAAAGCAATTAATAGAACAAAGAAACACCTGTTGAATGGAAGAAAATATTTGAAATTATTCATCCAACATGGGACTAATATCCAGAATATATGAGGAACTCAAGTCAACAGTAAAAAAATAAATAATCCCGTAAAAATGAGATTACTGACATCAAAAGATATGAAAAGACATTTTTCAAAAAAAGATGTAAAAATGGCCAATAACTATATGAAAATGTCAGCATCACTAATCATCAGGTAAATGCAAATCAAAACCAAAATGAGATATCATCTTATGCCAGTTAGTTTATTTTTCAAATGACAAAAAATAACAGATGTTATTGAGGATGCAGAGAAAAAGGAACTCGTATTCACTGTTGGTAGGAATGTCAATTAATACAACCACTACAGAAAATAGTATGGAGATTCCTCAAAAAACTAAAAACTACTGTAAAATCCAGAAATCCCACTACCAAATATTTATCCAAAGGAAAAAAATCAGTATATCAAAAAGGATACATGCACTTGCATGTTTATTGCAATATTATTCACCTATGTGTCCATCAATTAATAAAGAAATAAAATTTGGTGTATATATACACAATGGAATACTATTCAGCTATAAAAAAGGAATGAAGGCCAGGTGCGGTGGCTCACACCTGTAATCCCAGCACTTTGGGAGCCCGAGGCAGGCAGATCATGAGGTCAGGAGATCCAGACCATCCTGGCTAACAAGGTGAAACCCCGTCTCTACTAAAAATACAAAAAAATTAGCCAGGCATGGCGGCAGGCGCCTATAGTCCCAGCTACTCAGGAGGCTGAGGCAGGAGAATCGCTTGAGCCTGGGAGGTGGAGCTTGCAGTGAGCTGAGATCCCACCACTGCACTACAGCCTGGGTGACAGGGTGAGACTCTGTCTCAGAAAAAAAAAAAAAAAAAAAGGAATGAAATATTTTCATTTGCAGCTACATGGATGGAACTGGGAGTCATTATGCTAAGTGAAATAAGGCACAGAAAGACAAATATTGTAAGTTCTCACTCATATGTAGGAGCTTAAAAAATTTATCTCATGGAAGTAGAGAGTAGAATGATAAATACCAGAGGCTGGGTAGGATGTGTTGTTGGAAAGGGGTGATGAAAAGAGGTTGGTCAATGTGTGCAAACATACATTATAGAAAACGTATAAGTTCTAATGTTGAATAGCAGAATAGGGTGGCTATAATTAGCAACATTAGATTATATATTTTCAAAGTACATAAAGGAGAGGACTTGAAATGTTCTCAACACATAGAAATGATAAATACTCAAGGTATCGAATACTCCAAACATCCTAACTTGATCACTGAACATTCTATGCATGTAACAAAATAGCACATATATCCCATGAACATGTAAAATATTATGTATCAATTAAAAAATATTGAGGATCCAAAAAGGTAATAAAACGTTGGACTCTGATAGGAAGGAAACTATAAAGCAAATAATAGTTAACCCCACCATTGAGAGACGATAGTAGTAGTTAGGATGTGTAGTCATTTTTATCTTGATCGTATTGTTTATGATCCTTGGTGGAATTTCTGTATTTGTTTGGTGTCAAGTGCCTTTTATTTTTATTATTTTTATTTTTTATTATACTTTAAGTTCTAAGGTACGTGTGCACCACGTGTAGGTTTGTTACATAGGTATACATGTGCCATGTTGGTTTGCTGCACCCATCAACTAATCATTTGTATTAAGTGTTTCTCCTAATGCTATCCCTCCCCCAAACCCCCACCCTGCTGACAGGCCCTGATGTGTGATGTTCCCTGCCCTGTGTCCAAGTGTTCTGATTGTTCAGTTCCCACCTATGAGTGAGAACATGCGGTGTTTGGTTTTCTGTCTTTGTGATAGTTTGCTGAGAATGATTGTTTCCAGCTTCATCCATGTCCCTGCAAAGGACATGAACTTATCCTTTTTTATGGCTGCATAGTATTCCATGGTGTATATGTGCCACATTTTCTTAGTCCAGTCTATCATTGATGGACCTTTGGGTTGGTTCCAAGTCTTTGCTATTGTGAATAGTGCCGCAATAAACATACGTGTGCATGTGTCTTTATAGTAGCATGATTTATAATCCTTTGGGTATATACCCAGTAATGGGACCGCTGGGTCAAATGGTATTTCCAGTTCTAGATCCTTGAGGGATTGCCACACTGTCTTCCACAATGGTTGAACTAATTTACACTCCTACCAACAGTGTGATAGCATTCCTATTTCTCCACATCCTCTCCAGCATCTGTTGTTTCCTGACTTTTTAATGATCGCCATTCTGACTGGTGTGAGATGGTATCTCATTGTGGTTTTGATTTGCATTTCTCTGATGGCCAGTGATGGTGAGCATTTTTTCATGTGTCTTCTGGCTGCATAAATGTCTTCTTTTGAGAAGTGTCTGTTCATATCCTTCACCCACTTTTTGATGGGGTTGTTTGTTTTTTTCTTGTAAATTTGTTTGAGTTCTTTGTGGGTTTTGGATATTAGCCCTTTGTCAGATGGGTAGATTGCAAAAATTTTCTCCCATTCTGTAGGTTGCCTGTTCTCTCTGATGATAGTTTCTTTTGCTGTGCAGAAGCTCTTTAGTTTAATTAGATCCTATTTGTCAATTTTGGCTTTTGTTGCCATTGCTTTTGGTGTTTTAATCATGAAGTCTTTCCCATGCCTATGTCCTCCCTTTTATATTCTGGGGAAAATTGTGTAGAATTGATATATCTTATTGTATATTTGATATAATTCAACAATGAAACCATTTGGGCCTAAGATTTTTTTCTGGGACACTCTAATTATGAATTTGATTATCTAATAGTTATAGGAATCCTGAGATTATCTATTTTATCTTGGGTAAGTTTGGTAAATTGTGGTTTTTGAGGATTTGGTTAATTTCATCAAAATTGTTGAGTTACATCAAATTATTGGGAATATTTTTTATTTTATTTATTTTATCTATTTATTTTTTGAGACAGTGTGTCCCTCTTCACCCAGGCTGGAGTGCAGTGGCATGATCTTGGCTCACTGCGGCCTCAACCTCCTAGGCTCACCTGATCCTCCCATCTCAGCCTCGCAAGTAGCTGGGATTACAGGCATGTGCCACCATACCCGGCTAACTTTTTGTAGTTTTTTTGTAGAGATGGGGTTTCACCGTGTTCACTGTTCAGACTGGTCTCGAACTTCTGGGCTCAAGCAATCCTCCCACCTCAGCCTCCCAAATTTCTAAGATTACAATTGTGAGCCACTGTGCTGGCTATTATCCTTTTTAATGTAAGTGGAATCTGTAATGATATCTTCCACTTTCATTTATCATATTGTTAACTTGTGTTTCCTCTCTTTTCTCTCAGTCTTACCAGAGGTTTATCAATTTTATTTATCATTCAAAGAACTTGGTCAGCTTATCGGTTTCCCTGTTTTTCTCTCTTTCCATTTTCAACTTGATTATTTCCGGCCTTATTTGCTTTCTTTTTCTTTGGGTTTATGTTTTTTCTTCTTTTTCGAGTTTTTTAAATTAGAAGTTTATATTATTGAGTTGAGATATCTTTTCTAATGTTACCATTCATTGCTATAAGTTTTCTATTAGACACTGCTTTAGCTGCATACAATACGTTTTGATATATTTATTTTTTATTTTGTTCAGTTCAAAATATTGTCTAGTTTTTCTTGAGACTTCCTCTTTGACCCATAAGTATTTCAAAGCATTTTGTTTAATTGCTAAGTTGGACATTTTCTGTTACCTTTCTATACTAACTTAGCTTAATTTCATTATGGTCAGAAAATATACTTTGTATGATTTCAAAATTTTTTAATTTATTAAGGTTTGTTTCTAGAGTCATGATATTGTTTATCTTGATGACTGTTTTATGGCACTTGAAAAGACTGTTTAATGAGCTTCTGTTGGGTGGAATGTTCTATAAATGTCAATTAGATATAGTTGATTTGTGGTATTGTGCAGTTCTTTTATATCCATTCTGATTTTCTGTCTACTAGTTCTATTAATTGCTGAGAAAAGAGGGTTGAATTCTTCAACTGTCATTATGAATGTGTCTTTCTCTCCTATCAAATATGTCAGGTTTTACTACATGTATACTAAAGCTCCCTTGTTGGGTATGTCATATTTAAGATTGTTAAGATGTTGATAAATTGACTCTTCTATTAATATATAATATTTCTTTATTTCTGATATCTGATAATTGCTTTTTTCCGAAGTCTACTTTAGTCTGTATTAATATTAATACAGCAAATCTAGCTTTCTTTTGATTTATGTTTGCAAGGCAAATTTTTTCTCCTTTTACTTTTAACCTACTTTTATCATTTTTAACCTACTTTTATCATTACATTTGAAATGAGTTTCTTCTAGACAATACAGAGTTGGCTCATTCTTATGCATTATGATAGCTCCTGTCTTTTAATTGGTGTATTTACATCATTTACATATAATGTAATTATCAATATGGTACTTTTAGGACTACCATTTATTAGTTTTCTATTGGTTCCCTCCTGTGCTCCTCCCTTTCTTTTTATACTGACTTCTTTTAAAATTATTTAACCTATTTTTAGTATTCAATTTTAATTTATCTATTTTAGTTTTGGCTATATCACTCATATTTTTAGTGATGGCTCTATAAATCTCATAGAAATTCATTATTTCATAGTCTGCTGAGAATCACTATTTTACAAATTCAAATGGAAGGTAGAAACATTACCATAATATTGGCTTTATAACCCTCACACCTTTATGTGATACTCATATATATTTCTGTACATTGAAAACTTCATCAGATGCTTATAATTTTTACTTTTGTCAGAGTAAAGAACTCAAGAGAAAAATAGCCTATTTTATTGACTATAATATTTATTATTGCTGTTGCTCTTTATGCCAAAGCTACCATTTTGCCTGGACATCAGCAAGAAGAATAGAGAACTGCATGCACCTCTTTTTTTTATCAGATGAGTTTTTTCTAACTGGGACCATAAACCAGGTCAAAGCTCTAGTTTGCTAAATTTTGAATTGATCAAAGTTTTATAAATATTTCCTTAATACCTCTCTTCCTTCTTTCCTCCATCCTTGCATCTGCATGCATGTGCATGTACACGTACACAATCACCCACATATAACTCAATTTGAACAAATTATATTTTCTATATAGAATTGGATTATAAAACTTTCTGATATGCCAATTATTTTAAATCTTCATTTGATAAATTTTGATCTTTAAATAGATATTAAACACGTATTGTATGAACATATCAGTGGCCTACTGAAAAATACATTGACCCAACTCCAGTCAGGCTGCAAGGAGCTGGTTAACAATATTACTAGGTGAGTCACTTAAACACTCTAAATCCTCCTTGCCGTGTGCCTTTTCCTGGATCAAGAAGGTTGAAAGGATCTGATTTCTGATATGTCATAGAAACAGCAATCATTTTCTATGTGTCTTGGTCTCCTAGACTTCTAGGATTCACAATGTCACTTAACTTTAAGTCTGACACCAATATCAAGCTCACTACAAAGAAAGCATCTCTATTTTCCTTCTCTTCTCTTCCTACGTTGGTCTCTATCAGGCTCCTAGAGCCACTCTCACACTGCCATTATCATCCTCCTTTTGTTCTTCCTATACATTCTCTTTTTCCTTTTCAAGTTCCCTACTTTTCCCCCATGTTGAGTATCCACTTTTTTGGTTACCCAGAAAACCGCTAAAATTCAGTGTAGGCAGATTTGATTAAAGGCTGCTGCTTTTTTTTAGGGCTTTATGATGTATGATTTACTTTAGAATTGTAACATGGGATTTGTACTCAGACACACTAGAGTTGAAATTCTGTCTGCACTAATTTAGGTGCGACCTTTACAATCTTTATGAGCTGCTTCTTCCTCATTTGTATAGATAAACAGTGTTTCTCATTGATCTCAGAGAATTGTGGTGATACCTTTATTGGTGAGTTTCATTCAGAGTTACTGGTGCATAAATATACAGCCGAATATAAATTGTCATTCTTGCTGGTTGTCTCTCTGTACCATTTTTCCTCAAAGCTCTGTGAGGAAGGTAAATATGTATTTATTTTTATAATAAAATATCAATTTATACATTTCTCACATTATGAAAGCAATACAACCAACATAACTTTAGAAGTATCAAAAAGACATAAATCCCAAACCAGTGATAATAACTATGAACATTTTTGGGGTTTTAAATTTTTTTCTAGAAAAGATTTAATAAAACATTTGTGATCATGTCATACTAAATGTTATAATATACTTCTTTCATTCTATAGCAAACATTTTATTTACTAATCTTCAAAACTTAAATTTCCTCATTATGTATTATATTTTATTGTGTACATATACCATGGTTTATTTAGCTAGTCTACTCACATGTTTTTAAGAAAAAAATATTTAAATATTTTCTTGTGCTATATGCTTAGAAGTGTAATTATTGGGTAAAATTGTATAAACATGAGTCTAACCAAACTTCTTTTCATGAATCTTGTTTTTTTAATGTTTGTTATCAGTTTACATTCCCACCAACTGTGCAAAAGTGTGGCCTGAAATCAATTTGATTATAGACTTGAAATCAATTGGATGATACAGTCTCCTCTTTGAAACATGCAAGTACTTTTAGGTGACTGAAGGCCTGTCTAGATGTCTGCCACCAAATTGCAATAGTGTCTCTCGATATACCTTTGATTGTGGTCTATGGAAGGGATAGTAGTTTTGGCTGGAGGTGAGTAAGACATCTTGAAGAATGGAGTATCCAGGAGTGGGGTGAGCAGACCTAGCTGGGATGGAAATAATATGAGTGAAGAGGTGGTAAAAGAGGGCTAGACAAAGTCTATTTCGAGACTTTCACCTAAGGTTAATCTTGAACATGGGAATGGACATAATATTTTCCCCTTTTCCTTCTTAACCCTTGCTTTTAGTATCCCAAATGCTTTTATCCCTTTGGCTTCTACTATTAAAATAATCATTTAAACATAATTTGTGTCAAATAGGCTTTGGGTATGAGTTCTGTAAATATTAATTAAACAAGTAAGAAAATATATTTCACATAGCAAAAATCCTCTAATTTTTGGAAAGTGGATTTGTAGCTACCTATGTGGCTTATAGGGTAGCTCAATATTCACTCCGTTTAGACTGAATTCCGGTGTCCCCATAAGAGCAGACTGTTTCTCTGTTCTGTTCTTTGTACAGTATAGCCAATGGGAAGGCAGCACTTTGTTAAAGAGTGCCAAGTCGGGGACTTTACCTTAAACACAAGTATGCATTTCAAACCCTGAACAAACAGCCTTCTTAATAAAATAAGGGAAAGAGTTTTCTTTCTTCTATTCTCTAGAAATTCACAAATATCACTTGACAGGTGACAGTTCTTCCCTTACAAAAGGGGCTGTTTGCCTTTTGCTTTGGTGTTTGGGTAAACTGCAGTATGCACTGGCAGAGAATTTATTGCCTAGGGGAAGGTGTTTGCAGTTGCTGTGTTTAATCTGAAAAGAAACCCTTTTCCTTCTGTCTCCTCCCTCTCTTTTTAAGGAGGGAGAGTTGGAAATGATAGCCCCAGGGAAATAGTTCCCTTAACACCTGTCTTTGGTGTAACCTCAGCAATGTTACTTAAGACACTGTGCTCAGACTGTATGCATTAGGAATGACAAAGTTGAAGAGGGCAGATAAACAGAAAGGGATTTCAGCAGAAACACAGGAGCTGATTCTGACCTTGCATCCTCTTAAAAACTGATCAGGTGGAAATCCTATCATGCTGGCTAAAAAGAATCTGATTTGTTTGAAGTAATACTCATGCTATTAGTCATCTGTCCTTTCCTTTGGCAAAATATGCATACATACATATATATATAGTTTCAATCTGTAAAACGTGAAAAATTCTACAATGTTATATTTAGGAACTTTAGACCTGCTAATTCTAGTCCAACCTTTAGTAGATGAGAAAACTATTAAGATCCAAGTTCATCAGTGGTGACTTCTCCAACATTTCTGATAAGCATTTTTAAGAAAACCAGGGCTACACCCAACTTTCTGGATTTCTGGACCCATTTTTCCAGCTATTATCAGAGGTGGTGTGAAGAGGTCAGGCTCCAGAGATAGATGGCTGCCTGTGTTTGAATCTAGCTCAGTTATTCAGTATTTGGGTGACCTTGGGTGAATTACAGAATGTTTCTAAGCCTCAGTTTTCTCATCTGCAAAACAAGGATCAGGATTGATATTGGTGACATCCTATAGGAGAGCTGTTCTGATAACTGAGATAAGGCATGTTAGCATAACACACTGCCTGTGGCCAGTCCTCAGTGGAAATGGTTGTTGCTGTTAGTCTTTAGACTGTGTTAAATTTGGAAACAGTGAATTATTAATCCTAAATAGAGCAATTACTGATGCAGGACAAGAAAAAAATCTACACAGATTTGTATTTTTGTTTTTCCAAAAAATATGATATTATTTGAAGATACACTAGTGTTATTGTAGGTAGCTAGTCAGACATGAGCAGGACAGGAGAGGGCTCCACCCCCTACCCCCAACCCTCACCAGCAATCTCAGATGACCATAAGGTGATGGTCAGGCAGTTGTTACACTATTTCACTCAAATAATATTAATAATTGTTCGTGGTTGCAGCCAGCACCAGGGAAAGGCAGTCTCCCGATAGATAGAAAAAAAACCTTAAACTAGTGATCAGCAGCTTCCCAAAAAGACCTCAGGAGTTGGGTGAATGGGCTCAAGCATGTGTACTAAGGGGCAAAATGGCAGAGTTTAACTAGTATATGACCTTCTAGGAACATTCAGACTAGTAAAGTGAGAACACCTCAAGCAGGGGTCCTCAATCTTTTTGGCACCAGGAACCAGTTTTGTAGAAGACAATTTTTCACAGAGAGTGGGTGGAGGTATGGTTTGGGAATGAAACTGTTCTACCTCAGATCATCAGGTATTAGTTAGATTCTCATAAGGAGCACACAACTTAGATCCCTCACGTGAGCAGTTCACAACAGGGTTCGTGCTCCTATGAGGATCTAATGCCCCCGCTGATCTGACAGGAGGTGGGGTTCCAGTGGTAATGCTCACTGGCCTGCCTACCTCTCACCTCCTGCTGTGTGGTCCAGTTCCTAACAGGTCACATATTGGTACCAGTCCATGGAATGGGGCCGGGGGCCCCTGGTCTCAAGTGAGCATGCATACAACTCGAGTAAACACATTGCACATGCAGCCCCTCCTTAGTGCACATGTCGACAGCCCACCCCAAGGAATAATCAGGGGAGAAGGGATGCAAGACTCCAGAAGTACACCAACATATAAAACCCTAAGTCAAAGGTCAAACCAGGCACTTGATCTTTCAAGTCACCTGCTTGGCTTCTTCCAAGTGTACTTTACTTCCTTTCATTCTTGCTCTAAAGCTTTTTAATAAACTTTCACTCCTGCTCTAGAACTTGTCTTGGTCTCTCCCTCTGCCTTATGCCCCTCAGTTGCATTCTTTATTCTGCGGAGGCAAGAGTTGAGGTCTCTGCAGACCCATACAGTTTGGTTGCCACTAACATACTTTGGTGCTGCATGCCTTGGATATGTTCCACTGCTGACACTGGCAGGCTGTGAAATATGACTTGACCATCATTTCCCATTTGAAACTAGACAAGGTTGAGTTTTCTTCAAACTAAGATCAGGATTTTGAACCAGACAGACTTCTTATGAAAGCCAACACTCTTTTGTCTGTTCAGGTTTCAGAGAACTCACAAGAAAACTTTATTTTACTTGCTAATTTTGTTTATTTGGGTGTCATTCAGTAATGATAACATAATGAAATATTCCCTTTGCCAGTCTAATGATTAAGAGCGTGGGCTTTGCAGTTGAGCACACCAATATACTTGAGTTTAAATCTTAGCATGATAATGAAGTCAGAGCTGAATGAACTCCTATATAGTTTAATTCCGTGGTTCTCACCGTGTGTTCTCAGGGCCAGCAGCATCAGCATCATCTAAGAACTTGTTAAGAAATGCAAATTATTGGATATCACTCCAGATCTACTGAATCAGAAACTGGAGGGAAAGTGAGAGTGGTGATCTTTCTATAAGCCCTCCAGGTGATTCAGATGTTTGAGAACCAGTGGTACAATCAAGTGATTTAGTATATATTTTTATGGGAGGGGACAGAACTCGGGCTTTGGGAAGTGACTAACCTGTCAAGGAAGAGGAAAACTCTGTAAAATATTTGAAGAGGTTTATTGTGAGCCAAATATGAGTGACCATGGCCCTCAAATTTCAAGAGGTTTTGAGAACATGTGCCCAAGGTTGTTGGTTTTCAGCTTGATTTTATACATTTTAGGGAGATGTAAGATATCAGTCAATACATATGAGGTATACATTAGTATGATCTGGAAAAATGGGACAAATTGAAGCTAAGGGCTCACGGGTCATAGGTGGACTCAAAGATTTTCTAATTGGCAACTGTTTATTTTAAAACATGGAATCAATAGAAAGGAGTGTCTGCGTTGAGATAAGGAGTTGTGGAGGCCACAGTTCTTATTATGTAGATGAAGTCTCATAGGTGACCACCCTCAGAGAGAGTAGCTGTTGTATTACTCCATTTTCATGCTGCTGATAAAGACATACCCAAGACTGGGCAATTTACAAAAGAAAGAGGTTTATTGGACTTACAGTTCCACATGGCCTGAGAGGCCTCACGATCATGGTGGAAGGCAAGGAGGAGCAAGTCACATCTTATGTGGATGGCAGCAGGCAAAGAGAGAGCTTGTGTGGAGAAACTCCTGTTTTTAAAACCATCAGATCTTATGAGACCCATTCACTATCACAAAAACAGCACTGGAAAGACCCGCCCCTATGATTCAATCCTCTACCACTGGGTCCCTCCCAAAACACAAGGGAATTATGGGAGCTACAAAATGAGATTTGGGTGGGGATGCAGAACCAAACCATTTCATTCCACCCCTGGCCCCTCTCAAATCTCATATCTTCACATTTCAAAACCAATCATGCCTTCCCAACAGTCCCCCAAAGTCTCAACTCCTTTCTGCATTAACTCAGAAGTCCCCAGTCTAAAGTTTCTTCTGAGACAAGGCAAGTCCCTTCTGCCTATGAGCCTGTAAAATCAAAAGCAAGTTAGTTCCTTCCTAGATACAATGGGGGTATAGGTATTGGGTAAATGTGGCCATTCCAAATGGGAGAAATTGGCCAAAACAAAGGGGCTACTGGCCCCATGTAAGTCCAAAATCCAGTGGGGCAGTCAAATCTTCAAGCTCCAAAATGGTCTCCTTTGACTGCATCTCTCACATCCAGATCACGCTGATGCAAAAAGTGGGTTCACATGGCCTTGGGCAGCTCTGCCTCTGTGGTTTTGCAGGGTATAGCTTCCCTCCTGGCTGCCTTCATGGGCTGGTGTTGAGTGTGGTTTTTCCAGGCACACAGTGCAAGCAGTCAGTGGATCTACCACTCTGGGGTCTGGAGAACACTGGCCCTCTTCTTACAACTCCACTAGGCAGTGCCCCAGTAGGGACTCTGTGTGGGGGCTCCCACTCCATATATCCCTTCTGCCCTGCCCTAATAGAGGTTCTCCATGAGGACCCTGCCTTGACAGTAAACTTCTTCCCAGGCATCCAGGCATTTCCATACATGTTCTGAAATCTAGGTGGAGGTTCTCAAACCTCAGTTCTTGACTTCTGTGCACACACAGGCTCAACACCATGTAGAAGCTGCCAAAGCTTGAGGCTTGCACCCTCTGAGGCCATGGTACAAGCTCTACATTGCCCCTCTCAGCCACAGGTAGAATGGCTGGGATGCAGGGCACCAAGTCCCTAGGCTGCACACAGCACAGATACCCTGGGCTTGCCTATGAAAGCACTTTTTCCTCCTAAACCTCCAGGCCTGTGATGGGAGAGGTTGCCACATAGGTCTCTGACATTCCCTGGAAACATTTTCCCCATTGTCTTGGTGATTAACATTAGGCTGCTTGTTACTTATGCAAATTGCTGCAGCCAACTTAAATTTCTCCTCAGAAAATTGGATTTTGTTTTCTGTTGCATTGTCAGGCTGCAAATTTTCCAAACTTTTGTGCTGTTTCCCTTTTGAAACTGAATGCATTTAATAGCACCCAAGTCACTTCTTAAATGCTTTACTGATTAGAAATTTCTTCCACCAGATACCCTAAATTATCTCACTCAAGTTCAAAGTTGTGCAAATCTGTAGGGCAGGGGCAAAATGCCACCAGTAACTTTGCTAAATCATAACAAGAGTCATCTTTGCTCCAATTCCCAACAAGTTCCTCATCTCCACCTGTGACCACCTCAGCCTGGACCTTATTGTTCATATCACTATCAGCATTTTTGTCAAAGCCATTCAACAAGTCTCTAGGAAGTTCCAAACTTCCCTGCATTATCTTGTCTTCTGAGCCCTCCAAACTGTTCAACCTCTGCCCGTTACCCAGTTCCAAAGTTGCTTCCACGTTTTTGGGTATCTTTTCAGCAACACCACACTTCTGGTACTAATTTACTGTATTAGTCCATTTTACACTACTGATATAGACATATCCGAGACTGGGCAATTTAAAAAAGAAAGAGGTTTATTGGACTTACAGTTCCACATGGCTGGGGAGGCCTCACAATCATGGCTGAAGGCAAGGAGGAGCAAGTCACATCTTATGTGGATGGCAGCAGGCAGAGAGAGCTTGTGCAGAGAAACCCCCGTTTTTAAAACCATCAGATCTCCTGAGACTCATTCACTATCACGAGAACAGCATGGGAAAGACCTGCTCCCATGATTTAATTACCTTCCACAGGGTGTCTCCCACAACAGGTGGGAATAGGAAAGCTACAAGATGAGATCTGGGTGAGAACACAGAGCCAAACCATAGCAGATGGCAAATGTTTCCTATTCAGAACTTTAAAATATACTAGACTTTCAGTTAATTTCTTCAGGATTGGGAGGACCTGGAAGAGGAAAGATCTAGTTAATGTTAATAGAGATTCTTTACAGATGCAAATTTCCCCCCACAAAGGCTGCCTGTTAGGGCCACTTCAAAATATGGCAAAGAAACATATTTTGGTATAAAATATTTTGTTGGCTTCTTTATCTGTTATTTGGTATGTCAGAGTCGTGGTGTTTAAGGTTCAGGGAAACCCCTGTGATGGGATTTTATGGTTTGTAGGGCATGACTCCTCAGGTCCCTTAGATAGCTTTTGGGGCAAGAGAGAAAAAAGGTCAGAGTTTAGTCCTCAGGCCCAAAGGTATACAGCTATAATGACAGAGAAGAAATTTCTAGACCCATCTCTAAGATAATTATTTCTGACTGTGACTCATTTTAAAACATGTGGAAGGGTCTGCTGGGTTTTATCATTTAAAAAGTTAAAAGGTAAAATGTAATACTTTAAAATAGTAATTAAATATGATTATTCAGTGGTTGGCTACATGTATCTTTATAAGTAAGATGTTAAATGCATTCTCATGAAAATCTCTTCCTTGGCAAAAGAACTAAAATGTCAAGCTTGTGTACTTATTAGTTCAAGAAGCACTTACTGAGTATCTGCTAAGTTCAACACACTCTGCTAGGAGTGCAGTGTTTAAAAGAGCTGAGTCTATCACTGCCTACAACTTAGAGTGGGTGAGGAGACAGATATGAAGTCAATAAACTAGATTATTAATGATCTAAATTATTGTACCTGGGAAAATATTTGCTGCTGAAATATTGAGGGATCGATAGAAAAGACAATAAATGGGCATCCATCATTGAACAACAGACCAGAGTTCTGTTATTAACAAGGACTGCTTGCCAGGTGTGGTGGCTCATTCCCATAATCCCAGCACTTTGGGAGGCCGAGGCAGGAGGATAGCTTGAGCTTGGGAGTTCAAGATCAGCCAGGGTAACCTAGTGAGACCCCTGTCTCTATAAACAAAATTTAAAAATTATCTGGGCATGGTGGTGCATGCCTGTATTCCCAACTACTAAGGAGGCTGAGATGGGAGTGTTGCTTGAGCCTGGGAGGTCAAGGCTGCAGTGATCCGTGACTGTGCCACTGCACTCTAGCATGACAGACAGAGCAAGGCCCTGTCTCTAAAAAATAATAATAAAAAAGGAGGGTACTGCTGGGCTATATTACTTTAGAGACAGTATTTTATACCAAACTCTATCTGAATAATGTAGAGCATGATATATTTTTCATCACGCAGCTCAGTGGTCCTACATTCAGTTACGTTTGATGCTTGCTAAACTGGAGGCAATGTGGAGAATGAATTAATAAACAAAAAGCAAATTCTGCCCCTAAGGATTTCTTAGTTTGTTATGGACAGGAGACAATACAAGCAACTCATGTCAAGGTAGAGATTGCTAAGTGCCAGAGGAAAGTAAAGCTGTAAAGAGCAGAAATTCTGATCACCATTTGTATTTGAAAGCTCAGGAAATAGCCTGGTCACTTGAAAGAGGTGGGGAGAGGTTATACTAGGAAGACGAACTGTGTTTAAGGTAGTTAGGAAATAGGCTGCCAGCTTAAATGTGTGAAACACTCAGTCTGACATGAAATGGTGATGCTTAGAGCTAAAAAATACTTGACTCATCGGAAGTATTTAAATTAATTTTTAAAAGTGTACTAGACGTGCAGAACATATATATGGCCATCAGTGTGACAACCCTTACTTAAGTGTAAACATGACTTTGACAGAATGTGCAATGGGAGGAGAGTCAGCTTGGTTTGATGTGAACCCTACAGCAAGATAAATTATATGGGAATAAACAAACAGCTGAGGGTCAATTAAAGAAAAATAGGAATACTCTATAACCTGGTGCTCTTGCTGAGCTGACTGTGGTAATTAGAGGATGGGTGGCTGGGGATGTGCAGGTCCCTGTGCATGCATATGACCTCAAACTCTGCACCCTTGTATGCTCATTGTCAAAAGAGGTGGGTGTCTTGGGATTATGATTAAGTCCCTCTGGCACACTGTTCTTTGCAGATAAGGCCCTATGAATTGTCTACTTTTTCTGTCCCAATATCCATTCAGAATAGACTACATGCTATTTCTTGGAGTAAGAATAGAGGAAAATGAGAGTCTCTTTAGTTTTCAGTCTAACGAGGAATACAGGTGCATATCCCACTACCTAGGAAACAAGAACCATGTTGATAAAATGCCAGAATACAAACAGAGCTGATAAAACCAATAGCTGGATGGCTTATTTCTGACTGGGAGGATTACAGGTGTCTTCATCAGGTAAAAGGTAAAAATTGAAACACCCACGCACACACACATAGGTCATACTCTTAGTGTGTGCAGTATAAGCTTTTTACTGGGAGCTATTTTGAAGATGTTCCCTTGGCTGTCTACTTTGTGGACATAGGTTGGCTGACTGGGGTGCTCATCAGGAGTATATTGTCTGCAGTGATGTAAGCTTAATTCTAGTCTCTTTTGTCTACTAAAGTTATCCATTGTGTTTAGGAAAGACATACAATTCACTTGTAGATTAAAAAAAATAGTTCTAACTTCATTGTGTTTACTTATCATCCTCCCAAGAAGCTGGGAGCTCCTAATGGATATTATTCAAGTCATTTCTCACCACACACTCTTGAAGAGGTAGAAAGAGCCCAGGTATTTTAAAATCTCATTTTTGTACTTCGGCGGCACAGCGTAATGAATCAGAAAATAAACTAGAAATAAGACCCATGCTTTGTCCTGGAATGGAGCGCACTTTGTTCTAGTAAATGTTCCTACCTGCTTTTCTTAAAATTAGAACTAGATGGCTTATAAAATGTGGCTTTTAAAAAAGAACTCTTTTAGATGTCTGGGTGGGGTATCAGATGATTTTTCTGTAATCAAAGCTTTATTGGAGCGTTGTGGATTTAGTGATGTTGGCTGCCCTGGATGAAAGGAATCAGCAGAAACCATCTTTGCTATTGAATTAAATAGATGCAGCCAGTTTCCCATTTAACCAAGATATTTTATTCACTTTTTAGCAATAAGCCTGTTTAGGAAAAGAGACAACTCAGCTGCTTGATGAGATTTTATGGTTTGATAGAAAACTAAGGAGAATATAGAGCAGAAAAAAAAAATCAGTTTTGTGACTAATTGATATGAGAAACAAATGTATCCCCGTATATTGTTTTTTTCCCCCCTGAGATCCAAGAATTAATCTCATCAAGTAACATTAAGTTCTTTGGAAATCCTTTGACATAAAAAGGAAAATTGGGGTTTTCAATTTGGGGCTTTGTAAATATCCTGTCCTCTGCTTTTTTTTTTTTTTTTTTTTTGAGACAGAGTCTCACTCTGTTGCCCAGGCAGAGTGCAGTGGGGGGATCTTGGCTCACTGCAAGCTCCGCCTCCCGGGTTCACGCCATTCTGCCTCAGCCTCCCGAGTAGCTGGGACTACAGGTGCCCACCAAACATTCCCAGCTAATTTTTTGTATTTTTAGTAGAGACAGGGTTTCACCGTTTTAGCCAGGATGGTCTCGATCTCCTGACCTCATGATCCGCCCACCTCGGCCTCCCAAAGTGCTGGGATTTAAGGCGTGAGCCACCGCGCCCGGCCTGTCCTCTGCATTTTTAAAGGAACAGCAGTTTGGTGAAAAAGCACTGGCCTAGGAGCCAGGAGCCTTGGCTTCTGTTCTTCATGCTGCTGCCACTAATTGTTTTCTGTTCATGAACAGATAACTCCCCCTCTGGGCTTAGTTTCCTTATGGGTGAAAGCACGGAGTTGGGCTAGGTGAATACTCAGTGTTCTTATAGTCTGTAATGGATAAATCTCCATGCTCTTGCTTCTGAATTCTATGTTGCTAGGATTCCTCTTGTGTCTCCATGTGGCTATGGTGGGCACCCAGCACATCTAAATAGGTTTTTAAGAAACATTGGTGCACAGGTGCAATGGTGAATGCCTGTAGTCCCAGCTACTTGGGAGGCTGAGTGGGGAGGATCACTTGAACCCAGGAATTTGAGACTGCAGTGTGCTATGGAGCCACTGCCCTCTAGCCTGGCCAACATAGCAAGACCTCATCTAAAAAAATAATAACTAGTGAAAGCATATATAAACAAATGTAAACTGTATGAAATAGTGTAAAACAACATTTCTTTCTAAATAATAGCTGTAGCGTGGAATCTAAAGAGTTTGATGGTGTCTCTTCTTTCTTTCTGTCCTTGGATCGGGGGTGAGCATTGCAAAAACCCAAACACAAAAGCTACATTTACATATCTGAAAAAATAAATACTTCCTAATCAGGTTTTTTTTTTCTGTGGAGGTGGGGTGGGTGGTAAGGTATTACACTAATAAAGACCAGTCATAAATGTGAATACTGTCTGGAGTTGGTGAAAGGAGAAGTTCCTAACTCTTTCTGTTACTCTCCTGTTCCTTTCTCTAACATGCTGCCTCTGTCTTCCTCGCAAGCCCTGCAGGCAGTGTTCTTTCCAAACAACTACTTGCCTAACCAGTTCATTGGAATGTCTTTTCTCCAGACTGTCTCCTCATTGAGATTTCTTCTGAAAATTAACCTCGCTAAAAACATAAATCATGTTTAAAAAAAATACAGTGGTAAATATTGCACATAAAATCTTTTCTCTGGTTTAAAAAAATGCACAAACCTACCTACCACTTTGAAACAGCAACAGTAACAAAAACAGAAACAATTAGGGCAACAGTTGCTTTTCTCCTTTTAAAGAAAATACTTTTCTTGGTTGCAATTGTTCTTTGGAGTGACAGGGATTAAACTCTTTGGATGAAATCTTTCCTCCTTATTGCACACCTCCTATCCCTCACCCTGCAGCCTGGGAGTGATTTTAGGAAATATTAAGTATATATTTTCTTGGCTGGCACTTTAAATAAGGTATAAATTGTGGAACAAAGTATAAAAATCACGTATTTCCACAAATCTTGCCATATAACAAATCTTTCCCCATAACTTTTTGTTTGTTTGCTTTCATACAAACAAAAGGTTCTTCGTCTATGGTGAAAAATGTAATGGTTGTAGAGTATATACTTCAAAATTTATCTTTATTATTTATTAGCATCTTAGGCAATCACAGATGTCAGTGGATTCTTTTCCTTTTTTATTTTATTTGAACCAGTTTCTCATCCAGCAGTTCTACATGAAAGAAAAAAAAACATGAACAGTAATAACTCACATAACATGTTCTTGTTGTTGTGTATAGGTACTATTAAATAAATAGGGATAGTTTGTGGTTTGAATTCATTGAAGGGGAAAAACCAGTAAACATGTACCAATCTTTCAATTTATGCAGCGGAATCAGGATGCTTTTCATAGTGTTATAAAAATTCAATTTCGCTTTCTCTGGCTAAAATCTGAATGGCCAAGAATGGAATAGTCATTTTCTTTGCTAGTTTCGTATTTGAAGATATCCCCAGAATTTGAATCAATCTGAAGTTTGATTTTCATTTCTAACTCCTCTGGAACAATATGATGAAACAGCCATACTCATCAGGAAGTTCAGCTAAACAGGAGCTCATGGTTGGAAAACCGTGAGTCTCAAGTTTTACCATATAGAGTGTAGGATACTAAATTGTCTGATAGACAATAGAAATAAGTCATCATCTTATGGCTTAATTACAGGAGAAAAGAATGTTCAGACTCAAATATCTCAATAAACAGACTGTTGTACAGAGACAAAAGAGCTACCTTAGAAGTTTTGGACCCTGGATTGTAGTCATGAATTCTCTACCATTTAGTGATGTGATCTGACACATGTCACTAACCCTCTCTAGTGTCAGTTTCGTCACTTACAATAATCTAAATATTTGATATTTAATCCAGGATTTTAGAATAATAATACATATGTGAAATCACATACAATATGTCAGCACATCACGTAAAACAAATGAAGTAGCATTTTATTGTTAGAGATTTATTTTAAGAACTAGGTACTTCAGGCTCTGTGTTCAAACCCCCCGCGTGTATGAATAACTAACCATCTCTAGGTTTTAGGGGTTTTGTTGCTGCTGTTGCTGTTGCTGTTTTTTTGCAAAACGGGATTAATATGACTATGGTGAAAACTAATTGAGATAGTAAATATAAAGAGCTTACCACAATAGCATTGGTTCAATAAACGTGGGCTTTTCTTTACTATTTACTTTTTTAGGTCAGTCATTGAACACAAGGGGCTGTTTTAAATAAACACAATTTAAGGGGTGATTTTGTATAGAAGTTACAATATTTTACCAGCATCAACATCCAATTCCTCTTGTATTTTGGTAGCGATGTTATTCTCATGATTATGTAATTCTTTTAAAATATCTCGAATCACAAACGTAGGTAGTTGCATGTTACTTTTTAAAACTGTTTTTGCCACCTCCAGATAATCATTACTCAAACTGCTCTAAAATCCTGAAAGACAAATAGTAAGAAAATATTTTAAAGTCAACACACTATTATTAAACAATTGCTTATTTTTCCTTCTTATAAACACTTTTGACCAAAAATTCCAAAACGTATGCACTGCAATGGCCTATGATACAATATCTCCCGCTGTACATTGAGGATTGACTTGTCATTTTATAGTTGACTTAATATTAGGTTGTTATAAGAGAATGTACTGAAAACTTATTTGACAGTGGCAGGTGGGTGCCATAGTGAGACTTCATGTACAGATTAAATGAATGTAACGGATAAAGCATGGAGCTGAACAACAGCAAAAAAGCACAGAGTTAAAACTTCCTAGTAAATGACATTTACAAGAAGTATAGGTATGTTCACGAAGATGACCAGAGAAGATTCAATCTAGGGTCAGAACAAAAGCAAATTAATCTGGCTGCAGAAGACCTCTTTGAAGCTCACGTCTAAAACTAACTATTTGTGTAACATCAGCCAAGTTATTTCATCTCCCTGTTTCATTACCTCATTTGTAAATTGTGGATTATAATAGTACCTTCCTCATAGGCTGATGTGAGAATTAAAACAAACCATGTATATAAAGTGCTCAGAATCATGTCTTGCCTTAAAAAGTGTTTAACAAATGGTCACTGTTGTCATTCTCTGACTCTGTTTATGCATATATGTATTTTTTCAATGTTTAATACTGCATTAAAGGCACTATAAATTCTATCATCTTCCGATACCTTGATTCCATGTAAGGATCAAGTTGAATAATAGAGTAGAAGTTTATTCTGGGTAAAAATGAAAGCACAATTTTATCTCATTAAATGTTATTCTAGTCAGTTCCTTTGAGAATATTGGACAGTAAAACACTATTACAGATGTTCCTGTTTATGTGTATACATTTGTGGTTATTTCAGTCTGACAAGCCAGCTCTACCATGAGTTTGGATTAGAAATTGTGTATCCACTGGATGTAAGAACTATGTTTGATCTTTTCTTGGTATTCTTCCACTTAATTGGTATTCCTTTAAAATAATTAGAATTAATCCAATTAATAAAATTAATATGGTCTGTGAGTACAAATATGATTATAATAAATATAGCCAATAAATGGTTTATATACCATATAGGATGTATCAAAAGAAATAAAACTTTCAAAATGACTGTGCCCATTTAGACATTTTAAAATGTTTCTAAGTAGCCATTGTAGGCAATTATGTTGCTGGACTTCCTCCTTGTCACTGACCTTCAATGAAAGATTATTCAGAGCATAAAAGTGTCCCTATTTTAATGCTAATTTGTTTTCAGAATTAAAATTATCTTATCCTATTTGACTACTCATGTTACACTCTAAATTTGGCTGAATAAATTTTCTAAAAAGATGAACATTTGTTACCATTGATTATATTCCAATAATAAGTCACAGACTGGTTCATAACTTACAACAGATTGTTTACCAGGGTTACAACTTCATGAAATCAGAAATTATACGTTTTTGTGTGTTAAACATATTATAAAGCCTGGCACCTGTTCATTTTTAGCAAATGTTTGTTGAATGGTTTGAGGCGGTAGTAGCCTCATCTCTTGAACTAAATTGTTAGTGCCTTTAGAAAAGTGGTACAATCTGAATCTTCTAAATGCTGCATATTGCCTTGATCTAAGTTTTGAAAACCAGACACAATCCTTATCATTGGGGCACCATCCTTGTTAGAATTTTTTATCTGTTGCTTTCTATTCATCTGGAATGTGTAAATATTAAATTAAAATTATTTTGGGCCGGGTATGGTGACTCATGCCTGCAATCCCAGCACTTTGGGAGGCCGAGGCAGGTGGATTACCTGAGATCAGCCTGGCCAACATGGTGAAACCCCGTCTCTACTAAAAATACAAAAATTAGCCTGGCATGGTGGCACATGCCCATAATCCCAGCTGCTCGGGGGGCTGAGGCAGGAGGATTGCTGGAGCCCGGGAGACAGAGGTTGCAGTGAGCCGAGATCGTTCCACTGCACTCCAGCCTGGCCAACAGAGCAAGACTCCGTCTCAAAAAAAAAAAAATTACTTTGACATCTATTAAGAAATTTGCAGCAAAGTTAAGCAGCAACAATTTACGCCTTTGGGGAATTATTGAATATTATTATGCCTAGAAGGCTGTCCCTTCTTTTTCATTTTAAAGAACATTTTTCTCTGAATTTATGCAAATTTGAGGAGGCTAATCCAAGTCATCTCTACAGATAGTTAGGCAAGACAAAATGTTTGATACTGCAAATTTTCTCTTGAAATGTATCAGTCACTTCCACTGTATAAATCATGTAATATGTCAGAGGTTTTTGTTTGGATGAAGTAAAGCTAATTGCAGTAAAGATTTGAAGAATGATACTTATCCATCAAAAACAAACAAATATCTTATGTTTGAGTAATGCTCTACAGTTTAAAAAGTCATTTCACATCTTTTATTACCCTTGCTCCTCACAACAACAGGCAATGTATATCTACTACCATTCTAAGTGCATTATCTCTGGATTTTTGGCTTAATTAACTGTTATGAAAAGCCACTTAACTTCATTAGTGAACAGGTTAGTATGTATGACTAATTAAAAGGTACCCATAATATTTTATACTAACATTAAACAAGTAAAAATGTGGCTATTGTTCAGGAGCTCCAAGTTGAATGAGCTCTCAAAGATAACGTTTTCTTTATTATTGTTTCATGTTATTCTACCTGCAGGTGACATTTTTGATAAAGCTAAGACAAATATATATATAAATATATATTATATTTATATATATAATATATTATATATTTATATATAATATATATTTATATAATATATTAAATATATAATATATTCAATATAGACTATATTATATATTAAATATATAAGTATATTAAATATATAATTATATATAAATCTATAATATAAATGTATTATATTAAATATATAATATTTAATATATAATTAATTTATATAATATATAAATATATTAAATATATAATATAGCTATGTGTGGAGGATGAAAGCACTGATCAGCTGATTGGCCTTGAAGATACTCTCATTTTCTTTAATTTTCATGATTGCCTTCCTGTTAATAATGTGACAGACTCTTTTTTAGCCCTCCTGAGTTGAATATTTGGGCACACGTGGCAGTATAAGTACAACTCATGATTGAATAGTCTTGTTTGGTTGATTGCTCAGTTATCTGAGAGTGAGATCTTGGCTCTCATTTGGATAAAGCAGTAAATGTCTGAGCAGTGTCTGCTAATGTCGGGTCAGTTCACATCAACATTCAGCAAATTTGTTGATTGATTCATTTATTCTTAAAATATGTTGAAAGTTTCCTATGCATATGACCCTGTTTAATATTTGTATGAGAATCTAATGGCTTTAGTGTAGATATCATTCTCAATGGGATTCGATAGCATTTCGGAAACTGTTGAGCATGGCAGAGTGATAAATTGTGCTTTTGTTTACATGACTAATTGTAAGGGTTTGGAAACACTCCCTTGATGTACTAAGAGCAGCTAATGAAGACAGTTAAATAAACAAACCATTATGATGAATCTAGGAGTTCATATAGACATTCTGCTAATTTGCTTCTTGTCCCTTTCCCAAAGTTTTATGTATATCTTCCCAAGCATAACAACTATTTTACATTTCATGGAGAGCTAGTTTGTTTTTCTTCATAACCTAATGCTCTATTCACTCACTTAGAATGTCACTGCTCAAACTGGCTTTAGAGATCACGTACTAGCTAGCTAATGCTCTTTACCAATAAGGACACTGAAGCTCCTAGAAGTGAAGTGATAAGCCTTAGATCGCATTGCTAATTGGTGATGGAGCCAGTCTAGAATCCAGGTCTCCTAATTGTTTCCACTATACTATGATGCTTCCTTTAGAAAGCTAGATGCTGTATAAAATCTCTTGAAACTAGCTCTGTATTTCACCAATCAATACATACCAACTTGAGACTAGCAAACTTTTTTAGTATGTTCCATAGTTGCTCTCACACTGTCATTTTGCCTAACAGCAGCTCATATCTACTTGGAGAAAGTATCAAGGATTTTCCTCTGATGAGTTTGGTGGCTGTTTAGTGCCTAGACTACATCATGTTTAATGGAAAAGTAGATTGAATTTCTGTCTCATTTTCAAGAAATGTGCTGTAAGAGCATGCCAAGCCCAACCCCTTGATAATCTTGTCTAACAGCGTTGGTGGTGTAATGAATTAGTCTTGCACGAGTCTGCTGCTTCTAGAGGGCTAAGCAGGGGATCAAATCCCCCCTTTGTAGTGAGACAAGCTGCCAGAGAAGTGATTGATATTGCAGACAGACTTCAAGGAAGAAATAAGCAGATAAGTGGGGTAATAAGTAGATAATACTACTACTTTGCACTTAGTGTCTTTTATCTGAGCATCTGAAGGCAGCTGTATACTTAAACATCAAGGTCCCTTAGTGTAAGGAGACAACGGGGTCTTTCCTTTTATTCTGTGGTCCTCCTCCATAATCAATAAATCAGCGAAAATGTTTCCAAAGAAAGATCAGCGGTAAAGATTTGTTTTTGCCCTTTCTCTGTGAAGCTAAGTGACCAGGATGTGAAGCAATCGCTCTAAAAGTTATCTTGATCTTGATGCAATGTTTTGTATGCACTTTCTCCTACAATGTTTGGATCTGAAAAAAGAAACTTCTACTGTACCAAGTAAGGCATTTACTGTATTTTTAATCCCTTCCGATTGTGTCAGACTCATTCCTCTGAGTAATTCTCATTCTTGCATTTATTTTACTCCTCAAAAATTTCCCTTGTAAATCTTATTTTCGGTCAAAGTCCTTAGACAGTAAATCTTTCAGACAGCTTCAGGCCATTGTGGCTCCAAGAAACCATTGTGAAGTAAAGTCGTGTTTAATAAGGTGGATGGACCCTGTTAGAGATCTCTCTGAGTATGCTTCCATTAATTTTGTACACATCTTGTTAATTCACACAAAGAGAGTAAGTTGCCAAGCCAAAATTGTTTCCTTTTAGCAGACCATGACTCAAAATTCAGAAGCTGATTCCTAGGAGAGTTAAAGAACAATAGTGGCTGCCACATTATTTTTTTAGGTAACTTTGCTCTTTAACATAGACTAGAATAATTTTCTAGTCATTAAATCACCAAATATAAATACCCAGTGACCTTACAAATATTGTTTAATCATCCTCTCCATCAATGGCTTTTTTTTTCTAGTTTATGTCATGTGAGGGTATTTGTTAAATCATAGAAAACTTTGAGATCATGAAGGTCATCAGATCTAACCACCCATGCTGTCTCTGGCCTTTCACTCCATCATTATAATATGCAAGTGACTGGCTTATAGTTCCCTTAGGAGGTAAGAGAACACATATCCATGTATTGTGTCTCGTGCCTTTTTTTTTTTTTTTTTTTTTTTTTGAGACGGAGTCTCGCTCTGTCACCCAGGCTGGAGTGCAGTGGCACGATCTTGGCTCACTGCAAGCTCCGCCTCCTGGGTTCATGCCATTCTCCTGCCTCAGCCTCCTGAGTAGCTGGGACTACAGGTATCCACCACCACGCCCAGCTAATTTTTTGTATTTTTAGTAGAGACGGGGTTTCACCGTGTTAGCCAGGATGGTCTCGATCTCCTGATCTCGTGATCCGCCCGCCTCGGCCTCCCAAAGTGCTGGGATTACAGGCGTGAGCCACCACGCCCGGCCGTATTCTGTCTTTTGAAGATCAGAAAATATTGCTGAATATGAAACAAAAACAAAAACAAAAAAACCAAGTTCTTAGCTTCATATTTATAGTTTGTCTAAAGAAAAAATTGCTTTCTTCCAACGAACTGCATTTCCTGTAGAACACAAATTTTATACTTGGAAGAATTATGTGTAGCGATTTTGCAACCATCTTTCCTTATGACCAAATACTTTTGTGAGCTGAGAAGTCTCAGGTTGACATAATTAAAGATAAAATGTGACAGGAATTGTATGTGCACCTGTGTTTGAAGGGGGCCTTGCAGTAAGTAGAACATAAAGATATATGCATCGCTGTTTTGGTCATCTCAATATAGTATTGACTATAATCTCATATTTTTCCCACTTTATAATTTATAAACATTTCAACTCATTTGACAACCCTTACAGTTACCTGTAAATGAGATGATGTAGGTGTTGTTATCCCTATTTAATAATTGTAAAAATAGAGTTTCCAATTTTCCCCACTGCTACCAACCTAGAAAGTATCAGAACCCAGACCTTTTGACTCCCGGCCAAGTATGAAGTGCTTTCAAATAGGGCATCAGATACAGCAAATCATCTGTTACTATGAAGTACTGTACAAAATGTTAGTACTGTTATTGAATATATTCTCAAGACTTAGGTACGCGGTTGGCCATTGAGGTACAAATCTTTTCCCATAGAAAGGAAATTGACAGCCGGGCATGGTGGCTCACGCCTGTAATCCCAGCACTTTGGGAGGCAGAGGCGGGCAGATCACGAGTTCAGGAGTTTGAGACCAGCAGCCTGGCCAACATAGTGAAACCTCGTCTCTACTACAAATACAAAAAATTAGCCAGGCGTGATGGCAGGCACCTATAGTCCCAGCTCCTTGGGAGGCTGAGGCAGGAGAATCGCTGGAACCTGGGAGGCGGAGGTTGTGGTGAGCCAAGATCGTGCCACTGCACTCCAGCCTGGGCAACAAGAGTAAAACTCTGTCTCAAAAAAAAAAAAAAAAAAAAAAGAAAGAAAGAAAGAAAAAAATTGACTTGTAAACTACATATAAAGAAGTCATTTGCTGTTACTGAGTCCACTGTGTTAACTTGTTTACATCTTCAAACTCATTCTGCCTCAAGTCAGTCTTATTTTCTTTTCTTCACCCCAAACCTAGAGGATTCTGCCTTCTTGCTGGGTTCTAGGTTCTACCCTTTCAGTATAAGATGAAAACCACCTTCCACACAGCTACCTAGATCGTAATATGCCATGTTTTCTCTCTCCTTGTTTTCACTTAGTTTTGTCTTTCTATTTGATTGCGGGTGCTCTTTGGATCGAGTTTTTTGTAAAGTACCTTCTAATATACTTGGGCAACTATTATACTTCTCTGAATGTTGTAAGCATCTTATCCTCATTTCTTTTTACTGATATCTAACCTTCTATCTCTCTTTAATTCACACATTTTTAAGTATCTTTTTTAAGGCCCAAACATAGAAGTGAAAACTTTTCACAGAGAGAAACAGAGGTTACCTTTTACTATTACCTTAGTATGTTTATTGGAAACCTGTAATAGTCACCAACATTTAACTGAATTTAAAGCAGAAATTGAGGCAGCTGAATGGGATGATTGAGATAAAGTTTTGGTACCCTAGTAATATAAGCCTTGGGCCACAAACAAAAATATACTTAGTTCTCATAGTTAAATGTAATGAGTAATGTAATTATTTCAAATATTGGATGCAATACTAAGAATGAGGAGAGAAGGAGAGCCACTTGACACTTACAAAATAGTTGCAAATTTGGGAGGCTGAGACAGAAGGACTGCTTAGCCCAGGAGGTTCAGATTAGCCTAGGCAACATAGCAAGACCCTGTCTCTGTAATTTAACAAAATATAAAAAATAGTTGCAAAACATTGGGACACTTATTTTCAATCTTTGGATTTCATATTGTCTTTCTCTAAAATAAAAACGTGTGGTTATATGATTTCTAAAGTCTCTTGATGTAATATTCTTTAGTTTTATTTTTATCATTGCTTGCAATTACTGCTCATATTATCATTACAATAAGCCCGACATTCGTTTTCATCCCTTATCTTTGGAACACCGTGTTTCCCTCCAGAGACGGAGACAGAGCGCTTCCTCCTTTCTCTTCCTGTCTTGCTGGGGCCTAAGAAGAGAAAGGGGCACTATCTTTATGGGTGAATACATGTATAGCCCTAGGAAATAATGAAAAAAGGATTTAGGAGTGGATGCTTAACTGATTGCTTTCTATTAAAGGCTCACAATCCTACAGAAGAGTAGCAATGAAGAAATGGATCTTTATGTTTGAATTCCTAAATTTATCCTGAAAACAAAAGCCAGCCCCTGCTGGGTTAGAGTCCTCCAAAGCTAGGGATCTGTTAGGAGCACTGGTTTTGCCTTACAGACCTAAATGTAAATGTTAGTCTCAGATGGGCAGAGAGTTGAACTCTCTAATTAGCCCTGCAGGTCAGTCTTGAAAGAAACAAGAGTGTAGCATCCAGCAATTTAAAAAGGCATCCTGTGCAATTGTTTGCTGAGGGTCAGAGGGTAAATGCTGTTGTGACAGTTGGGTGGACTTGGCACACTTCTCTACGCAGGATAAGAGAGAGAAGAGAGGTTGATGTTGATCTTTGGTGATAGCAATAGCAGAAGACAGTTCCCAAAATTCTAGGGTCTTTTAAATGTCCTTTCAATTCACATGAAAGGCTTCCGTTTGCAATCCAAGGAATTGAAATATCAAGTCATAGGAAATAAGAGGCCTATACCTTTTCTTCAGGGAAGTTAAATCATAAACCTTTCTGGAAGCTTAAAGCTGAAGTATATTTCTCATATTTACTTCAAGTATGAGAAAGATACAGATAATTCAAGTCCACCACAGTCTTATTCCAACATGTCTTTCCTACTCTATCTTCCATCTCATGTCATTCCAGGCTCACCTAACTCACCCTGTTATTTTTTTATGTTTATTTTTATTTTATTTTGAGACAGAGTCTTGCTCTGTCATCTAGACTGGAGAGCAATGGCACGATCTCGGCTCACTCCAATCTCCGCCTCCCAGGTTCAAGCAATTTTCCTGCCTCAGCCTCCTGAGTAGCTGGGATTACAGGCACCCGCCACCATGCTCAGCTAATTTTTGTATTTTTAGTAGAGATGGGATTTCACCATGTTGGTCAGGCTGGTCTCAAACTCCTGACCTCAGGTGATCCACCCGCCTCCGTCTCCCAAAATGCTGGGATTACAGGTGTGAGCCACCATGCCTGGCCTCACCCTGTTATTCTGAATGCATAATTTCATGTCTCTGTCTTTTGTCCTATGCTGTTTCTTAATTAGATTCCTAAATGTCGATTTCCTCTTCCTCTTCTATTTCCTTTTTACCTTAAGGATTCAACTCCTTATCTCTTCATGAAGAATTAATCACTCCTTTCTCTCTGTTCCCATAGAACTATGTCTGTAACTTTACACTTACTTAGTCTTCACTTTAGTTACTATTTCACATGTATTTCACCCGACTTTGTAAACATATTTTTTTTTTTTCTTTTAAGTGTATGTCTCCTATACTAGATGAGGAAGTCTTTGGACAGATGCTGAGTCTTCTTCTTCTTCTTCTTCTTCTTTTTTTTTTTTTTTTTTTTTTTTTTTTGAGTCAGAGTCTTACTCTGTCACCCAGGCTGGAGTACAGTGGCTGGATCTCAGCTCACTGCAACTTCCGTCTTCCGGGTTCAAGTGATTCTGGTGCGTCAGCCTCCTGAGTCGCTGGGATTACAGGCATGCGCCATCACATCTGGCTAATTTCTGTATTTCCAGTAGAGGCAGGGTTTCACCATGCTGGTGAACTCCAGCCATGGCTGGTCTCGAACTCCTGGCCTCAAGTGATCTGCCTGCCTTGGCCTCCCAAAGTGCTGGGATTACAGGCATGAGCCACTGCGCCTGGCCGAGTCTTATTCTTCTTTAGGTCTTATTGCAGGATAATGTACAATAAAGCATTCAGTTAGTGTTTGAAAGGAAATGTGTTTGTCTACAGGTGTATGTGGGAGAAATAAAATGGCCTCTAACTGATGGCCTCTAACACACTTCTAGTATTAACATACACTGAATGGGTCTATAGTTTGATGTATCAATAAAATCAAATCAACTAATTTTTAATCAGCTATTATTTACTTTAGCCTTCATTTTTTATTGTCTTGATTCCCTGTAAGAGGATGAAAAACTCAAATGTGACAATCTTTCCTATTATGTGAACCAGTAAACATTTTTGACCTTTTCCATTCTAGAGTCATAATGGAATCGAAAGTAGAACTTGTCTGATGGGTGAGGATTGTGCATGAGTTTTAATTTGCTTAAGTAGTCTTCTAGCTATTGATCATGACCAAGAACTTATTATTGTTGCTAAATAGGAATTGTAAGAATGTGGATATTTTGAGGAATGAGTTAGGAGAAAAGAAGCTGAATATATCTTTTAAAGAGATGCTTAGACTGAAGTATCAGTTCCCTTTTTTGTCCACAATCTTATAGATCTGGTCACACCACTTACGTTGTTATCAACTCGGCCCTTTAACTTTGTAGCTTAAATCCCTTACCCCATAGAGAAACTATCACAAAACCTCGTGAATCAAAGAAATACTTAAAGAAGAGAATGTAAGTAAATGATTAAGATCGGTATAATATTACCATTTCATTCACTTAGCAACCAAGTTACAAATAATTCCTTAGCTTTATTTTTTATTTTGCTGAAGCCAGCTTTCCCATAGCTCGTGTGTGTGTGTGTCTTTATATGACTTATAATGAAGCCTGACTTTGCTATGCATTTCTTTTTGTGATTTAAATACAACACTCATACTGAATCCGTTTGAAGAAATGATTTCATCATTATCAGGAGGCTACAGTCTATAGTTTCCCTTTACTTTTAAGCAACATATATATTAACACTAAAGTAGCTTTCAATCTTTGCTGGAAATTACCTATATTTTTAAAATGCATCACTCCTCGAGTATTTTTTAATCCCTTTGTGACATTATTACAAAATCGTCTAGTTCATGATCAATGCAGATAATGTTTTCTTACAAAATCAAACCAGCAGCCTCCATAGGCCAGAAGATCTGGCTTAACCACCCGGGTCACAGAGGCACACCTACTTGGTTGCACCACTTTTTAATCAACTTGTGAATCAGGCTTGGGAAGGTGGAGTTAAGTTAGTTCATTGTGTCTGTAACAGTAGGAAGCTCAGAAGACCAACATGTAGGGAAAAAAGCTGCAAAGAAAATCCATGGGAGCCATTTGTGTCCACAGGACCTCTCAATTTCCCTTGCAGAGCATGCAAATAAAAAAGGTGATTTGCTCTGATATGGAATTCCTGCACAATGTTCAGGCATGCGTGCAAGACAGTAATCTCTTCTGTGACAGAGTAACCTGTGTAGCACAGGGGAGCATGAAGTTTGGAGCCAGCAAACCTGAGTTCCAAGCTCCAGCCTTAAGTATAGTTTATTGTATGAACTTGAGTATGACGTTTAACCCCTCTAGAGCCTCATTTCCTTATCTGAGAATCAAGGACAATAAGACGCTGCCAACTTCACAGACTTATTATATGGATCAAACCAGAACAGACATCTCCCAAGCAGAATGTGAATGCTTACTCTGCATACTTTCCAAGCTGCAGGAAATATAGAACTAAATTGGGCATCGCCCTTGCTCTCAAGCTTCTATTTCAGTGTGGGATTCATGAAAACATAACTAAAAGGCAATAAGATCAGATCAACAGTAATATAGGTATCCCAAGAATTGAGTAAAATGTTAACGGAGAGAGCAACTGACTGCCTAGAAAAGACAAGAAATTACAAAAAAAAGCAAGAAGACAGATCCTAGCAAGCACAAGCTAAGTACATAGAAGACACTCAACCAGTGTGGAGTAAAATGGAA
Organism: Homo sapiens; assembly: GCF_000001405.40. NCBI lineage: Eukaryota > Metazoa > Chordata > Mammalia > Primates > Hominidae > Homo > Homo sapiens. Next base: position 189,780,147 of record NC_000003.12, read on the forward strand.
GTAGCAGTTATGTGGGTGTTAAAGAATGTGTTTGAGTTTGCCTGTTGGAGATAACAGAGGAACTAGGGTCTACAGAGCTGCCAAATTGTGAAATATAAGAGATGTATGCTTTGTAAGCTGCAATGCAGGATACATATCCTTAAGCTCTTATTACCCAGCCCCAAATCACTGTACCCTTCTTTGCCCACCAATAAGACTTTTCCAAAAGAAGTACTCAAGTTAGATCATCCTAGACAGAAATGTAGAATACTTTAAAGCTAGAACTGATCATTAGGTTCTTATCAAAATATTTTCTTGCACTCTTGAAGTTGGATTTGGTTTTTCACTTTGGAAAACAGTTTCCTCCATAGATTACTTATAGGCCCCTATTTCCTAATTCTATGTACACTTCACTCTCTCCTGTACTCAGGGTCACTGGGACAAAAATGACACAAGGAAGGCACTTGTTTTTATGTCTTTATTATTGTTTTGGACCAAGATCTCCTACACCCCACACTTAGAGTGAGTGGAAATTGTTTTCAGAGACAGGTGCTTTTTCTCCCATGGCTTAGTGTCACAGAAGGAAGATGACACCAGCCTGGTGACATTTGTGCCTGGGAGAGCTGCCAGTCCATGCTGCTTCCCCAGTTTTAAGAAACACTATGGTTTGTCATACCTAAATTACTTCCACCTCTCTGCTGGCGGTGACAGTGATGTCAGTTATCCTGGGTCCAGCTAAGGTTTCAGTCTGTGTGTTTTCCGGATCATGTTGATTCTCTTCTTCTTCTTAAAATGCAATTTTTCTCATTTTGTGTTTGTGGTAAGGGCTATTTTCTGCCAAAACAGACATTATCAAAGCAGTTGCATAGTGAGGGACTGGTGTCCTTTATAAGCGTAGAGAAAATCCGAGAACGTCAGGCCCAGAAAGGACTTTAGAAATCCCACAGGATTTGGCCAACTCTTTGTCGTACTTGCAAGAGGCTGAGAAACAGACAGACTAGATAGCTATGTCAAGGCCTTGTAGCAAGTCACAGCATGAGAAAAGTGGAACTTTAAAAAATATAGATAGCTACAGATACCACATTTACATATACCATTTCTGTATACTTAGGATTTAAGGGTAATGTAATCCTGAACAGTGTAGCAGAGAGGATTAGTGAAAACGGGGTTCTTGGAGTGACTTATCCACCCTCGTGGTTCATGATGCAAAGGTGGTGTGCATACTGGATGGGAGATTCACAGGTGGGATTATCCACGGATTCCTGATGTCACAAACCTGTGACTTCTCCTATTTTCTAAAACTGAACTGTGGCTACTAGCGGACACATATGCTATAACTAAAGGTGCAGACCGGCAGCAATTAAAACCAGAGACGGACGCTAGAACTCTCTAAGAGCAAAATGCAATCCCCGCCCCACCTGGAGTTCATCTAGGATTCCAAAGTAAATACACCTCCTTTCTGTTTTGCCTAGGGATTTTTTTTTTTCCTGGAAAGGGTGGAGAAGATTTACGTAAGAAAGCTGAGTTGCCTCAAAATACAGCCTCCAGAAAGAATGAGGCATCTCCTGCCCAACCTATTATTCCTGCTGAGGAGAGAGAAATTGAGGAACTAAAAGTGAAGCCTAAAATTGCCAGGGCTGAAATCTTGGTAGAAATCAACTAGTCTATAAAATTAGCTGCCTCACTGGCCCTTTAGGGTGGAAATACCATAAGGAGCAGACATCTGATGTAAAGTTGAGAGGGAAGTTGTCTGTCTTCATCAATAGTAAATCAAATCTAGGTTAAATAGACAAATGCCATCTCCAAGGAGAGTAGGATCACAATTATATAGGATGCCGAATATATAATGACACTAAATCCAGTTAACAGGTTGAAAACCTGAGGCATGGGCAGGGGAAGTGTCTTGCTTCAAGTAATGTAATGAATTTACTGGCAGATGCAGAACTTAACCCAAAATTCATGACTCTTAGAACAGTGCCCTTTCATGCATGATCCTGAAATGCAAGAGGGGTTTCATTTTTATGGTTTCAAGGTAGAATGAATTATGAAAATCTGGGCTTGTATTATAATATATCCCAGTGTGGAATCAGAAGGAAAAGTGATGTGTTATGCAGTGAACTTGAGTGAATACTTATTCATTATCCATTCAGCAGAAGAGACTAACTCAAAATCAAAGAGGTGAAACCCGAAGCCCAGGTTTCCTGATGTTGATTCCAGAGTTCTTTCCACTATTCCTTGCTGGCAGTTGACTGCGTCTATGACCATTTGCCATGGTGGCAGCTGTATGGAGGATATGGCAGTAAGTAGGGGGGCCAGGGACTGGAATATATAGTTTTAATCCGGCTATTCAAACATAAGACAATACAGTGCTTTAAAAAATAAGAATTTATAGGAGATATTTAGTAGCCATCTTCAGAAATACATATATTGATAAATACAACAATAAAAGATACTGAAATTTATTTGGAATCTATCATAAACTAAATAGTGCCATAGGGCTGATTAGGGAAGTTAAATATTATAATGTAAGGTGATATTTTACCTTTTAGAGATGAAAGTTCAAAGAAACTAAACACATCACTATTCAAACACAATTTAGTTTGATTTAAGACCTTCTCTTTCCAAAGTAGACCAGTCAATGGGAGTACAGATGAATATGTTTATTTTAATGAATAACGTATAATAGCAATAGGAGGAACTTAATTTTGTTGATGAGTTTTTACTCTAAGAAATTTTAAAAAATATTTTAAATAATAGTAGCTGCTAGTGCTTGTACTAGTGTTGTAGTAAGGTGAGCTCTGTAATGCATTGTTGGCCTAAACATAAACAGGTATACTGTTTGGAAATTAATGTATCTATCAGGCTTTAAAATATTTTTGTCTTTTAATTGAATAATTTGCTTATATGATAGTGTATTTTAATAAATAGTGTAATAATTTTTGCTGTATGATTATAGCGGTAAAGAAAAATCGAAGCAAATTGAATTCTCAACTAATTGGAAATAGCTAAATTAATTCAATAACTATGTAGCAGTTTAATTTCTTTAATTTTAAAATTTAACATAATGCATTCAATGAACTGAGAACGTACTCATTTTAGCAGATTAATTTCAAAAAGTAGGTATATGCATCTGTATACACAGATACATATGTACATACTTAACAAAATATATCTTTGGTATTTAGTATGTGTACACCTGGTAAAACACATACTTGTGTGTAATATGTATCTCTGGAAGAGAATAAACCAAAATGCTAATGGTGTCTACGTGTAGTTTCTAGGATAAATGACTGCAATTTATTCCATACATTGTGTATTTTCTATATTTTCAACAACATATTTGTAATCTAAACAAATACATGTATTTTTAAAAATCCTAAAGAAGTGAGTTTTGTATAATAAAATAATTAGAGTTTTTATTTTAATGTATATAATACTAAAAAGGAAAGCAATTTGGAAATACTTGATGAATATGTTAAAGGTTTAAACCTTTATTAATGAAGACACTACTCCCTCAACAGAGCAGGGATTGGGAGTAAGGCAAAATATATTAATAGATCATTTAAAGGAGAAAGGCAGAGGGCTAATGAACATATTGAAACACATGTAATATCACTAGCACTAAAGGGAATTAATATCAAAATGAAATATTTTTTTCATTTATAAAGTTGGAAAAGATAATCCTCTCAGTGCTGTAGTAGTTAGCCTCATTCAAATGTAATTTGGTGCAGTCTTTTTGGAAAATAACTTGATATTATATCCATGAAGTGACTTAAATCCATAACATTTGACCCAGTACTTTTAGTTGTAGGAGTACTTAACAGGGGAAAATACTCAAAATATAATGATAACTAAAAAAAAATTATATTGCATATGATCTCAATCTTGTTTATATACATAAACACGGGAGGAAGACCATAGAAACTTTTAATGTAATTCTGAGAGTTGCGCTTATAGTTGACTTTCATTTTTTATTTGTATTTTACTTTTTTCTTCTAAATTTCACACTATTTTTGTAACCTAAAATTTTTAAATCCATAATACAAAACAATATGAGGAGAGATTATCTTATCTCTGTACCTTTGTATATCTATTTACTTGAACTGTAAGTAAGGCACTATCTAAATCCAGGTAAGTGGTAAAATACTGTTATTACAATCATAGCATGGGCTATATGGTAAATGAACTGTAGGACATACATGACATTGAAGAAGGATAAATACAGGAGTAGGGGGAAAAGTAAATATTAAGATGTAATTAAACAATGAAGCAGTGTTTGTAGATTCCAGTCTCAAAATACACAGATTCGGATCTCAATTCCAATGTTTAATATCTATCTGCATTTCAGTGTCTTCATCTGTGCAATAACAATGAACATAGTATCTAAGGCATAATTTTGTGAGTATTAAATGAGTTTGTTATATGTAAAGTGCTTTGAGTACCTTAACCATAAAAAGTGCAGAATCTAAATTCTGTCTACCATTTTATCTTTTACTTGAACATGTATACAAATAAAAAATTAAATCTAGAATACAACTGTAAGATTTACGACAGAACTCGTCTCCCTTTCTATGCCTATGAGACTTACCCATTTTTCAGAACTTAGCTGGTCACCCTAAAATGGGTGAGATCTAATATCTTGCTTTGGAACTTAGCCTCAGACTAAAAATTGATTTGTTGAACTAATTCAGTGGCCTTCAGTAGCTTCCTCAAATGCTAATTCTTATCACCTATCTGAGGCAGGAGAGGAAGGTAAACACTTAATTCATGCAATATTAGAACTTTAAAAGTTACTCAGTGTGTTCTGTTGATCATCCTTCAACTTAATGGTAGCTGATACCAAAAAGATCTCATTGGTTTTGTTCTGCAGCAGCCTGGAAAGCCCCAACATTTCTTAGCTTTCACGCATGTTCTAAAAACCCCAACCTTTTTTGACTATTACAGGTTTTTCATGCTGACAACTGTCCCTTTTCACAAATAATTATCAAGGGCTTGAGATACGGAGCTTGAATTGAAAGCGATATTTTTTCTCTCTTCTATTTTAGATACTATACTTTGATTTTTACAAGATCAAAAGGCATCTCTCTGTAAAATCTCTCTGTAAAAAGGCATCTCTCTGTGTCCGTCTCATAATAAATGCTTTGGGTAAATACTCTTCTAATTCTAGTTCTTTCTTATAGAATTATAGAACTGTTTAATTGAGCTGATACTCACCGAGCTTTTGGAGTACTAAATGTGACATGATGAACATAAATGTATTCTGACTTCAAAAACTTCACAATCTTGTTGAGGAGAGCGTTAAGTATACAACTTTTTGCATTGAAAGATAGAATTTTATTACTGCTTTTATTTATATTCATATAAAATAAGAGAAGGTTTAACTTCAACTAGGGTTTAGAGAAATTCTCACATCGGTAGGCTTTAAAGAATCTAAAAGTATTTGAATATATCGGGAAAGCAAATGAAGGCATTCTAAACTGAGGGACCGGAATGAACAGAAGGACAAAAATAGCCAGCTGGGGTCCACATTTGCTAAGCAAAGTGGATTATAAGGAAAGTGAAGCTGAAATGGTAGTTTGGGGCCAGATTTTAAAGGGCCTTGAATGCCATTCTAAGTAATTTATCTGGTCCTGTTGGCACTGGGACACCCTGAGGAGTGACATGATCAGAGTTGCACTTTAGGAAAGATGAAGTTATATAGTGAGGGAGCTCTAGCAGGGAGGAAAGAAAGTGGAGACATTGCTGTATGTTCCTTTTTTGCCCTCATTCAGCATTCAGGTAGATTTGTTATTAAAACATAGAAGGATTGATTGTCAGCCCCTGTACCTGCTAGTTCTGTATTCATGGACTCAAACAACCATGGATCATAAATATTCAGGGAAAAAATTAAAAATAAAAATACAACAAACCAAAAAAATCCAGTATAACTATTTAACTTTTTCACATAGGGATGTCAAATGGAGCCATTGACATCGGTATTTTATGAAAATGGCATTTCAAATCTGAGAAAAATATATATTATTCGATAAATAATAAAGATCAGTTTTCGATTGATGAGAGTGGATTTTCCTTTGTTTTTCATACAGACATACATTCTGGAAAGTTAAAAGACTTGCATGTGAAAACATTCAAAAATCCTAATATTGTAATATGGTTGCAAAATTTTACATTGGGCTGGGAAAGGCCTTTCACGCTGTGTCTGAAACACAGTAAGTCATAAAACAAAAAAGGATAAGTTGACTATGGAAAAATTAGAATTTTCCTACACCAAAAAGCAAACCATAATACTGTATGCAAATTTGAAAGACCAGACATACCTAAACACACACACACACACACACACACACACACACACACGCATGCACAAATACATATACAAACACAAACACAGGAAAATATAGCACTTATAATAAAAAGTTGGATGTTAAAAAAGATAGTCAACAAAATGTTAGCATTTTGTTATTTCTGGAAAGCATATGCTTCGATCTGACATCTTGGACTTCTATTCCCAAAGCTATGGCTTTACAGCGCCGCCATTTTTACCCAGGGGGCAGCGTGACCCCTAATTCAGAGACCGTGGAGCTTTACGAAGTCTGAGGAAATGACTGAGAAAAGGCAAGAGCTCTAAATAGAGTTGTTCTAACTACTGAGGACTTGGGACATTGACGTAAAATCCTTGCATTTCTTTATTTATCTGAAAAATGTAGATAATAATACTAACTTACACCACTAGGTGGTTAGAAAATTAATGCATGTTACTAAACATTTAGTACATTTGAGATCCACATATAAGCATTGTTGTTGAGTGCAGAGAATTGTTACTTCTTTGTAACCTGCTTAAATCAATGCATGATATTTACATCAGCTACTCACTAATTCTGAAACCAAACATTATCAGGTATACTTTAATTAGCTCTTTTATGGAAATGTTTGTGCTGAGTTCAAATCTACATGAACTATTAGCGAATTTTTCATTGTGAGGATACCTTAAAGCAAAAAATATGGATTTTCCACCAATATGTTCCTTTTCCTTTATGTCATTTAAGTATCTTAAGTAGCTGTGCAGCTTGACTACTTCACTTGTACAATATGAAGATGAGCAAACTGAGGGACAAATAAATATCCGAGTAAAATCAGAGGAATATCCTCTAAATCACTTCTCTGATTCTGGACAAAAACAGGCTCTTATCTTTGTAATTGTCTTTAGAAATCATTTAGCTCTGCCCTCATTTCACAAATGAGGAATCTGAATCCAGAGTGGTTAAGTAACTTGCCCCAAGGGCACGGAGCTCCTGTCTCCTAACTCCCAGTCCAGTGCTCTTTTCTTCCAACATACTCAAAGTTCTCAAGTAGCCATAGTGGATATATTGTCTTAGATTTTGTCCAGAATCTTTGTAGATATGTTAGACAGAGACCGTATTTGGATTCATGCTGATAGCTGAGGTGGCACATGGAAGGAATCTGACTTTTTCATCTTTCAAATCTTGCTGGGAATCTTTTGACTTCGTGAAAGGTGAAGTTTGTTTACATTTTTAGTGGATATCAATACTTGGGACCCTGAGCCTTAGATTTAGGTGTTCAAATGGCTACATGATCCCATTAGTGTAAAAAACAATTTAATAATGACTTTGGTAGGCAGTTGTGCTAACAGCATTTCCTCTAGATCATTGATTCCCAAGCGTGACTCATCCAGAACCGCCTAGCAGGCTGTATAAAATCCAGTTGTTGGGGCTGTAACCCTGCAGAGTCTGATTCAGGAGGTCTGGGGCCACGTCCAGAAATCTGTTTTTAAAAAGCACCCTGGATGATTTTCAGGATCATCCAAGTTTTTGGGCCACAGGAATTATGCATACCTTTAAGGAAGTAACCATCTGCTTTCTACTGTTGACTCTTAAGCTGTCAGTAGGTGTAGAATTTAGACACATTGTACAAAAAATTATACTGTATTTTGTAAGTAGGTTTTTTTTTTTTTGCCTTCTAGGCAGTGCTCATTTGGTTAATTATAGGTAGAAAGAGAGATCATTCTTCCCAATATATGTGTGAAGAAATGAATGTTTTGTCTGATATAAATTTGTAGTGTTACAGAGTACTGTCATATTCTTGCATACTCAAGATCAAATTATATTATGGGAGTTTTTTGGTTTTTGTGTATAAAAGAAGGAAGCATTATTACCAGTAACCTATGGGTCTTATATATCAGCCAATGACCACGTCATCCTTTAAGTGCATAAATTTTATGGATGCAAAAGTAGAAGTAAAGGGGAGGCAAATCCGAAGTCGTGAACGTATTTGCAAACTTTGTTTCTGAAATGTATGTTCTAATCTCTTCTGGCTTCCAATTCTCTTCTAAACTTTGTGTCTTCTAAATTTTAGAAGAAATCACAATTTTCACTTATAGTTATCTTGGCCACTTACAACCTTTCAAGCAAAATAGAGGAAATTGGGTCCCTGAGTGGGGGGTGGGGGTGTAGGATGATGTCAAGAAATAAATCTAACTGAATTACAAATACTCAGCAGTAAAGAGAGTATTTTAATGAATCAGATGATAACCATCAGGGTGCATTTCATCTCCACTAAATCTTCGTACCAAGGCCAGATTCTACATGAATGTTGGTACGTATTTATGTAAATGTATTTTTAAAACAAAAGCCAATTGATATCTTATGCTTTAATACTTATTCCACTAATCATTTACATAGATGCATCACGTGCAGTAATCATTTTTATTACCTATTCACAAGCAAAAATATTAGTATAAACTGGGTACAATAAAATAGAGAAAAGAAATATTCAAATAGATAAGCGTTTTGTTAAAAAAAAAAAAAAGAAGAAAGAAAGGACACATTTATCAGGATTCCTATTTCCCGTACATAATATGGATGTTTGTTTGTTTTTGTAAGTTAACGGGACCGGTGGTTTAACTTGTTATTGAAACATGCTCGAAAAAATCAGGTAGCTTATTTTGTAATTGCTTGTTATGAAACCACTGGCATTTCTCTGGGGAAAATAAGTTAAAAACTCTTTAGCTATCAGGCAGTGGGTTTTAATTTTTTATATTGGTTAAATGTAACAGTGGATTTGCGTACTCTCTCCTAATTTCTAACTTTGTGTAATCATTCTTGAAACCCCAAATCTAGATTTTAAAAAAGAAGCCTTCTAAAAGTTTTCCTGAAGTTTACTTTTCAGTTACAAAGAGTAAAATAACTTTCTGAAATGCCTTCTGTAAATCGTGGTGGTGGTGCGGTTTGTTTGGGGAGATTTGTTTTGTTTTTAAAAGACAGTGCACTTTCTTATGAAAGAGACAGGGAAAGTTTTACCTGTCTGTCTCCTGGGTTTGTTTTTTTTTTCTTTCTTTCTTTTTCTTTTAAAGATTGGTGATAAGGAATTCTAACTACTTAATGAGATGGGAGAGGCCTCACTCCATTGGAGTGGAGGAGTCCAGGTGGAAGTTGATGGATTGGACAGGTAAAGAGAAGAGTCCCGCCTCCTCATGCCTATAGTTGGGTATATATTAGGAAACCTTAAATTATGTACAGAGAGAGAAAGAGAGAGAGGGACTTGAGTTCTGTTATCTTCTTAAGTAGATTCATATTGTAAGGGTCTCGGGGTGGGGGGGTTGGCAAAATCCTGGAGCCAGAAGAAAGGACAGCAGCATTGATCAATCTTACAGCTAACATGTTGTACCTGGAAAACAATGCCCAGACTCAATTTAGTGAGGTAAGGATTTTAGATTTTAGCACTCCATTTAGAGATGCTTTTTAATTTTTATTTTTGTAAAAAAACTTACGTATTTGCGGTTCTCGGTCACCCAATGTAATGTTTTGCAAATTGTATATAGGAATCTCCTTTTCTTGGTTAATGTTTTCTGTGGTGGCTGTAAGATTTTTTTTTTTTTATTAAGTAGGAGATGAAACAGTAGGAGAAGATGAAAAAGAAAATCTGGGTGACATTATGTATTTGAAAAAATAATATTCAGGAGTTTATAAAATCACTTTTTAGAAAAACAGACTCAGAGAGCAGATCACACTCTGCTAGATACATTGCAATGAATCCTCTGATGGGTATTCATGTACCAGTAAGAAAAATCAGTTGACTGTGTCTTAACTTCTTAGCATAGTTCTATTTCCAGACTTCATCCTAAAAGCAAATGAAGCTTTTTTCAAAATAATCAGGTGAGATTTTTTAAAGCCATCTTCGTTTTTAAGTCTGTCAATCCAGAGACCCACCTAAATCCAGAAGGGGCTGTGATAACGTTTCTGTCGTCTGGAGGGTGACTTGTACTTTCACGTGTGATGACAAATAAAGTTATTTTGGAGGGATGCATTGTTAAATATTTATACATGCATACATGTAAATGTGTATTATAGCATACAGGATTTTATTTAAGAAACTGATTATTTGCATTTCTGATCTCTTCTCAGCAAGTTTGTCTTAGGTATTTAAACCTGTGCAAAGGGATAAAAAAAAAAATCCTGAAGAGACTGTAAGGCTTTGAGGAAGTTTCCTAAGGTTGAGGGAGGTCTAACAACAATATTAGTTTACATTCCTCAGAATGGGGCAGCTGTGTTGACACTAATCAGATTGGGTTGTGGTGGGGAGTGTTGTGGAGAGAGAGAGTTCGGTGTTTCAGATAAAAATGCTTGCAGGTGAGTGCTTGGAAAAGTGGACTAGAGTACTCAAATTGAGCTCCTTAAAAATCAAAACAAAATGCATAGTATTCCGGTGCAGACCGCAAGAGGAAGAGTAGAGCAGAGGGCTGCGAAGCAGGGCCTGTGCTATCGTATTGACCACGCTATTGTCTAGACTCCTGAACTGTGTAAATACAACAGGGGAAATATCGAGTTATCTAAAGAAGGAAAAGGAAGTGCCTATTTTTCTTTAAAACATTCAAGCAGGCTTGCTTGTCCTCAGTAGAGAAACTTGAGTTTCTTGTTTTGCAGTTATATTGAAAGTTAGCTTAAAATGTTACCAATTTGTTTTTAAATAGGATTAGCTTTTAAGATCTTCTTGATTCTATTGGATCCAATTTTGTCCAGTTTTAATCATTCAGAAAATGATCTGTCCATCATGTCATACCTGAGTTTGTTTGTCTTTATTCATGAACTATTTCACACACAGTATTTATAAGCCGCCTAGGATCTTGTAAGTCAAATGGGAGAAGCAAAAGTCTGTTCATTGATATCTCTAAGTGAAGCACAAGGTTGATGTAAAGTGGCAAGAAATGATTAATTTTAGGTTAAATATAATGTCGTGAAAGAAAGCAATTGCATTAATGTTGTGATTAGAGGATATTTGTAGAAATTATTTCCTTTTATGGAGGCAAAAGAGTCATATTGTATGTGAGAATATGGCATGCTTATGAAAGAAAATAGTTTTATACACAGGTTTTAGTTTTTCACAACTCTAGGTAAATATGTAATCAAGAGCTACAAAAGGCATCCCTTGTCTGTTTTCTATTGGAATGCTGCTAAGGTCGACAAAAAATATCTGTAAAAAACATGGCTGCACTTCCCTACCTTTCTATGTCTTTTTGCATGTTGCCTGCATGACTTTCATATCCTTCCACCAGTGCATGTATTAGGTTATAATTTCATGGCTTGACTTCCATTCTATTACGTACGAACAACTTTCTTTCTGTACAGGATTATGCTTTCATATCTAGTCCTCTGTTAAAATTCAGTGCTACATCTGAGTATATGAAATGCCTGGCACCACATGGCTCTGAGAACCATGAATTTAATATAAAAGTTATAATGTATAGGGATTTATGTTTATTAGTAACTGTCAATACAGAAAAAGCAATCTACTATTATTACACAAGAATTGTTAAACATTGGGTAGATTAAAAATGAAAAAGGCATAAAACTCCCTGTAAGAGTGAAAATTATTTAAAAACTATAATCCATTCTTTGACTTCAAATAAATTTATAGTTTAATTTGCTAGCAATTTCTTTGAGTTGATAACTCAAAAACTATATAAGAACACTGTTCCTTCTCTATTCCTTTTCCCACAACTTTTGAATTCTTCCCCAACCCTTAGCAGATTTGGATTTGGGGGAGCTGCTAATTAACAGGAAATGGTCCGGAAGGGAGGAGAACACAAGCAGGATATAACAGGCAAGGCTGAAGGCTCTACCCTTGGGTACAGCGGAGAGGCCGCAAGCAAGCTCCACTCCCCAGTGCCAGACTAGGAAAGACAGAGCCTCTGGGAATGGTCTCAGACTTGGAGATAGAGAGGGTCAAAATAAAGGAACTTCTTCACAGATCAAGTTTTAACTTCAACTTTCTGGCAAAACAAAACAAAACAAAACTGGGCTGTGTGTGTGGTGTAAGTGTGTATGTGTGTGAGTGGGGAGGATCTCAAACTCCTTCTTAGAAAGAGATATTTACTAAAATTCCTCATCCGGGGTTTTAGATGATGAAGGAAAGACACTTTGGTAAATGGGTTACAGTATTTTCGAACTAAATGGGAAATCAAGGTTCATATATGGAAACACCTCATTTTACAAATCAGGGTTAATGATTTTTCTTTCTGTAGTTGAGAGAGCTATATGTATACGATCGTGTTCCCTTTACTCAGCCACTTTCTTTTTAATACCAAGGAGAGATGGGATGATTCATAGTAGATGCTCCAAAACAGTTTCCATGAAGAACAGTTGTACAAAGCCAGTTGAATGCAAGAAAAAAAGTGTGGAGACAGCAGTGTAAACTCCCTGTAGTCCAGGTCATTCTCACTTAATTGACTTCTTTGTCTGCTTGGTCTAGGGAAAAAAATCTGTCCTGTCCTAGTACTATTTCTACTGACTCAACCATTTAAAAGATATGGGTGTGAGTTTTCTATTGATAGTTAATAAATGTATTAAGCTGTCCCATGTTGTACTTCTGAGCTAGTTAGCATCATAGGAAAAAGCACAGTGGGTGAGAAGCAGAAGCTGCATTTTTAATTAGTGTCAGCCAGGTCGTATTCCTCACTCCATGCTGTTGCCATAGATTGCACTACTTGTTTTACAGTTGGTTGTCCTCGAGCCCAGAGGGAACTAGGAGAAAGACATCTTAGATCACAGATCACAGATCATACCTTCCTTCACTACTACTGGAAAAAAAAAGATTTTGAGACAATAAATCACTTATCCTTTACCTCGATAAGGAAAACCGTGTTTGGTTTGGTTTGCTTTTTAGAAGAGCAGTGATTCTCAACAGCATGTCACACGTACAGCAGAAAGCATCAATGGATGTCTACATTTTCTAGAGCAACCAAAAAAATATTGGTTTCTTTTTCATTATACGTACATTTTCTGAATGCAAAGTTGCTAAAACATTCCTCAATGACTATGGACAGAATTTAGATTCTGCGTTCTGCTATAAAGGGAGTATATATCTAATGTCATGAGATTTTAAAAAGGGATTTGGATCAAACAGTTGAGAAATATGTTACCACAAATACACCCTGGTTTTCTTTGATGTGCATATGATTGCTCTGGGTGGAATCTGAGCTGGTAGAATAGAGGGGCACAGGTAAAAATCCTTCCTTCCTAGTATAACTTTTCTCTCCCCTTGAATATTTTTAAATTTCTAATTGTTTTATGTCAACAAATAGAATGAATACAGGTAACAAAAAGATACTTCTGTGAAAAACAACTTGATGATTTCCATAATTTATAAGTTTTACTATTTTGAAGATAAAAAATTGTTAAACCCAAGTGGGCGCTCAATTTTCTTTAGATGTATGTTGAGGAAAATGTCAGTTGACTAATATAGCATTATTGTCCAGTGCCAATTTAGTGGAACCTACAAATGGTATCCAATAGAGTACTACATTTTGGGTCTGGAAGAGCATGGATTCAAGTGTCAAGGTGAAACATTTGATTCAAAAGTTAAGTTTTAAATCTTATTCCTAATCTTAAGGACACAATTTGTGGGCCCAAGAAAATAGTGAAATGTGGCTTATTAATGGGCCACCACTCTAAACATTTTATAATTTTTACTTATACTTTTTGATTAAGTTCTATGTTGACAATATTCATGAAAAGTAGTATTGAGAAAGAGAAACAGGTTAGAAGAAGAACTGACTGACTCTTAAAAAAATGTTTACTGAGCATCAATTATATGTAAAATGGTATATAGGATCTAAAAATAATTAAGAAATAATTCCTACACTAAGAAGTTTATAGTTCTTTGGGGGAATGAGCTAAGTATGCATGCAATTATAATACAGGAGAGATTTTAAGTGTGTGAGCAAGATAATATAAAGCATCAAAGGGAAAGAGAGTCCATGATGTAGGAAGATCAAGAAAGTCTATATGCATATGTAAGATGAAGCTGCACTTGGAAGGACAGATGGAAATTTCCAAGTTCTAGAAATATAAGAAGGAATGAGGATTTTAGGTGAAGAAATAAGCATCAGCAAAGGGAAGGGGGGTGAGGAGTGAATGCTGGTACACTCAGAAGCATCAAATAGTTCAAATGCAATTGAAATTATGAGACGATCAGGAAATAAAGTTGGAAATGCAAGATAGAGTGGCTCAGAGATGACCATAACACTGAGAGGAGAGTACATTTATCATAGTGACAATGAAAAGCCATGGAAGGATTTCGAACAGAAGAATGGTGTAATTGTGTAATTGGAGCTCTACTAGAGAGCACAGGGAGAATAAATGGCTTTGCTTGAGATTGCCTAGAAGTATGAAAATGCATCTCTCTGCATTGCACATTGGCTGCCTGTTTTGCAGAAATATCTATCAGTTCTCTTGGATCTTTGGAAGGATACGCATGGATTGTTTCTAAAGTCTCATACAACCTGTGTATTTTCTGCCCAGTGCTCTTTTTAATAGCTATGGTCCCTGCCATAGACAAATTGGGAACTACTGGTCTTGGTTTGTCTTTATTTATGCCTGCTATTCTAGCATAATTACTAATAGCACACCTTTTCACTTTCAAAACTGTCCCATTTAGAAGATAAATTATATAGTCACTCTGTAAAGACCCCATTCTTTATTTCATTCTCTTCCACACACTAACACTCCACCCCAAAATGAAAAAGTAGTATAAATTTGGCTGTAAGCCAGACACAATGATTTTGAAGTACCAGCCACAAATCATTTTGATTATTTCCCCCACTAAAGGAAACACTTCCTTCCAACCCAACAGTTACTGAAAACTTATAATAGTCACTGTTATATGCACTGTGAGGAAAGAAGAAATTAGTAATTCACAGCTTCTAGCCTCCGTGAATTCATAATCTGAGGGAGTTATGAGGGGTTCGTAAATGACTCCAGTATAAAACAGAATTGGTAAAAGATATCCCAAGTTTTGAAAGAGTGAAATCGAGTTCAAACTGTTTATGATAAAGGTAATATTTTATATGGTTTGAGAACTGAAATTCAGATGTGGCGTGAGGGGAGGAAAGACATTCTATGTAGAGGGGATAAAATTTATAAAAATACAAGGGAGGACTGTGCCAGACAACGTGAAGGAACATAGTATATTGATTTAAAAAGAAAATGTGTTGGTTTAAACACTGATATGTATTTACTATTTATGTCAAAATGGAACGCTTTTGTAGAAATAGCAACAAAAGTTAATTGGAATATTGATCTCACTAAGAGCGGAAACCTATATGTGTTTTAAAAGTGTGACCAGTGTTCAGAATTCGAGATTCAAAACTTCACATACTCTAGGGATGATGAGTGACATCTTGCAGGAAGGAAAAGAAAATTAGCCCGAATGATTCCTTAGGCTGAAAAGTTGAGGATTACCTTTTCCCGTTCCTTAGACTTCTACAGAGCCAGATATGGTGTCCTATCATTTATAGGGACTTAGTAATGACATTTTAAAACTTATCAAAGCTAGGAACAAAATTCAAACTGACTCTCTGTGTTTATTATGAGTTAATTTTATTTATTAAATAGTCGTCTTAGAAATAGGACCAGAAGTCTTTTCTCTGGTCACTGCTCTAAATGCAAATAGTAATCCTGAAGCTGAATATAAGACATTTATTCAGAATGAGAATCCCAGCTGGGAAATAAATAACAGAGCAGAGGGAAATATGAATATCCCATTTAAAAGCCAACCCCACCAAATAAAAAATTTAAGATATTATCTTTGCCATAAAATTTTTAAATTTGACTTTGGGACAAGGATACATGTGTAAGATGTAATATGTAAAGATAAATATTGGGAGAAGACATGTCTTTTCCCACATCAATATCCTCCCTTTCCACAGCCTCCTTCATCACTTCCATCTCACCCAAGAAGACCACGTGGGCAATTGAAGAGATAATAACAGGGCAGGGGAGGGTAGGCCATGGTGGGAGGAAGGAGTGAACCAGTGACTTGATTTAAAGCCAAAGGGAGTGGATAAGAGAACTGGGCTTCAAGATAAATAAGGAGACATCTAAGCTAGTACTCATTTCTTTCTCTTTTTTTTACCAACCTAATCCTCCACTTTCAAAAAGTAGATTTTGAAAGCATCAAATGTTAACATATGATTGTCCTACAGACATTAGGGGAAACAGTGAGGTTCCACTAAATACAACCTCCTTAAAAGAAATAAGTAGTTCAATGAAGTGTCTGTAAAATCTTTTCAAAAGTCTTACTTTATACTTCCCCACAGTTGATTTCCTTAGTTGGTCTGAGAATATAGCACCTATACTATTCAAAAACTATTCTTTTCCATTTTCTGCAAAAAAAATTATAAATTTCTTATTTCTAAGTTGATTGATTGCATGTTTGATATGGACTAACTTTATTCTGATTTTGAAGTTGTTCAAGCTTCTTTTTCAAAGACAAAGTACAAATGGATCATTGTATGGATTCGAGCTGAGATGGCTTCACCAGATAATGTTCACCTGTCAATTTAAAATTCAGTCACTGGGGTTAAGATAGAGCACATGTTGGTTCTAGGTGAGGGAATAACTGGCAAGAATAAAACATTTTTGGAATGTTAGTGAATGTGTGTGTAACGTAAATTGATATTTCATGCAAAACTTGTAATCTGAATTGCATCTTGTCTGTATTTCTTAAATGGCAAAAAGATTTCCTTATAAAAGCTGAAAGAGGGAATTTTGAGTCAAGCTGTGGTGTGTTGCCAGAGGCGGAAATTTATGAAACACTCTTGTCAGCTATGCTGGAAACACTACAAAAGAAATAGTTCTACTTTCTTATTGGTGCTAAAGCCACTAATAGGTGCAGTTTAGTATAATACCCCTATGAGAATTACCACCCCCGAAGTGAGCTTGCCTTGGAAGGAACTCTGTACAGGCATTTTCTTTTTCCTTTTAAGCTTGCGCAAAACACCCAAAGGGGCCATTTCCCACCCAGCCAGTGATCTTTCTCAAGTTTATTCTTTCTCAGATCACAGAGACAATGGGGAATATGCCCTGTTTACTCAAATCAGTCTGGATTAGTGTCACTCTATTGATGGAGTCAGAATTAAAAGGAAAACCATTACCCTCTCAAAGGGCAACATCAGATGTTTGGGGAATGGCGTGATTACTTTTAAATAGACCGTGTGAGACTCTGTCACCAGACTGAGGTTGAGGACTCCACAAGACACACTTGAAGAGAAACAGTAACACTGGGTGAGGCAGGAAGCTCTTCATAAGCCTTAGGCCTGGGAAATTATTTCAACAGACAATCCCAAAATGCTTGAAAGGCTGAAAATCAGAATGGTGAGACTTCAGAGAAGAGGGCTTTTCTGCCTTCTTTCTTTGCTCCAACACCTCACCCCCATATATTTATCTCCAGGTCAAATCCTTTCCAGTCATTAAGCCCTGCTGGGGAGAAACTTAACCCTGAAAAAGCTCTCAGATTCCCCCATTCAGGATAACACTTCCATCCTCTGAACTCTTTTACTCTGTTTCTTCCTCATTGCTCTCTGTGTACACCAGATCCTTCCTCCCTATCCTTTGACTGAAGACCCTGGGAGGGTAGAGGATGTGTTATGCTTATCTCTGTATCCCCTACAGGGCCACTCAGTAATGTTCCCTGAATGTGATGAGGACATGCATCTGTTGCTGTTGCTTGAAGGGATATCTTCACCTAGGAATATATGGTGTATTGTATATACTTAAAAGGCTGTTTGTAATTGACTTGTGCACAAAAATAAATAAAGCGAGCCGACATATTATACAAGCCTCTTCTATCTATATGTTCTGCAGGTAAACCAAATTGTGTCATTTTCCTTCACATCTTGCAGGTCATTTGTTTTTGCTGTTTGTTTGTTTTAATAAGCCCAATATTATTTCCATTATCTTTTAAATAGCAAGAAAGTTTTTGAAAGACAGGGCAGATGATTTGTTTGGTATCAAGTAATTAGTGTAAAGTATGTGCTGCTTTCACATAATTGATTACTCACAAGGACAGAGAATGTGTTTGATTAAAAAAAAGTCTTAGATTTTTATCTTGCTTTGCAGGCCCTTTTTAAAAGTGTTTACCTGTGTCTGCACTGTTCCCTTGATTCAGTTTATCCCCTGCAGTTCTCTCTGTCCTCACCAGAGATGGGGGAAGTTTGATCTGGGTGAATAAGCTTGATGATTTGCAAACGCTCTCTCCTTTTAATTCTCTATAGTGTTATCACTAAAGGATGTCTGAGAAACCTCAAAGCAATTTTTCTCTTAAACGTGGTATTCCAACTTTTGGTTTTGCTCATATCTTTTATAATAGGACAAATAGAATAAAATGAATAAGACGAGTGTCTTTTCAAAAGTAAGGCATGTCTTCTGCATAGCTCAAAACTTGAGTTTTATTTTGCAGTTAAAGTGACAGCTGAGAGGAACACTCCAATGTTATATAGGTCACCATATCTAATTGCAAAGTAATCACTAAAAACTTTAATTATCTCAAATATAACTTAAAAAGTAGCAATCAGCAAAGAATTTGACAAACAAAAGCAAATTAGAACTCATGAAACAGTGTTCCCCGCTTGAATGCCTATAGTCTAACAAGATTGAGTAGTACACTCCTTGTTTCAAGCCTCAGTTTTCCAGTTGCAAATAAAAACTAGTGTTTCAACCTTTAAGTGTTTGTTATATTGGAGCATAAATTTATATCATTTGCAAGAAAGGATTTATAAGTCTGATAAACTATAATCTCAGTTCCTTAAACATACAATCACAAACTGTTAATTATGGCTTTATTCTAAACTGAATTCTGGCTAACTGGGCATAAAATCATGGAAATTAGGCAGGGAGGGACCAATTTTGTGGCCTATCTACCAGAAACTAAATGTCTTTCTCTAAGCTTGTTTCTGGGTGGTTTCTTTTCAAAGCAACCTGCATTTGGCCATGTGCTCCATCAGTAGGAAGTGAATAATTATATGACCACAAAGATATAGGTTCTTATTGCTGACCTAGGTGCATTCGAAACAAAACCTAGACCATCAGGTTAAAAAACACTGCCTTGGCACAAAAGTGTGTATGTGTTTGTTTTAAGGAAGTAGAAGCTCATTAATAAACTTCCCAGCTAGGTGTGAGCTACCAAGTATTACTCATTGTATTGTGAGTGACAGGACTGGCTATTCTGCTACTAGTTCCCATAAAAGCTGAAGCTAAAAGCACAATTCCCACCTACCAAGACAAAGCTAAACAAAAAGTAAAGATCATAGAGATTATTTAGGGATGCACTATAACATTTGTCTGACAGTAGCATATAAAGAAATGAATCAAATTTGGACACAGACTCAGGATAAAATAAATGATCAGTTGTATTAGAATAAAAGAGATACTTTCTGCAAGTAATTTTCATGTTGAAGTGTTTTGCATTTATTCTTTTAAGAACTGTCTCCTGAGCATCTATTATGTTTCAGCCATTATCCCAGGTATTGGGGATTCAGTACTAAACAGGCCAGATATATTCTCTCATTAACTTATTGCCTAGCAGAGAAGACCAACATTTTTAAAAGTTTATACATATAGTTAATTTCTATTATGATTATATGATACAAATGGAAAGTGCTATGAAAATGTGGAACAAAAGAGAATAATCTGTCTGAACAGTCAAAGAAGACTTCTGGGAGATGACATCTGAGCTAAAGGTTGAACAAGGAATTGGAAAACAGCTGGCATGTGCAAAAGACTTGAAGACTGAAGGAGTTAGCCTTTAAAAAAATGAAGAAAGTTCTATTTGGCCAGAGCAGAGTTTCAAATAGTGCCTCACAGGCCACGTTAAAGACCTGAGGCCTTTATTCTAGGAGAATAGGGAGCTGCTCAAGGAATTTAAGCTTGAGAGTGACAAGATCAGATTTGCAATGCCTTTCAAGTGGTAGTTACAAGGAGTTGGGTCTCTGACCCTTTGCAATTATACCCATTCTAACTAAGAATGGGGAAACTTTTATATCCTGTCTTTAATGAGTAAAAAAAAAAAAAAGAAAAAAAAAGCAAATAAAAGAGGTGCGCTTTTCTTGATTGTAACTTTCAGATAAAAATTCCAGGCAGAAATGTGAGTGATTCCTATTTACATGCAGTCGGAATGAAAGCTACTTAGGAAAGCGGGTTCCGGAGCCAGATTTACTGGTTCGACATCCAGGCTCTTCTCACTACCTTGGGCGAGTTACTTAACCTTGTGGAGCTTCAGTTTCCTCATCTATAAAACATGGATAAAACATGGATATTAATGCCATGTGTCTCATGAGAAATAAGTAAAACCATGCAAAGCACTTGAACACTCTAAGACACATACTTAGAACTCCGTAAGAGAATTAATAATAGTAGAAGTAATTGCTCATTTTCTTTTATAGAGGGGATGGAAGATGGATGATAAGTAGATTTCAGAGTTTTAAAATTTATTTTTATTTTTATTTTTTGCTCCTGATAGTCACCATTACTTTATTGAAACTGATATGTCTTCAGTTTCATGTCATGGTAACGAAAGCTTATTTTCTGTGATAAAATGTTAATCACATTTAATCACCCGTTGTTTTAAGTCACAATTTAGGATATGAACTAGACAAATATACTACCAACATTATTTAAAAAATATTTTTAAACTCACTTTCCAAACCAAGGATGCATTACTGCTGGGCTTCTAAAGGCAGTATGGTATGCTTAACATAAAGATGGCTTAACATTCATTGAAGAATTTTATTACTATGTACTTTCTTCTTTTAATATTACCATATCTGCTATATAGAGCTATGAAAACATATTGATTGCTATAGATTGAAAATCTCTTCAAACATATTTTGATTCACTTGGAATAAACTGAAATTCTGAATATTTCCCCTAATACCAGAATTAAAAATTATTAAATATTAAAATTCTATCCTGCTTTCTGCTTAGTTTGATACTTCTTTGATATAAAATGATAATAATTCCTTCAGAATTGGGATGCCTTCTGATTTTCATTTTGTTGAGTTGTTATGATTATTATAGGAGTATGTACTAAAATAATATAATTTTAAAATTTATTTTTCTTAATTGAGTTCTACACATTTTAATTTAGCTGCATTTGGATCAAGTTTTAATTTTAATACCTTTCCCACTTCCTGTCTTTTCAAATGTTGTGTCAAATGTTTGTTGACATTGTTGTCCACCTGATCAGACAACTTTGTATTTATTTCTCTCACCTGCCGTTGGGGCTTCTAGAGCTCTTTCTCCTAAATTATGGAATCTTGGCACTCAAAGGAATCTTGACACTTTGTGTCAGAACACAGGACATCTAGTGAACTCTCTGCTTACAGTCTTGATAGTTTTGGGTGCGTTTAAATACTTTATTCTTATATTTTGTTCTTTGTATGAGTATATATTAAGTATTCACTTTTTATATAATTTTAGAAAACAAAATGAGTGACATATTTTATACCTAATAAAATCTGGTTTTGAGAAAAATGTGATGCTACATAAATTCTTCGGTTGGAAAGATGGTGTTTTAACTTGACGTTTGAATACCAATATATTTTCTTAACCTGGAGTAGAACACTGTAAGTCAATTGTGTTTAATTCTAGCATAAAAGAAACCATCATTCTCTGAGGTGGGGCAGGTGGCAGAAGACGAAAAAATGACAAGTATGTCTCCCTTAGGCAGTGCTTGTTGAAAAGTCACTATCCTGCTGATATTTGGGGATGGAAATGTAGTACTCTCTGCTAAAGCATAATTGAATGAATGCTTTTAAAGCCAGGGTCATCAAGTAAAGCTGTTTTCTTTACCCATGAGGGACTGTAGAATGTTCATAAAAGCACCTCCGTGAAGCCTCAGGTGAAAGGTGGTTATCAGCTGAGGAAACTGTATGTGCTGCCTAAAATGTTTTAGATTTCTAAGTTTGGTCAGGGACATCTGTATAGAGAGAGAACAGTTACCTTAGAAAACTGTTTTGAATGTGGTCTTATAGCATTGTTTTAACGTAGCTTCACAGATGAGGATGGCCATAAGTCACAGAATGTTAGAACTGGAGATCCCTCTCATTGAATCCTCAAATTCAGTCTCCTCAATTTTACACAGACTTTGGATTATGGTAAACTAAGGTCCACAAGTTGTTCAGCTACCTTGCCCAGAGGTACACAGCACACTAGTGGCAGTGTTGGGACTTAGACTCCATGTAAAGAAGTTTAAGTTCAGAATTCTTTTGCATCACTAGGATCCATACAGGAGTGTAAGGAGTACTGAAGCGTGTTCAATCCCCTAGCCTCATCCACCAGTCACTCATGGATTATAAATACAATTTCTTCCAAGTGAAATTTGGGAATACTGTTGTATCTTGTAACAAAGGTCTGGTTGAATCGAGATAAGTTATGATTATATATCCCAACAGTAATCTCTTCTACCCCTGATTTGGTCCCTATCCCATTTTTTTAATAACCTCTTACTATATATTGTTGACTATTGTTGCTATAGTGTCATAAATTTACTATTATAGATAGTAATATCTGAAAAAGGGGACATTTTAAAAAATTCTCTTGGCCAGGTGTGGTGTCTCACACCTTTAATCCCAACACTTTGGGAGGCTGAGGCAGGTGGATCACCTGAGGTCGGGAGTTTGAGACCAGCCCGACCAACATGGAGAAACCACATCTCTACTAAAAATACAAAATCAGCCGGGCATGGTGGCACCTGCCTGTAATCCTAGCTACTCAGGAGGCTGAGGGAGGAGAATCTCTTGAACCTGGGAGGCAGAGGTTGTGGTGACCCAAGATCGTGCCATTGCACTCCAGCCTGGGCAACAAGAGTGAAACTCCATCTCAAAGAAAAAAAATTATCTTTTACAGATAAATTGGTGGAGAGAGATTTTCAAAAACACAAATTATAGGTAAATACCTATTTCTATTGCATTGGTCAAATAGCTTCATTGGAATCTCTTTTTGATGTTAAATACTTTTATAGGAAAATAATTACGTCATCAACTTTAAGTAAATATAAATCCAATTATTTAATATTGAGTTATAGCAATATATATTGACACAGTTTTGTTTCTTCATGGTGAAAACAGTTTGAGATTCAGCTCCTGGGTATCTTTATACCTACCATGCAAGCTGTATGTTTCAGAATGCCCTCAGGGTGTTCTATGATTGCAGGGAATATGTCGAGTCCATGTGACCAAGGCGTACTTCATCCTTTCTGTGATCAGATCAGCTAGTTTGTGAGGAACCTGAATATATCACAACTACAAATAAATTTTCCAGGGTCCAAACAGTGATTCTTCTATTTCAAAGTTATTTTATAGAAAATGAAGCATCTGTTTGGAATCACAGGAAATTATTTTACTTTATAAGTTTCACAGTAGATATCACAGAAGTTGTGTTCATTTTTGCCTTTATGTTTTGTGGAAAGAATACTGCCTCTTTTTTCAGACATGCTGAGATAGATATATAATGTTTCCATTCACTCATTATTTGGGTGTCTGCAGGGTATGTTAAGGTTATTCCAAAATCAAGATGCCTTGTGTTTAGAAAGGGAGAACCTGCTTCCTATTTCATTTCAGATACGCCAATAACTTTTGTTACCTAAGAAATACATGCATATGGGACATGGGGGCTCTATGGAGTTCTTCCAAAGGCCGTTTTTATGGCTGATCTGAAAGTATAGTGTTCTAATCTCTGAGACTGACTCTTTGACTTGTCATTGTCAGTAAGCATTGCATTAACATCCCAGCATATTACACATTTCTCTCCTCTGTTATGGAATTATTGGCTGTAAATAAGGCAAGAGGTACTGCTCCCTTTACCCCGCCAGATTTGCTGTGATAGAAAATAAGGGATAGATATTATTCACTTGACCTGGGACAGCTTCATGGGCATAAAAACTGCAATTGGTCACACAGGGCCCTATCTTAGAAAAGCACCATTCTTTGTTTAATGCTTTGCTATCATCATTTTGAAATTCTTAATCTATGAACAAGAGGTTCTGCATTTTCATCTTGCACTGAGCACTACAAATTGTACAAATTGTTTTGCTGGACCTGTCTGGGTGACACTTGTTCTTCTTGACTATAATGGCCAGCCCTTGGCTTCCAATTGTACCCTGTTAACACACGCGATCTTTCTTTAAATCAAAGGAATAAGTGAATAAGAATATTTTCTTTAAACTAGATATTTTAAAAATTAACTTCTGAAGAATGAATTTATTGATTTTTAATAAACTAAGAAAATATGTAAATGGATTTCCAGTCATTCAGTTCTGACTTTGGTGGGTTTGTTGTTGTTTCTGTTCATTTTAAGCTAACATTCAAAGTTAGTAGTGTCAGTTTTACGCTTTCCAGGAAAAGACAACGGAGTATACTACTTGGCTTATATTTCTGTAAAGTATCACTTGAGAAGCGTTTCAACTGAAATGTGTTTTCCCACTTTGATTGTGTGTAGTAGGCTGATTTCTCATCAATCCTAAGAAATATACCTTTATGTTATATTAATTGAGGATTTAGCATTGGTAACAAATCTTGTTTTTCTTACGTACAAAATCTCCCTTGGGACTGGATATAATTTAAAACTATGACGCCTAAAAGTAGATCCATCAGTACCCACATTGCTATTCATGACTTTTGAAATACAGTTTCTGCTTCTTTGTTGCTTCTCAATGGTTCAGTCTTTCTATCATTCCAAAGGACTCTTGTGACTCCTCAGTAAATGGAATTTTCCCTTTCTTTTCCTTAATATCCATAAAATCAGTTTACTCAAGAAATTATATAGCAGTATACAGCCTAAACCCTTTCTCAAAATTGTCACTAGCTTTTCTTATTCATTAAAACATTTTCATCTCATTACAAATGATTTCTTCCTTTAAAATTTCCCAGAAAGTATGGCCTCTGTATTTTCTGCTGCTCAGTTTAAACACATCATCAAAGACAGATAATTATTAATGTCATATGAGCATAACAGGAGATTTATAAATCAGAAATGTATTTTCTGGGAACCAACTTTCAAGTTAGTCAGGTAAGTTTTATTAACTTCACTGGTGAAGTCCTAGGATAAAGCAGTGCCTAGATCAGGCTTGTTTACCCTTGGCCTTATATGGCACCAAACACTGTTTCAGGACAGTGGAAGAACAGCCTGGGAGGCCTTCGGCCTTGGCCAGCCTTGCCGAGGCCCGCTCACCAGGAGAAATAGGAAGGAAGGCCAGTGAGTGTGCAAAGGAGCATGGCTTATTTTGAGGTCCTGAAGGCCAGTGAGTGTGCAAAGGAGCATGGCTTATTTTGAGGTCCTGCTGATTGCAGGCCAACAAAACAATGGCAGGATTTGAAGGAAGAAAGTATTGCAACAGAGTCACCGTATACTTTGAACTGCAAAGGGAGACTGAGGAAATGTTGCCTCAAGGCCAAAAACCCTGGCTCAAAACACAGGTTCCTCAGGTGACTCAGAGGCAGACCAAGTTCACCAAGTCAAGGACATTTTCCTGCTACCCCCCTGGGGAGAGGGGCCTTCACCAAACCACCCTGGACATGGATCTCCTGCTGTTCAGAACCCACCCAATAAACAACAGAAGCAAACACTTTTTTTTTTTTTTTTTTTTTTTTTTTGCCCCTTACACGGAATTGTCCCTTTTTGTAAGTCCTTGTTGAATTGAAGAGTGTTTGCTCACTGGCTTTTAAAGTGTGGTCCCAAAACTTTTTTCTTCGTTTATATTGGGTTAAAAAAAAAATCAAGGGGCCCATGCGTCTTTGTTCTCATCCAAGCCCACAATTAGTTAGCTGGGGTTCCTTCTGTGTAGCTAGAAGCAGGAGGGAAGGGGGTGGCCCAGCAGGCATTTTACTGCCTGCGAGAAAGTGCTGTGAGTTTCTTTGTCCTTTTTGTCAGGGACGGCTGCCTCCCTAATTGTACTGCTGTAGGGAGGCACGTGCCTTTGGGAGCATTATCTGATTCCTACAGGACGTTCAAGAGTGCTTTGTATACTGACCCTTAACTTGAACACAAAGAATATCTTTTCAATCCCCTTCCGAGGCTGTTGCCTCAGGCTTGGATACCTAAGAGCTTTAGTTCAGCCGGGGTATGGACCATTTATATGGGCTCAGGTTTTATTTTTTTGTCCCCTAGTTGTCTTACCTGCAGTTTGGCCACACCTGCCGGGAGAGAAAGCTGAAGATGGTGGGTAAGTGGTGGATAGCAGCTATAGAAGTCAGAAGGGAGAGAAAGCGAGACAAACAGCTGCTCTTGTCAGCATGGGGATAAGTGTAAAGAGATTAATAGTTATTTGAAGAGCAAATGGGGACATGGCATTCGGCAGTGGAATGCGAATGCATGAATGTAATGGAATGAGCATGTGACTATTAACATTTAGACAAATGCTTCCTGGACTGAATGGAATGGCAAAGCCCACTTCTCCTCCCCCTGTGGAAAAAAAAAAGTTCAATAAAATAATTAAAAGTTTGAAATTTTTAAAAAGATAAGCCTAGCTCCTATTTCTTTGTAAGTTTGTTCTTCTCTATAGTTTTACTTAATCTGGGACTCTCAGTTACATTTCAACTGAAGAGCTAGGCCTATTTCCTTTATAAAATATGTACGAATAGGACTGCCTTAATCTTGCTTTTGATTTTTTTTTCTCATTCATTAGGTTGATGAAACAAGATTTCTATGTGTCGGAAGGTTTTACAAAGGAAAAGCAACTGTACCATAAGCTGGTTGCCCCTTTGTTCATTTTGGCTCAGGTTTAGAAATGATGATAGGCTGATTTGCCTACTCAGGCTGACAGTTTTGATGGCATGGACAGAGCCCTGAAGTCAGAACCAGAAGATTCAGCACCGAAAGCCCCAGTCAT
This sequence comes from Homo sapiens, assembly GCF_000001405.40. Classification (NCBI taxonomy): domain Eukaryota; kingdom Metazoa; phylum Chordata; class Mammalia; order Primates; family Hominidae; genus Homo; species Homo sapiens. The sequence goes on from NC_000003.12 coordinate 189,807,303, forward strand.
TGTGTTAGCGGATGCTAGGGCAAATGCTCTACCTCTCCGATAGTAATATAGTCAAGTTTTTTGTAGAGTAAATGAGGCAAAATTAATTTATTCTTTCATAAATATGTTCTTGAGTACTTTTACTCTGTGCTTGGGCCCATTCACATAGAAGACATAAAAACGTTTGGCAGAAGGAAATACATGAGCTAATGTATTTTTGAATTATATTGACCATAGAATTTTCTTCATAAGTAGTTGGTATTTCTCTTACAAATGTTCTACTCTAGAAAAGAATAAATTTCTATTAAGAAAATGAAAGAACAAATAAAAAAGAATTAGACCAGTTTGGATGATTTACTAGCATGTTACTTTTTAAAATACATAGTTGGGTGTCCCTAACCCCGCTACCCATGATCCTCCAGTCTTTGTGAAACCAGTCCTTAGGGGGCTGGGTGGTACACTCTTGGTACTCTGGGACAGAATGCAGAATTGCAAGATTAAGAGAAAATTCGAAGGTCATTTGATTTTGCCCCCTATGCAACAATTTAACACTTAAATCCCCTCTGGAACATACCTATCAAGTGGTCTTTCTCATTTTGTGTAACACGCCCCAACCCCCACCAACAACCTCAAAATGGAATAGCAGGCAGTATTTATTTAAAGACTTCCTAAGCAGCTACTGAGCACTGGGAACGTTTTGCCTAGTTTGTGAATAAGCATATACTCTACTTTCAAATGCTCTGTAGGAAGTCAGTCTCCAGAGGTGGCACATAGAGCTGAGTGATCTGGAAAAGCCGTTACAAACACACACATGCTCAGACTTCTCTTGTTTTCTCTGTTTACCAAAAATCAACGGTTTTACTTTGAATGTGAAGTGCTTCCGACGTGAGGTCCATCTCTGTAGAATGCATTCACCCATGGATGCCTTTTTTTGGAGCAATGATCCGTGGCTTCAGCGGCTAATATTGGGGTTTCTGGGTGTCCTTGCAGCCACAGTACACGAACCTGGGGCTCCTGAACAGCATGGACCAGCAGATTCAGAACGGCTCCTCGTCCACCAGTCCCTATAACACAGACCACGCGCAGAACAGCGTCACGGCGCCCTCGCCCTACGCACAGCCCAGCTCCACCTTCGATGCTCTCTCTCCATCACCCGCCATCCCCTCCAACACCGACTACCCAGGCCCGCACAGTTTCGACGTGTCCTTCCAGCAGTCGAGCACCGCCAAGTCGGCCACCTGGACGGTAAGAGCAGCGGGCACGCACATACCTGACCCCCCAAGTCCAAGGATGGGCTTCACCACGTCCCAGGGATTTCTCCCCCTTCCCAGTTTAGCGATTCCATGTTCATGGTGGAAAATTTGTCTTTGAATATTTAATACTGAACCAGAGAGAGAGAAAGTGCCAGTTAGTGGGAAAAGTCCCAATTTAGGAACCAAACGTCTGCGTTCTAGCCAGCTCCTGGCAACTTCAGTCAGTGTGTTCCTGCCTGCTTCACACTGTTGTATGTGAAAGTTCATGGCAAGGTAAAGAGCGCTGTGCCAACAAGAAGTATCATAATCATGGGATATGTGTTTACAGTCTCCAGAACGTGAACGTGTTTACCAGTCTCATTCTTGTAAAGAAGTAAGTGTCACATTAAGTTGTGATTTTAAAAACTGAGTAAAATAATAAATATAGTGTTATAAAAATTAAGAAAATAAAATCCCATTTATGAAGGAAGGATGAATATGTTTATACATGTAGGTATCAATAAATTATAATTTATCAGTAAATTGTATAATGTCTTATAAATTACTATTTATAATTTATCAGTGAATTATAATTTATTGATATGTATATATTTATTTAATTTGGAAACATTCTTTTCGAAAAGAAAGCCTTTAAATAGACATATCAGAGCCCTGAATTAGTCCAAAGAAATTGTTAAAGAAAAATCTTTCTGCATATAAGTTTTCTAAGGAAGCATGGAATTTTCTTTTCATAAATTAGGAAGATACAAGAATTAGTCCAAAGAAATTGTTTTAAAAAATCTTTCTGTATATAACTTTTCTAAGGAAGCATGGAATTTTCTTTTTCATAACTAGATCCAAGAATATTTTATTTTGAAGTGTATTTTGAAATGTATTATAACAAGAATAAAGCTCAAGTATAAAAGAGGACACCTACAAAGTTGGTTTTAACTGGTTGATCAAAGAATGTTCAAGACCAAAGTGGTATGTTTGTCAAACAACTTAATCAAGACCAAAGTGGTATGTTTGTCAAACAACTTAATGTTTACATGGATTATAGAAATGCTTCCAAATATCATCATCTTAATAAAAAGTAGCTTTAGAATTGTTTTGACAGTTTTTTCCCTCTTTGACAAATGGATTTCTTTGGAAAGCATTTCTATGTTTATGTTATATATAGTATCTAGTTCATTCCAGCCTTTAGTTTGTATAGTTTATAAAATGATCGGCATGCCTAAGACCTATTACACTCTAACATCATTTCACATCCATTTCCTCTTTTTCACCTCATTTCTTTGTGAAGTACCCAGGACAAGTTTTATAACTTCCACTGTGCTAGTGAGGAAAGCTGAAGAAGTTGGAGGTTAAGTTAAGAGGCATGCCTAAACTTACAGAAACTTGTGTGTAGCTGGGCCTGTTTTTCATTTCTGCTTCCCTCTCACTGGATTGTATCCTTTCTTTCAACCATTTTATATCAGGATCTCCCAAAATTGTCTAAAAATTAATGTTATTTTAGTTCTTTCCTCTTGTGGTTTGAGAAGTAATTCTCCGGTGGCTCATATTTCAACTGTAGAGCATGAACATCAGCTTAAAACTTGATCTCTCCTCCACGTGTTACTTATCAATGGAGTCATAATCCTTAGTTTCCTTTACTTTTATAATTCTGGAGGCGATGGATACTGCAGGTGAGTAAACTTAGAGTTTATAGGCTTCAAATAGTTGGTTGATTGATCTAAGTAGTATCTTGCTAAAGAGCCACTAGAATAACCATTTTATAAATGGAGCACTGATATCTCTTAGGTCACCAACCGGACATTTACAGTCACCAGTCTTCAAAGCTAACAGTTACTAATTCAGTTTACTCCGCCAGGTCTCCATTATATTAGGAGTCAGCATGTCTGATGAGATGATGGGCATATTAGGGCTGCTAAATGAATAATCGCTTTTTTTCCCTGTAAAATTTTTAGAAAACCATGGGGATGAATCTTGATGTAAGTTCAACATCAAATTAGTTATCCTTCCCTGTCCCTTCCTCACTACCTCCTCATATAGAAATCTTAAAAGCCGGGCGTGGTGGCTCACACCTATAATCCCAGCACTTTGGGAGGCTGAGGCAGGCAGATCACGAGGTCAGGAGTTCAAGACCAGCCTGGCCAACATAGTGAAACCCTGTCTGTACTAAAAATACAAAAATTAGCCAGACGTGGTGGTGGGTGCCTGTAGTCTCAGCTACTGGGGAGACTGAGAAAGGAGAATCACTTGAACCTGGGAGACAGAGGTTGTGGCGAGCTGAGATCGCACCACTACATGTGATCTGCCTGCACAATAGAACAAGAGTCCGTCTCCAAAAAAAAAAAAAAAATTAAAGTTATTTTCAGGTTTAGCATAATCCTAAACCATCACTCAAAGCCCCTCTCTCAGAGAAGTCAATTGTCTTACTCAAAAAGTTGGAGATCTCTACCAAAATGTTAGGTTTAAAAGAAAAGAAAATATTCTGGTACACTGGTAAAATTTCCTTACATGTGACAGCAGTAATATCAGTGCCCTGACAAAAGGGATACACTGTGGTGATGAGAAAAAGGCACTGACTGAGAGACAGAAAACCTGGATTATGGTCTTGATCATTTATGCAAACTTAGCCAAGTCACTTGATCTTTCTAAAATTCAGTCTGTGCCTCAGATGAGAAAGAGGATGAGAATGGAGAAACCTACTCTGTTTTCTTAAGGTGAGATGATAGTATTAATAATTAACGTAGAAAGTTTTTAGAAGGGCTTTGGTTCGCATCGATATATTGTCTGCCATTCATGAGTGTCCTTGGTTAAGTGATTTTGCTTCTCTTGGATTTTTGTTCACTTTTCTGCATTCTACCTATAAATTTTACAATCAGGTTTCTACTCACATATCACATGGTAATTATATTTTTATTAAATTTCTTTCTTGTTCACAACCAGGCTTATTTCAGGCCCAGTTCATTTCTTCTAAATTAGGGCACTTGAACCCTTATCTGAGCAGCTACTGAGATCACCTAAAAAGATGTAAGTTCTTCGTCATGGATACCTGCATCTTAGCTTCTAATTCTTTGAGCCAAATTATATATCCTCATGTTTATACACAGACTTCCCATTTTAAAAAGTATTTTTTCATATATTTATCTTAGTTGAGCCTCATAACCAAGTTTGTAATCCCCAGTTTTATAGATGAGGAAACTTGAAGATGTAAAGGTCACATGGCTAATAACCAGCCAAGGATGGGGAAGAATCCAGGCCTCCCTCACCCTAATTCAAGTCTCTCCACCATCCTAGTTAGACTGTTTCTCCTCTGGTTTGAGACCAGGGAGGGGCATACAGGAGCAGGCAGTGCCTGTGTAGTTTGGAGCTTGCCTCTTATGTCCCAGAGTCCAACTGGTAAAGAAATTTTTTGTGCCTTATTATACAACACCTATTTCTTAGGCATTTGTGCATTTTAGAGCAATTTTTCAAAATAAAATGCTGCATTTTAGAACTGCCCACAAACTGAAAGAAACAGAAGCTGCTGTCATTAGGGGGAGATCATGCTTATCGCATAGTCTTCTGGTAATTCTTTAATAAAAATATTTTTAGTACCATTTTATCACTTGCAATCCTTTTATGTCAAGTTTTCTTTTTTAACTTTTCTGGTTTTACCCTCAGGATTACTGTCAAAATATAGCTAATATATTTAAAGTATATGTGCATTTTTCCTTTGCGTTTCTGTGTTTTAAATAACAAATGTGATTATGTTTCCAGTTCTACAAAAATATGGTATTTATTTTAAACTTCTTTCAATGAAATGAAGTAAAATAAGACAACATTTTTCATCTTCTCTGTTTCACACACACATACATACACGACAAACCAACGTTTACTTTAGTTTCAGATTTTCTTATTTCCACAATTTAATTGATACTAGTTACAGAGGCCTATCATTTAATATAATGTAGTGCTGGTCTAGCATTGTAGTTGGGAATCGTTAATCATAGGACAGTTGAAAGAATGGTAGTGTGGAGATGGCAAGAAACTTAAATTCAGATTTCAACTCGGAAACTTACTAACAGCATATGGGGCTTTCACCAAAAATTCAATCTCTCTAAACCTCACTTTTCTCACCTACAAATGGGAACAAATGGGAACATTAATACTTTCCTTATCATGAGGATTACTTCATGTAAACATACCTATTAGCACCTAGCTACTCATATGCTCCCAAGTGTTTATTGGGTCTGAATTTGAATTTCTTCGGTTCGTGAGTTCATTGTAGTTTTGTTGAGGCTTCGACAAAACTTTAGTACCTTTAGTTGTACTAAAGGTACTCATTTGAGAGAATGAAAAATAAAATTTCAACTAATGTTTTTTCTTAAAGCTTTTGGGCTATTAACATGCATACTTTATAGAGGGACTGTGATACTATCCACTATCCAAATATATGAATAGATGGTATAGGGTGATAACAGCCTCTCCTGCATGCAGACTTCTGCAGGCTGGCTCTGCTGCTTTCCGAAGCCTGCCCAAGCAGATGTAGGCTCTCCTTGCCAGTGCAAGGAGAGGCCCTTTCCAGATTTAAGAACCTGTTGATTTTTGACATTCGTTCCTCATTTTTAATCTGATGCTTCATGATGGGAATGCCTTTTTGTATTCTTTGTGTTAAGGAATAACAGTGGGCCTTACTTATGGCAGACTCAAGATATTAATGTATAATGACAAACTACTGGAAGCAACCTGATCAGTCACCCGTGAAAAACTAGATGGCATGTTATAAGCAATAACCATACGGCCATTAGAAAGAATTCTCTGTACTGATAAGGAAAGCTTTGGGAGTTGCTGGTGAGGGAAAAAGAAAGCTTTCTGTGGCACCTGCTTGAGAATTGAGAGTCCTGGTAAGGAACCCCACTTGTAGGGGCGGTGTTTCTTTGTGCTCCCCTCTAGTGATGAGGCTTCTTGGTGAACATAGTTCAGTCTGTCTTGATTATTGGCCTCACACACCTTTGCCAGTTGGAGAGCTATTTTTCACCGCTCATGACACGAGAGTACTCTCTGTGTGCATACGCCATGAAAATCCTCAGGTTGTTTTTTTTTTTGCATTGTTTTGTTTTTTAAATTGTGTTCAGACTGAAGTAAGGACCCTACCCTTGGGACATAGGATCACTTTTTGCTGTTGTATCTTTCTCCTGTCATTGACCTCAAGGTCTTGTATGGCAGACTCCCTGATCTAGTGCCCAGCACAATGTCCAGCACACAGTAAACCTTTAATAAATGGGAAGGAACTTTTTTTCTCTCATAATTAAAGGAAACAATTGTAGTTCCCAGCAGGAGCCCTCAATTCTGACTCTGATTGTTAACTGCCCGTGAATTTGTTCCCTGTAGCCTTCACCCATGATTTATAGAGAGTGTTCTTCCTTTGCCTTTCTTAACCATGCCAGCTTCGTGTCATGTTCAGAGCTGTGGAGAATTTGACTTGAGCAAGTGGAGAGATTAGGGAGGTGGCGTTTGAAAGGGGAACAGCCAGTTCCCGGGAGAGTTCCATTGATCCCAGCATATGGGTCTTGGTCTCGCAAGCTCACTCCCTTTGGCTCCGCAGGCAGGCTGAGATGCGCGCCTGCGGCCCACCCTCCCTGTCATCAGGTTACCTGTAATGTAAGACTTTTAGAAAAAGGCTGCCAGCTCTGCAGAAATCTAATGCAACCCAGCCAATTGCGTGGCCCTCTGGAATTTAGAGACTCTTAAGAATAGCCCATCAAAGGACAAGATGTACAGACAAACTCTTCGATGGTAAATAGGATTTATCAGTTTTCTTTCACAGTGGAAGCACTTCCCCCATTAAAGTCTGAGTCTCATCTGGGGCTTGATCTAATCTTACAATTCAGTGGCTGTTAGATTTTATTGGTGAGGGGCAGAAGTCAGTAGCTCGTGCCACTGGTACATGTGTTCGTGTTTATCATAACAAGATAATTTTTACTTCTTGCCATAGCTGTTTCATAAATTATGTGAGATGTGTATCAGGTGCCTTTTTGTGCCACTCCCATGATGAAGAAAATAATAGCATTGAGCATATTAATCTGTTATCTAAACTATTTCTTAGTTCACAGAGTATTGAGGAAGAATGTACTAAATAAAGTGCTTAGAGATTTTTGGTGATGGTTCAAGTAACTTACCTCTAGGTTTTGGATTTAAAATGAATATTCATTGTAAGGCATGCTTCCGAAGAGTTGTTCCCTCATCCAGAGCAGAATAACTGAATCAGCGTTCTTGCCTGAGTTTTAGATTGACTCTAGGTTAACGTATTCGTGATGAGCCAGTTTAATCTAATCTAAGGCTTATCAGCCTCCCATACTATTTTGAGTGATTTGTTCACTGCACCGTGGAGTGTCTATTTAACATTAAACTGATCTTGATTTATTGCATGTGAACATTATAAAAACTATTGATTTTAAAAATGAATAATTTAAATAAAGCTTATATTTCTTTTCCTACTACAAAGAGTAACAGCAAAAATCCTCTGCTTTTCCCTTTTCTTCTTTCTCCCTATTCTTCTCCTCTTCCCGCATTTCTTCTCCCCCTTCTTTCTACTCCCTCCTTCTCTTTTTTCCTTCATTTATGTTATTATTGTTAGTTAATTTGGTTTTGTAGGTATCATCAGCTACATGGTATCTTTCTTTATTTTTTTTTACTATAGCTTCACTCTTCTCCATAAATTAATATGGAGAACATGATATATATCAATCACCGTGGAAATTTTTATCAGGATTAAATTATCACAACCTTTTCATGTAACAAATCACTTTGGTGAATAATAATGGGCTGCTTTAGAGGTAGCAAACCCAAATGTCATTGGAGTCAGGGAGGTAGCATAAATGAGCCGAATGATAAGTACAGAAACTGTGGCAAAAGAGCTTATATACTGTATCTACAAGGACATCTGCTTTACAATCCCAGACTGTTGTCACAGGGGAAAGTAGACCTAGTATTAAAATATTTAAAATATTAAATTAATTATCACAATATTAACTCTTAAATATTAATTTTTAAAAGAGTAACTAGAAACCTGGGTTTGCATGTAATATCTTCATATCTTAAAATGATGATACTAATTCAAAAAAAAGTTGTAAAACACTACAGGCCAAACAAAACAGTACACAGGCTGCATGCCATCCTGTGCAAGGTGTTAATGGTAACAAGGGGAGATTACTAAATGTTTAAATAAATTAATTGGAAGTTAGTTATTAAAATAACTAAAATAACTGGAATCAGCATCTAAGAGAAAGGTTACTAGTGGGTATATTTTATTCACAAGTAATAATTCTTTATTCCTTTACAAAGTCATATAGATTAATCTCTTGCTGCATTTAACTAAGCAATACATTATCAGAACATATTTTTCTCAACTTGTTTTCTTACAGCAAATGACCTTTCTGCTTCTCATTTTTATATCATTTTATATTTTAAAAATCTAATGGCATGCAGGATTGGATACTTGGAAGTTTATTGTTTGTTTGTTCCTGTGCTTATCATTAGAGAATTATGGAACTCTGTAACTTAACTCCTTAAAATTGGCCAAAGTTGCACTCAGAAAAGAGCTTTGAGATTTAAAGGGCTTCTAATCAATTTTCTCAGCTTACTAACAGATAGCTTACTTTTAATTGGCACATAGTGTGCCAGAACAAAAATCATCTGATAATTGAAGTATAAAGAGAAAATAATGTCATAAGAACTTTTAATGACTCTGGAAAACTATATCATTAAGCTCAAAAGAGATCCCTTAAAATGAATGCAAACTTAAAATCGGCCCTGAGTGATGTGTACCATTTATTGTGGGATTGTCGCTCTTGGTACATTTCCATACATGAGCTTTGCACATTCTCCTGTTCGCATTCCCCAAATTAGGTTATTTCCATAACGTGACCAAGTCTATGCAATTGTTCCTACCCGCTTTGGTAAAGGGCCGATGTATGTTTCTCATGAAAAGTCCTCAGCAGTTACAGCTGTCATATCGCGAGTAAAACCATATAACTATATATAAAAACCCCCTGGTTTTATATTAGCAGCAATTGGTATGTCTAGTCAGGTCACTGTGACTGAAAGGAGACTTGAGATAATGTAGCTTTCCAACAACTTCCAATTCTTCAAAATTAAAGAAGAGTTTATTGTAGAATAGAAAGATAGAAAGATAATTCTTCAGTTCTTTGAAGCCCTGCAGACATTTTGTAGATATGGAATGGTTTTTAGAATGATGGATCCTGTAATGAGGCACACAGAGGCGTAAAGGTAATGATCTTAGTAGATTTCTCTCTTGTGGTTTTTAGTAATGATCATGACCTTATCATTAAGCCCCCCACGTGAAATTTAAAAGAAAATTTGATAGTAGTCAGAGACCCTAGATCTAATTTATTGTGAGGTAAATTAGGGAGGGATTCTGACTTTACAGATAGAATGAGACTTCTCATTTTAGTCTGAATTTAATAATGAAGATTCATGTGGGGGAAAAAAAAAACCCTACAACTTGCCACCTTGTTATTGTATCAGAAAGGCCTGAAAACAGAGCAGGGACCTTAATTGCTAATTGTGTTAGTACCAACCTTTCAAGTTCATTGATTAAATAGGAGTTCCTTCTTGGATTAATGCCTAAGTTTTTATTTTTGTTTTGCTTCATGTGCTGTTCAGCCAGTATCATCTGCATTGAATCTTATAAAAACTATAATGAATAAGTTGAGGAGACTATTTCTAAAGACTTTTCCTTTGAGTGGTTTCCAAGTTGTATTAAATAAGAAGACTAATGATTACTTAAGGGTTCTCATTTGAATTTGAGAAGACATCTGACAGGCTCCTGAGGAGTGTGACTCATTAAGTAGAATACGGGACTCAGAAGGACAACTTTGGGGTACTAACAAGCTATATGAACTGGGGCAGGTCTTTTGTCTCTGTCTGTATGTTAAATGAGTATTATAATTTTTACTTGGCAAGATTGCTGTGAGGCTTAATTAAAGTTTATAAAGTGCTTTGGGAGCCTGAGAGATGAAGCTCTAAAAACATAATATGTTATTATCTCATCCTGGATTTTTGTTTTTAGATTTACTTGCTTGAATCTGTATCATAACGATGCTTACAATTCAGGCAGTTTTCTGAGGTTTTTTATTTCTACAAAGACATGAAATAAAATAACATAAATATATAAGTCCCTAGACATTCATATGGGATGAAAAAATTACACATAATTTTTTTCTGATGTAAAAGAGTTTCTTCTTAAAAAATGTTTAATTGAATCTTATATCTGTTAACCAGCTTTATTTTTTTAAAAGCATTTCAGTGTTTTATTCGTAACATTTTTGCAGAACCAGTAAAAAGTTTTAAAATGCAGTCATCTTTACTGGGTCATGAGAAGAAAAATTTACTCCATTTAAAAAATGTAAATACTTATTTAAATGTAAATAAATATGCGCATTTAGATATATATAAATATAAATATATTACTCCAATTGAATAACAATGGAATTAATTTACAGTAATTAGAATTTGATAATTTGGGCTTGAAAGATATTCCTTTCTTCTATCTTTCTGCCTTACTTTTTTCTTCTACTGTGTGTTCATTTGAGATTTTCATATTTATAAAATATAAAAATGTATATAGAGCCCTGGAGTTAATATAAATTGCCTTGAAAATTCTTTTTATTCCTACTTTGTATTCTTGAAAGAAAAATCATGTTTTCCCATAAGAACAGTGTCATAATTATGGATAAAATTTCTGACCAAGCTATTGTCATCAAGTAAGTAATAGATATGTTTAACTCTATGTCATAAAAGCAAAGCTATTACCACCATAAGCCAGTATAATTATTGGAAATAACAAAATGATTCTCATTGTCATATAAACTTTGCTTAAATATTTTATATGCCTTGACATATATGTATTAAGTTTACTTATAAAATGTTATTTTTATAAACTTATCTAGAACTGACTGCTATTATAATAAATACTTTTAACATTTTGACATGCCATAATTTTGATCCATTTCATGGGGAATAATTTGAGAAGCCTATGTTTCTCAAAATTTTCGTAGGAAAATTAGAATGGATACTTGTATAATATATTCCTGTTACTAGGAATGATGCTTAAAAAAATTCTATAGTGTAGGTCAGTCTTCATTTTAAGCAATTGAATCCATTTTTAATGATATTACTTAAGAATTTTGCTTGTAAGAAAAAAAACTGTATCTGATTGAATTTGAAAATGTAGTTTTGGAGTGTATTTACTCTTCCTGCCTGATACCCCACTCCCCAAAACAGAGTAGTCTTGAGGAAATAAAAGGTCCTCAAAGGCAGCTAGATATGAGAAGAGTTTGAATTGCTAATGGGGAAACTTCTAGACCTTTGCCTTGATGTTAGAAAAGGAATTTGAGAACATGATTTATGTGTTAGACCCAGAGTTTGTCTTTAAACACAATTCAAGTTTATCACCTTTCTTATAACCTTTCTATACAAAACCATGGATTTAGTGAATAAAGCATTTGGAAGACGGTGGATAGTTGATAGATAAAGCAGATTGACCAACATGTAAAAATAGAAAGTGTTTTCATAGTAGGAATTTGGAATAACTTTTTCTATATTCCCATAGTTAGAATGGATGCCTAGAAAATGTATCCTTATTGTGATGATTAAAAATCTCTTTTTGAACTAAGACACGTAAGATAGTAACCTCTTTCTGCTTTGCTTATTCTCCCACCCAGGCTGTGTTGAAGTTATATAAGTATAAGCAAATGTGCACTTTTTTTTTAAATTTTATTATTATTATACTTTAAGTTCTAGGGTACATGTGCACAATGTGCAGGTTTGTTACATATGTATACGTGTGCCATGTTGGTGTGCTGCACCCATTAACTTGTCATTTAGCATTAGGTATATCTCCTAATGCTATCCCTCCCCCCTTCCCTCACCCCACAACAGTCCCCAGTGTGTGATGTTCCCCTTCCTGTGTCCAGGTGTTCTCATTGTTCAATTCCTACCTATGAGTGAGAACATGCGGTGTTTACACTGTTTTATAAAATGCTTTTGTCTAATTTTGTTACCTTTAAGTTTAGCTACTTGGCAAATAAACATTTTTAATACTGCTTAAGTCAAGTCTTTTACAAATAGAATTGTCAACATCCAAGAGTTACCAAAAGATACTTCATTCTTTAGATTTTTATTGTTCTTTCACAGTACTCACTGGTAATGGATTATATTTTACCTTTTTTTTTTTTTTTTTTTTTTGAGACAGTCTCTCACTCTGTCACTCAGGCTGGAGTGCAGTGGTGCCACCTGAGCTCACTGCAACCTCCCCCTCCCAGGTTCAAGCAACTCTCTGCCTCAGCCTCCTGAACAGCTGGGATTACAGGCGCGTGACTCCATGCCCAGCTAATTTTTGTATTTTTAGTAGAGATGGAGTTTCACCATCTTGGCCAGGCTGGTCTTGAACTCCTGACCTTGTGATCCACCCGCCTCGGCCTCCCAAAGTGCTGGGATTACAGGCATGAGCCACCACGCCCAGCCCTATTTTACTTTTATCTATTGTCAATGACTACATTGAATACTTTTGTATGCAAATGTAACAAAGGCATATTTTGCAGTTATTTATACTTTATGTCTGAGAATTATCACATAATTTAGCAAACATTAACTCATCTGTTTACCTTTTGCTGTAAAAGCTAGAGCAAGTGATGTAGATGGGGACAAGAAAATGACTCACTCAGCCTCAGAACCACAAGGAACTATAGACTTCTTGCAGTCTGGTTTTCTCTTCAAAAAGCAATTAAATATACGACCATTTGTATAAGTTTCCACAATGCATTCATATTTCAGAACTGATTTCTTACCTAGCACGGCATGGATTTCAGTTATAATGTTTCTCCTTGCACAAGCATGGTAGACATGGGGTTAGTAGGTATAAGAATGCCTCTGGGAACAATCTTTTAAGGTTTTATAGACTCTTTTCTCTCACCACTCCCCCAACCTAAGTGTAATTGTCATCTTAGACACTTTGAGTTTAGGGGTGGAGATAGGGAGAGCATCATCAGAAGGGACAAAAGGAGAAAGGGGAAGTGAAATGGTTTGTTGGATACTAGTGAGTGGAGCCTTTTACAGAAGTACAATGCACGCATTTTACATTTGTTAGTTAGATGTTTTCTAAGATGGTTTTGTAGCTCTGATGGTATATTTTTATGGATATAAACTTCTAATATGAGGAAGAGACCCAAACCAATTCAAATAGCATGTTAAAATTCAATCTATCTACAATCTTCACGTCCTTGATTATTACATTCTGTAATCTCATGGGTATTTTTGCTTCCAAATATAAGGACATACCTATTATTTCCTTCAGTTTTCTTTTTAGGAGAGTTGACTGAACTATTTCAGGAAAGAAGATGTCTTACTTTCCTTTGCCTAGTAAGCCTTGCTGCTTTTTGAACACAGTGCATTTTCTTCAAAATATACCCACTACTTTAGGTGGTCTTAATGAATGAATAATATGTAATTGTGTATACTTTTCTAAAATTCTTTGAAACTTCCAGGAAGGAAGGTCTCATTAAATATCTATTTGAATTTTAGTGAAAAGAACAAAAAAAAGCAATAACAAATTAAGACCTTTGATTCATGTGTACTAGCAGTGGTTTTATTTTGGTAGCTAGTGCTGTGATGTAATTGAAGCAGTATTTTCATATAGAAGCATTTTTTACTTTTATGTTCTTTCTACTTGTTAGAAGTATTCTTTTATTATGGTTACTTTTGAATGTATGTTTCCCTTGCACTAACTCAGAATACAGCCTCACTTCACAGCGCTTAGATTTGATTCCTGCATTCATACTGTTTGCATTTGAGGGTCCTGGTGACTGCAGTAATCTCCACCTCCTCCAGAGCCAGAGAGAAAGAAATGGCCACAGCTACTTTGTCATCTTTTGTCACTGGTCTCAATAGAGGGTCAAGCGTGCTTACCACATGGAGGATGCTTCAGAACAACAAGGGAAAGAATTAGAGTGTTGCCTGGGTACTGCCCACGCTGCTATATGAACAGTGAGAGAGGTTATATTTTCCTAAGCCTCGCTTAAAGCATTCCCAACTAACAGATTTTCTGTTTCTAATGGTTTGAACTTTTGTTTTTAAGTTGTTATTTGGGCATGTGGTTGTAGGGCATAGATTATCTCCTAATTTATTGCTTTCTTAATTTGACATTGGAATTTAGACTTCAGAAACAAAAAATGCAATACTTTGAATTATCTTCTTTCCATAAGTTCCTGATTTAAAATGAAAATGTCCCCTTAACTGCTAATTACGAGATATCGTATAAAGCATATGATACTTACAGTATATCTTTTTTGGTTGTTTTATAAGATGAAGATTACAAATATGATATTTAGCACATCCTGGCTCTTCTTGAAAGCAGGGACTATGGCTCTTTTACTAAAGGACAAATAGTGCCTAAGGAAACAGGAGGGTGTAGGAGAAAGAATTCAGCTTTGTGGTCAGATAGACCTGGGGGGTTGAATTTCACTTCTCTCTAGCTGTATGGTGTTGGGCTAAACACTGTCTCTAGAGCGGCTTCCTCACCTTTCAAATAGGGATGATACTCCTTTAGGTAACGATGTTATTGGTAGGATTTGATATAATAAGTATAAAGTGCCTAAAACAATGCCTGTAAATGGTAATTTCTATTAGGATGGATCATAGATTTAGGATTAGAATTTACACTAAACCTACCTTATTCATAGATTTGTCCAGAATCATAGCAGGAAATCTACTCCATAAAGTAGCTCTAGCCTCTGGTGCCTAGTAGAGGTGATGTATTAGGATAGTACTTTAAAACTTTTACCCCAATTAAGAGCAGAGGAAAATGAATGGCTAGATTAGCCATCCTGAGGGTTTAATCTGAAATGGTCCATAGAAGACATATCATTTTCTTTCTGAAAAACTTATTTCAACTTTGCATTCAAATATAAATATATATTTCAATATAGGTATTTCTTCCCCTCATTAAAAAGTCTTTAAAATTGTTGTTCCAGGAAGATGAGTAGTATTTATCTTGTAACATTGAGTTATTATACCCAGGCGCACTACCAGGAACACTTCTGATGTACAAGTGCCTTCAATAATTGTTTCAGAAGCACAATTTTGAGATAAGTTAAAGTGCCCTGGGAAAGAGCATTGTTTATTTTTGGAGCCTTAGCCCAAAATGACTCGGACTCATGCTACAAAATGATAACGCTCTTCATCAGTTGTATAGAGCTCCTTCTTTATGGCCAGCTTTCCTAGAGATATTTTAGACTTCTTTAGATGTCCCCAAAGGCACAATAACCACGTAAGAAGGGAAGCCACAGGAAGGCAGATTGCAGCAGAAAATGAATGGTCAGGGTTCTCTAGGGGTGGCTGCACTGCCTCCAGTGGTGGTGAGTTCTCCACCTCCAGAGAGTGAGACACCCTTGACTCAAGTTTTAGATGAGAGAAACAATCAAGCAGCCTCTGAAGTTCCCCTTGAATTCAAATTCTTTGCATCCAGAAGAGAAGTATTTTGTGACCAGAAAGATACAGATTGACTGCAATTGACCTTTTCTATGCCAGACCATTGGTTAACTGAAGAGAGTAGACTCTCCAGACAGGCAGTGGACTCAGCCTACACCAAAACACACAGCAAGCCTTCTGTGCCTTTCCCCAGGACAGTGACTCTTCTTTTCTCTCTGAAGCTGTGGTTCTATGTAGGAAACTACATAGGGTGAAGCTAAAAGGTAGGATGGGCCAGCCTATGTAGGGTAAGGCTTTTTAACTCTATCGCATGGGCAGTGTGCTGACATTGCATACTTTTTCAGCACCTCTTCAGATCGGTATATAAAGTAGATTAACCTGACAGCAGATGGCGGTTGGTTGGAGGGGCCTGCAGTAAAGGAGAGCAGTTTGGAGAATGCCACGGCATGCAGACGCACACTGTGGAGCTGAGCACTCAGTCGGTGATGTGGCTCACTCACCAGGGGAAGGACAGAGGTGAGATAGGGCAAGAGTCAGTTGCTGAAGTCACTACTCCAAAGGGCTAGATAGAAAGGTAGGGAGGAGGAATGGAGAGCCAGAAAAGGAGCCAAAATGATTAGCTATTTTACTAGAGCAGGTCTGTCCTAAAGGCTTGGCTGCCATTCTCTAGCTGGGACCTTGACGAATCACTTCCTCCCTAGTGCCTCAGTTTTCTTGTCTTCAAAATGAGGATGATGCTACCTATCCTGAAGGGTTATTGTGAGGATTAAATGAGATGATGGGGTGAAAGTGATTTGTAAACTAGGAAGTCTATCATGCAAACCGCATGATAGACTTCGGATAGAGGCAGCAGGTATACCTTTCAGCTTTCTGTCTTGCCAAATGAACATTTGTATCCTCTCACCTGGTGTCCAAGATGAAGGTGCTGGTTCAGTGAGATAACTCTTATCCAGCCTAATCTCAAGACTTCCTTTCATGCTCTCTCTCTCACACCTAGCAATAAATGCCAAAAGCCTAATAGCCCCCCAAACCTTGATCGTTTCAAGAGGATCCTTTCAAAGGAAACCTGCCTTTCCTCTCTCCTTGAGGAGAAACCAAAGCAGTCCAGTGAATAAAATTCATATTTTTCTCCCAGGCTGATTGAAATGGCTGGCCGTGGGAGCCCAGGGCCTTTTTGTAGGACTGTTTTATTTATTTATTTTATTATTATTATTATTTTTTTTTTGAGACAGAGTCTCGCTCCGTCACCCAGGCTGGAGTGCAGTGGCACAATCTTGGCTCACTGCAACCTCTGCCTCCTGGGTTCGAGCCATTCCGGATTCGAGCCATTCTCCTGCCTCAGCCTCCCCAGTAGCTAGGACTACAGGTGCCTGCCACCATGCCTGGCTAATTTTTGTATTTTTAGTAGAGTTGGGGTTTCACCATGTTGGCCAGGCTGGTCTTGAACTCCTGACCTCAGGTGATCCACCTGCCTCAGCCTCCCAAAGTGCTGGGATTACAGGAGTGAGCCACCGTGCCTAGCCTGGACTTTTCCAATTAGGCTGTGCCGGGGCTGCTGTGAAACTGTTTTCCTGTGAAGACAGTGATTTTCTCCTTAGGGTGGCTGCTGTCACACGGCACTGCCCCTTTCCTTATAATACTTGATCACAGACACAGTAACATCTGTGCCTAGATCACAAGCCATACTTACTCAGGACGATTTTCCTCTTAAAGCACCAGGGAGGGAGAGGCCCTTGTCAGAATTCTCACGACTGAATCATTGCCATGAGCTAATGTCTCCAGTTTTATGAGTCAGTGCTGGCCCAGGCATCGGTTTTGTAGGTTTAAAAAAAAAAAAAAAAAGACATGGGTTAGACTCCCCTAATATCAGTAGCTTGTTCAGGGGGAAAGCAAACTGAGCTATCATCAGACAGCAGCATTTTAGAAATCAGATGTTTGGTTCCTCTCCTCTGTAAGGATATAGAATAAGTGGAAGAATTTCAGAATTAAAAATAATAGTAATAAAAGCTCTCTGATTTGTGCGTGTGTTTTGTTTTGCTTCTGGCAAAGAAGGTAAAATGGTGTGTTTGGGAGATGAATGTTCTTGTAATAGGCAAGATGTAGCTTGCAGGAGAACATCTGCAACAAACCCTTATTCTGCATGAGATACAGCCAAGACCTGTTTGTGTGTTAGTGCCTGTTCAAACATGTCTAATTTTTAAAATGATTTATAAAGTTTTGGAGGAATCACCTTAAAATGTTATTTCCTCATATAATAGGCATATACATTCACAGCGTGGTGGCTAAACTATACACCCTGTTGGAGTTTGAGCAGTGCCAATATTGAGCTAAGTGATATAAAAATGGTTATCAATATGAAGTAGATAGAAAAGTATTAGGAATATCTGCAATCATTCGTGAGTCTACCGATTAATCCAGCAGCAGGCAAAAATAAATTATGCTTTCCACGTTTTTAAATGTTCTTGGTAGAGAATTTATGCAAAGAATAAAAGGGAAATACATGGATATTTGCTTCAAAATACCCAGAGGTATTGCTCAAAACTTGATTAAAAATAAAATAACAGAATTGGGGATGGACGTCAATAAGAAAGAATAAGCTTAAATAATATCAGTATCTATTAAACAACATGATTTTTAATTGTGTCTTCTCTATTCTTTCCCTTTATCATATATTTACACATAATAGGAAATGCCTTTTAGGAAAGATAGTGGAAGCCTTCTCTTTTGTTTTTAACAGCCATTGCTTATGTAGTGCTAATGCATCTTCTTAAATCCACGTGCTTTAAAAAAAATAATATTTTATGGTAGTCATGTACTTCTCAACACATCATTTGGAAAGAAAGTTAGGGGTATGCGCTGTAATTTGTACCCAGTATTCAGAGTTTACAAGAAAGATTGCTCTTCCCTGCAGCCTCTCCACCCTTCCCCCTCCTTCTCTCTCTCCCCCACTTGCTTCTTGCTCCTTGTTTCTTTCTCTGAAGAAGGACGTGAGCTACATGGAGGACAGGGCAGAAAAGGGAAGAAAAAAATAGGAAATGGTGAGAAAAATATTAAGGACATTTAAAACTTAAAGTTTTATGGTTCTTTTTAGCTAAATGAATCTTTTGAGCTTCCATGGGGGAAATTAGTGTAATTAAAATTTTCTAGTTCATAAAACCAAATCTTTACATACTGACTGAGCCCACTGTAAGTATTGACTAAGGCAAGGACAAATGTTATCCTCTGACTTGGAAAATTCAAAAGAAGCATTTTGTCTCTTAAATGAAGGTAGGTTGATTATATTTGATGAGCTTCTTGGAAAAGGCATTGATTAGTCCACATCCAGAAATTTAACTTCCCTTTTGCTTATACTACTTGAAAAATGATTTTATGGACACCGTGATGTAAACAATGAGTCTCTCTAGGAAGGGATACTGTGTATATTTTTTGTTTTATTTTTAACTTTCTGGCATTCCAAGACACATACAGTTTTTATTTGAGGGAAATATTCGTAAAATAGAATACGAAGGAACTATTCCAAAGTCAGGAGTTGAGTGAAATATCCCAATTAAAAAACTGAAAGGATTGTTTATCAGTAAGTTGCAGGATATGTGTAGAGCTCCACAACATGAAAATTCAGTATTAATAATTTTGGCTTGAAATATTTTCAGTTCTATCTCCTTATAAGCTTCAGAATTACTAACCACCGAAACTGGTGTAACTAAGAGGACGCATAGCATGAGTCTCATAGGATCTCTCCAACTGGTGCCTTGTAATTTTGTATGGTATGCATGTGCACACATGTCCCAAGATGCGTTTGTTGAGGCTTAGTTGAAGGCCCCATACTATGAGGTCTCAAATGTTAGAGTTCACTGAACAGCACCTTTAGTTTCAACATGCATTTTCTAAGCACTGGAAGGTACACATTGAAGAAAAACAGATATAACTCCACAGTTGACTAGCTGGGTTGACTAGGCAAGTGACCTGATGCTTCTGAGACTCAATTTTCTCTTCTGTGAGGTGAAAATAATCTCCATTGAAGGCTTTTGAAAGTTCAATATATGAAGCCCATAATATAGTTCCTGCCACTGAGCAGGGCCTTGATAAATTGTGCTAGTTATTATTAAGGCTAGACACTATTGGGTAATTATATTAATAGATAAGTTAGCCCTTTCTCAAAGAGCTCACAGTCAAGAAGGGCAAACTGATAAACCTAGTTGTAATTTAGTGTGACAGGTGCTATAATCTGTCTGGAATGTTCCCCTAGCCACCACCACCTCTGTCTGCCATGCAGACTCCTACTTATTCTTTAAAACTCATTGGAAGCATTAATTGTAGATGAACACTTGCCTTGTGATACCCACCCCCCACCAGCTCCCCCTTACAGACACGTACTCAGGAGTTCAGAGGCAGTAGCTTTGACCTTTCATCTCTGGGTCTTAGTGCTGGCACATATAATGGGTCTTAACAAATATTTTTCAGGTAATACCTATTACCTAAACAAAGTGGAATGTAGTACAGAAAACTGATTTTGCTAGTTTCACAGAAAACTTTGCATTTAAAGTTGGGCCTTCAAGGATAAGCAAAGTCTTGGGAAAAATAAGAATAGATATTCCAGGTAGAGGGACCAGGGTAAGTAAAGGCATGGAGACATGAATGTGTTATGTAAGTCTAGGAGTGGGAAGCAGTTTGGTATACCTGGACCATAGAAAGTTTGCAGGAACAGGAGTAGCAGGAAATGAGGCTAGAGAGAAGTCCACAGAGCCAGATTGAGATGGGCTGTGAATACCACCCTAAGGAGTTTGGCTCTAGTCCTGCAAGTGTTAAGAAAACATGGAAGGGCTGTGAGTTGGGAGATGACATCATGTTCTGTTGGAGGAAGCTAACTGGCAGCAGTTTGGAGGTAGGGAGACTAAAAGCAGGGAGGCTAATTGGAAAGGTGTTGCAATATTTTAGATAAGAGATATGGGGGCCAGGTGCAATGGCTCATGCCTGTAATCCCAGCACTTTGGGAGGCCGAGGCTGGTGGATCACCTGAGGTCTGGAGTTCAAGACCAGCCTGGCTGATATGATGAAACCCTTTCTCTACTAAAAATACAAAAATTAGCTGGGCTAGGTGGTGGGCGCCTGTAGTCCCAGCTACTCGGGAAGCCGAGGCAGGATAATTGCTTGAACCCAGGAGGCAGAGGTTGCAGTGAGCTGAGATCGTGCCGCTGTGCTCCAGCCTGGGCAACAGAGCGAGACTCCATCTCAAAACAAGCAAAAAAAAAAAAAAGAGAGAGAGATACGGAGATATGGGCAGGCAAAGGGGAAAGGAGGTGAGTGTGGGGTTTGGGGTGGTTTTGCAGTATATATTTTAGAGATAGAAACCTATTTTCCGTAATTGGGATTATTTTGACTCCTACCATTGTAACATTTTCTAGACATTGGTTTTAGAGGTACTTCTTATAAGGACTGTACCAAGAAACTAGTTGAATGATATATTCCTCAAGGTTTGGGGCCTTTTTGGTGCCATGCTTTGCTTTCTTTAGTTAGGATTAGTCTTGGCTATTTATCCTTCTGCTTTGACTATGAGAAGAACCACATACCTGTAATTGGTCAGACAAAAGAACATTTTATATTCTCTATGTCTCTGCCTTGCACTAGAAATGTTTGGGTAAAAAATTTATTGGTTTAAGAAGGAAGAAATGTGCCCAAATAGCCAATGATTGGCTTGATGGCTTTGGCTAGGCCGTTTTGCTGCTTTGAGCTTCAGTTTTCTTATCTGTAAAAGAAACATATTGAGCTAAATCTTGATATCTTTTTCCTATTTCTTAACGTGGTATGGAAGTTAACACTTTCGTCCTTTTACTGAATGAAAATAATCTAATAGTAGCTTAAAGAAAACGGAAGCATCTTTCACTTCAGTGTTTTGAGCGTAATGAAATGAATGCTATTATTATAAATAGCAGTACCATTTTACAAAATCAGAAGCTAGGAAAATGTATTTGGCCTTTGACTCGTGGTTGGTCCTCAGTGAATGTTCAGTGAATAGAATTATAAAATCTCTTTGTTCTTTTTTGCTGAGTACTAAAGACCATAAATTTATTACAGATGATATTTACTGATAATAAAGTACTTTTATTTTTACTGGTACCCAAAGAAGGATTCAAAAATCTTGGCAGATACCATATTACCAAATCTAACTATAGGAGCTGGACCAAGAGAGAAGACTCTGTAAATCACCTGTCTACAGACCCAAGACCCAACCATCTTAAAAGAGGATTCAGGAAATCATTTAAATGTTTCTTCCTGCTTTCATGCCTTGAACATGCTGTTTCTGAGCAATACACTACAGAGATTGCCCTAATTGACACTAAATATGAGTTTTAAGCATTTATTCTGAAAACTAGACCCATGTAAACAAGTTAGCATCCAACTATCAATTCTTAGAAAATCTACTTTCCCTATATGTCTACTGGATTATTTGTCTCAGATCTTAGGGGAGGAAGTGGAAGAGCTGGAGAACAGCACGTGTTATTTTAGAGTTATAACTGGAAGTATTTGGAATGGCTTCTATGAAAGTTTATTTCACTGAAAATGTGGAAACAGCTTTGGAACTAAGGAATGGGCAGAGACTAGATTTGGAGGAGCAGGGTACTAAAAGCCTAGAGTCTGGCGAGGACTTAGAAGAGAAAAAGATTCTGGAAAGTTTGGAGCTCTTAAAGAAAAATAAAAATTTACTTCACTTCTAACTATTTGGTTGGTGCAAAAATAATTGCAGGTTTTGCCATTACTTTTTCACCAACTAACAAATTCAGTTTCAAAGATTTCTATACTGCTGACAGTTTTTTTCAAATATTAGCCCTTTTAATTATTTCATTACCAGACCAATATAACCTTAATTTTTTTCAACCAAGATAAACAATTTTTCTGCAGTAAATTTGTATTTATGTTCCAGACACATCTCATCTGATATACAATATTTTCTTAAATTGTATAAAGAGAAATTATTGTACATCGGATGAGCTGTGTCTGGGATTAAGTATTAGCTCCACTGTAACCTTCATTTTCTTGAACACTGGAAAGAAAGGCCAACGGTCATTTAGTAGGGTTGGAATAGGATGGGGAATGGGGCTTTGGTGAGAGAGCATTGGACTGTTGGTTATAGAAACACAGTTCAAGTATATCTGGAGTTCAGATTTGAGATCTGACTAGGAGAATCTGTCTAGTGAAAAAAGCTAGACCTTTACAAATTGTAGTCAGGAGCTACCGTTGTAACAGTCTGCCAGAGTTCCTGATACAAAAGATTGATAATTTGTGTGTTTGAAAAACAAAACAAAACAAAACACATCTACCTTCAATTTGACTTACTGCAACTCTGATTTTCATGGCAAGGGATAGAGACAAAATTCATTCTATAAAATTTGAAAAAAAATGTATATCCTGAAACCATTGGAAATTGGATATCAGCATTAATTTTATTGGACTGAAAAACCTCCAGTTTACTAACAGGAGTTGAAAGTCATCACTTTTCCTTTCATCATAGTGAGTTTTCATCACAAACCACAATGATATGCTTATCTCAAATATATTCATTTACTTGTTTTACACAAGTATCATTTCTGTTTACATAACACGCAATTTTGTTGCTGCTGCTGTTGTTTTATTATGCCTGTCACTTGAGTAAAAGATGGATAAGGTAAGGTCTCCATTTAGAAATGTATAGTCTCTTGGCAGGGAAGACAAATAAAGGCCCATAATTATCATAACAGAAAAATTAATATGTGACGCAAGAAAAAATAAAGATACTATTAAATTTCTTTGGGACTTTGAAGGAGGAAGGGAGCATATAGACACTTAGTAAATATTGTTTGAAGAAGGGAATGAATATGTAAAGGGAGAATAAACCTCACCTATAAGGTCTAGGGCAATTTAAACACAAAGGAGTTGTGTAGGATTATTTAAGGTTTGCAAATGTGTAAAATTATCTCACTACAATACTAGGGAAATGGAAAAACACCAAAGTTCCTCTACCAGCTTTTGCTGGATGAGATGGGCCAGAAGTAGTAACTGCGAGGGCAGCCTGTATTTCTGTTGTTGGTGTGGTTTATCTTCCCAGTGCCAATGCTGCCAACTTCCCCTCAAATAAAAACCCATAGGGGTTCAGAGTCTCATGAGGTGAGAACAGACTTGCACTATCTGTGACAACAACAAAAGCACTTATAATTTTGATGTGGAGGATCCTAATTGAAATCTGCTGTTTGAGGTTCCTTGGGTCCTGCATTCTTTCTTAAATATTTCTACTTGAGTTGGTTATTGATCCTTATTTATTTTCCGTCTAATCGATTGACTTTATAAATCTATTGCAGAGGGCAGATTAAATAGGCAGACAGTTTTCTAATTTGCTGTGAGGGTATTTCTTAATTTACTTTTTAAATACTGATTTTATTTATACATTTATATGCACAGGTCATTTTCATTTCCATGATATCATTCGAGCTTCACAACCACACTCCAAGTTCAGTGTTGTTATCTTCATCTTCATGTTGAGGATGAGGACACGGAAGCTCACAGGTAAAGTGACAAACCCCAGTCTTTAGGCTACTAGATGGTGGAGTTCAGACTCTGATTTTCTGGCCAGGTGCTCATTTGATGATAGCAGCATGAAGCTCTTCCCATTCTGCACCGTTTGAGCTCCTACCCTT
This sequence comes from Homo sapiens, assembly GCF_000001405.40. Classification (NCBI taxonomy): domain Eukaryota; kingdom Metazoa; phylum Chordata; class Mammalia; order Primates; family Hominidae; genus Homo; species Homo sapiens. The sequence goes on from NC_000003.12 coordinate 189,831,676, forward strand.
CCTAATCTTCTTTCTCTAATACGAGAACACTGTAATTAAAGTGGTATTTGGCTGATAAGTAGTAGGTTTTGATTTATAACACATAGAGCTGGCAGTGTAATTTTTGTCCCAGAACTTGATGTGCCATGAAAGCTATTATGCTCTTTTTTTTTTTTTTTTTTTTTTTTTTTTTGAGACGGAGTCTCACTCTGTCACCCAGGCTGGAGGGCGGTGGCGTGATATCTCGGCTCACTGCAACCTCCGCCTCCAGGGTTCAAGTGATTCTCCTGCCCCAACCTCCTGAGTAGCTGGGATTATAGGCATGCACCACCACTCCCGCCTAATTTTTGTATTTGTAGTAGAGACAGGGTTTCACCATGTTGGTCAGGCTGGTCTTGAACGCCTGACCTCATCATCCACCTGCCTTGGCCTCCCAAAGTGCTAGGATTACAGGCATGATCCACCACGCCCAGCACTATAATGCTTTTAATAGAGGGAAATGAATCTTCAGATGATGTCAGCATCCTAATTTTTTTTCTCCTCTTGGGGTTTTTCTAAATGACTGGCAAATGGAAAACCTGAAAGTTACCTGAGACTTCTCTGCATCGGGCTTGTTGGGGTATACTGTTCTTCTTATAATCAACCCCAGGGACTGACAGATGGACAGTTGTTAGAGACAAAGTCCTCAATCCAAGGAGGTCACTCAGGGCCAACTTTCCTTAGTATATATCGTTCATTACATTAGTTGGTTATATTACCTGTAGTACAACTCAAGTACAATAGCTGCAGGAGGAGACAGCTCGCCAGCTAAACCTAAAAGTTACAACAGTGACATAGCAAGCAAGGGTAAAATAAAAGGCTCTTGACTTATTCCTTCATTTTTTAATAAAGCATGAAGTTTGACATAAATTTTAACCTCTGGCCGCATAGTCAGTTATGCTTATTATCTTGTGTGTATTATTATGCTGTCAGGAGTTGGCCACTGATGACCAACTCCAAAATTTAGATGATAGAGATAAAACTGGTAGTTAATATATGTTGAGTACCAGGTCAAAAACTCCATAAGACACTTTACACTGTGGGAACTGGTTCATGTAACAGTTCTCCAGGATGGAGGATTAATATTCCCATTTCACAGATGCAGAGTTATGTGTCTTTCTAGACCTGACAACACCTGTCACCTACCAAATGAATAGAGAGCTATGCTATAAGTCTAGGGATGAGTGATCCTTGGATGCAGAGCACTTCCTACTAGTATTCTGACTTTTACTATTATGCGTCTGTTACTATTTGACAGCTCTCATTTTTGCCTGTCCAAATTTAAGCACGTTTAATGAGATAAAGAGAGCAGAGGCAAAGGTGAGACTGGATCTTCCCTTGTATCTTATTGATAGAGAGTAAATCGAATCCAATTTGCTAAGGCCTTCTCTCTCCTTTCATGTTTCCTCACTTTGCCTCCACCACCATGAGGTTGAAAAATGAGTTTCCATTTAGTTTAAGCCTTTTGTTATTCATTACTTAATTTTGCTTCTATTTCCCTCTTCTATCTATGACAAATTCAGCACAGTGAGGGGAAGAAACAGTGATGATAGTGATGGCCTCAAGAAGAAAACAGGGTGACTGAGTAGGAGCAAATAAGTATCTCAGACCAGCATATAAACAAGTTCATTTGTAGTGTAAAAGAACATTATGCCTTTGGCTTGAAAACTGCCTTTCCAATTTATGAGCATGTTTAGGATTATGTAAGTACAGTGTCTTCATAACAAGCCCAACACCTCTTACCCAAAGAATGCAAAACGCTTTGCAAACAGTAGAACTCACAATTCCCCTGTGACCTGGGGACTTATATGTATTTTCATGCATTATTTTTTATAGATTGAGAAGTGAACTTGAGACCTACCAATCTGTCCACGTTGACAAAATAGATCCAATACTAAACTCTTAATTCCAGCTTCCTGTCTTCTTAGAAGCAGATCACACTGAAAGAGGAATCTTATGTCAAGGGTAGCAATTTTCTCTCTCTCTTTTTTTTTTTTTTAAAGAAAACACAAATTACATAGTAGATATATTTGCATAAAGGTAGATCTTGAAAACATTTAATTAAGACAGCGGTATCTATTTCCAGGAAAAAATAGAAAAGCCAGATCTCTACTCCACTGAATTTAAAAATTAGAGCAGCATTTTGCAGTTAAAAACGATTATTATTTTGCATTCTGCCATTTGTCTTTACATGAAGAATGCCTGAATTCAGAATGGAAAATATTTTCTTTTGAAAAGTGCATAGGAAAGAATTGTTATAAAGCAAATGTGTTCAGAATGTATGTAGATATTAATTATAAGTAAAAGTAAAAGAAGTAGGATGTATGTGAGCGTATGTGCATTTGTGTTGCAGATAAACCGATTTTGAAGGTTGAGAGACATGACGATACTTGTTAGGTATGAGGGAGACAAGACCAGAGGCGCCGGGAAGCTTGACTACCGTGGAGAGCTCAGTTGAGACTTGTCTTTGCCCATGGCCTGCAGCGCTTATGTAGAAATTGGGGATGCTTTTACTCGTTCCAAAGCCTAACCTGATCAGACCTGCCCAGGTTGGAGTTTGGGAAAAAAAGTGTTTGAAGTAAACAGGAAAATTACTCACCTTAATGATGTGTCTTACTGGCACTGACAGTGCTTTGATAGTCTGACAGTCTTTTTTTTTAAGTTTTGGGAGGAAAGACAGGGGAAATTATTAATATGATTTTTGGAAAACATAGATTCTTATGCTTATGCACTTGCTAATAAGGTGGAAAAAGTGGGCTTTGCACCATTTACAGTTATGGACTCGCGTTTCCTCCTAATAAAGTCTATATCAGGAATTTTCCATTAGGAATTTCTACCAAAAAGAAAAGAAAATACGTTACTGTTTATTTTGTGTACTTGTGCCATGTATCTCCACAATTGCGCTGTGGCTGTTCACACAGAACAGATTCTTCCTAGCACTTGGGCTGTGGGTTCCCAAACTTGCAGGTCGCTTTCATCTGTCTGGTGATTAAGACCATAAACCAAGTGGTGTGATGAGAGAGTTTGGTGCTCTAGACAGAGCAAGCACACCCTTTTTTCATAAGAAGCACAATTCTTAAATCTCTGCACCTAAATCTTTCCTTAGGATGGGTCAGTTTTTTGGAAAAAGCAATTATATATGTTTTGATATTTTGTTGAAACATAATAGATGTTGATTTCATATGGTTTTTTTCCTTTTTTTTTTTTTGTCTTTGCTAAATGTCAAACGGTACATTTTTTCTAAGCTTGAAGACAGAGAACTGGGTCATATGTCTCTAAACATTTAAATCTTCACTGAGATAGGGAAGAGTGACCTGATCTTATGGATCGTCCGAGTCCTGTGAGACAAAAATGCTGGGTTTTTCATGCAGTCCCTAATTCACTTTGACCTTGGTGGAGGGAGTCAAATCTCCTAGTTTGAGATCCCACACATATAAAGCTCTAGAGTTTCAGGATTAAAATCTTCTTAACTTTATATTCTCAGATTCTGTATAGCTTATTAAACTAGATGGAGGGTCTAGTTATACTGTCTAGAAGGACATAGATGAATAGTTATATTTTATAAAAATTAAACTCCTAATGATAAAAGGCTAAATGGGGAGAGAATAAATTATAGTTTATGAAGGCATGTAAAACAAAAGATGTCTGCCAATTTCCTCTCTTTGGTTCTCTGACTGGGAATAACTGTATCGTTTTTACTTTTTTTGTCCTAACTGTGTCCTAATTGTAAATGAATCTGGTGCCCAGTAAAATCAAATGAATAGAAATACTTACCATGGTGTGTATATACCAGCCTCCTGGTGTCTCAGATATAATTAACATAATGAAAGCATTGCAATACATTCTTACCGAAGGCTCAGTTCCTGTCCTGTCAGCAACTGTTTGCCTACAACTAAAGCAAGTCTGGGTTCAAAGCATTTTAAAATGTTCCAAAAAAGTGGGGAAGGCGGCTGGGTGCAGTGGCTCACACCTGTAATCCCAGCACTTTGGGAGACCGAGGCAGGTGGTCAGGAGTTCGAGAACAGCCTGGCCAACATAGTGAAACCCCATCTCTACTAAAAATACAAAAAATTAACTGGCCATGGTGGCAGGTGCCTGTAATCCCAGCTACTTAGGAGGCTGAGGTAGGAGAATCACTTGAACTCAGGAGGCAGAGGTTGCAGTGAGCCAAGATCGTGCCATTGCACTCCAGCCTGGGCCACAGTGCGAGACTCCATCTCAAAATAATAATAATAATAATAATAATAATAATAATAATAATAATAATAATAATAATGTAAAGTGGGGAAGGCAAGATTTGGCTCACGCGTCAGACTTCCTATCAATGGGTCTATCTTTGAAGCAAGTGCTCAGAGTGTCTATTCCTTTGATCACACGGGTAGTGGTTTATTTCCATGAGTATTTGCTGTTTTCAGGAGATTTCACTTTGGGTTTTGTCCATATTCCACATTCAGGAAACTGTTAATTTTGGAAGAAGAGATTGTTTTTACTTGGTTCTTCTAAGGAAATTAATCAAATGTACACGTGCAACTTAAAATCAAAGAATCCCTGTTTTAAGAGGAGTTTTTCTTATTTCAACTGGCAAACAATATGAAACTGAATGTACCCAAAGTGTTGGAGGTTTACAAACATGATCAGCACTTGTTAATGACAATTTTCTCCTAAGAAAATGGAATGCTACCTTCTAGCATGGGGACTTGTAGGCAGTATTTCTGTGTTTGCTAGCCTTGGAAAGTATAACTCTTATAGGGTTGGGCAAAGCAAAGCGTTTTTGCTTTGTAACCTGTAGAAATGATTACGTAGTGTAATTTGGTTATTTAATATAATTTGTTAATAATTCTCATTCATCTACCAGAAACTTAAAACTTGGTACTATCCTGCTAATTTGGTTTTGGTAATGTCTCTTTTCCCTAATTTTAATATCCCTGTTCCTTGGCAAACCCATCCATACACCTACCTGTTGTTCAACTGGTGTGATAAGCCCCATCAGTGCTCCTAGACATTTTCTTTTCCTACTCTTCCTCTTCAGTGTCAGGCAGAAGGATCTTTCTAACACTCGCCTCAGTTCATGGATTGCTGATGGTCCATTGTTGGTGACTGCATGATGACCTGTAAGCATGTCACACTCTGACCAAAGTGTTTGTATTTGGCCCAATTCCCCACGGCTAATAATAATCCCTTTCTGTTTGGAAAATGTCTTATATTTTTCAAAACACACACATATATGTATTATCACATTTAATCCTCATAACAAACCTGTCACATTGGCAGGTGTTATTCTCACTTCTCACATGCAAAGTTATGTAACCTTTCTTGAGATTATACCTCAGTTTGGAAAGTAGGGGAATGAGCCTTCTGCCTCTGTGAGTACCGTGTTCTTCACGGTGTACGATGCTTCCAAATATATACTCTTCCCAACAGGCAGAGGTGGTGTTTCGCAGTCAACAAAAGATGATTTTTGTTTTGTTTTCCCTTCTGCATGCCCTGTCTCCTGCTACTTCCTCTGTTCAAAACATTTTTTTTTTCTCTCTCTCTCTCTCCTCTCACTGCTGCCTACCAAAATTATGTCACATAATTTGGCTATTTAATGTAATTTGGTTAATAATCCTCATCTATCTACCAGAAACTTAAGAGTTGTTATCATCCTGGCAATCTACCTTGAAGATTGGCAAAATGTTAGTTAACTATTGAATATAGATGATGAGCATATGGAATTAAATTTGAAATTTCCAATTTCAGGTTCCAAAAATCCAATTTCAAATTAAGAAATTTTAAATTTAAATCTTAAATTAAGAAATTTAAGAAACTTCTTAAAATTTTTACTTATCCTTTCTAGCTAGAGTTGCCAGATTTAGCAAATAAAAACCAAGGATGTCAGTTAAATGTGAATTTCAAATAAACCATGAAAAAATGTTTAGCATAAGGGAATCCCATGCAATAGTTATTACTTTTGTTTTATTTTGTTTTGTTTTCTTGAGACAGAGTCTCCTTCTGTCACCCAGGCTGAAGTGCAGTGGTGCAATCATGGCTCACTGTGGCCACTACCTCTCAGGCTCAATCAGTCCTCCCACTTCAGCTTCCTGATGGCTAATTTATGTATTTTTTTTTTCTTTAGGGACAGGGGTTTTGCCATGTTTCCCAGGCTGGTCTGGAACTCCTGGGCTTAAGCAATCCTCCCGTCTTGGCCTCCCAAAGTGCTGGGACTACATGCATGAGCCATTGTGCCTGGCCAATATTCCTTACTTATGCTGAAAAATTTCATTGCTTTTACAATTAAATTTTAATTAGGCTGGAGATTATCTGGTAACCCCATTCCCAGCTCAATCACCAACTCTCTAAGCAGAAGGAAATTTTTCATCTCTCTTGCCATAGTGAGGTCAGGATTAGTGAGGTGACAAGATTAAATATGAGCTAAGCTATGACACTTGTTTTCCACAGTTTCCTGAGCCCCCCTCCCTCCTTTTCTCTTTCTTCCTTCTTACCTCCCTTCCTCTCTCCTATTTATTCTTCCTACCTTTTTGTTGTTGCTGTGAGTGTCTTCACCTGTTTCCTTCCTTCCTTTATATTCCTGGTAATGTTTCAAATTTATTGGCATGGGCAGCTTCTCATAATAGGTTTGTTTTTATTATTTTTCTTGTTATTACTAAAACATGTTAATAGATAGATTCTAACTCTATGGCACAACTAAGACAGTTGTGTTACATTCTTTTCCGTGTTGGGGCTAATTAGAATATTAAGTTTACAAAGAATGCAGAAAAAGCGAACAAGATGAAGCACGTTTCCGTCTTAAACAAATGAACTCTAAAGAAATAGGAAGTAACATGATGACAAGCTTTTAAGAGATGTTGCAAGTAGAGGAAAGGGTTTGTTTAAATCTCTCCCCAAGCACCCCCTACACCTACCCCCAGCCAACACAGATGCTTATGTATTAGTGGCCCACACGGTACCTAATTATCAACGATGGAAATAGATGTCTCAAAATTGTTTCAATTATCCAGGGGTTCCCTTAAAAAAGGAGAGGAGAGCAAAAGTTTAAAACTTGGCTTGAAGGTATTAAAGAGCAAATCTGATCTAATTGATTAAGTTACACCTTTCCTTTTTGGCAGTATCTTAATACCCCTAGGATCTCAGTATTTCAGCATATTGGTTTCCTGTACTTATCTAGAATAAAGAAACTCAGCAATTTGCCTATAGGATAGTAGAGCCTTGAACTAAATTTATCTCATTATTGTTCACTTGAAACCTTGGGGACAGCTGTAGTTGAAGGGACCTTAAAGTCCCTTAAACTTCTCAGCATTTGCAGGTTCACTTTTAAGGTGCACTAAAAAGCAACTAGTATCCTAAGCTAAAAAAAAAAAAAAAAAAAAAAAAGAAAAAGAAAAAGTAGATTTAAGTATACCAATGAGCATGGACTCTGTTTATGTTTTGAAATCCATTTGCTACTCATTTTCCTCGTTTTTAAATCCTATTATATTTACACCTGGGCATCCATTTCTCTGAAGAGAGAAGAATGAAGGATCTAAAATGTCAGAATAACAGTGATTCTCAACAATTATTGTCGGCACTCTTTCATGAAGAGATTTAAAGCTCTTTGCTTATCTGACTTAATTCCTGCCGGAAGGACAGTACAGAGGGATTACGGTTTAAATATTGCAGTTAGAAGCACAAAGTGGAACCTGGACTTCCCCGACCTTGGAAGAAAAATAGTAAAGTGTGGTTCCTATAAAATATTATAGGAACTTCAGACATAGAATGGAGCATCCATTTATAGTGATTTAAGTTCCAGTATTGAAACAGGCCTTCTATTTTTATTTCAATCTCCCTCCCCTTTATTTTCTTTGTTTTGTGATTCACCCCAAAACGTATCTTCTTATACGGTAATATTAACTAGTACCTTAGTCAAAGATTGATCTCCAGAAGTTTGTTTAGGAAATTCCTTGTGTTACTTGTCTAGCAGTTAAACTGCCTAGTGGAAACAACAGCTCAGCTAAATAGTGTGATGCAATCGTGATAGCTGCTGTTCATCAGGCATTTACCCTGGACCAAGCACTGTACCCTGAATATCATGTGGCTTTTTCTCCACACTCAGGACAAGCTTGCAGTGGGCAGTAGTATTATCTCAGCCTTGAAATGAGTCACACAAGGTTTTGCAGCAGAGAGAACTGTCCTCTTTTTCAGCCCTGTACAGGGGAGGAGCAAGGGTGCTGCAGTGAGGGGATCTGGAGTTGAATCTGGCTTAGTAGCTGTGAAAGATTGGGCAACTTATTTCACGTTTAGGAGTTTCAATTTACTTAACTGGCAAATGGAATAACAATGTCTACTTCACAGCTTACTGCGATGATCATATAAGACATAAAGAACTTAGCGAAGTGCCTAGACTGTAGATCACAGTACGTGTTAGCTTTTTGTGTTTTATACATCAAGCGTAAGTCTTATTTTTTACATCTGTCATATTACCCTTTCCCCAGTATTCAGAGTATTTGAGTGTATACGTACGGGTGGTAAGTGTTGTTTTTCATTGAAAGTGCAGATCCTAACTTTTTTTTTCATGCAGTAATCCTCAAAAAGGTAGACGTCTACCATAATTCAGTCTATTGCTCCAATTGGAGGATGTACAGTTGTTTTAGGAGTTAAGGAATTGAGTTTTTTCTTTTTTGCTTTTCGTCTTTTTTTTTTTTTTTTTTTTTTTTTTTTACAAATTCTTTTATTCTTTTCTTCTCCAAATTCAGGCAAACAGTATTAAACACTTTGTTTTAAAAATAGATTGTGTACGTGTGTGTGTGTGTTTATGAGAGAGACAGAGAGAGAGATGGGAGAGGGTGAGAATACACAGTAAGGACTTGGAACATATTCTTTGTGTGAAATGTTAAAAAATTGTTCACGGTGGCTGGGTGCGGTGGCTCACGCCTATAATTCCAGCACTTTGGGAGGCTGAGGTGGGTGGATCACGAGGTCAGAAGTTCAAGACCAGCCTGGCTAAGATGGTGAAACCCGTGTCTACTAAAAATACAAAAATTAGCCGGGTGTAGTGGCAGGCACCTGTAATCCCAGCTACTCGGGAGCCTGAGGCAGAGAATTGCTTGAACCCGGGAGGCAGAGGTTGCAGTGAGCCGAGATCATGCCACTGCACTCCAGCCTGGGCGACAGAGCAAGACTCAGTCTCCAAAAAAAAAAAAAAAAAAAAACAACTATTCAAGGTTTCCCAATAACCTTCTTGGGCTTTGAAGCTAGAGAGCGCTTTGGAATTCATGCTCCATTATATGTGTGTCTTAATGCTATATACTGTTGTAGGTCAGCAATATTTATATACATAAGTTTATATATATGTATATATAGATCTTTTGTAAATAGAGGGTGGATACTTTGTCCCCACCTTTTCCCATCCTAGCATGCAGTATAATGATTTGAACACGGCAAGGACACCACAAAGGCACAGGAAGACATCCTGCAATGTACATATAGTATGTGCCTTATGTACAGTAAGGGCCCTGAATTTAAAGTTAAAACCTAGATTGGAGAATTCTAACTTTGTGTTATCGTGAGCAAAGTAGTTTACTTAAGTCTCTGATTCTGATTCTTCCTTGACAGAAAGGGAATACAGGTGACTTTCTTATAGAGTTAGCTGAGGATTAAATTAATAGCTGTATGAAAATGCTCTATAAACTGTTAAGGACTATACAGATGGGTGAGTGATGGTGTCATTTATGGAAATCAGTAGATGCCATTACTCTCCATACTGTCGATACATAGTCTCCCATTTCTTCTTATCAGACTGGCCTACCTAGTCTTCCGGTAAAAAGAATATCCCGCAGATACAAATTACCATTACTGGAACAGAGGACTCACTTTTAGAGCAGATGTACAAATGAAACTCCAAAACAAGCCACAAATCTACCAGGAAAGAGAACCAATATGTGTGGTATTATATCGCCAAGGATACCTGAGTCATTTCATAGAAATTGAGCTGTGAGTGCCTCCCAGAATGAATGGTTTCTGAACGTGTTTCTGTTAGGAATGATGCAACCTTCAGTAGAGACCAGAGATTTAAGAATTCTATACTGTGAGTCATTTTAAAAGACAATCAAAGAGTATGTGTGGAAGCATAGACAATAACTTTCACCTCTAGCGTCCAGGTGTTGAAGGAGGTCAGCTACCAGGGAAGGACTCCTACGACTTTGGGTGCCACTGCGTGAGGCTTTGTCTTGGACCAGGGGGTAAAACATATCTCAGGCAGGACGCTGAGCTCTAGGTAGGGCTATCGTTTTTGTAGAAGCGTGACTTCTTGATACAACAAAGTAAGAGCTGAGGAAGGAACAGGGAAAACCAGTTTGGGCCCAGAGGGGAAAGAAATGATAGTGTAGTAGCCCGCGGTTTTGCAGGCAGTTGGGAGTAGCAAGCCACCCTTAGGGGGAGGATAATGTTTTCTCTACCTTAAGGGAAAATGATAGCTGACTTGCAGAGCAGTGTGCTGAGACAGACATGCTGCTACTGCAGTGGAAGGGGGTTGCAACGTATTGTCTTCTGTCTGGAGAGAGAGAGAGAGAGAGCGCGTGTATGTCACGTCTGTGTCCATAAAGCTCTCCGATCTGCCCACCAACCCTGTCCCCCACCAATAACATCTTAAAGAGAAGAGGTACAGGAATGTTTTACAGTGAAAAGATTACAGGGCTGGAAATTAGAAGCCACAAGTTCTAATTATGTCTCATTGCTAACTTCTGGTGTGATATTTTCTCTGGGTCTCTCATTTATCGGGGAGTTAAACTAGGTATGTCCAGTAGGGGTGAGGGGTAAGAGTTCTCTGCCCATCCAGGGTTTCTACTAGAAGAATTTTGACTCTACAGATAATTGTGTCTTCCTGTATTGCTGAGGAATGTCCAGGTTTGTTTTATTGAGGGGCAGGGGAGCACATAGATGTCCAGTAGTCAGGAAGGTGGTTTGCAGGCCTTTAATCAGCACTGAGAAGAGGGAAAACTAACTGCAGTTCAGTTCTCAGTTCCACCATTCACTGGAGTGCTGCTTTCAACTTTTGAGCTCCTGTTTCTACACCTCTAACGTATCAGTGTCATCTCACCCTGGCCTTTTTCTCATGATGGTCGTGACTTTAGGAAACATGTAAGAGTAAGCCGACCTTAACACGAGTACCTGCTGTATGACAGTCACTCTGACAAATGCCTCCCAGTGTCTGCTCTGTGAAGGTAACTGTGAATGATATTACTGGTCAGGTGGGGTTGACAGAGGTGGCCCTGGCAGGAGACACTAAATGAAAGGTCATTTTACCCTCCTGGGGAGATAAAGTTGCAAAATTACCGATCAAGTCTGTCAAATCTTTTTAGACTGGGTTTCCAAATCCATACCCTCAGGCAACTAGAACAAGGCTGGCGAGCTCCACCCCCGCCCCTTCCCAAGGTGGGTGCCAACATGCTGCCCTTCAGCAGGGAGGACACAGCTGCCTCTGGGGCCAGTGCCCAGGGCTAGCCACAAAGCTGGCTATGGCCTCCCCAAGAAGACCCAGGACACATTACTCCCTGCAGAGGTTTTGCTGCTTTGTGGCACGGTCTAAGTGTCGCCCCACTCCCACCACCTGCCAGGCCCAGTGGGCTCCTGGCTGGTCCTCACGGTAAGTGAGTAGCAGACAGCCCACCTGCTTGATGTCAACATTTGTGGGCGCGGCCCGGGAAGAATGTGCCGCTCCCAGCCTCCTTGGCTCAGGTAATTAATCCCCGCAACTGACAGGTGGCAACAGGCGGCCCTTTGGCTGGAGCCATCAGGAAAAGTGCTTGGAGGAAGGATTTTTTTAAAAAAATGATCAAGAGCACAATTCGTACATGTCTGGCAGCTAGACGGCTGTGGCAGGAAGGGAGGCAGGGAGAAGTAAATACCTTGCCAAGACGACTGTGGGGCCAATGTTGGGATCTGCGTCTGCCTGATCATTGTGATAGATCCAAAAGGATATGGTGGCCTTGGACTTGTTTGCAAGCTCACTTTGCAGAATTCCCCTTCCTTTGATGTGGATACAGTCTTAAAATGGAATGCCTCATTTGTGAATCAAAAAATCCGGGGCCAAAGTTGGAGCCCCAGAGGAGAAATAATTTGCCCAAGATGATGCAGTAAGTCAGTGGGCAGGTAGAGGACTAGAAGCCAAACTCAATGCCTCTTGGCTTTGTTTCCATGATTCACTGGGCAATATTTACTGCCCCATTATACACATGTAGTTTAGAAATAGAATGACAAAACTGGGGTCCTAGTCAAAGGAAGGATGATCAGTTGCCTCTTGAAAGATATTAGTGTTTTCAATCTAACCACTTAAAGCTGACTTCTCAAGAGAATGCCCCCACCCCAACCCCAGACCACCTGTACCCATTCACCCCCCCTACTTTTTATTTTTGGTAGTTCGGGACACTGACTATCAGAACACATTGACCTGATGTTTATTAGGATGGATATATTAAAAGCCATTGAAATGAACACTTTTCCTTTTTCTTTTTTTTTTTTCTTTGAGACAGAGTCTCGCCTTGTCTCCCAGGCTGGAGTGCAATGGCATGATCTCAGCTCACTGCAACCTCCACCTCCTGGGTTCAAGTGGTTCTCCTTTCTCAGCCTCCCAAGTAGGTGGGATTACAGGCACGCGCCACCACGCCCAGCTAATTTTTGGCACGACCTCAGCTCACTGCAACCTCCGCCTTCTGGATTCAAGCGATTCTCCTTTCTCAGCCTCCCAAGTAGGTGGGATTACAGACATGTGACACCACACCCAGCTAATTTTTGTATTTTTAGTAGAGATGGGGTTTCACTATGTTGTCCAGGCTGGTCTCAAACTCCTGACCTGAGGTGATCTGACTCGGCCTCCTGAAATGCTGGGATTACGGGGGTGAACCACTGCACCCGGCCAACACTTTTTAAACATTACATTTTTTAAAAAATAATATCTTTCTCGATATGAAATTTAAAATGTTTTTCAAGTGAGTTTTTTTGTAGAGGACAAATCCAAAGTATAGTATATAATTAGCCCATATAACTTCATGTGATAATCAGTGTCTTTGAAGCAGACCAAACTGAAGCTGTGTCTCAGCGCTAAGGGTCTTTTTACATTTTACTGAATTGGATCTTTAGAATTAATTTTTCAAACCCTCCTTATCAAAAGTTATTGTTGGACCCTCAAATTTTTATTTTCATGTATCTCATTTCTCTTCCCTAAATCTTGCCTCCCACCAGATTAGCTGCCAGAACTTTATCTGGTTCTCTGGCAACCCTCCATCTGTTTTGTATGATTTTTCATTCCCAGCAGTTCTAATTATTGATTTCATCACCCTCTTACCCTTATAAAAGGACATTTTTAATTTGGCAGTCCCAAGGAATATAGCTTATAAAAAGAAAAAAAATTAAGTCACTGAATGTTTTAGGAGAGCACTAAGTTAAGACAGACTTTGTACTTGATTAACGGAATTGTTCTGAGAGCTTTAGAGCTTGACTTTTTTTTCTTCCTGTCAAGTATTTTGGGTTATTTGAGATAGTACAGACAACACTTTACCTCTTAAGTTTTTTGAACTAGAAGCCATAAATTAGAAGTGCACCTGGCATTTCCTGTTTGTGACTAGTGGCTATCTTTTAGATAACAGTGAAGTCCTCAATGTCCTTGATAGGTTCTTGGTAAACTGCGACCTTAAACAAAATGATGTGCAGGAGATCTTCGAGTAATTGTTTCATACAATGTTATTTTCTTATAACAGTGATGAGAAAAACAAATTGTTTTGTTATATGTGTTTTGCTTAAAGTTACAGTTCCCAAAAATCTATCAAAAATGTTAAATGAGGATTCATTGTATTTGTAAATCTCATTATTTTTCTCTCTTTTTTAAAGAAACTAAATTCAAATTCATTCAGAAAGCCAGGCATAAAGTGAGACTAATATGTTCGTTGGTGTATTTAAGCCTTTCTTAGAGTTTTCTTTTTTTTAAGACCTCAGTATAAGAACATGCCAGACGTGAATTGATCTGGAATTGCAGACTCGGGAGGGCTTTGATGCTACTCTATCTAGTTGCCTTCCTTGAAGAGGGATTGAGAAGAGAGGTAGGTTATAGAATTAATGATTTTTTTTTGTTCCGTGAGAGTTTATTTCATCCATAGTCTCTAAGATTTAGGGCTCAAGATAGCCATGTGATTTGAGATTTGCATGTAGTATGGCATTTCTTCTGGGAGAGGATGAAAGAGCTAAAGTTCTTGTTTTTTGGTTTTGGTGTAGTAGGCAGGGAGGGTTTTGATTCTACCTTTAGGAAAGGGAGGTGTTGAAAAATTACGCAGGTGTGTGCTGATATTACCTGGCACCTCTATGCATTGTGATACTGAATTACCAGTCTGCCAGCCAAAAGCGTGTAATATAGTATGTCTACTGAGGCAGGTGGTAAAGGTAGGGTCCTAGTCACTGGAATTCTTTTTTTTTCCCCCTTCTCTTTGCAACATATTATTAGTAAAGGAGCTGAATTTACTTGTTTTCCAAAATCCCCTGGAGTTGTTTTATTTGAACATGATATTTGGCTTTAAGCAGCTCACCCCTCGATATTCCAAACTTCCTCCCCTCCCTCCCAAAGCAAAACAAAATTTAGGCAAAGCTTACTTATCCATTTTGACAAGGATATTTTATAAAAAGAAGGAGTTTAGTTCATTTGTTAGTTTTCAGGAACTTCTTTTCCATGTCATTGTTGAAATATTTAGTTCATGTGGATGGCCAAAACTGTCATGTCAGTATACAAGGAAATTTGGTTGAAGATCAGTACAATATTAGGCTCATCATTCTTGCCCATGGGCTGGTGCTTCCTGGGAATGAACAAACTATTGAATATATGTACAGTATGTATACAGAAGAACATATATTAAGTTCTACTTTATATATTTATACATATATGATCAGAAATGGCCAGTAGGGTGTGTGTGTGTGTGTGTGTGTGTGTGTGTGTGTCATCAGAAAGATTACCAACACTTTGTTTTCCACATTCTTTTTTTTTTTTTTTTTTTTTTTTGAGACAGTCTCACTCTATTGCCCAGGCTGTAGTGCAATGGTGTGATCTTGACTCACTGCAACCTCTGCCTCCTGGGTTCAAGCAATTCTCCTGCCTCAGACTTCTGAGTAGCAGAGAT
This sequence comes from Homo sapiens, assembly GCF_000001405.40. NCBI lineage: Eukaryota > Metazoa > Chordata > Mammalia > Primates > Hominidae > Homo > Homo sapiens. Next base: position 189,846,825 of record NC_000003.12, read on the forward strand.
TACAGGTGTGCATCACCACACCTAATTTTTATATTTTTAGTAGAGATGGGGTTTCACCATGTTGTCCAGGCTGGTCTCGAACTGCTGACCTTGTGATCCACCCACCTCGGCCTCCCAAAATGCTGGGATTACAGGCATGAGCCACCACGCTTGGCCTTCCACATTCTTTATTAAAGAGTCACTTTGCCAGTGCAAATCTGGTAACTGCGTTCTCTAAGAGATTTGCACCAAATTATAAAATAATCAAATGAGGCCGGACACAGTGTCTCACGCCTATAATCCCAGCACTTCTGGAGATTGAGGCGGGCGGATCACCTGAGGTCAGGAGTTTGAGACCAGCCTGGTCAACATGGTGAAACCCCGTCTTTACCCAAAATACAAAAATTAGCTAGGTGTGGTGGCGGGCGCCTGTAATCCCAGCTACTCAGGAGGCTGAGGCAGGAGAGTCGCTAGAACCTTGGAGGCAGAGGTTGCAGTGAGCTGAGATTGCACCATTGCACTCCAGCCTGGGTGACAGAGCGAAGCTCAGTCTTAGAATAACAAAAATAATCATCATCATCATCATCATTATCATCAAATGGAAGTAACACTATACATTATCTATTTTCCCCTCTATGAATGATTAGCTCAAGATTTGGGGGGATCATGTAAGTTGCCAGTTATTTCTCAGTGAGTGTCAGATATTTATGACTTCTTTGAAGAGGCCAATCGTTTTTGAAAATTATTTCAGATGTGCTTTATTTCCCCCCACCCATCACAGTATTTTATTTCTGATTTCACTTAGATTTGCATAATGCAAAGAGCCACAGTTGCACTGGGGGTCCTTTCTAAATAGGCAACGAGGTTAGTGCAACCCACTGCTGACTTATTGAACCCAGGACCTGATGGAGTAGAGTTGATTCTTAAAGCAATGAGTGGGCATTTTGTGTTGTTTTTATGTTCAAGCTCCCATTGTGAGAATATGGTTACACTTTAGGGAAGAAAACCTCAACTCTTAGACAAACTTCTTTGCTTAACTAAAAATAAGTATATATACTCCTGTAAGAATTTGGTGATCATATTTTTATTTTTGTTAGTAAGATGGCCTCTGAGCTTTACACTTGATTGTCTAATCATATATTTTCTAATCATGTGTTTATTCACTCAAATTCACTCTGGCACGAATACACCAGTTCCACTTTGGCCTCATACTATAACTGTTAAAACTGTGTGGGACGTGGGGAAGAACACTGGTCTGTATGTCAAGATGGTCCCAGTTACTGAGAACTTTTGAGCAAATCTCTTCTCCTTTCTGGGGCTTAGATTCCTCATCGGCGAATAAAGTGGCTGAACCAAATGATCTTTAACTTTGAATTTTCCTGATCTAACTTTTCCTTTTCCTTTTCCTCCCTCTGCCTCCTCCTCCTCCTCCTCCTTCTCTCTCTCTCTCTCTCTCTCTCTCTCTCTGTTGCCTAGGCTGGAGTGCACTGGTCTGAGGATGGCTCACTGTAACCTCAACCTGCTGCACTCAAGTGATCCTCTGCACCTCAGCCTCCTACAGATGCCCCCATACCTGGCTTTTTTTTTTTTAATTTTGTATAGGCAGAGTCTTCTTGTATTGCCCAGACTGGTCTCAAATTCTTGGGTTCAAGCAATACTCCTGCCTAGACCTCCCAAAATGCTGGGATGACAGGCATGAGCCACTGAACTTGGCCCCTGATCTAATGTTCTAAAAAAATCTTAGCAAATGTGTGTTAAACTAAAAATGCTTTGAAATGGGATGACTCAGTAATAGAAACATAGAACCAAGCCCTTGCTTTAAGATGTCAAGTTGGATTTCTACAGAAATTCTGTAATTAGAATATAATATTGTAGTAAAAGCATTATCTTCATAGAACTAAGGAAATCTGAGTTCACTTCTTCATTACCCAAATTTAGTTGTGCAACCTTTAGAAATCATTTTATCAGGGATGCACTCCTGACCCTCTGTGATATCATGAAATACGTATTTGGACTTTGTCCAAGTTTCTTGGCATATAACTCCTAAAATCCTTGGAATTTCCAAAATGCTGCCTTTTTTGTATGCTAATGCTGGCTCATGGGTTCAGAATGGGGGTCTGGTCACTGGAAAGGCAAAGGCACAATTAGAGAGTCAGCCCCACCCCCCAGCCTCCAGGAAGGAGAGAGAGGCTGAAGGTTAAGTTGATCACCACTTGCCAATGGTTTAATCAATCATGGCTAGATAATGAAACCTTCATAAAAACCCAAAAGGACAGGTTTCAGCAAGGTTCAAGATAGTAAAACATGTGGAGAGTTTTAGAGGTTGAAGCCCAGGGAGGGCATGGAAACTCTGCACCTCTCCCCCCATACCACTCCCTAGATGTCTCTTCATCTTCATCCTCTGCAACATCCTTTATAATAAACCAGTAAATGTGTTTCCTTGAATTCTGTAAGCTGCTCCAGCAAATTAATCAAACCCAAATTGGGGTCATGGAAAACCCAATTTGAAGCTGGTTGGTCAGAAGTTCCAGAGGTCTGGATTTGCTCCTGGTTGTGTGTGGAGTCTTGGGAACTGAGTCTTCAACCTGTGCGATATGACAGATCTCCGGGTAGACAGTGTCACAGTTGAATTGGAGGACACCCAGCTTGGTGTCTGCTGCTTGGTGAGTGGTGAAAAACTCCCACACATTTGGCCACAGAAGTCATCTTCTGTGTTGATGATTGTTGCTGTGGTAATGTGAGAGGAGAGGAAAAAACACAGTTTGAGCATTTCCCAAAACATCCTCCAAGCTAAATAGACCCCCATGTTTTACCTTCTCTCCTTTTGCTTTTTTTTCAAGACATGTGTCACAATTTTAGAAATTATTTTTTTTAATGTCAGTACTTCCTTTGGATCAACTCCCTTAGTGTAAGGTTTACCGTTGGTTCCCTAATAGCCAGGACAAGGACTGGCATGAAGCGCGTGCTCAATAAATATTTGCTGAATTAATAAGCTTCACCTCTTTAAGTCTCAGTTTTATATCAGAAAATTAGGAGAAGAAGGTTTGGACAAGAGGTGCTATAATGTTCCTTCTGAGTTCTAACATCTTCTGTATTCTCTGTCTTCTAAAATCATAGGTCTGTAACAAGTTTACAGGTTGGTGCTACTCATAATAATTTATGTATTAAACATTTTAAGTGAGAAATATTTCAAGGTCAGGTGTGGTGGCTCATGCCCTATAATCCGAGTACTTTGACAGGCTGAGGTGGGTGGATCACACTTGAGGTCAGGAGTTTGAGACCAGCCTGACCAACATGGCAGAACGCTGTCTCTACTAAAAATACAAAAATTAGCCAGAAGTGGTGGCACTCGCCTGTAGTCCCAGCTGTTTGGGAGGCTGAGGCAGGTGAATTGCTTGAACCCAGGAGGTGGGTGTTGCAGGGAGCCAAGATCATACCACTTCCCTCCAGCCTGGGCAACAGAGTGAGACTCCATCCCCCCGTACCCCTTCCCCCACCGCCACCACCAAAAAAAGAATTATTTCTAACGTAAAAAAAGTAAGTAAATTAAGACATCTGAGTATAAGACAAAATGTTAACATTTTTCCATATTGCTTCAAATCTTTTCCTTAAATAAAATATAAAGCAAAAAGTACTCCTCCATTCTATCTCATTTCCCTTCTTTCAGCCATTAAAATGAATAAAATATACCTGTATATAAGAACATGGATAAATCTGGGAAGCATGGGAATTGAAAATAGATTACTAAGGCTAAATGTAGGATGATGTAAATTAAATTTTAAGGACACGGGGAGGGATAGCGTTAGGAGATATACCTAATGCTAAATGACGAGTTAATGGGTGCAGCACACCAACATGGCACATGTATACATATGTAACAAACCTGCACGTTGTGCACATGTACCCTAAAACTTAAAGTATAATAATAATAAAAATAAAAAAAATTTTAAGGACACGCAAAATTATATTACATATATTTATGGATGTGTATTAAAAATGTATGGGAGTAAATAAAATTCTTTTTTTATAAATGAATCTAGTAATTTGAAATGGTTAAGAACTTAATGATTATTAATAGATAAATATGAATTGTGTGATTTATTTTAAATGGTTAACATTCAAACTTTAGCAGACTTTTACTATGTCAACAAACACTTTCTCACCAGGTTGAGATACAGTTTTCACAGTGCTGTCTTAAAATTACTTAAGCTATGTTAAACACTTTATGTGGAGAATCTTAGAAATATGAGGCTTCAGTCATAATTGTTATACATGACTTTTATTTTGATCTTTGCAGTTGAGTAAGAATTTTTTAATCTATTTTTTCTTTCACCTTAAGAGATGTGAACTATAATTTTTTCCATTTTATATGTGTAATGGTGAAGTGGCCAAAATGTGGGTTAGATGTTATTGTATTTCAAAGCGAGCTTGGGAAGGGGCGCAAAGCAGTCTGCCTTTAAATGTGTTATTTCCAGCCAGGCGCGGTGGCTCACACTCGTAATCCCAGCACTTTGGGAGGCCGAGGCAGGTAGATCGCTTGAGCCCAAAGAGTGAGAGACCAGCCTGGGCAACATGGGGGAAACCCCGTCTCTGCTGAAGAAAAAGAAAAATAGAAAAAAAAATTAACCGGGCGTAGTGGTGGGCGCCTGTAATCCCAGCTACTCTGGAGGCTGAGGCAGGAGAATCACTTGAACCTGGGAGGCAGAGGTTGCCGTGAGACAGGATCGCGCCACTGCACTCCAGCCTGGGTGACAGAGCGAGACTCTGCCTCAAAAATAAATAAATAAAATAAAATGTGTTAGTTCCCCTTTGGAGCAGAAAGAAGTGGACACTTTTATAAGGTAAGGAGGGAAGTGAACAAGGGCAGGCGGTCCCCCTGCTAGCTTGGTGCCTCATCTACCTGATAGTTGAGTTGGCACCAACCCGGGCAGAAATAAGTTGTGAAAATGGCCAAGCAGGCAGACTTAAGATATGCCCTTCTGATGGGTGAAAGTCCCAAGGCCACCCCGTGAAGGTGAAAGTTCCATGGCAGGTGTTCTCTGGTTTGCAAATGGACTATCAGCTCTCCAGGAGAGATTTGTCTTGGAGCACACAGTTAGAACTTACCCTGCAGGGAGTATCTGGTGAGGAGGACGTGAAGGGTTATATTTGCATTTCTGAAGGGCTAAGTAGGAAACAGGGAACGGGAGGAAAGGGGACAGGATAAGAGAAAATAATAAAAATAATAGTAACTCATTCCTCTTTTCTTAGAAGAAATGGGAGTACTCAGTTAAGACTACATGAAGGCAGAGGGAGGGAATAAAAAGAGGAGGCAGAATTTAAATAGGATTTTTTAACTCCTAGTCCAATAAATAAATGATGCCCACAGTTGTTGGTGTTGGACAAGAGTCTGTTTTCTGTTGCTTTTAGATCTGAGAACTGAGCCCTCTCCTTCACAACAAAATTGGCCTATTAATTCCAGTGTTACTTCATGTAATTTTTTTATTTGTCCAGAACTAAAACTATCCTTTCTCTATTGTCGACAATTCCATTGGCTAAGCCAGGTTTCAATTGTCTGCTGAATATCAGGAGCTCTGTGTTAAAATTAACTCATTCATTCTGCTTTGATTTTAGAAAACAGATAAACAACTGATAGTATTTTTGCAAGCATCTTTTGTTCTAAAGCATAATATGTATTGGTCTGTTTTGGTACTTCCATGTATGTATTTCATGTTAAAACCAAGAAGGCTGAATTTAGTAAATCCAAAGAGTTTCCCCCATCATTTTCCCTTTTCATTCATTTCTACTGCCCTAGGTTGGGCCTTCCTCATTTCTTGTCTGAATAGCTCCTGATGGGTTTCCCCAATTTTACTTTGCTTGTTCCCACCACCTTTGTATTTCTGAATACAAAGAACTGATTAGGTCTTTCCCCTACCTTATAATCCTCAGTGACACCTCTTTGCCTGCTCATAGTAGTTAACGGTATCTTGTGACATCCAAGGCTCCTCAGAATCTGGTAAGTGCCTTTCTAGCTCAGCCTCATTGACTTCTGCTCGGCTACTCCTCCTCCTTCCCCCATCCCATCTATATTTCATCCACAGTTAACATCCCCTTGCTTTTACTGATGATATTCTGTCTTCATGGAAAGCCTACTGTTGTCTCCTGGCTTTTTCTTCCTTTCTTTCTTGGGTGCACAATCCAATTGGTGAATAATAACTTCTTTTTTAAGGCCTAGTTTAAATATCACTACCTCTATGAAAATTGTCTTTTCTATTTTAATTTTCTCTTTCTTATCCCAGCCAGTTCATCAGCTAATCTGGTGACTTCTCATCACCTCTACTGCTGGTCTAAGCCACTCTCATCTTACACTTGGATTATTGGCAGGAGCCCCCTGACTGGTCTTCCTGCTTCCGTCTTTGTTCCACAAAGTCTGTCCTTCACATAACAGCTACAGTAGTCTTATAGAAATAAAAATCAGACCACATCAGTTGCTCAAGCCCCTCTAGTGGCTTCCTATCTCACACGAAAAAAGCTCAAGACCCGTCCTGCTCTACAAGGCCTTGCGTGATCTGGGCTCCCTATTATCTCTGATCTTGGATCTTAACTCCTACCACTGCAGGCTTTGCTTACTTTTCTGCAGGTGCACTGGCCTCCATGGCAAGCATACCCAGCCAGGACTTTAGCACTTGCTGTCTCTAGTACTTGGAACACTATCTCTCCAGGTATATATATGGCCCAGCTCATTATTTCCTCCAGACTTTTTTCTTTAATATCATCTTATTGAAGAATTCTTTCCTAACAATCTTGGAAAAAATAATATCCTCTTCACACTCACTCCCCTGACTCTTGGCTTTTTATACTCTATCCCCTTTGAATTTACCCTGATTTACTTTTTCTTATAGCACTTATCACTATCTGACATAGTAGTTATTTGTTTATTCTAGAATTCTAGCATTTTTAGGGCATAGACTTTGTCTTTGTTTAATGCTGAATTTCCAAAACTAAAACAGAGCCTTGGTAATAGTATATGCTCAATAAAAATCAAATGTATTACCTAGTAGTTAATTGTTCTATCTCTGTAATCCCATAACACTTGCAGATGGTTCCTTTATACCCAGTGTATTTTGGTTGTTTTTGCTGTACTCTGCCTCTAGACTGTGAGCAACTTGAGGATAAAGATCGATTTTTTTCTTTCAATTTATTTTATATTTCAAGTACCATCCTAGGCAGCATGGATACATAAAATTCTGCATTCCAGGATTTTAAAGTCTTACTTCTATCTGTTCCCAGTACAGAATAAGGACCTAGCATTGTGCAATACATGCTCAGTAAGAGTTGGCTAGATTAAGTATTGAATGTTGTACAAATGAGAAGAGCTAGCTCTCATTTGTGGTTTATGATGGCAACTGACTAGCAGCTTTTAGTGTAGTCTCTCCTATGTTGTTGTTTTTATGTTTGTTTGTTTGAGATGGACTTTTGCTTTTGTTGTCCAGGCCGGAGTGCAATGGCGCAATCTCAGCTCACGGCGACCCCCGCCTCCTGAGTTCAAGCAATTCTCCTGCTTCATCCTCCCGAGTAGCTGGGATTACAGACATGTGCCACCACGCCCAGCTAATTTTTTTGTATTTTTAGTAGAGACATGGTTTCTCCATGTTGGTCAGGCTGGTCTCAAACTCCTAACCTCAGGTGGTCCACCCGTCTTGGCCTCCCAAAGTGCTGGGATCACAGATGTGAGCCACTGCGCCCGGCCTCTCCTAAGTTTGTATTAAAATATTAATATTACAAATTCCAGAAAAAATTAAACTAAATTGGACACTCAAGCCATTGGCAGAATTTTATAATAATTTTATGCCCTAAAAGCCTGATAGGATAGAACTGAAAAATGTCAAAATGAAATGAAAGCTGCAAACACTAGCTGTGGCTATATCTTGCTATGTTCATGGAAAAGTAAAAAAGCGAGAAAGGGCTTATATTAAAAACAAACAAAATCCTATCTATAGGGGAACATCGTTTTAAATACTCAAGAAAATCAACTTAGGAACTGGAAGAAATATTTAGAAGATTACTTTGGTGCAAATTAATAAGACAGTAACACTGTAAAGTTGGGAAGACATGGCAAACCTAAAATTGCAGGCTGAGATGTAAAGAGGACTAGTAAAAAGGGATGAAGATTAAATAAGGAAGGACATTTGAAATGCAGCAGAAGAAGTGAAAGTATTATTTGTAGTAGAATAGAGCAGAATTAAGTGTAGAAAACCATACACATACTGAAGACAAATTTAAGAAGCTTTCCCAAAATGCAAACAATAGGAAAAACTGCATAAAATATATGGCGGATAGAAAGTGGAGATCCTAAAGTAAGACTTAACGTGTTTCTGGAAACTGATACGAGCAGAAGAAACAAAAATACAATTGAAGAACAAAATGTATTGAGGTCAAGCATGAAAGTTAAAAGGACCCACCAATTTCCAAGTAACTTCCATTTTAAAAATCACATTTAGAGACAGTGCCACTTTATTTTTTAAAAAAGATAAACAAAATTCTACAAGAAACTATGGAAAAATAAGCAGCTTACTTAATTTAAAGAAATAAAATTCAGATTGACCTTGGACTTTTCTACACTGAAATGTACATTGACTCAATTACTCTGTTTTAAGAGATCTATCTAAAGCCAATTTATATACTAAACTGTGCTATATGGTGTTATTTTTAACTGGAGTAAAATTTATACAGAAGTATACTAAATTATACTATTCTACTAAAAAGTTACAATTAAATAAATAATGGTATATCCCTTTTTAATACTGTGACAGCCACCACTTAAAATCATGTTTTAAAATTAGAACATGCTCATGATATATTAAATTATAAAAAGAATACCGTCTTTGTATTATATGCCCCTAGTTTGTGTGTATATATGTGTGTGTGTGTGTATGTATGTATGTGTGTGTGTATGCACAGAAAACGGTCAACAATGTTAATAATGGTATGTATCTCTTGAGTAAGCAAGAAATCATTTTTTTCCAGAATTCTGTGTGCACATGTTTTGACAATGATGAAATATTAATAAAAGGCAGATTGTAGAAAAAGAGAAGTTGGGGAGACGTTGACAAAAGTTTTAAATTTTCTGTAACGGCTTCTCATAGTGACAACACTACAGGGCAAGGTACTTTATACCTTCACATAGAAGGTTTGAAATATTTGCTATCCACCCAAAGAGCTGCTGGAAATTTAATACAATGGGCTGGCATAATCAAAAAAGTTCTTAGCTATAGAAGATATTTTTTCAGGTATAAAATCAACTGAGTACTTAATTTAATGCCTATAAGTAGGAGAAACCTACATAGAGATATAAGGTAACCCTGGGAATAGCAATTAAAAAATCTGTTTAGAATGGTAAAGAAATGTGTAAAGGAGAAAATAAGTTTGAGCTAGAAATGGAACCCGTGAAACAAGCAGAAGACCTAGAGAATTAATTTTCTTAGGAATGTGAGTAAGTGTTGTATTTGATATACTGGTTATGAGGACTGATAAAAGATTTAAAAGAAATGCTTCACATATGACTCAGTATTAAGAATTAGATATATCAAAACTTTGTGGACATAGCTAAGAAGTACCTAGAAGAAACTTGGTAGAATTAAATGTTTATATTAGAAAAAAACGTGAAAGTCTAAAATGAATGATATATGATTCTAGTTCAAAAAAATAGCAAACTCAACCCTGGTTTGATTATTGCAGTCACATAAAAATAAAAATTTAAAGGTATGCAGATTTGAAAGGAAGAAGTAAAACTGTCCCTGTTCATAGTTGACATGATCATCTATGTAGATCGTAAGGAAGGCATCTACAAAAAGCTACAAGAACTAGTAAGTTTACCAAGGTCATAGGCTACATGGTCATTATACATGAATTAATTAGGTATAAATACATGACATAGTATAAAACGCATTAGAAACAAAAAGAAATTTTCATTTTTAAAAGTACTGTTTATAACAATTATTTTAAAATAAAATACTGAAGGATAAATCTAACAAAATAGGTACAGTATTTATACACTGAAAACTATAAAACATTTCTGAGTAAAATTAAAGATACTCTGTTTAAATGGAGAGATATCATATGCTCATGGTTTAAAAGACACCACATTGCTAAGGTATCAGTTCTCCCCTAAAAGACCTTACATATTTAACACAATCTCATGCAAAAATCTTACCAGGCATTTTTATGGAAATTGTAAACTGCATGTAAATTTTGTATGGAAAAATCAAAGGATATAAAATAGCCAGAACAATTTTTAAAAAGAACAAAATTGCAAGAATCAGACTACCTGATTTCAAGACTTACTATAAAGTAGATTAACCCAAACAATTTGAAATTGATATATGGATAGACAAATAGATCAATAGGAAAGAGGGAAGTATTCAGATACAGACATGAACACATATGACCAATTGATTTTCAATAAAGAGTCCAAGGCAGCTCAACAAGGGAAAATATGCAGGTAATCTTTTCAACAAATGGTGTTAGAACAATTGGATATCTGTTAAAAAGAGAAGAATTATAAACCCTTAACTCACACCATATACAACAATTGACTGAAAATATAGTTCTAAATGGAAGAGCTAAGACAATAAATCTACTTGAAGAAAACATAGAAAATCCTCCTAATGTCAGGCCAAGATTTCTTAGGATATAAAAAGCAAGAGCTTTCAAGGGAAAATATTGATAATTAAGTATTTTGGGAAAGCAGGAAAAAAGCCAAGCTACAGGCTGGGAGAAAGTATATTTTTAAATGTATATCTGATAAAAGACTTGTAGCCAAAATACATAAGGGACTCCTAAAACTCACATTAAAAACAAAAGCAACCTAACTGACAAATTACCCCAAATCGCCAAAATAACCCAATTAAAAAATGGCCAAAAGACCGGAATGGATATTTGTCAAAATAGGATAAGCATATGAAAAATGCCCAATATCACTAATCAGGGAAATGCAAATCAAACTACAATGAAATACTACTTCATTTAGAATGGCTATTAACAACAAGATAACTGTTAGCGAGGATGTGGAGAGAAGAGAACCTTTACATACTTTCAGTGGGAATGTAAATTAGTACAGCCATTATGGAAAATAGTATAGAAGTTCCTTGAAAAATTAAAAATATAACTACCATGTGATCCAGCAATCTCACTACTAGGCATTTATCCAAAGGGAATAAAATCAGTATGTCAGAGGGATATCTTCACTCCTGTTTATTGCAGCACTATTTGCAATAGCCAAGATATGCAATCAACCTAAGTGTCCATCAAAGGATAAATGGATAAGAAAATGTTGTGTATAGGCCGGGCGCGGTGGCTCACGCCTGTAATCCCAGCACTTTGGGAGGCCGAGGCGGGCGGATCACGAGGTCAGGAGATCGAGACCATCCTGGCTAACACGGTGAAACCCCGTCTCTACTAAAAATACAAAAAATTAGCCGGGCGAGGTGGCGGGCGCCTGTAGTCCCAGCTACTCGGGAGGCTGAGGCAGGAGAATGGCGTGAACCCCAGGGGGCGGAGCCTGCAGTGAGCCGAGATTGCGCCACTGCACTCCAGCCTGGGCGACAGCGAGACTCCGTCTCAAAAAAAAAAAAAAAAAAAAAAAAAAGAAAATGTTGTGTATATGCACAGTAGAATACTATTCAGTCAGAAAAACATAATGAAATCCTGAGGTTGGGCATAGTGGCTCATGCCTGTAATCCCAGTACTTTGGGAGGCTGAGACAGGAGGATCACTTAAGCCTAAGAGTTTGAGACAAGCTTGGGCAAAATAGTGAGACCCCATCTCTACAAAAAACATACACCAAAATTAGCTGGGCATAGTAGTGCGCACCTGTAGCCCTAGCTACTCAGGAGGCTGAAATGGGAGAATTGCTTGAGTCTGGGAGGTCGAGGATGCAGTGAGCCGTGATGGTGCCACTGTACTGCAGCCTGAGTGACAGAGCAAGAACCTGTCTCAAAAAATAAAAAAAGAAATCCTGATCCTGTCATTTGCAACAACATGGATAAATCTGAGGACATTATATTAAGTGAAATAAGCCAGGCACAGAAAGATGTAACCACAAGATCTCACTCAAATGGAATCTAAAAATGTTAATCTCATAGAAGTTGAGAGTAGAATAGGGGTTACCAGAGGCTGAGAAGGGGACACGGGGTGAGGGGAAATGGGGAAAAGATGGGTCAATGGGTACAATATTACAGTTAGACAGAAGGAATAAGTTCTGTTCTATTGCACAGTAGGATGACTATAGTTAACAGTAATGTATTGCATATTTCAAAATAGCTAGAAGGGAGGATTTTGAATGTTCTTACTACAAAGAAATGATAAATGTTTAAGGCGATGGATATACTACATATCCTAATTTGATCATTATACAATATAGACATGTATCAAAACATCACATTTTACCTATAAATATGTACAATTCTTTTGTATCAATCATAAAATAAAACCTAAAAAGTGAAATTTCTGTGTTACAAAGGGGGAGAACACAGTCTGTATTACAATTTTTTTAACTCAAAAGGTACAAAATATTTGAACAGATGCTTCAAAAAATATCAAATAGTTGTATAGAATTACATAAGTTTGTTTTTATTTTTATTATATATAAATATGAATGAAATAAGTACATGAAAAGATGTTAAACATTATTAATCATCAGAGGAATGTTAATTTAAACCACAATGAGATCTGCATACATACCAGAATGACATCAATTAAAATAACAGCTGACAATACCAAATGCTGACAAGGATATGAAGTCCTCATATATTGCAAGTGACAATGTAAAATGGCACAACCACTTTGTAAAACTATTTGGGAGTTTGTTAGTAAGCATACACTTACCCAGCAATCATATTCCTAGGTATTCAAGAAAAATGGAAATGTACATCCTCACAAAAATTTGTACATGAACGTTCATAATAGTTTTATACACAATAGAAAAAAATGGAAATAATTGGTGAGTTGACAAATAATGAAGTGCTATTCAAAAATACAATGGAATGCTGATACGTGCAAAAACCACAGATAAATCTCAAAAGCCTTATCACATAAGATTATATACTATATTTTTCCATTTACATAAAATTCTGGAAAGGTAAAACTAGTGGAGGAAACAGGTACATGATTGTTGAGGCCAGGAGCTAGGGAGGGGATGAACTGCAAAGAAGCAAAAGATAATTGGAACAGGAATGGAAATATTCTATATCTTGATTGTAGTAGTAGTTGCACAACGGTGTACATTTGTCAAGCCATCAGCTTTTGCACTTAAAAACTGGTATACTTTGCGGAAAAGTATACCACATAAAACAAAACCCCCATACAAAAAAGAATAAATTAGGCCTTAGAATGAAAAGAATCTCAAGTCAATGTTGAGGAGCAATTTAGACGTGAATTTTTTAAATTCCACAGAGAAAGAAAGATAGTAAAATAAGCCATGTGTGTTCAAATTTACAATTTCTGCTGACTTGAATCATCAGGGTATTTTAAAATCTTGCTGTAAATCAGATTCCCATGTTCCAATCTTGCAGAAGCCGGGAAAATTGGAGATGATGGTGCTATTTTGTAAGGGATACGGAAGTGGGCAAGTCTAAGGACTTGTTTATACACATAGACCAGGGAGACTGAACTTAGTACTGGGTAAAAAAAATAAAGGTCATCATGGAACAGATTTGCAAACAATGAAGTAAACAGAATAGCAGAGATTTGGCTTTGTAAAAAGAAAAAAAAGCGATTGTGCCAGACCACTTCAGCGCCTCTAGTTGCTGAATTGCAGGACTGGTAGTTGAACCAAAAGCAATAAACATAATGCATCTTGGCTGTGGTCAGATATTTTGATTTAGTCAAATATGAAGCCCTCACCACTAAAATTGGAAAATATGGTTTGCAGTACAGATACAGTACTAGCTGAAAAGTGATATCTGAATTGTCCTGGCATGACGTGGAGAGCAGAGGAAAAAGAGAAGTGTACCACACTGGGAATATCACTTTTGTTGTTGTAGTTGTTGTTGCTTGCTTGTTGCTTTTAATTTTTTTAGGTTTCAGATTCAGTAGGTACATGTTCAGTATTGTTACATGAATATATTGTATAATGGTGAGGTTTGGGTTTCTAGTGTACCTGTCACCCAAACAGTGAACATTGTACCCAATAGGTATTTTTTAACCCGCATCCCCTCCTACCTTCCTCATTTTTGGAGTCCTCAGTGTCCATTATTTCCATCTTTATGTCCATGTGTATCCTTTTGGGGTTTTTGTGGTTTTTTTTCGTATGTTTAGTAGAGACTGGATTTCTCCATGTTGGCCAGGCATGTCTTGAGCTCCTGCCTGCCTCGGCCTCCCAAAGTGCTGGGATTACAGGCATGAGCCACTGTGCCCGACCACATGTGTCTTCACTACTTATCTCCCACATATAAGTGAGGACACATGATACTTGATTTTCTTTTTCTGAGTTGTTTCACTTAGGATAATGGCCTTCAGCTCAATCCATGTTGCTGCAAAGGACATGATTTCAGGGAATAGCATTTTGAATTTTGGGTGATGATCCTATGGTGTGTTTGAAGCATTAAAACGTTTGTATGGGTAGAACATGGGGTGAGAAATGTGTGTGGGTGGGGGTGGAGGGGTAGGGGGAATTAGAGATAGATAAGGCCATAATACAGAGGGCCTCATAAAGTCCTCAATAAACCATGTTAAAGAGCAAGACTGTATCCTTGAATTCCCAGAAGCAGCTGGTGTAATCGTCCAGGCTGTCTTCCACCTAGCCCAAAGTTTTTTCAACTCTATCACTTGCTGCCTCTCCCTACCATTAAATGAGTAAGCAATATACTGAGAAATTAATAAAACTATGTTAAATAGACCACTTTTGAGCTCCATTTTAATGCTTGGAGAAGAGTCGGTAAGCATTGTAATTGATTCAGAAAAGAACCACAATGTTGGAAACTAGAAAAAGGTAAACATTTGCATGGCTGAGTTAAGAGAACAGAGACATAAGAAACTGTTATTACAGGACTAGGATAGACTCATATACCAGTTACTAAGCAGGTTCTTGGGCAAGTCCTTTCTGTACATTTATTTTCTTATTTATAAAATAGGGATGATAATTCAAGTCAATTATCTGTTATCTACAATTCTGAAGTTCCAAGAGCTCTGAAAATCAGAAGTTGGTTCAGTTTTATTTTGATTTCTTAAGTTTGTGGCACACTCATTTGATGGTGAAACCCAGGTTTCGTAGTCATTTATCAGTTAGTGTGAATATTTATGAATTCTGCAGAAATAATGTTTGATCTTATGGTGCTACCCTAAATTCTGCTGGATACATTCATATGTTATGCAAACTACTATTTTTCTAAAATCTAAACAATTCTGGATTCTGAAAATTCTGGCCCCTGTGGTTTCAGATAAGAGACAGTATGCTTGTAATACCTTCCTCTTAGGGTTGTATCAGGATAAAATTTCTTAAGGCAGAACTCAGTAAACGATGAAGCTATTATTATTTATCATTAATTAAGCTTAAAAATTAGATTCCCACCCCCATCCCCGAGAATGAACAAGAATTAGCACTTGACGATCCTTAATTTTATTCTTAATGCTTTTATACTGTACTCTCTCGAGCTTGATTTATAGTATATCAGTTATTAAAATGGAATGTTTTCCTTAAGAAACTTCTACGCTGAACACTTAACCTTCATTTCTGCAATCTTTACATACTTGGAAGGATACCTTATTTGCCTTTAGGTATTAGTTGACAGACTTATTTTTCAGTCATCTTTCCTAAGGGTCATCTTACGAAATTCATGGTTAGATTATGCGTTATATACCTCCTAACGAAAACACGAATGGATATGCTTATTTTCTTCAAGTTCTCAATAAAAGGAAGTTCTTAACATGTCATAAAACAAGTTCTGTGTAAGTCTTTAGTTAAAAGCACTAGAGCAAAAATACCCATCTAGATTTCATTCAGTGTTTCCCAAGTAGAATTTTATTTTTGTGGTTGAAGTTTGGCATGTTTCCTATTTCTTCAAGCTATATAAAACCCTTTTGCTGCGTCTAATCCATGGCCTGCGGACATGGAGGACTGATTTTGCAATACTTTTCTAGCATTGGGAAACTTCTAACTAAAAATTTTGTGTGCTGGAATACTTGGAAGAAAAGGAAAGGTCATTTAAACAAATACTATATTTTAAAATGAAGAAATAAAGCAACATTTTAAATGTGTGATTTTTGTTAAGATACTTGCCATTAGTGAGAGTTAGGGTGGGACATATCAGTAACGAATCCGATTGCCACTATGGCTCTGCCCCCCCACCATCTTTCCTCTGGGAGGATGTTGGGGCCAACTTACGATTGCAACCTGTGTGTGTGTTTATCCTTTGTTTGGATACATGTTACTAGGTGCCCCACTCTTGGCCAGCAATTCCAGTGCCTGGGTGGTTTGCCTGAGCAAAGTGCCTGAGTGGCTAGGAATGTAGAGATAGGGCTTTGACCCAGAGCACAGGGATGATAAGGTTTACTATAGTGTAAGGATTAGAATGAAGGTTCTCTTCTGCTTCAGAAGTGGGAAGAGGAAGCAACACAGGATGGGATCTCTATCTGGTTCTAGGTCTCAGGCTTTCTCCAGCCCGTTTTGCCAACTTACAAGCAACTAACCACCACTAAACTTCCTCTCCCTGGAGAAGGAAAAATTTCACTCACTTGTGAGTGAGAAGATCTGCATCCAGATCCTTTCTGTGCCATGATTAGCTGTGCTACATCAGGCCCGGTGTTTTCAGGAGTTTAGGACCAAACAGCCCCTTTCAGCTCTTGCATTCTCCTAGTCTTTGACATCAGAAGGAAAGTGCAGGCGTTCAAGGGAGTTCTTGTTTTACAGTTTCAAGCGATCTGACGTCAGGCGAAATCTCTTCACTCTCTAACAGATATTCCATCTTAAAAAAAATCCCATGAACCCTAATTCCTGTGAGTGTCTCTAAAGTATATTAAAGACTGGATTAATTGTAATCTAGGCAGAAATCTGTCTTTGTGGTTGTTGTTTAATATCACTCAGTACATGCCAATACTCTTCTTTCACTTAGCTTCTGGTAATCTATGAAGCTACTCGTGGTTTCATTCATTTAAACCCCTCTGAGCCTCAGCTTCTTCATGCTAAAGGAAAATAACAGGAAATAATGGCATAAATGTGTTTTGATAAACATAAAACCTTTTGTAAACATGGGGTTTTATTTATGATAGCACAAAATATTAATATAACTTCCTCTAATAACATTGACATACGTCACATCTATAGTAGCCAGTAGTAAACAGGCAGCATGCAGCTCTAAAAAGTGGACAGATTTTCATTGTTCTGATTTGGAATGTAACAATATCTCCTGTTGGTTCTCTCCTTCCTTTCTCCACTGGCCCCAACTCTAAGCAGTATTCCACTGAACTGAAGAAACTCTACTGCCAAATTGCAAAGACATGCCCCATCCAGATCAAGGTGATGACCCCACCTCCTCAGGGAGCTGTTATCCGCGCCATGCCTGTCTACAAAAAAGCTGAGCACGTCACGGAGGTGGTGAAGCGGTGCCCCAACCATGAGCTGAGCCGTGAATTCAACGAGGGTAAGCAGAATTTGAATCTCTAACTGTTCAACCTCCTTGAAGGTCAAGATTCTGTGGGCATTTTTGTTTGAGACCCACCTACCTGATTCAGACTTCTGCACTCCGATGGCAGATCAGTCTGCCTTTTTTTTTTTTTTTTTTTTTTTTGGCTGACAGTATCTAAGAATAATGATAAATAAATTCATGGCTTTCACAGTGGTTGAACTATTTAATATTAGTAATTACTAGATGACCTGAACTACTGGTTATCTTTACTCCTTCCTGCTTCCTTCTTTTTATTTTTCTTGCCTTTAAAATAAAATAAGAGGCTGGGTACGGTGGCTCATGCCCGTAATCCCAGCACTTTGCGAGGCCGAGGTGGGCAGATCATGAGGTCAGGAGATCGAGACCATCCTGGCTAACACAGTGAAACTCCATCTCTACTAAAAATACAAAAAAATTAGCTGGGCATGGTGGCGGGCACCTGTAGTCCCAGCTACTCGGGAGGCTGAGGCAGGAGAATGGTGTGAACCCAGGAGGCCAAGCTTGCAGTGAACCAAGATGGCACCACTGCACTCCAGTCTGGGCGACAGAGCGAGACTCCATCTCAAAAATAAAAAATAAATGAAAAAAAAATAAGAGGGTGCCAGGAGACTACATGGTAGCTATTCTACTTGGCCCAGGCTACAGTTTCTTCAGATTTAGTGTTTTCCCAGAAAGATTCTCAAGTCTAGACCAGTTGAGACCTGGAAGGGTAAGAGAAAGGAGCACCAAATGAAAGAAATAATGAAAAAACCAGAAGAAGAAAAAGGAAAAAAAGATGAGAAGGCAAGTAATGGGTAAGGGGAATAAATAGAAGGCCTAGAGCATACTGTGGCCAATCAAATAAAGGACTGGGAGTGGAGGGATGAGGTATCATGAAGGCCACCTTTAGACGCTATATCCATGAATAAGTCATGCCTCATATTCTACATCTCAGATCCTACAACAATTTAGCAGAAAAGGTCAGCAATGCCAAGAGTTCCCTTAGATCTGATATTATAGTTCCATGAAGGGAGACTAAACAGAGAGTGCTGAAAAGTGGAAGGTAAGAGCAGGATAAAGCATAAGCAATCCTCAAAGAGTATTGAGGGTGCCAAAGGTGTTGGGGGTTAGGATACTTTATAGAAAAAATATTAAAATATAAGGATTGATAAATATAGAGAGTATAATTGTAGAGAAAATCAATGGAAGAAGAAAGAGAATGGATCGGAATTTAAAAGAAGAAAATAAAGTCAAAATTCTCTTTAAAAAACTATTTTTTACACATTAATTTCAAGTCCTTGCCCACATGGCCACATTATCCGTACATTTATCTCTTGCTTTTCACTTAACAATCTGCCATAAAGAATATTGCAATATAGATAGACTTCATTATCAGCCTCCCTAACTTGGTATTTCACCAAGATAACATACTATTTGTAAGCGTTTTCCCATTTTTTAAACATAAAAATTGTTTTTAGTTTTAACCATAATAGATGATGCAGCAGAGAACATTTTGATATGCTTCACTTTTTACTTTTATTGAATGGTTTTTGTAGACTGGGACTATAGGACCTAAGAGCTGTTAAAAACAGCTTTACGGGTCCCAGTTCTTGGAGCATCTTCTTTTTTTTGGAGCTCTGCTAAATATCACAATTTTATGAAACTTTACTCAGTCTCTTTTTTAAAATTGCATCCCTTTTCTTACACCCAACTTGGGACTCCTTCAACACACAAACACCAGAACGTTTCTTATCTTTATAATCAACACAATGTTTAAAAGTTGAGGAGGAGGAAAGAAGAAGAAGTGGAAGTCATATCCTTGCTATCTTCTGCTTCTCAGTGTATTTGCTGGTCAGACTTTTGGGCAGCATTTTCTCAGTTAAACTGATTTTTTTTTAAATTAATTTGCTTATTTCCCTTTCATTTTCCAGGAAGCTGGCAAAATTTCCTCCACGATGAGGTCAGAGATGTAGTTATAGAGTTCCATAAAGCTTGAATCATTAATCTTAAACTCCAAATTATAGGACTGTTCCCTTAACTGTAGATGTGCATTCCAGCCCTTTCTGTTGCTATAAAGGTTATGACACCTTCATGTATTTGATATCTGGCTATGGGATCTGTTCGTTTCTTCAAGGATGCACATTTTCTTTATTATACAGACTATTTCTTTTGCCACCAACATCCTGTTCATGCAATTTCATTTTATTTTCTTTATTTTTAAGGTAAAGAACTAACTCTTTTATTGTTTTCTGCTCTGCAGGACAGATTGCCCCTCCTAGTCATTTGATTCGAGTAGAGGGGAACAGCCATGCCCAGTATGTAGAAGATCCCATCACAGGAAGACAGAGTGTGCTGGTACCTTATGAGCCACCCCAGGTAAAAAGCAAAAAACCAAACCAAAAAACAACACCTCTATGGACTGAGTAGACTTGAGAGAACATCTGTTTCAGCAACAGGGATGTTTCTAGCATCTATCACTGTCTTAGTTCTTGTCATCAAATATATAATATTTTTGTATTTTTTTCTACCTGTTCTCCACATGCTTTCCCTTCAGAATACCTAAATATGCACTGAATCAACTTGGTAACATGGCTCTGTGTCCATATTCCCATCTTAAGGGCAGATAACAATTGAACTGGCAATTGGGTGTATACATGAGATTGTTTTATCCAACTGGCAGTTGGACGGGTAGTGGATAAGCAATAGTAGTGGATGCAAGTGTTACCATAAGTGGGAAAGCCTAAGAGGGATCTCTTAGCTGAAGTTTGAATGAACAGATGATAGATTTGTAAATCTGTTGCATGAAGCAGAGTAGTGTGGTTGAAAGTACACTGGTGTAACAGGACCCAAGTTCTTTGGTTTGCTGGCTTGCTGTGTGGACCTTCGGCAACTCTCTCTCTCTAGGCTTCAGTTGCCTTACCCGTACGTATGTACTTTGGACTAGATTATGTTTAATTCTGAGAACATTTTGAGCTCTAAGATGTTATTAATGGAAGTATATATTCAAATCTATATTGTACTGTTTTATCCACACAGGGAAAATATTCTTGGAGCATTGCTACTGTTTTTGGCAATTATCCCCAGTTTTCCCTTTTCAGTGATATTCATGAAGGTGGTATAGCCTATTTGAATTACATGATGTGGATCAGCTTACAAACGAACAGGATCAAAGATCACAAAATGTTAAAGCCTGTCTCACCTAAGGTAGTGTTCAGTGTTGCAAACATTAGCTTTAAGCTTCCCCGCAGGCAAGATGAAGAAAAATCTACAACAGGGTTCAGAGTTTGCCCTTTTAGGAGGAAGCGTATCACTTCATCAGAAGTGGAATTCCTTAAATAGAGGGAAGAACTGAGAAGGAACAACGTCAGTTTAAACCCTTGTTAACACAGATTATTTACCCCTTGTTTTCAGGTTGGCACTGAATTCACGACAGTCTTGTACAATTTCATGTGTAACAGCAGTTGTGTTGGAGGGATGAACCGCCGTCCAATTTTAATCATTGTTACTCTGGAAACCAGAGAGTAAGTGGCGTATGTAAAATTGTCATTCTACACAAAAAATCACGAGCAGAGGGCAAAGTGAAATCGTGGCTGCTTTATCATTAATTTTGCATGTGCAGCGGAGAGCTTGTCCTTTGTGCTCTAAATCCTTGCTACAAACGGTTACATAAAAGATCTAAGAAAGTGGAGACAAAGGAAGGTGGGTAAAGTTAGAAGGAAAAAAAGAGCTAGAAAAGTGTGCAAGTCACTTCATACCTGAATTCTTGACATTTGACTGGAATTGTTCTGATTAGACCATGGTCCTCAAGGCATTTCACAGTTTTTTTTAAGTCTGCGCTGCCTTAGGGGATTTTATCCTTGAGACATCCACTGGCTTAACTCAAGTTTCCTTCAAAATATGTAGCTAAATACAGCTGTTCAGCTAATAGCTCAGAGGTTCTTTGGAGAACAAATGGAATGTTATTTACTAATATTACTTGTGGCATGTTAGCACTTTTGTGTTCTGCCAAGTGCTTTTGGGTCCATTCTCAAAGCCGCCATGGCTAAGCTGGTAGTACGTTGGCGATGGCCCATATGGGAAGTGGAAGTGGTAGATCTTCAGGGGACTTTCAAAATGCTTTGAATTTAACTCTTTCTTCCCCTTTATTCTAATTCCTAGTGGGCAAGTCCTGGGCCGACGCTGCTTTGAGGCCCGGATCTGTGCTTGCCCAGGAAGAGACAGGAAGGCGGATGAAGATAGCATCAGAAAGCAGCAAGTTTCGGACAGTACAAAGAACGGTGATGGTACGAAGCGCCGTAAGTAGATGTAGTGGCCAAATGGGGTAGGGTTGAATCTTCTCCAGATGTTGGAGAATGGGGTGATATTGGAGAAGCTGCATGATAAGACCTGTGACCTTCAGCAGCAAGTGGGACGTCAGCCCTCAGAGCCAGTGAGAATAGGTATAGCATTGAAGTGGACTCCAGGCATGTACTACAGCTTTACAAAAACAAGTAGTCATTGTGACAATTTCTCAGTCCAGGGATTCTCAAAATGTGACTTCCACACCAGTAGCATAAACATCATCTATTCACAGACACACACCAGCAAGATACGGGCTTTCCTGCAACATTACTTAAGCCAAAGGCTATTTCCCAGCATACTGAATTTCTTTTATGTATTCTTCCCTACCATCCTTCCACCTCCTTATTGCTAGGATCACAATCAATGTAAAAACAATTGTCCCCAGTTAAATGGACGCTTAGGGCTAGAGCCTCTAATCTTACATGTGTTGCTGGTACTACTGTCTTTTTAATATGTATATTAAATCTGATTAACATTAATATTTAATTATTAAGTATATTTAATATGCATTAGTGCTTTAGAAGTGTTCCCAGGATGAAACTTGCATTTTTCCTCCACCAGCGTTTCGTCAGAACACACATGGTATCCAGATGACATCCATCAAGAAACGAAGATCCCCAGATGATGAACTGTTATACTTACCAGTAGGTCTTCCTTGGGTGTTCATGGTTGCTTCATTTTAACCTTCTTTGAATGGGCTTTTACAGTATGATCATCATCTCATTATCTGTGACAATGGGAAAGGAGGTGTCTTAGTCAGTTGAAGCTGCTACAACAAACTACCGTAGACTAGATGGCTTATAAACAACAGAAGTTTATTTTCTAGAGTCTGGAAGTCTGAGATCAAGGTGCCCCTATGGTCGGGTTCTGGTGAGAGTTCTCTTCTGAGTTGCAAACTGCCATTTTCTCCTTGTATTCTCATATAGTGGAGAGGGCTAGAGAGCTCTCTAGGGTGTTTTTTTTTTTTTTATAAGGGCAAAATCCCATTTATGAAGGCTCCACTCTCATTACCTAAATTACTTCCCAAAGGACTCACCTTCTAATGTCATCACAATGGGGTTAAAATTTCCATCTGTGAACTTTGGAAGGACAGAAACCTTCAGTCCATAATGGGGAAGAGGGGAGACGGTTGAGAGCTGGTGATACAAAGGAGAGAAAATATGTGTTTTTTAAAATTAGAATATTATTCTTTCTCTCCACAGTTTTGGACTGTATTACTAGCATGAGCTTCTCTACTTACCTACCCACCCAACTAAAGCTAAACTCCTAACAGAATTTTTCTTACCCTAATATTTAAAATTAATTTGTCCTTCATTATTTGAGAATGATAAGATTATCCTAGGCAGCATGGCCATAGAAATTTAGGCCGAAAATGTTGTCAGAAAAAGTTCACAAAATTGATAATGCAGCAATGATAGCCTTGACTTTGATGTCTTTTAGGCAGCACTATAAAGAAAGCCAAGCAAGGCAGAAGCCTGAATTACAGTCAGCCCTCCCTATCTGCCTGTTCCATATCTGCAGATTCAACCAATCACAGATCAAAAATAGTTGGAAAAAAACAATAAAAAAATACACCAATCAAAATAATACAAATATAACAACAATATAGTATAACAACTAATTGCATGGCATTTACATTATATTAGATATTATAAGTAATCTAGAGGTAATTTTAAACTATACAGAGGATATGCATAGGTTACGTGCAAATACTACACCATTTTATATAAGGGACTTGAGCAACCTAGGATTTTAGTATCCATGGGGGCCAGATGGGGGTGGGTAGTCCTGGAATCAATGCTCTGCTGATATCAAAAGACAACTGTGTATGTAAATGGCCAGAAGTCTTAGCCCAATTATTATGTAAGAACCTCATTAATTCCTACAAGGGACATTACTTCTCTTGCAATCACTAATGAGATCACTTTATTAGATTATGGTTGCAGTTAGTTAGTTGAATTCTTATTGCATTAGGTCTTTGCCATGTAGGGTGGCAATGACGTTTTGGTGGCTGGCATAGCCCTTGATGCCATCTAAAGCGATGACATGAGACACAGCCAAGCAGGGCCAGGAGATTTGACCATGAACTACTACCCTGGGATTGAACTAACGAAAGTCAACGGATTTAGGTGTGCTGCACTTTCTTCCTCATCTTCTTTGGGTCCTGACTCTCAGGGGAATAAATTGCCAGTAGACCAATCAGACGGTGAGTTAGCTGAGATTCCCAGTGTCTTGTTTCTCAAGGTATATATGGAAACTGACTTGTGATGTTAAAGTAAAACATTACCCTGATACACTAAATATTCCAAAAGTCTTAATATGTTTTCAGCTGATAAAACAGGAACTGCTTGAAAAATTATTTTAAAATTTCAGTTTGTACTAAGAAGGAGGTATCCTTCTTAGTGTCATGTCTCAAGTTGAGAGAAGACTTAGCCTAAATAATTTATGGGTGAGGAAAAACTCCATTAATTTAATATATATTTTGTTGGTGTTTGGTGAGTGGCAAATATGCTAGACCTTGAGCATTTAGAGTTCAGTAGGATACAATTCTTACTTTCAACTACCTTGCCTTCTATTGAGGACACAAACAGTTATAATGTAATAAATAAATGTAATGTAATAAAATAAATATTCCTAGATCAAGGCCTAGTGCTGTGTGAGTACCCAAGAAGCTCCAAAGATGCAAAAACTATAAATAAGAGTAAGATCAAGAAAAGCTTCTCAGAGAAGGGGTCCCACAGCTGGGATGAGTAAGAGTTAATTCAACAAAAGGTGGAGAACATTTTTCATTTCTGAATTCTGACTAATTCTGCCTTTCCTACTGGGTGCAGCAACTGGGGTAAGGCAGTTAAAGTGCCTAGGGTGCAAAATTTAAATAGTCACTCACACCCAAGGCAATGCAGTTGTGCTAAGTGCCTCTCTTGCCTCACTCTAGTCCTGGCCCGGCTCATCCGTTTTTTTGGTTTTTGTTTGTTTTGAAACAGGATCTCACTTTGTTGCCCAGGTTGGAGTGTAGTGGCAGGATCATGGTTCACTGCAGCCTCAGACTCCCAGACTCCAGCAATCCTCCCACCTCACCTCCCCAGGTAGCTGGGACCACAGGTGTGGGCCACCACGCCCACTAATTTTTGCACATTTTGTAGAGAAGGAGTTTTTTTCCCAGGGTGGTCTTGAACTACTGAGCTCAAGCAATCTGTTCCCTCCCAAATTGCCGGGATTGTAGGTGTGAGCCACCATGTCTGGCCCCTGCTCATAATTGTAAAAGCCTTTAAGAGCTTTTATTTAAAGATTTTAAGGGACTCTCTTAAAGAGAGAAACATATTTTATCCCACATGGAAACTTTTATCCTATCAAACATAGTTACAATCTATTCTTATTTTTTGTAGTAGTTTAGTTTTATGAAGGTGTTGCAAAAATGGTATTGGTGGATATGAATCATCTCATCGCTCCTAAGAGAAATATAGGATTGGGTTCCTATGCACCTCTGGTCACATACATTTCACAACAGAATAATATATCACTTCGTTTGTTGTGTGTTTCTGTTAAGAGACATTTTATTTAATATATACCGTTGACTCATTAACATCAGACTCGTGGCCAATTAGCCTTATAACTCATGCCTGAATAAAGTTTCTCTAACACACACACACACACACACACACACACACACATATTTTCTCCATAAGGCATGGAACGACCTTCTCTCACTTAGGGACACTAGATAGCACTTCCGCACTGCCCTTGAGGGTCTTTTAAATAACAAAATCACCAATGAAAAGCACAAAAATGTAAAACACGTGGCGCTAAATAGACCATGAAAAGAACGTGGGTTTACGGTATAAGAGCTACAAGATGACAGAGCATCTCCTTGTTCGAACCAGCTGGGAATGCACACAGGTGACTCAAATTTTTCATCACTCTGCCCGGGTCTGAAAGACCACAAAAGGGCCAAGAGTGTTGATTTTCATGTTACAAATAAACGTTAGCAAATAAACAAATTGCAATTACGGAATCCTCAAATAATGAGGATTGACCACACTTCTAACAGTTCTACAGCTTTTCATGTTTCCTTCTTTCCTTCTGCTCACTTCCATAGGTGAGGGGCCGTGAGACTTATGAAATGCTGTTGAAGATCAAAGAGTCCCTGGAACTCATGCAGTACCTTCCTCAGCACACAATTGAAACGTACAGGCAACAGCAACAGCAGCAGCACCAGCACTTACTTCAGAAACAGTGAGTGTATCAACGTGTCATTTTAGGAGGCATGAGTGAGGGTGACTTTATTTGGATCAGCAATAGGGTGATTGATGAGCAATGTGGAACATAATGGGAGATAGCAGATTGTCATAGATTCAGATGACCTGGTATGGCAACCCTCTTTCAGTTGCAACCTTTTTTACGTGTCTTATTATAACCTTCCCTTCAGAATTCCACTTATGTTCTGAAATTAAATACAAACCATTTCTGGTGAATTACAAAGAAACTCACACTAACAGTTCTCGTCTCTATATGCCTGGTCCATACACACTAACAGTAAGTACACACTCTATTTGGTAGTGATGTGTATATTTGAAAACATGAAATCTTTTCTCATCCCAATGGATTGTCTTATAAATCTCCTGGGATGCACACTATCCACTTTTGGGAATAACACTGTAGACCAGGGATAGCAAATAGGCTTTACTATAATATAAAGTGACTTGTTTGAATGCTGTAATGAGAAGAATTCTGAGACCTAGTGCATGATAATTGGGGAAATATCTGGGTGCAGAAGGATAAGGTAGCATCATGTTGCCGTATTTTAGAATCTCTGCTCTAGATTGTCTTCCAGCAGTACATTTTTGGCATAAATCAAGCCAGATTTTTCAAGTATATTACCATATACATATAACCTATTTATATGTTAAGCTTTGCCTTGAATCTTGGATCTTTCCTAAAGTGATTTTATGACTGACTAGAATAGAATAGCTCTTATGAAAGGATGAGAGGTTGACCAATCAGGACCTTGTTTATATTTACCTTTCTGTGGTTAAAAATAATCACTTGTTAGTTTAATTAAAATATGATATGTGTCCTGGAAGTATTGTCAGAGACTCTGTAGATAAGTGTAAAATATATACATTATGAGTCCACTTGAGTAATGTAGACTTTCAACTTCATACTTTAGGCAAAAAAGAAGTCAAAAACTATCTTCCAGAGGCAAAGATTATATTTTACAATAGAAATGCAAATGAACAATAAAAATGGTTATTTTCTATGTTATTAGCTGTTGTAGGGAGTCAGCTGTGGAAAGTGTAATAAAGAGGGCTTATGATTATTATTATTATTATTGAGTCTCGCTCTGTCACCCAGGTAGGAGTGCAGTGGCACTTTCTTGGCTCACTGCAACCTCTGCCTAGCGGGTTCAAGTGATTCTCCTGCCTCAGCCTCCCGAGTAGCTGGGATTAGAGGCACCTGCCACCATGCCTGGCAGATTTTTTGTATTTTTTAGTAGAGATGGGGTTTCACCATGTTAGCCAGGCTGGTCGCGAACTCCTGAACTCAGGTGATCCACCCACCTCGGCTTCCCAGAGTGCTGGGATTACAGGTGTGGGCCACCGTGCCGGCCTTGTTATTATGTTTTAATCAATATGAATGTATCTCTGATAGTAAAGAAACACTTTCTGAGCACCTGTTATCTACAGAGTGGAGTAGACGGCAGGGAGAAAAGAGGCACATTCTCTGTTCAAAGGACTCTAAGCTATTTGAGCATCCAAGATCCTTTTTGGCCCGAAGGGATCTCACCATTTACTTTTAGCATAAAAGTTTTGCAAATTTTAATGGTATGGTTTTATTTGTAAGCCTGAGCAGAAAGTTTAATCACACAGTGTATTCTGAAGGAGAATTAGAACTCAGAGTTGCAGACACAATTTCCATTGCTAATCATATGGATGTTTTGGGATATCAGATGGAAATATATACTAACATATTTAAGTGGAAAATGATTTAGTTCTTATAAAACCATACAACCAGGATCAAAGAAACAGAGACCTGTAACATCATTTATAGACCCAGGAGGGATATCTACCTTTCCTAAGATATGTGTGTCATGGTATTAAGAAATACCCTCAAATTTCCTCCTGTTCACTCTGAAAGTTTGACTATACCAAAATGACCTCCAAAACATCACTAAGTAATATATCATGCTGAACTAGTTGCTCTTCAGTACTCTTTCCTGTCTTTTTTTTTTTTTTTTTTTCAGTTAATAAGAAAAGGTCTCATATGTAGTACAGGAATTGGCAAGCTGCTTTTTGTAAAGTCCTGGTAGTAAATATTTAGATTTTCTGGGTCTATATTGTCTTTTGCAACTACTCAGCTCTGTGGTTGTAGCACAGAAACAGCCGAAGATAATGCATAAAGGAAAGAGAGTGGCTGTTCCATAAATGGAACTTTATGGACCCTAAAATTTGAATTTCATATAATTTTCACATGCCGTGAAATATTATTCTCCTTTTGATTGTTCCTCCCCCTATTAAAAACTGTAGGCCGGGCACGGTGGCTCACGCCTGTAATCCCAGCACTTTGGTAGGCCAAGGTGGGTGGATCACGAGGTCAGGAGCTCGAGACGAGCCTGGTCAATATGGTGAAACCCCGTCGCTACTAAAAATACAAAAATTAGCTGGGCAAGGTGGCACGCACCTGTAGTCCCAGCTACTTGGGAGGCTGAGGCAGAAGAATCGCTTGAACCTGGGAGGCAGAGGTTGCAGTGAGCCAAGATTGTGCCACTGCACTCCAGCCTGGGCAACAGAGAGAGACTTCATCTCAAAAAGAAAAAGAAAAAAAAATACATACATATATATATATATATATATATATATATATATATATATATATATAAACTATTCTTAGCTTGCTGTAGTTTGATAGTCTGTCTTATAGATAAATGCGTGGATCTCCTTTCATTGCTTCTTGAGGCTCCAATTTTGTTTGATAGGTGTACTTGGAAGTTAATATGTATATTCCAAGCTAGAAAGTTATTAAAAGATTTTAGGAAATCCTAAAGTGGTTTTTCAGGTGGCATTTCAGTATCTAATAAAAAGCAACACCAGCCTTGAACAGATATCTTTTTTGTCTGAGAAAGTGAGGCATGCCCATCCAGATATAAAATGTAGTTAACGACACAACCTCATTGTCAGATGAGGCTGGAATAGTTGACTTGATTCACGTCACATATTCTTATTGAAGATGTGCTATGTGAAAGCATTAAGGATAGAGGTGAGAAAGATGTAGCTCCTGCCTTCCCATGGTCTACAATTTAATGGTGAATTTCTAACCTTAACACTCTGAGTTTGAAGAAAGCTCTGGAAATTTATCCTCAGCATTGTGCAAGTTAATAGGACAATTTTAAACAGTTTCCATGGATCATATGAGAAAAAGAATAGTTTCATGTCATTGTTTTAGAAACTTGACAAGCCAGGAGGATTGACATCATTCAGTTCAGGGGCATATGCTAAATGTATTTGTTTTTATGGCATACATGAAAATACATAACCCTCTTTTTCTATACGATGAGTATCCAGTGCTTATTGTCTGACCGGCTCACATTGCTCTAAAGGGAATTTTTTATTCATATTTCATAAAATAATCTGTGTCCCCAGAGAAGAAAACACATGTTAATATTGTGTTATTTTTAAAAGCACACAAGATTTTAGGGACATATTTACACTTTTTTGCATGTGTGGCCACAGATAGATAGTAAAGAACTAGTAGCTTCATAGTTCCCTGGTGTGTTCATTTAACTGTATTATATGCATGCTTTTGAGTTGGTATCTCACAGCTGTGATAACTTGTGCATGGAAATCTAACAGACTGCAAAATTAAATCTTTGCAAAATATAGACATTTGGTCTAATTATGTCTTTGTAACATTATATATACATGGGTCTCCAGTGATTGATATGCATCTATATAAATCCTTCAGTTGAATTCTTCAGCTGAGTTTTTTTAGCTCTTATTTTCATGCAAATCTCCAAGAAAGAGCATGAATGACTAAACAAAGAAAAACAAAAATCTAATTTCCTGGCAATCATTTGAAAAGAATAAATCAGCTTGGAAAATACCTATAATAGCCTGTGATTTTCTTTCCAAAAAGATAGTACCAATTTTATGCTGGTAAGGAATCAATTTTGTATTTTTCTTTATAGTAGAGGGAAAATTAGTGGGAAGAGAACGTACTTTCTGTAAGGTGGCACTACAATATTTTTACTTTAATTACTTCTATTAGGTTCCCACTATGTGTTTTCTTCTGCCTGCTTTTCATTTGTGCATGGTTTTTCTTTTTAAAAAAATTTCTTCGCGTTTACCTTCATGATCATAGGCTTTATCGAAGATAGACTTTACAGAGCTGCTGTGAATCAAATTGTTATAGATACAAGTAGGCTTTATATTACGAAGAAATGTGATTTTAGTTGATTTGCTTACATTGGAATAAATATAGAGAGTTATGTTTCTAGATGCCAGAATCTAATAGAAAGACAAATCGGACCCTATCTTTAGACTTCTTGCCATCCTATTATCAAGGGACATCAACGCTTAAGACAGCTTTGCAGAAGCCTCTTGAGACCTATTTAGCAACGTTTTGACTTCTGTACTTCAGATCAGTACTATTTCTTTTTTCATTTGTTAGTTGTTTTCCCTTATTCTTGGCTTCCAACATAAAAGCGAGGCTGACATCACTTTGTTACAGTCTCGCTTAGGCTAGCTCTTACTTTCCTCTGGAAATTTATTTTTGAGCTTCTACAGGATGAATTTTATTTAAATGATAAAACAGATCTGTGACATCCTGATGAGCCCTTAGTGTTTCCTTCTCTTTTATGATTACTTGACAATTGTGGCTCATTAGTAACACAAGTCAGAGATTATTAGAACAAAGCAGGATCTCCAAGTCCATGGTTCCAGCCCCTCACACCATAGCCGGATAAACTGAGGCTCTGTGAATTTATAGCCAGTTTATAATAAAGCTAAGACTAGAATCAGATTTAGAACATAGAGCTCTTTGTAATGTTGTGTTCTGCTACATTGGCAGTTAAGTAAGTAGTTAATTATAAAATTTAAACATCTATTTCCATTTTTCTGTCTCTTTTTTGTAGGATTGTTTTAGAGATGGGGTCTAGCTATTTTGCCCAGGCTGGACTTGGACTTCTGGGCTCAAGCGATCCCCTGCCTCAGCCTCCCGAGTAGCTGTGGACCACAGGCACACCCCACTGTGCCTGGCACGTTTTTCTGACTCTGTTGTTAGTTACTTGGTATTTATTCTTGTAGGTTCACTTTAAAGTCCTGTATCTTTAAACTTGTTTGGCGATGGTTATCATCAAGAATATTGATATTTTTTTCTCAGATTCATGTATCTGAGGGAGAAGCAGGCAGTATTTTCAGTATTATCAATGTAGAAAAGAGAAAGGTACACGGTCTCCAAACTGATAGAAAATGTCAACACCGTATTTCTAGGTTAGACAGAGAAATCCTCCACGTTTCCAGAATATCTGAAATTGCCAGCTTTATAGGTTAAAAAGAGATGAATATTGATAATTTCATATGATTCACCCTTATAGTTATTATGGAACTACACAAGCTTTTACAGTTTCCTTTTTTTTTTTTTTTTTTTTTGAGACAGAGTCTTGCTCTGTCACCCAGGCTAGAGTGCAGTGGCATGATCTCGGCTCACTGAAACATTTGCCTCCTGGGTTCGAACAACTCTCCTGCCTCAGCCTCCTGCGTAGCTGGGATTACAGATGCCTGCCACCATGCCCGGCTAATTTTTGTATTTTGATATATATATATAATTTTTTTTTTCTTTTTTTTTTTTTTTAGTAGAGACGGGATTTCACCATGTTGGCCAGGCTGGTCTCAAACCCCTGACGTTGTGATCCCCCCGACCTTGGCCTCCCACAGTGCTGGGATTACAGGTGTGAGCCACCGCGCCCAGCCTACAGTTTACTTTTGAATTTCATAGTTATGAAGTTTTCAGGGCAGAGATTTATTATCTCTGAATTGGTAATGAAGAAAAACCATAGAGACGGGGTTTCACCATGTTGGCCAGGCTGGTCTCAAACCCCTGACCTTGTGATCCCCCTGACCTTGGCCTCCCACAGTGCTGGGATTACAGGTGTGAGCCACCGCGCCCAGCCTACAGTTTACTTTTGAATTTCATAGTTATGAAGTTTTCAGGGCAGAGATTTATTATCTCTGAATTGGTAATGAAGAAAAAACTCAATGATTAATTAAACTCAGATAGATTAAATTACTTTTGTAACTTCTCTCACCTCATTGCAGAATCAGGCTCAGTCCTAGGTCTTAGAGGTCTTTAGTTAGCTGTACATTGCTTCCCCATCCATTTTTATTCGGGCATATTCTGTTAAGATGATATCAATTCTTGCCGGTGACATGGTTTACTGAATCCTAGCATTAAGCAAATAAAAATGACTTTGTTCCTTTGAAAGGCATAGCCAAATGTGATTCAAGAAGCCAATCTGGGAAACAATTTCCAAACAGTTCATGAGATTGCCCAACTTTCAGCAAAATAAAAGGGTTTATTTCTGGCATCCTCGTGGTGTAAATAATTTCTTAATTATGCAAAAAATTGCTTTCTTGGGTTTGATATATGCATTTATAGGCCGAGTTTTTTACTCAAAGGATTAAGGTATTTATCCATCTCAATCTGGGAATATCCAAAATACTCATTAAACAGTTCTTTGTAAATGCCTGATGCCACAGGCCCCATTCTGATAATATCATATTTCTCTATACCTCACACTTAGGCTAGACAAGAACTGTAATGAGGGATAATAATTGACCAGATGACATTTTACAAAAGATTCAAGTTTCTTCTTCTTCATTCCTTTTTTTTAATTGAGTCCAGTAAACCGTATGCGAAGCACTGTGTTAAATACCTTGATCTACCTTATCTCAGTGGTCCTCGACTGAATCGCCTTGTGTAACTTATTAAAAATATGTTTTCCTGGATGCCAGCTTGTGTTGGAAGGGAGCCAGGAAAATGCATTTTTATAAGTTTCACAAGTGATTCTGATGTTTATTTCTGGTTAACTACTATAGCCTTATCCCATTTCTTCCTCATAAAAATCTTGAGAAGTCTCAGTAATTGTAAAAGAAGATAAATTGGAAGAACAAAAATAGCTTTTCAGGCACTCTATTCTGTCTATACTATGATCATGAAGGTATAAGGAGTGTGTTTCTGAATTCAATTGATTTGAATAGATGAAGTCCTAGGCCTTCATTTTTTCTTTTCTCTGGTTCCTCTCTGCAGTCTCCTTTCAGCCTGCTTCAGGAATGAGCTTGTGGAGCCCCGGAGAGAAACTCCAAAACAATCTGACGTCTTCTTTAGACATTCCAAGCCCCCAAACCGATCAGTGTACCCATAGAGCCCTATCTCTATATTTTAAGTGTGTGTGTTGTATTTCCATGTGTATATGTGAGTGTGTGTGTGTGTATGTGTGTGCGTGTGTATCTAGCCCTCATAAACAGGACTTGAAGACACTTTGGCTCAGAGACCCAACTGCTCAAAGGCACAAAGCCACTAGTGAGAGAATCTTTTGAAGGGACTCAAACCTTTACAAGAAAGGATGTTTTCTGCAGATTTTGTATCCTTAGACCGGCCATTGGTGGGTGAGGAACCACTGTGTTTGTCTGTGAGCTTTCTGTTGTTTCCTGGGAGGGAGGGGTCAGGTGGGGAAAGGGGCATTAAGATGTTTATTGGAACCCTTTTCTGTCTTCTTCTGTTGTTTTTCTAAAATTCACAGGGAAGCTTTTGAGCAGGTCTCAAACTTAAGATGTCTTTTTAAGAAAAGGAGAAAAAAGTTGTTATTGTCTGTGCATAAGTAAGTTGTAGGTGACTGAGAGACTCAGTCAGACCCTTTTAATGCTGGTCATGTAATAATATTGCAAGTAGTAAGAAACGAAGGTGTCAAGTGTACTGCTGGGCAGCGAGGTGATCATTACCAAAAGTAATCAACTTTGTGGGTGGAGAGTTCTTTGTGAGAACTTGCATTATTTGTGTCCTCCCCTCATGTGTAGGTAGAACATTTCTTAATGCTGTGTACCTGCCTCTGCCACTGTATGTTGGCATCTGTTATGCTAAAGTTTTTCTTGTACATGAAACCCTGGAAGACCTACTACAAAAAAACTGTTGTTTGGCCCCCATAGCAGGTGAACTCATTTTGTGCTTTTAATAGAAAGACAAATCCACCCCAGTAATATTGCCCTTACGTAGTTGTTTACCATTATTCAAAGCTCAAAATAGAATTTGAAGCCCTCTCACAAAATCTGTGATTAATTTGCTTAATTAGAGCTTCTATCCCTCAAGCCTACCTACCATAAAACCAGCCATATTACTGATACTGTTCAGTGCATTTAGCCAGGAGACTTACGTTTTGAGTAAGTGAGATCCAAGCAGACGTGTTAAAATCAGCACTCCTGGACTGGAAATTAAAGATTGAAAGGGTAGACTACTTTTCTTTTTTTTACTCAAAAGTTTAGAGAATCTCTGTTTCTTTCCATTTTAAAAACATATTTTAAGATAATAGCATAAAGACTTTAAAAATGTTCCTCCCCTCCATCTTCCCACACCCAGTCACCAGCACTGTATTTTCTGTCACCAAGACAATGATTTCTTGTTATTGAGGCTGTTGCTTTTGTGGATGTGTGATTTTAATTTTCAATAAACTTTTGCATCTTGGTTTATCTTGCAGTTTTTTTGTTTCTGTCTCTCTCACTTTTTTTCCACTAAATACTAGAATATTCTCATGTAAGTGCTTGAAGTAGCATGTGTAGGTCTAAGGAACAAGAATAATAATAGAATCATCACTTTGTTCCTACGTACATTTCTTCTGTCAGTATTTGGTATTTTTATTTAAGATACTCTGTATCAAGGTCATCAATCGTAACAAGGAACTAAAATGCCTAAACTAACTTAAAAAAATACTTTAGCTCTATGAGTTTTAAAGTTTGTCCTAGGAAGCCAGACACCATAGAATCATTTATTGACATTCCTGACAAACCTCTAGTTGTATGTTAATTCGCCAAATTTACTAAAGTGAATTTCAATCAAATCCAAATGTTTTAAATAACATGGCTTCTGTGGCATAGACATTAGCAAATATTTGGCCAGAAATCAACAGTGGAACCTATTGTCCAATTTTTTTTTTTACTTATGTTTTGAGCCCTGAATAATTGCTTTTAAAAGCTTCATAAGAAGTTCTAACCAAAAAAAAAAAATTAGTATTTTAGATAAATATTTCAGAAAAAAAAATCTTTATATTTGAGATAAAAGTATATTAGTAAAACCAGATGCTCCTGTTATATTTGCAAGGTGTTTTTCAATTGGTCTAATAACTTTGATTCACAAAGCCCTTAAAGGATTGGTGAGTATGTTTCGTTTTTTGATATTTGCTTTTCTTTCAGAAGGGTTTTTCTTTTCTTTCAGCCTTTTTTAAGTAAGTTTTTAATGTGTTTATAGTGACTTGTATATAAATGCACATATTTGAAATGATGGAAAATATTAGAAAATTACAGTTTTCCCATCTAGAGAATAAATGCTGCACTGTCTTTAGTAGCCAGATAACCCGGCTAGAGAGAAAGGTCACAGGTAGGCAGTACTGGGTAAAATTGAGAGAAGATATGATTCTTTTTCTGATGGTCCATGTTTTCCCTTTTTTTTTTTTTTTTCCTGACCTTTCTCATAACAAGGATGCTCTGCTCCGCCCTCAGTATCCCTTTCTGCTCCCAAATTCTTTACTGCAGAAATGGTTTGTTGAAATAGATTTGGCCTAAGCTATCACCAAATCCTACTAGAGGGTTGCTTTTTAATGAGCAGTGGAAGATTTTAGCCAAAAGAAGGAATCTAGTGGAATTCTAGACATCTAGGAGGTAGATAGTGTAACTTGTGTCTGCGCAGGAATTTTGATATTCTACCACATAGATAGTCACTAGGGTTGGAACCAGAAAACCTGATTTGAAGTCCTATATGTCCTAAAACCACTTCTCGCTTTTCAATTTTGAATTTTATTCTTCGGAAACTGTGCAGAAGCTTATATTGTTAAAGTTAAGAACTGGGACTTGGCTCCACCAGGATTTTTCTTCAAAGCTGGAAATACGTGAAATATGATTTTCTACATCTCTGTTACACTGAATTCTTAGAAAAATCTAGTGAGGCTCTAGAGAAAACAACCTGAGGTATACACCTTACGATTTTTTTCTGCAGACAGCTGGATTCTTACTTTTTTGGGTTTTGGATAGGAGAGGAGAGTGTAGGCAAGAAAACCAGAATGGTACAGGTCCTGTTATTCTTCTGAACACATTTTCCTTCTCTTTAGTTTCTCCAGAAATTTTTGGAATATTTCACTTAAGAACTATTGTATTAAATTTGTAATTTTTTTTAAAAAAGGTTGTTCTTCAAGGCTTTCAAATTGGCTGAGTTTATTCAGCCTTGCTTCCTTTTTCACCGTATGTAGTTTTCAGAATGCTTCTTCTAGTTCAGTCATTTTGAAATTAATAATAGACAGACTACCTTGCTTCCCTTCCGTGTGGCTTTAAAACTCACTTTCATATTAAAGGGAAGGCATTCCGAATTTCTGACCTTTCCTGACTGTTAACCCCATTCAACTGTTCACCCTCATTTCTGGGTATGTTCAATTAAGAATCCAACTCACCTCTGGCCACTTCCTCCTATTAATTCTTACATAGTTATCTTCTATGCCATGGGCCACATATCAGAGTGTTAAATATTTGAGGCTGGAGGGAAACAGTGAAAGAAGCTAAGAAGCTGATGTTTCCTGAGCACCTACAAATCACTGGACCCTGTCCAGGGCTGTTACATGATCTCATTCTTAATAGAAATCTTCTAGAGTAGGTACAATATCTAGGCTACAGGTTAAGAAAATGAGACTCAAGAAACTTGTACAACATCCTGCGTCACTAAGTTTGTGTTAGATGTTTTGATTGACTTAGAATCCATGTTCCTTCTTTCTTCATCTGTGGTTTCTGACCTACCCTCCTCAAATTAGTGGCTTATGATGAAAAATGGTAAATGAACTAATAAAATAGTCAAAAATAATAACCATAAGCTAAAGAAAGCAGGAGGTTGTAACAGGAATTGTAAGAAGGAATTTACTCTGAGCGTCCAGAAAAAAAAAAAAGCAAAACTTTTAAATGTATTTTTATTTTTCTAATTGTGGCTATTAATGATTCAAGCACTGCTTTCTATTAGCTCTTGCTGTACATTTGACTGGTTTGAGGAGGGACAGATAGAGAGGTCTCCTCAGGTTACAGAGGACCAACTGCATCAGGAATATGGGCTACCTGGAATCTTAGGTACTTTTCAGTGAGCAAAGAGAATTGAAGAAACATCAGCTGGCAGAGAATCTCCTTACTGCCTTGCCCCAAGCTTTCCTATACTCTGATGTGGACTAATGGATGAGCCTAAGTGCAGCCATATGTGCTGACTCTTTGAAAAGGTTCCCCCACAGGGACGGAGTGGATTCAGAAGTGCTTGGTAGTAGCTGGAGTTACCTCCTTTACCCCTCTTCCATCTTGGTCTCCTACATTTCTCTTACTACTTCATCTATTTCTTGTCCCCATAACCTAGAAAAAACAATAGGTGCCAGGAGACCTAGTTCTGCCCTCAGTGCATCCATTTAGCAACATGTGATCTTGGGCATATGTTTTTTCTTAGAACCTTATATTTACCCATATGTATATTTGGAATAGTAATTTCTGTCCATCTCTGCCCTGCTATACCATGACCTGCTCCACAAGGATGGTGTGACAATCATTCAGAAAATGTACAAAGAAGAGTTCGGTAACCTGAAATGTTTTATAGTTGGGAGGATTTATTGTATCAACACCAGTATATATATACAATGTGGATCTATAATTGTGAGTATTTGATAAGGGCTAAAGAGAAAAGTCAATGCCCTCCTACCTTAAAGGCAGTGATTGTAAAATACACCTGAATTGTTAATTTACATTAATTGACATGATAATTTATACACATTAAAATACAGCATATTGTTTGCATTCATCTAGCTGTGGCTCTCCATTGACATGGAATGGAGCCTTCCTTATTTTCATGTAATTATGGAGAGAATGCAGAGTGGCAGCTTCGAAGACCATCCCTACGATTGCAGCACCTAAGTGCTAGGGCCATTTTTAAAATGATTTTTTTCAAATATTATGCCATATAGGCTTGGAACCTGGGTCCATTTACAGAGCCTCCAAAATTTGAATTATACATATATATGCAGATAAAACTCAAAGAAAAAATTTGTCTCCCCTCTAATGTAAATATGCCTGTGACAGGGAAAAGGTAAACAGGAACAACATAATTCGCTTTGTTTGAGAATTGTTAAAGGGGAGTTTTCCCATAACAGACTAGACACTTGCTTAAAGTCCAGTCTTCATTCTGTGGTCACAGTAATTCAGTGTAGATGCTGCATAGTCTGTACATTTCTTCCTCATCTTCTCTTTTTCAGTTCTCATCATAGCCGTATAAGGTAGGATGGATTATTATATCCATTGCCTCCACTACTCTATGAGTGTCTCAAAGATGGGGACCATGCCTTAAGTTTTATTAACTTGAACATCTGACTCATGCAGCAAGTGTAAATGTATGTAGTTTATATAGTTTTCTTGTGAGAAAACAAAGGCCAGGATGTTAAGTAGCTCGCATGGGCATCTATAGCATCCTAACAGATGACGGAGGAAGGCTTCATCTCTGACTTTGTGACTCTCATTGTAGTACACATCACTAGTTTTTATATTAAGATAAAACATCAGGAATGACAGTTGAGTTGGGAATATTATCTGTTAGATATAATATGACAAATGAGTTCTGGTAACTTTCCAAATTGAAGATCATGCTGAATGGAAAACTATTGGGTTTTTCTGTTGCTTTGTTTTTTTCATTTCTCCCAGGAGACTTTTGGAAAGTCAATAGAATAGTTATTTGGGCTTCAGCGTTCTCCTGTGTAGAAATGCTTTTGACATTCCAGTAGGTTCTCTCATACATCATGAACATCTCTATTGAAAATGCATGTTTCCAAGTAGGGGCCTCTGCATGACAGCAAGATGAGCTGCCAAATGCCCAGTTTGATTGGGTTTGTAGTCATTTTCTGCATATCCCAAATGGAATATACAGAAAGCTACAAATGGAATGCCTTAGCTGCAGTTTGAGGGTGGGATATCCATGTTTTTCGTCAGCCTTTAAGTCTTTGCTCAATTCTTTTCCCTAACTGCTTTTCAAACTCATTTGAGTTGAAGGGAAAAGAGGAGAAGGGAATGGAGAAAACAACTGAAGGGAAAAGAGGAGGCAAGAATTTTCTCTTTCTCAAAGGAAATACTAAACCTTGCACTCTGCACATTCAGGAAAAATATGATTTGATGATAGCCTCGCAGTCAGTTTCTCCCTATTCAGGAAATATTCTCAGATGGAAACAAAATTAACTTCTTACCATTAATCCTAGAAGAATGTTTTCAAATGTTTGGTTTGAGGCCATGTTTTAAACAGAGACCTGTTGAAAATCAATAGTCCCCACTCTTCAGTGTCCCTTGCTCACCATTATTTCCATGTTTGTCTTCCTAGGACCTCAATACAGTCTCCATCTTCATATGGTAACAGCTCCCCACCTCTGAACAAAATGAACAGCATGAACAAGCTGCCTTCTGTGAGCCAGCTTATCAACCCTCAGCAGCGCAACGCCCTCACTCCTACAACCATTCCTGATGGCATGGGAGCCAACAGTAAGAGCATCTCCTTTTAGCTGTGGCTGAAGGATGAACAGGCTAGCTTAGGACAAGACTCTGTGATGGGGAAGGCATGTTCTTAAGCTAAATGAGAGACACAGTGGGACAGATCAGATCAAAGTGGAGTGGCTTGGGTTTCTGACTGAACCTTTCACTTTTGAGGTTTATCATTCATTGCAAAATATACTACTGGTAGAGATAGGGACGGATGTTTCTTTAGTGTAGGGATAAGGATTTCTGTGAAAAGAACAGTCTACTTGCTGCTATCCTGGATGGAGACTCACCACCTGCAGCCTTTGAAATAGTCAAAAGGAAACAAATGCAACATGCATAAAGTAGCATGTTGCAGTGAACTTAAAATCTAGAGAAATAGGCCGGGCATGGTGGCTCACGACTGCAATCCTAGCACTTTGGGAGGCCGAGGCGGGAGGATCACTTGAGGTCAGGAGTTCGAGACCAACCTGGCCAACATGGTGAAACCCCGTCTCTATTAAAAATACAAAAGTTAGCTGAGCCTGGTGGTGCATGCCTGTAATCCCAGCTACTCAGGAGGCTGAGGCATGAAAATCACTTGAACCCGGGAGGCAGAGGTTGCAGTAAGGTGAGATCACACTGCTGCACTCCAGCCTGGGTGACAGAGTGAGACTCAGTCTCAAAAAAAAAAAAAAAAATCTAGAAAAGTAGATTATCGTCTGGACTCTATGAAAAAAATACCTCTAATTACAAAGAAGTTACTTCTCGAATACTTAATTTTCTATCCATAAAATTGTCACTATATATACTTAACATTTTATGTCTGTTACTCTATAATCCTGGCCTTTTAAACTCACCTATTCTATCCCAGACACAGTCAGTAAGGAACTGATCTACGAAGGAACCTGCCTTTTATTTCTTCTCACACACATTCCTCATATCAGCTAAGTACAAATGAAAAAGGCACTGTAAGAATTGGGCCTCCAAGTGGATGATGACTGGCATATAGCTTTACTATAAATATAATTATCTTCTCCACTAGGACTAAATCTAGCAAAGTGGATACACAAACTTGAAGGAAAAAAAAGTCGTGGTAAAAATGCAAAAGATTGTATAACACCCTCGGGGATACAGAAGACTGAACATTGCATGGGTATCATATAATCCTTACTACCTAAAAAACAGTACCCTCAAGCTTGTCTTTTGAAATCCTAATTATTTTGATCAAACCTCTAAACGAGCATTTCAGTGTTGTCTCTTCTGAAAGAAATCAGGGGAGGCTAGGATTATGACTTTCTGTGGTCTAATGGCACACATTCATTGTTTTGGTTTTTTTTTTTTTTTTTTAGACAGAGTTTCGCTCTTGTTGCCCAGGCTGGAGTGCAATGGCGCAATCTCGGCTCACTGTAATCTCTGCCTCCCAGGTTCAAGTGATTCTCCTGCCTCAGCCTCCCGAATAGCTGGGATTACAGGCGTGCACCACCACGCCCGGCTAATTTTTTGTATTTTTAGTAGAGGTGGGTTTTCACCATGTTGGCCAGACTGGTCGCGAACTCCTGACCTCAGGTGATCCACCCACCTCAGCCTCCCAAAGTGCTGGGATTACAGGCGTGAGCCACCGCGCCTGGCCACACATTCATATTTTAATGAGATAGAGGTGTGTGTGTTTGCAATGGTTGCCTGTTATGGCAAACGTAGACTTTAGAGTGAGATCACTCTCTCACTAATGATAAACTCATCATAAGGCTTAAAACCTGACCCCTTGACAGGCCTACTTTGACATAAAAAGAGTAGAAACCATTTATTTTCAACTTTATTTTATTTCTTGTGACATCTTAGAGTCCTCAAGTTCCTTCTTGGTATGACAAAATTGTGATAATAGTGATGATGGTTCACATTTGTATAACTTACAGTTTGCCTACTTTTTTTCTTATTTGTACTTTACAATTATTTCAGAAGGGAAACAGATTGAGATGTGATAGGGTATGCTCTTTAGTTAGCTAGTTAGTGGCAAAGACCTTTTCTAGGCATACTGCTACTCACTAAAGTAGAAACAAATTACATTAATCTTTTAGTAAATTATTTTGTTCTTTTTGACATGAAGGCAAAATTCATTTTATAAATATTGATATTAAACTTTTTTTCTCTATCAGTGAGTGTTTACACTTAATTGTTTAGTAAAATATCAGTAAGTATTGGTGGTGTTCCTGTATACAACCCTGAAAATGGACCATAAGTAATAGAATATTTAATTGTATCATCATTTATTAGGCACGTGAGTCCTTCTAAATATTGAAGTCAGTCTCCCTATTCCCAAATAAATGTTCCAAGGGTCACTCTTTCATTCACAGATTTGTGCATTTATCCACTTACCCTAAGTTTACTGAGCACCTACTCTGTGCCAGGCACTGTGCTAGGGACTGTAGGGATCTAGACACCTATAAGATCTAATCTCTGTGCTTGCACAGGTTAGTGAGGGAGACAGAAATATCACCCTCGAAGGCAAATACAAGGAAGAATATGTTAACATTAAGAGCAATTAGCAATTAGAGAATTAGAAGCAGAGAAAGGGGAGGAAAGAGATTGTTCTCGGACAAGGTACAAAAGTCAAGAGGTGCCTAATTAGTTTGGAGTCTGACCGTTCTGTTTGACTAGATGTAGGCTGTTTGAAGGGGTGTAGTGAGAGCGAAGATTAAAAAGGAAGGCTGGTAGTTTAGGCCCTTGATAAAATTTAACCAGACAAGATGGACCACTGGGATGCTGGTACATGATGATGGCAGTAACCCTTTTTGTTCCTCCTGCTTCTGTTCAGTTCCCATGATGGGCACCCACATGCCAATGGCTGGAGACATGAATGGACTCAGCCCCACCCAGGCACTCCCTCCCCCACTCTCCATGCCATCCACCTCCCACTGCACACCCCCACCTCCGTATCCCACAGATTGCAGCATTGTCAGGTGAGTCCACAGCATGTGCCCCTGGGGGCCTGCCCTAAGCATCCCGGGATGGTGGAGGGCGGATACTGTTATAGTCCATAAAACAGTTGGAAGGGAAGACAGCAGTCCTGTGGTTGGAGTTCAGTCACTATTATCTCTGATCTGTGGAGTGGTCAACAATGTTTTATCAAGGAAAACTACTATAACCAGCATGGAAACAAGGGAAAGTGTCTGTTGATAGGCATATTGTTTTCATGTCTGTTTCCCTCGCCTTCACTTACTCCCTTCCTCCTCTCTCACATTTTTACATTGTCAATTGCGGCCCTCAAGTTGGTGCTCAGGGCTGGGTTTCCAAAAGGGCAATAAACTTGCTATCTCGCTCCTTTTCCTCTCTCTCTAATCCTTATAGCTCTCAGCCACCATGGGACCATTATTTTGGAGTTGGATGTCCATAAAAAGTTTTAATGTTATCCAAAATGACAGGGACTTTCAAAAACTGATGGCCTTTACTACTCTGCCTATGGGAAATGGGCACACTCCAGAAAAGGGGAGTTGAGATAAGCAGAAGAAAGAAATGCATGAAGCCTGAAAGATTTGCTTCCCACAGAGGCAAGAGTAGGTTCCCAGATTTCTTGCCTAGTGTATATCTTCTTCTTCTGCTTCATGTGCAGAATGATTGTTTCATTTGGCTACTGGAACGATTTGTGTTGATTTTCCTGCTACGTCAATCACAGGGATGGCAAAGTGCGTGGCCTTTTCCACCCAGGGTCTGTTCTGTAATGATGGTGGCATCATCATCAGTCTCAGACCAGCACCAAAAGGAAGGGGATCTGTATCCTGAGAAGGACATAAATCAAAAGGCATGAATGACTTAATGGAGTAGAGGCCTACAATTTTTTTCTTAACCACATGAGCCATTCTCACAAAGCCCAGATACAAAACAAATAAAGTAGAGATGTTCTTTTTGAAGTGTAGAGCCAAGCAGCAAGAAAGCTAGGAACCTGAACACTGGACTTCCCTTTCACCCTTTGCAATGGTTCCTAGGACACTTACACAGAACCCTAGAATTCCACAGATCACCATATGATAATCGCTGATCTGCAGGAATCCTTATAGTTGATTTTAATTTCTGTAGACCTAAACTTCATGTCACCAGTAATCTCCAGACCTCAGACTTAAGGCCCACATATATATTACCCAATCCTCATCTCTGATGTGGGGCATCCAAGGGCAAAATATATTGGGTTTTCCCTTATCTCGCCAATGCAGTTGGGGTGAACTTTCTTTTTCTGTTTCCTCCTTCCTCTTCCCTCCTCCCTCTGCAGTTTCTTAGCGAGGTTGGGCTGTTCATCATGTCTGGACTATTTCACGACCCAGGGGCTGACCACCATCTATCAGATTGAGCATTACTCCATGGATGTAAGTAACTGTTAGACTTTTCTCAAATTTTATTTCTTCATTTCTTTCCTCTGATGACAACCGCCTTGTAGTTCAATCCCTGATAGTTTAAAAATTTGTTTTTGTCATGCCCCCAATTATCCATTTTGATAGAACCCATAACTATGTTAGAAAGATTCCCAGGCCTCAACCTATACATATTAGAAGCTTAGCAATCAATCTTCCTTAGCTTGTCTTATCAGTCAACAATTGTCTATTGCACTTACACTATTCTCAAGGTGGGAAAGAGGAGCTATTCCCGCAATCAAAACATTCATAATTTCTAAAGAATTAATACAACTTTTTGAGTGTGCTCATTAATCTGTATCAGTTCCCAGAAAGGATAGCAGGGCACCGGTGGTGCTATTCTCTTAAAAACATGGAGAGATGACACAGTAGTCATTTGCCATGACTATTTAAAACAAAACTAGGAATAGAACACAAACGTGTAAGCTTACAGTCTTTAACTTTATTAACTGGCCTTTTCTGCCTTTCTTTAAATTAGTACCTTAAGGGAGATTCAGCCGTTCCTCTCAATTAAAACTATATGTTCCTTTATTAATTTTCAGTTTCATCCTAATAGAGCCCAGCCATTTCTAATCATTGGGCATTATCAATGGCTATGGGGTCAAATCCCAATCACCCTTTTTAGTAGCAATGAGAACTTGGGGTTATCACTTTGCCTCTCTGGGCCTCAGTTAATAAAATATTGGGTTCAAATTACTCCTTTCTGGCTTTCATATCCTT
This sequence comes from Homo sapiens, assembly GCF_000001405.40. Classification (NCBI taxonomy): domain Eukaryota; kingdom Metazoa; phylum Chordata; class Mammalia; order Primates; family Hominidae; genus Homo; species Homo sapiens. Next base: position 189,891,648 of record NC_000003.12, read on the forward strand.
TGATTTGTCTTTGAAACAAGCTGGGCGAGAGGGGACTTTTTCTTGCTTCCTACTCCACTTTTTGAACTCCTGCTCACACGGGAGCTAGTGTTGCTCTGGTTTATGGCAATCTGATTTGTCTCTTAGGCCGCGCTCTTCATGCTGCTCTCTTTGGGGTTCACTAGCCTCTCTTCTAGCTTCCAGAGGGTACTTTGGACTGCGGGAAGAAGACAGTCTCTGCCTCTGCTGCTACTTCTATTGTTGGGGACTCTTTTTTCCCCCTCCTTGAGCACCGATGCTAGAGATGCCCCTGCAGCATAAGAATGCCCCCACCATGAGGTGACGTGTACATAGTGTACTGCCCCTATGCCCACCCCTCTTCACCCCATAAATCACTCCTGGCTGCTGCTCCCTGATAGAATAAGTTATAAGCAAAAACTGCAGGGAAAGCTTTAAGAGTAAGTTCCAGTATTATTCTGATAACTTTACAGTCACTTCCGTCCACTGAAGAGAACAGAGTTGCCCTATATTTGAGAGAGTCTCCTGTAGTAGATTCCTACATTTTGGAACAGAGAATCTTCCTCTTCCCTATATTTTTAAAGTTATACTTTCCACTTGCTCACTTATTTCCACTGGGGAATGTGTCAGGATGTTCCCTTGATCATTAGGATCTGCAGATACCCTTTATAAGTTCATTTCTGCTGATGTTGACTAAGTCCTATGCCAATCTGTGGGCCACAGCTTTCTCACCTGTCAGTCATTAGTTAAAATCCATCCAGGGCATCATGACAATGAACAGAGTCTAATTTACAAAGAGCTTTGCATTTACTGAGAGCCTCAAAAGTATAAAGAATCCAAGAAACATAAAAAGCTATGCTTATTTAGGCCGGGCATGGTGGCTCACACCTGTAATCCCAGCACTTTGGGAGGCCGAGGCAGGCGGATCACGAGGTCAGGAGACCGAGACCATCCTGGCTAACACGGTGAAACCCTGTCTCTACTAAAAATACAAAAAATTAGCCAGGTGTGGTGGTGCACCTCTGTAGTCCCAGCTACTCAGGAGGCCGAGGCAGGAAAATGGCGTGAACTTGGGAGGCGGAGTTTGCAGTGAGCCGAGATCACGCCACTGCACTCCAGCCTGGGTGAAAGTGCAAGACTCCGTCTCAAAAAATAATAAAAAAAGCTATGCTTATTTTTTTGTGGATTACCTTCTTTATAAGGTATTCTTCTGCTACAGTAAGAGATTAGGAATACCTCTAATGGCCTGAAAATTCACACCATAGGAAAATATGACACCAGACTACAAACTTCCAAATTGAGAAATGTTGGGAAGCTGTGCAATTTTCTCCTCCTCACCTCAGCTTCTTCCTGCGTATTTCTAGAAAGAGACACCCTTTTCTCAGCTTTTATCTTAGAGCCAGTCTAAGTTATTGGGCATCATCACTTCCTGGAAAAGGAATGTGACCTAAATTTGGGGAACTTCATTAGTATCCCCATAACATGCAAAAATGAGGTAACAATACAACATAATAATAATACAAATGGTTAATATTTATAGAGTGTGTTGTAATTTATAAAATACTTTCATAGCTGTATTTACCTATGAGTCTATAGCATCTTTTGCCCTATAAAGCAATTGTATCTCATTTTACCAAAGAAGAAACTGAGGCTGGTAGAGAATAAGTGACTTGCTGAAGTTCTATAGCCAGTCAGTGACCATCAAAACCTCTGCCACAGTTTTCTCACTCCAAGCACAATGTGCTGTTTACCTACCATTCTGCCCTGTGAAAATATGAGCTATCACTGAAACAATCTAAAGAAGAGCTAACGCAGATAAATGTAAGTGATATCACCACAGTCAGTTAAGGTTGACCCTATTTGCAATGCCTTCTGCACCCATTCACAGAACATAGACACAGTTGCTCTGCATTTTGATACCTTGCTTTATTCAAACACCAAGAGACCTTTTAGATAAAAGTGCCGTTTCAGGTTCTGAGGATGCCCTAAGTCCCTAATTTTTTCACTTAGTTATGTGACTTTAAACTTGTCAACCTCTCTGGCCTTCAGTTGTTCTATCTATAAAACAGGTCTAATAATGTTTACCACTAATCTGGGGATTAAATGATATCATGAATATAAAATAATTCAGGGCCTGGCACATAGAAAGTACTCAATCTTTTCTTCTCATCTCCTCAACCAAGTGGTGGTGACATTCCATTAATACCTTTCTTCTAGTGACTAGCCAGGTAAATTCAAGCATAAGTAGGTACCTCATGTTTCTATTTGGGATTTTTGCCCTCTCATCTAGCTATTATCCCAATTTTACCAATGAAGAAACTGAGGCCAGTAGAGACTAAGTGAAGTGTTCTACACAGGCAGGAAAGACACCTCAAGGCTGTGCCTTTGTGCTTAGTTCCATAGAGTTGAAGACTCAGAGAACTAATTTTATTTTCTAATTTGTGGATCAATAGATTCAGATCAATTAAACCAGAGCATCAGGGAATGATAGGATGCTGTGGACTAAATGTCCGTTTTTCTCCCTGTTTTCATTCTCCATGACACCTTCCCCTGTTGCACAGGATCTGGCAAGTCTGAAAATCCCTGAGCAATTTCGACATGCGATCTGGAAGGGCATCCTGGACCACCGGCAGCTCCACGAATTCTCCTCCCCTTCTCATCTCCTGCGGACCCCAAGCAGTGCCTCTACAGTCAGTGTGGGCTCCAGTGAGACCCGGGGTGAGCGTGTTATTGATGCTGTGCGATTCACCCTCCGCCAGACCATCTCTTTCCCACCCCGAGATGAGTGGAATGACTTCAACTTTGACATGGATGCTCGCCGCAATAAGCAACAGCGCATCAAAGAGGAGGGGGAGTGAGCCTCACCATGTGAGCTCTTCCTATCCCTCTCCTAACTGCCAGCCCCCTAAAAGCACTCCTGCTTAATCTTCAAAGCCTTCTCCCTAGCTCCTCCCCTTCCTCTTGTCTGATTTCTTAGGGGAAGGAGAAGTAAGAGGCTACCTCTTACCTAACATCTGACCTGGCATCTAATTCTGATTCTGGCTTTAAGCCTTCAAAACTATAGCTTGCAGAACTGTAGCTGCCATGGCTAGGTAGAAGTGAGCAAAAAAGAGTTGGGTGTCTCCTTAAGCTGCAGAGATTTCTCATTGACTTTTATAAAGCATGTTCACCCTTATAGTCTAAGACTATATATATAAATGTATAAATATACAGTATAGATTTTTGGGTGGGGGGCATTGAGTATTGTTTAAAATGTAATTTAAATGAAAGAAAATTGAGTTGCACTTATTGACCATTTTTTAATTTACTTGTTTTGGATGGCTTGTCTATACTCCTTCCCTTAAGGGGTATCATGTATGGTGATAGGTATCTAGAGCTTAATGCTACATGTGAGTGACGATGATGTACAGATTCTTTCAGTTCTTTGGATTCTAAATACATGCCACATCAAACCTTTGAGTAGATCCATTTCCATTGCTTATTATGTAGGTAAGACTGTAGATATGTATTCTTTTCTCAGTGTTGGTATATTTTATATTACTGACATTTCTTCTAGTGATGATGGTTCACGTTGGGGTGATTTAATCCAGTTATAAGAAGAAGTTCATGTCCAAACGTCCTCTTTAGTTTTTGGTTGGGAATGAGGAAAATTCTTAAAAGGCCCATAGCAGCCAGTTCAAAAACACCCGACGTCATGTATTTGAGCATATCAGTAACCCCCTTAAATTTAATACCAGATACCTTATCTTACAATATTGATTGGGAAAACATTTGCTGCCATTACAGAGGTATTAAAACTAAATTTCACTACTAGATTGACTAACTCAAATACACATTTGCTACTGTTGTAAGAATTCTGATTGATTTGATTGGGATGAATGCCATCTATCTAGTTCTAACAGTGAAGTTTTACTGTCTATTAATATTCAGGGTAAATAGGAATCATTCAGAAATGTTGAGTCTGTACTAAACAGTAAGATATCTCAATGAACCATAAATTCAACTTTGTAAAAATCTTTTGAAGCATAGATAATATTGTTTGGTAAATGTTTCTTTTGTTTGGTAAATGTTTCTTTTAAAGACCCTCCTATTCTATAAAACTCTGCATGTAGAGGCTTGTTTACCTTTCTCTCTCTAAGGTTTACAATAGGAGTGGTGATTTGAAAAATATAAAATTATGAGATTGGTTTTCCTGTGGCATAAATTGCATCACTGTATCATTTTCTTTTTTAACCGGTAAGAGTTTCAGTTTGTTGGAAAGTAACTGTGAGAACCCAGTTTCCCGTCCATCTCCCTTAGGGACTACCCATAGACATGAAAGGTCCCCACAGAGCAAGAGATAAGTCTTTCATGGCTGCTGTTGCTTAAACCACTTAAACGAAGAGTTCCCTTGAAACTTTGGGAAAACATGTTAATGACAATATTCCAGATCTTTCAGAAATATAACACATTTTTTTGCATGCATGCAAATGAGCTCTGAAATCTTCCCATGCATTCTGGTCAAGGGCTGTCATTGCACATAAGCTTCCATTTTAATTTTAAAGTGCAAAAGGGCCAGCGTGGCTCTAAAAGGTAATGTGTGGATTGCCTCTGAAAAGTGTGTATATATTTTGTGTGAAATTGCATACTTTGTATTTTGATTATTTTTTTTTTCTTCTTGGGATAGTGGGATTTCCAGAACCACACTTGAAACCTTTTTTTATCGTTTTTGTATTTTCATGAAAATACCATTTAGTAAGAATACCACATCAAATAAGAAATAATGCTACAATTTTAAGAGGGGAGGGAAGGGAAAGTTTTTTTTTATTATTTTTTTAAAATTTTGTATGTTAAAGAGAATGAGTCCTTGATTTCAAAGTTTTGTTGTACTTAAATGGTAATAAGCACTGTAAACTTCTGCAACAAGCATGCAGCTTTGCAAACCCATTAAGGGGAAGAATGAAAGCTGTTCCTTGGTCCTAGTAAGAAGACAAACTGCTTCCCTTACTTTGCTGAGGGTTTGAATAAACCTAGGACTTCCGAGCTATGTCAGTACTATTCAGGTAACACTAGGGCCTTGGAAATTCCTGTACTGTGTCTCATGGATTTGGCACTAGCCAAAGCGAGGCACCCTTACTGGCTTACCTCCTCATGGCAGCCTACTCTCCTTGAGTGTATGAGTAGCCAGGGTAAGGGGTAAAAGGATAGTAAGCATAGAAACCACTAGAAAGTGGGCTTAATGGAGTTCTTGTGGCCTCAGCTCAATGCAGTTAGCTGAAGAATTGAAAAGTTTTTGTTTGGAGACGTTTATAAACAGAAATGGAAAGCAGAGTTTTCATTAAATCCTTTTACCTTTTTTTTTTCTTGGTAATCCCCTAAAATAACAGTATGTGGGATATTGAATGTTAAAGGGATATTTTTTTCTATTATTTTTATAATTGTACAAAATTAAGCAAATGTTAAAAGTTTTATATGCTTTATTAATGTTTTCAAAAGGTATTATACATGTGATACATTTTTTAAGCTTCAGTTGCTTGTCTTCTGGTACTTTCTGTTATGGGCTTTTGGGGAGCCAGAAGCCAATCTACAATCTCTTTTTGTTTGCCAGGACATGCAATAAAATTTAAAAAATAAATAAAAACTAATTAAGAAATTGTGTGTGTGTCTATCTGTGTCTGTTTGCCTATTTGTCCATTCTTCCATCCTTTGGCCTTGTTGATATTATCGAGGAAGAAGAGATACCGAGCAAAACACTGGAGAGTTTCAGATGTTGACGTTTCTCATCTGAGAACAAATAATCATTCTTTTCTCATTTTAGCCAACCTACAAAATAGGAAAGACCAGAATGGCATTTTCATTTGGTGAATGAGACATTCAAAGTTTTAATACCTTATTTGATTGAGGTCAGAAAGAGTTTGCTTTAGAACAGGGACTAGACTTCAAATATTCCTAATGTCTAACTTAGTGACCTTCCGATGATACTCAGCAGTGACCTCATCAGTACTGTGGGAGTGGAAAGCAAATAAGCTGGTGGTATGTGGGAGCACGCTGCAGATGATGGGCCCTGACTGGGCCATGTTCCCTTTTAAATTCATTGTTAAATATCACCCTTCAGTTATGTACATTGATTTAGCCAATACTATCTCTATCAAAATGGGTGAATTATTTTTATTAAATAAGAATGTATATTACTTTATGGGATAACATTGGATGGCATGAATACAATATAATGCCTTAGACTTATAAAATAAACTTTTCAGAATAACAAAAATATATACTAGAGATATCAATTTGTTTTTCTATTTATAGATATAATCACATTATAAAGATATGTTCATATAGGCAAGCAGGTGCAGCCAAAATATTCAATTCTTAGTCCTTGCAGTCTAGGTGATAGAGTGCCAGAAATGAAACAGTTAATTCAATTATGCTAGCATGAGGAATATAAAAGAGCTATAAAAATGATTAATAATTGATCTGTCATTTGGGCTCTTTCAATTTTAATTTTTATTTTTTCAGTAGTTCTATTTGTATGAATTGGTAGTTCATGACTTTTATTTACTCTTAGCTGTCTTCTGGAGTAAAAGAAAAACCTACTTTTAAAAAAATGCATTTGCTTAGAATTATTGGGTCTGTTAAACCCTTTTACAAATACAAAATGCACTATGGAAACTCGGCGATTTTCTTCTTTTTCATGTCTTGAGACTTTATTTTAGCCGTTCTAGAAATTGCTTTATTTTTATCCATCAATTCTAATGAGTAAAAAAAGAATAAAAACCAAGAAGAATGGTGGGATTGCCCAAAACCGTGCTGTCCAATATGGTAGTCACTAGCTACATGTAATTATTGAGCACATGGATGGAGCTAGTCAAAACTGAGATGTGCTGTATATGCAAAATACACATTAGACTTCAGGGACTCAAAAATATAAAATAACTCCTTGATAATTGTTTAAATTAGATGTTGAAAATAAATATTTTGGGTTAAATATACTGGAATTAATTTTACCCGTTCCTTTATATGCTTACTACAAAATTTAAAATTATGTAAATGGATTTCATTGTAGTTCTATTGGGCAATTAGCTAGAAAGATGATGTAATAAGAAGCCTGTTAGGATGATGAAATGAAGTTACTATTTACTATTGTGTAATTATCCAGGTTTTTTGGTTTTTTACTGGGTTGCTCATTAGTATTGCATCAGTTTTCAACAAAGTATAGAATAGGAGACAATATCTTTGTAGTTAGGATTTTTCATTTTCTCCCCATAATGGTAAAGATATTAAAACTGACAGAGAAAAGCATTTCAAAATTGTTACATCAGAATATGAATACAAAACACAATGGCACTCTAGACTCTGGTGATGGTGAAATGGCTTGTGTAAGTTTGAGTTTTCATGTAATGATATCCTAGATGAATTTTCTCAAGCACAAGGCTCAGTGGCCAAGGAATAAAGTTTTAAAGATAAAAAGGGTATATGCTTACTTTAATCTAGATAGTTCTTCAATAGGAAGAATTTTACCATTTAAGGTTACAACAATAATCTGACCATCCGATTTTCTAAAAGGACATGCGATAGTATTATTTTAGTTCTAATGATTCTTGTGCACCAAAATTTACCAATATACTTCACAAGTGGACAAATAAAGGCTGGTGAGTATCAAAGGTAATCGGAAGAAAAATGAGGTAGAAACTTAACTCATTGGATTAATCATTCTAATTGGTGTTTAAAAAGTATTTTGCGGTTTTGGAGTGAAGAACATAGTCATCCTCTCTTCAACAAAGGCATGAGCCATCAAGGATTCAAAAAAAATAGTTCAAGTGTTTTATGTTGATGATGTAAATACAAGAAAAGCAATCAGAAGTAATGATGTTAGAACTTCTTATCAGAGGTGCATTTGAAATCAATACTTACAAGGTAGCTATGTCCCAAATTTCATGGTAGTTCATGAGCAGTTAATTGCATTCAGAAGGTATTTTCTATTTCATGTACATGTGCCACTGAAATCATTAACAAAATTTTAGATTTACTATGTTTATATTAAAATTTCTTATAAAATTATTCTTCACCATATATTCTGTTATTTATAAAATTACTAAAATAAAAATATAAAGCATTAATTAGACCCAGAAGATACGGATAATGACTACTGCACTGAGAATTATTAGAATAATTTATCTAATATTGTTATAGAATGCCAAAAACCTAATGTTCATTAAAGACTCTTGAATTATCTAAAATCTGCATAGAATCTCTGAGATTCCAAGAACATATTTGTGCTTTTGGGTGCAGTTTCTGAATTATCTAAGAAGGTAACCCAAGGACTTTCCTTAGTATACTGATTTATTTTGTATTCCTAGTAGCAAAATAAAAGTATGGAATAAAGGCCTGCACATAGGTGGGTAGACATTGGAACCTTCCTAGATCCAGGAAAGATAACTTTAATCTTGAGTCAGGGCATCCACAGACTGGCAGAAGGCAGTGGTTATTACCCGTTTTGCCATTCTTTCTCTTTCATATACTACAGTTGTCTTACTAGGTAAACTGGAACATAGGACACTTTCAGCCTTGAGTATGGATTTCCTAGCTTCCTCTTTGTACCCATAAAAACTTTGGTGTCCATTATCATTCTTCCAAATTTGATTTACACTATGCCTTTTCCCCTGGTGCTTCAGACTCATTCCAAAAAAAGTTATGCAGATGTGTAGATTTCACGGAAATATGAAGATCCAGAGTGAAAGGAACACTTGACTGAGAGGAGTCTGGTGACTTGGGCCAGATGCTTAATCTTCTGCATTTCAGTTTCAACATCTGCCAGATGAGAGGTCTGAACCCCTAACTTGTCAGTATTTCAGTAATAGCTTTTGGAAGAAAGCCGAAGGATGGCATGAAACAACTCTTCCAATATAGAAATGGGGTTAGCGTTTTCAGAAAAAATTCAGCAGTCTCAAAGCTCTAATCTTCGTTAAATGCAGACCTAAAAGTGTCGGGAATCTTGTTCCTTCTTTAGAAAGGTTTTTCATAGAGCACTAACCATATATATTTTTCTCAGATAAGAGTAGTTCACTAATTTAACTTTGTGGGTTTACAGTCATGTTGGGTGTGTCCTTGAAATTTATGAGATTTGTAACTCCTTACACTAATCCTGACTCTGTCTATGTGCCAGGTGGGTGGCAAGTACTGGCAGGTGAACTTCCCTTTTGTGATTCTGATTAGAATTCTAGGCCTAGCACACTGGAGGACCAACGTTTTGCAATTCAAGTAAAAGTCTGACACAGGACGAGGAACAAAAATTTTTTGCAGAGAGAGTTTGACATCAGAAACACCAGGCAGAAAATAACGAATCCTGTGAGCGCTTTAACTCATCTGACATTTGCTCTGTAATTGGAAACGCTATTATTTTTCTGTGAAAGAAATTATGGTGACTTTGAATATGGTTCAATATTCCGAAATTCTAGGACTACCTTCTATAAGTAAGTTGATTACTCTGCAGTGCAGTGGCACAGTCATAGCTCACTGCAGCCTCGAACACCTGGGCTCAAGCAATCCTCCTGCCTCTGCCTCTTTAGTAGCTGAGACTACAGGTGTGTGCCACCAAAACCGCTAATTTATTTTAGTTTTCGTAGAGATGGGGTCTCGCTCTGTGGCCTAGGCTAGTCTGGAACTCCTGGCCTCAAGCAATCCTCCTGCCTCTGCCTCCCAAAATGCTGGGATTACAGGTATGAGCTACTGCGTCCAGCCTGCTCTTCTGTATTTTAGCTAAGCTTGCATCAGCGGTCTTCAATATTTCTCCAACTTATCAATACCTTCCTAATACGATTTTGTCTCACTAATGATTAAATGTTAGAGAAAGCACTTGAAAGCACTCGCAATCCCTAAAGTACAGAAATGGTGGAATTTTAAAAGAGAATGAAAGGAGAAAGAGAGAACAAAAAGATCAACCCATTGTCAGATTCTGGACTGTGAAATGAATAGAGAAAATTCTGCTGTGTCATTTCATGGGGCCTCTTGCCAAATGCGTTTTGGAAATGTTTAGAAAGTTCGTTCTAAAGAATTCTGGAATTACGTGGCATCCAGGTACCAGCACATTTGGTATCTCAGAACAAATGCTGACATCCGTAAATATCCAATGGCAGTCATGAAATAATATTCTAAGAAATAGAACACTTTTGTGAACCTTGCCCACGCAGAAGAAGCCCTAGGAAATATTTGCCTAACAACACCTGGTGTTCAACATGGCTTTCAGGACACTGAGAAGTAAATATATATATATATATATTTTTTAAAAATATATATATATAAATATATATATGCATATATACAATTTTTGTTTTTACTGCTTGGGGATAGGAACATCTCAATATCCCTTTTCCTTATCTTTTGCTTTCTCGGGGTCCCACTGTCACCCTAAGTAATTGGCTTATAAGCAGCACAAACTCTCAGCAAAATGATACGAAAGTTGTCTTTGGAATATTCCATTCCCATGCCTGTCTTTCTTTTCCCTTTCTGCTGAAGACATTCACATTTTCTTTTTTACTTTCTCTACTCAAACCTGATGTTCCTAGCTAGGTGGTAATTTCCTTGATGGTGCATGAGATACCACGGTTATATGCATTTTGCCAGGAGTTTCTAACCATGCCTTGGAGGTGGTTACCTGCCACTTATTCTTACCAATCCCCACTTTAAGGCCCACGATTCTTTCAAGAGTCACATGTAAGACAGGAAGCCATGGCTAAGCCTAGTCTCACCAAAGGCCCAGCAGAAGGCGTAATACTGTCCAGTGGCTGGCCAGTGTTCAGTTAGCATTTGGCAATCAATAGAGTTCTGTCTTCTCAGATACAGCCCTTCTTCTCCCCTGGTATAATATCCTATTCATAAGAACATAGTTTGGCTGGCTCTCTCCTCCATCTTTCATCTCCTTAGCCTCATTATTTCTTGTCCTGGGGTACAATACCACAGTCTTTGCTCATCATCACAGCCTCTGTAACACTTTGACCTCCCTTGGTAGAGTATCAGGAGAAGTGAATGTCTGCCTCTTTCCCATGATTGTAATGCATTCTTTCCTTCCCTGAGGAAAAGTGCTTCCCTGTCTCTTGGCTGAAAGACTAATTTTTTTTTTTTTTAAATGAACTCCACTCCAATTATTTCCATGATATTCTTGTGTAATACCAGTCTTTCCTCCTCATGTTGAATGGGTTGGGTGCCTTCAGTGAGGAGACTAGAGGTGGTAAACATTGGGAAAATGAAAGAATCTGATGGAGCAGGTGGAGCTCAGCAAAGGTCTGTGTGGAGGCTACACATGGGCTTTGGTGAGGGATCTCCTTGTGCTTCCTGTCCCAGGGGTTACTCAGCTGCCTTTGACAGACTCTCATATGTGCAAGGCACTGTGGGAAATTCAAAGTTGAAAAATACACAGCTCTATGAATCACAGAAGTTTAGACCTAGAAGGAACTTAAGAGCCATCTAGTTTAAACTCTTCATTTTCTGGAGTGGAAAACTGAGGCCCAGGCAGGAAAAGGAACTATACAGATTCTCACAGCAAGGCAAAGAAGAACCAGGTGATCCAGACTTCCCTTTCTCATTTGTAGTACAACCTAACTCCACCTCTACTTAGAAGAAGTCTCTCTTCCATACCACAGTGATGCCCTTGTTATTGCTGTTGCTATTTCTCAATGGAACTTGTCAATGAATACTTTTGAGTGCTGCTTAGGAGTGACTCCTTCTCTCACTCTGTTTGCTTTACTCTTTTTCATCCCCATGCTGGTTTTTACCACAAACACCCCTGGCCTAAAGAACTCTGGAATTCACACAATGGGTCTTGGCTTTCGCATCTCTAAGAGGAAAGAGGCTGGAGTAAAAGATCTCAAAGTCCTCTACTAGCTTCAGTGTTCTAGAAATGTACATTTCACCATGAGGTAGGCCACCATTTAAGGAAGAAAATGGGATTTTCATTACATACTGACATTACTTAGCTAAAATTAAGAGGCCTTAAGAATTAATAACATTTAGGTAAAAGCTGTGAAAGGTGCTAACAGGAATTGCTGGGATAAAAGCAAAGATTTGTGCAACAGCTGTAGGTATTTTCCATGACAATCTTCCTTCATAGCATGACTTTCAGCTGGGACACCCTCTTCTAATCTCTCAGGAAACAGAAGAGATGACGTCAACGTAGGGGAAAAGAAGTGGCAATTTTCTAGTTTATATATTTAAAAAAATACAATCAAGTAAAACATAGCTAAAGAGTATCTGTCAATAGGTCTGATGATCTAGATGGATTGTATAAATAAATATAAAATCTTTATATTCTTAATATATACTGATTCACTGTTTCCTAAAACATTTCATATAAATTATCTTGTTTATTTCCTCAACACTGTGGAATAGACAGAGCAAACATTGTCAGTACAAAGGGCGGAGGAAGCTGAGCCTCTGAGAAGTTACAGGCATGTCTAAGTTCACAAAGCTATTATAGTCAGTGGTAGAATCAGCAAGTCTTTCTATTCTAGTTTGGCTCTTTTTTTCCGTGGTACTGTTGTCTCCAATCAGAAAATAAGTTCTCAGCGGGTCACTCTCTTAGGCTGCACACACACGCCTCAAAGAAAAGAATTCTGTGGACTTTCCCTGGTTGGAGACAGAGTATGCGTTCCAAAATCTGTCAGCCCTAGATTGCATCCAACTAACCTAGGCCCCTCAAGCCCCTTATTGAAAACATAACCCTTCTATCACTGGCCATTGTCAGCAGGATAAAGCCTATCTAACTTTGTCACTAATTTGCCCTTTAAGTCTAATATTATCTGATGCTCCAACCAATTCTATTTACTCAACATTCCCAGCTAGAATGTAATCTTCACAAGGCAGGTTTCCTTGCGTTGTTAATTGATGAAGCCTACTGTAGCCTTCACTCAATAACTATTTGTAGAATTCAACAAATCAGTTCTTGAATTTTCAGGTATCTGTGCATTTTCTATGCTGTTCTCTTCAACAGAATGCTTCGACCCTACTCTCACCCATCTCAGTCTACCTCTTCTTGTCTTTCAAAAATTACCTCAAACATTACTTCCACAACAAAGCTTCCTTGATTATCTACCACTGGAAAGACTTTGTAGGACTTAGATGTGTTTCTGTTTTCATGATAGATATGAACGAACTTGGCTTCTCAGTTTGATCGTCTTTTTTTTCTCTTTTTTCTATTTCTGAATGTTAAAAAGCATTTTAATTGTTGTGGGGGCAGAACATAAGCAATGCCTCCCCTATCCTCCAGGGGATAGGAAATAGGAAGAGAAAAGGAAAAAATATATCTATATCTATATCTATATCTATATCTATATCTATATCTATATATATGCACACACACACACACACCACTATATAATATATACCTATATAAAACCCTCAGCTATGGCCAATGATACCACCTGTCTTTCAAAAATGCCTTTTGAAAATCCCAGGTTCTCCTTGATACAAGAATGCTCATTCTTTCTTCAAACCCCCTAAAAATGTATCTTTTAAGGCAAGCTACCTGTTCTGATTGGTAAATGTGTACATTTTGAGTGGTCTGTGCCCATTCTCTGTGGGTTGTTAAGTAGTTTGAATATAACCTATGCCTCTATGGATGTCACCACAATCTGCTTCGTGTTTTCTGTTTTGTAGTCATATATCTCTTGACAGTTGATCCTGCACAGTTTCTAGTCCAACCCCTAAATAAAGTTCTTAAGACATAATGGGTGTTTAATGAAGGTTCGATGGATTATTATTTTAAATGCTAATAAATACTTTGCAAACAGGAAAAACAGGTAGTATGTTTTGCTTTTTCTGAATAGCTTTCAGTGGAAGGAAGTAGAAAGGTAAAAAGATACTAGATTGGTATATTCAAAATTTATTTTCACATATATATATATATATATATATATATATATATATATATATATATATAAGGTTTTCTTTCAGTCACACTAGATCTGGCATCAGCTGTGGTTCAGCTCCTGTCTAGAAGGGACAGAGCTTTGCAGTTGGGGTAACTCCTAATTCTTAGCTAGGAAATAACCCCTTGGGATATTAGAGATCTCAAAATGTTTTACTACTTTCATTTGAGAGTCTAAAGCTCTATTAAAACCTACTCTAGCTTCTCCTTGATTGTCCCTTGATTTACTAGTGACATGCTTTCTACTGAAGAAAGAGGATTTTGTGGTCAACAAACCACACCCTAAGCTCTATGATGTGAAATGGAAATTTTCTAGTATACATAGAATTTATACTTTTAAAAATATAGAAAAGTTTAAAAAATAATTGATACATGTCCATATACCTACTGCCCATAAATTATGATTAACACTTTTTCATATTTACCACAAATCTATGTATCTCTGTGCTTTTCATATAAGTCAAACTTAACAAAGTAAATATCCCCTTTATCGCCTACCTATAGGTATACACATCTTTCTCTGTTACTTCCCTGCATTACCTGGGGCCAGAATTAATCTGCACCATAAGTTTAGAGTATTTCCTCCAATCCATTATCATTTTGCTTTCTATAGTACAGATAAGTAAATTTCATAGAATTGGAATAATAATATACATATATATATATATATATATTTTTTTTTTTTTTTTTTTTGAGATGGAGTCTCGCTCTGTCACCCAGGCTGGAGTGCAGTGGCATGGTCTTGGCTCACTGCAACCTCCGCCTCCCAGGTTCACGCCATTCTCCTGCCTCAGCCTCCCAAGTAGCTGGGACTACAGGCGCCCACTACCATGCCTGGCTAATTTTTTGTATTTTTAGTAGAGACGGGGTTTCACTGTGTTAACCAGGATGGTCTCGATCTTCTGACCTCACGATCCGCCCGCCTCAGCCTCCCAAAGTGCTGGGATTACTGTCGTGAGCCACCGTGCCCGGCCAGAATAATAATCTTAAACATAACAGTTGCCACGTTAAGGTTTTTTTTTTTTTCATCCAGTTTCTCTGCCTTCATACAGTCAAGCTAAGTGATGGAATTGCCATGTTATAGATTGTATTAGGCTTCTCCAAAGAAACAGAACCAATAGTGTGTATATGTATATATATATATATATATATATATATATATATATATATATATATATATAATGAGAATTGGCTTGTGTGATGATGGAGGATGAGGAGTCACATGATCTGCTGTTTGCAGGCTGGAGGACCTTGAAAGCAGGCAGTGTAATTCAGTCTGTGTCCAAAGACTCAAGAACAAAGCGAGAGGAGGAGGGTGTTGGTGGATTGTGTGCATCCTTGCAGGGAACTGGGAATACCGATGTCTGAAAGTCAAGAAGATGATGGAGGTTGCCGCTCAAATAGGGGGCAAATTTGTCCCTCCTCCACCTTTGGCTCTCTTCAGGCCCTCAAGGGATGCCACCCACATTGGTGAAGATGATCTTCTTTACTCAGTCTACTGATTCCAATGCTAATCTCTTCCAGAAACATCCTCACAGACACAATCAGAAATGTTTTTCTAGCTATCTGGGCCCATTCAAGTCGACATCTAAAATTGACTGTCACACAGATGAAAAAACAGAAATTCAAATATTTGAAACAAATTACCTAAGGCCACGCGGAGATTAAGTAGAAGCAGCAGGATTGAAATGCTTTTTTTTTTTTTTTTACTTCAAAGTTTTGCTCTCCCCTTTGCATCGTGCTGTACCTTCTAAAATGATTGACTAAAACATATGCCAATACTACTGAGCTTGGAAGTCCATAATTTTTAGTGGTACCAGTCTCCATGAATTATTCTTTGGAGCAAGACAGATGTAAGACTTATAGCCCTTGCCCTTCCTGTGAGCATGGTTTAGAGTTTGGGAGAAGGTAAGGATTCATAAACAAACATGTATAAAGTGTTTCCAAGTGAGACTGCAGTATGAACTACTCGGGAGAATCCCAGCGGAAGAAAAGATGTTTTTGATCAGAGAAATCTGGAGAAATATCAGAGGAGAAGAAGCATTTGGACTATCTTGTAGAATGAATATCACGGGCAAAGCCATAACGACATGGCAATGTGACGGTTAAGTCAACAGACCTCTTCGCTAAGCTAGGAACATGAATGGGGACTCACAGCTTTACATATGACCAAAAGTCAGGAAAGACAGGCCACTGTACCTACTTTGGGGATTTTTGCCCCAGAAAGGTTTACAGAATTTTAGAAAAACTCTGTTTTCTTGGTACTCTACAACTCAGCTAAACATCTAAAACTCGCTAGTGTGGCTAGCCACCCCTCATAATATTTAGACAATTGCTCAATTACCCCTGGAGTAACTTGCAGGTTTTACACGAAGACATGTGGGAGAAGCAGGAAGGCTCCAATGCCTTGGGGTGAACAGCAAATTGTGAGTTTCCTAGTTTTCTGTTTTGTGGCTAGCTGATACAGGGACCATTCATTGTCCACAGAAACACTGGATACTACGAGAGAAGAATGAAGTTGCAGAATGCTGACCACAGCGAACTCATAGTGACTGCTTTTCTCTACAGATGGGGATGCCGTTACTCAGATAATTTGAGTTATTTTCCTAAGGTCGCAAAGTCAGTGATTGACCTCCAGTGACTTCTCATGTCTCTTCTTCACACCCTGTGCAATACTCTTCCTGGCATGCCATGGTAATAACACTCCTACATGTTTCTTTAATTTTCTTGCACAAAGCATGCTCCAGTTTAGCTTCAGCCAAGCAAGAGCACACTAGGAGGATCCTGAGAGTGAAATTTGTTCCCTAGAATATTAGGTGAAGAGTGCAACCTGCCTTCACTGTTCAGGTCCTATAAAATACAGAGGCCAGTTTGTTTTTCTCTAAACCTCTTAGTGTTTGGGAATTCCACTGGGGTCTCTAGAAAGAGTGCCTACCTTGGTCATCTGATGCCATTAGCTTGTGCCACTGCACCCATACACTGCTGTTTCTAGATTTTCAACACAAAGATACAGAGAAGATACAGGGGAAGATGACTTCTGTGGGCCCACTTAGAGAGGTAGTCCCATCAAAGTTAGCAAATACCTACGTTCTTCAAAGACATTAAATAGTCATGCTGCTCCAATATAGCCAAAAGCACACTTTTTGGAGCAAAGTTAATCCTACTGAAACCACCTTCAATTAAACCAAGCTCTAGGGGCTAAGAAACAGAAAAGTGAATTAAGCTTCAGTGACTCAGCTCCTCCTTCCTCCCTGCCTTTGTCTATCAGCCAGGAATGTGGGGAGGAAGTGAGTTAGGGCAAATCTATGCTTGAGCTTCACAATGCAAAGAACCAGGATCTATACACACCCAAGGTGATTTTCCTACAAATGCTATTTCTTTACAGTAAGTCTCCCCTAACACTTGGCTCCAGTGAGTATGAATCTTACATTTGCAAGTCTGGAAAGACCATGAATGGAAAGAAAGGCATGGATGCCCATGAAGAGTAAATTAAGGTGTGGCCATAGTACTCTCATTGGCAATCACACGAACTGGATGATTTACTAATTAAGGTTAGATTGCTTACCATCGGACCCAGAAAAAAATTCATAATGTACAAGTTATTTAATAACAAAGTTCTCCATGAAAAAATAGTGACAGAAACAGGACAGGAGAGAGGAAGAAGCCACACAAGCAAGAATACAGTGTCAAGCAAGGTGGGAGACAATAGCTTCAGCCTGAACTTGACACTGAACTATGAAATGTCAAGTTTCCCAAAATAGTCTCAACCTGAGGCTGGGAAACTTGGGATGTCATAATCCTGTACCTACCGATCATTGGTAAAGGGCTCTCCCAGGGACATATAAACTCTTAGGAACTCTCAGTTTCCTGTGTGTTCCAAAAATCCCAGGGGCAGTCATCGAAAAAGAACCATCACAATTGCTGGCTGTTGGAAGTGAAACATACCAAAGCCCAGGGAACATACTTAAGAAAAAAAAATTATCTAGAAAAACGTGATCTTAGAATATCTAAACCTTAATCCAATAGCATCCTATCAGCTACATTTCCCAATTTTTTAAATTAATATTAACAAGGGGATCTATATTTAAGAGAGTTACCTTCATTTACTAATTTACAGACATCGCACTAATGCTTTCATATATACTCTATGATACAGCATGGTGGTTTTACATATACTATATGGCATTGCAAGATCACTGGAGTTCAACAGTTCCAGGTTTAAATTTTGACTCATCCATATTTTAGCTGAGTGACTTTGCTGAAGTTGCTTCACCTGTCTATGATTCAGCAGGTAGGTCAGTGCCTGTGAGAAAGGAATGAAATAAGCAAGTACAACCTTTAATAACCCAGTCATGGCACATGACGAAGTCTCAGTAAATACTTGTTATGAACAATGATAAGAATAATAATAATGTTCTTTATTTATTCATTTATACAACAAATATTTATCAAGTACCTTCTATGTGTCAGAGCCTCTTCGAGGACAGGAATTACAGAGGGTTTAGTTAAAGACCCTGGCCTCACAGAGTTTATATTCTAGCAAGGGACATAAACAATAAGCACACAAATAAGTATTTAATGCAATGTCAGTTACTGATTAGCACAATAAAAAAAACTGAAGCAAGGCAAAAAACAAAACACAGAATGAGTGGTAGAGTGAAAGATGGAGGCTATGATTAGAGATGAAATTCAGGATATCAATGATTAGATATGAAGTCCAGGAATTCCTCTCTGGGTAGAACAGCAGACACCTGAATAAGTGGAAAGGATAAGATATCTTAGGAGTAGAGTTCCAGGAAAAGATAACAATGAAAGCAAAGACCCTGGGAGGGAATATATTTGTAATGTTAAAGAAATAGGAAGAAGCCCTGTATGACTGCAGTTTTGTGAGGCAGGCCAAGAGTATTAGGAGACAAAATCAGGGACAGTGGCAGAGAACAGACTAGATCACATAGAGTCAAGTAACCCAAGGTAAACAGTGGAAATTTCATTTAACCTGACTGATAGAAAATTATTGGAGGATTCTGAGTAGAGAGGAACAAACCTGGTTATGTTTGTAAAGAGTACACTTTTGACTATATGCTGCCACAGGGCATGGGAGCATCTGTGCAAACCACTTTCGAGGAACAGACCTGGAGCTCACAGAATCCTCAAGCTCAGTGAGCAAACCAAACTAATAGTAAACATAGGTTACTGGTTCATTCATGTGTCAGTATTGTCATTCAGACAATAAGAGTAATTTTCTCTAATAGTTGCAAATCAAGTCCACATAAGCCATCTCTAATATAAACATAAGGTTACAAATGCACCATCCGGGTATTCTTTACCTTTAGTCTGTAACTTTAATTTTTCTGCCTTTTAGTGGAATAGTCTCTCTCATTGGAATAACTGTTTTAGGATGATCTTATATAACTGTGCCTGATTTGCTAGAAGCAAAATTACATACTGTAGGGAATTTATTTTTTTGAAATATCCTGTTTCACAGAAACTCCCTCCATTCACACACCTCTGATGGCTGCCTTTTGATTTCAAATTAAAGCTCAACTCTGTAGCTGAGTATTCCATACTTCCTCTTCCCTGAACCAGGTAGAGCACTCCAACGTGCCTTACCTATGTTCTAACATAAGAGAACCACCTGCCCTGACACAACCAGGCTTCACTGTCCCTCAAACATACCATGCATAATTTTGTTACCACATAACTGCTGATTTATTTTATTTGCTTAAGTGTTATATTTCTCTCAAGGCCAAGTTCAAGTCTCATCTCTATGTGGGGCCTTTCCTCACTAGAAAACCTCAATGATCATTCTCTCATCTGAACTACTTCTGCAGTTGTTAGAGTTAGCACATCATCTCTGGGATTATCACTGATCTTTTAAAGAATACATCCTTATAGGCCATCTGTAAACTTCTAAAAGATAGTGATTATGTCTTACAAATCTTCGTATTCTAGAAACTCTGCATGTAGCACTTGACTTTCCCATAGATAATTCAAACTCATCATGGTTCATTCATGCTGAGTTCACACTGCTTTCCACCCCCAGCACACCTACTCTTTTTTTCCTTTTGTAACGTATATGAACCTCACTCCACAAACGTAAATGTGCAAGAAATTTACCTTTCTTTATTTTTATTAAATATTGACTTAATTTCTATTTCTTTTTTTTTTTTTGCACCAATGTGGTAAAAAATAAAAAGCTTCTAGGTCAGTTCAGGCTTTCTTCCTTTTTAAGTTCTGGTAGGGCGCCTCAGATCCACTCAGCCAACTGTCCACTCAGCCATCTGTCCACTCAGACATACACTAAGGATTCCATAATCCCATCAGCTCCTTAGTCATTAATCCACTAGTGTCATTTCTGGAAGGCTTCTTTCTCTCATCGCCATGGCCATTCAAGGCCTGCAGCTCTATGTCAGGCTTAGAAGCATGGGAATCTCTCTGGTGCTGTTTTGGGCTCTTCCTGCCTAGGCTTACATGCAATATGGACATATTAAAGTCTTGCTACTTTCTTAAGGCTCTGTTCTTGAAAAAAGAAGCAAGACTCTTCTCTCCAGTATCTACCAATACCTATCTTCTCATCTCTGCATCATAACTCTGTCTTTCCAAGTGAGGAAAGCTTTTATGGTCTGGAGGAAGCCAACTCTCATCTTTCAAATATATTTTTTCTGCCTAAATTATTTAAGCTAACCTTAAATATTTATAACCAAACTCCAGAAAAACACTAGCAAGTAATTTTGTAACTGTACTTTGAAAATTTCTCTTTTTTAAAGCAATAATTCCTGATCAACCACTACTTTGATTAAGCAGTATGGGAACATATAGATAAATTACTGGGAAAAAATGATTATGGGTTTAAAATGTCATCCAGCAACATTTACTTTAGTAATTAGCATAAATGTATACTTCTCATCTACCTAATCCATTAACTTGGTAGTCAACTTAGACTTCTTTCTCTTGCCCATCTCCATTGGTCTTGTTGTGCATAAACCAACACCAAAGAGAACCCTTTGGTGTAAAATTAGGTTTAATGGTAACATTCATGCCTAGACAATTCTGCTTGAGAAAAGCAGAATGAGTGAAATAATTCAAAAGTTCAAAGTAGGTAGGGTTAAACCATAAGGGAAAAGAAATAATATGTGCTAGAAGTTCAGTTGAAAAAGAAATAAATTCTTTTGTCTTGTCTTCCTTAAGTTTCACCTCCCTGCCTACATGTTCTAGGTATTCAGTAGTCATTTGTTGTTAATCATGATAATGACAATGGTGTCCATTTGCAGCTCAACTTGTAAGTTTATTTTTCCTTTTAAAGCAGCAATATGGTGCTTTTTTAATAATAGAGAGCATATTATCTTTCTGAAAGACACTTATAGTCATTCAGGTTGAGAAGTGCACACAGGCACAACATTCCAAAGTTATAACTTTTACTGTAGCTATCATAGCCTTGTATATTTAGGACAACAACTGAAGTAAAGGGTCTTGAGAAAAGGACAGCATTTTATAATTAACACATAGCTACCATATGAGCTAGGGACTATTCTTTCCCCTAAGTATCAAAGAGCTCTCTAATTTGGTCCTCAAATTTTAGTTTTAAGAACCACCTGAGCTCTTTATTTCATTCATACATTCTTTAAAAATATATCACGGTCATTATTTATTTATTTCATTTTTTTTTTAATTTTTGTTTTTGACAGGGTCTTGTTCTCTGTGGCCCAGGCTGGAATGCAATGGCATGATCATGGCTTACTGTAACCTCAAACTCTTAAGCTCAAGCAATCCTCCCGCCTTAGCCTACTGAGTAGCTGAGATTACAGGTGTGTGCCACCACACTAGGCTCTAAGGCTCATTATTTAGTTAGAAATAAAAAAGGCATGACATCAAGGACCTGTAGGCCTCTTCTTTCCTTAAACAACCATCTACTAATATATGCAAAGCATGGTATTAGTTATCCTCCTGGGAAGAACCAAAATAAGATTACAGAAGTATATCAGACCTAGTCCTCATCTTCTGAAAGTTGACATTCTAACTTATGAAATAACACAAAAGCAAATGGTTACAGTACAAAGTGATGAGAGCTGTAACTGCTGCCCGTCCAAAATGCTGAGGAAATACCAAGAAGGAAGCAACTAACTCTACCTTAGGGATTAGGAGAGAGCCTCAGTGAGGAAGTCAGGATTGGGACTTCCCAGGCAAAGAAGAGAGGGAATGCTTCCCAGTAAAAGGAAATAGCACATGCCTGTTTCAGGGAAGTAAATAATTCTGCTAGAAAATATTAACTGAGTCTGTAACTTGGGGTACAGAAGTGTGGAGAAGACAGATAAAGCAAATCTGGTAAGACTGGCTGGAGTCTGGTAAGATTATGGAAACTTGTTTGTCAGGACTTAGAACTTGATTTTAAATGAATATGAAGGAGAGAAATGCAACTGTGTAAAGAAGAAACTTCAGATGGTGTTGGGAAGATCTGAGGCACTCTACCAGCTGAGTATTAAAACTGTCTATTTGGCAGCACTGTAGAGGTGGGTTGGAGGAAAGCAAAGGACAAGTAAAGGGCTA
Source organism: Homo sapiens (assembly GCF_000001405.40). Taxonomy (NCBI): domain Eukaryota; kingdom Metazoa; phylum Chordata; class Mammalia; order Primates; family Hominidae; genus Homo; species Homo sapiens. The sequence goes on from NC_000003.12 coordinate 189,914,089, forward strand.
GTCCAGGTAGGACTAGGACAAACCTAACTTCAGGAATCTCTTAGCCATCTCTGACCTTGCAGGACATCATGGAAAAGCTCTAATCATCTTGACAAGAGTCTAATTCTAAGACTCCTGTTGTCTCCACAGCACCAAGCAGCTTGTGGTAACAAGTTTCTGTATGCCACCCACTTCTGAGGTCAAAAAAGAATGAAGGTGTTTATTTACAGTCCCTTCATTATTGCCTCTGATAGAATTGTGCTTCTTTCTTTCAGAGCATTTTTTTAAATTTGGAATTATTCTTTCATAAGTATGATTATTTGATAAATGTCTGATGAATCTCACTAGATTATAATCTTCAAAATATTAAAAGTGGTGCCTGTATTTTGCTCATCACTGTCTCTGGAGGCTAGCAGAGAATCTAGCATATAGTAGACAATCAATAAATGTTTGCTGAAGAAACATTGACTAAAATATTGAGAAAGTTGATGTAATAGCATGCTACTTAGAAAAATGTTTAGTGGTTTTTTTTGAAATGATAAAATATTCAATTCGTGATTTACTGTTTACTAGATAATTTTTTTGCTGTTTATAGCCAAATTTTCTCTTCAATATTGCATGTGTACACTAACTTTGTACCTATTAAATTTCAGGTCTGAAATCCACTTAAATTGGGAAGTAATTTGACCAAATTATTTAATTCTCTGGACTTTATATCCCAAGATAAAGTAATATCTTCTGTAACTAAAGGGGACTTTTTTAACCTAAGGCAAACAATTTTTCAATCATGACTTTACATTTGATGAGATTCCATTGAGAAACTCTATGCATGTCCTACTTCTAACAGGCACACACAAAAAGAGACAGTCAAAGCACTTCATTAAAGGCAGAAAGATTAAGGCAAAAGATTACACAACAAAACCACCCACATTCAGTTTTGCAAGTCTAATAGTCATCCTGAATCATCACCCTAGAGCGGCCTGTATTCCGTTCCAACTCGTGGCTTCAGCTTACCATTCAAGATGCAAGAAAGTAAAATATTAATATTGGTGACCAAAAAAGCAGGTGTGTTTCTCTTTCCTTAGATACTCTTAGCCCTGGAGGCAGCAATTGTTTCTTGATTTTTAGTTAGTAAATATACATCTCTTGGGAGGTAATTAAAGAACAAGCACATATTTTAAAATCACCAAAGAATAATACTTGATCGTATTTCTGGCAACCGAATCACTGACTTAAGAATCTCAGAAACTAGTTTTTAAATAAGCTTTACCCAGCCCTGGCTCAGCCCCATAACAATATCCTCCAGTTATTCATCCTTTCCTTTATCAGGCTCTTCTCTCAAACTACCCTATTTTTCTCTTCTTGTACATTTGTTCATGTTGTGTTCTTAACCTAAAGCAATGTCCTTCTCCTGGCAAAGTGTGTGCTCCAATGCTAGCCTACCATGTTCTCCCTCATCATTCTAGGAAAACTGTATTATTCCTTTGTCTGCTTCCCTACAGCATGTGGTTTATGCACCTGTTACACAGTTTTCTTCCTCTCTCCTATTCCAGTTATTTGACTGCAAGACCTGTTAAGTCAGGAAATATGGAATTCATCCTTATAGGCCTACTTAGAGACTAATTTGATGCCCCAAATAATGTAGGCAAGTGATAATAAATAATGAGTGAATGAACTTCATAAAATACTAGAGAATCTTTATAATAATAGATACAGGTACAGTAAGACAATTAACTAAAATAAAAAAGTTTGTTATAAAACTAAGAAACAAGGTCAAGGTCAATATAATTGTTGTACTTAAATGTTAAACGTAACATGAAACTTCCAGGAAACCAATGAAAAAAATATATAACTAATGGATCACATATTTCTCATGACTTAATGAGGAGTAATGGGAAACTAAAAATAGAACAGTTGTTACAAGGATTGAAATTTATCCTCACATTAGCACAATTCCTTATAGAATTGAAATGTTATACCCTATTCTAACTTTGAGCTTAAAAAGGAATACGAAGATGTTACAATCTTTTTTACACAATGTCAAGCATTCAATCCAAAATGATTAGCTATTTCCGAATAAGACAAAATGACCAAAAGGGGAAAAAAAATAACACTAGAAATCACTGAACAGGTGAAATGTATACAGAAAAAAAAATTTTTTTCAGAACTGACTAAAGAAATTAATTCACAGATTTAAAAAGCTCTGTGTGTCTTCAAAGGAAATGATGAAATACAGAATATAACAAAATGCTAATGCTAAACTATTGAAAAACAAAATTCACAAACAAAACCTATATGCCAGTTGAAAACATTTTTTTAAATGAACATAAAATAATTTTCAGAAAAATAATGAGAAAATTTAGTGGCAGCAGACATGTACTAAAAGATATGCTAAAGAATATTCTTTGGGCAGAAAGAAAGTTATCCTAGACAGAAATGCAAGAAGAAAATCAATCCAGGCAAAAATTTAAGTAGAAATAAAATCACTGGAAAGAATAAACATATAAGGAAACAGAAATGAATACTGATAGTATAAAATGACAATGGTAATACAACATGGGGTTTAAAATGCAGGCATAATTAAAATACTTGACAATAATACAAAAAAGCCTGAGTGGGGTAAATGAAATTGAAGAGTCCTCAAGTGCTCACATTTCCTAAGAAATGAACAAAATATTAATTAAGAGTACATGCTAATAATTTAAGGCTTTCTGTTGTAATTTTTAGTGTAATCACTAAAATAAGAGAAAAATAATTTCTAGCTAATAAGCTAATAGATGGCAAAATGGAATGATAGTTGAAAAAATAATCAATTAAAAAGAAGGCAACAAAAGAGAAAAAAAGAACAGTTGGGATAAACAAAAAAAATAGCAATACGGTAGATTTAAATTAAAAAAAATCAGTGATAAATTGCCTGTAAATAGACTACAAGTTTCAGATTTGATAAAAATAAAAATGCACATTCAATTTATGAGTCATTTCTTAAACAAATATGTAGAGAGGTTAAAAATAAAAGAATGGGAAAAAGAATATACTATGCAAATATTAACCAAAATTCACTTGGGAAACTAATAAAGTAGGCTTTAAAGTGAAAAGCATTATTATAAATAATAAGAAAAATTGTAACAATTACAAATCTGTCTTCACCTAATAACATCGTCTCAATATATAAACATGTATAATGTGGCACAACTGCAGTCATAATGAGAGATTTACAACTTTCAGTAACTCATAGGACAAGCAGACAAAAGTCAGAACAAATATAGTAGGTTTGAACTAAATAATTAACAAATATTGATTCAAAGTTTAAAAAAATAGAGTGTGTTCAACAGAAAAATATACTACATGGTATTTTTATAAAAATAATGGCCGGGCATGGTGGCTCACACCTCTAATCTCAGAACTTTGGGAGGTCAAGGCGGGTGGATCACTTGAGGTCAGGAGTTTGAGACCAGCCTGGCCAACAGAGCAAAACCCCACCTCTACTAAAAATACAAAAATTAGCCAGGCATGGTGGCCGGTGCCTGTAGTCCCAGCTACTTGGGAGCAATTCAAGCATGAGAATTGCTTGAACCTGGGAGACTGCATGAGCTGAGATTACGCCATGGCACTCCAGCCTGGGCAAAAGAGCAAGACTCTGTCTCAAATAAATAAATAAATAAATAAAATAAAATAAAATAAAATTTGAATGTTTGGATGTTAACTATAAACTCCTAAAATAATTGATGAACCAATGAATAAATTGCAGTGTAAATTGCAAAATATTTTGGATGACTTCTAAAGAAAAATATGGAGGTCAAGCTCATGCTTGTAATCCCAGCACTTTGGGAGGTACAGGTAGGAGGATCACTTGAGCCCAGGAGTTTGAGACCAGTCTGGGCAACATAAAGAGTCCCTGTCTCTCCAAAAAAGTTTTAAGAAATAAGCCAGACATGGTGGTGTGCAGCTGCATTCCCAGCTACACAAGAGGCTGAGGCAGGAGGATCACTTGAGTCCAGGAGTTCAAGGCTGTGATTGTGCCACTGCACTCCTGCCTAGCTGACAGAGCAAGACCCTGTCTCACACACACACACACACACACACACACACACACACGCATACTGAAGCTTTACATACACAGCTAAATTTGACAAAAAACAAACGAACAAACAAATACTGATTTGCAATCATCTACCAGAAAAGAAAGGCTGTATTTCATGATTTAATGTTTTATCTTAAAACATTATGAAAATAACATCAAAGTAAACATAAAGAACTCAGAAGAAAAGAAATAAGAGTAGAAATGAATGAATTAAAACCAAAAGTACAACAGAGAATATTAAAAAGGCAAGAATTGGTTTCTGAAAAATAATTAGTGAAGTGGATAAGACTTTTTTAAAAGATTGATCAAGAAAAGAAAAAAGTACAAATTACCATATTAGGAAGTAAAAGCGGGCATTATATGTATTACAAAATATAAATTACAGAATATTTTTGTAAATTACAAAATGTATTATTTAAAATATTATAACTTTCATATATTCTTTCATATACATATGAAAGATAAGAGAATACTAAGAATAATTTTTGATCAATATATTTGTAAATCAGAGGAAATGAAGAAAGTCATTGTGAAACACAATTGACCAAAACAAACACAAGGAAAAAGCGAAAAATCTAACAAATCCAACATATGATTTTTGAAAATGAATTTGTAATTTTAAAACATTTTACAAATAAATTTCCCAGCACAGATGACTTTACAGAAAACCTTTCCAATCATATATAAAAGAAAGAACACCACAAAATCATAAATAAAGGTAAAATAAAGCATTTTGTTTTTCTTATTCTTAATCTAAAATGTAACTTTAAATTATTAATAGTTACAATGTATTGGATAATTATAGTACATAGATAAGTAAAAGGGATGACAACTTTGTCATAAGAAATGGGATGGAGGAATTGGAAATTCTCTATTGCAAGATATCTGTACTACATCTGAAATGGCACAGTATTATTTGAAAATGGGCTTTGATTAATTTGAATTGAATAATGCAAATACTACAGTAATCACTAAATAATTTAGAATAAGTAATAAATTAAATTTAAAACTTTAAAATGCATATAATACATGGGCTAAGAGTGGAGATAAATGCAATTATGCAAAATGAATAATTAACCAAAGAAGAATTTTTTATAAGTAGAGAAAAAAACAGCAAATGCAACAAATAGAAAGCAGTTTAAAACACGTTAAATTTGAATCCAACTGTGTAAACAACCACTGTAAATGTGAATGCTCTAAATACACTAAATAAGACAATATCAGAGTGAATAAAAACAAGTAAGATACAACTACATGTTGTCTACCAAGAACCCACTTTAAAATGTAAAGTCTCAGGTTAAATGTAAAGATATACCATGCTAATTCTAACCATGAGAAAGCTAGAGTAGTTATGCTAATTTTAAACAAAGCACACTTCAGAACAAGGACAATTTTGAAAGATAAAGAGGAGTAATACATAATGATAAAAGGGTTAACTTTCTAAAAGGAGACACCAACCCTTAATGTGCATGTACCCAACAACACAGCATAAAAATATGCAAAGCAAATCTGATAGAACTGCAAAGAAAAATTGACAAGTCCACGACTATAGTGGGAGACTTCACCACTCGTTTAATAATTGATAGATCCAACAGGTAGAAATCTGATAAGGATATAGATGACCTTAAAAACATCATCAATCACAGTGACCTAATTGACATTTGCAGAAAACTCTATTTAATATGATGAAATATACTTTTTCTCAAGCCCCCATGGAATATTCGCCAAGAAGAACCACATTTTAAATCATAAAACACACCTTAACAAATTTAAAGGAACAGAAGTTATACAAAGTATGCTCTCAATACACACAATAAACAAGAAATCAGTAATATAAAGTTGGGTGAAAAATATCAAAGTATCTGGTGATTAAATAGCATACATCTAAATAACACATGATCAAAAAAGAAGCCTCAAGATAAATTTAAACATGTTTTAACTAAATGAAAGTAAAACATCAATATTTGTGAGTGGCAACAAAAGCAATGATTACAGGAAAATTTACAATTACATGCTTATGTTAGAAAAAAAGGGAAATATCTTAAATCAATGACTTAATCTTCTACCTTAGGAAACTAGAGAAAAAAAGAGTCATGTAAGCCTAAAGCAAGCAGAAGAAAAAAAAACATAAAAAATAGAGCAGAAATTGATGAAATTAAAAACAAAAATAAAATAGAAAAAGGTAAACTAATATCTATTTCTTTGGAAAGATCAATAAAATTAATATGTAAGAAAGTAAGAAAAAGAGAAGACTTAAATTGCCAATATCAGAAATGAAAAAGAGGTTATTATTTTTTATTTTATGAAAATTAAAAGGATAATCATGGAATACTATGACAACTCTTTGCCTACAAATTTGATAACTTAGATAAAATTGACCAATTCCATGAAGACAGAATCTACTAAAACTCATATAAAGAGAAACAGATAATCTGAATAGGCCTACATCTATCAAATAAGTTGAATTAATAATTGATAACCTACAATAAAAGAAATAATAGGTCCAAATGGTTTCATGACGGATTCTACCAAATGTTGAAGGATGAATTATACTTATTCTCCACAATCTTTCGAGAAAATAGAAGCAAAACAAACACCTCAGCTCATTCTATGAGGACAATGTGACTCTAGTAACAAAACTAGATAAATAAATTACAAGGAAAAAAGAAACAGTTGGTTCAGCATTTAAAAACCAACATAATTCACCACATCAAAAGGCTAAAAAAGAAAAATCATATGACTAAATGCATAAAGTATTTGATAAAATCTAACACCCTTTCATGATTAAAAATGAGCAAAAGCCAACCAAACAAAAACTCAGCAAACTAGGTATAGGAGGAATATCCTCAACTTGATAAAAATCTATACTCATGGCCGGGCATGGTGGCTCACGCCTGTAATCCCAGCACTTTGGGAGGCTGAGGCGGGTGAGTCACGAGGTCAGGAGATCGAGACCATCCTGGCTAACATGGTGAAACCCCATCGGTACTAAAAATACAAAAAAAATTAGCCGGGCGCTAATTTTTGGAGCACCTGTGGAGGTGGGCGCCTGTAGTCCCAGCTACTCGGAAGGCTCAGGTAGGAGAATGGCATGATCCCGGGAGGCAGAGCTTGCAGTGAGCAGAGATCGTGCCAGTGCACCCCAACCTGGGTGACAGAGTGAGACTCTGTCTCAAAAAAAAAAAAAAAAAACTACTCATATTTAATGGTAAGAAACTGGATACTTTCCCCTAGGATCAGAAACAAGGTAAAGATACCCTCTCTTACCATTTCTATTCAACCTGGTACTGTAAGTTCTATCTATCTAGTGTGATAAGACAAGAAAACAAAATAAAATGTATATACATGAGGAAGAAAGAACACTGTTTTTGCAGACAAAGCGATTGTCTATGTAGAAAGTCCCTCCTGGAACTAAGAAGCAAGTATAGAAAGGTGACAAGTTACAAGTTACTATACAAAAGCCCATTACTTTTCTATATACTAGCAATGAACAGTTGGAATTTAAAATTATAAAAACAATACCATTTGCAGTAATACTATAAAACAAAATATACATGTATAAATCTAACAAAATATGTGTACAATCTAATTGTGGAAAACAACAAAGCTGTGATGAAATAAATCAAATGCCTAAATAAATGGAGGTGTTCCATGTTCATGGATTGGAAGACCCAATATTATTAAGATGTCAATTCTTTTCAACTTGATCTATAGATTCAATGCAATTGCAATCAAATCTCAGTAAGCTCTTTAGCAAACTGATTCTCAAGTTTATATTTAAAGGCTAAAGACCTAGCACAGTTAACACAATACTCAAGAACACAGCTGGAGGGATAAGAACAATGGAACAGATTAGAGAGGTCACAGATAAGCCCATTGCAAATACAATCAACTGAGAAAGGTGCAAAGTCAATTCAATAGTGAAAGCACAGATTTTCAACAAATTGTGCTGAATCCTCACATGCAAAAAAAGGGTAAACTAGACAGACCTTATACCATTCACAAAAATTAAATCAAAATGCACCTTAGTTTAAAATATGAATTGCTACACTACAAAACTTCTGAAAGAAAAACAGGAGAAAATTTATGTGATGAGTTTTTAGATATAACATCAAATGCACAACCTGTGAAATAAAATAAATTATTTGAACTCTATTAAAATTACAAACTTCTCTGCTGAAAACAATGTTAAGAAAATAAAAATACAAGCCATAGACTTGGATAAAATATTTGCAAGACGTATATCTGATAGAAGGCCTGCATCCAAAATGTAGAGTAATCTCTTAAAAATCCACAATAAGAAAACAACCCAATAAAAATGGGTAGAAGATCTGAAAAGACATCTCATCAAAAAAGATATACTGATGGTAAATAAACATATAAAATGCCCAGTAACATTTGCCATTAGGAAGTTAAAATTAAAACAATATGGAGGTACTACTACACATCTATTAGAATGGGTAAAACAAAACAAATAAGAAAAAAAATCACTAACAATACCAATTGCTAGTGCAAATGCAGAGGAACAAGAATTTTTATTTGCTGCTAGTGGTAATGAAAAATGATATGACCACTTTGGAAGACAGCATGTGAGGTTCTTACAAAGCTGAACTTAGTCTTATGATCTAGCAGTCACACTTTTAGGTACATACCTAATTGATTTGAAGAGTTATAACGAAACAAAAATCTACACACAGGTGTTTAGAACAGCTTTATGTACATTTGCCAATCCTAGAAAGAACCAAATTCTTCAATAGGTGAAGAGATACACAAATTGTGATACATTCATGCAATGGAACATTATTCAATGATAAAAGTAAAATAACAAGTCATAAAAATACACAGAAGAGCCTTAGTGTTGACTACTATGTGAAAGAAGCCAGTCTGAAAAGACTACAAACCTGTATGATTTTCATTATGAGGATATTCTGGAAAAGGTAAAACTGTAGATAAAGTTAAAAAGTAAGTGATATCCAGGACTCAGTGAGAGAGGGAGATGGTTAAATAGGTAAAATTCCCGTGATTTTTAGGGTATTAAAACTATCCTGTATGATGCTATAATGGTATGTACTATAATGACATTATGCATTTATCAAAACCCATTGAACTTCACAATACATAGTGTGAACCTTAATGCATGCTCATTTTAAAAAATCATCTCTGAAACTGGAGGATTTTAGGAAGAAGTGTGGACTGTGGCAAGAGAATCTTACTGTATTACAGATGTATGAAAAACTTCAATGAAAGGTTTGGAGGGAAAAGATACTGGCTAAGTAAACTTTGGAAATTACTTGAGTGTGTAAAACGGAAAGTAAAATAAGCTACTTACAAGCGCTATACTCTAGTTAGTAAAGCTGTTTCTAGCAGGTGCTAATACTGATGGTGCTATACTGTATACTGAAATTGAACAATTAAGTAAATGGATAGTGGATGGTGGACACAAGTTTCTCAGTTTAGGTGTGGGTTAACAGATAAGCAAAAAAAGTATGCCGCGGGTATTCACATGGTAATGGATTATATTTGGAGACATAAGTATGAACTCTTGTTTGCTTAAATTGTAGATATAGATTATTACAATTAAAACATTTATAAATATGTGTATATACACCAATTAGTATCTTTCCTTGGTTTGGTTAGCTGATGACATGGACAAAATTCTTGAATGACACTATGATCAAAATGTACACAAAAGAGGCCGGGCACGGTGGCTCACGCCTGTAATCCCAGCACTTTGAGAGGCCGAGGCGGGTGGATCATGAGGTCAGGAGATCGAGACCATCCTGGCTAACACGGTGAAACCCCATCTCTACTAAAAATACAAAAATTAGCTGGGCGTGGTGGTGGGCGCCTATAATCCCAGCTACTCGGGAGGCTGAGGCAGGAGAATGGCGTGAACCCGGAAGGCAGAGCTTGCAGTGAGCTGAGATCGCGCCACTGCACTCCAGCCTGGGCAACAGAGCAAAACTCTGTCTCAAAAAAATAAAAAATAAAAATAAAAATAAAAAGTACACAAAAGAAATAGAAAACAAGAATAGCCCTATGTCTATTAGGAAAAATGAACTTGTAATTTACAACCTTCATCCACATAAAACTCTAGTCCCAGATGGCTTCATGAGTGAATTCCATCAAATATAAGTTTAAAAATATAAAGCAAATTCTACATAAACTTTTACATAAAATAGGAGAGACTTGCCAAGTCATTTTATGAAAACAACGTCACATTGTTATAAAAACCAGACTAAAACATTAGAAAAAAATACTCTGAAAGACCATTTTTTTCAGGAATATATTATCTTGTTAATATATTAGCAACTTGAACCTAGCAGTATACAAAATGATAATACACTTTATCATATAGAGTTTAATCTCATGAGTGCAAAATTGGGTGAACATTAGATATTCAATCAATGGAATTTATAATAAAACAATAGATGTGGCCAGGCGCGGTGGCTCACACCTGTAATCCCAGCACTTTGGGAGGCCGAGGCGGGTGGATCACGAGGTCAGGAGATAGACACCATCCTGGCTAACACGGTGAAACCCCATCTCTACTAAAAAATACAAAAAAATTAGCCGGGCGTGGTGGCGGGTGACTGCAGTCCCAGCTACTCGGGAGGCTGAGGCAGGAGAATGGCGGGAACCCAGGAGGCAGAGTTTGCAGTGAGCAGAGATCGCGCCACTGCACTCCAGCCTGGGAGACAAAGCGAGGCTCCGTCTCAAAAAAAAAAAAAAAAAAAAAAAAAAAAAAAAAAAAAAAAAAAAAAACCAATAAATGTGAGAAGATTATCATTTAAATGGATGGAGAGATAGCATTTGACAAAATTAAATTCATTCATGATCAAAAAAACCTCTCATCAAATTAGGAATAGGAGGTAATTTTTTCAACTTGATGAAGTGCACCCCATAAAAGTAGAAGCTAATGTTACACATAATAGTAAAAGAAAATCTGACAAAATTGTCCTGATGATAAAAGAAGGTTTGAAGGAAACTATTTCTTTGATTCCTGCCTATTAATAGACAATTAATCTCTATTGCAGGCAAAGTCAAATAAGCACTTTATTCATTTTCATGGGAATGTAAATTGGTATAATCTTTCAGGAAATAAGCTGGGCAACATGTGCAAGGAACTTTAAAACGATCATATCCTTTGACCTGGAGTTTTTACCTTTTAGAATCTACTAGAGGATCTTATCAAAGATATAGGTAAATATTTATATATAAGAAAGTTCACTGGATAATTTGTTTTTATTTGTAGAACCACGTATTGAACTTTAAAACTCAGATAAGATTACTTAACTTTCCTTTTAGAGAACACAATTTGCCTTCAAAATTATTTAGGAACTAAATTGTTCCCTCCTTCTCCCACAAAGAGAAAGGAAAGGCATACAACTATCCTGTTACCTCTCCTTAAGCCAGCAAAGAAAGGATAACCCTGTTGGTGACAGGACTAGTCTAAGGAACCTCTCAGCTAATAGGCAATGAACAGAAAAATAAATAAATAAATAAATAAATAAAAGCTATGTTCCTCAAAGTGTTTGAAGGCAGACGACATCCTGTGAAACTGCCCCGTCTTGGAAAAGTTTGACCAAAGTTTTTATCTATCCAATTCAGTAGAGCATTGATTTGACAAGTGCTAACCAGAAGCTGCGCTCTAGGTTCTAGAAGTTGGACTTCCCCTATTAAAATTAGGATGCTTTTTTATCCATATGCTTTTGGCATCATTCCACCCATCTTCCTTAGATTCTAAGAAGTTCTCTCTATTTTGTGACTTACCTTTTTAAATAATGTTTTTATTCCCATCACCTTAGGTTGTTTACAGAGATGTATAGCCCTTTAATTAAAAACAAGACTATAATTTTATAATCCAGAGCTATACACACACACATATGTATATATACACATCTGTATGCCAGTAAGTAATCTGTATCTGTACACATAATTTTTTTTCACACACACACAATTTTTACAGCATTGCTTAATGTGAGATTATTGGCTCAAAGGACCAAAAAGGGATCCTCTGATCAGTGAGGTTTTTTGGCTGAGACCTCATACTACAATAGCAGCGACAACAGTGTCAACCATCAAAATAGCCATTAGGAAGAGATGGGTTAAAAAATTGTGTTATTAATATATAATGGAATATTTTTCATTCAACTGTTATGTTTTCGAGCAAAGAGCATGAGAACATTTCACATTTTATACAATAGGTGCTCAACATTTCTTGAATTAATTTAATTTTATGTGTTTTACAATACTGGCATAATAATGTATGCAAGTTAAATGTTTTTCCCCATTTATCAGTATCATCATGTCTATAAACCCTCTTTGAAAATGCATTTTACACACTACACAATATTTTACTACACGATATTTTACTACACAATGTTTTATTATATGTTAGTAAACAAATTAAGAATAACTATGATACCACACATCATACTGGCCCCAGGATAAAATATAGATAGTTTTTTCCAGGGTTAATTCATTGTACCCTGTTGATAAATATTTGTTAATTTTCTCTTAAGATTTACACATCTGTCTTTACCCTCCCCCGCCACCGAAAGTATAGCCCCACATGGAAGCAATTCTCTAATTATCTAAGGCTATTAAAGAAGATTCCACTGTAACTACCATGAAATAATTATACTTGTATAAAATTAATTAGTTTATAAGTATGCCCTTTCATACTGAGTATACCATTTGCAACTTAAAATAGCTCTATTATATTGGCATGAGAAGGCATAATCTCATTTAGCAATGAAAATACTGAAATCAGAGAAGTTAAGTGAATTACCCAAAGTCACCTGAATAATTAGCAGTGAAATCATGGCTTAATTTTCTGACACTAAATTCAATCAGTGTCCTTTCACTACATCTTTGGTCTCCTGCGATGTTTTTCCGTAATAAATAGAAAACATCAATCATGATTTTGCATAAGAAGCACATGGCATTTCTTGACTGTACATAACCAATAACCATGTACCAATATAAAAACTTATTTTTGTTTCACTGTAGTTCTGTTTGTTTGTTTGCTTGTTTGTTTGTTTTTACCAGGTTTATTTAGCTGAACCTCAGGTATATTGAAATTCTAGGAGAAATATTTCTATTGCCTCAGCAACCAGATTTTAAGGAGTGTTCTAGGTTCTCATTTTGCAACAGAATTGATAGAGCTTAACAGATGGCTAAATCTTAATTCTAAATTTCAGTGCAAAGAGTCACCGGAATCTAGGTCGACACTGGGACAATAGGCAACACTGTCTGAGAGCTTCACGGTGGTATGGTCCTAGAGCTTTCAGTAGGCATAAGAATCACTTTGGGGAGTTTTAAAATGCAGACTCCAAAGATCTATTTCTGATTAAGCATAACAAATTTGGGGGGTTTGGAATTAGAATCTGCATTTTAACAAGATCTCCATGTAATTTTAATGCAGGCACTTATTAGAAACATTTCTGTGAAGCCCTGCAGACTTGTTTTGTCATGTGGGATGTTTGGCAAACAGTGAAAAGGCTTCAGAATCCAAATATCCCTTCACAAAGATTATCTGCCATATAATAATGTCCTTTTAAGCATAAGCACTTCTGTCTCTTGTCCTTCATTCACCCCAAAGATGACATTGGCTATTAAATGAAAGAAAGTGTCAAATTAGAGTCAGGACATTTGATTGCTGTTTCACCTTAGTATCTCCAACCTAACATAGAGAACAATCTCTGCCTAGACTGGTGCATACAGTGGTTATGGAAATGAAATGAGAAATGAGAAAGCTTCAAAAACCAAATTTCAAAATAAAAGAGTATTTCTCAGATTAATTGTTCTCAAACTGTTTTTTATATTAGATCTTGGGGAGCTTTCAAAAATTCTGATGCCCAGGCATTAGTATATATATTTTTAAACTTTCCAAGAGATTTCAGTGTACAACCAAGTTTAAGAACCAGTATATTAGACCAATCCTTACATTTTGCCTTAGTGCATTCACTTTTGCCTTAGTGCATTCAATCTCTTAAAAAATGAATAAGCACTGATAAACTCTTGCTGTAGAATTGATTCATTGGATTCTTTAGAATCAGCTCCACTCTCACCATAAATCAGCAGTGTTTTATGTTGGGCATGAGCAGAGCTGCCAAACAGGCCATTTTCTTTCTGTCCTTCAACATTGTTTCCTCTAGGTAACTCACTGGCCTTGGATTAAGGAAATTGGCAACTAAATCGAGTCTCAGGAAAAGCTGCCATGCTGTATCTTGCTGCAGGGGAAAAGATCAGCCCTTCATTTCTGGGAATTCTTAGTCATAAGCCACATGTCATCAGCCATACCAACCATTTAGTTCCATTTCCCTTCAGGTGAGACTGAGTCACTTCTCCAGAATGAGGACAGCAATGCAAGATGGTAGAGAGAAGAGATTTGTTACCAACGTGGGAATAAGGATAACTTATCTCACATGATTTATTCAACATACATGCCTCTGGGTACCATTAGTTCAGAAAAATCATTAAATTATTCAGGTACCAGTCTAGATAAGGTCCTTTACCTCATATAACATTCATTTCAGGTTTCTGATACAGATCAGCACCTAATCCCCAAACTTATTTTGAAATTAAGAAACAGTACCACGTGATGGAGAGAGTCTGTTGCACCAAAATGACATGGTAGGAGACTTTATTTGTCCACCTCGGCCTTCTGATAGCTGCAAAAGTATTCAGACCTTCAACATTGCTCCAGGCCCCTTCGTATTTACCTGCACTAGAGCATCGGTCTCACCAATTCACACCCCTAACTATTCCGGCAGAATATATGTCAGTTTACAAAATCTCTAACCCCACGCTACTACTACCACCACCATTAATTCTAGCTGCAACATTACAAGAGGACAGCTTGCATTTCCATACCCTCTTAAAGTTTATTTCCATACTAGTAATGTAAAGAGACTGTATTTACATGTGGCTTTGATCCGGCTGTATGAGTGTGAGTCATTAACATATTGTTTCTGAATCTCATTTCCCTCATCTGTAAAATGGAGCTAGTAATTCTGATTTAATAAGGTGTTGGGAGTTTGTAATGTCATGTTAAAATTAAGAAAGCACTCTCTAAACCAGAAAACTGTTACAAATTAGATTGTATTATCACTCTTCAGAAACCCAGGATGCCCAAGACACTTCCCCCTTCATTTGAAATATTATCCTGTCATTCTGTCTTATGAAGATGTCCCAGTGTTTCAGGATCTGCAACAGGATGCCTACTGTGTTAGGAACTCTATGGCCCCCTTTTGTGCAAGGTGATGTTAGTGTGACACAGTAGCAAGTGCATTGGATAATGTCAGAAAATCTGTGTTTTATTCTCATGACTGTTCTTAGTAATTTAAGTTCCATGAATTTCATTTTTCTCACCTGTGAAAATGAGAATTAGATCTATCTCAAAGATTTATTTTAGGACTTACATTTAATATTTGTGACAGTGCTCATAAATCATTAAAAATATATATAAAATTATCAGATTATGATGAAGGGTAATTAAATGTTATGATGCTAGTTAACTATTCTTAGTCAAGTCTCTGGTATAATAATTTCATCTATCTAGCTATGTGAGATTACTGTAATGTTGAAGTTTTAGGATCCAGCTATGGGGTGGTTTAGGGTCAAAATCAATGGCCTTTGAGTCATTCCAAGCCCACCTTTACATAGATTCATGCATATACACGCATCTTTTACTGAATCAAGAGTCTGGGTTTCTCGTTCCTCCCATTTCCAAAACCCACTCCTCATCATCCATCTTCCTTGTTAATCTTGTCTTCTCTGATGATAAATCTTTTTGCTCCCTAAGATAATTTTTAGCACAAACTTTTTGTCTTTGACCCCCTTTACTTCTCCTTTCACAATATTAAAGAAGCTCATACAGTTTTATAGTTTTGACTAACATGCATTTATTAAGAGTGTAATATCAGCCAGCTCTTGTGCTTTATGCAGGTGACTTCTGAATTTATAATTTTAGTGTTTAAAGTTCTCTTCATTTCTAGTCCCACAATTTCAACTCCCTGCCAGACTTCTGCTAGAATTTCCATCAGCACTGATAATAATAATAAATAACATTATAAAATAACCCATATGGTGCCTAAACCCAAAACCTCTCCTACCTTTTTCACCTCGCGTTCTTGTTACTACTCCTACAACTTTTCAGGCTATAAATGCATCTTTAATCGAGTGACTGCCAAATACCGACAATGTTTCTTTCATGATATTTCTCAGACATATTTCCCTGACAACCACTGATCTATTTACTGTCTCCATAGTTTTACCTTTTCCAGAAAGTTGTAAAGCTATAATCATACAGGTTGTAGCCTTTCAGACTGGCTTCTTTCACTTGGCAAAATGCATTTAAGGCATTTCCGTGTCTTGATGGATCCTTTGTTTTTAATGCTGAATAATATTTCATTTTATAGAAGTAGCACAGTTTATTTATCCACTCACCTATTGAAAGGCATCTTGGTTGCTTCCAAGTTTGGCAGTTATGAATAAAGCTGCTATCAACATTCATGGGCAGGTTTTTGTGTGGACATGAGTTTTCAATTGGTTTGGATAAATACTAACCAGCATGATTGCTGGATCATACGGTAAGAGTCATCCCTCAGTATCATAGAGGATTGGTTTCAGTACCCCCTGCAGAAATCAAAATCCATGGATGCTCAAGTTCCTTATATAAAATGGCACAGTATTTGCATATAACCTATGCACATCCTCCTATATACTTTAAATCATCTCCAGATTACTTATAATACCTATTATAGTGTAAATGCTATGTAAGTAGTTGTTATACCGTAATGTTTTTATTTGTATTTTTTTATTGTTGTATTGTTATTTTTATTGTAGTGGTTTTACCTTTTCAAATATTTCCAGTCTGTGTTTGGTTGAATATGCTGATGCAAAACCCTTGGATATTGAGGGCTGACTGTATTTAATTTTTTAATATTAATTTAATTAATATTTGTAAGAAACTACCAAACTATCAACCAGAGTGGCTGTACTATTGACATCCCCATCAATAATGAATGAGAGTTCTTGTTGCTCCACATTCTTACCAGCACTTAATGTTGTTAGTGTTTGGGATTTAAACCATTTTAACAGGTATGTAGTGGTATCTCATTTTAATTTCCTAATGGCATATGATATTTAGCATCTTTTCATATTATTACCTGCCACTTATATACCTAGTTTGGTGAGATGACTGTTCATATATTATGACAATTTTATATTTGAGTTGTTTGTTTTCTTATTGTTGAGTTTGAAGATATCTTTCTATATGTTGTATACCAGTCCTTTGGAGATAAATCTTATGCAAATATTTTCTCTAAGTCTATGGATTATAGTTTCATTCTCTGGACATGTTTTTCACAGAGCAGCTTTAAATTTTCATGAAGTCCAACTTATCAATCTTTTCTTTTATAGCTTATGTTTCTGGTGCTGTACAAAAAAGATTATCACCAAACCGAATGTAAACTGGATTTTCTACATTGTTTCCCAGGAGTTTTCCAGTTTTGCATTTTAGATTTGGCTTTATGATCCATTCTGAGCGAATTTTTGTGAAAAGTATAAGGTCTGTGTCTAGATTCATTTTGTTTTGTATGTGGGAGTCCAGTTGTTTCAGTGTCGCTTATTGAAAAGACTATTTTTACACATCCTATTGCCTTTGCGCTTTTGTCAAATGTGAGTTGGCTATATTTGTGCAGATTTATTTCTGCGTTCTTTATTGTGTTCCGTTGACTTACTTATTTTTCTTTTTTCTTTTTTTTTCCCAATACTCACCGTCTTGAATACTGTAACATTATATTAAGCCTTATAGTTAGGTAGTGCCAGTCCTTCAACTTTGTTCTTCTCTTTCAATATTGTGTTGAATTTGCTGAAAGATTCTTTTATCATGAATGGGTATTTGATTTTATCAAAGGCTTTTTCTGCATTTATTGATAGGATAATATGATCTTTCCCTTCTTTAGTTTTTTTTTTTATTATACTTTAAGTTCTGGGATACATGTGCAGAATATGCAGGTTTGTTACATAGGTATACACATGCCATGGTGGTTTGCTTCACCCATCAACCCGTCATCTACATTAGGTATTTCTCCTAATGCTATCCTTCCCCTGGCCCCCCTCACTCCCCAACAAGTCCCAGTGTGTGATGTTCCCCTCCCTGTGTCCATGCATTCTCATTGTTCAACTCCCACTTATGAGTGAGAACATGCAGTGTTTGGTTTTCTGTTCCTGTGTTAGTTTGCTGAGAATGAGAGTTTCCAGCTTCATCCATGTCCCTGTAAAAGACATGAACTCATTCTTTTTAACAGCTGCATGGTATTCCATGGTGTATATGTGCCACATTTTCTTAATCCAGTCTATCATCGATGGGCATTTGGGTTGGTTCCAAGTCTTTGCTATTGTGAATAGTGCTGCCATAAACATATGTGCGCATCTGCCTTTATAGTAGAATAATTTATAAACCCTTGGGTATATACCCAGTAATGGGATCGTTGGGTCAAATGGTATTTCTGGTTGTAGATCCTTGAGGAATTGCCACACCGTCTTCCACAATGGTTGAACTAATTTACACTCCCACCAACAGTGTAAAAGCATTCCTATGTCTCCACATCCTCTCCAGCATCTGTTGTTTCCTGACTTTTTAATGATCGCCATTCTAACTGGCGTGAGATGGTATCTCACTGTGGTTTTGATTTGCATTTCTCTAATGACGAGTGATGAGCTTTTTTTCAAATGTTTGTTGGCCGCACAAATGTCTTCTTTTGAGAAATGTCTGTGCATATCCTTTGCCCACTTTTTGATGGGTTTTTTTTTTTTCTTGTAAATTTGTTTAAGTTCCTTGTAGATTCTGGATATTAGCCCTTTGTCAGATAGATACATTGCAAAAATTTTCTCCCGTTCTGTAGGTTGCCTGTTCCCTCTGATGATAGTTTCTTTTGTTGTGCAGAAGCTCTTTAGTTTAATTACATCCCATTTGTCAATTTCGGCTTCTTTGCTGTTGCTTTTGGTGTTTTAGTCATAAACTCTTTGCCTATGCCTATGTTCCGAATTTTTTTTTTTTTTTGACAAGGTCTCATTCTGTCACCCAGGCTAGAGTCCAGGTGTGATCACAGTTCACTGCGGCCTAGAACTCCTGGGCTTAAGAAACACCCCCATCTCGGCCTCCCAAATAACTGGGACTACAGGGACATGCCACAGTATCCAGCTACTTTTTTTTTTAACTTTTTTTGTAGAGACAGGGTCTTCCTATGTTGCCCAGGCTTTTAGCCTGTTGATGTGGTGGATTAAATTAATTAATTTAGTGAATGCTGAAATAGCCGTGCATCCCTAAAATAAATCCCACTTGGTCATGATGTATAATTCTTTTTGTAGGTTGTTGCATTTCATTTGCTAATAGTATCTTGAGGATTTTTGCATCTATGTTCATGAGTGTCAACTACCTTGTAATTTATGGATTTTAAAATGTAGCTCTAACAGTATCATAAAATTGCTTCATATAACTTGCAGTTTATTGTGGATTTATTCATTTTAACATGAAGAACTCAGGATGTTATATTTAATTTGTATTATCCCAGAATGTTGCAAGCTGTGTGGCATATAGGAAAACATTAAATAAATGTTCATTCACTCAACTGATCAACTGAAAAAGTAACCATGTGATAAGTAAGTGCATATTTAGATCCCACTCTGTGTATGAAACTGGGCTAATTAATGGCAACACACGGGTGAATCAAACTAAACTCTGTCTTTATGGATATCACCAGACACTACTTGAGACATGGTTAAATTAGAATTGTTATAATTATGAGATCTACTCTAAAGTTGGAACCACAGTCAATGTAAAAATTGGCCAAACAACAAGATCCTCCGTTTGAAAGCTAATTCTCTATACTGCAAGGCAAATTTTCAGTAGATATTCAAGGTATTCAAATAGCACAAATTATAGTTGGAAATATATCTATTATGCAAACAAAGGGGTTATAAATAAAGTTTGTGAGGCTGGTGGATATGGCATTTTTATTTTTTCTTGACTTCTTTAATCAATTTAATTCTTTCTTCCCTGATCACTCCCCTTCACCACTAACACTTATTGAACCCCATAGTAAGCAATGAAATGGATACTCAGAGTATGAGTAAAGCACTGGTAGAAAATGTTGGCAGTAACAAAGGCAGGACAAATGTGTATTACTGATTTTTCTATTCAAGTGCAATGCAGAACCTTGTCATAGGAATCTGAAGAATAGAGGCAGAAAGAAAGTAATTCTTTACAAAATAAAAGGATATTGGGTGAGGTTTGTTATCTATAAAGATATGTCTTCATTCATTATGTCATTTATTTAACAAATGTTTACCAACTTCTTAGCATGTGCCAGGCAGGCCTTGTGGTAAGTACATTCGAGATGAATAAACCATGTTCTCTATGCCTTTGAGAAACACACAGTCAATTAGGAAAGATAAGATATGCACATAAGTAACTCTAACACAATATCTAGCATAGTATAGGTGATCAATAGGTATTTAATGAAATTTAATTTAATTGATTCAATAATTATTTATAGAGCATGTAGTACCTTCCAAACCCTATTCTGGGTGCTTGGGATACACCATTGAACAAAACAGACAGACAAAATCCTTGCTCTCAAGTTGCTTTTGTACTCACAAGGGAAAAATTTAATGGTATTGACAGAGATAAGTTGCTAGAACTCAAATGAGAAATGCAGATAAAATGTTACTAGCATTATATTGAAAGGTGGAATGGTTACAGTGGATGGGGGAGAGCCAAGGAATGTCATCCATACATTACAGCCCCATTTTGTTTTGTTTTCTGTTCTTCTTTGGAGATTCAGAAGAAATGCAATCCACGCAGAAAGGGACAGATGAGTCAGTCTCCAGTGAGCAGCTGGGTGTGCATGTGTCCTGGATCCTTAGGCACTTCATTGAATCTATATGCATTGGACATGTGGCTGGGACTACTAAGACATAAAGTTGGAGAGTTAGATGAACGCCTACAAACTTTAAGTCGGATGGCTCTATAGCATGCAGAGGGAACCTAACGAAGATTTTTAAAGAGAAGGATGATGTTATTCAAGTGATGTTGCCAGAAGGATGGATGTAGTAGTGTATCCAGAATTGGTTCCTTCCGGTGGGTTCTTGGTCTCACTGACCTCAAGAGTGAAGCTGTGGACCCTCGCGGTGAGTGATACAGGTCTTAAAGATGGTGTGTCCGGAGTTTGTTCCTTCAGATGTTCAGATGTGTCCAGAGTTTCTCCGTTCTGGTGGGTTCATGGTCTTGCTGACATCAGGAGTGAAGCCACAGACCTTCACAGTGAGTGTTACAGCTCTTAAAGGTGGTCCAGCCGGAGTTGTTCATTGCTCCCAGTGGGTTCATGGTCTTGCTGACTTCACGAGTGACACCGCAGACCTTCACATTGAATGTTACAGCTCATAAAGGTAGTGCAGACCCAAAGAGAAACCAGCAGCAAGATTTACTGTGAAGAGCGAAAGAACACAGCTTCCACAGCGCAGAATGGGACCCCAGTGGGTTGCCACTGCTGGCTCTGGTGGCCAGCTTTTATTCCCTTATTTGGCCCCACCCACATCCTGCTGATTGGTCCATTTTACAGAGTGCTGATTGGTCCATTTTGACAGAGTGCTGATTGGTGCATTTACAAACCTTTAGCTAGACACAGAGCGCTGATTGGTGCATTTACAATCCTTTAGGTAGACAGAAATGTTCTCCAAGTCCCCTACCCAATTAGCTAGACACAGAGCCCTGATTGGTACATTTACAAACCTTTAGCTAGACAGAAAAGTTCTCCAAGTCCCCACCCCACCCAGAAGCCCAGCTGGCTTCATGTCTCAGTAGTGTCATTGAGAATAAAAGAAAGGAATTGCAGGCAAAGGCATATTTATGTTAATTTAAAATAGTA
The DNA here is from genome assembly GCF_000001405.40 of Homo sapiens. Taxonomy (NCBI): domain Eukaryota; kingdom Metazoa; phylum Chordata; class Mammalia; order Primates; family Hominidae; genus Homo; species Homo sapiens. Next base: position 189,936,091 of record NC_000003.12, read on the forward strand.
AAATAGTGTGCATGTGGATCGTTTCTAGTCTCAGGACAGAAGCTGAAGTTTGTGCCCATGGACTATGCATCAAAATCTGTGCTCCTGAAGAAAGGCACCAAAATACTAGAGAAGAATGTTCTGCAAAGGCATTGCTGGTCTTTCTATGTCTACCTTGATATTTATAAGTCTCCTGAGGAGATTCTACTTTCTCTGTGGAATGATATTACATAATCATTTAGGAGTTTGACTTCAAGGCCCGCACAATCTATCTATTGCATTATACATGACACAAGATCCGGGCACAGAACAATGTGTTAAGATGATGACTCTACCACTGTGCTCACATTTGCCTCCAGGGAAAAGAAGGGCACTCTTGTCTCCAAAATATGTAACTCCTTTTCATCTCAGCCGTTGTGGCTGCACTTTATTTCCTTGTCATGTTAAGCTGAAGAAATAAGAGCAAAGCAAAGGGAATGAGCAAAGATATCACAGCTTTGCTTGTAGTGGTTCGTCTCAGGAGGTGAGAGAAATGGTGAAAATTATTGGGGAAAAAGCAAGACTGACAAGGTAGTGAGAGACACGTGAGTGTCTCCCACAGAGGCCAAACAGGAACACACCCAAGGCTAGGGGAAGTTGGGAAATAAGAAAAATAAAAACAGAAGATAAAACATGAGGGATAGCAACCTTAAAAGACACACATACACACAGATGGCTATTGGGTGGTTCCCAGCCATCCTAGTGAAAAAGTGTATCAAATAATTAAGTTGGCAGATGGAGTAGAAGAACAACCCAGAGCCAGCTTGGGCAGGGCCTCTGACTGTTTCTAAGATAAAGCATCCTGGAACCTTGGGAGAAAAGACACGGCACCTTTTTGGTTTGTTTGTTTTTTGTTTGTTTTGTTGTTTTGTTTTGTTTTGTTGTTTTGTTTTGTTAAGGAGGCCTTAGATTATTCAACTCTTTTTTCCCGTTCTCTCTCTTGTAATGTGCTCTACTACTTGGGAAATAAGAATTTTACTGTGAACAGAGGTAAAATTTTTATTACAATTTTAGAGAATGACATGGCTGAGATCTATGGAATGTTTAGAGCACGAAATGAACTTTAAACACTTGGATTGTTTATTCTATCTTTTCTGTTCCTATTTACTTACTTATATACATGTATCCCCTTAGCTGTCATGCTTTTCACTGCCTGGCAAACTCCTATTCATTTTTCTACACTTAACAATTAATTTAATTCTCATGTAAACCTTCACTTTCCCTCTCAAGTTAAGCTACACCTGACTTTGTCATTCCATGTTATTCCATTCCATGTATATGCCTTCATTCGCAGTGATTACAAGGTGTTTAATATTTTAAGGTTTATCTTTCCCTCTAAGTAGACCTGAGGGCCAGAGCTATCTGATTCATCTTTGTTTTCCCCATGCAAATAATGCAATCCTTGGTACATGAGGAGGGAATAATATATTTAGGGGCAGACGATAGGTACTAATAAAATAAACAAATGAGCAAATGAGTTGGCTGACCTCTTCCCTTCTCTTCCTGAGACTATGGGTGTAATTAGTGCTTTCTAGGGCACTGTGAGGACCTGCCACTCCCGTGCCCTATCCTTGTGACTGGCCCCGTGGGAATTTGCCTGGCTTTTGCTGGATAGGTCACCCTCCTTTTGGCTGGAGAATGATCAGGCCTGGGTGTTGGAAGTCAGATACACCACTGAGTCACAGTACCTCAAGGCACTGTGGTTCCACTCCATGTGTGAAAGGTCTCTCTGCAGCATTCTTGCAAGATGAGTTTTCTAATTAGCTTTCCCTTATAAGGTGCCAGAGGGGATGGTTGGTCAGCATTAGAGCCTACAGATGGGAAAACAATGGCCAAGAGACTTTGCCTAAGGCTACTGGGTGGGCCGAAGCCTTCCAGTTAACATCTGGTGAGAATTTAATGACTCAGTGCTCTATTCTCCACCCAAGGTTCTCTCACCTGCCAGTTCCTTTCATTCTGCTGGGCCTTGACCTCAAGAGCACGAAATTGAGTGTGATGTGATTCTACGACTGTGCTACTGGCTACATTTCGCATTGGTGACAGGAAAGCACGGGCTGAGGTGACTTTGTCTTTAAATGGCTAGAAGAGGGCAGACTGCATCTCTGAGTATCCTTGAACCTAACACCTTTGTTTAGGGTTGCTCTCCAGAAAAAGCTTGAGAGAAAGCCTAACAGTTTGCAGAGTGGTCAAGAGATTGAATAATAACTGAGTAGCAATAATACTCAGATGGGTTATGTCTTTTGACTATTTAAAGGACTTTTGTATACCACTGTATGCAGCCTTATGAAATAAATTGTGTATACACACACACAGACACACACACACACATACATATATCTAGGATAAAATTAATAAATGGTTCAGTGTTAAAGATTGGAAAATATGGGAAGAAAAACAAAAAAATTGACATTTAATGCCATCATCTAGATATAACTAGTATTAATATTTTTGTGTTTCTCTTTTCTATTTTTATTAGATAACATAGTTCCTAATATAGTAAAAAAGTGACAATTAAAATGTTTATTTATGGAGGAGGATCTGAGATAGCAAGACGGCTGGAAGAGTAGTTCAGGAATGGAGAGAGAATCAGGAGTTCTGATGACTTCATGTGTGATCTTGAGTAGATCTTAAAATTTCTCTTAGTCCTTAATTTTTGCCCCTACAGAAGGGCAGGAAATTTGAAGGCAATGTCAATAGAAGCTCAATGCCCTAAGTTGAAGGTTAAACCTTAAATACCAAGAATTAATGTGATAAGAAGTTAGTCTACATGCAGTAGACAAAGACACCAAAATACACCCTTTAACTTCAGAGCTACTGCCAGGATTTCTATGTATCAAGGGACTGTCTTACAAATTAATATATATTTTTTTTTTGAGATGGAGTTTCGCTCTTGTTGCCCAGGCTGGAGTGCAATGGCACAATCTCGGCTCACCACAACTTCTGTCTCCCAGGTTCAAGTGATTCTCCTGCCTCAGCCTCCAAGTAGCTGGGATTATAGGCATGCACCACCACCTCCGGCTAATTTTTTATTTTTAGTAGAGACGGGGTTTCTCCATGTTTGTCAGGTTGGTCTCGAACTCCCAACCTCAGGTGATCCACCCACCTCAGCCTCCCAAAGTGCTAGGATTACAGGCATGAGCCACTGTGCCCAGCCGCAGGAATTAATTATTTACCTGATCCCCATCCTTTTTTTTATGCCCATATTTTCAGGTTGCCAAGGTCTAAGAAAGGAAAGGGATGAGGTAGCTTAAATGACTGTAAGATGAGCAGCTCTTCTATCATTTAAATCCACAAAACTAGGCAACAAGGGAATCATCACATCAACCATCCTACACTAGTAGTTAGCTGTAGTATAAAAGGTAGTTGGCCCGGCGTGGTGGCTCACACCTGTAATCCCAGCATTTTGGGAGGCCAAGGCAGGTGGATCACCTGAGGTCAGGAGTTCAAGACCAGCCTGGCCAATATCATGAAACCCTGTCTCTACTAAAAATACAAAAATTAGCTGGGCATGGTGGTGTATGCCTGTAATTCCAGCTACTTGGGAGGTGGAGACAAGAGAATTGCTTGAACCCGGGAGGCGGAAGTTGCAGTGAGCTAAGATCACACCTCTGCACTCCAGCCTGTGCAACAGAGTAAGACTCTGTCTCAAAAAAAAAAAAAAAAAAAAAAAAAAGAGGTAGTTTTCTGCGTTCAAATTATCTCCCATTTAATGATTTGAACACACCTGTTCTGTGGGCCTCATACCCTCTCCTCTGATGCCCAGACATCACAACAAGAGAACTCTACCTAAAACAGGCAAAGATTGGAGGAGATGAAAAAATGTCCACCCTGAGTCAAAGGAATGGCTCCACCTTTAGGGCATACCTCTCCAGACTGGGAAAGCTAGTTGGAGAAGAACAAGAATAAAGGATATCTGGGTTTTCATTTTTGCCTTGCTGGCCTGTGGTTTCTTGAGATTTTCTTACCATAAATTGCCCGCTATTTAGGAGAGAATTTTGTTTCTGTGGGTTCAAAGAGACCAGGTAGGCTGTGGAAGAAAAAGGCAAGGGCTAGTGGCATTCACTTACTCCTGGGCTCTGAGCTCTGGGCTCTCTCTGGGAGAGAGAGGACCCTTCTATATACTTCTTAGTGTGTAACCCAGTCTAAGGTAGAAACGAAGAAGCTCTCAGGGCAAATGTTCTATCCAGGACATTGGCTGGAGCATTCCTTGTCTTGTATCATATTGTGGATTGGCAGCAAAAGGCAGAGAACAACTTAGGTATATAATTTGCAGAAATATCCAAACATTGTTGTCTGAACAAAACTCTGTTGAGTAAATGGTGATGGTGATGATGGGATGATCATAATTACTATTATTGATGTGTTCTGTATGCCGCTTTACATGCATTATTCTTTCTACAACCCAGTAAAAATAGGTATTATTTCTTCCATTGCACAGAGGAGGAAGATGATGTTCAGAACACAAACAACTCACCCAAAATCCCACAGCTAGTTATTAACCAGGACAGTATTGAGGTTTCCATAGCCTGTGAAATGTCTTTCACTATTTGCTGTTCCTAGTTTTGTGTTAGAGTCTTGGGTTTGGTCTATTACAGAGAATGCAGAATGCAAATTCTGGAGACTCCCCCACCTAACATGTCTGGGCTACTGATCCGAGAAACCCTCACAGGTAGATCTAACTTAACTGGGTACAGCTAGATGGCATTTTGTAGCAAAGGCTGTGAGCCTAAAGGCTGGGGATGGGGAGCGATTCAGCCTTCATGAATTGCAAATAATTTTTCAAGGTATCTTCTTAGGGAAGAAAGAGAGTTGGGGTCTCAGGATGGTGGGGAGAAGGAGCTGTGGTGGGGCCCAGTGTAGAAAGAGGAGGCCTATAGCTATTTTCTCCCTCTGTTAGGGCAGATCTCAGCTCACTTATTTTCCTTCAGCCTCAAACAAGTTGTTTTGTTTTTTTTTAATTTAGGAAAGAGAAAGATTATCTTTAAACAAAAGTGGCACCAATATCCTGCCATCCTGATTAAAAGCAGGATGAAGATAAAATGATTTCTCTATCCCTCATGGCCTACAAAGCCAACGCCTCCCAGGGAAATGGCCTTCTCCCAGCGGCAGCCCAGCTCTTCACCTTTGAAGCTGCCTCTAAACCTGTTTGCTTTTGGAGCTCCAATAAGATTTGTGCTTGCTGCCACAGGCTGGCCCAGATAGGCTGCTCGTGCTGAGACTATGGCTGTCTTCCCGGGTGAACAACAATGACAGTTAATTACATCAACCCAATTAGCAGCAGCATCCACTTTGTGCAAGCAAGGCCCACCTGTGGTCTTACCTATGTCTAGCAAAGGGCCCCCGGGCCTTAGTGGGGAAGCTGGTGAATTGGGAGGCTAGATGTTTAGCAGTGACCTCCTTTCAGAGCCCTCTTTTCTTGGAGATAAGTGAGGGAACTGGAAAAAGACCAATGCCTTACACCATAGTCAGCTAAACAGGCTGCAGATCATAATGGTTTTCAGATTATTCTGCTAGGTAGGAACAGAGTCTTCCCTCAGCACTTAGTGGATGATCAGAGGTGGAACTTTATCAGATTTTGCCTTTGGTAATGAGGCCGTGTTTGCCTTGCCTCTAATAGAACACTAAGAACAAAGGCCTCTCTATGGAAGGTGGGAGGTAGACAAGAGAATGTGACAGCTGTTTTCCTTGGCTCCACACTCATGTTTTCCAGCCTTTACAGGGAATCAGAAGTGCTGGGTTCAAAGGCTAAATCTAATCACCTATTAGCTGCTTACCTTGGGCAAGTTACTTAAACTTTCTGAGCCTTGCTTTTTTATTTGTTAAAAATGTGTCTAGACAAACTGTAGGGGTGGAGAGCAAACCAGTGATTGCCCAGGAATGAGTCAGGAGGGAATGACACAAAGGGCAGCGGGGTGGGTGGGAGGAGGAAAGTTCTGTGTCATGATTACAGTGGTGGTCTCACAGCTCCACGCATTTGTGACCCATAGAAGTGAACCTGAAAATAATGAATTGTACTGTATACACATTTTAAAAGCAAATAAATTCTAAAGAGTGATTAAAATAAGGGTGAGGATAATAATAAAAGATTTGAAAACATCTAGGACAATAAATGGCTCACATGTGTGCTAAATACATATCAATTGCTTTCTTTTCTGAGTCTGTTTCTTCATTCATAAAATGAAAATTAAAATATTACTTCTTATAATCATAAAACATGTTATCTTTGTCATAAGTATGGTATGATTATAGGATTTTGAATGTAAACACTTTATCGGTAGTCAAGATATAGCAATTCATTCATTCATTCATTCATTCATTCATTCATTCATGTTTTTTGAATGCTCTTGTTGGGTTAGGCCCCGTGGTGGGAGCTGCTGTTAAAATTTTAACAGAACCAATCCCTCCCATCCCAATGTAGCTCATAGTCCAGGAAAGAGAGAGTGATGAAAACATGATTGTAATAAATGCTGCATGTGTGAAGTTCCAACAGCTATAGTTGTATATCTAAGAGGCACCTAATGCAGACTCGGAGGACCAGAGAAAACTGCTTGAAAAAAAAATATTATCTAAAAAGAGACATGGAAGGCGAGTAGAAGATAGGCCCCAAAGGAAGCACGGAAAGAGGGAGGGTTTGCAGGCAGACAAGACTATATAGAGAAAGATCTAGAAGGGAGGAAGAACAAGGCTCATTCTGGAACAAAGCATCTTTCAGTCTGGTTGGGGCCGGGGATGATGGTTCATCCTGAAAATTCAAGCCTTAGACGGGGTGTTGGAAGAAGTGACCACTAGAGAGATTTCCACTCCCATAGGCACATAATTTCATAATGACTCTTGGCTCCCTCCTTGTATTCATTTCTAGGCAAGTGGGGTCTCAGCCCTTTGCTTTTCCTCGGGTATTTGGATTGGAACTTAGGGGAAAGTCTCTCTATTGAGCAGTGTGATCTTCTAGGTTCCCTGTGTCTGCTTTTGCATAATCACTCAGGTTCCAGCCTGCAGTCTTCACCGCCAGATAGAAGGTGACAGGAGTCATGGAAAGGATTCACATCCTCTAAGGCTGCTAGATGATGTCAACCCAATTACCAGAGACAGCACTATCTGAACGGCAATGCCCCTCAGGTGTCTGCACCTGTGTGGATCTGGGTGGAATTCTTTAATGTGACATTTGACTGGCAGAAGATCTGCTCCTCCCTGCCTCTTTTGTCCCCTTCTGAAAAGGAAGCAGCATCAGCAGTAGGGCAAAATTCAGACAATTCATAAATAGCCACTTTCCCCAGCCCCAGCCCCTGAACCACAGCAACCTCTGCCTCTAGCCTCCTCAGTTCCTCCTTTAAAACCTTGAGACCTCCTCACAATCCAGGTTGTGGCCCTGGCCCCTGCCCTATGCTTTATTTGTTCTGGTTGTTGAGAATGTACTGCTTGTTATATATTATAAATGTCACCTCTTTGGAGGACAGAGGACAACTGACTGGATGACTGCCCCGGGAAAATCATTTTCTTTTTCTGGGTTACTATGACTCAGTGAAAATAAAAAAGGATTATCATATAGTTAAAATGTAGAGTTACCAGCTTTATTAATTTCTACGGTCTCTTCCACTCTTAGTAGTCTATGATTCTGTAAACTGTGAATAAATTCAGATTCCCATATCGGAGGTCTGAATACTGAGTGCTCATCCAAAGAAAGGAGTAAATAGTCTACATCCGGATATGAGCAGGAACTTCTGCGAATCTTAGATTAATAGAACTTTAGAGCTGGGAGTGAAATCAAGTTCACCCAGCAAGCCTTTTCAGATGTGTTCCACAGAGCTCTAGGAAGACCATGGGGAAAGATGAGAAGGGGTTAGCGGAGAGAGCTCCAAATTCCTGACTCTTGCTTCAGCCCAAGAAGCTCTGATTTTTCCTGCTGTTTACAGTGGTAGTCTGCCTAAGATTTTATTTGACGAAATATTTCTGTGTCTGGCAGACAAATCCTAAAATCCTTATATCCTGACTTGACAACTTGCTCTCAGTAGAGCCTTGAGTATTTACCTCCCAACTTCTCTGAGCCTCAGTTTTCTTGTCTATAAATGGAACCAATCATTCTGGCTCTCGAGGTTTTAGATCAGCACAAAACGTCCAAGAAAATGACTAGCATGAACTAGGCGTTTGGTATCTGTTAGTTGGATCTTAGTCCCACTTATGATTACTTCCTTAAGGTGGAAACCAGGTTCCCAGAGCTGCTCTGTGAAGATTGAAGAGGTTGGTAAACACATAGAGATACACATGAGCACACACACACACACACACACACACACACACACCAGGAACTGCCAAGAGGATATTTTAATAGGGACAATTACATCTGCAACACTTGGCTATCTCTGCATTACCAAACAAGGTGACAACAGCAAAATCCTACTCAACCACAACGGCAGAAGCAGATCGCTCTGATAATCAGTGCAACACCATGGGTTTGGTTACTGCAGGATAACTCTCTGACCTTACTGGGCATCGTTTCCATACAGTAGCTATACAGGGGAAGTTGAATAACCGGTCTTGTTCCTCGCACTCAGGGTGTGGCAGCTGTAGTGCTTACAGTGTCTGTTTCAAATTTACCAGTCCAGTCCCTTCCACCCTCCCCCTTTGCCCTAAAATGGTGGCCAGCTTGTTGCTCCCACCGGAGACAGTGTTGCAGTAGGCAGAAAGTTGTGCGCACGGTGACACTGCTTTCCATTTCCGAAGACGTGATACTCTTCTAAGTGGAACAGCCTAGAACTTAGATGTGTGTTCTCTTAAGCCTTCTGTTCTCATATGACTAATTCGAGAATCCACCCACTCTGGGGGCCATTAGGCGGGTACGAGGAAAGATTTCCAGGCAGTGTTCTCGTCACAAATTGTATCAGTGCAGGGCTTTGTAATCAGATGGGGACTGACTCTCTCTTCCAGGCTGCCAGGGCAACATATCCCTGGGCTGAGGTTCAATCCTAGCCCTGTAACAAATTGACTGTGTCAGCTTGCCCCAGTCACCTGCCTTTTGTGTGTTTCCTCACATATGGAATTCTCATGTTTCTTGTATATATTTTTTTCTCAGTTGGAATTTGCACAATGCTTCTCTTTCCCTTGTTATTGTTTATTGCTTTCGGACCCTGTTTAGCAACAAATTTGGATTCTAGTTTATACTTATTATTGGCTCCTAGACTTTGACAGTACCATTACTTATAGTATTCTCAAAGAGTATTGAGACTAATGCCTTCATTTTTTAGTTGGAGAAATTAAGAATTTGAGTTAGAGGGTAATTTTCTCAGAGCCTCCCAAATCCTGAGTGATTAAGCTAAAATTTGTGACTTTCAGTCAGTTGTCCTTTCCAATGTGTTTGTTCACTCTTTCATTTAATTGTGTGTACATTAATTAATTACTCATTTAATTAATAGTTATGCATTTCTTATCTGTGTCATGTAATATTTTAAACTGTGGAAATATAGCAATGAATGGAACTCTTGTCTTAGAAACTTTATTCTGGGCAGAAGGAGGTAGTCAATAAATCAAGTTAGATTACACATAAGTAGGAAGTTATGATATTAAGGGTTATGAAGAAAATAAGCAGAAGGCTGAGGTGTGCAGATCAACTGAGGTCGAGAGTTCAAGACCAGCCTGACTAACATGGAGAAACCTCGTCTGTACTAAAAATACAAAATTAACCAGGCGTGGTGGCACGTGTCTGTAATCCCAGCTACTCAGGAGGCTGAGGCAGGAGAATTGCTTGAACCCAGGAGATGGAGGTTGTGGTGAGCCGAGATTGCACCATCGCATTCCAGCCTAGGCAACAAGAGTGAAACTCCGTCTCAAAAAAAATAATAAAATAAAGAAAAAAAAAAGAAAAAATTAAGCAGAGAGAGGGAGTGAGAATGCTGACTGCAGGAGTTCAGTTGTAGAGAGAGGTCATGGCGGACCTCCCCAGGAAGGTGATCTTTGATCTCAACTAGATAGACATGGGGAATGAGCCACGTAGACACCTGAGGGAAGAATGGCTCAGGCATAAACAACAGTAAATGCAAAGCCCTGAGGCTGGAGCATGCTAGGCAACAGGCATGTTCTAGGAAGAGTAAGGAGGCCAGTGCCACTGCAGCCAACTAAGCAAGGGGAGAGTATATAGGATATAAGAACAGAGAGGTAGCTGCCTCAGGTCTTGGTGGCTGTTCTAATGACTTAGCCAATGAGATGCAAAACCAATGAAAGATGTTTGAGCAGAGGAATGACATAAGCTAATTTATGTTTAAAAGGATACCGCTGGCTTTTTGGTTGAGAATACACCGAAAGAGGACAAGAGTGGAAGCAAAAAGAAAAGTTAGGAGGACACTGCAGTAATTCAGCAGAGAGATAGATGATGGTGGCTTAGACGAAGATGGTGAGAGTGGTGATGGCACAAAGTCCACTACCATGGACAGCAGAAGACATGAATATAAACTCAATAATGAGGGGTGTGAGAAGGGTAAGGAAGGGTGGGTCTGGACTACTCTGCAGAGAGACCGAACTTAGCCTAGGAGTACATGGCATCAGAGAAGGCTTCCTAGAGGAAGAAATATTCCAGACCTAAGCCACAACATGATGTAGAGTGACCAACTGTCCAAGTTTGGTTTTCAGACCCCTCGGTCCCAGGGAAAGTGGGATGGGTGACCACCCACGGTCGGAGTTTCCTGGTGAAACCAGAGTGGTGGTGGGAGGACAGTGTTTTCAGCAGAGAGAATTGAATGTAAACATCTGAGAGACAAGAGAGGGCCATGCTACAGGGTAGGGAATAAAGAGGAGGAAAGTGGCAGCATGCAGGGTTGAGGAGGTAGGCAAGGGCACCAGCGTACGGCGAGGAAGCCAGAAGATCGCTGGGATTTGTTTCTACATCATTGGAAGGGTTTTAAGCAAGGAGTGTTAGCACTAACAACTCAGTGTTACCTGTCACCTCTGTTAATTTACCTGTAGAAGAGCTATTACAAGTAATTTATAAGTTTTCAGGTAAAGAAAAAGATGACAAGCAAGAAATCACTAAACAGAGTAGGAAATACATTTATACGAAAACATTCCAGCTAAGTGTTCAGTTGCTACTTGGGAGTCCTTCTGTGTAATAAGGTCAAATTCCCTATGAAACTAGTTGATGTTTTCCCTCGTTTCTCTGCTTGCATCACTGACATCATTATTTTCTTAGGCTCAACAGCTCAGAGACATAATTTTTATCTTTTCTTCTTGGTGACTCTGACAGCCTCCAAGTTCTGATTTGTTTTTCCTTCAGGATGTCTCTGCTTAGTCCTTTACCCGCAAGTTCCACGGCTGCCAGCCTGCCTCAGGCTTCCTCACATGTGCCTTGGCAGTGGTGGACTAAGCTAGGCAATCAGTAGGATTGGATACCCCTGGGTGCAGGCAATGACGAGGTGTTGTCTTTAGAGGTCTAAAACCAATACAAAACCAATTCGAAATTAGCCTGCCTTGTATTATTTCTATGTGCCAGCAACTATAGACAATGACAAAGATAAAATCTCCTTCCCACTGGGGCAGACTACTCCCAAATTCCCTCCCACTCAACTCTTGATTAGTGTAACATTTGCTTTATTGGTATCCCTGACAATTGACCTTTTTTCCTCCAATCCTTCTCAGGCTGACTTTGTTAATCTAACAACTACAATCTATAACCACCTGTGTCGAGCTCTCCCAAACTTCAGAATCCTCCCTGAGGTTTACAGGATCAAGCCCCAATGCCTCAGTTTAGCTTTCGATCAAGCCCTCGGTAACCTGTAGGTAGCCTAACAGCTGTGACTTTTCCTTTTAATTTCACATCCCAAACCCTCTTTTCCAGAGGAGTCTATGTTACAAATTTATGGTTTCCTGCTGCAGTAGCAGGGAGGAAAACCAGTTTTGGATCCCAGCAGTACTAGTGACTGTGTGAGCTTAAGCTAGTCACTTTCCCTCTAAAAGCCTTGATTTTCTCATAGTAAAATTAGGATAATAATACCTATAGAGCTGAAGTCACAGGATTACAGCAAGGGCAAAATGACATCATGGTTGTGAAAGCAGCTACCCGTGTGAGCCACGATGACTATTATAAGCAGTAGAGGTAAGTAATACTTGTCAGGGTAGTGGTTGTCAACAATTAGTGTTGATATTCATGGCAATGCATGACTTACTGATTTTTTTAATGTTGTCTATTTTATCTTTTATATATTTTATCTTTACCACTCCATATCATACTCGTCATTTAAGAAACAACTCTAGACTAACTTCCTGCCAAATACTTCCTGGGTCACACTAGCCTACCGAACTGAACTCTGCTGTCCTCAAAAACCTCCAAAACATATACCCTTTGCATTCAGGCATGTACCACATGTATCATTTCATATCATGTTCCCACCTGGACTATAAATGCAACATCTCATGCTTGTTTAGCATTTCTCTAAATGCTGAGAACATAGTAGATGTTAAATCAAGACTTGCTAAAATGAACGAATGAATGAATGCATAGAGGCATCTTTCTTTTTTATTTTTAACCCCTCACAGCAAAATATGCTAATAGTGCCCTCTGCTGCTGACTAACGATTCTGTTTTTTACACAGTTGAAAAGCAAGTGACAGAAAGCTCAGTAAAAGGAAATAGGTAAAAATTGTGTCTTTCAAGGTGCTTGGCACAAACAAAGTAGCTGTAATGTCACAGTGCAGACAGAAAGCTAGGCTGTCAGAAGGACCAAATGAGGTGGCTGCAGACAAGACAAGCCTCTCTTTTCTGGACTGCTGATTGACAACCAGCTTGGAGTTCAAACACTCTCAATTTTGTAATTTTGTAACAAGTTTCTCTTCTCCTGTGCCCCTGCCCTAGCAATAAGTGTGTTATATATGATCAGACTATTTCTAAATGTAACTGTATGAAAATTAACCTTGAAGGTTCTGAGGTTGATCAAGGGATAATGCACTAAAAAAAAAAAAGTCATGAGAGCAGGTGAAATATTGCCAGAGAATTCACAGTCCTATTCATTTTCCTTCATTTTAGGTGTTCTGATATAGTCACAAGTCATTGTCTTTTAATGATTACCTGCTATGTGTTCGGCTCTCTTTTTATAATCTCAATTAATCTTTCTTCTTTTCTTTCTTACTCTTTTTCTTTCTTTCTTTTTCTTTCTTCTTTCTCTTTCTTCTTTGTTTCTCCTTTCTTTCTTTCCTTTCTCCTTCCTTCCTTCCTTCCTTCCTTCTTTCCCTCTTCCCTTCTCTTCCCCTTCCCTCCCCTCCCCTCCCCCACTCCCTGCCCCTCTCCTCCCGTCCCCTCCCCTTCCCTTCCTGACAGTATCTCCATATGTTGCCGAGCCTGGTCTCAAACTCCTGGCCTCAAGTGATCCTCCAGCCTTGGCCTCCTAAAGTGCTCAGATTACAGGCATGAGCCATCATGCCTGGCCAATGAAATCTCTAGATAACTTATGAAATAGATATTACCAGCCTTTTCTTTATAGATAAAGACACTGAACAGATGTGCGTTAAAGGCCAGTAAAAGGCAGAAAGGGCTGCAAGTCCATGGTAACACAGTCTGCACTCTTCTCTGCAATTCCATAGCTTCTCAGTGTGGTCTGCCGCTCTAGGAGTCAGAGGAGCTGGTTTTGAGTCCATATTTCTACCACTAACATTTCAGTAAAGTTGAGTAACTCACATTTCTCCACCTCTAAAATAAAGGGCATAAGGTCAGGTGCTTTCTAAGGTCCCTTCCAACTTGGAGTCAGTTGTTTGCAGTGTCGTTCACTTGCTAAGCTATAAATACAAAGCACAATTGTGGCTATGATTCTTCCTTGGGGTCCCTACCATGGACTTGATCTTCCCTGTTTAGCCTGCTCTGATGAGTTAAACGTTGACCTCAGATCAATAATGAAAAGCCCTCTGTGCTGACGTTGATGGTCATTCAAATATCATTCTATTTAATTTGTAAATCCTTCTACACATAAATGACATGTTTTGACCACAGAGTTCAAGGCATGATAGTTTATTTCATGCTGATTCTGAAGGTAGGGCAGTTTTCAGTTTTGGCACGCCAATTTGTCACATTTGACATTTTTGACAATCAGCCTTTAGCTGGTAAGTGGCTTGGTGGGCAACGTGTCCCTAGTTAATAGGCACACCCCGATAGCTCACAGTCTCCGGGGACAGCCATCTCTGCAGCATGCCTAGCCTTTGAAGCGGCTCACGCGTTCTTCAAAGCAAACTTTCTGGTACAGGGAGCAACATCTGATGTACTTTTATTACCCTTAGAGACAAAAAAAACATCACTCAGAAGCCAAACGTCTGCAAGGAAAAATCTGTACCCTGTGCTTAGCCCTGCGGCCTGGAAGTTCAGAGAAGGCTGAAAGTGCTCCCTGTGAGGAAACCAGGGCATGTTTAGACAGAGCTTTAATCATGTCTAACCAACTCAGAGCAGTGGCAGCAGCCATCTTGCTGAAGATGTCGCCTCCTTCTGGATTTGCACTGGAGTGTGGGGGAGTGGGTGAGATCTAGTGTCAGATAAGCTCATAATAATTCCTACTGCTTCCTAGTTATTCAAAACATCAAAACTGCAAAATCTTCTTAGAGAGTTCAGCAACTTTTTTTTAACTCGAGGAACTGACATCTACTGACTTTGACTTCTGTCAAATTATTTATCTATTCTGGTGTTTTATTTTTTCCACTATATGAGAATAATCATCACATCTATTGGGATGTCGTGAAAAACTTAGTGAACCCAATGCTAAACGATGAAGTGGACTACTTTCCCAGAAATCTTTACTCTGTCTAGGCAAGGGAGCTTCAACAATACCGCCCATGCCTGTTCTTTACTTAATACTAAGTAGCTAAAGTTAGAATAAATTGCAGATTAAGACCACTGAGAATCCAGCTGTCCTAAAAGATGTTTACACCTTTATCTGGGATGCTGAAGGGTTGAAAATCTCCAAGTAGTCTTTATTTAATTAACCAATGTTAACTTCAAAGAAATATAATTCTGGTTCATATTACCTTGTGAAAAAAAAGTCCTGAAATTCTGAACTTGAAATATAATAAAAATTCTAGCATCTATTCAGTAAATGTTGCTAAACACTGGACTATCGTGATAGACCAGAATATTACTCCAGTGACCGGAAGCCTTGAAGTCAGCTTCTGAGCCTCAGGGACTCTATAATTTATTCTAAATCTAAGTAGTCTGATTGCCTAAGACCTTCAAAGGCATTTGCAAAGTTTAACACACCAAAAAACAGGTACAGAGAACAAAAAGGGTGATTGGATGCTTGTTGCTTTATGTCCTATTTGACCCTTTGGTTTTAAATGAGGTAAATTGCTCCAATTAACTCCTGTTGGAGATGGTTTTCTTTCAATGATTCCTTCTGTTCCTTGTTTGACATTGGAAAAGATGTCATTAGTAAAGCATTACATGGCTTTCGGGTTTTATTAAAAGACTGACTGAGTTTACCAAATGCTAGGCTTTTCAGACAACATACCTGTGTGCTGCAATATTGTCATTATTCCCATTTCTGATACGAAAGTCTAATAATTTGAGTGAAGTAGATTAGTTCCAGGTCATGTAGGGTAGAAAGTTTCATGGACTTATGGGCAGAGGAATATGCTGCTGGTAGAGCCCATTGACTTTAGTCTCAACGATGAATTCACGTCAGCTATTTCTGATAGTAGCTACTCCTCTGCTTTTCAGAAGGAAGCTCAGTCCTTCAGGGCTTTCACACTACCCACTTGAATAATACCTCCCTTGCAAGTGAATACAATAAAACTTACTCTTTAACTGGTATTTATTAAGATTTTCACAGCATTCATTAAACTGCTTTCCGAAGGCTATCTCATTCCACTCCACCCCAAAACACCAACTTTCTGAACTCTCATTTTCTCCGAAGGCTCAGTCCTTTAGAACCCAAGAAATCATTCAGTTCAAATGCAACACTTTTCAGCTGAGGACACTGTGATGCAATGAGAGGTTAAGTGGCTCATTCCCACGTATTGGTGGCAGATCAGTCAGGCCAGATCCAGCTCACCTGTCACCTTCTCTCCAACTTTTCCCTACCACTAACCACTCCTTTCCCACTTGCATGACCTTTCCTCCTACCCCTATCACAATCCTCTGCCGTAACATTCACCTTACTTTAAGTTGATCATTTGTTTACATCTGTTTTTTTCCACTTTGAGTTCCTTAAAAGAAGGGATAACATTTTATTCATCTTTAAATGCCTCCCTAAGCCTACAACGGCACGGCCACTCAAAAACTCTCTGTGAAATGAATTCATACATGACCAGGGCTTTACGACATCACCTTCTCTGTGCCTGTTTGTTTTTTCCCATTTACACAATGAAGATGGCATTGACGTGTCTCTCAAGATAATTATGTAGTTACATATGATTGCTACGTGCTTCAAGACCATAAAAAAGCTTTATAAAGCCAACCACGATTACAACCTTTGAAACAATGGAATATACGATTAACAAGTGGAAAGAGATGAGACATACCAGGTAATGCTTATTGTCCATTCCCTATTTCTACCTCCACCCACCACCAGGTAGTAACTCAGAGGTAAAAACATAAACTTGGAATAAGAGAGGAGGGTTTACCTCGGGTCTGGATAAGATTATTAGGACCGATGTCATCACGCTGCCGTCATGCGGGAAGGCACCTAGGTCTGATGAGAGAGGCCCAGGGCAAGATTCCCATATATATAGGTAACACTCAATTCACTGTTGAAATGAGGCTCAAATCAAGAAGGCACGTGGCCTTATCTATTCGAAATTGATTCGTCCTTCAAAAGCAGAAGATATCAGATAATTATAAAAGGGACTGTTAAGGTAGAAAGACTGTCAAACTCTAGGCTACCCTGGCTCTCCTCTGTGGCCATTCTACCAAAATAAAGAGAGGGGGTACAGCATGTCTTATTCACCTTTTGTTCTCCCTTCTCCTAAATGTACCATATAAAATGACTAGAAAACATGTGTCATATGTTGACTAAACGAAGCATTCATTTAGATTTTCCTCCCCAGCAACATGTCTGGAAAAAAAATGATAGGAACATCTTGTTTGGTTATTTTTATTGCGGGCCCTTAATAAGATAGTTGAAGCCAGAGGTGCCTCATTAACCCAACTTTTTACAGCTGATGCCATCCATTGTAGAGTGAAACAGAATCAATAGTCAGATTGTTCCCAACTTGGCTTTGCCCAGCCTCGGAGGTCAGCAGTGGGCACAGAAAACACTGTGAATTACAAGGAGGAGGAGGTAAAGGGGAAGCTCTGACAGAATGAGTCTGCAGCTCCAACCCAGCAGTGAGCTCAATGAGTGGCTGATGTTACTTGTTTTGATGTGTTTGAAGAAATCAACCAGGTTCAGGAGAAAAAAAAAAAAAAAAAAAGTCTATATGCCTCCTGTTGGAAACATCAAATTATCAGGGAGTAGAGGATTTGTGGGTGGGCAGTTGGAACTATGTGAGACGTCATTTCACATCACAGCCTTCTTGGCAGGAGGCAGAGAGGGCTTGTAACACGGACTTGTGGTCTGGAGTTTTTGCCAATGGCTCCTGTTTCCCTAAAGTGCTCTGGATGTGGGAACAGGTCAACATTTTCCCACTTCTCAGCCATACCACTGTCAGTCAGCTCAGAATGTTCAATGCTTTGGCATAAGGAACTGGTGAGGCGGCCCCCATTACCTCCTTTCTTGACGTCAGTGAGGGAGTCATTCCCTGTGGTTCTCTTGTGTGAAATAATTCAGCATTTGTACTTCAATTAAAATTCACAGGTATATATTATTAAATAGCACTGACTCATTCCATGGCTTCTCCTCAGCTGAGGAAGTGCCAAAAATGTTATGATGTCAATGATGAAGAGTGCATTAAAAGTCTTAAGAGTGCGTTAAAACTGAGATTTCCTTGTCAAACAATGTAGGTTCGGGGCTGTGAAGAAAGCACTTCGCCCATCCACAGTATCACTCTGTCCTGTGTCAGATTTTTCTAAAGAAGAAATTTAAGTTCAAGATTCTTTTTGCCTTTGAGGGAGAGAAAAATGATACCTGACTAGAATCCTCTTCCCTTTTGTGAGCTTCATAAAAGCAGTTCAAGGCTCAAGGTATGTCTTTAAAAATAGGGCTGAATCAAATTGAATAATACAACTCGTATTCAATATATCACAGAGGAGAGAAGAGGAAGTATGCCAACATACATCCCTCAGCAGGAAAATAAAAGAGGAGAAAAAGGTTTTCTTGATTTGGTAAAATCAGACTTTTTTATTCACATTTATTATTTTATATTTAATATGCCTAGAAGCACGGCCAGGGGAGCAACAACCCTGGTGCTCTTTTCTCCCTTCTGACCCAAAAGACTGTGCTTCTAGCTCAGACCTGGACACTCTGAGCCACGTGACCCCAGGTAATCACCTCTCTCCACTGCTCTCCATGTCCTCATCTGCAAAATGGACATCACGATCCATGCCCAGAATACCTCCTGGGGTTCCCAGTGTGTGAACATGCTCTGTGTCATAAGCATTCAAAACAATAATATAGGTGAAAATAAAAGCTTTGTGAGCTGCAGACTTTTCACACAAGGGAAGGATCATCACCAAGACCAACGGTAATTCCTCAGATAACACAGATGAGATGTACTATTCATACACATTGGACTATTTAACCTAGGCTGACTCAAGCACATTCAGCACTTCGTGAGAATTAGAAAAGACACCCTTTCTGGAAAGATATAGCCCTGCAGGTCCATAGATTGGTAAGCAAGTACCATCTCTGGGCAAATAGAATAAGACATCCCTTCCACCAGCTGGACAAAGCCCTGTGCCAGGGTTCCAGCCCCCATGTACACTCCCACAGGCATTCTTGCATAACCAAGTTCAACAGTCCTGGCTTTAGCTCTGGCTCTGTTGCTCAAATTCTGTAACCATGGGATCATCTTTACCACCTCTAAGCCTCACTTTCTACCCAAAAAGAAAGATGAAATTGAACTGTGATTTCTACGCCCTCCTTCAGCTGTAAAAGCAACAAATGTCCTAATGGGCTTTTCCATCCTTCTACACAAGGGATTATGTGCCATACGAACTGCAATTTCTAAGCTTCACTTTTTTTTAAGTTGTCTGATGACACTCCCTAAATATTTGAATGAAATTATGTATGGTTTGATGTGGAGCAGATTAAGAAGTAAATGCTTTAGTGTATACATGATGTTTCAGGTGTAAAGCAACATGGTTAACCGGCAAAACAAGAATAACTACCCTGTGTTGTCAGCAAATGGCACAAGATGTGGCTCTAACACAACATCTATTCGGCCTTCACCCACTTTCTGTGGGACTGAATATAAGAATCAGTGATGAAGTCCCTGCCCCTCCCCTAGTGCCCATCGCACCCAGGAAGTGGGAACTTTAAGGAGCCAAACAAAGACTGTTTCTATGTTGATGCCTTGTTGCCAGAAAACAGAAATCAGATCCTCACCCAGATCCTCCAATCAGCAAATCTGAGTGCC